>NC_000017.11:63185980-64435980 GCF_000001405.40 Homo sapiens
ATATTTACCTAGTTCTAGGTCATAAAGTTACACTAAAAGGTCGTTTTCCAGAAGACTTATTGCTTCACTTTTTACCTTTGGGTCTATAATCTATATGAAACTTATTCTTTTAAGGACAGGATTTACTTTTCCATATGGATATCATATTGATCTGTCACCAATACTTGAAAACACTCTCATGTTACTGAAACACTGCAGTGAAACTTTTGTTCTGAATCAGGTGATTATATATAGAGAGAGATCTGTTTTTGGATTTTTAAACTCTGTTCCATTGACCACCTTTTTATCTATGCTTTTGTCTAGCTGTGTCTTAATTACTTTAGCTTTATATTAATCTCGATATTAAGCAGTATGCCCTTCTCTCTCTCTCTTTTTTTTTTTTTTTTTTTGAGACAGTGTCTCACTCTTGTTGCCCAGCCTGGAGTGCAATGGCGCAACCTCGGCTCACTGCAACTTCCGCCTCCCAGGTACAAGTGATTCTCCTGCCCCAGCCTCCCGAGTAGCTGGGATTACAGGCACCTGCCAGCACACCCGGCTAATTTTTTGTATTTTTAGTAGAGTCGGGTTTCACCATGTTGGTCAGGCTGGTCTCAAACTCCTGACCTCAGGTGATCCACCCCCCGCTTCAGCCTCCCAAAGTGCTGGGATTACAGGCGTGAGCCACCGCACCCGGGCTTTCTTCGAGTCTTCTATACTATTCTTGGATCTTTCCATTTCCATGTAAAACTTATAATCCCTTAGTCTTTATGGTGACATATTCCTCAACCAGATTTCTGGGAGCGTAGCCTAATGCGTAAACACACTGCTTACAAAGAGCCAAAATAAAACCAAGAACTACAAATTTAAATAGTTTTAATCAGCATAATGCATGAGTGCTGTATGATTTATTTTGTGTATCACAGTCTCACAGAGATTGTTTTTCAACAACCAGATATCTGTTTCTCATACCTCAAAGTTGTCGTCATTATTAAAGAAGTTACAGAATTCCATTCAAGGAAAGTACTGTCTTTGTTTAGGGACATATCTTAATTGGAGTGTATTGTGTTATGAAGATGAGACCCTCTTCATATCACCTGGATGGTCATGGATGAGACAAACATATAGGTCAAATAATTGATATGATGACTTGAGAAATTTTGAGAGTTTTGAGCAAATTCAGTGGGCAGAGGGGAGCTGGGGACTGATGCCTGGCAATATGGTGAGAGACTGGACTTGGAGATGACGGTATAACTTAGGAGTAAAGAGCCTGAGGTCTAGAGCCAGATTGCCTGGCTCAGCCACTTACTAGCCATATGAATTTGGTAAGTTACTTATTCTTTGTATGCTTTATTTTCGTTATTTGTAAAGTATGGATAATATTGCCTACCTTGTAGGGCAGTTTGATGATTAAATTAGTTAATATAGGTAAAATGCTTAGGAATAGTACCTGGCATGTGCAATTAACTAGACTACAGACCTTACTCAGATTTGGTTAATGGTATACTTAATTGCCATATATAGCTAGCTATTATTATAGCTAATAAAAGTTATAATCTGCCCCAGAGAGAACAACCACCAAAAATTATGTTTTTTATATATATATATACATATATGTGTGTGTTTGTGTATATACAGACACATACACATATGTGTTTTTTGAAGAAATGTTCTAAGTGTGATGAAAACTATAAACCCACAGATACAAGAAGTTCAATGAATCCTAAGCACAAGAAACATGAAGATTTCACTAAGACACAATATGAAACTGCTTAAAACTAATGATAAAGGAAAAACTATTAAAATCAGTCAGAAAAATCACAGACAGTGGAGAAACAAAGATGACAGCACACTTCTCTTTGAAAAAAAAATTCAAGACAGAAGACAAGTGGGGCAGCATCCTTTTTTAAATTCTTTAATTTTCAAATTTAGGAATAGCATCTTTAAATTACTGAGACAAAGACACTATCAACCTAGAATGGTATACCCTGAAAAATACATATTTCAAAAATGAAAGCAAAGTGAAGGTTTTCTCAAACATATAAAAAATGGAAGACTTTATCACCAGTTGACTTGTACTACAAGAAATGTCTAAGAAATTTCTTCAGGCAAAAGAAAAATGATACCACATGGAAATTCACAGAACTATACACAAAATGTACCCAAAAAACCCCAACCACAACAAATGAGTGCAGGCAAAATCTGACAAAATCAGGCTGGCCAGGGTGACATGCACCTGTATTCCCAGCATGCTGAGGGTGCTGAGGGTGCTGAGTTTGAGAGGACCACCTGAGCTCAGAGGTTCCGGAACAGCCTGGACAGCAAAGCTGAGACCCCATCTCTTAAAAAAAAAAAAAAAATCTGGCTGGGTGCAGTGGCGTAGTCCCAGCACTTTGAGAGGCCTAGGTGGGCAGATCATGAGGTCAAGAGATCAAGACCATCCTGGCCAACATGGTGAAACCCCATCTCTACTAAAAATACAAAAAATTAGCTGGGCATGGTGGTGGGCGCCTGTAGTCCCAGCTACTGGGGAGGCTGAGGCAGGAGAATTGCTTAAACCCAGGAGGCGGAGGTTGCAGTGAGCTGAGCCCCACTGTACTCCAGCCTGGTGACAGAGTGAGACTCTGTCCAAAAAAAAAAAAAAAAACTGGCAAAATCTGAATAAGGTTTGTAGTCTAGTTAATTGTATTCTCCCAGTGTCATTTTCCCATATAACTCACTGTGGTTATGTAAAATGTTACCTTTGGGAAAACTGGGTGATGGGTACATGGTTCTATCTGTACTGTTATGGGGTTTTCATATTTATTAATAACAGCTATACTGAAATGTAATTCACATACCAAAAAATACATCCTTTTAAGATGTACACCTCAGTGATACTTTAGTATATTTACAGACTTGTGTAACTATCACCACTAATTTTAGAGCATTTTTATCACCCCCCCCCAAAAAAAAATGTCCCGTGCCCATTCACAGTCACTCCCCACACAACCCAGTCCTAGGCAATGGCTTGTCTACTTTTTATTTCCACAGATTTGCCTATTCCAGACATTTCATATGATTGGAATCACACAATATGTAGTCTTTTGTGTCTGATTTTCTTAGCACAATACTTTCAGTGAGTGTTCTTTCATTTTATGGCATGTATCAGTATTTCTTTTTTTTTCATGGCCAAATGTTCCCTAATGGGAATATATGACATTTTATTTATCCATTCACCATTTGAGGGACAGTGGGGTTCTATTTTTGACTGTTATGAATAACACTGCTATGACCATTCATGTACAAGTTGATGTGTGTTTTCAGTTCTTTTGGGTATATGCCTAGGAGTAGATCTGCTGAGTCACATGGTAACTCTATGTGTAACATCTTGAGGAACTGCCAAACTATTTTCAAAGTGTCTGCACAATTTTACATTGCTACCATTATTGTATGAAGGTTCCAATAAATTTCACTATTTCTTATTGCTTGTCTTTTTTGTTTTACCCATCCTAGTGGATATAACTTGATATCTCCTTGTGGTTTTGATTTGCATTTCCCTTAATGACTAATTATGTCAAACATCCTTTCATGTACTTATTGACCATTTGTATACCCTCTTTGGTGAAATGTCTATTCCAGTATTTTGCCTATGTTCTAATTCATTTATTTGCCTTTTTATGGTTGAGTAGTAGGAGTTCTTTATGTAGTCTGGGTTCAAGTCCCTTGAACACATGATTCACATATATTTTCTCCCATTTAGTGGGTTGTCTTTTCACTCTCTTGATGGTATCCTTTGAAGCATGACACTTCTTAATATTGATGAAGTCTGATTTATCTGTTTTTCCTTTTGTCACTTGTGCTTTTAGTGTCATATCTAAGAAATCATTGCCTAACCAAAGGTCACAAAGTTTACTACCATGTTTTCTTCTAAGAGTTTTATAGTTTTAGCTTATACATTTAGGTCCACAATACATTTTTAGTTAATTTTGATATATGAGGTAGGGCTTCATCTTCATACCTTTGTTTGTGGTTATCCAGTTGTCCCAACACCGTTGAAGAGATTATTTTTTCCCATTGAATTGTCATTGCATCCTTGTTAAAAATCATTTGGCCAAGGCAGGAATGGTGACTCATGCCTGTAATTTTAGCACTTTGGGAGGGTGAAGTGGGAGGATTGCTTAAGCCCAGGAGTTCAAGACCAGCCTGGGCAACATAATGAGGCACCATCTCTACAAAAAAATTTTTAAAAAAATTATCCAGGCATGGCAGTGCATACCTGTAGCCCTAGCTACTCAGGAGGCTGAGGCAAGAGGATTGCTTGAGCCCAGGAGGTCGAGGCTGCAGTGAGCCATGGTTGTACCACTGCATTCCAGCCTGGGCAACAGAGCGAGACCCTGTCCTAGAAAAGAAAAAAAAAGATCAATTGACCATAATGTAAGAGTATTATTTCTGGACTCTTTATTTCATTGGTCTATTCTGATGCCAGTACCATACTGCCTTGATTAATGTTGCGTTGTAATAAATTTTGAAAATAGGAAATGTGAGTCTTCCAACTCTGTTCTTCTTTTTAAAGGTTGTTTTTTAATTTTGGGCCCCTTATATTTCCATATAATTTTTATGATCAGCTGGTCAATTTCTGCAAAAATAAGGGAAGAAGGAAAGGAAGCGAGTAAGCAAGCAGCTGGAATTTTGATAAGGATTGCATTAAATTGGTAGATTGATTTGGGGAGTATTGATATCATAACAAAATTGTCTTCCAAACCATGAACATGGAAAACCATAATGCACCCTCCCCCCTGCAAAAAAAGAAGATTTGATACACACAATATGGATGAAACTCATTCTAAAATACACATTGCCTCCAAAGACCAGACAATCTTTAAAGTATGTCAAAGAATTTTCTTAAATTTTTTTAAATCACTTTCTCTGTTCTTAAAAATTAAGAACCCAATAACCCTGATAATTTAGCACTGATTTCTCTCTCTTAAGCTACCACTATTTCCATTAAATCCTCCCTTTTAGTGATCTTCAAATGGCCCTATTGTTAATTGTAATGAGGGGGAAAAAGGCTATCTTTATTCCACTGGCCAGACTTTTTTCTCCTGGTAAATTTTCATTTTGCAGGCAGAGAGGTTTTATCGTAGCAGTTACTTGCAAGTGGGAAGTAGAAATGAAACAAAAAGGGAAGAAAAATGGTAGTATTTAAGGAAGAATGCAGAATCAACGTACACTAAGTAGGAAAAAAATGAAAATGCGTGACCTGGTGACATTTTAAGCATATTTTAAATGAAATGGTTTGGAGGGGAGGACCTGGCTTTGTGTTTCAACATACAGTATTTGAATACACTATTATGTTGGTGCAAAAGTAATTGTGGTTTTTGCCATTACCTTTAATGGTGCCATAATGGCAAAAACCTCAATTACTTTTGCACCAAACTAATAAATTCCTGCAAGTGAGAAGCTGTTCATCTGGTCCTACAGAGCAACTTCAAAATATATTTCAGATATTCCCACCTTTTAAAAAAATATATTATTTATTTTTCAGACAGGATCTTGCTCTGTTGCCCAGGCTGGAGTGCAGTGACATGATCATGGCTAACTGCTACCTCGGCCTCCTGGGTTCAAGCAGTTCTCCTGCCTCAGTCTCCTAAGTAGCTGGGACCACAGGCGCGCGCCACCACACCCAGCCAATTTTTGTATTTTTTGCAGAGACGGGGTTTCACCACGTTGCCCAGGCTGGTCTTGAACTCCTGGGCTCAAGTGATCAACCTGCCTCGGCATCCCAAAGTGCTGGGATTTCAAGCATGAGCCACCGCGCCTGGCCCCACCCTTGTTTGTTTTCAGAAGTAACTATTTTTAATTTATTTTAAAATAGGAAATGAAAGTGGAATAGGGAAGAGGTTACTGACAGTTAAGTCTGTAATCTAGAAACCAGAAAGGAAGTGCCTCTACTGTTTCTACTTTATTCCACCAGAAATCCTGGCATACTTTCAGGAAGAGGAGACAGAGGCAGCCGTTGATAATCTAAGACTTAAGATGGAGGGATTCGCAATTAGGTCCCTGTCTGTTATTTGAGAAGCCCCCACTAATTCATCTACTAGGCCTTTCATAATGTGTAAAATTTTACTCAAGATCAACAAATAAGAAAAGTTCAAAACAAATGTAATTGCCAAAGATAGTTTTTTCGTATCATAACCTGGTATCGGATTTCTTTCGTTATAGAGTGCACGACAGATAATATATTAATGTCATCCTCAAATGATATTTTGAGACGAGGTAAGTAAATAGGAAAGAAAAAGTAGATTTAGCAAGGTTTAAAAAATACCAGTCAAACCAGATGAAAAGGACCTGGTGTGGTAGCAGTATCTAATATAGCCACTCACAGAAGAATTCTTGAACTTCTTTCTGCATTAGTACTTGGAAGTACTGAAAGTAGTAATGTAGAAAGGGTTGCAGTTATCTGTCTCTTAAGAACCTCCATTCGATTACCTTACTTAGTGTTTACAACATGCTTTGTTAAGATTATTGAGATTAACATGCTATGAGCAATATGCCTATTATTACAAGTTATCTCTTATTCAGACATTCTCACCATTTGTAATATTTCTTTCCAGTGAGGAAGACACTGTGTTGTGCTCATTGGGAGCATAGATTCTGGAGTCAGGGAGCTCAAGTTCTAATCCTGGCTCTGCCATTTACTGGTTTTATTACTTTGAGCAAATAATTTAATGTATCTGTGCCTCTATTTTCTCATCTGTAAAATGAGGGTAATAATTTCTACCTTAGAAAGTGGAATCTAAAGTTATGAAGGTTAAGCTAATATATGTAAAGTGTTTACACTAGTGACTTGTACATCATAAGCATTATGTAAGTATATGCTAAATAAATATATACTCTTATTTTCCATATAGATTATAAACTTTTCAAAGTCAATGACTATATCTCCGTGTTGTATAAATTCTCGTATCTGTTGTTAACCATGTACATAGGAAACACTTATTATCAGAGTAACTTTGTAGGAGACAGTGAAATAGAGCCCCAGAATATCTAGAGGTCTGGAATCTACAATGAGAAAAATTTGCAAAAGATTAGTTAGTTTAACCTTTAGGAGGGAGGAAAGTGTTACTCATTAATTTGAAGAGACCAGTTTTGCCTTTTCATTTTATCAAGGAATAAGAAGCTTTCAATTGTTCTTGAGAAAAAAATAAGTTATCTAAATGTTTATAACATAAAAATAACCCTACTGATTCTCTTATTTCTGTTCTGTGGCAAAGAAATCTATTTATGTTGCCTCTGGGAGGATAATAGGAGAGGAAAAATAGAGCCTTGTTTTTCTACCTTGACATACATTCAGTGAGAGTTTTGTAGAGATTTTTCACAGATGGAACTTGAGTTCAGTACTAATACACAAAAATACACATATACCCTATCTCTGACCCCCAGCTTGTGACTTTATTAGAGAAGTTGATATAAATGTTAAATGGAATAATAACAATGCAGATCTTACCTTCTTAGCATTTGGAGTGGTTTACTGTGTAATACTGAATATCCTAAATAATAGGATATGATTGTGTTTTGTGATGCTGTTGTTTTGGCATCAAACCGTATGACACTTCAGTTAATGCTTGTAATGCTAATGGATATATCTGACCCCATAAAAAGATTTTTGTAAAGTCCTTTAAAATCTGTGCTACTGTGGATTGTTACAAGGTGAGATTAAATGCTCTGAATTTAGAACAAAGCCTGAATAAATATGGACGGTAAGTCAACCTAACATAAACAGATACTCATTTTAGGTAAAATTTTTTTTCTGCCTCACATTTATAATCATTTTGAGTTCCCTGGCTCATTTTTATTTGATTCGTGTAAATTTTTTACTTGGAAGCGAATTTATATTGGGAGTGAGTAGTCCAAGAAAAACCTCATAACTTTGTAATTTTTGAGTTAAAATGTGAAAACTAAAGAAATGACCAAAGTGAATGTACAAATAGTTGCAGAACTAGACCATTTTATTTTGAAAGATTCATGTTCTTCAATGCCTTCTTGTTACAGGTGATGCTGAACAGGAGCTTGGCCCCCCTCCATCTGTAGATGAGGCAGCAAACACACTCATGACTCGTCTGGGTTTCCTCCTTGGAGAGAAAGTCACAGAAGTTCAGCCAGGTGACCAATACAGCATGGAAGTACAGGATGAAAATCAGGTAAGCTGTTTGCTATCACCTTTGTGAAACATGGTGTGAATCAGCTTATTATGCCAGAAATAATCCCAATTGTTGAATGCCTTTTGAGGCCTAGAATACAACTTAACTTTCCATAATCACTATTATTTCTTCAGTTTATGAATAATCTTTTAGCTTTAGTCTTAGATTTAACAACCCAAAAAGCCACTTTTAGGTTTTGATTGATTTAATGAATGAACGAGCAAGCCAACAAATAAAATTGACACGTATATAAGCACTGCACCCCAAATTTGCAGAATATACATTCTTTTCAAGTGCATGTGGATTATTTACCGAATTGGTTATATGCTGAGCCATAGAGCAGGTCTTGACAAATTTCCAAAGATTCCAGTTACTGTGACCACAGTGGAATTTATCAATTACAAAATGATAATTTAGAAAGTGGGATCTAAAAGATTACTTGGATCATTAGTTCAGATTTTCTACTTTTCTGAAATACACATTTAAAACTAATATTTCTTTTTAAGCACATCTTTAGCTATATCCTACAAGTTTTTTTATACTTAGTTTTTATTCCAATTTAAAATATTTTCTCATTTTTTTGTGATTTCCTCTTGGACTCAAAGGCTACTTAGAAGTGTATTACTCAATATCTAAATATTTGGGGATTTTCTAAGTATCCGTCTCAGAAAGTTAAAAAAATCTACAATTTAAAAAATATTTTATAGTTTTCTTTCTTTTTGCTATTTTCATTTTTTTCAGTTTAAATGTAGCAAAAAAAAGTACTAGAGTCAGATTCATTTGTATGATCTTAATCTTCAGCGTGAATGTCTGATAGTGAAGCATTTTATTCAGGAGATGACAAATTAATTTTAAATTGCATATTTTATTAATAAATATTAGTGAAGAGTCTATATCACATACTACTTTTGTTACAATGAGATATACAAGGATTATTTGAATATATTTATATATTGTGTGGATAAGTTCAGATGTTCCAGGGTGCTGTCCTCAAGCCTCACTCCTTAGGTTATTGGTTTTGCTAGCTGCACATTATTTAAATACTATCTTAACTCCCAAATTATCTCTAGCCCTGCCTTTTCCCCTTTACTTGAAATTTGTATATTTAGCTTCCCACATTATATTTTCTACCTAATGTTTAAAATGTATCTCAAACTTAACATGTCAGATTTCTCCCTAGAACCTGTGCCTTCTGCAGTGTTTCCCATATGAGTAAATGGTATCACCTACTTGCTTAGGACAAAAGCATTGGAGCCATTTGACTTCCATCAGACCCACGTTCACTCTTTCAGCAAATCGTAGACCCTGTCTTCAAAATATGTACTCAATCTGATCCCTTCTCACTATTCCCACTGCTATACCCAAGTCCAAGCCACTGTCATCTTTTGCCTGTGCTACTGCAATAGGTACTAGAATGTAAGGCTGGAAGGCTGGGATTTTTGCCTATTCTACCCGTTGCCGTATCCTCTGCCCCTAGAACATTACTGTCATTACTAGGTGCACAGTAGGTATTTATTATATGAATAAATGGTCTCCTAATAGGTCTCTGTGTCCACTCTTGCCCCCCTGTAGTCTGTTCACACAGTAACCAGAGTGATCCTTGTAAAATATGAATCCAGTTCTGTCACTTTGCTTGTAATCTTCTACTGTATTCCCATCATACTTAAAATAAAATCTAAAATCTTTACTGTGGCCCAGAAGGCTACACCTGATCTAGCCACTTGCTACCTCTCCTACATCACTTCCTACCCCTCTCCCTTTCACGCACGGCTCTCCAGCTACATTGGCCTCCTTGTCGTTCGCCAGTCACATCAGCTATATTCATTTTTACTGGAATGTTCTTCCCCCATAACTCACTTCCTCACTTATTCAGTGTTCTGCCTAAATGTTACCTCCTCAGAGAGGTCTTACTTAATTCCTCTTCTAATAATTGCACCTGCCCATCCATATACCCCTATGCTTCTACTTTATTTTTTCATAGCTCTTACCATTAACTGATATTACATTACATGTTTAGTTGTGGGGTTGTTTTACCTTATGACAAGAATGTGTGTTTCATGATGTCAGATCTGATGATTTTTTAAATCAATTTACATTGTAACTATGTCAATATGCTGTGCTGCTCTGTGAATAAAAAATGGGAACAATATTGTTGAGGGATTTTTTAAAATTGGGAGCAATAAAACATCTATTTCACCTTTCATTTCTTGATATTCATGTCAAGTTAAAATGTGACTGTTATAGTAATGACCAGGTAACTTGATGTCATATCTTATAACCCGAATATTTTTCAAGGACTCTGTCATTTCTACACAGCTACATTTCCTTGGATGATAAAATTTGTACTTGTTGTTCTTGAGATTCCGCATGTCACAGTGATTTCTGCATAAAGTCACAAGTCTATGGAGTGCACCTTACTTGTACATTACTGAATAACATAATCTTAAGTAAATGAGTAGTATCATTGATTTAATTAAAGCAATATGGTGTAATAGAAAAGCCATTGAACCAGGAGGGAGAAAATTTGTGTTCTAGTTCCAACTCTGCCACCTACCATTTTGTAAATTTGGATGTGTCACTTAACCTCTCTGAGCTTTATATTTTTCATAGGTAATAATAACTGACATTTATTAAATACCTACTGTGTACCAATTATTGTACTAATTGTTTTACTTGCACTGTTTTGTTTAAGCTTCTTCACAACCCAGTGTAGTAGAGTTCATTCATATTCCAATTTTCAAATAAGATATGGAAACACACTGCCAGAAAGTGATGGAATGGTATTCATATCCAGGCAGTCTGCTTTTATAATCTATGCTCTTAACAGCCACACCATACTGTTCCAGTGTAATGTGAAATAATAACACCTGACAGGGTTGTTGAAAGGATCAAGTTAAATCATGAATATGAAAGTACTTTGTAAGCTGTAAAATGTCATATAAATAAAAAGTATAAAATAATATGCAGTATAGTTAGTATATAAATATATGCAGGAACTGTGTGATTTGGGGGAAATTACATCATAGCTTTCGTACTTTCATTGGTTTCATTTTCACATTTCTTAAGTGGGGGAAATAACATACATTATGCCTCTCATACCAGGTTGATAAGGAGTAAATGAGATAATATATAAAAATATTTTTAAATTGTTAAGCTTTATACAAATTTAAAATATTAATAATGAAGCTAAATGATAGCCTTCTTGCAGTATAATATACACTGGAACTATCTTGGAACCACACAAGAAAGTGGCTAAATTGATCATTTGAATTTCTGGTCTCAGGAAGATTATGAAGAAGTAGGAGGTCATGTTAATTTGGTGACTTTTTTCTGAGCTAAACAGTGTATTAACAAAGATAAACTGCTATGCTTAGGCAGATCATGTAGTGATGATATTCTCAAAATAGTAATGACAGAATCTAATGCAAGTCAGCGTACATCATTTTTCTGCAAAAAAAACAAAGCATGAAAGTGATATTCACCTGACCCCTTTATTCTTTCAGTAGTTTCCAAGGTATTCAAATGGACCTTATGAATTTCCTCTTTAGCTTCTTATGTTGTGTATTTGTAGGACCTTTAAGAGATCCAGATTGGGAGCTTTCTTAGGATCCTTCTGGAGAACATTAAGGGCAATGGGAAAAACACTGAAAGGTTTAGGAAGTGCAGTGGCTTAAATAGACGTCCATTTTAGCCTACAGCATGAAGAATAAATAGTTGTCTTTCTCTAGCTCATTAACTAGTCTCCTTAAGTAAATATGAGGCCTGCCTTTTAAGTCATAAGCCATGAACAATTTTCTGTTTTCTAAATGGCTTGATATTTAAGCTTTGCGTTTACAGTTAAAGCTTTTAAGATACACATTCTCTGATATGTGCTTTATTTTGCACAAAATAACTTAGAGTAAAAATAAGTAAGTGCTGTTTGGGCTTAACCTCCACATTGTCTATATTATGCATATAATATGATTTTCTTTCACAAAGAACAGAATGAGAATCTTAGAACAGAAATGAGTTGTTATAAAAGTAATAGATTCCTATCATAATAAAACTTTTCTTCTTTTTTTTTTCTTTTTTTTTGAGACAGAGTCTCACTCTGTTGCCCAGGCGGTAGTGCAGTGGCACGATCTTGGCTCACTGCAACCTCTACCTCCTGGGTTCAATGATTCTCATGCCTCAGCCTCCTGAGTAGCTGGGAGTAGAGGCATGCACCACCACACCCAGCTAATTTTTGTATTTTTAATAGAGATGGCATTTTGCCATGTTGGCCAGGCTGGTCTCAAACTCCTGGCCTCAAGCAATCCGCCTGCCTCAAGCCTCCCAAAGTGCTGGGATTACAGACATAGGCCACCATGCTGGGCCTAAAACTTTTGCAATATGGAATGACTATAGCTATATCTAATGTAAAAGACCTGAGTACAGTTCATCTACTCACATGTGTCTCAGACTGGGAGTGGGAGGTTAAAAATCGTTTGCCACATTTCTAACCTGAAGGATTCCAATTCCAATTCAATAAGTCTGGAGTGGGGGCTCAGTATCTGTCAATTTTGTAAGAGAGCTTGCATGTTTGTTTTTTCCATGTCACAAGTGATATTACTGTGTGCCTAGTTAGGAATAATTGCTCTGTAAGGGAAAAAAGATTTTAAGGTTAAAAAAAAAAAAATCATTGCTCTGGTAGACCAGCATCATATTATAAAAATAGAGATTTTAAAAAATTGAAACTCTCCTCTTCTCTGGAGAGATAACATATAGTAGAAGAGAAATTTGGATACGTTTGAGAGCTTACTGTGTTGTTAAGAAAAATTAGATTCTAATATTATTGATATGATTGAAAAGATTTACTTGGTTGGAGGGTAATGAGAATGTCACTTGTTTTTGGTTGAGTCAAATTTATCTTTTGTAACCTGGTTATAGTATTTAAATTAAAATCAAAACCTAGATTCAACAGAGATGATTAAACACAAGGGACTGCATCTAGGAATCATCTTAGGATGAGTCGAAGAGCCTTAATATTCTCATAGCTAGTTATCAACACATTCTCCAGTTATTAAATTTTAGCAGAAAGAGTATGAATAGAGACTCTATTTGTAAAGAAGTTGAAAGGCTTCTTTTAAATTTAACATTTAAAGATGTTAAATTTATCATTAGTGCGTCTTCAAGTAATTTTGCTGCTGATCACTTAATAATTTTAAAAACGATAAAATGTTGGCCGGGTGTAGTGGCTCACACCTGTAATCCCAGCACTTTGGGAGGCTGAGGTGGGAAGTACACATTCAGGAGTTCAAGACCAGCTTGGCCAAGACAGTGAAACCCCGTCTCTACTAAAACTATAAAAATTAGCCAGGCGTGATATTTGGCGGCTGTAATCCCAGCTACTCGGAAGGCTGAGGCAGGAGAATCACTTGAACCTGGGCAGCAGAGGTTGCAGTGAGTTGAGATTGTGCCATTGCACTCCAGCCTGAACGACACAGTGAAACTCCATCTCAAAAAAAAAAAAAAGGATAAAATGTTTTTAGTGTTTGAAAAAATATACTTTTATTCACTATTGTAGTAATTTATTTGTGTAGAAAGAGTTGAAGAAAAGTGAATTGTCATTAAATTAGGTAAATCAGAATATATTACCACCAACCTTTTTAGTAATTATTCATTCCTTCACATCAAAACTTAAAAAGTAAATAGCTTCAAGTGTAAGAATCATTCAGGATACAAAGTGATCTCAGGCTGTAATGCTGTTACAGAGAAGTTATTTAGGTTTGTATTAAACTAATATTAATTCTGTTTTATTAGACAAACTTTTAGAATAAGGCATTTTTCTCTGCATTCATGTATTGTCTCTGGACAGCTGCCTATGTATCGAAAAGACACTTCCTTGCATTAAGAACTTTATTTCTTCCCAGCTGTAGAGATTTTTTTTTTCCCTTCCATCTAAAGAAAATTATTGGCTGGGTCCAGTGGCTCATGCCTGTAATCCCAGCACTTTGGGAGGTTGAGGCGGGTGGATCACCTGAGGTCAGGAGTTCGAGACCACCCTGGCCAACATGGTGAAACCCCATCTCTACTAAAAATACAAAACTAGCCAGGTGTGATGGCGCATGCCTATAATCCCAGCTATTTGGGAGGCTGAGGCAGGAGAATCGCTTGAACCTGGGAGGTGGAGGTTACAGTGAGCCAAGATTGTGCCATTGCACTCCAGCCTGGGCAACAAGAATGAAACTCTGTCTCAAAAAAAAAAAAAAAAAAAAAGAAAGAAAGAAAGAAAATTATTAACAAGGCAAAGTTCCAGGTCTTCCAAAAAGTTTTATTGATTGCAAGGAAAACTTGCAATAGCAGGGAGAACTTGTGCTTAATAAAAAATTTCTCTATTCTATTAATGAATGGCAGTGATAGGGTACTTGTCACTGGAAATTTTGTAGGCAGAAAAACTGGCAACAGTCTCTGTTAATGTTAAGTTCATCAAGTTTCACATTAATTTGTAGACCCCAAAGTCCTTATCCGAGAAAGCAAAAACAAATAGAGCCTAATAGATGTAAAAGCTATGCATGTAGTTTTTTTTTTCATCAAAGCATTTATTTTATCTTAAAATATACTTTAACAGCTGATCAGGTTATCTTACTTATTCATGATTCCAATTTTTCAGACCTCAGCAATCACCCAGCGGATAAGTCCTTGTTCCACTCTGACTAGCAGCACTGCCTCTCCACCAGCCAGTAGCCCCTGCTCTACACTCCCACCCATCAGTACAAATGCAACTGCCAAGGACTGCAGCTATGGGGCTGTTACTAGTCCAACCTCTACCCTTGAAAGCAGAGATAGTGGCATCATTGGTGAGTTGGTTTTTATATTGATAATTTTGTGTCCTTTTTTTCCTTTTTAAAATAATTACACAAGCTTAAGGTTTTTAAAAATTCTGCTTTTGAATTGTTGAGATGTATATATAAAACTTTCCTGGTCTTTTTAATGATGCTGGAGAGAGAAACCTAAGGGTAAACAAAATGAAAGGTATTCCTCCCTACTTAACCACTCCTTATCAGGATATTCCCTGATAAGAAGGAGTGGATTTAAAAAAAAAACTTCTGTCCACTTCTTCCTGTAAATGCACGTACATCAACTATCTACCAACAGAAGTAGTTCAGAAAAAGTTCATTCCTTACTGGTATAGTCGAGAGTTTTATGAAAGAAAGGTGAGATTAGATTAAGTGGCGAAAGAGTTATGATTTGAGTTGTTCTGGGTCTATTTGTGCAAACCATATATTAGTTATTTAATTAGTTTTGGGAGCCCCTTTAGACTTTGTTTTTCTTCTTGTCAATAAGACAGCCCTGTTTTTTACCTTCTGCAAAGTAGAAAAATGGTATTTCTTTGCTTATGATTTGAAACCTTATACGAATACATTTTTATGGCAAGCTTGGGCATAAAGAGAACTTGAAACTTAGAAGTATTCAAGCAAAGAAATTTTCCATTTAATTTTCCCCTCGTGAATTTTCTTATACCTTTTTTTTTTTTTTTTACCAAAGATCCTAGTTGACTACTTAGTCCTAGAAATATTTCTAAATAATCTTCAACCCAATTAGCAGTTTGCAGCAGAAACTAAAACCACTCTGATAAAGGCAATGCTGATTGGGACATTATGTAATTTATTATCTCCGGTAGACTCTAGGTAAACATTTCATCAGAGCCAGACGTGGACTGTTGGAGGGCTCATTCATGTTCAGGAGATAGGCCATCATCATTTATATGTATTGTTATGATTCAACACCTCTTGCTATGAAAATCATAGGATATTTCTAGCTCAGGAAATCTTTCATCATATTCAAAATTTTGAGTGATCTTTCTTGAGTAATATTTCCTATTAATGCATTTTGACAACTAGAAAATATTAAAGTATTGTGATTACTCTTTGGGACACTGTTCTAATGCTCTTCTTATAGTTAGGTATGGAGATAAGAAGAGTAGGGGAAGAACATAGTTCTGGAGCTTCTCAGTTTTTATGGCTATCAAGTTGTATAATGATTCAGACATTGAACATTATTCTATACCATTGTCATTTACAAAATGCTAAAAAAATTGCATTTCCTTTAATAATGGAGTTACCAATAGACTCCTTTTGACAAATAAGTCTGTGTACATTTTCTAGTCAGAAATAAGAATTTAAGAATAGTATAAAACTATATATTTATACTCTGTGAGAAGATAAAATGGAAATTGGGCTTCTGTCCAAAACATAAATGGCATTTCTGGGTATTCCTTTTCTACCTAACAACCAGATGATGACAGTGTCATAGCCTCCAGCAGCTTTATGTAGAATAAAGAAGAGGAAAGAACATAGGTGGTAATAAGAATAATTTTAATTAAAAGTTATTTATGGCTAGGTTTCTCTTCAGACTCCCAAAATTATAGTATATGCCAACCCCAATTAAGTATTTAGGAGCAGAGCATAAATGGGGAATGAATGTGTTCCATCATCTATGATATTGCACATGTGAATGTATGGGCTTATATTTATACATAGGTAGACAAAAGTGATTATGTTTTTTCCTCTATCGCTCTGGGCCCCAGGTGCAGAGAGCTGAATTAATAATACTCCTCAGTATATACAGATTGGTCTGTACAAAGCTCCTCTCAGTTTATTACTTTTCCCTTTATCCTCAATCCCATTTCATTGCAGCCATACTATTATATTTATATAAGTCCTTGAATATTAATGTGTCCTTGAATATTATATGTTGTTTTTTGTGTGTGTTTGTGATTTTAATTTATAAAGTGGCATGTTAATACAGATCTTATATTCTGCTTTTTAAAATCTATATGAACACCAAATTTCTTGCTTCTGATGATGTAAATATTCTTCACATTTTACCTGCGAACACTTAGGTTGCTTCCAACTCCTCTACCATTTGTACAAACCTTTTCTGGAGTTTATACCTAGGACTGGAATTACCGAGTCATGGGGCATATGATTATTTAACTTCATGAAATACTCCCAGATTATTATCCAGAATAGTTACAGTAATTCACATTCTCATCAGCAGTATATAAAGCTTCTTTTCCCTTTTCTCGTTCTTTGTTGACACTAGCTAGCCCAGTTCTAAAATCTGAAAACTCTTAAAACCGTAAGTTTTTTAAAATATAAATTTACATCAAATTCATTTGGCTGTAAAATCTTACCTGAGCTAAGATGAGGCTACTTACAGTCTTTATCCTACTAAATATGAATATCTATACATTTTATTGTAGAAATGTTAATATACTCGGTTACAGGATACTATTCCCTGTGCCATATACAGTATCTGTGCCTTTTTACTTTTTTAAAATATGAGACATTCTGTATTTTGAAACACATCTTCAGAGTTTCATATATGCGATTATAGACCTGTGTCATCTGACTTTCTGATTTTAGTAAATCTGATGGTTATAAAATTGTCTCATTTTAATATGCATTTCTTTGATTAGTGTAGAGGTTCTGCAGCTCTTCATATGCTCACTGCCTATTGTATACTTGTTAAGGGAGTCATTCAAATGGAAATAGGTGAAGTTTTGGGAAAAGAATAATCTAAAGAAGGCAAATCCAAAGAGAAGAAAACAGAGGACTGAGCACAAAATCTTAGAGCACATTCAAAGAGCAGGGAATTGGAAGTGGGAGAAGAATGAGCCAGTGGACACCAAAAAAAAAGTAGTCAGATAAATAGGAGAAAACTTAGGGCAGTGCAATGCCACCAAAGCCAAGGGAGACACATGTTCCAAGGAAGGTGTGTGGAAAGGTTGCTTAACAAATGACGAAAGTTGAGAAGACAAAGGAAAATGAGGATGATTAAAGAATAAAAGTAAATATTTTTCCCACATTTGGCTTCCTTCTGTAGATATAAAAAATACATATTTATTTGTTTAGAAGTTGTGGCAAATGTTAATGCCGTGACTGCAAAGTGTATCCCTAACTTACATAAATGCACATCGGTGTGTGGATTCATTCATTTTAAATAAATACTGAGTAAATAAAAATATTTTTACAGCAAAGTTGCAGGATACAAAATCAACACCAAAACAAGTTGTATTTGTATATCCTAAAGATGAAAAATCCAAAAAGAAAAATAAGGAAACAGTTTCATTACAGTGGCATCACAAAGAATAAAATAGGAATAAATTTAACCAAGGAGGCAAAAAAAAAAAAATTCTACATTGAAAACTGCAAAACATTGCAGAAGAAATTTTAAGACTTAAATGGAAAGATATACTGTCTTCATGGATTGGAAGACTTGCTATTGTTAAGATAACAATATTTATCAAAGCCATCTACAGATTCAAATCAATCTCTATCACAATCCCAACAGTAGTCTTTGCAGAAATAGAAACATCCAGCTGGGAATAGTGGCGTGAACTTGTAGTCCCAGCTCCTTGGGAGGCTGAGGCAGGAGGATCATTTGAGCCAGGAGTTCAAGTCCAGCCTGGAAAACCTAGCGACACTCTGTTTCTAAAAAAAAAAGAAAGAAAGAAAGACTCATCCTAAAGAAGAAAGAAAGAAAGACTCATCCTAAAAGTCATATGGAATCTTAAAGGACTCTAAATAGCCAAAACAGTCTTGAAAAAGAGCAAAATTGGACGACTCACATTTCCTGATTTCAAAACTTATTACAAAGCTACAGTAATCAAAGCAGTATAAAGAGACCAGAAATAGGGGGCCAGGTGCAGTGGCTCATGCCTGTAATCCCAGCACTTTGAGAAGCCAAGGCAGACGGATCAGTTGAGGTCAGGAGTTTGAGACCAGCCTGGCCAACATGGTGAAACCCCATCTCCACTAGAAATACAAAAAGTAGCCAGGCGTGGTAGCAGGAGCCTGTAATTCCAGCTACTGGGGAGGCTGAGGCAGGAGAATCACTTGAACCTGGGAGGCAGAGGTTGCAGTGAGCTGAGATCAAGCCACTGCACTCTAGCCTGGGCAACTGAGCAAGACCCTGTCTCAAAAATAAATAAATAAATGAAAATAAAGAGACCAGAAATAAACTCTTGCATATATGGTCAAATGGTTTTTGACAAGCGTCCTAAGACCATGTGGCATGGACAGTCTTTTCAACAATTAGCGTTAGGAAAATTGAATATTGACATGCAAAAGAATGAAGTTGGTCATTTACCATCTACCATATACAAAAATTAAAATGGATTAAAGACCTAAACATAGTAGTTAAAAACTGTAAAACTGCTCAAAATTTAACCAAGGAGGCAAAAAAAAAAAAAAAAAAAAAAAAAAAACCTCATACACCGAAAACTACAAAACATTGCAGAAGACATTTTTAAGACTTAAATAGAAAGACATCCTGTATTCATGGATTGGATATAGGAGAGGAACAGAGAACATAGGAGGAAATCTTTGGACATTGCATTTGGTATTGATTCCTTGGATATGAACCAAAAGCACAGGCAACAGAAGAAAATAATACATTGGACTTGACATAAATTTAAAACTTTTGTGCATCAAATGATACTATCAAGAGAGCAAAAAGGCCGGGCACTGTGGCTCACACCTGTAACTTTGGGACAGGTTACACAACTTTGGGAAGCTGAGGCAGGTGGATCACCTGAGCTCAGGAGTTCAAGACCAGCCTGGCCAACATAGCGAGACCCCCATCTCTACTAAAGATATAAAAATTAGGCATGGTGGCACAAGCCTGTAATCCCACCTACTCAGGAGGCAGGAGAATCACTTGAAGCCGGGAAGCAGAGGTGGCAGTGAGCTGAGATCACACCACTGCACTCCAACCTGAGTGACAGAGCAAGACTTCATCTCAAAAAGAAAAAAAAGCAAAAAGACAACCCACAGATATTGGAAATAATGTATCTGATAAGGGATTAATATCCAAAATATATAAAGAACCCCTACAACTCAACAACAACAAACCATTTCAAAAATGGGAAAAAGACTTACATAGACGTTTCTCCAGAGAAGATATACAAATGGCCAATAGACACATGAAAAGATATTCAACATTACTAGTCATTAGGGAAACGCAAACCAAAACCACAATAAAACACTACTTTATACCCATTAGGATGACAATTATAAAAAGAAAGTGGAACATAACAAGTGTTGGCAAGGACGTGGAGAAATTGGAACTCTCATACATTGCTGCTGGGAATGTAAATGATGCAGCTGCTGTGGAAAAGAGTATGGCAGTTCTCCAAAAAGTTCAACATAGAATTGCCATATGATCCGGCAATTTCTCTTCTAAGTATATACCTGAAAGTATTGAAAGGAAGGATTTGGACAGATACTTGTATGCTGATGTTCATAGTGGCATTTTCACAACGGCCAAAAAGTGGAAATAATACAAATGAATATGGACAGATGACTGGACAAACAAAATATGATATATACATGCAATGAAATATTATTCACCTTAAAAAGAAATGAAATTCTGATGTATGCTACAACATGGATGAACTTTGAAAATGTTATGCTGAGTTAAGCCAGACACAAAAGGATTGTATGATATATATGGTTCCACTCATATAAATGGAATACCAGAGTAGCTAAATCATAGAGACAAAAAGTAGAATAGAGAGTACTGAGTGGGGCTGCAGCGGCGTGGGGAGTTGGTGGGATGTGGAAATAGGAAGTTATTGTTTAATGGATACAGAATTTCAGTTGGGGATGATGAAAAGTTCTAGAGATGGATAATGTTGATGTTTGTACAACATTGTGAATATACTTAGTGCCCCTGAATTATACACTTAAAAATGGCTAAAATAATTTTATGTCGTGTATATTTTACCACAGTAAAACATTTTTAAAAGAATATTTATTAATATGTATATGGTATAGACAATAAGAATATAGCAAATACCTGACTACCTCTCTTACCCTATAACAAAAATGACCTGTCTTATATGCTAAAGCCTTCTTCTGTATCTCTTCCCATTTCTCTATTCATACCCTACCCTGAGAGGTCATCTGAATTTTGTGATTATCATTCCAGTACTTTCTTTCATGATTTTGCCACATTTGTATCCCTAAATAATTTATTATTTAGATCTCATGTTTTCAATTTCATATACCTGAAAGCATATTTATGCAAATTTCTTTTTTTTTCCTTTTTTTTTTTTTTTTTTTTTTGAGACAGAGTCTCGCACTTTCGCCCAGGCTGGAGTGCGGTTGCGCAGTCTCGGCTCACTGCAAGCTCCACCTCCCGGGTTCATGCCATTCTCCTGCCTCAGCCTCCCGAGTAGCTGGGACTACAGGCACCCGCCACCACGCTTGGCTAATTTTTTGTATTTTTAGTAGAGATGGGGTTTCACTGTGTTAGCCAGGATAGTCTTGATCTCCTGACCTCGTGATCCGCCCGCCTCAGCCTCCCAAAGTGCTGGGATTACAGGCATGAGCCACCACGCTCAGCCACAAATTTCTTTTGTGCTTACTGTTATGTACCTCAGATACATTCATGTTGTTGCATTTTAGTCTGCTTGTTTTTATTGCCATATCATATTCTACTGTATGAATATAGCACATTTGTTTATTCATTCTGTTGATGAAAAGTTGAGTTGTTTCCAGATTTTTGCTCTTGCAAATAGTGCTGCTGTGATTATTCTTGGGCTTGTGTCGTTAGTCATATGTATGATTCGGAATGTTAGAAGTGAAATTGTCAGATTATTAGAAATGTGTCTCTTTCAACTTTATAAAATAATTTCATCTTTTATGAAACTATACCAGTTTATACTGCCACTAGCAATATACTATAAAATGTTCCATTTGCTATAGATCTTTCCCATGTTTGATATTGTCAGGCTTCATTTTGCCAATCTGGATGATATGAAAGTTATCTAATTGTGATATTAATTTGTGTTTTCTTGATTACTGATGAGGTTAAACAATCTTTTCACATGTTTATTAGCCAATTAGGTTTCCTCTTTTGTGAAATACCTGTTCAAGTTTTTGCTCATTTCCTAATGTGATTTTTCTTTTCCTTACAGATTTGAAGGAAATCTTTATTTTTTAATAGGAAGCCTTAATTTTAATGTAGTCAAGTTTTTTTGTTTTTTCCTTTGTATTTTATATTTTTGTGAAACTTTGCTTTGTCATTTAAGTCCTTAAAATCACCTAGAATTGGTACAAGAGTACAAATTTATGTTTTTCTATACAAATAACTAGTTCCATTACCATGTTCGCATGCAGTGTATTGCTGCCAAAAGCATAAATGTCTAGGTCTTTTTCTGAGCTTTTATTCTAGGTCTTTTTCTGAGCTTTTATTCAATCCATTGGTAAATCAGTCTCTCCTTATAACAATATTGTACTGTCTTAATTACAACCGCTATAAGTCTTGATACTTGGTAAACAAAGTCCCCTAACTTGATCATCATCTTGAGGATTCTCGGCTATTCTGTACCCTTTCTTCTCCCAAATAAACTTAAGAATCAATTTGCCAAATTCATGAAGAACCCCTTTTGAGATTTTTATTAGAATTGCATTGAAACCATAGATCAATGAGTGATGAATTTACAACTGTTTCCAATATTAAATCTTCTAATCCAGGAATATATTTTTTATCTCTTTCATTTAGAGCTTCTTTAGTATCTTTCAATAAAATGTTCTAATTTTTCAATAGGGTCTGGTATATCCTTTCAAAGATCTTTTTTCCTAGATGCTTTATATTTTTATGCGTTTGTCAGTGTTATGTCTTTTTCATTATACTTCTTACCTATTGCATAGAAATATGTAGAGATTTGTGTATTGTATTCAGCACTGCAGCAAAGTCTCTTATTAAATAATTTATAGTTTTTTTGTGGTTTTCTACATATACAACCATATTGTTTGCAAATAATGACTTTTTATGTTTTCCTTACCTATCCTTATATCATGTATTATTTATTGATTGATTGATTTCTTCCTAATTTTTTTTTTCAATTTTTTTGAGACAGAGTCTCTCTGTTTCCCAGGCTGGAGTGCAGTGTTGCAATCTTAGCTCACTGCAACCTCCACCTCAAACTCCTGCTGAAGTGATCCTCCCTCTTCAGTCTCCCAAGCATCTGGGACTACAGGCGCATGCCACCACACCCAGCTAATTTTTGTATTTTTTTTTGTAGAGACAGGATTTTAACATATTGCCGAGGCTGGTCTTGAACTCCTGGGCTCAAGCAGTCCGCCCGCCTCAGCCTCCAAAAGTGCTGGGATTACAGGCATGAGCCACTGCACCCGGCCACACTTTTTTTTTTTCCTTGTTGTACCAGCTAATTCTCTGGCACATTGAATTATAGTGATGGAAGCAGTCATCTTTATCTTGTAACTGATTTTTAAAGGAATCCTTTTTGTTTGTTTGTTTGTTTTGTTTGTTTGTTTTGAGATGGAGTCTCACAGTGTAGCCTGGGCTGGAGTGCAGTGGTGCAATCTCAGTTTGCTGCAACCTCCACCTCCCGAGTTCAAGTGATTCTCCTGCCTCAGCCTCCCGAGTGGCTGGGATTACAGGCACGCACCACCATGCCTGTCTAATTTTTTGTTTTTTTAGTAGAGACAGGGTTTCCCTATGTTGGCCAGGCTGGTCTCGAACTCCTGACCTCGTGATCCACCTGCCTTGGCCTCCCAAAGTGCTGGGATTACAGGCGTGAGCCACTGCTCTCGGGCTAAAGGAATGCTTTCAGTATTTCGCTATTAAGTATTATGTTCCTGTAGATGTTTGTAGACATCATTATCAGGTTTTTAAAATGTTTATTTCCAGTTTGTTATGTATTTTTAACCATAAACGAATATTAATTTTTTTCAAATACTTTTACAAATATCTTTTGAGGTGATGAAATAGTTTTTCTCCTTTATTCTCTCAATGGTGTAAACTACATTAATTTTTCAAATGTTAACCTGATTTTGCATTCCTAGAACCACGTGTAGTTATGATACATTTTTAAATAAATCAACTTATTTTCTAACACTTTGTTTAGGATTTTTGAATCTATATCCATGAGTGAGATGTGCTTGAAATTCTCCTCTCTGGTTCTGCAATTGTCAGGTTTTGCTATCAAGGATTATGTTAGCCTTATAAAATAGGTTGAGCTCATCCAAATATAAATACTCCCCAAGGCTGACTCTCAGCCTTTCTATTGTCATCTTTCTCAGTCTGCTTTCCCTGCTGGGATGACTCTCTCTGTTCCTTGACTCCTATTTCGTATTTCGAGCTCTGATTTTTGGTTCCACAATTTCTCTGTTTATTACATTCTTTTCATCATGGACACATGTCCAGGAATAATCACACAAACCAAATCTTACTTTCTTCATGAAGCAGACTCTGATTATCCCTCCCTTCTCTGGATTTCCGCACTATCTACCTCCCTCCTCTACACTTATGAGACTCATTGCCAATAACCAGTATAGTTACTTATAGTTATATATTTATTTTCTTTATGTAAGCTTCTTAATGTCAAGATTTATGTCTCCTACTTTTTATTTACTCTCGGGATTTAGCATAATATCTAAATTGTGGTTTATGTAAGAAGTCTTTATAGGGATATAATTATTAAATAACTAAACATTTTGAGTAAATAACATAGAGCAACACAATGTGATAAAGAGTAACCTTTTTTTCTATCCTCTGAAATAGTTTGTGGAAGATTGGAATTATCTGTTTCTTGAATATTTAGTCAGATTTGCTCTTAAAATAATCAGGGCACTGTCTTCATGCAATAAATGCACATTTCAATTTTAACTACTGTTTCTATGTATTATGTTTAATACTATAGAACATTTTAGGTTTTCTTTTTCTTTTTGAATCAGTTTCCTTGTAGTTTTTAATCTTTTTAAAATTTTTTAGCATAAAATTATCCAAAATATCCTTTTATAATGGCATCCCTACCTACCCAGGAACCTAAGACAGATACCTGAGAGGAGCCCTTGCCTCCTCCCTCTCTTTATATTTCTCATCCCTGTATTTTATTTTCATCCTTCATAGCATTGCTTCAATGGTCCTCATTATCTCAGACTTAGATTAATACAGATCTTTTTGTCTACTTTTCATCTTGTTCTTTCTGTTGTTTTTCACTCAGCAACCAAAGTAAATTAATTGAAAATCAATTACTCATTTGACTCCCGGTTACCTAAAAGATAAAGTGAACTTCTTGAAAACAAAGTCTGACCATATCACTCTTTTGGCTCTCATTTGCCTGTAAGACTTATAGGTAAATGAATTTACATTTTGTAGATCGATAGGCTTCCTTTGACCTAGGCCCTCATGATCTGGTGATGGCCAGTTTCCCCAGCCTTCTCTCCCACTTCTTTTTGCCTTGGATTTATTGTTCTAGCGGCAATAGTTTTTTTTTCATTTCTGTGATTTTGTTCATAATGATCATTCTTACTATGATATCCTCTCTCCTCCCAACATTAGAGGAGATAATAGATTATCTCCTCTAATCTTTTATCGTAAATCCAGCTGAGAAGTGTTCTGTCACCACCACTACTACTCCTCCCACCTTTCCTCAGCTCTGCACTTCCAACTGCTATTCAGGACATATTATTACTCCACTTTCCCAGTAATACCTGTGCCTATCTGTATTATTAAATTTAACACATGGTATTATGCATAGTTTTTGAGTCTACTTTTCCCCCATTGACTGTTAATTTCTTGTTAGCAGAAACTGCCATGTTCATTTTTTATCTGTAGCATTTAGTCCAGTGACTGGCACATGGTAGCATAGTAGATGCTCAATAAATGTATAAAAAGAAGGAAAGCTTAATGATGGGGGAGGAGGGAATGAAAGGCTCACCTGGCATTTTGTTGTAGTTGTTTTGTTTTCTTTTATTATACTTTAAGTTCTAGGGTACATGTGCACAACATGCAGGTCTGTTACATAGGTATACATGTGCCGTGTTGGTTTGCTGCACCCATTAACTCGTCATCTACGTTAGGTATTTCTCCTAATGCTATCCCTCCTCCAGCCCCCCACCCCACAACAGGCCCCGGTGTGTGATGTTCCCCACCCTGTGTCCAAGTGTTCTCATTGTTCAGTTCCCACCTATGAGTGAGAACATGCAGTGTTTGGTTTTCTGTCCTTGTGATAGTTTGCTGAGAACACCTGGCATTTTTTAAATTCATTTTTTGGCAGTGCTTAGAGTGACTGTTGGGTACAAGATGAAACTTTATTGGATTTTGAATGAGATTAGAATTCTCCATTGACTAACTTTGTTCTCTTAAGTTCTCTATGATTAATTTTGGTAAAACGACTTTCATAATTCCTGCTGAGCTTCTTCCTGTGTTCTTTTGATATTATTAGATTATCTATAATTGGATATCATCTATATTGCCATACATAAAAATAGCTATAGAAATATGTTCATTCAAGCAGAAGGAATGGTGCTTGAAGAAATACCTAGGTGGAAAGACAAGTGAGCCATGTAATGACAGATATGTTTGGTTTGTGCAAATAATACAACAAAAATGCAAAATAACATCAGTGCTTACATTAGGAAAATGGAATGTCCTCCTGTTCTTTGCTTTTATTCTGTTTATTTATTATTTTATAGAAACAGGGTCTCACTATATTGCCCAGGCTGGTCTTTGAACTCCTGGCCTCAAACGATACTCCCACTTCAGCCTCTCAAAGTGCTGGGATTATAGGCATGAGCCACCGTGCCCGACCCTCTTTGCTTTTAAAAGCCCTTCTTACTATGAAATGTAGCACTTAAATAAGGTCCATAGACCAAATGAATAATTGTGTCTTTGTGCCACAAATTAACTCAAAACTTTCTACCACCTATCAGGACTACTTTCATCATTTTTATTGATAGATCTCATGTTTTCAACAAATCTGTCAGCATTACTCTATTCATTATTCAATAGTTGCTCATTTTTAATTTATGAGACATATATCTGCTAACACTTATGTTCAAAATAAGGTAACTAATATTGTCACCCTTGATATAATTCTAGCTAAGTTTACAGAGGCTTGATGTTGTAGTTAACTAGTCACCAATAAATATGTGATTATTTATAAAGTCTATGAAATATTGAAAATAGTGAAACCCATTACTACCCTCTCAGACCTTTACAAGTGTAATGTTTCAGTGTTTGGAGCCTACCGTATGTGCTCATGGTCTGTCAGAGAAAAGGGCTATGTTTCTGGCATATATACCAGGGTTAGAATACACAGAGACAAGTACATCTTAGCCAACTGTGACATGGTACCTAAAGACAGAAGCATCTGCTAGGACACACAAAGAAAACACCACAAAAGGCAAGGAATTAAATAACAGACACTTTACACTTAGACAAGTCCTCTGGGAAGCAGGAGCTTGCATTCTCTAGCTTTCGGTGTACAACCCGTGTAGCCATGTAACTCCAAGCTTCCAACTAAGAATTACAGAGCCAGCTGACCAAATGAAATTATATTTCAGTCAGATTTTAGTGAATGAAAAAGACTTAAGTATATTTTAATAAGACAACTTCCAGAAATCAGGATAAGTATACATTTATTTAAACAATACAGACACATAATATAAATATATACAACTATATACTATCAATGAATACATTTAGAAATAATTATAAAACATGCTGTGGAATTCATACAAATCTCATTGGGGAAGGTGCAACATTGTATTTGGTGGCAAAAAGTTTAAGAACCATTGGGCTATTACTGAAAGACTGAATATGTGAAATGAAGTTTTCATTAAAATGAATAGTTTTGGCAACATGCTGAAATAATATGATAACTTAATAATGACTTGAACATTTAAATTAGCTTTAAGAATATCTAGCCCCTGGTTCCCAACATTTTCAGCACCAGGACTGCCTTAGCATATATTTCTTAGAAAACAGAGCCTGAGACAAAAGTTTATATGTTAAGACCTTTTTAACAGAGTACAAGCCAGGGAAGCAAGCGTGAAGGAAAGGGGGAGTGAGACAGGAAAGGAAAGAGAAAAAATGTAAGGGAAGATACTACAGAGCTGGCAGAGGTGAGAGACCACATGTCTCTGAACCATGGAAAGGAGACTCCAAAGAGGATTTTTCTGCTAACTCCCTTCCTGTATTGGTCACAGCCTGGTGAGTATTATCTCCCTTATTCTCCCTATTGCACAAAACCAGTAGCCCTACTATATCTTATGTCTCAGTGACAATAGAGAAGTCCAGGGACAGAGGAGACAGACTGTATAGCATGCACATGAGGTAAGGTATTGATTGACTTGTGCCCAGGATCAACACAAATGACTCGGAGCAGCCCTTGTAGCCAATCCCTCAGTCTGAAGCCAGAGGCATTAGTAACACAGACCTAACTCCAACCCATGAGAATTGTTCAAATCGTTGTGAAGGCCACTTTGGCCAAACAACTGGCAGGTGACTATATCTAGGATTCTGCTTTAGTCCATTCAAATGGCTATAACAAATTATTTTAGCTTGGGTAATTTACAAGCAATTGACATTTATTACTCACAGTTCTGGAGGCTGGGAAGTCCAAGATCAAGGCACCAGCAGATTTGATATCTGGTGAGGGCTCATCCCTTGTAGCTGAAGCCTTTGCTGTGGCTTCACATGGCTGAAGAGGCAGACATGCTTCCTCAGGCCTGTTTTATACAGGTACTAATCCCATTTGTGAGGACCTAATCAACCCCCAAAGGCCAGAACCTTTAATACTATCACATTGGAGATTGTAAGTTTCAACACATGAATTTGCTGGGGGACACAAACATTCAGAGAATAGCAGATGCCAAACCCAGTACAGTCCAACCCTTGTACCACATTGATCCAGTAGTATCCTCTGAGTATCTGGTCTCACCCTGGGAAGATGATGCAATGATGCTCTCAATTCTTTCCTGAGAGGGTAGGTTCTAAATCCAGTCCTTCAAGTTGGTAGTCAGTTGTAACCTCCCAAAAAGCCTTAGAAAGGGTTAGTAAACAAAGATTTAGGTCCTTGCTGCTCCATGTAGTCCTAGAGACCATAATGCATGCTCATTATTTCCCTCTACCCATTTCAGAACAAAAAATGTCAAAATAGATTTAAGAACAGGAATGATCTACAATTGAAAGTCGTTTCATAATGATGAATGGATCAGTTTATCAAGAGGAAATAACCTAAATGTTTATGCAACTAACAGAACTTCAAAATGAGAGAAATCCATAATCAGATTTCAGCATTCATCTCTCAGTAGCTGATAGAACAAGTAGAGAACCAATTAACATATAGAGGATCTAAACCATTCCATCAACCAACTTGACCTAATCGTCTTTTATTGAACAATGTGATAATAAAAAATATGTCTATTTGGTCTTTGTCCCTGGTTCCTGACACAGGGTTCCTAAATACCTTTGAATTTTCCGAGTCATAGGAGCATCTTGGCAGGCCCCTAGATAGCTTCAGGATAGGGAATGGTCACCAGAAAGACCAGGGAATGACTACGGTTACACTTTTAGCCCCACTCCAGACTTCAGGGAGGGGAGAGAGGCTAGAGATTGAGTTAATCAACAGTGACCAATTATTTAATCATGCCTAAGTAGTGAAACCTCCATTTTAAAAACACCCTAAATGATGGGGTACAGAGAGCCTCTGGATTAATGAACACACCAAGGTACTGGAAAAGGCATGCCAGGAAAAGGGATGGAGGTGCCACACTTTTATTTTATTTTATTTTGTTTTGTTTTGTTTTGTTTTATTTTTATTTTATTATTATTTTTTTTTTCTGAGACGGAGTCTCACTCTGTTGCCCAGGCTGGAGTTCAGTGGTGTGGTATCAGCTCACTGCAAGCTCCACCTCCTGGGTTCACGCCATTCTCCTGCCTCAGCCTCCCGAGTAGCTGGGACTACAGGCGTCCGCCACCACGCCCAGCTAATTTTTTGTATTTTGTTAGTAGAGATGGGGTTTCACCGTGTTAGCCAGGATGGTCTCAATCTCCTGACCTCATGATCTGCCTGCCTTGGCCTCCCAAAGTGCTGGGATTATGGGCATGAGCCACCGCTCCTGGCCTATTTTATTTTATTTTGAGACACGGTCTTGCTCTGTTGCCCAAGCTGGAGTGCAATGGTGCGATCTCGGCTCACTGCAGCCTCCACCTGCTGGGTTTAAGTGATTCTCATGCCTCAGCCTCTGGAGTAGCTGGGATCACAGGCACGTGCCATAACACCCAGCTAATTTTTGTATTTTTAGTAGAGACGGGGTTTCACCATGTTGGCCAGGCTGGTCTGGAACTCCTGACCTCAAGTGATCCACCCATCTCGGCCTCCCAAAGTGCTGGGATTACAGGCCTGAGCCACCATGCCCGGCCAGCTCCACACACTTTCATACCTGCCCTCTGCCCCTCTTCCATTTGGTTATTCCTGAGTTGTACCCTTTATAATAAAACAGTAATAGTAAGTAAAGTGCATTCCTGAGTCCTGTGAACCATTCCAGCAAATTATTGAACTCGAGGAGGTTGTGTGAATCCCCACTCTATAGCCAATTGGTCAGAAATACAGATGACAACCTGGGACTTGCAGCTGGCATGCAAAGTGAGGACAGCCTTGTGGAAGTAAGCCCTTAACCTGTGGAGTCTGTGCTAACTCTGGGTAGTTAGTGTTAGAATTCATATGAATCGTAGGGCACCAGTTGGTGTCCAGATAATTGGCAAATTGATTGTTGGGTGGCAGCAAAAACTCACACATATGGTATCAGAAGTGTTGTGAGTAAAAATATTTCAGTGGTCCACCCAAAAACAGCAGAGTACAGATTCCTTTTTAGAAGGTTCACCAAGACATACCATATTCTGGTCTGTAAGACAAGTCTCAATAAACTTAAGTGGACTCAAACTAAACAATGTTCTCTGACCACAGCATGATTAAACTAGAAATCAGTAATAGAAAAATATCAGGAAATTTCACAAATCTTTGGAAATTAAATAACACATTTCTAAATAATGCTCCAGTCAAAAGAAGGTGGAAATTTAACAATATTTTAAATTAAATATCAGTGAAAACAAAACATATCAAAATTTGTGGAATATACCTAAAGAAGAGCTTAGGAGGAAATTTATAGCATTAAGAGCTTTTTTTAGAAAGCAAGTTTTTAAATCAATGAACTGAATTTCCAGTTAAACTAGAAAAATAAGAAGTTCAACCGAATGTAAGCAGAAGGTAGGAAATCATACAGAGCAGAGATCAGTTAAATAGAAAACAGTGGAGAAAAACAATGAATTAAAAGCTGGTGCTTTGAGAAAATCAGTAAAATCAATAAACCTCTACCTGTACTGACTAGGACAAAAAAAGAAGATACAAATTACCGCTATTAAGGGTGAGGTAGGGACATTATTACAGGCCCCACTGACATTAAAAGAATACTAAAGGAATGTCACAAACAATTTTATTTTTTAAATTTATTTTTCTTTTTCTCTACACTGGGAAGAAACTTAAATGAACAATTTTAATGTCAGTAAATTTGACAATTTAGATTAAATGGACAAGTTCATTGAAATAAATAAACTATCAGAGCTTACTTGATAAGAAAGAACCTGAATAGCTGTATTGAATTTGTTGTTTAAAACTTTGCCATAAGGAAAACTTTTGGTCCAGATTCATTGACAGGTAAATTCAACCAAACATTTAAAGAAGAGTGATACCATTTCTACACAGACTCCTCCAGGAAGTTAAAGAGGAACAACTAGGAGGCCAATATTGTTACCCTAAGAACAAACCAGACAAAGACATGACATGAACAGGAGAGTACAGACCAATTATCTCTCATGAATGCAGAGTTCTTAACAAAATTCTAACAAACTGAATCTAATAATATATAAAAAGGATAATGTCTCATTACTAATGGGTTTTATACCAGGAATTGAGGTTGTTTCTACATTCACGAATCAATCAGTGTAGTTAATCATTAATAACAGACTAAAAAAGAAAAACTGTATGATCATCTGATAAATACAAAAAAAAAACAGCATTGGTTAGGCACGGTGGCTCACGCCGTAATACCAGCACTTTGGGAGGTCGAGGTAGGAGGATCACTTGAGGCCAGAAGTTCGAGAGTTGCCTGGGCAACATAGTGAGATCCTGTCTCTACAAAAGTTTTTAGAAATTAGCCAGGTGTGATGGTACACACTTGTAGTCTTAGTTACCCAGGAGGCTTGATCCCAGGAGTTCGAGGCTGCAGTGAGCTGTGATCATGCCACTGCACTCCAGCCTGGGTAACACAGCAAGACCCCATAGAGAGGAGGGAAAAAAAAAATCGACAAAAAGTTAAAAGTAGGAATGGATGAAAAATTTTTAAATTTGATAAAGGGTAACTGAAAAACCTACATCTAATTCATACTTAATGGTAAAAACCTGGATGCTTTCCCTTGAAAATCATGAACAAGACAGATTTCTACACCTATCACTTTTATTCAATATTATGTTGGCAGTCTCAATCAGTGAAATAAGATGAATAAAGTAAGTAAATAAAAGGCATCTAGATTAGAAAGGAAAAAGTAGAACTGTCACTATTTCCAGACATGATACTCTGTGTATAAAGTTTAAGAAATCTACCAAAAATAACTATTAGAAACTAGTGAGTTAGCTGGACACGGTGGCTCACCCCTGTAATCCCAGTACTTTGGGAGGCTGAGGCAGGTGGATAGCCTGAAGTCAGGAGTTCGAGACCAGCCTGGCCAACATGGCGAAACCTCCTTTCTACTAAAAATGCAAAAATTAGCTGGGTATGGTGGTAGACACCTGTAATGCTAGCTAAGGGAGGCTGAGACAGGAGAATCGCTAGAACCCAGGAGACAGAGGTTTCAGTGAGCTGAGATCACGCCACTTCACTGCAGCCTGGGCAACAAGAGCGAGACTCCATCTCAAAAAAGAAAAAAAAATAGTAAGTTTAGCAAAGTCTCAAGGTGTAGGATCAATATGCAAAAAAGTATTGTATTTCTCTGTACCAGCAACAAAAAAAATGGAAATTGAAATAAAAGGGTCATTTACAAAGCACTAAATTGTGGAATAATTAGAGATAAATTAAAAAATACATGACCTGCACAGTGAAAAGTGCAAAACATGCTGAGCAAAATTAACAAAGATATGTGGGAAAATATACCATGTTCAAAGATCACAGTACTCCATACTGTTAAGATGTCAATTCTTTCTAAATTGATCTATTCCAGGGGTTGGTAAACCATGGCAGGCAGGCCAAATCTGGCTACCCACGTGTTTGTCTCCTGAAAGCTAAGAATGATTTCTATATTTTTAAATGGTCACATTTTAAATTATTATATAAATAATAATATGTAACAAATTATTGTAACATCCAGATATGTAACATTTGTAACATCCAGATATGTAACAATCTGGATGTTGCCTACTGGCCCACAAAGCCCAAAACATTTACTATATAGCTCCCTAAGAAAAAGTTTTTCAATTCCTCGTCTATACATTCAGTGCAATCCCAAACAAAATCCCTCCACCTCCCAGGTTCAAACAGTTCTCCTGTCTCAGCCTCCCGAGTAGCTGGGACTACAGGCACATGCCACCATGCCCGGCTAATTTTTTGTATTTTTAGTAGAGACGGGGTTTCCCCATATTGGTCGGTTGTTCTTGAACTCCTGACCTTAGGTGATCCACCCACCTCAGCCTCCCAAAGTGCTGGGATTACAGGCATGAGCCATCACACCCAGCCCACCATGGTTTTTAGTATAAATTAACAAGCTAGCACTGTATACCTATGTAACAAACCTGCATGTTCTGCACATATATCCATTTTTTTAGAAGAAATAAAAGCAAAAATTAAAAAAAAAGAAATTAACGACCTGATATTATCATTTGTATGGAGTTAGATTAGCCAGAACAAATTTTGAAAAAGAACAAAGTTGGAGGATTTATACTACCTGATTTGAGGTTTACTATAAAACTGCAGAATTCAAAACAGTGTGTTACTGCTGTAAAGGTGGACAATGGAACCACATAAAGAGTCCAAAAATAGGCTGAGCACAGTGGCTCACACCTGTAGTCCCAACACTGTGGGAGGTCGAGGTGGGTGGATCACCGGAGGTCAGGCATTCGAGACCAGCCTGGCCAACATGGTGAAACCTCTCCTCTACTAAAAATACAAAAATTAGTGGGGCATGGTGTCACGTGCCTGTAATCCCAGCTACTCAGGAGGCTGAGGCAGGAGAATCGCTTGAACCCAGGAGGCAGAGGTTGCAGGGAGCCAAGATCGTGCCATTGCACTCCAACCTGGGTGACAGAGCAAGACTCCGTCTCATAAAAAAAAAAAAAGTCCAAAAATAGACCCACACATACACTAGCAACTCATTTTTGACAAAGGAATCAAGGCATTTTAGTGAGAAAAGGCTATTTTTTTCAGCAAATATTAATATTACAGAATAGGCTGGGCACGGTGGCTCATGTCTGTAATCTCAGCACTTTGGGAGGCTGAGGTGGGCAGATCACTTGAGGTCAGGAGTTCGAGACCAGCCTGGCCAGCATGGTGAAACCCCGTCTCTACTAAAAATACAAAAAAATTAGCCAGGTGTGGTAGCGCGTGTCTCTAGTCCCAGCTACCTGGGAGGCTGTGGCAGGCGAATTGCTTCAACCCGTGAGGCGGAGGTTGCAGTGAGCTGAGATCGCGCCACTGCACTCCAGCCTGGGCAACAGAGCAAGAATCAGTCTCAAAAAAAAAAAAAAAAATATATATATATATATATGTATATATATATGTGTATATACGTGTATGTGTATATATACATGTATGTGTATATATGTATATATACGTGTATATGTATATATACGTGTATATGTATATATGTGTGTATATACGTATATACGTATATATGTACGTATACATCAGAATATTTGCATATCCATACACAAAAGAAAAAACAGTTTGTCTTTACCCTACCCCACATACAAAAATTCAACGTGGATCATAGACTTAAACCTAAGAGCTAAAATTATAAAACTGCAAGAAGAAATAATAGATTTAACATAAGCCTAAGTAACCTTGTGTTAGGCAAAAATTTTTAAAATTGAACACAATCATTAACCCTAAAAGAAAAATAACTGATGTTTGACTGCCAAAATTTAAAATATTTACTCCTCAAAAGTTATTAAGAAAATGAAAAAGGCCTGGCACGGTGGCTCAAGCCTGTAATCTTGGCACTTTGGGAGGCCGAGGCAGGCAGGAGGTCAGGAGTTCAAGACCAGCCTGGCCAACATGGCAAAACCCTGTCTCTACTAAAAAAAATAAAAAAATTAGCCAGGCGTGGTGGTGGTGGTGGTGTGTGCCTGTAATCCCAGCTACTTGGGAGGCTGAGACTGGAGAATTGCTTGAACCTGGGAGGCAGAGGTTGCAGTGAGCCAAGATCATGCCACTGCACTCTAGCCTGGGCAACAGAGTGAGACTCCATCTCAAAAAAAAAAAAAAAAAAGAAAGAAAATGAAAAGGGAAATTATAGATGAAGAGAAAATTTTTCAAACACTTATCTCATAAAAGAGTTCTATTCAGAATAAGTGAAGAATCCTCACAGCTTAATATAAAGGCATACAACTTGAATTTCAATAAAATGAGCAAGCGATTTGAACAGATACTTCACAGATGAAAGCATATGAATAACAAGAGATAGATGTTCAATATCAATAATCATTAGGAAAATGTAAATTAAAACCATAATTGGATATCACTGTATACCTAGTACAATGTCTAAAACTCAATACCAAAGATTGGCAAAAATGTGGGAGCAGTTGGAATTTTCAGACACTGCTGGTGTGAGTGTAAAATGGTACAGCCACTTTGAAAACTCCTTAGGCATTCTTTTATAAAGTTCAACAAAAATCTGCCATTTGACCTAGCCATGCTATTCCTAGGTATGTACAAGAGAGCAAGAAAATCATATGTCTACGCAAAGACCAGTAGTTGAATATTCAGAGCAGCTTTATTCATGATGGCTGAGGTCTTAGTCCATTTGGGCTGATAAAACAAAATTCCATAAACTGGATAGCTTATAAACAATAGAAATATATTTCTCACAGTTCTGAAGAATGGGAAGTCCTGGATCAAGGCAGATTCAGTGTCTGGTGAAGGCCAACTTCCTGTTTCGTAGACAGCATCATCCTCACATGATGGAAAGGGTGAGGAAGCTTTTTTGGTACACTTATATTGGTGGATCAACCCCACTCAGGACCAAATCACTTCCCAAAGGCCCTACCTCCTAATACCATCACCTTGGGGGTTAGAATTTCAATGTATGAGTTTTAGGAGACACAAGCATACAGACCATAGCAGCTGAAAACTTGAAACAACTCAGATGCCATCAAACTAGCAAATGTATAAATACTGTGATATATCAATTTTTAAAAAATGGAATGAACTACTAATACAACATCATGGATAAATGTTAAAAGCATTTTGCTACATAAAACAAGCTTGAAACAAAAGACTGCATACTGTATGATTCTATTTGTGTGAAATTCTACAAAAGGCAAAACTATAATGATAGCAAATCAGCAGTTGCCAAGGTGTAGAGTGGTGGGTAAAGGTGTAGGATTGACCGCAAAATGTTAGGAGGCAACTGTATGGGATGATGGAAAGTTGATTACAGCATAACTGGATACATTTGTCAAAACTGCATTTTTTTACTTAAAGTATGAATCTTATTGTATGTAAATTATACCTTAATAAAACTGATTAAACACACACACACACACACACACACACACATACACACTAGCATGACACAGCTATTTTACTCCTAGGCATAGGCCCAAATGAATTGAAAACAGGTAGTCAAACAGATACTACATGAATGTTCCCAGCAGCAGTATTCACAGTAGCCAAAAGGTGGCAACAATCCAAATGCCCACCCACAGATGAATGGATAAACACATGTGGCATATACACAATGGAAACTTACTCAGTGATGAAAAGGTATGACACACTGATACATGCTACTGCAACATTGGCGAATCTCAGAAACATGCTAAGTGAAAGAAGCCAGACACAAAAGGCCAAATATTATGTATTCCCTTCTTAGTAGATATTTAGAATATGTAAATTTATAGAGACAAAATGCAGACTAGTGGTTGATTTGAGGGGGTGGGCATGATAGTAACTGCTTAATGGGTATGAAGTTTTCTTTTGGAGCTGAATAGAGGTGATGGTTGCACAACATTGGGAATGTACTAGATGCCATTGAATTTGTTCACTTTGATGCAGGTGCACCCCAAAATTAGAGCTTAGCCCAAGAAGGTTCTTGGCTTCTCTCAAGAAAGAGTTCAAGAGTGAGCCGACAGTGAAAGAAAGCAGGTTTATTAGAGCAATAGTATATAGCAAAATGGTTGCTCCATAGAGAGAGCAGGGCTATCCCATAGGCAGAGGAGCCCAGAGGAGCAGAGTACAGCAAAGTGGCTGCTCCACAGGCAGAGCAGCCCGGAGGAGCACAGCAGCAGTGTATGGCAACAGTAGCAGTCCGAAGCAGGAGCAACAGCAGACACAGCTGCAGTGTACATTGCTGGTTAGCTATATCTGTACCCACTCTTAATTATTTTATATATAGTGTATATATATATATATATTTAAGGGACAGAGTGTTAAGACTTTTCTAGAAAAGGGGCAAGGAGTTCCTGAAACCATAGAAGGTAACTTTCAGGTCATTGCCCTAGTGCGTTGCCATGGCATTTGTAAACTGTCATGGCGGCAGTGGAGTGTCTTTAATAACGAGCAGTGAGGGCAAGCAGAGGTCATCTTCGTCACCCTCTTCTGATTTGGGCCATTTTCTTTACTGCATCCTGTGTTTAATCATCAGGTTCATTACAGGTGGGTGCTGATCTCCTACCTCAACTTTAAAGTGGGTAGCTTTATGTTATGTGTATTTTACCTCAAGCACACATACATAGTTAACCTAACACATAGCCACAATTTTCTTTGGGTGAGAATCAGAGGAATATTTTACTACAGTGGCATTGCAAAGCCCTTGCCCAAAGAGCTCCAACTTCCTTTTCAATCCTAGACCAGTGAATTCTGGTCTGTGAACTAATTTAGATCTGAAACCTAAGGGACTGCCATTTTCCACTATGCCTGATGTTAGCCTCTTTTTAAAAAATAAAGTAAGCAGCATCCTAATCTGTTCAACCATCTTGCCACTAGAAACATTGTCATCTGTTAACCATCACCACTGATGCTTTTAGTCAAAGCACCCTGGTTGCTCTCCCAGACTTGCTGATTTTTTTTTTTTTTTTTTTGAGACGGGGTCTCCCTGTGTCGCCCAGGCTGGGGTGCAGTGGTGTGATCTTGGCTCACTGCAGCCTCCGCCTCCCAGATTCAAGCAGTTCTTCCACCTCCGTCTCCCAAGTAGCTGGAATTACAGGGGCGCACCACCACGCCCAGCTAATTTTTGCATTTTTAGGAGAGACGAGGTTTCACCGTGTTGGCCACGGTGGTCTCAAACTCCTGACTTCAGGTGATCCACCCAAAGTGCTGGGATTACAGGCGTGAGCCACCACACCCGTCCCAGCCTTGCTGATCTTTACAATAATATATCCTCCTTGCATCTGAGAAATACGTGCTGCCAACTGGCCTCTGTATCCTCACTGATATTAGAGACCCCAGTTCTATGATAACATCTCCCTATTAACTGCACTTAGAGAGGATGGTCACCTTCAGGCTTTTCAAAGATGTCAGTGTTCCCCACCACTGCCACCAGTACATTTCTCATTGCCTTAGTGAAAGGAGTGTCCATTAGGCCTCCAGGGAGTGGAGAGAGGTCATGGTATTATTGGTCTTATGTGGTAGTCCCTTCTAATCTCCACCACCATGAATCTTCTGACTCATTTGTCAGTACTATGCCCAGGAAGTTCTAGCTGATCATCTCAGGCTGATTTCCTATAGGCCATCATCATATCCAGGTTTGAAGGAACCATCCTCATATAGATCTCCTTTGTCTCCTATATCTTTTTTTCTGCCTATTTTATTCCATTTTAATTAGGATTTAAACATGATCAAGTCTTTTTGCATCTTCTATCTCCCTCTACCCTTCACAGACCCATTGAAAGAATTGTTCTCACCTTTTCTTAATTTCATCTCCCTCTCACTTTGGAACCATTGACATTCCAGTTTCTGCCTATACTACTCACCCAAGGTATTATCTAGATCACCTCCATATAGATCGAGCCAATAATGATTGTTAGTTCTTATTACAGTTAATGTTTTCTGACGCATGTTTACTTTTTGAAACTCTCTCTTGCCTGACTTGCCCACAGTCTCCTTGTTTTCCTCTTCTTTCTGGTTGTTCTTTCTTAGACTCCTTTGCAGGCTCTTCTTGCTTTGCCTAATTGTGTTTCAACGGGTGTCATTTTAGGCCTTCCTCTCCCCTCACTCTACAAACTTCTTAAGAGACAATAGTCAGCTCCTAAGGTTAATAACTTTGACATCTGACTCTCTATTCTCCTGAGCTTCAGTTTAATTATCTCACTGTCTACTGTACATCTTTATTTGAATGCCCCATAGACACTTCAAATTCTACATATTCCTGAGCTAAATTTATGTTCCTCTTAATCCTGCTTCTCTTCCTGTATTCCCTAAGTAGATGGTACCACCATCTAGCCATTTGCCCCAGCCAGAAACCAGGATATTATTCATGACTGCATTTTTACCTCATTCTTTACATCTAATCAAATTATCAAGTCCATTCATTATTTTTCATCTCCTTTGTCATTTCTTAATACAGGTCAATATTTCTAACTCGGATTGCTATAAAACCTAACTTTTCTGTTTGCCTTCAATCAGGTAATCCTCTGACACAGGAGATCATGAATTTGGATTGTAAAAAAAGATTACGTTTTCATTTTTTGATTTCTAATTGAAATTTAGAACTTCTATTTTGAATGTAGGTAACAAACCACAGAAGCACTAGAAGTTTTTGTGACTTTGTCACCAATAAATACCTCAGATATTTTCATGTTACTTGTAGGTATCATAAAATATCACACTTGTCACCACCTTGAAAATATAGTAGACTTGCACTAGATCTTATCACTTAATGTTAATGAAACTCACAAATTACTGTGTCACAAATCTATTTTTTATTATTTTGATTACTGTTTTTCAAAATAATTGATTTCTCCTGTTTTTGCATTTTATTTCATGCATTTAGAAATATTATGGAAAGAGTCTTTTTAGGCATCACCAGACACCATAGGGGGTCTGTGGCAACACCTTACTGTAATGTATTCTACTCACTAGAACCAAAGTAATCTTTCCAAAATGTAAGTTTAATTATGTCCCTCAAAAGCCTTTAATCATGTGCCTCGGTTGCCCTTAGGAGAAACCGGGATAAAATCTAATCCCTTTAATATGGCTTACGAGTTCTAGTCTGATCTGGACTCTGTCTCCTCTCTGTCATTCTAGCCAGTGGTGTGCTGTGGCCAGCTAGCACCTGCAAGATTCAGTTTTTAAGATTTTGGTAATTTTGTGAGCCAGTTAAGTCATAGGTAGCTTGAGTGTACATTTATACCACGGAGATCAGCAAACACTGCAAATCAGAATTTTGTTTTGTTTTTGTCTTTTATTTTTTAATTTAATTTTTTAAAAATTTCCAGGATACACATGCAGGATGTGCAGGTTTTTTACGTAGGGAAATGTGTGGTAGCAATTTGCTCCACCTATCAACCCGTCACCTAGGTATTAAGCCCTGCATGCATTAGCTATTTATCCTGATTCTCTTCCTCCCCTCACCTTCCCTGACAGGCCCCAGTGGTGGTGTTCCCCTCCTTGTGTCCATATGTTCTCATTGTTCCACTCCCACTTATAAGTGAGAACATGCAATGTTTGGTTTTCTATTCCTGTGTTAGTTTGCTTAGGATAATGGCTTTGAGCTGCATCCATGTCCCTACAAATGACATGATGTCATTCCTTTTTATGGCTGCATAGTATTCCATGGTGTATATGTACCACATTTTCTTTATCTAGTCTATCATTTATGGGTGTTTGGGTTTATTCCATATCTTTGCTATTGTGAATAGTGCTGCAATGAACATATGTGTGTATGTATCTTTATAATATAATAATTTATATTCCTTTGGGTATATACCCAGTAATAGGATTGCTGGGCCAAATAGTATTTCCAGTTCTAGGTCTTTGAGGAATTGCCACACTGTCTTCCACAATGGTTGAACTAATTTACATTCCCACCAATAGTGTAAAAGTATTCCTGTTTCTGCACAGCCTTGCCAGTGTCTGTTGTTTCTTGACTTTTTAATAATCACCATTCAGACTGGCATGAGATGGTATCTCATTGTGGTTTTGATTTGCATTTCTCTAATGATCAATGATGTTGAGCTTTTTTCATACGTTGGCTGCATAAATGTCTTCTTTTGAGAAGTGTCTGTTTATGTCCTTTGCCCAGTTTTTAATAGGATTGTTTGTTTTTGTTTTATTTTTTGTAAATTTGCTTAAGTTCCTTGTAGATTCTGGACATTAGATCTTTTTTCAGATGGATAGATTACAAAAACTTTCTCCCATTCTATAGGTTGTCAGTTCACTCTGATGATAGTTTCTTTCGCTGTGCAAAAGCTCTTTAGTTTAATTAGATGCCATTTGTTAATTTTGGCTTTTATTGCAATTGCTTTTGATGTTTTCATCATGAAATCTTTACCCATGCCTATGTCTTGAATGGTATTGCCTAGATTTTATTCTAGGGTTTTTATTGTTTTGGGTTTTACATTTAAGTCTTTAATTCATCTTGTTAATTTTTGTATAAGGTATAAGGAAGGGGTCCAGTTTTAGTTTTCTGCATATGGCTAGCCAATTCTCCCAGCACCATTTATTTATTTATTTTTCATTTATTTATTTTTTTTGAGACAGAGTTTTGTTCTGTCACCCAGGCCGGAGTGCAGTGCTGCAATCTCGGCTCACGGCAACCTCCGCCTCCTGGATTCAAGCGATGCTCCTGCCTCAGCCTTCCAGGTAGCTGGGATTACAAGTGTGCACCACCATGCCCAGCTAATTTTTGTATTTTTAGTAGAGACGGGTTTCACTGTGTTGGCCAGGCTGGTCTCAAACTCCTGACCTCAAGTGATCCTCCTGCCTCAGCCTCCCAAAGTGCTAGGATTACAGGTGTGAGCCACCATGCCCAGCCCCAGCACCATTTATTAAGTAGGAAAGCCTTTCCCCATTACTTGTTTTTGTTAGGTTTGTCAAAAATCAGATGATTGTAGATGTGTGGTCTTCATTTGTGAGATCTCTATTCTGTTCCATGGTCTATGTGTCTGTTTTTGTACTAGTACCATGCTGTTTTGGTTACTGTAGCCGTCTACTATAGTTTGAAGTCAGGTAGCATGATGCCTCCAGCTTTGTTCCTTTTGCTTAGGATTGCCTTGGCTATACGGGCTCTTTGTTGGTTCCATATGAATTTTAAAGTAGTTTTTTCTAATTCTTTGAAGAATGTCAGTGATAGTTTAATGGGAATGGGTTTGAATCTATAAATTACTTTGGGCAGTATGGCTATTTTCACAATGTTGATTCTTCCTATCCATGAGCATGGAATGTTTTTCCATTTGTTTGTGTCTTCTCTCATTTCCTTGAGCAGTGGTTTGTAGTTCTCCTTGAAGAGGTCCTTCACTCCTCTTGTTAGCGGTGTTCCTAGGTATTTTATTCTCTTTGTAGCAATTTTGAATGGGAGTTTATTCATGATTTGGCTCTCTGCTTGTCTGTTGTTAGTGTGTAGGACTGCTTGTGATTTTTGCACATTGATTTTATATCCTGAGACCTTGCTGAAGTTGTTTATCAGCTTAAGAAGCTTTGGGGCTGAGATAATGGGATTTTCTAGATATAGGATCATGTCATTTGCACACAGACAGTTTGACTTCCTCTCTTCCTATTTGAATATGCTTTATTTCTTTCTCTTGCCTGATTGCCCTGGCCAGAGCTTCCAATACTATGTTGAATAGGAGTAGTGAGAGAGGGCATCCTTGTCTTGTGCCGGTTTTCAAGGAAAATGCTTCCAGCTCTTCCCCATTCATTATGATATTGGCCATGGGTTTGCATAAATGGTTCTTACTATTTTGAGATATGTTCCATCAATAGCTAGTTTATCGAGAGTTTTCTACATGAAGGGATGTTGAATTTTATGGAAGGCCTTTTCTACGTCTATTGAAATGATCATGTGGTTTTTGTCTTTCCTTCTCTTTGTGTGATGAATTACGTTTATGGATTTGTGTATGTTGAACCAGCCTTGCACCCCAGGGATGAAGCCAACTTGATCGTAGCTAAGTTTTTTGATGTGCTGCTGGATTGGTTTGCCAGTATTTTTTGAGGATTTTTCCGTCAATATGCATCAGGGATATTGGGCTGAAGTTTTCTTTTTTGTTGTATCCCTGCCAGGTTGTGGTATCAGAATGATGCTGGCCTCATAAAATGAGTTAGGGAGGAGTCCCTTCTTTTCAGTTGTTTGGAATAGTTTCAGAACAAACAGTACCAGCAACTCTTTATACCTCTGATAGAATTCAGCTATAAATCCGTCTGGTCCTGGGTTTTTTTTTTTTTTTTGGTTGGTAGGCTATTTATTACTATAGGCTATTTATTACTGCCTCAATTTCAGAACTTGTTATTGGTCTATTCAGGGATTCAACATCTTCCTGGTTCAGTCTTGGGAGGGTGTATGTGTCCAGGAATTTATCCATTTTTTCTAGATTTTCTAGTTTATTTGCATAGAGGTCTTTATAGTATTCTCTAATGATTGTTTGTATTTTTTTTTTTTTTTTTGAGAAAGAATCTCACTCTGTTGCCCAGGCTGGAGTGTATTGGTGTGATCTCAGCTCACTACAACCTCTGCCCTCTGGGTTGAAGTGATTTTCATGTCTCAGCCTCAAGCGATTTTCATGCCTCAGCCTCCTGAGTAGCTGGGATTACAGGTGTGTCCCACCATGCCCAGCTAATTTTTTTGTATTTTTAGCAGAGACTGGATTTTGCCATGTTGGCCAGCCTGGTCTCAAACTCCTGACCTTAAGTGATCCTTTCACCTCAACCTCCCAAAGTGATGGGATTACTGGTGTGAGCCACCGTACCTGGCCCAGTTGTTTGTATTTCTGTGGGGTCAGTGGTGATATCCCTTTTATCATTTTTTATTGTGTCTATTTGATTCTTCTCTCTTCTTTATTAGTCCAGTTAGCAGTCCATCCATTTTATTAATTTTTTTCAAAAAAACAGCTCCTGGATTTGTTGATTTTTTTTGAAGGGTTTTTTGTGTCTCTGTCTCCCTCAGTTCTGCTGTAATCTTGGTTATTTCTTGTCTTCTGGTAGCTTTGGGGTTTCTTTGCTCTTGGTTCTCTAGTTCTTTTAGTTGTGATGTTAGGGTATCGATTTGAGATCTTTCTAGCTTTCGATGTGGGCATTTAGTGCTGTAAATTTCCCTCCAAACACTGCTTTAGCTGTGTCCCAGAGATTCTGGTACATTGCCTGTTTGTTATCATTGGTTTCAAATAGCTTCTTGATTTCTGTCTTAATTTCTTTATTTACCCAGGAGTCATTCAGGAGCAGGTTGTTCAATTTCCATGTAGTTGTGTGGTTTGGAGTGAGTTTCTTAATCTTGAGTTCTAATTTGGTTGTGCTGTTTGTTATGATTTCAGCTCTTTTGCATTTCCTGAGGAGTGTTTGACTTCCATTTATGTGATCAATTTTACAGTAAGTGCCAGGTGGTGCCAAGAAGAATGTATATTCTGTTGTTTTTGGGTGGAGAGTTCTGTAGCTATCTATCAGATCCACTTTATCCAGAGCTGAGTTCCAGTCTTGAATATCTGTTAATTTTCTGTCTTGATTATCTGTCTAATATTGACATTGGGTGTTAAAGTCTCCCACTATTATTGTGTAGGAGTCTAAGTCTCTTTGTAGGTCTCTAAGAACTTGTTTTATGAATCTGGGTGCTCCTGTATTGGGTGCATATATATTTAGTATAGTTAGCTCTTACTGTTGAATTGTCCCCTTTACTATTATGTAATGCCCTTCTTTGTCTTTTTTTAAATCTTTGTTGGTTTAAAGTCTGTTTTGTCAGAGACTAGGATTGCAACCCCTGCTTTTTTCTGCTTTCCATTTGCTTGGTAAGTTTCCCTCCATCCCTTTATTTTGAGCCTATGTGTGTCTTTGCATTTGAGATGGGTCTCTTGAATACAGCATACCAAGGGGTCTTTACCCAGCTTGCCACTCTGTCTTTTAATTGGGCCATTTAGTCCATTTACATTTAAGGTTAATATTGCTGTGTGTGAATTTGATCCTGTCATCATGATGCTAGCTGGTTATTTTGCAGGCTTGTTGATGTAGTTGCTTCATGGTACTATTAGTCTTTGTACTTCAGTGTGTTTTTATAGTGACTGGTAACATTTTTTTCCTTCCCATATTTAGTGCTTCCTTCAGGAGCTCTTGCAAGGCAGGCCTGGTGGTGACAAATTCCTGCAGCATTTGCTTGTCTGAAAAGGATTTTATTTCTCCTTCGCTTATGAAGCTTAGTTTGGCCACATATGAACTTCTGGATTGGAAATTCTTTTCTTTAAGAATGTTGAATATTGGTCCCGAATCTCTTTTGGTTTGTAGGATTTCTGCTGAGAAGTCCACGGTTAGTCTGATGGGTTTCCCTTTATAGGTGGCCTGGCCTTTCTCTCTGGCTGCCCTTAATGTATTTTACTTCATTTTGACCTTGGGGAATCTGATTATTATGTGTCTTTGGGTTGATCTTCTCATGGAGTATCTTACTGTGGTTCTCTGTATTTACTGAATTTGAATGTTAGCTTGTCTTGTTAGGTTGGGGAAGTTCTCCTGGATGATATCCTGAAGTATGTTTTCCAACTTGGTTCCATTCTCCCTGTCTCAGGTACCCTAGTCAGTCATAGGTTTGGTCTTTTTACATAATCCCATAGTTCCTGGAGATTTTGTTCATTCCTTTTCATCTTCTTTTCTCTAATCTTTTCTGCCTGTCTTATTTCAGCAAGTTAGTCTTCAGGCTCTGAAATTCTTTCCTCCACTTTGTCTACTTGGTTGTTGATACTTGTAGTTACATTGTGAAGTTCTTGTTTTGTGCTTTTCAGCTCTATCAGGTCATTTATGGTCCTGTCTCAACTGGTTATTCTGGTTAACAGCTCCTGTAATGTTTTATCATGGTTCTCAGCTTCTTTGCATTGGGTTAGAACATGCTCCTTCAGCTCTGTGAAGTTATTACCCACCTTCTGAAGTCTACTTCTGTCAATTCATCCATCTCAGCCTCTGCCCAATTCTGTGCCCTTTGCTGGAGAGGTGTTGCAATCATTTGAAGGAGAAGAGCACTCTGGCTTTTTCAGTTTTCAGAATTTTTTCATTGATTCTTTCTCATCTTCGTGAGTTCGTCTAGCTTCAATCTTTGAGGCTGCTGACCTTTGGATGGGGTTTTTGTGGGGACATTTTTTGCTAATGCTGTTGTTGTTGCTTTCTGTTATTTGTTTTTCTTTTAACAGTCTCCTTCCATAGGGCTGCTGCAGTTTGCTGGGGGTCCATCCCATCCTGTTCACCTGGGTCCCTCCTACAACTGGAGGTGTCACCAGTGGAGGCTGCAGAACAGCAAAGATGGCTGCCTGCTTCTTCCTCTAGGAGCTCCATCCCAGAGGGGCACTGACCCGATGTCAGCGGGAACCCTCCTGTATAAGGTGTCTGGCGACCCCTGTTGGGGGTTCTCACCCAGTCAGGAGGCAGGGGATCAGGGACCTGGTTAACAAAGCACTCTGGCTGCCCCTTGGGCAGAGGGGGTGCACTGCACTGGGGGGAATCCCACTTGTCTGGACTACCCGGATTCCTCAGAGCCAGCAGCGGGAAAGACTAAGTCCGCTGATCAACCGAGACTGCGGCTGCAACTGCGGCTGCCTCTCCTTCTGGGGAGATCAGAGTTCTGTTCGTAAACCTCTGGCTGGAGTTACTGAAATTCCCACAGGGGAGCCCCAGCCAGTGAGGAGGGATGGGTCAGGGTCTGGTCTAAAAAGGCAGTCTGGCCACAATCTGCCACAGTTGCTGTGCTGCACTGTGGGGAATTCTTCCTGGGTCTAAACCGCCCAGTCTCCCTGGCACCAGTAGGGGAAAAACAGCAGACTGGAGCTGCAGTGATGGCTGCTGCCCCTCTTCCCAGGAGCTCAGTCATCTTAGGTAGGAGGCAGCCACAGTCATGATGGCCACCCCTCCCCCTGGGAACTCGGTAGTCTTAGGCAGTTTCCAGCCAAGAGGCCGCCGTAGTCTTAGGCAGTTTCCAGCCAAGAGGCCGCCGAGAATCTGCACAGCTCTGTGCTTGGGACCCAAACCCTGGTGGTGTGTGTGGGCCCACGAGGGGGATCTCCTGATCTGTGGGTTGCACAGATCCATGGAAAAACCGTGGATCGTGGATTCTTGGGCAGGGTAACACAATCACTCACTACCACCTCCCTTGGCTGGGGGTGGGAGCTCCCCTTGCCCTGTGTGGCTCCTGAGTGGGCCATGGCTCCACCCTGCTTTTTCCTTGCTCTCCATGGCTCACGCCAACTGCCTAGTCAGTCCCAATAAGAGAACCTGGATACCTCAGTTGCCAGTGCAGGATTCACTCACCATTTTCATTCTTCTGTGTGAGAGCCTCCAAACGCATATATTTCTCGTCAGCCATCTTGGCCCCTCCGGCCTGTTGTTGTTTTTTAGAGAGCCAAGATGTTAAACTTGTACCAGCACACCACTGGCCCCAACCCACCTCCAAAGTTTTAGTCTATTGAATTTACTTAATTCTTACGAACTTTGCTGTGCCCTTGTGAATGTTTTTGTCTTTGGATAAACCATTGTTTTTTCGTCTTTACCTGACCAACTCAACTTGGTCGACAAGAGTATTCTCTAGCCCTCAAGTCTGGGTTAGATTTCTGTCTCCTTTCTCATAAAGCAAACCTCTTTTTCCAACAGGTAAAGTAAAATAAAGTAAATTAAGTAAAGATAAAAGACCAAATTTAGGTGAATGTGAAGTTGTTATCTGGAATGACTGGGAGTTGGGTAGGTATTGCAAGGACTTTTATTGAAGTCCTTGACCATTATTGAAGATGCAGTCTTCTCAAGAGCTAATAGTTCAGTACCTATTTAATTGTTTCACAGTATCCTAAAATATTATAGAAAGCCTGATTGATCTCTTGCACCTATTCCCCTACCACAAATATAAAGCCTTTTCCACATTAAGAGTACAGTACTATATTCCTAGCAGACATAAACACTTCACCAATACTGAATCCATTCTTCAGAGCTTAGCTTATGTGTCTTTAAATACTATGTCCTCTCATTACATTTTTTCCCTAAAAGTAGGCAGTTTCTTGGCTTAAATAATTTCCCAGATAACATATACACTCATATCATTGGTAACAATATTTTTAATGTAAGTAGTAGTAAAAAATGCCCTGAAGAATGAGGCCGATTATTTTCGTTCTGATATTTCATTGTTAATGTCTGCAGTGTCCTTCTGTGCTGAGGGTCTCCTGAATGTTCACTGCATGCTATTTTCCTATGACTTTTGTAGAGAACAGCAGGGCTTTAGCCTCTGTGCTTTCCTTTGTTTTATCTCTCCTATCATCATGTGGGCATTACAGAGCTGGGTGCTAAAAGTTTTTTTTTTAATTTAAATATGAAAAAACCCTTAAAATATAGTTTCTACTCTCCAGAAATGTACAGTGTAGTAAAGGAGGCAAGGTACATCTACAAAAGAGTTAAGGAACAACATAAGATAGTAAATGATTAAGATTCCAAGTAATTAGTTGCCTGTGAGACTACTTGTTAGCTATATAAGTGGGCAAGATGCCTAATCTGCACATTGGTTTGGTTTCCTCATCTGCATAATGAAGATAGTAATATCAGTCCCGCTTAGAGTGTTCTGTTGATAATTGAATGAGTTACTGTATCTCATGGTACAATTTAAAGGTTATAAGGTGATAAGTATGAATTTATTATGATTACTAGTATTAAAGCTTATGATCTAATACAGAAGAAAGAATATCTTGCTTAAAATGTATATGAGCTTTTTCTGAGGTGATTTTTTTTTTACCAGTTATCAAAAAAATCACTTTGGCCTTTGAGTTGTTAGGCCCCTGGAGTTACTTTTCAATTCTTTATTTGTTTTCCATGTTCTTCCTTTGGAAAGATTTTCTGAGTTTCAGAAACTGTTTTCCAGATTTGCTACCACATACTATCCTTGGTTTTTTGTCCCCAAAGACCAGCCAAAATGTAGGAATATAATTTTCTCTGCTTTCTTTTTGTTAGCTGTCTTTCCAAAATGAGCATAGGTTGTCTATTTTTTAAGATTTTACAACTAATCACTAAAGGGGAAATAGAGTATAATAAATACGGGAACTTATCTTCCAAAATCTCATAAGGTTTCCAAAGGGTTCTGTGATATTTCTGATTTCCTTTCTCAGGTGGAGCCCAAAAGCACATACCCTCATCTCTCTTTTAATTCTTAAGTTTATAAAATTTTCCCTCTTCCCACTTCTCTACCTTTTTCTAGTTTACTTAGATTTCTTCTTCCTTAGCCTTTTACTTTTTGTGACAACAAAGTCAGATTTTCTTTCTTAGAGAGAAATTTAGGTCATCCTTTATAATTCATCTTCTTCCCGTGTTATTAGAAAATCCAGAACTCCATTTAAATTTGCAGAGAGAGAACCTCACTAAAAACGATTGTGGAAATTACCTCATGAGCTTAGGTCTCTTCTTTTGGCAATAGGTACATTCAAAATATAAGAAGAGAAAATGAACTAACATATAAAAACTCCTCTGGGATGATATCTTTTATTCTTGTTTTATAATTATTGCTAAAAAATTATAATCTAGATGTTAATGTTTTTAATCCTTTCATTTCTAGCATTAATTAAAATTTTTCTATTTGTGTATAATTAGTAGTAAGACTATATAAAATTCAAGAGACCTTTCAGTTTATTTTATTAAGGTACTTAAATCCATAAAGTTAGAGCTACAGAGATCTGTACAAGTAGGGCCTGTTATTGCTTACTTATTTGGGCAGGTTCTGTCTCTTCTATTAGTTCCTGCTTAGGGACTGCTTATTTTATTCTAATTCTTTGTTACATATTAGAAGCAAGGAAATAAATTTAAATGAGGAAAAGAACAGAATAAAAAGAATATAGAGATCTTTTAGGGACCGCTGAGGCTCTCCAGCAGTCCTTGAAGATTATATAAATTCCCTTTTGATGAAATTCTGAAAATTTTACCACTAATAGACCTGAGCTGTAGTTTCTCTAGGACTGATACATGAATTTTTTTAGTTTATTTAAATAGAGTTGTTGAAATATGTGAGAGATGACTGTATTTTGGTTTCAGTTATGTAAACTTCATGAAAGAAGTGAAATGATCATCAGTAACTTTTAAAAATAATGTTACTAAATATTCTTATTATCTAATCATGAATTTACGTAATCATAAACAGATTAATCTCTACTTTAGATTTTCTTTTAAATTCACTGTTTAAATTTTATAAATCAATGAAGTACAAGGCAGTTTTGTTACATGCATAAATTGCGTAGTGGTGAAGTCTGAGTTTTTTAGGATATTCATCACCCAAATAATGTACATTGAACCCACTAAGTAATTTCTCATCATCCACCTTTCCCCCACCTTGTAACCCTTCAGAGGCTCCATTGTCCGTCATTCCATTTTCTACTTCAATATGTGCACATTTTTTTTAGCACCCACCTGTGAGTGAGAACATGGAATATTTGTGTTTCTGCGTCTAACTTGTTTTGTTTAAGATTTCTAGTTCCATCCATGTTGCTGCAAAAGACATTTCATTCTCTTTATGGCTGAATAATATTCCATTGTGTGTATATACCACATTTCTTTATCCATTCATCTGTTGATGGACATTTAGGTTGATTCCATATCTTTGCTATTGTAAATAGTGCTGTGGTAAACATGCAAGTGCAGATATCTTTTTGACATATGGATTTCTTTTCCTTTGGGTAGTTACCCAGTGGTGGAATTGCTGGATTGAATGGTAGTTCTATTTTTAGTTCTTTGAGAAATCTCTGTATTTTCCTTAATGGTTGTTGTAATTTATATTCCCGTTAACGGTGTATATGAGCATTCTCTGCATCCTCACCGTCTGTTATTTTTTGATTTTTTAATAGTAGCCATTCTGACTGGTATAAGACGGTGGTTTTAAGTTGCATTTCTCTGATGATTACTAATATTGAGATTTTTTTCATGTACATGGCCATTTGTATGTCTCCTTTTGGAAAATTTCTGTTTATGTCCTTTGCTTACTTTTTAATGGGATTATTTGTGAAGTTTTTGTTGAGTTGTTTGAGTTCCTTGTATATTCTTAATGTTAGTCCTGTCAGATGTATAGTTTGCATATATTTTCTCCCATTCTGCAGGTTCTTTTCACTCTGCTGATTATTTCTTTGGCTGTGCAGAAGCTTTTTAGTTTTAGTTGCATTTGCCTGTTTTTGTTTTTGTTGCCTGTGCTTTTGAAGTCTTAGTCATAATTTCTTTACCTAAACCAATGTCCAGAAAAGTTTTCTGTAGGTTTTCTTGTAGTATTTTTAGTTTCTAGTCTTAGGATTAAGTCTTTAGTGTATCTTGAGTTGATTTTTGCATATGGTGAGAGATAGGGGTCCAGTTTCATTCCCCTGCATATGGCAATCCAGTTTTTCTAGCACCATTTTTTGAAAATGGTGTCCTTTCCCCAATGTGTGTTTTTATCAACTTTGTCAAAGATTAATAACTGTATGTATGTGGCTTTATTAAATTCATTTTACTCTTTTTTTTTCAGCTACATTAACAAGCTATTCTGAAAATGTGGAACGCACAAAATATGCTGGGGAAAGCAGTAAAGAATTAGGATCTGGAGGAAACATAAAACCTTGGCAGTCTCAAAAATCCAGCATGGACTCCTGTTTGTATCGAGTAGATGAAAACATGACTGCTTCCACCTATAGTCTGAATAAGATCCCAGAGAGAAATTTGGAAACAGTGTTATCTCAATCAGTACAGTCTATTCCTTTGTATCTCATGCCACGGCCAAATTCAGTAGCAGGTAAGTTTTTGTTGTTGTTGTTGTTGTTGCTGTTGTTAAATAATCATTTTACTCCAGTATATATTGAAATGAAAATAAATCCTGCTCTGACAGTATTTAAATTTTCCATTCATCTTTTCTGACTAAGCTGTTCTTTTGTGTTTGGGTAATATACATGTATATATTATTTGAATCTGGGAGAAGGTTCATCTTCCTCGAGTGATTGCTTAGTTCTGCTCCCAAAATGTACAAAAACACATAGAAATTCAGAAACAGCCTATAAAATATATCATCAAACAACTAAAAGTCTTTTCTCTCAATGAGAAGTCTTTGAAAGAATTTTAGTTTGAGGTTTTAGTTCTTTTCTTAAAATCTTAGTTTTAAAAAACATTACTAAAATTGGCATATCTCAGTGTAATTTGTATTATCAGAAATCATCATCCATAGTTTGTAAAAGTGGAAGGCAGACAAGAATTCAGCTTTTCCTCATCCCGTGAGTTTCAGTATTTTCACAATATCCTGGCTATCATTTCATGGAAGAATCACCAGGTGGCTACATTTCTAAAGAATAATTCTGCAACACCACTAGCAAACTCGGTTAAAAAAAATTGTATTAGTCCGTTTTCACACTGCTATAAAGATACTACCTGAGACTGGATAATTTATAAACAAAAGAGGTTTAATTGGCTCACAGTTCCACACAGCTGGGGAAGCCTTGGGAAACTTATAATCATGGCAGAAGGCAAAGGAGGAACAAGTACCTGCTTCACAAGGCAGCAGGAGAGAGAGCAAGCACACAGGGGAACTACCAGTTTTAAACCATCGGATCTAATGAGAACTACCTCACTATCACGAGAATAGCATGAGAGAACCACCCCCATGATCCAATCACCTCCCACCAGGTCCCTGACACTTGGGGATTACAATTCGAGATAAGATTTGGGTGGGGACACAGAGCCAAACCATATCAGAAATGATATAGCATGGTGGCTCATGCCTGTAGTTGCAGCAATTTGGGATGCTGAGGCAGGAGGATTCCTTGAGGCCAAGAGTTTAAGACCAGCCTGCGCAACATAGTGAGACCTTGTCTCTAAAAAAAAAAAAAAAAGAAAGAAATGATACTGAGGGTTAAGTGGTTGAAATACGGAGTCATCATTCCTTAGCACCTACTCTCCTCAAAATTGATGTCAAGGGGTATTTTTACTACAGCTAAATTGCTGTTTAATAATTCAAACCTGGGACTTTTGAAGAATAGTTGAATGTTCTGACTTTTCAAAATATGTCATCATCTGGACTTTGTCCAGACTATAAAATCAAAGTTATGTTTGCTTCTCTTACTTTCCTCATGAAGACCTGGATAGATTATCTCACTGATAATTACTCCTTATGTAGCTGATAGTGTAATGCTTCTTGCCATTCCCAGTTCCCTTTCCTACGTGTTCTTTGTTCTCTGGGAGACCATCAGCATCTGTCATCAGGTGTGATTATAGGGGAAATGGCTCATCTGAAAGATAAGTAACTATGGAAGATTTTAATATTAATTGTTAAAGATTATTCACTTTTATATAGTGACAGGAAATTTTTTATCCTAGGACCTTCTAACTATGTCAATCCCCAACTACCATGTCATATTAGAATCCTAGAATGCTGTTGTTTTAGTCTATTCTTATACTGCTATAAAGAAATACCTGAAACTAAGTAATTTATAAAGAAAAGAGGTTGAATTGGCTCATGGTTCTGCAGGCTGTACAGGAAGCATAGCAGCTTCTGCTTGGCTTCTGAGGAGGCCTCAGAGAGCATTCAATCATGGCAAAAGGCACAGGGGGAACAAGCACCTCACATGACCAAAGCAGGAGGAAGAGCAGGAGGAGGAGGAGGTTGCACACACTTTTAAATGACCCATTCTCTGGAGAACTCTCATATTACAAGAACAGCAAGGGGGAAGTCTGCCCCATGATCCAGTCACCTTCAACAATGGGGATTACAATTCAGCATGAGATTTGGGCAGGGACACAGATCCAAACCATATCAACTGTACATTATGAAAAGTTCCAGGCAAGCCTGAGTCTTTTCCGAAAAGAAGCATGTAAATCCTTGCTCGTATATAAATAGAGGAATGTAACTACCAACCATAATAGTATGTCCCAACTTACTTCCTAACTAAGCTACAATGATTTCTAAGAAAATTCTGGTTCTATTATTTGAGAAAGGCACTGAACACTTAGTAGAAGACAAAGAAGCTTTGTCTCAATGAGTGGAACTATGTAGTCAGTCTGAATGAACAATGTTAATTCAGGGCTATGAGTCTTGGTCACTACTTAACATCAACATTGTGTATTACTGTCTTCTTCCTACTTACTCCCCATTATATTTTATGTGTATCCCTTAGAACCTTTTTTCACTGTGTTAATCAAGGACCTTCTCATTTGTTTAAAAGCGACTCAGCTCTTCCTCAGGCTTCCCTTAGCCCCAAGTGTATCCCAGAACTGTTGTACTTCCCTATTAGCCAAGTGCTCCCTCTCTAGTTGTATCCTGTACCTTCAGAGCAGTGCCAGAACTGAACAGACTATGGGAAGAGAGAATGGAACAAGCAAGCTGGTTAATTTAATGTTTTGCTGTTGGTCTCAGAAAGCCATCAGGACCACATGAAACTAACCACCAGACAGTAATAAGCTTTGAGGCAACTACCAAACTATCTCCATCTAATTCCTAGCCACCTTCCCAGGCTGAACTCAAATACTTCCTCCTTCATGAAACTTTCTCCAGTCATCTCCCAGCCACAAGTAATTGCTTCTTCTTCTAGAAAGCATTCTCTTTTTGTGTTGGCAACAGTCTACTTTGTGTTATGTGCAGCTATTGTGTATATGTGTTGGTCTGACTGTCACAATCTAAACTTTTTGACATTAGCAACTGAGAAGACTCCAGTAGAGGTTCCATAGTGAGTGAACTAATGAATGAATATATGCATGAACCAACCAATCTGTGATATCAGCTTTAAACAAAAATAACAATGTAGTTAGTAAATCTAATGATAATTTTCTTCATCTTACTATAGAATATAGTCTTCTCATAGGAGAGATTACCCAGAAAAAGGTGGGGTGGGGGCTTATTTACAGAAAGTAAGCTCTATATGAGATGGTAGTATGAGCCAGTTACAAAACAGTTTTGGACTTACTAGTATCTCACAATTTCTTTTCTTCCAAAATTATAAACTGTAGTTCTCTTTAATAATGGAATGTATAAACAGCATTTATCACTATTTGCTAACAACTGGCAATATATATTTTTCAGTGGTTAATCAGAAGCCCTTATTCAATTAGCAGTGTAATGGTATTGGGGAAAAAAATGGAGATTTTAAGAGATTTCTGTTTCTCTAAGAGAGCAGTCAGCAAACCAGGGCCCATGGGCCAAGTTTGGCACACTCTATTTTTGTAAATAAAGTTTCATAGCAGCAAAACCACACTCATTTATTTATTTATGGCTACTTTGCTCTACCACAACAGAGTTCAGTTGTTGGAACAGAGATCATAAGCTATACAGTTAACATTGTAGTGGCCTACAAAGCCTGTATAAAAAGGGCAATCCCAACGTTCATTCTAAAATCTTACCCTGGCGTTGGATTCAAGTCACCCCTCGGCGATGCATCTCGGCTATACAGGTCATATACAGTGTTAGCTGTGCATAGGGACAGAAACTGTTTTAGACTTTATGAAAGTTTCATGATGTGTTTCACATGACTTCATGAATTACATAGAGCATCAGAAATGTGTAAAAATTCCGTGAGAGGACATTGTTACTCAGCTATACTGATACAAGATAGCAAAGACACTAAACGGATTTGAAAGAGACAAAAAAGCTGAAATTGACCCTTAAGTTTTAAGTTTTTGTAATATGCATTTAGCTAGACTCATCATCAGTGTGGTGCATAGACAGTGCCTAATAGTAAATTGGTCACCTGCTTGAGTCTAGAGCCCTCATTTCCAAACTTAGGAATTTTCATTTTGGTGGTGGAGAAGTCTCTTAATATATTCGTTCTCATTTTCTCTTGACTTCTTTTTAGTTTATTGAAAAGAATGTAGAATTACTTTGCTCTTCTTAAACAGACATATCTCTTGAGATTCATTATTTTACCCAAAAAAATGCTAACTGTGAGCTTATGAGATGTCTAAGACTCCTGTACTCCTATAAAAGCCCGATAAGCTTTTCCTCTCAGTGTCTGTGAGGCTAATACTATTGTAAACAAAAAATACAGAAGGAAAAGTAAAAGCCACTCTCCTCTCTACACCTAATATCTCTCTCCAAAGGTTAATATTTCTGATTCTTTAAAATATATCTATATATATAAAACATTATAATATCTGTATGTGATATATAATCATATATACCTATACATGATCCTCTGTATCTGTGGTTCCATATCCATGGATATGGATGGCCAACTAAAAGGGACTTGAGCATTTGCAGATTGCGGTATCCTATTGCAGATAGCTCCAGGGGTTCTGGAGCTAATTCCCTGCAGATACCAAGGGATGATTGCATTTAATTATAATATATGTAAGAGAGATATGAGGTCAAAAATGAGTGGGATTCATTCAAAAGAAATGAAAGCATATGTTCTTAAAAATATATACATAATCATCACAGTTTTATTTGTAGTAGCCAGTAACTGAGCATCCCAGATGCCCATCAACAGGTGAATGGATAAACAATTGTGTATCCATACAGTGAAATTCTACTCAGCTACAGAGGGAAATGAATTATGGATACCACAGCAACATACATGAATCTCAAAATAATTATTCTATTTGAAAGAAGCCAGATTAAAAAAATATATGCTATATGATTCCATTTGTATAAAATCCTAGAAAATGCAAACTAATCTGTAGGCATAGATTGCCTCTGTTATACTGCGACCATCTACAAGTACAGGTGCCCTGTGGGAATTAGGGCTCAGGAAAGTGGCACAATGTTGATCCTCTGGCTACTGCTATTGCTCTGAGTAAAAAACTGTCTTTGATCTCCGACCCAAAGTTTCATATCTTTTTCCAGCATCCAAGCTTGTTAGTTTACAGATTCTTCACAATTCTTGACAGTGAGATATCGCTATACCCAAACCCACAAAATTAAAAGAAATGGCAATGGCAAGCAACACAAGGAAATGCTGCAATTGAAATTATACATTGATGGTGGGAGTATGTTAATAAGTTGGTACTCCATTTTGTAAAGTTGTTTGACAAGATGTATTAAAGGTATATAAAGCTATATATGCATGTTATCTAAAACCTCACAATTCCATTTCTGAATAGAATGTCCATGAGAAATGAGTGCTTTTGTTTATGAGAAGACAGATAAAATAAAGTTTTATCAGTTTTATTCATAATATCTAAAAACTGAAAACCATTCACATGTCCATCAACAGTGGAACTGATAAATTGTATGCAGCAATGAAAAAGAACACACTACTGTTACAACATCGTGAATATATTTCACAGATGTGATATTGAACAAAAGAAGACTCAAAAGAGTGCCTTCTGTATAAAGTATGTACATTGATATAAAGTTCATAGAAACAAAATGATCACACTTCTATAATTATAGAACTAAAGTAATGGTTACCTTTGGTAGGATTATTGACTAAGGGAGCTTTCTGTATCTTGGTCTGGATGGTAGTTACATGGATTTATACTCATGAGAAGACTTCAAAAAGTCCATGGAAAACATACTTAAAAGATACAAATAAAAAATATAAACTTTATTTCTCAACATAAGTTCCATCAAGTTCAAGACACCTTTGTAAGTGATGATACCAGCCATTTAGTTCATCCCTAAAGAACTGAGTGTCCTGGGAATTTAACCATGTCAATTAAGTCTTTTTTACATTATAAACTGAAGAAAAATGCATGCCTTTTACAGATTTTAATATTAAGAAACAAAAAAGTCAGAGCCAAATCAAGACTGTAAGATGGATTTCCCATCTAAACTTGCAAAATTGCCTTTGTTTGATGAGAGGAATGAGCAGGAGTATCATTGTGGTGGAAAAGGATTCTCTGGTGGAGCTTTCCTAGGTGTTTTTCTGCTCAAGCTTTGGCTTGCTCAAAACACTTTCATAGTAAGCAGGCGGGTCATTTTTGGTCCTCCAGAAAGTCAACAAGCAAAATGTCTTGATCACCCCAGAAAACTGTTGCCATGATGCTTGCTCTTGACTAGTCCACTTTTGCTGTGACTGGACTATTTCCACCTCTTGGTAGCCCTTGCTTTGGTTGTGCTTTGTCTTCAGGATTGTACTGGTAAAGCCATGTTTCATCCCATTACCATTCTTCAAAGAAATGCTCCAGGATCCGAATCCTACTCATTTTGTTTTAAATTTTCATTGAAAGCATTTCTCTTTTCTGCAGCTGATCTGGGGACAATGGTTTTGGCACCCATTTAGTGGAAAGTTTGCCCCCATTTTAATTTTTCAGTCATAATTGTGAAAGCAGAACCCATTGAGACATCTGTCATGTTGGCTCTTGTTTGTGCTGTTATCATTTGTCCTTTTCAATTGGGATACAAACAAGATGAATTTTTGTGGATGGTCTGCCACTGCAGGCTTCAACACTGTCTCATCCCTTCTTAAAACAAGTTATCCATTTGTAAACCGCCGATTTCTTTAGCGTATTGTCTCTGATATGATTTGGCTGTGTCCCCACCCAAAACTCATTTTGAATCATAGCTCCCACAATTCCCAAGTGTTGTGGGAGGGACCCAGTGGGAGGTAATTGAATCATGGAGGCAGGTCTTTCCTGTGCTGTTCTCATGATAGCGAATAAATCTCTTGATTTCTCATGGTTTTATAAAGGGGAGTATGTCATGTAAGAGGTGACTTGCTCCTCCTTGCCTTCTGCCATGATTGTGAGGCCCCCAGCCATGTGGAACTGTGAGTACATTAAACCTCTTCTCCTGTGTAAATTACCCAGTCTAGGGTACGTCTTTATTAGCAGTGTGAAAATGGACTAATAACAGTCTCCATAAATGTTTTGTAAAAATCAGTGATTTTACTATTCTTCCACCCAGGCTTCACCATAACTTTGCTGTTTATCCTTGCTTCAATTTTAGCAGAATTCATGTTGCTCTGATGAGGGCTTTTTTCACACTAATGTCTTGTTCTTAATGCCTCAAACTATATCCTGTTCAGACATCTTATAATAAGTTAGTATGAATTTATTTTGATGCAAAAAATTTTTGAAATTCATCCATAGTTTTTTCATAAGATGCATTTCAATGAACTTTTTGAAGACTCTCACATGTATAAAAATAATTAAGCTATACACCAAAGATTTATATACTCTATATATGTAAATCATACCAGTTTTTAAAATATATAAAATGTGGCAGGGCACAGTGGCTTACACCTGTAATCTCAGCACTTTGGGAGGACAAGGTGGGTGGATCACTTGAGGTCAGGAGTTCGAGACCAGCCTGAACAACATGGTGAAACCCCGTCTCTACTAAAAATACAAAAATTGGCCAGGTGCAGTGGCTGACACCTGTAATCCCAGCACGTTGAGAGGCTGAGGCAGACGAATCACGAGGTCAGGAGTTCAAGACCAGCCTGGCCAACATGGTGAAACTCCGTCTCTACTAAAAATACAAAAACTTAGCTGGGCGTGGTGGCAGGGGCCTGTAATCCCAGCTACTCGGGAGGCTGAGGCACAGAGAATCCCTTGAACCCGGGAGGTGGAGGTTGCAGTGAGCTGAGATCGTGCCACTGCACTCCAGCCTGGGCAACAAGGCGGGACTCCTTATCAAAAAAAAAAAAAAAAAATTACCTGTGCATGGTAGCGTGCACCTGTAATCCCAGCTGCTCAGGAGACTGAGGCACATGAATTGCTTGAACCTGGGAGGCGGAGGTTGCAGTGAGCCAAGATTGCACCAGTGCACTCCAGCCTGGGATACAGAGTGAGACGCTGTCTCAAAAAAAAAAAAAAAATTATATGTATGTAGGCCTGTTGTCTCTGCAGAAGGATTTTCTCTTTTCTTTGGTATAGAAATAGCAGTCCTAGGAAACATAACAAGATCTTTGTCTGAATTATCTATTTTAGTGTTGCTTAATAAAACCTAATAACTACAACAAATAGATAATTTATTTAAAATGTTTCATTTTATTGAGTATATAAACCTAAGATGAGTACCCAAACTGGCCAGAACTTTTTTTTTTGTTTTTTTTTCTAAAGCAGCAGTCTGTGTGTGGATTTTTAAAAAAATTTTTTTAAAAACAAGTATATTGAGTCTTATTTTATATATTATAAAATTCACCCATTTCAAGTGTACAATTCAGTAATGTTTAGTAAATGTAGCAAGTTGTGTAACCCTCACCATGAATCAGCTTTAGGACATTTTCATTACCTCAGAAAGATTTCTGCATCTATTTAACATTAATCCCATTCCCTCTCCCAGTTCCCAGGCAACCACTAATTGACAGAGTCTATATATTTGTATTTTCTGGAAATGTCACATAAATGGAGTCATATGGTATGTCGTCTCTTGTATCTGGCTTCTTTCACTCAGCATAATGTTTTTGAGGTTTATGACGTATATATATCAGTAGTTTCTTCCTTTTTATTTCAAGTAGGATTCCACTGTATGACTGTACCATATTATGTCTATTCATTTACCATTTGATAGACATTGTTTCCAATTTTGGTCTATTGTGAATAGTGCTGCTGTGAACATTTGTTTGCAAGTGTTTGGGTAGACATATGTTTTCATTTCTCTTGGATAGATAGATACCTAGGAGTAGAATTGCTGAATCTTATGGTAAGCTTATATTTAACTTTTTAAGAAATGCAAAAATGTTTTTCTAAAAGTAGCTGTACTGTTTTGCATTCCCACCGGCAGTGTACAAGGATTCCTGTTTCTCTACATCTCCTTTGTTACTGTCTTACCTTTAGCTGGTGTGAAATGATATCTCATGAGGTTTTAATTTGCATTTTCCTAATGACTGCTAATGTTGAGCTTATTTTGTGTATTGTTATCTATTCATTTATTCTTTAGTGAAATATCTATTCAAACTTTAGCACATTTTCATATTGGGTTATTTTCTTTGGATTTGTACGAACTTGTTGTATATTCTGGATACAAGTCACATCAGACATGTATTTGCAAATACTTCAGTCTGTTGCTTGTCTTTTTGTTTTCTTACTGGTATATTAGGAAATATAAAAATGTCAAATTTTGGTGAGGTCAATTTGTCAATTTTTTTTCTGATAGACCATGTTTTTCATGTCACTTTCCTCTTTATCTTTTTAATAGAAAACATACTGTTTATATCATGTATTATAAAACTGATTTCTTTACGACATTGGGGTTTGTTTTAACTCAAGTATTGGAAAATACTTCCTGAAATACTTAATATTTTTTCCCTCTTGTCCCTCCTCTTCCCCTACTCATGTTAAAAAAAAAATAGAAACAATTACATCATCCTAAATTGTTACATCTGTAGACTAGACCTTAATTGTTACATCTGTAGACTAGACCTTAATTGTGAATGATTTTTTTATTTACCACAATTGTCTTCCCATAATGTTAGTCTTTCTGGCTAGCAGAGTGCTTTAGATTCTTAAGCAGTACTTATCACTCATCCTTAAAGGAAGGGTAAAAGGTAAATATACCATCAGAGATCAGATAGCTCTGTCCTGGAGAACAAGATTATATGCTACTGGAGTAGTACATATTGACTGTGTTGAACAAAATACTTCATCAGAAAATTATTTCTTGTCAGTGTTGAACATAATACAAACAGACCTACTTTGGCCTACAGGGCAAGTCATATGTCAGGGAATAGTTTGTATTAGGTTGTTTTTTGTATCTGGAAACCATGGTTTCAGGATGCTCAGAAAGAGGCAGAAAAGGAAGCTATAAACCAAATGACTCAGTTATTTTCAACACTTAGTAGATTGTAGATTGAAAATTTTTCCAGAACGTAGAGAAATAAAATTACTTTCACAGGGAATTGCCCTGCTAAATGTATAATGTATGTAAATATTTGATAAAACCACAACCTCTGGTAGCTTAAATGATTACGTATCTAAACCATTTTTAAATTAAATTTTCTCGTCTCAGGAGGGTCTGCTCTTTTCATTTAGCTCTAGATACACATACTTTCCTTTCCTTTCTAATGGGTACATAGAAGTGGTTCCCTAAACTGGGGAGACTCCGATGCTAAATCTCTGGTGAACAGGAATAATTGAGGATTTCAAATATGAAGTGAGCTTGAAATAGGAAAAAAAAGTATATTCACACTTATTAAATTGTTCTAAGCATCTGAACGTCAAGGGCAGGATGGGGATGGGAATGATGAATGCCAGTAATAAAAAGCCTTATTCAGATCCAACTTTTAAACTTCTCATCTTTTTTAAACTTAATTTCTGTGTGACTAATATAATTATTTATTTTAGAGACCAAATGATGTTGAATAATAATGTGAAAAATATCATTTGAGTAACTTTTAAAAACCTGGGTTAATAATTGTTTAAATGGTCCTTGCCATGATACAGATTTCTCCCCAATTTGGGAAGAGGATCACCTTCTATTGCCTAAGCTCCTTAGCATCTTTTTAGGACCACATCTTCTGGCATGACCAGGAAATTTTTAGGGGATTATTTAAAATCCTTGAGGCTGCTACTGGATTGAACTGTAATGAATAAAACTATATATATTGTTCCATAATGCCAAGATTCTTGATTTTAAAAAGAACAGAAATGACTTGTGGCTTTTGTGACACTTTTGTGGGGAGAATGGAGTCAGCATGTATGCAAATATTTATGGTGAATTATTTTTAAAAATATTTTTCTAAGCTTTTAACTTACATATGACATAAATGGAAGAAATATATATAGTGAAAATTTTTAAAATCGTGTATTTTATTTACAGTATTAAAATAGAAGTTTGACTAATACGTTGGTCAAATAGATTCAGCTGCATACTTTTAAAAACATAAAGACTCCAACTAGTGAAGTTCATAGTTAAAATAGATAAAACAATTAACACTCCATGTTCCACATATGAGGATAGTACTGTTTGCTGAAAACATGAAAACTTTTAACTCAAATGATAAAGTGATTAAAGTTGAGTTTTGGCAGTCTGCAATATTAAGGCTCGGAATTTTCTGGAGTAGCTCAGTTTTCTGAATATAAACTTAGCTGTTCATACACCTTTAAATTAAAATTCTAAAATATTAAAAAGATTTAACAATGTGTTTTGTTTTCAAAATGTAAATTGCTATTGCATATTTGTTTTTAAGCCTGTGTGTTGGAAGGAAGTAGAAGACTCTTGTGGACTTGTGGTTGCATGGCAGAAATTATCAGAGTAGGCAGTCTACGGTCATCCTTGATGTCCAAAAATGAGATTGGCAGTGAATTAGAGGGATGTGGGAAGCAGGAAATGTTTGCTTGCAACAGCTGTCGTCAGTGCTTTGTGTGAGAATGAGAGGTCTATCAAGGAAACATACAAACAACAGAAGTCAGCTAAAATATAAACTCTGGCCATCTACATGTTAATGCTTGGAGCTTCATGTTTTCCTAAGAAAAGGATCTTAAGAATCAGGTAAATACAGAACGGGAATCTAGGGGGATTTAAGCAAACCCAATCAGAAACTTTTAATAGAGATTTTGCAAAAATCAAAAATGGGCTTTTCAGCAGTCAGAACGTTGGCTTTATGTATCAAGGGTATAAGGACAGCAGAATGGCTTCTTGCCCAGGCAGGAGCAAACATACAGTGTCATTCCAGGTTCCTTGCTCAAGTCAGCTAGAGTGACAATTTTACTACTATAATCTGTTTGCATTAGTGGCAACTGATATAAGAAGAAACAATTCAAACTGTCTTCCAAACTCAGTATAGAGTTATCTCTAAAATGTTGTATACCAAATGTCTGTTAGATTTCTTCTGCCCACTTGTAGTGTATTTAAATTATTTTAACTTCAAAAATGCATGTCAGTTAAATGCTGAGTTGTCCTCAGCTGTTACAACCTGATGAAATCTAAAAAAAAGCTGTTCTTTTTTTCTTTTCCCTGTTCCTTCTCAAAACAAGTCTTTTAAATGACAAACTTTGTGGATTTACTTTTTAAAGCTTTTTCTCTTTACATAAAAATTTTGTTATAGATTTGTTTTTCTGCTTTCTCCATTCATCTGAACTCACCTGATTATGTCTTATACTTGTATCTGGAAAGTGTTAGTTAAATATTATAGTATTTATTTATTTATTTATTTATTTATGAATGAATGAATGAGGCAGGGTCTCACAGTGTTGCCCAGATTGGTCTCGATCCCTGGGCTCAAGCAATCCTCCAACCTAATATCTTCCCAATATAATGTTAATTTAATCTGACAGAACTATCTCAAAAATTTTTGCAGTACAATTGCGTAGTAAGACTAGCGCTATAAGGTAGGAACGTATGTGTCCCTATAGAGCCGTCATTGGTGTTTGTATGAGATGATGATGTACAAGGCATTGTTGCTATAGCCAACTCCTTCAAAATAACCCAGTAAGACAAAAGTTAAGTTGTTGTTTGCTCATTGTTAAATGTAGCTGAAACATGAAATGTGCATATAATAATGGTTATTCGTTCATTAGACAAGTATTTATTGAGCAGGTACTATATGCCAGGCACTGTTCAAAGCACTTAAGTATCATCATTAATAAACAAAACAAAGATTCCCATTCTCATGTAGTTTACATTATTGCTGGGAAAAGTAATGTTAGTAAGTAATGTTACCCAGGCTGGTAATTTATAAGTAATTTATATACTATGCTAGAAGGTGGTGTATGCTATGGAAAAAAGGAAAAGGGGGATCATGAATATCTGAAGGAAGATAATAGAAACGTTGTTGAAGCTAAGCATATTATTTTAGTGATATCTGTTAAGCATTAAGAAAGCAAAACAGTGAGGAGGAGGAGGATCGTGCCAAACGGATTATGAAATCTAAGTAGGACCAGTCTGGAATTTAGTTCTACATTGAGTATCATGTGCAGGGCACTCTGATTTACTCTGAAGTGGTAGAGTAATGAAAGATGAATTGGGCATTTCTTTCTTGTTCTCAAGAACCTACTACAATCAGTGAAGGAAGGCAGACATGTAAACACCTACCTGAATAACACAAATTCTAAACAGCAGTATATATTTATGTGGTTGCTGAGAAGGAGAACCAATTAATTCTGACTGGGAGATTGATTAGGAAAGCAAGGAAAGTGCAGCCTAAGCAAAGTTTTGGCAAAGGGAAAGATAAGTTTGACGCAGTTTGACCAAGCCTTTTTATCAGAAAATGATATACAAATGGAAAAGATCCAAATGACTGTGAGGAAGAGTACAACTAGGTACAACTAGAAGAACAAAGGGAAACACCTAACAGAAGTTTGTGTCTCCTGGCTGATCTTTCCAATATTTGTCTCATATGCCTTTAAATAATCTATTTGAAAGGAGAAGAATTTTGAAAATGATGAAGCAAAGAGAAACTAAAAGAGGACTAGGGACAATGATTAATAAGAAAAAAAGGCAGTGGAAAATGATAGATTCAGATAACACCAACCATAATTTTATTGTAGTCCCAGATTAAAGCCATAGTTCCCCATTTACTGATTGGAAAGCTGTCTAAGCCCAACATCAGGACCCCAGAGCTATTGCATTTGATATTGAATATCGCTGCTTTTTTTTAAGGTCATTGTACTTCTATTTGGATTTTTGAAGGAATGAACTATTCACTCAGTTCAGTGATGGCAATATTTGTCTTTTTCTTCTAGTGTCATTTGTCTGAAATTGAGAAATGTGCTCATGCCAAAGCATATTTACTATATTTCTTGGTTTTGTGAAATAAATCAAGGCGATAGAATAGTGATGTTCATCTTCCTAGGTATTTCAATAGTAAAGATTAGCTTAACTTGTTAAAACCACACTAAACATTGATATTTTACAAACCACCAGCTTTTATTTAAATATAAGAAGTTAAACGTGAGAAACTAAACCTGTGGCTAAAAGTACTTGCCAGAAGATTTTTTGATACAAAAATTAAAATGAATTACATGACTATTATTTAATTGGAATATGTACTCCACAGTATAAGATCTCTCATAGTTTAATCTTTAAAATATTAGATGAGTATAATTTTTTAAAAATATATCTGTATTAGGCTTCTTTCTTTTTAATTTTTATGGGTCATAGTATATGTATATATTTATAGGGTGGGTGAGATATTTTGATACAGGCATACAATATGTAATAATCACATCAGAGTAAATGGCATAACCATCACCTCAAGCATTGATTATTTTTGTTGCAAACGTTCCAACTATTCTCTTTTAGTTATTTTTAAATGTACAATATTGTACATTTTGTTGTACAAAATTATTGTTGACTATAGCCCACCCTGTTTTGCTGTCAAATACTAGATCTTATTCATTCTGTCAAACTATATTTTTGTACCTTTTGACCATCCCCACTACCCCCACCCCAGCGACCCTTCCCAGCCTCTGGTAACCATCATTCTACTCTCTGTCTCCATGAGTTCAGTTATTTTAATTTTTAGCTCTCACATATGACTGAGAACATACAAAGTTTGTCTTTCTGTGCCTGGCTTATTTCACTTAACATAATGACCTCTGGTTCTATCCATGTTGCTGGCAATGACAGGATCTTACTCTTTTTTATGTCTGAATAGTACTTCATTGTGTGTATGTACCACATTTTTTTTTACCTAGTCGTCTGTTTTTTGTTTTGTTGTGTTTTGGTTTTTTTGGAAGGAGTCTCGCTCTGTTGCCCAGGCTGGAGTGCAGTGGTGCAATTACCCAGTCTTCTGTTGATGGACACTTAGGTTTCTTCCAAATCTTGGCTATCCTGAATAGTGCTGCAACAAACATGGAACTGCAGATACTAATTTTCCTTCTTTGGGGTATATACCTAGCAGTGGATCATATAGTAGTACTATTTTCAATTTTTTGAGTAACCTCTGTACCATTTTCCATAGTGGCTGACCTAATTTACATTCCTACTGACAGTGAACAAGGGTTCCCTTTTCTCCACATCTTTGCCAGCATTCATTATTGCTTGTCTCTTGGATAAAAGCCATTTGATAATATCTCGCTGAAGTTTTGATTTGCATTTCTCTGATGTCAGTGATGTTTAGCACCTTTTCATATGCCTGTTTGCCATTTGTATGTCTTGTGAGAAATGTCTATTTTTGCCCATTTTAAAATTGTGTTACTAGATTTTTTTCCTATAGAGTTATTTGAGCTCCTTATACATTCTGCTTATTAATCCCTTGACAGATGGATAGTTTGCACATATTTTCTCCCATTCTGTGGGTTGTCTCTTCACTTTGTTGATTGTTTCCTCCCTTGTACAAAGCTTTTTAACTTGATATGATCCTATTTGTTCATTTTTGTTTGGGCTGCCTGCCCTTTTAGGGTATTACCGAAGAAACCTTTGCCCAGACCAGGGTTCTGAAAAATTTCTTCAGTGTTTTACTTTAACAGTTTCATAGTTTGGGGTCTTAAACTTAAGTTTTTAATCCATTTTTATTTGATTTTTGGTTTTGGGTTTTTTTGACATAGGATCTCGCTCTGTCACCCAGGCTGGAATGCAGTGGCACAATTATGGCTCACTGCAGCTTTGACCTCCCTGGACCTCAACTTCAAGTGATTCTCCCACCTCAGACCTCGAGTAGCTGGAACTATAGGTGTGTGCCACCCACACCCAACTAATTTTTGGTTTGAGGGTTTTTGTTGTTGTTGTTGTTGTTTTTGGTAGAGACAGGTTTTCACCATGTTATGCAGGCTGGTCTCAAACTCCTGGGCTCAAGCAGTCAGCCTGCCTCGGTCTCCCAAAGTGCTGGGATTACAAGCATGAGCACTGTGCCTGCTGCTTGGGATGGCTTTGGCTATTTGGGGTCTTTTGTGGTTTCATATAAATTTTAGGATTAGTTTTTCTATTTCTATAAAGAATGTGATTATTATTTTGATAGGATTGCTTTGAATCTGTAGATTGCTTTTGGTAGTATGGACATTTTAATAATATTGATTGATTCCAGTCAATGAACATGAAATGTCTTTCCCTTCCTTTGTGTCCTCTTTAATTTCTTACATTATTGTTTTTTAGTTGTAGAGATCTTTCACTATTCTACTTAAATGTATTCCTAGTTATTTTATTTGTGGCTATCATAAATGAGATTACTTTCTTGATTTCTTTTTCATCTTGGTGGCTGTTGGCACATAGAAATGCTACTGTGTTTTGAATGTTGATTTTGTATCCTGCTACTTTACTGAATTTGTTTATTAGTTCTGTTTTTTTGTAAAATCTTTGGGTTTTTTAAAATATAAGATCATATCATCTGCAAACAAAAATAATTTGACTTCTTCCTTTCCAGTTTGGATGCCCTATATTTCTTTCTCTTGTCTGATTGCTCTAGCTGGGACTTCCAGAACTATGTTGAATAACAGTTGTGAAAGTGGGCATCCTTGTCTTGTTCTAGTTCTTGGAGGAAAGGCTTTTAGTTTTTCCCCATTCAGTATGATACTAGCTATGAGTCTGTCGTATATGTCTTTTATTGTGTTTAGGTATGTTCCTTCTGTACCCAGTTTTTTTAGGATTTTTATCATGAAGGGATGTTGAACTTTAGCAAATGCTTTTTCAGCATGAATTGAAATGATTGTATTATTTTTGTCCTTCATTCTATTGATATGGTGTAGCACATTGATTGATTTGTGTGTGTTGAACCATCCTTGCATCCCTGGGTTAAATCCCACTTGGTCATGGTGAATGATCTTTTTAATGTGTTGTTGAATTTGTTTTGCTAGTATTTTGTTGAGGATTTTTGCATCAGTGTTCATCAGGAATATTGGCCTGTGGTTTTCTTGTTTTCATGGGTCTTCATTTGGTTTTAGAATCAGTGTAATCTAGAATCATAGAATGAGTTTGGAAATACTCTCCTCCTCTACTTTTTTGAATAGTTTGAGTAGGATTGGGAATAGTTATTTTTTATTTATTTATTTATTTATTTATTTATTTATTTATTTATTTATTTTTATTTATTTATTTTTGAGACGAAGTCTCACTCTGTCCCCCAGGCTGGAGTGCAGTGGCACTATCTCGGCTCACTGCAAGCTCCACCTCCCGGGTTCACACCATTCTCCTGCCTCAGCCTCCCGAGCAGCTAGGACTACAGGCGCCCGGCTAATTTTTTGTATTTTTAGTAGAGACGAGGTTTCACCATGTTAGGATGGTCTTGATCTCCTGACCTTGTTTGTGATCCGCCTGCCTCGGCCTCCCAAAGTGCTGGGATTACAGGCGTGAGCCACCGCGCCCGGCCGGCAGTAGTTCTTTTTTAAATGTTTGGTAGAATCCAGCGGTGATGCCATTGGATCCTGGGCTTTTCTTTGCTGGGAGACTTTTTATTATGGTTTTGATCTCATTACTTTGTCTATTCAAGTTTTGCATTTCTTCATAGTTCAGTCTTGGTAAGTTGTGTATGTTGAGGAATTTATCCATTTCTTCAAGGTTTTCCAATTGATTGGTATATAGTTGCTCATAGTAGTCTCTAATGATCCTTTGAATTTCTGTGGTATCAGTTGTAATGTCGTTTTCATCTCTGATTTCAATTTATTTGGGTCTTCTCTCTTTTTTTCTTAGTCTGGCTAAAAGTTTGTCAATTTTATCTTCTCCAAAAAAAACTTTTCATTTCATTGATCTTTTGTATTTTTTGTTTCAATTTCATTTATTTCTGCTCTAATCTTTATTTCTTTCCTTCTACTAAGTTTGGGTTTAGTTTACTGTTTACTTTGTTCTTTAAGAAGCATCATTAAGTTGTTTATTTGACTTTTCTTTTTTTTTTTTTTTTTTTTTTGAGACAGTCTCACTCTGTTGCCCTGGCTGGAGTGCAGTGGTGTGATCCCAGCTCATTGCAACCTCTTTCCCCCAGGTTCAAGCGATTCTCCTGCCTTAGCCTCCGGAGTAGCTGGGATTACAAATGCCCACCACCACGCCTGGCTAATTTTTGTATTTTTAGTAGAGGCAGGGTTTCACCATGTTGGCCAGGCTGGTCTCATAAACTCCTGACCTCAAGTGATCCACCTGCCTCGGCCTCCCAAAGTGCTAGGATTACAGGCATGAGCCACTGCTCCTGGCCTCTACCTTTTTTATGTAGGCACTTATTGCTGTAAATTTTCCTCTTAATACTGCTTTCACTGTATCCTATAGGTGTTCCATACTAGTTCTGTTTCCATTTTAATTTGTTTCAAGAAATCTGTTAATTTCCTTCTTAACTTCTTCATTGACCCACTGATCATGAGGAGCATATTGTTTAATTTCCATGTGTTTGTATAGTATCCAGAGTTCCTCTTGTTACTCATGTCTAGTTTTATTCCATTGTGGTCATAGAAGTTAATTCATATGATTTTTTTTAATTCTTTAGTACTTGGTCTGTGACCTAACATATGGTCTGCCCTTGAGAATGATCCATGTGCTGAAAAGAAGAATGTCTATTCTGCAGCCATTGGATGAAATGTTCTGTAAATATCTATTAGATCCATTTGGTCTATAATGCAGATTAAGTCGAATGTTTCTTTTGATTTTCTGTCTGGATGATCTGTCCAATGCTGACAGTGGGGTGTTGAGGTCTCCAGCTATTATTGTATTCAAATCTGTCTATCTCTTTAGCTCTAATAATAATTGGGTGCTCCAGTGTTAGGTGCATATGTATTTGGGTGCTCCAGTGTTGGGTGCATATATATTTACAGTTGTTATATCCTCTTGCTGAATTGAGCCCTTTATCATTATGTAGTGACTTTCTTTGTCTCTTTTTATAATTTTTGTCTTGAAATCTATTTTGTCTGATATAACTATAGCTACTCCTATTCTTTTTTTATTTCCATTTACATGGAATATCTTTTTTATCCCATTATTTTCAGTCTGTATATGTCTTTGTAGGTTAAGTGTGTTTCTTGTAGGCCACAGATAATTGGGTCTTGTTTTTTGTTTGGTTGGTTGGTTGGTATTTTTTTTTTTTTTTTGGTCCATTCAGCCACGCTGTGTCTTTTGATTGCAGAGTTTATTCCATTTACGTTCAAGGTTGTTATTGATGAGGAAAGACTTACTCCTGCCATTTTGTTATTTTTTTTCTCATTGTTTTGTGTTCTTCTTTATTTCCTTCCTGCCCTCCTTGTTGTGAACGTGATTTTTTTCTGGCAGTATGTTTTAATTTCTTGCTTTTTATTTTTTGTGTATCTGTTGTTGGCTTTTTGGTTTGAGATTACCGTGAAGCTTGCATATAACATCTGGTTTCGGTTTTTGTTTTTGAGATAGGGTCTCACTTTGTTACCCAGGGTGGAGTGCAGTGGCGTGTTCTTAGCTCACTGCAACCCCCACCTCCTGGGCTCAAGTGATCCTCCCACCTCAGCCTCTCTAGTAACTGAGATAACAGGTGCACACCACCATGCTCAGCTAATTTTTTGTAGTGTTTTGTAGAGATGGGGTTTTGCCATGTTGCCCAGGCTGGTCTTGAGCTCCTAAGCTCAAGCAGTCCACCTGCCCTGGCCTCCCAAAGTGCTGGGATTACAGGTGTGAGCCACCGCACCCAGCCACAGGTAACATCTTATAACCCATTTATTTCAAACTGATAACAACTTAACACTGATGGCAAAAACAAACCAACTAATAAGCAAAGAGAAAACTAATAAAAACTCTCTACACTTTAACTTCATCTCCCCTGCTTTTTAACTTTGTATTGTTTCTATTTATATCTTATACTATCTATGTCTTGAAAAGTAGTTATTATATTTGATAGGTTCAACTTTTAGGCTTTCTACTCAAGATATGAGTAGTTTATAAATCACAATTACAGTGGTCTGTGAACTATACTGTTACAGTGAGTTTTGTACCTAAGATAATTTCTTATTGCTCATTAATGTCCGTTTCTTTCAGATTGAAGAACTCTGGTTAGCATTTCTTGTAGCACAGGTCTGATGTTAATTAAATCTCTTAGCTTTTGTTTGTCTGGGAGAGCCTTTGTTTCTCCTTCATGTTTGAAGGATGTTTTCCCTGGATACGCTATTCTACCATAGAATTTTTTTTCTCATCAGCACTTTAAATATGTCATGCCATTCTTTACTGGCCTGTAAGGTTTCCACTGAGAAGTCTGTTGCCAGATGTAGTGGAGCTCCTTTGTATGTTGTTTCTTTTCTTTTGTTCCTTTTAGGATCCTTTCTTTATCCTTCACCTTTGGGAAAAAGTACCTTGAGATAGTCTTATTTGGGTTAAATCTGCTTGGTGTTCTATTAGCTTCTTTTACTTGAATGTTAATATATTTCTCTTAGTTCTCTGTTATTCTCCCTTTGAATAAACATTCTACCCCAGTCTCTGTCTCCTCTTTAATGCCCAAGGCAGATCCAGAAATGCTGTCCAGGAGCCAGGGCCTGGAGTCAGGAACCTTGAAATCTACTTGGTGTTCCATACTAGTGCAGTGGAGCGGGCACCAAAGCCACAAGATAAAGTCCTTCCCACTCTTCCTCACCTTCCATCGTGTAGAAGGAGTCTCAACACCCCAGGCCCATGGCAAGTACTGCCTGGCTACTGCTAATGTTCACTCAAGGCCCAAGAGCTCTTCATTCAGCTTGTGGTGAATGCTGCTAGGCCTGGGTCTCTCCTTTCAGGGTAGGTGGCTCCCCTATGGTCCAAGGCAGGTCCAGAAATGCCATCCAGGAGCCAAGGCCTGGAATTGGGGAACCCAGAAGCCCTCTTGGTGCTTTACCCCCATGGCCAAGCTGGTACCCTATCTATAATACAAAGCCCCCTTCACTCCTGCCTCTCTTTTCCTCAAGCAGGAGTCCTCCCTCAAAAAGGGAATACACAGAGTCACACCTAAGGTCAGCATGGCCCTGGGTCTCATCCAAGGCCTGTGGCAAGTGCTGTGTGAGTACTGCTGATGTTGATTCAAGGCTCAAGGGCTCTATAATCAACAAATAATGAATCCTGCCAGTACTGGGTCCTTCCTTTCAAGGTAGCAGGTTCCCTTCTGGCACGGGGTATGTCTAGAAAAGTCTTCTGGGAGCTAGGGCCCGAAATAGGGGCCCCAGAACTCTTCCTGCGGCCCTATTCTACTGTGGCTAAGCTGGTATCCAAGTTCCAAGACAAAGTCCTCTTTACTGTCTCCTCTCTTCTCCTCAGGTGGAAGGAAGGCATCTCCCAGAGCTGTGAGCTGCACTGCTTGGGGTTAGTGGAGGGGTGACGTTAGCACTCCCTTGGCCACCCCAGCTGGTGTCTCACTAGGTCACCAGCACCCAAAGTTTTAATATGATGTTAAAACCAGGTACTAGGATTGCTCACCTGATTTTTGGGTCTTATGAAGGTGCTTTCTTATGTGAATAGTTGTTCAGTTTGGTGTTCCTGCAGGGGGACAGGGAAACAATCGTTGGAGGGTATTATTTGACTATCTTGTTCCACCTTCCCTCGTAGGCTTTTTTCCCTTAATACAGCATTTTGCTGCACTCCATTTTATACATTTCTATTATCATTTTTACTCACTATTAATGAAAAATACATTCTCTTTTAATTAAAACATGTCAAACCATTTTAATGTGAGCCATTTTAATAAACGAACTCTCCTAGAACCTTGCTTTGAAATTATATACTGTGCCATTAATATTGCCATAATGGTAACCAGAAATTTCTGTCGCTCACCCAGCTGTTAAGATTTTATTTGAATTTTGCTTTAATGTAAATAGAAGATACTTATTTCCATTAATCTTCTTTTCAAATTACTCTTCAGTTTATCAGCTTAAAAAGTACCCTATAATTATTTTTATTTTCTTATGAAAAATAGTGTTTTGGGGGCTTTTGTTTGTTTTTTCATTTTGTTTCTTACTGCAGAAAATATTTCAAGCGCAGAGAGCTGTGATTTATTAGTATATGATATACAGGGTACATTACTTTGCATTAGCAAGGTCACTATTACTACTCTTTGAAGCCATAAAACAGAATTAAAAGAAAGTGGCGAAGATGAATAAGGAATAAAAAATAAGCTTTTAAAAAGAGATTTAAATCTGTTTAGCTTTAAAGTGGGAAGGAAGGAGGCACTCATTGTACTGAGAGTCAGGATACCTGGCTTCATGGGCTGCTGTACTGCCAGTGACTGAATCACTTTAGACAAGTCACTCCACTGTTTCCTAATCATAAAATGAGAGGATCTGAATAGATCAGGATTCAGCAACTTTTTTATTAAAAGGCAGCTAGTAAGTATTTTAGGCTTTGCAGGCCACATGGCCTATATCACTACTTAGCTCTGATATAAATGATACTGTATTTACATGAATAAGCAGGGTTCTGTTCAAGTAAAACTTTATTAACAAAAACAGGTAGCAGGCCATATTTGGTCCACAGATTATCATTTGCTGGTGTTTATACTAGGTGATCTTTTAAGATTTCTCATCTGGGTGCGATGGCCCACGCCTGTAGTCCCAGCACTTTGGGAGACCAAGGTGGGCTGATTGCTTTGAGCTCAAGAGTTCAAGACCAGCCTGGGCAACACAGCGAAACCCTGTCTCTACAAAAAATTAGCCAGGAGTGGTGGTGCACGCCTACTCGGAAGGCTAAGGTAGAATCGCTTGAACCTGGGAAGCAGAGGTTGCAGTGAGCCAAAATCACACCACTGCACTCTAGCCTGGGTGACAAAATGAGACCCTGTCTCAAAAAAAAAAAAAAATTTCTTTTGCATCTACATTCTGTGATATTGCTTTATTATCAACATCATGTATATGAAAGGGACTGGTGTTCAATTCTTTTCTATCCTGTATCATTTAGGGGCCAGTCAGGAGACATAAAAGCATACTTATTTTAACAGAATAAGGGTTGAATTTGATAATATAAATAATTGTTGGCTGGTCACGGTGGCTTATGCCTGTAATCCCAGCACTTTGGGAGGCCAAGTTACAAGGATCATTTGAGGCCAGGGGTTCAAGACTAGCCTGGGCAATGTGGCAAGGCCCTATCTCTACAAAAGAAATTGTTTTTAAATATTAGCCAGGTACAGTGGTGTGCGCCTGCCTTAGCCTCCCAGCTACTTCGGAGGCTGAGGCAGGAGTATGGCTTGAGCCCAGGAGATTGAGACTGCAGTGGGCTGTGATTGTGCCACTGTACTCCAGCCTGGGTGGCAGAGTGACTAGTTTATCTCAAAAAAGAAAAAAAAAATCATTAACTAGGTTTAAAGAACTGAAAAGGTAGTAAGAAAACCTTGAGGTATCATGGATTTAACAACTGCAGGAAGTAGTTACCACCTGTGGACCTGAGGAAACAAAAAGAGGCAAGAATTATTAAACTATACAAGATTGGAAGAAAGGCCTCACAAAGCTGACACTTACATCTCCATGAAGGGGATCCTGCTCAGCTGAGGCTAATACAAGGGCTCCAAGAAGGGTTCTGTGGAGATTAGACCCAGACCACTAAGAACAAGGCACTGGTCACCCAGTGCCAGTATCTGAAGACGTGAGATGAGGTTAGTCCCGCCTCCCTTGGAAAAACTGCAAACTAGATTCAACTGCTGCTCCTGGAATGAACTGCCAATGCTTGGCTGAACAAGTAAGACTAGGGTAATGCTGATAGGAACAGGAAGGGGCAAATTATTTCTCCAGTAACCTTAACAATTAACAAAGTCCACCTTTTTGGCTAACCAGCATCCATACTCACCCTTCTATATTTATTTGAGCTTCCAAACTATACATGTTTGAAACTCCAAACATTTTCAGCACAACAAACTCTGTATTTTAACCTAACAAGATGGAAGTATCTTTCATGTAATTGAAGACATATTTACCTCTCCAAAATGAGGCTAGTTCCAACAGTCACTTTAACTATGTTTAGATGATATAACACTATCCATCTCTGGCTATGTTAATTATTCCTCAAACTCTGACACAGTCCTATCTGAATGGTTTGTTATCTAAAAACTAAATTGGAAACTTAATTTACATCAAAACTTGTATTTATAAAATAAGGGAAAGGAGGCGAGAAAAAGAATAAATTAGTATAACACACACACACATATATAACAAAAGCAAGGAACAAAATATGCATAGCTGCTATAGTCGTCATTTCTGTAGCTAGTTATGAAACTGAGATTGATTTTTTTTCTTTAAGAGACAAGAGTCTCACTCTGTCGCCCAGGCTGGAGTTCAGTGGTGCTCACTGCAGCCTCAAACTCCTGGGCTCAAGCAATTCTCTCACCTCAGCCTCCCAAGTAGCTAGCACTACGGACATGCGCACTATACCCAATCAGTTTTTTTGTTTGTTTGTTTAATTTTCAGAGATGAGGTCTTGCTTTGATGCCCCGGCTGGTCTTAAAAGTCCTGACCTCAAGAGATCCTCCCACCTCAGCCTTCTTAGTAGCTGGGATTACAGGCGCAAGCCACCGCACCCAGCTGATATTTGTAACTTTTTTCATCTACTGCCTATCCCATGTGTCCTTTGCCCTAAGCCAGGACCACATCTAGTCAGGGTTCTTTCCCTGGTAGGATGTCCTAAGTCTTCATTCTTGATGGGTCTGAATCCCTAGTAGTCCTCTTTTTTTTTTTTTGGTAGCTACATAGATATCGATAAAGAATCAAACAAAAGAAAATAGACTTCAGTTAAAGCAGGAGGCATTGGATTAAACATAAGAAACAACTATGGGCCAGGGCCACCCCCTGCATCTTGGCCTAAACTCCTCTCAACCCCCAAAAAAGAAAGAAAGAATTCATGGAAACATTAGAACAGCAATAGGGATGGTTTTGTCGTTGTCCCTAATGTTTTAAAATAAGACATTAGATACCTCTTCTGGGTAGTTTTAACTTCAGAATGCTGAGATAAAGATTTTTTTTAATACTTTTGCTACTCTTTTACTCTCTCTGATGTAAAATGTGGCATCTAACTTCCCTTTCTTAGTTTAAGTTCCCTAAACTAGCTTTCAAATACTTATTTCTTTATAGAAATTATATCTACAATTTGGATAAATTCCTTTAGCTGGGTTTCCAGTAGACCTAGATAACTAAGACGGGAAACATAAAGCGTGTGTATTGTTAAGCACATTTTAATCGGCTCTTATCATAGTTGAGCACAGAGAAGAACATTAACGTTATTAAATGTAAAACTCTATATATTAATAGTGATGAGCTGACTCTGAATTTTCAGCCTGCCAAGAAATCTTTTAAAAAGAGCTTTTACTGCAAATCTTGCTTATTTAAGATAGAAAAGTAGGATAATTATATATTATAACTAAATGAAGATCAAATAAAAGCAGAGATCTAGAGCAGACAGGACACATCCTGGCAATCTTTATGATAACTGGTCCAAAGTGTCAGTAAAATAATTGGGCATTTCAGAGTTATATTATAAAAGTTGGTTCAAACACTTAATTATAAAAATGTCTTTTGAAGCTTAAAGTACCATAAAATGTGCCAATTATATTTCACAGAATATCACTTTGATTTCTCTGTAAATCAAATCTGAGTTGTTTATTTTTTGTTGTATTTATTCTTGAAATTAGCTGATTCTACCTTTTAAACCAAAGAAAGCTAGTGTAATCTACCATGTTATAGAACAGGAAAGAATTTTCCTCTGCCTTTGTAGATGCAGTACAAAAGAAAGTCAGCAAGCCTGTTCTTGAAACCATACTTTACCCAAACAGCCCTTGGTCCCCTTTCAACAAATTAATTTAATAAGCATTTTTGAGCACCTATTTTATGCCAGGCATAATGCATTTATTGAGAATAGAATGTAAATAAGACATAGTCCCTGCTCGTGTAGAGCTATTAGAATTCTACAGCCTAAGCCATACTCAGATGTTGAAAGATCGACAGGTATATCACTCTGCTATTGGTACAATAATGCTGTGTAACAAACTATACGGAAATATAACAGCTCAACATAATCATTTATTTGTACCCACTCATCTCAGGTTAACTATGGATTGATTGGTCTAGGCAGTTTGGTTAGGTTTGGCTCCAAGCTGGAGACTGGCTCCAGATCTACCTTATTCTATCCTCCTTGGACCAGTGGGCTAACTGGACATATTCTTTCATAATGTTGGCAGAACCAAAAAAGACAAGCCCAGTTCTACAAACACATTTTAAATCCTTCCTTGTATCACATCTACTAATATACCATTAGTTAAAGCAAGTCAAATGATCAAACCCAAAGTCAAGGGCAGGGAAGTGTACTCAACCTCTGATGGGAATTACTGCAAAATGGGATTCAGGGTCTGGTGGTGAGAACTGCAAAGACAGATGAGAAAGAGCATGTATATAGGAAAGGCTGAAGAACTGGGGGCAGTATTTCAGTTTGCTCCAGGCATGTTTTGGGGAGCAGCAAATGCAGAGATAACCAGTAGCTCCCTTCCACTGCCTTTTTTGGACTATTATGACCAAGCAAAATGCCAGTATCACCAGAGTGTTTCACCTCGCCTTTGCAAGGAGAAACTGGGTTATCATTGTGTCTTGAATGTTGAGAACTTGGATTGAAAGCTTCATTGTAATATTAAACTTATTTAATTGAGTAATTTGGGGAGATGGTATAAAGTTAAAAGATTTCTCAACTTTTTGTGTTGAGAAACTACCTATTTTTATAGTAGTGTATATGGAAAGTAAACTGCTAATAGTGTGTGTGGCTTGCTGGCATTGGAGAGGCACAGGAAAAGAGCAAAGAAGTCATTACCAGCCTGGGCAACAAAGAGAGACCCTGTCTCTACAAATAGTAATTTTAAAAAATTAGCTGAGCGTGGTGATGCATGCCTGTAGTTCCAGCTACTTGGGAGTCTGAAGTGGGAGGAGACCCTGAGCCTGGGAGGTCAAGGCTGCAGTGAGCCATGACTGCACCACTGCACTCTAATCTGGGCGACAGAGTGAGACTTCGTCTCAAAAAAAAGGAACTCATTACCTTCTCCTGTTGCCAACATCACTCCCAAATATATTTACCATACTCTAAATGTCATGATATCAAGAGTTTACTCTGTTAGAATAGTCGCAACAGTTTCTGAGCTCTGTGTAGTCCTTGGGCAGAGGAAGATTTTTGGTGAAAGCTTCTGCTTAGAATCAGTTACAGGTTGAGTATTCCTAATCTGAAATGCTCCAGATTCATAAGTTTTTGAGTGCTGACCTGATGCTCAAAGGAAATGCTCATTGGAGCATTTCATATTTCAGATTTTTGGATTATGAATGCTGAACCAGTAAGTATAATGTAAACATTTCAGAATCTCCCACAAAATTCAAAATTTAAAACACTTCTAGTCCCAGGTATTTCAGGGAAGGGATACTCAACCTATATCAGTCTTCTTAATCAACTGACTTGTCTCCCTGGGCCAATGGTATGGCCTCTGTTTGGGATTAATGACCCATTTTCAGAGCTGCTGTGGAATACATATGAATTGGAATCTATATCTGTGAAAAGTAGGATATCCTAATACAAAGGACTCATATAATGACTAATGTTTTGTAACTACTTAGTAAGTGTTTTAGGTAATATTTATGTTCAAAATATCCAGGAAAGGAAGGGAGATGATGCTTGTAGTAGTAGTTTTAGTAAAATTAGGGGAATAGTTGTGCTCAGACTCTCCTAATATTATTATCTTCATATGGGAGAGGCCAAAAATTACCCATAGGGATTCTTAGCAAAGACATAGAAATCTTCCAAGCATCTCTCCAGGCAAGAAGCCCATGCATTTCTCTTAAGAGACTAGACAGAATGTCTTCATTGTTACACTTTCTGTTTTTTTTTTGTTTCCCTTTAAAATAAAAGCCATAATTCAAGAAAAGCATGTTGCACACTACCCAGCACATTACAGGTGTTTAATAAATACATGTTCATTCCTTTTAGTTCTTTTCACCTTAGTAATAAACTTTTAAAAAGATTATTCCTTCTTCTTTTTGATATAAGCAGAAGAATCATCTGTACCATCAAGAGAAAGAGAGGGTAAGAGGTAGAGAAATAGAACCATATTGCTAATAACAAGAGTTATGCAAAGTTGAAATATGGTGTATCAAGAGATAGTGACATGTTCAGGCATAAGCTATACAACTACATTGAAAAAGATAACAGAGTTGAGCATTGCACAGGTGTTGGATGGGATAGCCCTTAAGGTCCATTCCATTCCTGTAATTGTAATAAAATATTAATAAAATTTTAATAAATTTTTAATAAAATATTCTTTTGACTGCTATCTGCTACATTCTTTAGTAAAATGTTTCCTTGCTCATCTTTTTTCTTTCCTATACACTGATTAGAAACTATGGTAAAAGTATTGTTACGGCACAGTGCTGACATTTTTTTACTAACAATTTTGTTATATTTGTTAAATGAATGAACAGATTAACAAATGAATATCAGTACCCAATGTCAATCATCATAAACAACTTATATATGAGGTTGGAGATGTAAGTTTACTTACTGTCATAATTCTTGTTTCCTTATGCTGAGGGAATTCTGAGCTGTCTCCCCTTCCTTTTTTGCTTCTTAGTTTATATTGAAGAGCTTATTTATAATCAGCTATTTGGTAAGGTAGTATATATCATTGGTGGCAAAATTGGATTTCTTGATTAAAATTTTGGATTATAAAGTTTTTGAGGCAAATGACCATGTAATCTCAACACATCATACAATACAGAAATATACTCCCCAAGTATTTGGTGGCAAAACATTTGAGGCCCAGCAGCCATAAAAAGATAATCTTAGGGGTTTTTTTTCCCTCTCACCAACTCAAACCAGTTGTTAGTAATAAGTTGGTAGCTAATATTTTCTTCCTTTTTTTGTGGTGTTATTGTTGTTGTTGTTTGAAACAGGGTCTCTCTGTTGCCAAGTCTGTAGTGCAATGGCATGATCATGGCTGGCTGCAGCCTTGACCTCCCAGCCTCAATCAATCCTCCCATCTGAGCCTCCTGAGTAGCTGGGACTACAGGCGCACACCACCACGCCTGGCTAATTTTTTTGTGCATTTTTTGTGGAGACAGGGTTTTGCCATGTTGCCCAGGCTGGTCTTGAACTCCTGGGCTCAAGCGATCCACTCTCCTCAGCCTCCCAAAGTCCTGGGATTACTAGCATGAACCACTGGTAGCTAATATTTTCAAACAATAAAATGGATACTCTAGTATTTCTTATAATTTGAAACATTTTTGTAAAATGAATTTTTTCTTTCACTCAGTTTTTAGTAAAAACCCATTTACTATTTCTTTTGATAACAAAGAAACTTCCTTTTTGTTACTGTCTCTGCAGCTTTCATGATCCAGACATTCAGAGGCAAGATGGCATTTTAAGCTTTTGGACTAGCATTTTGTTTTTCATTTTAAATCTCAAATCTACCATTATCTATTTCTTTTATGAAGTAAGGGTTTATGTTTATTTGCTTAGTTTGTTTTGCTTTTTGAATAGGAAATATTTAATCCCTCTGTTTAAGGTTATAGAACCTCTTAGCAAGCACAGGTTTATTATGTACTGTCTTAAAGTAGCAAGTGAAATGAAGGGTTAATATTTTTTACAAACCACTTATTTGGATTTTTAAAGGCATAAAATACATGTATTTTATATATATTACATATTTTGCATATATATTTTTTGGCTGGAGTAAGCCCTGATTCCAAAGTTCCGGAGATACAGACTAGCTGAAAGACATTTTCTGAACTTAAATATTCTAACTAAACTTTTCTTTCTTGTCAGCCACCAGCTCTGCCCACTTGGAAGACCTTGCTTACCTGGATGAGCAGAGACATACACCTTTGAGAACTTCTCTACGAATGCCAAGACAGAGCATGGGTGGTGCTCGCACACAGCAGGATTTAAGAGGTTAGAACCACAGAAGGGCTTTAAGGGTGCCCGGGAACAGATGGAAATGGGCAAAAGCCAAAAAGTTGCTTTGTCTCCTATTCCCATACTTACTTAAACCTCCCTAAGAAGTGAAATGATCCATTTTAGCATGTGACCAGTTCATTTCTGCTGAGTCTAGAGAAAGATAAACACAAATACATTGTACTCCTCATAGACAGGCATTGTGTAATTATCAACATTTGGAAGCATTAGTTCCTCGAAATTCTGAAAGAAAACAGATGTAAAGGGGCTGTGGTAATGGGGGAAATAACCTTTCTAAGATCTTGGATTTCAGAAGTGACTGCGGACCAGATTCAGCCCTAGCCATATTGCAGGTGAACTGTGCTGATCATAATGTACAGGTTGAGCATCCCTAATCTGAAAATCCAAAATGCAAAATGCTTCGAAATCCAAAACTTTCTGAGTGCCAACATGACACCACAAGTGGAAAATTCCACACCTAGCTTCATGTGATGGGTTGCAGTGAAAACTTTGTTTCACAAAATGTTGAGTAAAATTACCTTCAAGCTATGTGTATAAGGTGTGTATGAAACATATGAATTTCTTGTTTAGACCCAAGTCCTATCACCAAGATCTTTCATTATATATATGCAAATATTCCAAAGTCCAAAAAAATCTGAAATTCAAAACACTTCTGATCCCAAGCATTTTAAATAAGGGATACTCAGGCTGTATTTTGCTAGGGAATTTTTTTCATTTTTGTTTTAGTGGCCATTTCTAGTAACATGCAATATTTTATTATCTTGGTCTTTTAGAAAGTGCCTATAATCCTGGCCTAGCAAGAGCTACACAACCTATCCTTTTCTCACTCAGGTACCTGTTGCCTTACCTTCTTTGTGGCATGCTACATGCTTCTCCAAGCTGGCACCAGATCTTTTTAAAGACTGTCATTTTGTTACAGTGATGGTCTAGTTGAGGAGCCTCTTATTGGTATTTCTATGCCTCTCGTTTGCTCAAAATGAACCAAACTGTCTCTGATAGCTTTTAACAGATAGTCTCCTTTCTCTGGTATGTTAGCAATCTCTATCTCTACCACAAGTGTGTTTTTAATTTTATCTTACGGATGATTTTCATCTTTCTTTAGCTCTCCTCTTCACCCCTTGTCCTATTCCCTACTCTAAGCAGTATAGTGCCACGTGCACAATTCCCATGGGAAGGAATTTATACATGTCTGCTGTCCACTCTAGACATCATTATGCTAACAGTTTTTCAGTGATGGCTAAGCAAACAGGATTTTAAAATAATTGATTGTATTGCAACAATTACCATACCTCCCATCAACAGCAGTTAGTTGATAGCCTCAGTCATACTTTTAGTTCCCAGTCCTTTTGTCCATCCTGCTTGCCAGTTCTTCAGTTTGTCATATACCAGTTGCATGGCATATGCAACTGTGTGTTTACAGTCCAGAAAATGGAAATATATCAAGCACTATTTTAGACTAATTACATCTAAAGTCTGAATAAAGTTGATCAAGAGACCAAATAATTGATTTGCGCCCCGACCAGAATGCACAGCCGTAATAAAGAAGATTGGACAGAACTACTGATCTATATGGACCTTCAGATTTGATTGAAAATCTGCCACATTGGCATCATCTTCCATCTTATTACTAAAAAACATACTGACATTGTTGACTTTATTTTCTGCTTTACTAATCATTGAATAATAGATGTTATACTACATAGAAAACAAAATTATTTGACAGATTTCAGCAGTGAAATTTTTGGGAAACCTTTATATTGAGTTCTGTTGATATGTGGTAGTACCTATCTGCTTGTAGTATCTGAAGATTTAATAAGGTCTTTAACAGATACATTCTGGTGAGCTTGATGTTTACAAATACCAGTTTTATCTGGAATGCAACAAAGATCTTTTCCATTGCATTGATCTTCAGCCGAAGCATTCAGTGAAACAACAAAAGCACATTCAAAGATTTTCCCAAAGCTCACCTAAATCTTTAGGAAGGGCTCTGACTGAATATTGAATTTCTAAAAATACTAATTTCATATTCCTTGCAAATAGTGTCTTAACTTATTGTTTACATTAATACTTAGGCTGGAGTTTGTCCATTGATGAAGATGCTATGATGTTAGTATTTCAGTTCCTTGAAGTCATCTTTATTTTTCAAGAGCTTTCCTTTTAGCAGTCTAAACGGTTAGAACATGCCATCCAGCTGGGTACATTGATCCATAAAAAGCAAGGTGTTTACTTAGCAGTGTAAAGTATACTAAAACTAGTAATAACTTTAATTCAGAATTTTCAGAATTTAGAGTCCCTGAACAATAATCCTCTCTCAAAAAGTAACATGTTATCTTAATTATTGTTTACAGATGAATTGTATGGCTTAGGATACGACTTAAAACACATTATCAAGAAAGGAAAGCAAACTTGGGCAGATAAACTTTCCTTATGTTTCTTCAGACCTGCTTGGCAAGCCTTTATAATATGTGATTATTATATCCACAATGTTGTACTTTATTTCAGAAAAAATCAGATTTGTTTTCCTGGAATAATTTTTAAAAACATGTCACATCATGCTTTCTAATTTTATTTAAAGGAATGTACAAATTACAGTCATATTTCAGTTTGACATATTTTTCTTCTGATTATGATTAAAATGAAACTACCCCCAAAAAAGTAATGAAATGATTGAAAATCTTTTTTAGTCTGCATTAAGGTATATCTTTCCACTTTAGAATAGAGGTGTATCTTTCATACATTTTAAAGGAGTACTCTGACAAGTTCTGTGAAATAGGTTTTTTTTAACTTTTAAGTTTAGGGGTACATGTGCAGGTTTGTTATATAGGTATGAGTCATGGGGGTTTCTTGTACAGATTATTTCATCACCCAAGTATTAAGCCTAGTATCCATTCATTATTTTTCCCAATCTTTTCCCTCCTCCTACCTCCTCCCACCAGTAGGCCCCAGTGTTTGTCATTCCCTTTTATGTGTCCATGCGTTCTCATCATTTAGCTCCCACTTACAAGTGAGAACATGCGGCATTTGGTTTTCTGTTCCTGCATTAGTTCACCAAGGATAACAGCCTCCAGCCTCATCCATGTTCCTGCAAAGGACATGATCTCGTTCTTTTTTACGGCTTCATGGTATTCCATGGTGTGTATGTACCACATTTTGTTTATCCAGTCTACCATCAATGGACATTGAAGTTGATTCCATGTCTTTGCTGTTGTGAACAGTGCTGCAGTCAACATATGTGTGCATGTGTCTTTATGATAACAATTTATATTCCTTCGAATATACCCAGTGATTTCACTGGATTGAATGGCCGTTCTATTTTTAGATCTTTGAGGAATTGCCACACTGTTTTCCACAGTGGTTGAACTGATTGTGGAAAACACTCCCACCAACTGTGTATAAGTGTTCCTTTTTCTCCACAGCTTCGCCAACATCTGTTATATTTTGGCATTTTATTAACAGCCTTTCAGACTGTTATGAGACGGTATCTCACTGTGCTTTTGATTTGCATTTCTCTAAAGATCAATGACACTGAGCTCTTTTTCTTTTTTTTTTTTTTTAATTTTGCTTTAAGTTCTGGGATACATGTGCAGAACATGCAGGTTTGTTACATAGGTATACATGTGCCATGGTGGTTTGCTGCACCTATCTACCCGTCATCTAGGTTTTAAGCCCCGCATGGATTAGGTATTTATCCTAATGCTGTTCCCACCCTTGCCCCCCCCATCCCCCAACAGGCCCCAGTATGTGATGTTCCCCTCCCTGTGTCTGTGTGTTCTGCCATTGAGCTCTTCTTCATAAGCTGGTTGGCTGCATGTTTGTCTTCTTTTGAAAAGTGACTGCTCATGTCCTTTGTCCATTTTTTTTAATAGGGTTATCTGTTTTTTCTTAACAAATTAATTTAAATTTAATTAATTAAATTTCTTAACTTAAAGTTCCTTGTAGATGCTGGGTATTAGACTTTTGTCAGAGACATCGTTTGCAAAATTTTCTCCCATTCTGTAGGTTGTCTGTTGACTCTGTTGATAGTGTCTTTTGCTGTGCAGAAGCTCTTTAGTTTAATTGGATCCTGTTTGTCAATTTTTGCTTTTGTTGGAATTGCTTTTGGTGGCTTCATCATGAAATCTTTAAATCTTTGCCTATTTCTTTATCCAGAATGGTATTGCCTGGGTTGTCTTCCAGGTTTTTATAGTTTGGGGTTTTACATTTAAGTCTTTAATTCATCTTGAGTGAATTTTCTTATGTGGTGTAAGGAAGGGATCCAGTTTCAGTCTTTGCATATGGCTAGCCAGTTATCCCAGCACCACTTATTAAATAGGGAGTCCTTTCCCTATTGCTTGTTTTTGTCAGTTTTATTGAAGACCAGGTAGTTGTAGGTTTGCAGTCTTATTTCCTGGTTCTCTATTATGTTCGGTTGGTCTATGCGTCTGTTTGTACCAGTACCATGCTGTTTTGGTTATTGCAGTCCTGTAGTATAGTTTGAAATCAGGTAGTGTGGTGCTTCCAGCATTGTTCTTTTTGCTTAGGATTACCTTGGCTATTTGGGCTCTCTTTTTGGTTCCATATGAATTTTAAAATAATTTTTTCTGGTTTTGTAAAGAGTGTCATTGGCAGTTTGATAAGAATAACATTGAATCTTACCAATTACTTTTGGCAGTATGGCCATTTTAACGACATTGATTCTTCCTATTCATGAGCATGAAATTTTTTTTATTTGTTTGTGTCATCTCTGATTTCTTTGAGCAGTGTTTTGAAGTTCTCCTGATAGAGATAATTCACCTACCTGGTTAACTGTATTCCTAGGTATTTTATTCTGAAATAGTTTTTTAATCACAATTCTGGTTTTAAATGATCCTAGAGATGGTAGTTAATGCTTATATACACTGTAGTATACCCAGTAGATAACTAAGTTTATTGACTGACTGATTTCAAGTGTAGAGAGTGTCTGAAATAATATCCTCTGGATGTATGTCCAAAGAACATTTGAGGTGACAAGCCATGCATTGATTGGGAACTTCATATAGGCAGAATCTTGTACTATTCTGTTAAGAGCAGTGTTTCTCAAACTTTTTGGTCCCGGGAGCCTTTTATACTCATAAAAAAATTACACAGGCGGCTATGGCTGTCCCTGTAATCCCAGCACCTTAGAAGGCCAAGGTGGGAGGCTTACTTGAGCCAGAAGTTCAAGACCAGCCTAGGCAACATAGGCAACATAGCCTAGGCAACAACCCTGTCTCTACAAAAAAATTTAAAAATTAGCCATGCATGGTGGTAGTCCTAGCTACTCAGGAGGCAGAGGTGGGAGGATCACTTGAGCCTGTGAGGCCAAAGCTACAGTGAGCCATGAGCCATTATTGCTCCACTGCACTCCAGTCTGGGTGATAGAAGGAGACCCTGTCTCATTTTTAAAAAATTATTGAGCTTATATTTATATGGGATAAATTGATATTATCATATTAGAAATTAAAAATAATATGTTAAATATACTTTGTTTAAAATAATGTTTTAAAATAATAATAGGGATTGTTGAAATAACTCATTTATTCATTTTTTTATAAATAATAGACCCATTACATGTTAAAGTTATGTAAGCTGTGGAAAATTCCACTGTACACTTGTGAAAGAATGAGAGTGGAAAAAGGCAAATAACCTCTTAGTACTGTAAATATAGTTTTGACTTTGCAAACTCCAAGAACATATCTCAAGAATCTAGGGATCCCCAGATGACGCTTTTATTTTATTTTAGGATCACAATGTTTAAAAACAAGTTTTGTTGGCTCTACACCTCCAAAGAGCTCCCAAATCCAACTACTTTTCACCTCCTTCAATACTGCCTCTCACTGAGACTATTGCAGTAGGCGAGCTTAGTGGCTCTCACAGTGTGGTCCTGGGACCAGCAGGAGTGGCATTATCTAGGAAGTTTTCAGAAATGCAGATTCTTTAGCCCCATTCCACACCTACTGAATCAGAAATTCTGAGAATGGGGCTGGCAAGCCGTGTCTTAAACCTTGCAGGTGATTTTGCAGATCACACTTTTAAAACCACTAGTTTAGAGGATGTCATTGTAATTGAAGATAAGCTTTATGCCTCAAGGTCCATCAGTCTATTTACAAAAGTGCAAAAATGCGTAGTTTGAGAGCTGGTTACATGTTATTCATGAACATGATTTAACAATACAGGCATAATTAATTTAACAGGTGCCTTAATAGTAACTGCAGTTGTTTGATGATAATGGTAGTCTTTTGACTGCTGAAGCAGAAGTTGGGATAACATCTCCAAGTGGGATATTAACATCAACATTGCTTCATTAGTTAAAAAGTCCTTTTTTTTTTTCACTCTTCAAGACAGCTGTTTTGAACAACTGTTCTACAAAAATTGATATTTCCAGAAACCCGGCCCAACGGGGGAGAGGTCATGTGAGTCAACTGTCCAAAGCAACTTAACAGATTCCTAGCTGTCAACCATCCAAGAGCTTGAATACTAATGATAAAAGTCATAGAAGATTGTGTACTAGTACAGAGTATATAGCTAGCTAACCTACTACAAGCGCCTTTTCTAGTCCCAAAGCCTAATGTCTTTGATAGATATTAATTTGAATTAATTTAACTAATAAAGTTTTTAACTTAAAATTTTAAAATTAGGCTAGGCATGGTGGCTCACACCTGTAATCCCAGCACTTTGGGAGGCCAAGGTGGAGGGATCACCTGAGGTCAGGAGTTCGAGACCACCCTGGGCAACATGGTAAAACCCCATCTCTACTTTAAAAAAATACAAAAATTAGCCAGGCATGGTGGCGTGGGCCCATAGTCCCAGCTACTCAGGAGGCTGAGACTTAAGAATCACTTGAACCTGGGAGGTGGAGGTTGCAGTGAGCCAAGATCGTGCCACTACACTCCAGCCTGGGCAACAGTCTCAAAAAAATTGTTTTAATTATTTTTGGCTTCATGTTTTTAAATTTAATCACCATTAGGTTAATGTGGAGTTATGCTAAAAATTATCCACCTGAAAATGTCCACTCTTTCTGATCATCTTAATGAAAGCTCTCTCATTCCGCAGAGAAAGATAGAAACTAAGTTTGCTGCCTATTACAAGGAAGGAAGAAATAGTTTATTTTTATGGATAAATGTAATAAATCTTATGATGGATTATATAAAGGGAACCAGGAGGAGTTAAAATATACAAGGCAAATTGTAGCATAGTGACTTTGAATGGTAGCTACGTGGGTTAAATTAACAACAAATTATTAATATTGAGACCCTAACCTGCCTGGTCTTAAGTTACAACCACACTCTTCTACTTGAAGAAATTATATATTGCTAATTAAAACTTCATTTCTCAATATATGGTGGTTTCCTTAGAACTTTTACTAAATCTCATTACATAAAAAGCCATTCAGAGGCTTTGTGTTTAGTTATTAGCTACTTTAATAGACACTAGGTTGGAGGGCATATGTACAAATGATAGTCTGATTCATTGGCAGAATTTATGTGAAATTGGCCCTGCCACAGTTAACTTGGTTTTATCAAAGCAATAAATTTAATTTTTATCAAATCTGTGCTTCACACCATTTATGAGTCCCGTACTGTTCTGAAACAATGAATCCTTTATGATGATGACTAAGATGCATGTCATGAAGCTAAATGCTCTTACATTAGCCTACTGAGTCACACATCCCTGAGGTTGCTTAGTCATCTTGATCATTGCCTGGCTGGCTCTCACATTTACAAGGGAATATTTCCATCAGTCTTTTCTACCTCATTGTTCATTATTTCATCCCTACAAGTAAGATTAAATTTTCTTAAGTAGATTCAAAACCCAAGGATAAGGTTGCATGCACATAACTTCCTATAGTAAATATTATATGGGTAGATTGTAAGTTTTAGTTGTATGAGGTTGTTCCCCTCACCCCCAACCAGCTCTTCTGCAGAGAAGACTGTGAAGTAACATGAACAAAACTCTCATCATGACATCTAACTCTGCAAGATATCTCACTGGAAATACTTTAAAATGCCTTGAGTGCAGTAAAGAAAAATAACACACTCTTAACCTATTTTGATGTTTTGATCTAAATTAAAGAATAAACTTCCCAATTAATCTTATTATTTTCCTCAAAAGTGACTAGGTCTATTAAAGTAACCATAATGCCAATAAATTTACTTAGATAAGACTTTGCAAAAAAATTTTGTAATTCAGTAAAATGATCTAAGTTTTTTAATCTTGTAGTATATAAAAGGTTTGTTGTGAAATAACTTCCCCAGATGCTCATAAAATTACAGAACTAGATGATTTCATTTTAAGGCCACAAACGAAAGGCTATTTCATCAATGAGAGTTCACTTTAAAATGTTTTATCTTAAATTTCAACGAATTAAAATACCCAGTTTTTATATTCCCAAAAATAAATGTTGTATATCACCTTAAAAGCCAACACTCTAAGAGCACAATACTTAAAACAACTGTATTGCCATAGTTATAAATATTTTATCAAATATTTCCTATTTTAAAACCTTTACTGTTTTATGTTTTCTCTACATTTTCAGGTATTAAATGTGAGGAAGCATATAAAAAAGCAGCAACCTTTGGGAGAATTGGGTTTTCCCTTTCTTTTTTTTTTTTTTTTAACTGTTCTCCAAAGATCTTTGTTCTCTTTCTGAAAATTCCACTCAGCAGTGACTGCAGATTTTTCTCAACAAATGTTTTCCCATAAGACCAATGTCAGAAAGCTGAAATTTAATATGGAAGTTATTCAAAGATTCAAAGTAAGATTTTTTTCAGAGTAAAATAAGCCTTCCCCCTTTTTTATCCCCACATTAATAGAAGGCAATGGACTTTTTAAAACACTAAGACAAATGTTAACAGTGAGACACTCTTCAAAAGGTGTAAAAGTGATAGCATACATTTATTGGAGTTCTTACTCTTTGTGGGCACAGTGCTTAGAGCTTTAAACATATTCTTATTTAATCCTCACAACTCTTTAAGTAGTGGTAATAAGGAAACTATGTCATAGACAACTTAATATAAAAAGCAATCGGTAATACAGTAATAGCAGTACATTGGCTTATGGTAGATACTCTGTACTCTGCGGTATTGGAGATGGCAAAGACTGTTGAATATTTCAGCAGGAGCTGTGGTCAGAGAGGATACTTGATTCATTCACCCAAACCAGCTTCGACTCCTCTCTTCCTAAATAGTACTTCAGTTTTCCTCTCACTTGAGCTTTAAATCTTGGAGTCAGCATTGAAGCACCATCTACATTATCTCCTATATGCAGTCAGGACCAGACCCTGAGGGTTCAGCTCTCACAGAGTTTCTCACATTCTTTCCATATTCTCCATTCTCAATATTGCTAATTAGCTTGCCTCCCTCCTCTGGTCTTTCCATCTTCTTCTTTTTTTTTTTTTTTAACTTTTATTTTAGGTTCCGGGGTGCGTGTGAAGGTTCATTACATAAGTAAACTTGTGTCACGGGGGTTTGTTGTACAGATTATTTCGTCACCCCGGTATTAAGCCGAAGACCCATCAGTTATCTTTTCTGCTTCTCTGGTCTTTCTGTCATCTAATCAGTATAATGCCTGGCTGCCAAAGTAATCTTTCTAAAATGCAGCTCAGAATCATGTCATTTCTCTGTCTTAAGTTATCATTGCCAGCATCCTTGTTCAGTTAGTGTGCAGGAATAGAAATTAGCAACATTTAAAAGCAGTTTTGAAGAAAACAAGTTACAGTTTATTACCTTTAAAATTAACTCATTGATACTTAAGAAAAGCTAAAAAAAAAAAATTTAAAGAATAGACACTGCCAGATGGACAATGAAATGGAACATGTAATGGAAAAGAACTAAAGGAACAGAGATAGTAAGATAATGTATAAGAACATGCCAACACAATGCTTAATGAATTTTATTAATTCAGCAAAAAAAAAAACAAAGACTAAAATTATTTCTATGCCAGATGAGTCATCAGTATTTGGCATCAGTATTTTTAGTACTTAAAAAGAGGTAACAGGCCGGGTACAGTGGATCGTGCCTGTATTCCCATCATTTTGGGAGGCTGAGGCAGGAGGATCACTTGAGGCTAGGAATTCGAGACCAGCCTGGGCAACATAGTGAGACCTGTCTTTACAAAAACTTTAAAAATTAGCCATGCACGGTGGTACACGCCTGTAGTCCCAACTACTCAGGAGGATCACTTGAGTCCAAGGCTGCAGCTTCAGTGAGCTATGATTGTGTCACCACACTCCAGCATGGCTGACAGAATGAGGACCTGTCTTAAGGAGAAGGATAAGGAGAAGCAACAGAGTAACAAGGCAATCTATGGAATAGGAGAAAATATTTTCAAACCATGTATCTGATAGGAGTTAATATCCAGAATATATAAGAAACTCCTACAACTCAGTAGCAACAAAACAATGTTTAAAAATGGACAAAGGACTTACATAGACATTTCTTCAAAGAAGACATACAAATAGCCAATAGGTATATGAAAAAATGCTCAATATCACTTATTGTCAGGGAAATGCAAATCAAAACCATAATGAGATAGTACCTCACACCTGTTAACATGGCCATTATTTAAAAAAAAAAGAAAGAATAACAAGTGTTGGTGAGGATGTAGAGAAATTGGAACCCCATACACTGTTGGTGGGAATGTAAAATGGTGCAGTTGCTATGGAAAACAGTATGGAGGTTCATCAGATATTTAAAATAGAACTGCCATATGATCCAGCAATCCCACTTCTGGGTATTTTTCCAAAAGAACTGAAATCAGGGTCTCAGAGATATTTTCACTCCTATGTTTATTGCAGCATTATTCACAATTGCCAAGAGACAGAAACTACCTAAATGTTAAAGGATGAATGGATCAAGAAAATGTGGTCTATATATCAATGGAAAAGAGATCCTGTAATATGCTACAATATGAATGAAACTTGAGAACATTCTGCTAAATGAAGTAAGCCAGTCACAAAAGGACAAATATGACATGATTCCACTTACATGAGGCATCTAAAGTAACCATCAGAATAGAAAGTAGAATAGTGGTTGCCAGGAGCTGGGGGAAAGAGGAAATGGGGAGTTCCTGTTCAATGGGTATAAAGTATCAATCATGAAAGATGAAAAAGTTCTAGAGGTCTGCTGTACAACATTGTGCTTATAGTTAGCCATGCTGTACTATTCACTTAAAAATTTAAGAGGGTAGCTTTGTGCTTTAATTAGCCTCTCCCCCTATGGAAGAACAAACATCAGGAGTAGGCAACAGATGGCACTGAAACGTGAAGGTGAGGGGAAGTCCATGATGCTGCCAAGACTCCTGAAAGTGATTGAGAAATGTGTAAAGTGAAAAGACTTGAGCAGAGTTCGTCATCAAGAATGGGAAGACAGGATGAAAGCATGACCATCACTAGCATTTACTGAGCATTTACTATGTACCAGGTTTCATGCTAATAACTACATTATCATGACAGCCCCATGAGGTATATGTATCCCCTTTTACAGAGTAAGAAATCAAGATGGAGAGAGGAGTTAAGTAATTTGCAAAAGGTCACAGAGTTGTTATGTCTGAGCATATAACCTACCCTGATATAATACCTGTGGTTAAATGATCTTAGGGGCTATAAATTAGAAACAGAGGATTGTGACCCAAAGGAGAGGTAAATTAAGATATATAGAGAGTGTAGCTGATCTAGTAAAAGGAAAAAGCTCTAAGCCTTGCTAGGAAATACTAAACTCCTGAAACCCCATGCTTTTATATAGCACCTGTCATATCACATAATGTTTTCAAAGGACTGAAAGTCTTAGACTAGGTGCAGCAATCCTCACTGGTGAGCACTGTACAGAAAGGACACCTCAACAAGGAACATAGTGTTTTCAAAAATAAACTGATTGTTCCCAAGGAGTCCCCCCCACCCATTTTTAACTTTTATTCCCCTATGTCTTATGAGTGAGATAAAAGTTTTAGATCAAATTCTAGAAAGGTCTTAGATTGAGAATCATCAGCTCTAGAGAGTTCTTTTCAGAGACATGCCTGACTTCATTGACCCTGTTTTTTACGAAAGATTATGGGGAAGTGGGGAGAAATGAAGTGGCAAAGGGATTCTGTGAAGGAACAAGGGAAATAACATTTGAGTCATGGTTAGTTCATAGTCAGTATCACTCAATTCTCATATGTTTAAAATCTGATTCACGTAAAGCTTTTTTTAGCACTAAGAAAGAATCTTAAAGATTTCATCCAAGTCCTTTGTTTCACATTTAATGAAACTGCCTCCAAAAGCAGTTAATTCCACTTGCCCAGGGTAATAGAATAATAAACCATGAACTAGAATCCAGATCTAACTTAGTTCATTTCTCTCTTACCCTCTCCACGATTCTGTTACACTCTCGAATTTCACAGATTTGCCAAATCTCAGGATGAAATGTACTTTTCAGTCTAAATAGTTAAAACTAAACCCCAGATATGTTTTTTAATTGTTGGGTAAAAAAGTAAAACCTAGTTTTTTTTTAATTCAGTTTAGGTATTGACCTACTCTCTATATAGAATAGACTGTAGGCTGCCAAGTAAATATCATATCTTCTTAATTATTGAGGATGTCTGCTAATAGTGAAGGTTGATCCTTTCCCTCCTCTTTTTAAAAGAGTTGCTTTTTTAAGAGTCCTTCCCACCATCCTTTGTAGTAATTAATTACTAAGATATGATGAAAATATCTGTCTCCTAGCTTAGTCACTTTTGTTCTTGCTTTCTCCCTTTTTTCTTTCCACTAAAAATGACTTGTTTAAATACATCTGTTACTTCTTTGTCTGATTCTGTTTATTAGCAGAAATCTGATAGGGTTAGAAAAATTGCTAGGTAGATTTTATGTAATACTGATCTATAGGGACAGGTTGCTCTGCTGAATGCTTCTGGAACTTCAGTAGGTCTTTTTTACTTTGGCTAACACCTACCTATAAATAGGTAGCTATACTGGCTGTACTGTAAGAACTACTTGCTGAGAATTTTTAAGCTAAAAATATTCCTCTCAGAGTTAATGAGGTAAAATCATCATCTGGCACCTCTGGCCTGACAAATGAATGCGCACTTTGCTAAAGCATTTTAAAGCCATAATAAAAACATGTCTGAATTCCAGCTTTTGTTAGTGGAAGAATTGCCTTTTTGGACTAAGCCTTCCATGGATAACAATTAAGAATTATGAACAAAATACAAAAAATAACTATTTGAAGGCACTGGAGAGTGGCAGAAAGCAGATGGAAGTGGGAAGTGAGTTTACATTTGAAATATAGGGACCAAAACTTATATTTGGAATATAAGGACAAACTTGTATTTTCAAGTTTGTAGCATTTTGCTTAAGGACTCTTTCCAATCTGTGGATGGCTTCAGGTGGCAGAAAGCCACAGCTTTACTTACTTGAAGTATCAAAGGACAGAATCCCAAAGCTGGCAGAATACTGGAAAGTTAGCAAGGAATTTCTAAAAGAAAGGGAGCTGCAGAGGCGGTAGGTCCCAAAATGTGTGTGTAAGCCTTGCCCCAGATCCTTGGCTGACTACTGAACCATATATGTATAGAAGAAATCCTAATAAGCTCTGCAAATAAAGAAACACCCAGAAGCTGAAAGAACTTTTCAGCTGCTTATTATAACCGAAGAGAATTTGAATCCGGCTAAGTTAACTTGAACAAAAATCAGCATACTTGAACAAAAATCAGCATACTTGAGAGGAACATAACAGAATCCAGAGGTTCTAAAATGTATCTGTTAAACCCAGTGTAATTGAATAATGTATCCCAAAAATTCAGGTCCACCCAGAATCTAAGAACGTGACCTTTTTGGAACTAAGACCTTGCAGGTGTAATTAAATTAAAATGAGATCACGCTAAATTAGGGTGAGCCCTAAATCCAATGACGGTATTTTTTAAAAAGAAGAGAAGTCACACAGAAGTACACAAGGAAGGGGGCCATGTGAATTTGGAGGCAGAAGTTGGAGTGATAGAGCTGTATAAGCCAAAGAACACCATGGATTTATAGGAGCTACCGAAAACTAGGAAGAGGGAAAAACTTTCTTGAGCCTCAGAGGGAGCATGGCCCTAGGGACACCTTGATTTTGGACTTCTAGCCTCCAGAACTGTGAGAAAATAAAATTTGGTTGTTTTAAGCCACAAAGTTAGTGGTAACTTGTTATGGCAGCCCTAAGAAATTAATACACCCAATGTAGTAAAAAGGAAGGAAATATTATAATAAAGATAAGAGCAGAAATCAGTGGAGTAAGAAATAGACAAACATTAGCAATAATGAACAAAGCCAGAATTCGTTATTTGAAAAAATAAAATTTATGAACCCCATAAATAAAATTTATGAATCTTAATATTGCTTAAGAAAAATGGGAGAAAACACAAATTACTAATATCAGGAATGAAAGAGGAGATATCACTACACATTCTACAGACATAGAAAGGATAATAAGAAAATATAAAGAGATATTATATATGCCAGTAACTGCAACAACTTAGATGAAAATAACAAATTTCTTGAAAAGCACAACTTACCAAAACTAACACAAGGTGAAATAAAATATCTCAGGGTCTCTATTTCCTTTGAGAAATTGAACCTGCTATCAGAAACCATCCACCAAATAAAACTTCATGATCAAGTGGTTTCACCATTGAATTCTATCAAATATTTAAGAGTAGGTGGCTAGATCATCTGACAGGTATATGTTTAACTTTTTAAGAAACTGCAAAATGATATTCAAAGTGGTTGTATCATTTTCGTTCTCACTATCCATGTATGAGAGTTTCAGTTCCTCCCCATTCTTGTTGGTACACAGCGTGGTCAATCTTTTAAACTTTTGATATTCTACTACTATGTAGTGATGTCTCACTGCGCCTTTAATTTGGATTTACTAGTAACTGATATTGAAAATCTTCCTGTGCGCCTATTTGCTATCTGAACATCCTCTTTAAGTTGTGAAACTTTTTTTATCTAGTTTGGATGCACGTCCTTTAACAGATACTTGATTTACAAATATTTTTTCCTCGTTTATGACTTCTCTTTTCATTCTCTTAACAGTGTCTTTTGAAGACAGAAGTTTTTAGATGTCCAACTTGTGAATTTATGTCTTAGAGGACTGGCCTTTTAGTGTCGTGTTTAAGATTTCTCTGACAAATGAAAGGACACAAATATTTTCTCCTAGAAATTTTGTAGTTTTATGTTTTACATTTAGGTATCTGATTGATTTTGAGTAAATTTTTGTATATGATGCAAGATATGTGTCAACATTCTTTTTCTTTTCGGTTTCTTCTTTTTGGAGGGGAAGATACGGATACCTAGTTGTTCCCGCACCATTTGTTGTAAAGACTATTCATCTACTGGATTCCTTTTGTACCTTTGTTAAAAATTATTCATCCATAGATATATAGTTCTATTTCTGGACTTCTGTTTCACTTATCTAATAATATTCTGTATTGATACTAATAACATACTTTATTACTGTAGCTTTATAGTAAATCTTGAAATCATGTCAACACTCCAGTCTTCTTTTTTAGAGTTATTTCAGCTATTCTAGATTCTTTGCATTTCCGTGTGAAGCCTTATAAATTTCTACAAAAAAAAAAACTGCTAGAGTTTTTATGGAGATTGCATTGGATGGATGGATGGATGGATGGACAGACGTACAGACAGATCAATTTGAGGGGGGAAGATAGATAATTTGGGAGAAAATTGACTTATCAGTATTGAATCTTCCAACCTATATAGTATATCTCTGCAGTCATGTAGACCTTCCTTAATTTCTATCAGCTGTATTTTCTAGCTTTCAATGTATAAATGTTGAAAATCTTTTATACTTATCCTTCAGTATTTCATATTTCTTATGCTATTGTAAATGATATTGCTTTTAGCTTAATTTCTAATTGTTCATTGCCAATATATAGAAGTACAATTGATTTTTACCATGTTGCTCTTGTATCCTAAAACCTTGCTAAACTCACTTATGAGTTCTAATGACTTTTTTTAATAGATTCAGTAAGATTTTCTGCATAGATGATCATGTTGTCTGTAAATAAAGATAATCTTAGTTCTTCCTTTTTCTTTTTCTTGCCTTATTACTCTGACTAGAACTAGTACAATGTTGAGTAGAAACAAAGAGAGCGGAAATTCTTGCTTTTTCTTGGTCTTAGGTGGAAAGCATTCAGTCTTTCACCATTAGCTATGTCAATATGTTCTCCATAGATGTTCCATATCAGATTAAGGAAGTTCTTTGCTGTTGTTAGTTTGTTGATACTTTTTTTTCAATCAGGAATTTATATTGGATTTTGTCAGAATTCCTCAACATCAATAGAAGTTATATTTTTCTTTTTTAGTTAAACATTGCAAATCACATTGATTGATATTTGAATCTAACTTCGCATTCCTAAGAGAAAAGCTACTTGGTCATGACTTTTTAATATATTGATGGATTCAATTTGCTGCAATTTTGTATTTACTGTTCTGTATTTATGTTCATGAGAGATACTGGTTTCTAGGGTTTTTTGATGTCTTTGTCTGGTTTTAGTATCATGGTAATGGGAAAGTATTACCTCCTCTTTACTTTTTTTTAAAGCATTTCATTTGCGTTCCATTCAAAATACTTTCAAATTTGTCTTTTGACTTTTTCTTTGATTTACATGTATTTATTTCTGGGGAACTTCCAGATATATTTCTGCTATCGATTCCAAGTGTAATTTCACTGTTATCAAAGAACATGCTTTGTATGACATGATTTCTTTTAAATTTATACAGAATTTTTTACGGCCCAAAATATAGTCTGTCTTCATAAATGTTTCATATGCAATTGAAAAGAATTTGCTATTTTACAGTAGACACTTCTATAAATATCAAATAGGTCAAATTGTTTTTTTCAAGTCTTCTATATCCTTGCTGATTTTCTACTTGTTCGCTTAATTATTAGAAGAGAGACATTGAAATCTTTAGCTGCAAAAATGGATTTTGTGGATTTCTGTATTATTCCTTGTAGTTTTTGCTCTTTGTGTTTGGAGCTTTGTTATTAGAGCGTGTATTTAGGACTGTTATGTATTCTTGATGCACTGACCCAGTGATCATTAGGGAATGACCTTTTTTTAATCCTTGATGATACTCTTTGCTCTGAAATCACTTTGTCTAATAATAAAAACCACTCCACCTTTCTATTATTTGTGTTAGCATATATTAGTTATCTTTGTCCATACCTTTAATTTTAGCCTATTTGTTTATTTATATTTACAGTGAGCTTCTTATTAGCATCATAGTGATGGGTCTTGCTTTTTTATCCAATCTGTCTTTGGCTTCTAATTGAAATATTTAGATCATTTACTTTTTTTTAATTAGGGGAGGTTTAAATTTATCTTCTTGCTATTTGTTTTTCATTTATCCTATCTATTCCTTGTTCTCATCCTGCTTTTCTCTATTTTGCTATCACATTTTGATTATTTGTATATTTTTATCTCCTTAGTTAATTAGCTGTACTCTTTGTTATTGTTTGTTCACTGTATCATGTATACTATGTAGGTTTAACTTATTACAGTGTACCCTTAAGTGATATTACACCATTTCATGTATAGTATAAGAGCATTACAATAGTTATGTCAGGAGTGCCCCTCAGTTCACGGATTCCCTGGGAAGACTCACAGGACTCAACATATAGTCATTCCCACAGCTATGCTTTATTATAATGAAAGGATACAAAGGAAAATCAGCAAAGGGAAAAGCCACATGGTGCAAGTCTGGAGGAAATTAGACACAAGCTTCCAAGTACCCTCCCCAGTTAAGTCACACAACATACACTCAATTCCTCCAGCAATTAGTTGTGACAACATGTGTGAAATATTGTATACCGGGAAAACGCATTAGTGATTCATGACCCAAGATTTTTATTGGCGTGTGGTCATACAGACCCCCACCTTGCCTAACACATACCAAAATTCCAGGCAGCCAGAAGGGGAGCAGGTAAACCACATTGTTTATACAAACTGTTTAGGTACAATGAGCCGTTCTTACCAGTTCTGGGAATGGTAAGAACCCTCCTGAAATCCAAGTTCCCAGACTCCTGCCAAGAGTCAACCTTGTAAGCAAGCTTTCTGAGGGGAGCAGCCTCAGACCTGTTATATTAATTATTTCTGCACCATGTATATTTCCATTTGTCCCCTCCCAACTTCTATGTTGTTGTTGTCAGACATTTTACTTATATAAATGTTATATACCCCACAATACAGCAGTTAGTTATCTTTTAAAGAGTTTTAACCAATAAGATAAAAATCTTATGTATTTATCCATGCGTTACCATTTCTGGTGCTCTTCATTTCTTTGTGTTAATCCATATTTGCATCTGCTGTCTTTCCTTCTGCCTGAAGGACTTCCTTTAACATTTCTTGCATTGTGGATCTGCTAGTGATTAATTTATTCAGCCTCTATATGTCTGTAAAGGTCTTTATTTTAATATGATTTTTGAAATATTTGAAAGATGTTTTCACTGGGTAAAGAATTCTAAGTTGACAGATTTTTTTTCCTTTCCATAATTTAAAACTACAGATCCACTGCCTTCTCACTTGCATTATTTGTGACAGGGAATCTGCTGTCATTCTTTCCTTTGTTCCTCTGTACTTAATGTCATTTCTTCTCTAGCTGCTTTTAAGATTTTCTCTTTATCACTGTTTTGATCAGTTTGATGTGCCTTAGTGTCATTTTATTCATGTTTCTTAAACTTGAGGTTTATTGAACTTCTTGGATCAGTGGGCTTATAGTTTTCTTCAAATTTGGAAATTTTGTAGCCATAGTTTCTTTAAATGTATCTTCTTTCCCCCACCTTCAGAGACTGCAATTACAACTATATTTGTCCACTTGGAGTTATCTCACAGTTCACTGATGCATTTTTATTTTGGAGGGTCCCTCTGTGTTTTTAATTTTGTATAGTTTCTATTCCTTTGTCTTGAAGGTCATTCATCTTTTCCTCTGTAACGTCAAATGTGTCACTAATTCTATCTAGTGTATTTTTCACTTCAGCTGGGTGTGTGTGTGTTTGTTTGTTTGTTAGTTTTGAGATGGAGTCTCTCTCTGTACTCTTTGTTATACACCCAGCCTGGAGTACAGTGGCGCAATCTTGGCCCACTGCAACCTCTGCCTCCCGGGTTCAAATGATTCTCTTGCTTCAGCCTCCCGAGTAGCTGCATTACACCCAGCCGCCACCACACTTGGCTAATTTTTCTATTTTTAGTAGAGACAGGGTTTTGCTATGTTGGCCAGGCTGGTCTCAAACTCCTGACCTCAGGTGATCTGCCTACCTCAGCATCCCAAAGTGTTGGAATTACAGGTGTGAGTCACTGCACCCGCCCTCATTTCAGATGTTCTAATTTTATATCTAGAAGTTCAATTTGAGTCTTATAGCTTCCTTGTTCATACCTTTTGAGCATATTTAATACAGTAATAATCTGTTTTAAGATATTTCTCTACTAATTCTAACATCTGTCTTATTTGTCAGTTTCAATTGATTGATTTTGTTTCTCCTAAATATGAATCATATTTTCTTGCTTCTTTGCATACCTGATAATCTCTTTTTGGTTATCTGATGTTGTGAATTTTAGCTTGTTGGGTGTTAGAAATTTTTGTATTCTTATACATATTCTTAAGCTTTTTTCTGAAATGTTATTTGCAGACAATATGATCAGTTTTCTGTCTTGCCTTAATCATTTGTTAAGCAGGACCACAGCAGCATGTATTCCAGGTCTAATTGTTTGGTACTTCTGAGATAAGACCCTTCTGAGTATTCTACTGAATGTCCTGTATATATTTTTTTTTTTTTTGAGGAGTCTCTGTCACCCAAGCTAGAGTGCAGTGGCATGATCTCAGCTCACTGCAGTCTCCATCTCCTAGTCTCAGCAATTCTCCTGCCTCAGCCTCCTGAGTAGCTGGGACTACAGGTGAGCACCACCATGCCTGGCTAAGTTTTTGTATTTTTAGTAGAGACGGGGTTTCACCATGTTGGCCAGGCTGGGTCTCGATCTCCTGACCTCAGGTGATCTGCCTGCCTCGGCTCCCCAAAGTGCTGGGATTACAGGCGTGAGCCACTGTGCCTGGCCGAATGTCCTGTAAATTTTTCCATTCTGGCTGGTAGGAACAGGTACTATTTCTGGCCCTATGTAAGAAGCAGATACTTTTTTTTCTAATCTTGGATAGATCTTTTCTCAGCCTTGGATAGTTTCCTCACATACACATGCCAGTGAGTACTCCATTGATTTCTCAAGGGTTAATTTCCACAGATCTCCAGAATTATTTCTGCACAGCTTTCTTCTTCCCAGAACTCTGTCCCTTGAATTCTCACTGCCTTGGTCTCCTGGGATTCTCAGCTCCACCTCCTCAAGTAAGGGAATGTGTCAGATTCTGACTGGGTTCTCTCTCTTTGCATTGTTTAATCTCTGTGTATTTTGGAATTTTCCAGCTATCTTTCTGTTATTGGTTTCTAATAATTCCATTGTGATCTGAGAGCAGATATTATATGCTTTCTATTTTAAATTCATTAAGATCTGTTTTATGGTTCAGAATGTGGTCTGGTTTGGTAAATACTCCGTGTGAACTTGAAAAGAATGTGCATTCTGCCCTTGTTGGGTAAAGTCATCTATGGATGTCAGTTATATTCAGGTATTTGATGGTATCGTTGAGTTCAACTGTGTCCTTACTGATTTTTCTGCCTGTTGGATCTGTCCATTTCTGTTAAAAGGATGTTGAAATCTATATATGAGATCTATAAGGATCTTCATATGTTTTTGGAGAATTTACCCCTTTATCATTATGTAATACCCCTCCCTGTTCCTAATTGTTATCTGTTAGATCAATTCAGAATAAAAAAAAAATAAAAGTTTGTATCTTACCTTCACTTATTCCTTCTTTAGTGCTTTTCCTTCCTTTATGTAGATTTTAGTTTCTGACCTATATTATTTTCCCACTCTAAAGAACTTTTCTTAACATTTCTTGCAAGGCAAGTCTGGCAACAAATTTCCTCAATTTTTATTTGTCCAGGAAAGTCTTTATTTCTCCTTTACTTCTGAAGGATAATTTCTCAGGGTACAGAATTCTAGGTTGGTGGGGTTTTCTCTCAACATTTTAAGTATCTTACTCCCCTCTCTTCTTGCTTGCTTGGTTTCTGAGAAGTCACATGTAATTCTTATCTTTGTTCCTCTATAGATGAGGCATTTTAAAAATCTGGCTTCTTTCATGATTTGTTCTTTATCGTAGTTTCAAAATGATACGCCTAAGTATAGCTTAGGGGGCATTTATTATGGTTGATGTTCTCCGACCATCTTGTGGTTTGCTGTCTGATATTAATTTGGGGAAAATTCTCAGTCATTATTGTTTCAAATATTTATTCTGTTCCTTTTTCTCTTTTTTCTCCTTCTGGTATTCCCCATTATGCATATTTACACCTTTTGTAATTGTTCCACAGTCATTGGATATTTTATTCTGGGTTTTTTTCAGTCTTCGTTCTCTTCGTTTTTCAGTTTTGAAAGTTTCTGTTGATACATCCTCAAAATCAGAGATTCTTTACTCTGATTTTTATCTATTAATAGACCACATACAGTCCATTAATAGTCCCATTAAAGGCATTCTTCACCTCTTTTGCAGTGTTTTTTAATCTCTAGCATTTCTTTTTGGTTCTTCCTTAGGATTTCCATCTCTTTGCTTACATTACCCACTATTGTTGCATGCTGTCTACTTTATCCATTAGCGCCTTTAACGTGTTAATCATAGTTGTTTTAAATTCCCTGTCTGTGTGTTACATCTCTGCCATGTCTGGTTCTGATGCTCACCCTGTCTCTTCACATTGTGTTCTTTGCCTTTTAGTATTCCTTGTGCTTTTTTCTTGATAGCTGGATATGATCTACTGTTTTAAAGGAACTGCTGTAAGTGGGCCTTTATTATTAATCATGTGGTAGTGAGCTGTGGGGATGAGGAAGCGTTCTGTAGTTCAGTAAGTAGGTCTCAGTTTTTTAGTGAGCTTGTGCCTCTGAACTGTAAGCTTCATAAGTGTTCCTCAGGTATTGTTTTCCTTCCCCCCCTTCAGTGGGAGAGGAGGACTAGAGTGGGAGACAGTTGGGTATTTCCCTTCTCCCACAAGGAATGCTTCCCTTCAGTTAGGCACTGATAATACTCCAGCAGGTTGGGCTCTGGTGAACTAGGTTCCCCTGAGGGCAGGCCTTGTTAAGAGCATTGTGCTTTGGCATGTTTCAAAATGGTTACTTTTCCCCTTCTTCTGCTAGAAGCTTGAGGGGATTTTTCTTCAGTATTTACTGTGAGAACCTGGTTGGGCTCCTAGAGGTAAGTCACACAAAATGGTGGCGGCCCCCATCTCTGAGTGCCCCTGGAGTTGTTAACTCTCAGACTTGTCCACATGGAGCCTCCAGCAATTTGTCAGTAGCAAGTCAGGTTTTCCTACCCTGGCTCTGGTTCCCACTGCATTTTCCACTCTGGTAAGCTGTGACTCCCTGACTGTACTCAGTGATTTGCCCTGTGCCCTCACCTCTTATGGATCCTGGAATTGTTGAATTTTTAGTCTGTTCAGGTTTTTACTTGTTGTTAGGATGAAGTGGTGACTTCCAAGCTCCTTACATGTGAAACTGGAAACTGGAAGTCTCCCTTCTTACATTGTGGCCTGGAAATGCTTTCAAGGCAATAAGTGGGCAGTCACAGGATTTGCCTCATTTGTTTTCCATCTGAGGAACCACTGTTTTTCATTGCCTTATGTCTGCTGTCTTAAAACCTATTGTTTCATATATTTTGTGTAAAGGTTTGTTTATTGCTTTAGGTGGGAGGGTTAATCTAGTGCCGCTTACTCCATCTTGGCCAGAAGTGGAAATTCATGTCAAATTTTTAAGAAGAATGTTATAGATGGAGTAGACCAGAACATAAACCAGTGTCTCATTAGAAGGTAACCGTCTTGGTAGTTAGAATTAGGTTCTCCATAAGCTACAATGCATATTGTACTTACAATAATGAAGAGTTAAATGAGTCATTGTTTACATAACAATAAACTTAACATGTAACATTAGCAAGACTTTAGTTACTAAATGGATGGATGTGGATCCAGCCTTCTCAATAACTTTTCTAAATGAAAGTGAGTCTTAAAAAAAAAAATTCATACTGTCCTCTCTAAATACTAACTCTGAGGCATTTTCCCCCTTCCCCCAGCTTCCTATAGGAAATACTATTCACCGATTATAAGTGCCTTGGCTAGTATCCAAGTCTTACCTGTGACATGCACAGAGCTTGGAAAATGGTTTTTCTTCCCTCTCGTTATTTAATAGTCTTCTTGTTTATGACAGTAGCCTTTAAACAGGGAATGTGTTCCTGAAAGATGGCAAACAAATGATTTCATTTTCTTTTATTATATAGTACAGAGCAGTGATTTTCAAAGGCTGGGTTTGCATCCTTAACTGTCTTCCCCTAGCCTTCCTGTTCTACCAAAACCAAGTCTATACACATTTCTCTGCAGTTGAGAGTGGAAATCATATTAGCTTTATTCACAAATCCGTTTACTAAACATTATGGAATGTACATACCCTCTGACAAGAACTGGAATGTACATACCCTCTGACAAGAACTGTAGTAACACTAGGTTGGATGATTATGGTGGGGTGAGTTAATGAGATGCAAGGGTAGCAGTGTAGGGATGGACATCATCATGTCAGATACAAATATTTGGTGGCTTTATACAAAAGAAATGTGAGAGATGCAAGATTATCCATTAAAATAAAAGCAAAACATCTTGAGAACCTAAATTATATGGCTATCATTCATTGAGAACTTCCTAGGTTCTGATTAAGGACTTAACATACATTTCCTCGTTTAACCTTATCAGGTAGATGCTCTTATTATCCTCATTTTACAGATGACAAAACAGGCTTAGAGTGAACCAGCAACCCCTCCAAGATTACAGCACTATAAACAACAGTGGAATGGGAAAAGAGGAAAGGGATTATATCTAAGAGATATTCCTCAAGAATAATTGATAAGACCTGTGACAAATTAGTTGTAATGATTAAGGAGGAAGAAATTATGGGTAAGTCCCAAGTTTCTATCTTGGAAGACCAGACAGATGGTGATATTTCATTAACTGTGGTAACAAATGGAAAAGAACGAATAGATTAAGGTAAGCGAGATAAATTTAGCTTTAAACATTTTAAGTTTGAGATTTCTATTGGATATCCAAGCAGATAACTCTTCTAAGTTGTTGGAAATGCTGTACAGGAATGAGGTCTAGAATAGAATAAACTTGGGCACCATCACCACTTAGATTGTGTGAAAGACACTAGTGTCTTCCTTTGAGATTGATAAGAAAAAAACAATAAAATATAGAACCTAGGATTGGCAGTATTTTAAAGATGGGCAGAAAGCAGGAGTCATTAAAGATATATCAGGAGGAGAAGACAAGAAAAGAACTGGAAGAAAGTGTCGTCACGTTAAGCCCAAGAAAGGAGGCTATTTCAAAAAGTGGGGATGGGTAAACAGTGTGAAATACTAAAAAGTGATTAAGAAGCATAAAGACTGAAAATAAATAATTTGATTTAACAGAAAGTCTTTAGTGACTTTAACTAAAACAATTAGAGCAGAATATTTTGGGTGGAAGCCAGGCTATAAATTATTGCTATGAAAGTGAAAATTGCAAACATGGTTCTTTCCAAACTTTGGGTGGTAAAAGGAAGAATGGAGATGAAGAAGCAGCATCAAAGGGAAGATGGCTCAAAAAGGGCCAATATGTTTTGGTATCCTTTTTGTTTAGTTTTGTTTTAAATAAGTGTGTGTGGGATGGGGTGATTATGATTACACTGGATGTCTCTGTTGGCTTGATGATATGGATGGTGATAACAGCTAACACAGTTAACAGCCAGACACTGTCCTAAGCACATCACATGTATTAACTCATTTTATCTCCATGGTATCATTAACCCTATTTTAAACATGAGGAAACTGAAATATCAATAACATAAGCAGCTAGCCTAAGCTTGCACAGAGATACGATGCAAACTGAGGCAGCCTGACTCCAAGTCCACAGTTTACCCTCCCTGCTATATGCTTCCCTGCTCACCCAAAAAAGCGATTCTGCTTTATTTATTCTAATTTTCTTTACAGAATGTATCTAGAGTGAACATTTTTCAGACCATTATCTTTAGAGTGTGTTTTAGGACCTGATTCAAATTGCTTTCCGTTCTTCAAAAACTTATTTCCTGGGATAGGAATAGCTGCCCACTCTAGTCCTATTCCTGAGCACCAAGAATAAACAGACTTGACTCTTGTAAATGGAAGAATGAGTTTCTTCTAGAAACTCAGTAGAAAAATGAGCTCCTACTATGGCCTTAAGTATTAAGAAAAAATAAGTGTGTGTTTTGCCTTTTGTTTGGTGCTAATGTGATACCAGGTTTTGTATGAAGCACATGTGTTTTCCCTGTTTTATGTAGAGAATAGCATGCATGGAATGAACCCCAAAAATAAGCCCCAAATTATCTTTTGCTCAAAGGAACAGAGGTACTTCGAGGCTAGACTTTATAGTCATTATAGAAGAATGTGAGGAAATACAACTCTGCTTTTATTTGCACCAGACTTTGGCTGTGTTACACTTTCTTCTGCCAGTCCTGTGACTGACTTCTCTTTAAATGATTCATGGTTGTTTTCCATGAATAAATATGCATTAGTCAAGATCCAGTTAGAGCCCCCACTTCCCCTTCCCCTCTTTTCCCTAGCTGCAGCTGTTTATATTTGCATTTGACTGGACAGATCTGTTAGCCTTAATGTGTTTTTCTTTGTTTATTAAAGGTTTACACTTTGCCTTAGTTGAAGAAAGGTAAGGATTTTTTTTGTTTTTGTTTTTTTTCCCGTGGGTGCCCGCCACCCACCCACCCAGAGTGCAGTACCATAATCACAGCTCACTGCAGCCTCAACCTCTTGGACTCAAGCTATCCTCCCACCTCAGGCTCGGACTACAGCCACATGCCACCACACCCAGCTAATTTTTGTAATTTTTGTAGAGATGAGGTTTTGCCATGTTATCCAGGCTCATCTTAAACTCCTGGGCTCAAGCAGTCTTCCCACCTTAGCCTCCTAGAGTGCTGGGATGATAGGCATGAGCCACTGCACCCAGCCCCTACATTTTCTTTATAAGCCTAGATATATAATTACAATTATTGATGATCTCACAGAAACTTTCCTAGAAGGAATTCATTTGTCTGCCATAAGCCTAATTTACATTGAAGAGATAGACACAGTGATTAAAGACTGGAGGAGTTCTTAAATCCTTAAAGAAACTACTAGGCCAGGCGTGTTGGCTCATGGCTGTAATCCCAGCACTTTGGGAGGCCAGAGCTGGCAGATTGCTTCAGTTCAGGAGTTCGACACCAGCGTGGTAAATGGTGAAACCCTGTCTCTACAAAGAAATACAAAAATTAGCCCGGCATGGTGGCATGTGCCTGTGTCCCAGCTACAGGAGGCTGAAATGGGAAGATTGCTTGAGCCTGGGAGGTTGAGACTGCAGTGGGCTGTGATCACACCACCGCACTCCATCCAGCCTAGGCGACAGAATGAGACCCTGTCTTGAAAAAAAAACAAAAAGAAACTGCCTTCCCAAGTTTATCTTTTTTGTATGCCCTATTAGAATGCTTTTCCTTTTTATGTTTTTCCCCATTTTATTAGAAAAATTTCCAGATATACAAAATGGAAGAATTTTACAACAAACACTCATATGCCCACCAACTTGATTTCATCATAAACATTTTACTGTCTTATTTTATCACATCTGTTCATCTACCTATCTCTTTATGCACCTATCATTTTTTATGCATTTCAAAGTAAATTGCAGGTATTAGTATACTTTACTGGAATGCTTTTAGAAGGGTGGAGTGGTCTTCCTGCTCTGTTGCTGCCTTGGCTGTACCATTTTCTGGGTGCTGCGGATAAGAAAGTCACATTCTGTTGCTAAATGATATGGATTAGTTCATCTTTTTTCCTTAGCTCAGCTATAGTTGGGATGATAACTTGTCACTGAATTCCTTCAGTGGTTTCTGCCTTAGAAAATCTCTTGGAAACCAGCAGATATTCAAAATAAAGAAACATTTATTTAGGCATGTGAACCCCACAGAGAATATTCATTACATTCATCCCCGTAATGCAGGCCAACAGTGCTTTCTTGTTCATATGTTCTAAATTTATAGTCGAGTACATAGAAAGTAGGGCTTTCTTTTATCATATTGATCTGATAAAAGCCCTAGGTTTTGAGGTACAGAAACCATCCATTTCTGGGCTGTACAGACACCATTTTTGGTGTCTACAGTTGTTTTGCCATATGGTACTGGGCTAATTTTGTCTGTGTTCCTCTCTTGAGGCTTTTGTGAATTAATTACGTTTTTAGAAAATTTTTTAAATAACTTTTTAAAATGTCAAAGCTTTCTCAGTAGAATAAAATATGATGAGGCATTATGTCAACATGAGAACAAGTTATCTTAATAGACTATTTCTCAGAAACTGAGGCCTTTGAGTCTGTACTTATTCCATGTTATAAATTAGCATTAGTCATATTCATGAAAGCCTCCTTTGAAACAACATGTAAAGTAATCTTGGACCTGAAGAGATAAGTCTATTTAGAAAGCAACGAAGTCTCTGAATAGTTCTCCACTCTGGAAAGGTCATCTCTGGCCAAGCATGAAAATTCCTAAAGGGAAGTACAAAGAGAGATAAGGGGAAAGAAGCTGGCTTAGCCAGTCATATAAGCCTAATCAATTCTGGTCGTCAGTGGGATAACTCATGCCACATTCAGATGTAATAATCAAATCCTTTAGAACAAATACAACATAATATAATAGAAAAGGCCTGGATTTTAGAGTGAGAACTAGGTTTTGGGTCTAGTTCTTAAACTAACTACATGGCCTTACATCCCTATAAGACTAATTAGACTTGTCCATAAAAATACTATAAGAATTTTATGAGGGGCCCATAATTCCGTTTGTCAGGAGAGCCCACAACTGAGGCAGTCCTGGGTGAGGTTTATCTCCCTCTTTTTACCTCCCCAAGTCATGGAGCCAGCTGATCTTTCTATTTCCTGTTTCCTGCCTAAGACTACTCAGCTAGAGCTCAGTGCATCTGTCTGAATGTCTGCTTTTCCATCAAGGGCTCTCAGATGCCCAAGAAACCCCCTGAGTGGTTAGCTACTTCCTGCTATCAAATGGCATCACAGAAAAGCAGAGTAAGAAGCTCTAAGAATCAGTCCTTGCCCTGAAGCAACCATTAAGCTGGCAAAAAATGACAAAATCATCTTTTTCAGAATTCTGGAATCTAATCAAAACTTAAAGCTACAAGAGGAGTGCCTAATGAAGAAAGAGGTTACTCAATTTCAGCATTTAATGAAATCTGTCAGATCACTGGCTGACCACTGAGATAATAGAAGAGAGACTTCAGTGACTACACACAATAAGGAGTAGAGTCATTGCAAAAATTGTTTGGAAAAGTCACTAAAGGGACAACAGTAGGGCCAAAATAAGCAATAACAGCAAGCCCTGTGAAGGAGGCAGAATCTGATATCCAGACTTACCACATTATAATATTCAGAAGGCACAGTTTTTGATACAAAATGACAAGGCATACACAGAAATAGGAAAGTTTGGCCTATTCACTGGAAAAAATAAATTGACAGAAGCCATCCCTGAGGCAGCTGAGACATTGGACTTATCAAACAAAGACTTTAAATCAGCTGTATTAAATAGGGTCAAAGAGCTAAAGGAAACCATGGATGAAAGGATACCAGGAGAACAATTTATGAGCAAATAGAGTATATCAACAGAGACAGAAATTATAAAAAGGAAACAAATAGAAATTCTGGAGTTGAAAAGTACAATAGATAAAATTTAAAATTGACCAGAGAAGTTCAACAGATTTGAGTAGGCAGAAGCAGAAGAAATAGTGAACTCGAAGATAAACAGTTGGAATTATTCAGTCTAAAGAAGAGAAAGAAAAAAGAATATGGAAAAATGAACAAGCCTACAAGATCTGTGGAACATCATCAAGTTTGTAAATGTGCACTTGAGAGTCTCAGGAGAAGAGAAAGTGAAAGGGTCAGAAAAAAAAATCTACAAAAAGCAAACAAACAAACTTGAGCTAATAACATGAATTCAGCAAAGTTGCTGGATACAATATCAGCTCACAAAAAGCAGTTATGCTTCTTCTATATACTGTATTAATGTTTAATGTTGTTAAGATATTGGTACTACCCAAAGGAGTCTACAAATACAACACAATCCCTAGCAAAATTCCAACAGCCTGTTGGGCAGGAATGGAAAAGGAAATTCTCAAATTCACATGGACTTGCAAGGGGCCCTGAATAGCCAAAATGATATTGAAAAAGAACAAAGTTGGAAGTGTCAAACGTCCCAATTTCAAAACTTGTCATAAAGCTGTATTAATCAAAACACTGTGATACTGGCATAGGAATACACATAAAAGACCAATGTAATACAGTTGAAAGTCCAGAAATAAACCCCATACATCTATAGCCAATTGCTTTTCAACAAGGGTGCTAAGTCTAGGAAAGAATAGTCTCTTCAGCAAATGGTACTGAGACAACTGGATATCTACCTGCAAAAGAATGAAGTTGGACCCTACCTCACACCATACAGAAAACTCAAAATGAATCAACAACCTAACCTACAGATAAGAGCTCCAACTGTAAGACTCTTAGAAAAAGAGTACAGGAAAAATCCTCATGACCTTAGATTGGGCAAAAGATTCTTAGCTATGACACCAAAAGCATGAGGAACAGCAGTAACCAAAAAATAAGATATTTTGAACTTCATTAAAATTAATTTTGTGCATCAAAGGACACTGTGAAAAAAATGAAAAGACAGCCCACAAAATGGGAGATAATATTTGCAAATCATGTATCTGATAAGGGTCTAGTATCCAGAATATATTAAAAAAACTCCTACAAGTCAACAACAAAAAGACAACCCAATTTAAAAATGAATAAATGACTTGAATAGACATTTTTCAAAGAAGATGTACAGATGTCTAGCTTATGAAAAGATGTTCAACATCATCAGTCATTAGGGAATGCAAATTAAAATCACAGTGAGATACTATTTTACACCCCCTAGGATGGCTGTAATAAAAACAAAAAAAACTAACAAGTGTTAATGAGGATTTGGAAAAATAGGAACTCTTGTACATTGCTGGTGGGAATGTAAAATAGTACAGCCACTGTGGAAAACAGTTTAGTGGTTCCTCATATAGTTAAACATAGAATTGCTATATGATCCAGTAATTTCATTTTTAAGTATCTACCACAAAGAATTGAAAACAGGTGCTCAAATACATACACACGAATATACACAGCACCACTATTTGTAGTAGCCAAAGGTAGAAACAATCCAAATATTCATCAGTGGATGAATGGATAAGCATCATGGTATATATGTACAATGTATATTATTCAGCCATCAAAAGGAATGAAGTACTGATACAAGCTACAACATGAATGAACCTTGAATTATGCTAAGTGAGAGAAGACAGACACAAAATGTCACATCTCGTTTGTGAGATATCCAAATAAGGAAATCCACAGACACAGAAAGCGAATTGTTTGCCAGAGACGTGGGAAGGGAGCAATGGAGAATAACTCTTTAGTAATATAGGGTTTTATTTTGGAGCAACAAAAATGTTTTGGAACTAGATAGAAGTGGTGGTTGTGCAATATTGTGAATGTACTAGATGCCATTGAATTGTACACTTTAAAGTGGTTAATTTTATATTAATTTCACCTTGATTTTAAAAAACTTATGTGAAGAATATATGTAAAAACCTACAATCATGAGATTTCCTTTTTTATTTATTTATTTTATATTATTTTAAGTTCCAGGATACAAGTGCAGAACTTGTAGGGTTGTTACATAGGTATACATGTGCCATGGTGGTTTGCTGCACCTATCAACCCATCATCTAGGTTTTAAGCCCCACATGCATTAGTTATTTGTCCTAATGCTCTTCCTCCCCTTGCCCCCACATCCCCCGACTGGCCCTGGTGTGTGTTGTTTCCCTCCCTGTGTCCTTGTTATTCTCAGTGTTCAACTCCCACTTATGAGTGAGAACATGCAGTGTTTGGTTTTCTGTTCCTGTGTTAGTTTACTGAGGATGATGTCTTCCAGCTTCATCTGTGTCCCTGTAAAGGACATGATCTCATTCTTTTTTATGGCTGCATAGTACTCCATGTTGTATATGTACCACATTTTATTTATCAAGTCTATCATTGATGGGCATTTGGGTTGGTTCCATGTCTTTGCTATTGTAAATAGTGCTGCAATAAACATATGTGTGCATGTGTCTTTATAGTAAAATGATTTCTATTCCTTTAGGTATATACCCAGTAATGGGATTGCTGGGTTAAATGGTATTTTTGGGTCTAGATCCTTGAGGAATCGCCACACTGACTTCCACAATTTTTTAACTAATTTATATTCCCACCAACAGTGTAAAAGCGTTCCTTTTTCTCCACAGCCTCACCAGCATCTATTGTTTATTGACTTTTTAATAATTGCCATTCCGACTGGCATGAGATGGTATCTCATTGTGGTTTTGATTTGCATTTCTCTAATGGTCAGTGATGTTAAGCTTTTTTTTTTTTTTTTTGTATGCTTGTTGGCTGCATAAATGTCTTCTTTTGCGAAGTGTCTGTTCATATCCTTTGCCCACTTTTTGGTGGGGTTGTTTGTTTTTTTCTTGTAAATTTGTTTAAGTTCCTTGTAGATTCTGGGTATTAGACTTTTGTCAGATGGATCGATTGCAAATAGTTTCTCCCATTCTGTAGATTGCCTGTTCACTCTGATGATGGTTTCTTTTGCTGTGCAGAAGTTCTTTAGTTTACTTAGATCCCACTTGTCAATTTTGGCTTTTATGGCAATTATTTTTGGCATTTTTGTCATGAAGTCTTTGCCCATGCCTATGTCCTGAATGGTATTGCCTAAATTTTCTTCTGGGGTTTTTATGGTTTAGGGTTTTACATTTAGGTCTTTAATCCATCTTGAGTTAATTTTTGTATAAGGTGTAAGGAAGGGGTCCAGTTTCAGTTTTCTGCATATGGCTAGCCAGTTTTCCCAGCACCATTTATTAAATAAGGAGTCCTTTCCCTATTGTTTATTTTTGTCAGGTTTGTCAAAGATCAGATGGTTGTAGATGTGTGGTGGTATTTCTGAGGTCTCTGTTCTGTTCCATTGGTCTGTATGTATGTTTTGGTACCAGTACCATGCTGTTGTGGTTACTACAGCCTTGTAGTATAGTTTGAAGTCAGGTAGCATGATGCCTCCAGCTTTGTTCTTTTTGCTTAGGATTGTCTTGGCTATACAGGCTCTTTTTCAGTTCCATATGAATTTTAAAGTAGTTTTTACCAATTCTGTGAAGAATCTCAATGGTAGTTTGATGGGAATAACATTGAATCTATAAATTACTTTGAGCAGTATGGCCATTTTCATGATATTGATTCTTCCTATCCATGAGCATGGAATGTTTTTCCATTCATGTCCTTTCTTACTTGAGCAGTGGTTTGTAGTTCTCCTTGAAGAGGTCCTTCACATCCCTTGTTAGCTATATTCCTAGGTATTTTATTCTCTCTCTTTGTAGTGATTGTGAATGGGAGTTCATCCATGATTTGGCTCTCTGCTTGTCTAATGTTGGCGTATAGGAATGCTTGTGGGTTTTGCACATTGATTTTGTATCCTGAGACTTTGTTGAAGTTGCTTATCAGCTTAAGGAGTTTTTGGGCTGAGATGATGGAGTTTTCTAAATATAGAATCACGTCTTCTGCAAACAGACAATTTGGCTTCCCCTCTTCCTATGTGAATACACTTTATTTCTTTCTCTTGCCTGATTGCCCTGGCCAAAACTTCCAATACTGTGTTGAATAGGAGTAGTGAGAGAGGGCATCCTTGTCTTGTGCCGGTTTTCAAAGGGAATGCTTCCAGCTTTTGCCCATTCAGTATGATATCAGCTGTGGGTTTGTCATAAATAGCTCTTATTATTTTGAGATATGTTCCATCAATACCTACTTTATTGAGAGATTGTAATGTGAAGGGATATTGAATTTTATCAAAGACCTTTTCTTCATCTGTTGAGATGATCATGTGGTTTTTGTCATTGGTTCTGTTTATGTGATAGATTATGTTTATTGATTTGCATATGCTGAACCAGCCTTGCATCCCAGGGATGAAGCCCACTTGATTGTGGTGGGTAAGCTTTTTGATGTGCTGCTGGATTTGGTTTGCCAGTATTTTATTGAGGATTTTCGCATTGATGTTCATCAGGGGTATTGGCCTAAAGTTTTCTTTTTTTGTTGTGTCTCTGCCAGGTTTTGGTATAAGGATGATGCTGGCCTCATAAAATGAGTAAAGGAGGAGTCCCTCCTTTTCAGTTGTTTGGAATAGTTTGAGAAGGAATGGTACCAGCTCCTCTTTGTACCTCTGGTAGAATTCGGCTGTGAATCCATCTGGTCCTGGACTTTTTTCAGTTGGTAGACTCTTAATTATTACCTCAATTTCAGAACTTGTTACTGGTCTATTCAGGGATTCAACTTCTTCCTGGTTCAGCCTTGGGAGGGTGTATGTGTCCAGGAATTTATCCATTTCTTCTAGATTTTGTAGTTTATTTGCATAGAGGTGTTTATACTATTCTCTGGTGATAGTTTATATTTCTGTGGGGTTAGTGGTGATATCCCTTTTATCATTTTTTATTGTGTCTATTTGATTCTTCTCTCTTTTCTTCTTTATTAGTCTTGCTAGCAGTCTATCTATTTTGTTAATTTTTTCAAAAACCAGCTCCTGGATTCATTGATTGTTTCAAGGGTTTTTCTTGTCTCTATACTCTTCAGTTCTGCTCTGATCTTAGTTATTTCTTATCTTCTGCTAGCTTTTGGATTTGTTTGCTCTTGCTTCTCTAGCTCTTTTAATTGTGATGTTAGGGTGTCAATTTGAGATCTTTCTGGCTTTCTGATGTGGGCATTTAGTGCTATAAATTTCCCTCTTAACACTGCTTTTGCTGTGTCCTAGAGATTCTGGTAAGTTGTGTCTTTGTTCTCATTGGTTTCAGAGAACTTCTTGATTTCTGCCTTAATTTCATTATTTACCCAGGAGTCATTCAGGAGCAAGTTGTTCAATTTCCTGTAGTTGTTTGGTTTTGAGTGAGTTTCTTAATCCTGAGTTCTAATTTGATTGCACTGTGGTCTGAGAAACTGTTTTTTATTATTTCAGTTATTTTGCATTTGCTGAGGAGTGTTTTACTTCCAATTATGTGGCTGATTTTAGAATAAGTGCCATGTGGCACTGAGAAGAATGTCTATTCTGTTGATTTGGGGTGGAGAGTTCTGTAGATGTCTATCACGTCCACTTGATCCAGAGCTGAGTTCCAAGTGCTGAATATCCTTGTTAATTTTCTGTCTCGTTGGTCTGTCTAATATTGACAATGGGGTGTTAAAGTCTCCCACTATTATTGTGTGGGAATCTAAGTCTCTGTAGGCCTCTAAGAATTTGTTTTATGAATCTGGATGCTCCTGTATTGGGTGCACATATATTTAGGATAGCTCTTATTGTTGAACTGATCCCTTTACCATTATGTAATGCCCCCTTTGTCTTTTTTGATCTTTGTTGGTTTAAAGTCTGTTTTGTCAAAGACTAGGATTGCAACCCCTGCTTTTTTTTTTTTTTTTTTTTTTTTTTTTGCTTTCCATTTGCTTGGTAAATTTTCCTCCATCCCTTTATTTTGAGCCTATGTGTGTCTTTGCACGGGAGATGGGTCTCCTGAATACAGCACACAGATGGGTCTTGACTCTTTATCCGATTTGCCAGTCTGTGTCAGGTTTTTTGTTTTGTTTTGAGATGGAGTCTTGCTCTGTTGCCCAGGGTGGAGTGCAGTGACATGATCTCAGCTCACTGCAACCTCTAACTCCCAGGTTCAAGGGATCCTCCTGCCTCAGCCCCCCTAGTAGCTAGGATTACAGGCATGCGCCACCATGCCTGGCTAATTTTTGTATTTTTAGTAGAGACAGTTTCGCCATGTTGGCCAGGCTGGTCTCAAACTCCTGACCTCAGGTGATCCACCTGCCTCAGCCTCCTAAAGTGCTGGGATTATAGGCATGAGCCACTGTGCCCGGTCATCTGTGTCTTTTAATTGGGGCATTTAGTCCATTTACATTTAAGGTTAATACTGTTATGTGTGAATTTGATCCTATCATCATGATGCTATCTTGTTATCTCACACACTAGTTGATGCAATTTCTTCATGGTGTCATTGGTCTTTATATTTTGGTGTGTTTTTGCAGTAGCTGGTACTGGTTTTTCCTTTCCATATTTAGTGCTTCCTTCAGGAGCTCTTGCAAGGCAGGCCTGGTGGTGACAAAATCCCTCAGCATTTGCTTATCTGGAAAGGATTTTATTTCTCCTTTGTTTATGAAGCTTAGTTTGGCTGGATATGAAATCCTGGGTTGAAAATTCTTTAAGAATGTTGAATATTGGCCCCCACTGTCTTCTGGCTTGTAGGGTTTCTGCTGAGAGGTCTGCTGTTAGTCTCATGGGCTTCCCTTTGTAGGTGACCTGGCCTTTCTCTCTGCCTGCCCTTAACATTTCTTCCTTCATTTCAACCTTGGAGAATCTGATGATTATGTGTCTTGGGGTTGATCGTCTCGTGGAGTATCTTACTGGGGTTCTCTGTATTTCTTGAATTTGAATGTTGGCCTGTCTTGCTAGGTTGTGGAGATTCTCCTGGATAATATCCTGAAGTGTGTTTTCCAACTTGGTTCCATTTTCCTCCTTTCTTTCAGGTACTCCAGTCAATCACAGGTTTGGTCTTTTTACATAGTCCCATATTTCTTGGAGGTTTTTTTGTTCCTTTTCATTCTTTTTTCTCTAATCTTGTCTGCGTGCCTTATTTCAACAAGATGGTCTGGATATCCTTTCTTCTGCTTGGTCGATTCAGTTATTGATTCTTGTGTATGCTTCACGAAGTTCTCGTGCTGTGTTTTTCAGCTCCATCAGGTCATTTATGTTCCTCTCTAAACTGGTTATTCTAGTTAGCAGCTCCTATAACCTTTATCAAGGTTCTTAGCTTCTTTGCATTGGGTTAGAACATGCTACTTTAGCTCAGCGGAGTTTATTACCCACCTTCTGAAGCCCACTTCTGTCTATTCGTCCATCTCATCCTTCATCCAGTTCTGCGCCCTTGCAGGAGAGGCGTTGCGATCATTTGGAGGAGAAGAGGCACTCTGGCCTTTTGAGTTTTCAGCATTTATCATTGATTCTTTCTCCTCTTCATGAGTCTGTCTAGTATTGATCTTTGAGGCTTCTGACCCTTAGATGGGGTTTTTGTGGGTATCTTGTTGTTGATGCTGTTATTGCTTTCTGTTTGTTTTTCTTGCAATGGTCAGGTCCCTCTTCTGTAGGGCTGCTGCAGTTTGCTGGGGGTTCACTTCAGGCCCTATTCATCTGGTTCACTCCTGTGCCTGGAATTCTCACTCGAGGAGGCTGGAGAGCAGCAAAGATGGGTGCTTGCTCCTTCCTCTGGGATCTCTGACCTCAAGGGGCACTGACCTGATGCCAGTAGGAACGCTTCTGTATAGGGTGTCTGACAACCCCTGTTGGAGATTCTCAACCAGTTGGGTGGCACGGGGAGCAGGACCTGTTTATTAACAAAGCACTTTGACTGTCCCTTGGTGGACGGGGGTGCTTTGCTGGGTAGGGGGCCTTGTCTGGGCTCCCTGGATTCCTCAGAACTATGCAGGAGCAAAGACTAAGTCTGCTGGTCCATGGAGACTGCGGCCACCCTTCCACCTAGGGACTCAGGCCCAGGGAGATTAGAGTTCTATCCCTGAGTCCCTGGCTGGAGTTGTTGGAGTTCCTGCAGGGAGGCCCCGTGCAATGAGGAGGGATGGGTCAGGCCTGAAGAGGCACTCTGTCCGCGGTCTGCCACAGCCAGTGTGTTCAGCTGTGAAGGACACCTCTTGGGACTAAGCCATCCATCCTCCCTTGCTCCGGCAGGGGAAAGCGCAGCCTGGAGCTATAGAGATGGCTGCCGCCCATCCCCTGCCCAGGGAGCTTAGTGTGTTAGGCAGCTATCAGTCCTATTGTTCGCTGTTGCCCCTTCCCCAAGGAGCTCAGATGGCTTAGACAGCAGGCAGCTGCAGCCGTGGTGCTGGTCACCACCCCCGCTACCCCCAGGAGCTTGGTAGGCTTAAGCACATTCTAGCCGAGTGGCTATTGAGAATCTGTGCGGCTCCATGGTTGGGACCCTAGGCCCTGTTGGTGTGGGCTCACGAGTAGGATCTTCCGATCCATGGGTTACACAGTTCCGTGGAAAAAACATGTTTTCCCAGGCTGGGTAGCGTACTCACTCACTGCCTACCTTGGCTGGGGGTGACTCCTCTGCCCCGTGTGGCTCTCAGGTGGGCCGCCTTACCACACTGCTCTTCCTTCCTCTCTGCGGGTCACACCAGCCACATAGTCAGTTCTGATGATGGAACCTGGGTACCTCGGTTGCCGGTGCAGGATTCACACAGTGTTATGGTTCTTTTCAATGGGAGCCTCTGATCGCGTCTGCTTCTAGTCAGCCATCTTGGCCCCACCCGCTATGATTTCCCTTTTTTCTTCTGTCTTTCACATGTAGTCTGTATTTAAAACTGCTAGACATTATCCTTTCTCTAAGAGTTTGCAATCTGGTTGGAAAAACAGTATTTAAAATGTTAATAAGTAGTGTAAGTCAGTGTATAATTAAGCACTAAATTATATGGAGTAAACTTAGTTTGGGAAGAGGAAAATAAATGAGGACTAGATTGATTAAGGAAGATACTATGAAGAAGATGAAAATTAACCTTGACTGTAATATATGGACATGGTATGAAGAGAAGAAGAGGGGCATTTCAGGTCAAAGGGACAACCTGCCCTAAGGCACAGGAACTGGATTGGAGCAGTTTGTCAGGGTACTCTGTGAAGACTGCCTTGTCTGCCTCAGATAGCACATGGTGGCAGGGTGTGAGGCGTGGACAGGACAGAATTGAGCCATGTTACAGAAAGCCGTCAGAACCTGGGGAGGAGCTTAGCTTAGATTTGATACAGCAGAAAACTGCACCTTTGGACGCGCTAGAAGGGAATGACGTAATGTGGTCATTGTAATAAAGAATTGGTCTGGCATAATATCCAAAACGGAGTGACTGAGGCAGGAAGTAAGGGAAGCCAGGCAGGAAGCAAGGAGAGTAAATGTAGCAAAAGTCTGAGCTAGGTGGGAGCAGTTGGAAACGAACAGAGGTAACTGATACAAGAGATCTTTCTAAGGAAAAATTCATAAGACTTGAAGACAGACTGGGATTGCTTGGTTAAGTTTACTTCTTAAATAGCAGGAACTTTCATTTTAATTATACTCAGGATGTTTGTGATATAATGACACCCTGATATAATAACAAAATACTTCACTCATCTCCTCTACTAATACATAAAAATTATTTTAATAAAACTCTCTTGATTCCCTTCTTCAATATTCATTCATTCAACAAATATTTACTGAGCCTTTACTATGTACCCCAGACTATGTACTGATACAGTGATGGTTCCTGCCTTCATAGAGCTTGCATTCTAGTTAAGAAGACAGGAATAAGCAAGAAAACAAAAGAATAAATATTGTTAGATTGTAATACGTGATAAGAACATAAAATAATTAGTATTTATGATAAATTCTCCAAGAGAAACAAATAAGCCCTCTGGCTAAAAGAAAATTATGGGGGCCGGGCATGGTGGCTCACGCATGTAATCCCAGCACTTTGGGAGGCCAAGGTAAGATCACTTGAGGCCAGGAGTTCAAAACCAGCCTAGGCAACATAGCAAGACCCCATTTCTACACAAAGTTTTTTAAAAATAGTCACGTATGGTGGGACATGCCTATAGTCCCAGCTACTTGGGAGGCTAAGGCAGGAGGATTGCTTGAGCCCAGGAATTTGAGGCTGCAGTGAGCTATGATTGCCTCTCCAGCCTGTGCAACAGAACAAGACCATGTCTCTTAAAAAAAAATGATGAGCAGTAGGGAAACCAACTTGAAAAGCTTATCAGGGGAAGCCCCGCTAACATAGTAGCATTTACGCTGAAACAAGAAACTGGAAGGCCAGAAGAGCTGGGGCATAGACTGAGGGGGAAGTGATGTGAGATGCCTGCAGGGGTAGGTAGGCAGGGTCCAAATCATCTAGAGCCTTGAGCACTATGGGAGGGAGTTTTGATTTTATTCTAAATGCAATAAAGAACCACTGGAGGGTTTTGCGTAGGGGAGTGATATGGTCCTTTTATCATCAGACAGGCCCAGTTCCAGCACTGGTCATTCCAGCCTCAGTCCGGGTAGCAATAGGAGTAGTCGATAAGAAGGACCCTTTCTTTTCTAGAAAACTACCATTACTTTGTTAATTCTTATTTTATGAGCTCCTTACTCTTCTCACCCTGCTGCCCTTTCCTATGTTAGCAGGTGCTTATATCAATTCATGTAAGTTTCCTTCCCCCGATGTAATCTAAAAATAATTATCAGCTAACTTGTCTAAGATATTCAGACCTTCATCCTACACATATTCCTCATTTCAGTGGCCTACATAAAATAAAGGCCTTAAATAAAATAAAGAGGATTTCTGCTACATTTTTATATTCTATAGAATTCAAACTCAAGAGTTTCAGGGCTTGTATGAGTATAGAACTGTCACATAATCACAGAAGAATATTGGTGTGGTTCTTTGATTTTCTATAGAGATTAATTCAGTGAACAATTTTGTTTAATGCATTTGAAATTTAAATTTGGGCATACTCTAATGTATCCAGAGTTTGTTGTTGCTGTTGTTGTTGTTGTTTTGTTGTTTTTGAGACAGAGTCTCGCTCTGTTGCCCAGGCAGGAGTGCAGTGGCGCGATCTCAGCTCACTGCAATCTCTGCCTCCCAGGTTCACACCATTCTCCTGCCTCAGCCTCCCGAATAGCTGGGACTACAGGCGCCCGCTGCCATGCCCAGCTAATTTTTTGTATTTTTAGTAGAGACGGGGTTTCACCATGTTAGCCAGATTGGTCTCAATCTCCTGACCTTGTGATCTGCCCGCCTCGGCCTCCCAAAGTGCTGGGATTACAGGGGTGAGCCACGGTGCCCAGCCTGTATCCAGAGTTTTAATCCTTTCCTCCCAGATGTTGAGGAAATTATATCTCTAATTCATATTTAGTGGGGGAAGGCCTTTACATAACAGAAAGAAAGCAGGAAAGCTATTTCTATCCCATAGTAAATTTCTTCTTATATTTTAATTTTGGTGCTCTTCAGCTCCATAATCCCTTAGACTTGAAACTGGAAAAATCTTTGGCTTCTTCCGCTCCCTATCCCTCTACATCTAGTTTTTTGACAGGTCCTACATATTTCTTCACTCTTTGCTGTTTCATTGGTGTCTCCCTTGTTCAGGCCTTCATCACATTTTCTGGGACTATTATAGTGAGTAGTAGTCTTCAGGGTATCTCCAGTCTGTCTTCCCTCTCCAGTGAGCCAAGCCTAGTATTAGGTCCACTTCAGTGGGTCATCACTGCCTGTCACTCAAAGGAAATATAAACCAAGTACTCAGCCTGACATTCAGACTGTCCTGGCAGAAATAGCCAATTTTATATATTTATATATTTTTTGATTTTTAAAATCATTCTGTAATAGCTACAACAGTTAAAATTTGTAACTACATATACTTTGTTTTCATTTTCTAAAAATGTATACACAGTAAAAGTGGGAGAGAGATAGCCAGGACATATATGCTTGTGTGTTTCAATTGATGTAGTTTAATTAGTTGTTGGATTTGGCAGTAGTTATATTCACCCATGCATGACAGAATAATTTGTGATTGTGATAAAATATTTGCTTATTTTGTCTTTGGGTAAAATAACAACCAATTCATTTTGCAGCTTTTTAAAAAATAGCTAATATTCCTATTGAAAAATTTTTTTAAAAAAATTATAATTAAAGATATAATTAATCCTATCATACCTTCACTATTTTTGTTTTGGAGTATTGTTAGCTTCCATCTGCATATACTGTAAATTGTAATCATAATATATATTGTTTTTTATTCTACTGTTTTACTAAATTTTATTTCATAAATACTTCCACATTTCCATGATTCTGGAAAGTATTCCTTTCTATTTTAATGTCTGTGTAATTTTTGGTAGATACACCATAGTTTACTAAATCACCTTTACTAACACCATACATGCTGCAAAAAATGTGAGTGTGTGTATGTATGTATGTGTTAGTGTGTGTGTGTTTGCACTTTTCTTATGAATCATTTCCTTAGAATAAGTTCCCAGAACAGGATTTTAAGGTCAAATTGGCATTTGCAAAATGTCGGTTCTCTAAAAGTTGGACACATTTACAGTGCTACCAGTAACTGAAGAAACTAATATTTTTTCAAAAGATGGTTTTGAATATGATTACATGCCAAAAAACCGTATTTTTTTCTAATGGTAGATATAGTTTGCTTTAATTTGTATTTATTTGGTTATGTCAAAGATAAACATTTTTAAATGTTTGCTTTCTAAATTGTTTTGTGAATTATCTGGGTTTTTAAAATATGACATTAAAACTAAATCATTGTTTTCAAATGTGTAATATATATCTGCTAAGATGAAATAATTATCTGTCTTTGGTTTAAGAAGATGTTTTATGGTTATTTCAAGAAATCCATTTAATGAAACTTAAATGGAGCATTTTCTGATTAACTGTCAGAACTGAATGAATAAAATTGAAAAGATTTCTTATGGTAAATTTCAAACTAATTCCGGAAATTATTTTTGAAACTATGTATTTTTCAAAATCTATTGAAAAAATAAGAATAATGATGGGAGACTCACAATTAACTAGTACATAATAACAACTAAATCAGCGTAACACTGATGCAGTAGTAGACTTACAGATAAGTGGAACAAACTAGATAACTTAAAAACAAACCCAATATGAATAAGATAAAGTAAGCATTACAAATTGGTGATAATTTAAATTGTCACTGGTAAAATTTGTTAACCCTTTGGGGGAAAAAAAAAAGTTAGATCCCTACTCTATACCAGACTCAAAAAAGCACTAGAAAAAAAATGTTAATGTTTTTATACTCTTGGATTAAGAGGGAACTTTCAAAGAACAACACTAAAGGCAGAACCCATAAAGAAAAAGACTGACAAGTTTGGCGACATAAACTGTTTCAACTTTCACAAATTAAAATAGAAGGAAGAGGCCAGGTTTGGTGGCTCACACAGTAATCCCAGCACTTTGGGAGGCCAAGGCAGGTGGATCACTTAAGGTCAGGAGTTCGAGACCAGCCTGGCCAACATGGTGAAACCCTATCTCTACTAAAAATACAAAAATTAGCCTGGTGTCGTTGCACACGCCTGTAGTCCCAGCTACTCAGGAGGCTGAGGCAGGAGAATCACTTGAACCTGGGAGGCAGAGATTGCAGTGAGCCAAGATTGCGCCACTGCACTCCAGCCAGGGGCGACAAAGCAGGATTCCATCTCAAAAAAAGAAAAATATTATTTCTAAAAGGAAGAAAGAAAAATTTTAAAGGCAAAGAACTGAGAAAATTATTTGCAAAAAGTAACTATGAAAGGCAAAAGATTAATGTCCTCAGGGTTAAAAATGTTCTCACAAATTCAGTAAGACAAACGCAGGCATTCCAATAGAAATGTGAGTAAAAGCCATGAACAGGCAATTCACAAAAGAATTCAGATAGCCAATACACATGTTTTTAAAAAATCACCTTTCACACACATAAATTACTTTTCATACTCAAAATATACATTAAACACAATGAGATGCCATTCTTAACTAGATTAACAAAGATAAAGAATAATAATACTACCCCGTGATGATGAGACTGAGAGGGATATGGTCATTTTCACGCAACCAGGATAATCTTTCTGGAGAGCAATTTGGTAAGGTGTATCAAAAACACAACCCATTGACCCAGAAATTTCACTTCTAGCATTTTGTTTCAAGAAAAATAAGGCAGGTGTGCCAAGGTGAATATACAGTGATGTGTATTGTACCACTGCTTGTAGTACCGCTTTTCGTGAGAGGAACTAGAGCATAGTAGATAAGATTCAGATTGGTAAAAGACCTTAGGCAAATAACTTAATCTCTTTTTGCCTCTGTTTTATCTATAAAATGAAAGTAGTAATAACTATCATCAGACTGTTGTGCCAGTTAGCATGCTTAGAAATAGTTTCTGGCATATAGTAAAGGCTATTTCATTGTTAGCTGTGATTATAACAGTGGAAAACCAAAATAATCTAAACATACAACAATAAGATATTGGTTAAATAACTTATGATTTAGTTATATAATGGAAGAGTCTACACATATTAAAAATGATAATATAGATTTATGTTTTATCATGTAGAGAGATGTTCACATTACATTGCTAGGTGAAAAAAGTAAATGATGAAACAGTATATATAGTATGATCCCATTTTTGTTTTTAAAATAAGTATATATGGTACAGGCAAAACTCAGAATACATGCTAATAGCATTTCTCTCTAGCTAATGGAAACACAGTTACTATTTTATCTACTATCCCTCAGTTTTCTATAGTGAAAATATATTGAATAAGAATATAGTAAAAGCCAAATAGAGGAAACAGTTGGGCAGTTTCTCAGAAAAGTGAACCTAAGAGTTTCCATATGAATCAGACATTTCACTCCTAGATATATAGCCAAGAGGATTGAAAACATATGTTCACATAAAAGTTGTACATGAATGTTCATAGCAGCATTAATCAGCCAAAAAGTGGAAGCAGCCCAAATGTTTATTAACTGATAAACAAAATATGGTATATCCATACAATGGAATATTATTCAGCAATAAAGTAATGAATAATATTAAGCCAAGTAAAAGAAGTCAGAAGTAAAAGGCCACATACTCTATGATTCTGTTTATATGAAATGTCCAGAATAGGCAAACCTTTACAGGCAAAGTAGATTACTGATTGCCAGGGACTGGGAGGAGTGAGGATTGGGAATGACAGCTAATAGATACAGGATTTCTTTGGGGGTGATGAAGGTATTCGGGAATAGATAGCGGTGATGGTTGCAGAACTTAGTGAATATACTAAAAACCACTGAATTGTATATTTTAAAAGAGTGAATTTTATGGTTTGTGAATTACATCAGTAAAATAGTGTTTAAGTAAAATAGAATCTATTAGCTATGAGACACTAGATTTTAAAAGGATTTTTGGCAAACTAAAGTTTATTTTTCATCAAATTCTAATAATTATAGGTATGGATTTTAAAAGAGTAGTTTTTTTGTTCTACCAAAAAGACATATGCATGCGTATGTTCATTAAAATACTAGTGACAGTAACAAAGACATGGAATCTCCCTAGGTGCCCATCAGTGGTGGATAGGATAAAGAAAATGTGGTGCATATGCACCATGGAATACTATATAGCCATAAAAAAGAATGGAATCATGTCCTTTGCAGGATCATGGATGCAGCTAAAGGTCATTATCCTAAGTGAATTAACACAGGAAGGAACAAAAAACCAAATTCTACATGTCCTCACTTATAAGTGGGAGCTAAACAATGAGTACTCATGGCTCATTGACGTAAAGATGGTAACAGTAGACACTGGGGACTGCTAGAAGGGGGAAGAAGATGGGGCAAGGGTCAAAAAACTATTAGGTACTATGCTTAGTACCTGAGGGACAGAATCATTCATACCCCAAACCTCAGCATCACACACTATACCCAGATAACAAATCTGTACGTGTGCCCTCTTGAATCTAAAATAAAAGTTGAAATTATTAATAAATACAAGAGTAAATTTTGTTACAGAAATGTGAATCAGGGAATTATAAGTGACCCTGTAGCTTTATCTCCACAGCTTCCCCTAACCCCCCACAACCCCACTTTAGTTAATGAAAACTTTGGGCATTTTGTTTCTGTTGTCAGAATTTGGCTTTATATTTTAAATTATTTGCACTACTTTTGGAAATTTTAGCCTTTTTTAAATGCTCAGTTATTCTAGTGGCTTTCAGGCAGTTTTAAATGAGAGTGCACACATGTATGTGTGCGTGTGTCTGTGTTTTCTCAAGTAAGCCACCATCTCTGTATCCCACCTTGTGGTGTGTAAGTGGTTCAAGTATGTTCTAGAGTAACGTATGAAGTATAAATTATCTCATTTTCCCCTTTGTGATTTCTCTTTCTCCTCTTTCCATCTCTTTCCCACTCCTGGCCTTTCTTGTGCTCCAAAATATTTGAAAAATGGAGTTAGAGTGTAATACCTTATTTTTAATTAATTCTTTCCTTAAGCATTTTTTGAGCACCTAGTATATATCAAGGCACTGTGCTAAGGTTAAAGAAACAAAAATGAAATACCTGGTTTCAGACAGATAAAGTGATACGTCTTAGAGCTGCTCTGGGAACAGTTCAGGAAGCCGTTTAACCCAGATATGGACCATCAGGCAGGACTTCCTTTTACCATCAATATAATTAGTAGATCTTCTTTTAAAGCACGTCACATCAATTCTGCATTTTTAGAAAACTGTTGACAGTATAGTTTATTCTTGGCCCTTAGCACACCCCATAATTATATAAGCACAGAAAAAAATCTTGAGAAAAACTGTGTGGATCTATCCCCAAGAGAGATGTATAAGCCAAAAATTATTTTTTAATTGGCATCAATAGTAAGCAGTACAGGCACAGAGACACTGGGTGAAGGCCTGCTTTCTGCTCGACTGCTTAGAATGTTTAAGATCTTTTAAACCATCAGAGCTTTTAATGGCCTTGCTTCCCCTAATAATAATACCTACTAGATTTTAAAAAATACTAGCATGAACTTAAAGGAATTACTATTCTCATTGGTGTTTTTAAAGAAACAAACAAGCCTCTCTATACTGCTTTCTTCAGGACTGATTTTCAACTGATACGTACTGGTATAGCCATATTGGTTGTGAAATATTGAAATATGTTACTGGTTAGTAAAGAGCTGCTACGGTAAGCTGTCTAGATGCCCCGCCACAGCCTGGCCTTTCCAACAGGAACTTCACTCCTGCACCTCTCCACAATCCAACAATTAAAAGGTTATCCCGTGGCGTAGCAGGAGGCCTTTAGGTCCCTTCTTCACTAGGCTTGCATCCGTAGTGATTGCTGGTGCTTGGGCCATCCCTTCCCTGTAATAATTTTGAATATCATCCCGACTTTCGGACTGATCAAGTAAATCATTAATGTTTTATCAGTGTTTGTGTTCTGCAATTTACAGTATCAATTAGCTCTAGCTCGCCTGTGTTGCTTATCTGTATAGAATCAACATTCGCAGTTGCATTATTTCTGAATAAGCCTAGGATGCCATCATATGATAACTCAAGTCCCTAAACCACACTGCATTTTTTCTCTCTTTGTTTCTCTCAATGTTGACAGTTTGACCTAAGTTCTGCATTCTCTTGTTCCTTTCAGTTCGCTTTGCACCTTATAGGCCTCCAGATATCTCCTTGAAGCCTCTGCTCTTTGAAGTGCCCAGCATCACTACAGAGTCAGTGTTTGTTGGCCGAGATTGGGTTTTCCACGAAATAGATGCTCAACTTCAAAGTTCAAATGCCAGCGTGAACCAAGGAGTAGTGATTGTGGGAAACATTGGATTCGGCAAAACTGCCATCATCTCCAGACTGGTGGCCCTCAGCTGCCATGGTACAAGGATGAGACAGATCGCCTCAGACAGCCCACATGCCTCCCCCAAACGTACGTATTCCTTTTTAAAGAACTCCCTGTTTCATTGGCGCTGAAGTTTTTCTGACATATTTATATTAGGTCGTATATCCTTTTATTTTCTCATCTGCAAAACCTGACTTCCACGTGAGGACTATTCATTTAGGTTGAGAGAAAGATTGTAATACTCTATTTACATCTAACCCACATACCCAGTAGTCACCTAAGCGTGACTGAAGAAAAACCTTTCTCGTGGAATAAGTTTATGACTCCTCCGTGCCGGCTGTGTGGTTGGACTGTCCTCTAGATAACGACCGCAGCAATTGCCCGTAGAGCAATTTGCATTCATCACTGTTGGATTTTGCTCAGTCTGTGCCCAGTTCTTCTTCTTATTTGCCAGCACAGTCTGTTTGCATCCTTCATCTCTTTGCTGTTGGCGTCAGTGTTGCACTGCTTGGACTTGAGCTTCGTTGTGTCCTTGAAGGGGTTCTCTCCTGCTTCCTTGTGAAAAGGTGCTGAGCTCTCATATGTATTCAGGCTTCTTTCATCACAACCAGGGGGCAGCCCAGTAATCACTACCAGGATCTTACTGATTTATTTTTAAAACACTCATATGGTACTTACTATGTGCCAGATACTCTCTTAACTTTTTTACAAATATTAATTCATCACATCCTGTTACCAGCTCAATGAGGTTGTCTTCATTTCACAGGTAAGTAATCTGAGGCCCAGAGAGGTTAAGTAAGTTCTGCTAGGTTTTACAGCCAATAAATGGGAGAACTAAGCAGTCTGGTTTCAGAGGCCATTCTCCTATCCATTTTACTATGCTGCCTCTCCTTACTGGTGAAACTCACTTGAGTAAAGAAAATAAATAGAAATGTATCAGTATTCTTCTTATACATACTACATGTATAGAACCAGTTTACCTGGTTTCTGTTAGTTAGAAGAGAACAAAAAAAGAAACTATTGCTTTGTTAGTCCAAATCAATAATCTAGCCCACCACAGACTTTCAGACTGCAACCACTAGAAATGGTTTGTGTGAGATAATAGTAGTTACAGGGTCTAGCACAGTGCTGGAAACTTAACAGGAACTCAGTGAAGACCCTCCAAACTTATTGACTTCCTATTGAAGCTAGTTAGCAGCCTTGTATCATTAAGGAGGCAGATGGCCTCTGATAAACTTATGGATGTCTAACGTGGAAGAACTGGTGTCTTGGAAGAAAACTGAATCAAAATACCTCTTTACCAGGGTATGGTAAGAATTGGTATGGAAGAATTCTTTTCTTCAGAGGAATATAATGCTTAGTTTCTAAATGAAGCTCTTCTGAGGTAGATTGCCATAGTACTGTGGGAGTCAGGAGCCCAGGGTTTGTGCCCCAACACTCAAATTGACTAGACTTTGTGAACTTGAGAATTTTACTTGAATTTTTTAGAGCTCAGTTTTCTTATTTGTAAAATGAAGAAGTGTGACTAATTGATCTTTCAGAATTGTCTCTGCTAAAATTTTGATTCTGAGAACACATCTTCATGGTTAAAAGTAACTTTCCACACTATTCCAGTGTTTTCCTTTGAGTGTTTAAGTATTTATCACTCCAAACTGCTGTTTATCTGAGTAGTTCAAGTGGCTTGCAATTTGAGTGTGTCAGAAAGGAAGCCAGAAAGCTCAAGCTCTCTGTGACTCCTCTGTATATCAGAGTTGCAGATAACAGAGTGGTAGAATCATGCATGACAGAAAATAAATCCCAAGGACGAGAAGAGTTGCTTTCACAGAAAGCAGAGGTACCTGGGGATCTCTCTATGAGCCTGGGGGAGCAAAAGTTTATAGAAAACAGCCCATGTACTCCCCAAAGCAGAGATTCTTTAAAGGTAGTTCACTAAGTTATTCTCTAACATCCATTGCCTTCAGGAGAATCTCCAGAAACACCAAGACACTCCCCATTCATGAGATAAACATCCGTTGTTGAGACTGTAGATTTGGTCTGACAGTTAACTTTCCGAATTTGAAAGGAGTTAAGAGAGCTAAATATGCGGTTCTATATATCAGAATTACTCAGAACCAATGTTACCTTATACAAAATAATTTTTGTTACAATTTATTGATGGCCAAACTATATTCTACCAGTGCCATCTTAACCAATAGAAGGGTCAAGAATAAGTGACTGATATAATGCAAGCTATTTTTTGGCACAAATCTGTTACCTATATGAACTGGTGTTGAATATGTTACTGGCAGGAGCAGCAGTTTTTTCACTAATAGTAAGAATGATGTCTGTATATGGAGGGTTGGCTTAATTTTTTACAGAATATAAGTTATTAATATAAGTTATTATATTAAACTTAATATAAGTTATTATATATAAACTTAATATGAGTTATCATATTAAGCTTGGATGGGTCATTTGGAACCTCACTGGCTTTCTTAATCCTTGGGTGATGATACTAATTAATAGTTGTAGTGATAATAAAAAAACATGGGAAATCACTGGAGTTCCCAACTTCTTTCTCTGCATCATCTGTCATTCTTTCTTCTGCCCCTGTCTTCTTTCTGTTTGGTGTTCAGAGAATAGTAGAAATAAAAGCTGAGCACCACTGCTGTGGAAGATAGGAGCAGTTTAGCCTGCAGTACTGCCTTGCTTGGCTGTCCTTCCCCCACAGAAACTCAGCCCCCCAGCCCGCCCCCCTCCTTGTCATTTCCCTGGAAAGGTATAGAAAAGCTGTCAAGGCAGGCACTAGCCTGTCATCCTGCTTTCCACCTACTCTCCCAAACCTGACACCCCCATCAGTCTCCACCACCACCACCACCATTATCCACACCCCCAACACACACACACACAAAGAACAAAAATATTTTGTGAAAACAGACCTGTTGTATAATTCAGGATTATTACATTAACTACAGGTATTCTCAGTATAGTAGTTGGGGAAGCTCTAATACAAGACTGTATGTTTCTATCACTAAAAGTCTCAATGTAGTTATTATTTGGATTTGACATTTGCCAACAGCTGCCAAGCCCCCAAACAGCTGTTAAGTAAATAAATCCTACGTTCCTACTCTGTTCATTTCAGAAGTCTCTTTTGCCAGTGTGCTATGCACATTGACTATTGCCTACCTATTAACTTTTATTTCTACTATTGTCTGAATACCAAACAGAAAGTAAGGTGTTTAGACAAAAAGGAGGGCATTTCCAAAAGGAAATAGCTAGAAAGACAGAGGGCATTTGGACAGTAATTACCCACAAAATCAAATACCAGATAAAGGGGAATAGAGTAGGGGAAGGAAGTGAACAGCAGAAATAATGCAGAAATAATACAGTAACATACAATCACTGAACTTCACCTCAACCCAAATGTCACACAGTCCTTGAGGCTTCTTTCACTGCCATCCTCCATGCCCACCCCCCTGCAGTTATCCAGAACTGTATCCAGTGACCAAGAAATTTACTGCACCAGTTAAATGAAAGAAGTCTAAATTCACTCCTACTGGTAAGGAGTTAAATGAGGACTACTTTTTCCTATTCTTCCTTCTTTTCAATCACTATTGGCCATCAAATAACAACTTCTAATATTTACTTTGGTATCTATTTTTAAAGTATGATCTTATTCATAAATATAGCCTATAATTTCTACTAGTAACAATAAATGTTCTAAATAAGAACAAATTGAATTTTTAAAAAAATCTTAAAACAGTTTTATTGAGCTGTAACTCACATACTATGTAATTCACCCATTTAAAGCGTTCAACTCAGTATTTTTAGTATAATTCACAGAGTTGTATAGCAATCACCATAATGTAACTTTAGGCCATTTTCATCCCCTTAAAAGAAGCTCATGCCTGTTAGCAGTCAATCCCCATTCTCCTCTTAACCCTCTATTTCCAGCCCTAGGTAACCACTAATTTACTTTCTGTCTCTACAGATGTTTCTGTTCTGGGCATTTCACATAAATAGAATCATACAATATATGGTCCTTTTTTTTACTGACCTCTTGGATTTAGCATAACATTTTCAAGGGTTTATCCCCGTTCTAGCATGTATCGGTATCTCATTTCTTTTTATTGTTAGTAGTCTATTGAATGGATATTTTGTATTTCATCTATTCATCAGTTGGTGGGCATTTAGGTTGTTTCCACTTTTGGCTATTATGAATCGTTCTTCTGTGAACACTTGTGTACAAGTTTTTGGGTGGACATGTGTTTTTATTTCTCTTAAGTATATACTTAGGAGCAGAATTGTTAGATCATAGAACAAATGGAATTTAGCCATTTTTCCTTAAAGTTTTTATGATTATCTGATGCAAACATCTAAATCTTTTTAATCCAGATGTGGATGCCAACAGAGAGCTGCCACTCACACAGCCACCTTCAGCCCACTCATCTATCACCAGTGGAAGCTGCCCAGGAACTCCGGAAATGCGCAGGCGGCAGGAGGAGGCTATGCGAAGACTAGCCTCGCAGGTACAATATGATTCCCACGTTGGGGATATGGTAGTTCCATTTTAATATCAAGGAAGCAAAGATAGGGAGACCTTTGGCAAAGTGAACAAAAATACGTAAAGCTATACCATGAGAACGTGGAGGAAAGTTTCTCTTTCTTTGATATTCCTAGAAAAATACTTTATTGTGATGGGATCAGAACCTTAGAGTTGGAAAGACCCTTAGAAAAAACGTCTTCTAGTGAATAAATAAAGAAGTTGAGACCGAAGTGGGTTAGTTGGTTGGTTTGTTTTGAGACGGAGTTTCTCTCGGTTTCCTGGGCTAGAGTGCAGTGGTGCAATCTCAGCTCACTGCAGCCTCCACTTCCCAGGTTCAAGTGATTCTTGTTCCTCAGCTTCCTGAGTAGCTGTAGCTGGGACTACAGGTGCGTGCCACCACACCAGACTAATTTTTGTATTTTTAGTAGAGACGGGGTTTTGCCATGTTGGCCGGGCTTCTCTCAAACCCCTTATCTCAGGTGATCCACCCGCCTCAGCCTCCCAGAGTGCTGGGATTACAGGCGTGAGCCACTGCACCCAACCGGAAGTGGTATGTTTTACCCAACATCAGGGTATAAGTAATCAACAGTTTTAAATTTTCATTCCTAGCTTAAAACTCTTCGTGCTATACTACCCTGTCCATAATATTTTTTATACATTTGAGTTTGAAATTTCTATTTTTTTCAAAATAACATAAACACATAGAAAATCAAAGAATGCTCAAAACCAGCAGTGCTCTTCCTCTACCCCACCCATCTTCTCTCCACAGGCAGCCACTTTTACCTCTTAAGGAAGTTTCTCTGATTTTCACCTCCATATTTCTAAATACTATTCGTATACTGCTAAAATTTTTATTAGTTTACAAATTATCTATTGCTTCTTATTATGGATGATGGGAATTATAGTTGTTTCACCTTCCTTCTTCCTACCACCATCCCAATACAATTATTGCATGATTTTTGGCTGAATCCATATTATATATAGTATTTTCAGTATTAATACTGTGCAAATACATCACTCTGGCGCCAAGGATAACATTTCCTTCTTGAACGATTTTGTTTTTCCTAGGGGTTTATGAAATGCCTCATTTTAAAATTTGCTTATTTTTCTTCAAATCTTTGGCTAAGTCATTTCATAACCCTTAATGTAGTTTTGTAAAATTTCTGTCAGTACAGTTTTCCACACTTACAAGTTACATTTTTTACCCTGGAGGCCTCCGTCCTAGAGCCCTCCATCGAGCTCAGTCTGGACCTAGGACACTCTGAAGGCTTACCACCTTGTTCTCCTGGGAGTTCCTGTCCCTCCTCTTTTGTGTTTCATCTCATGTCATATTCTTTCTCGATTTTATTCTTCATTTTGGTGGAGCATATCTTCCAGTAGCTTCCTAACAAAAAATGCATAGGACATAAATTTTTTGATACTTACTGTTTCTAAAAGCATCATTATTCTATGCTTATACTTGCTTATTTGTTTGACACAGTATATCATTCTAGGGTAAAAATTATTTTTTCTCAATTTTGAAGGCATTGCTCCATTGTCTTGAGCTTCCAATATTGCTACTAAATACTCTGATACTATTCTTATTCCTAATCCTTTATATATACCTTGTTTTCTCTCCAAATGCTTTTAGAATCCTTTTTATCACCATTGTTCTTGAGTCTTTTTCATTTATTCTGTTGGTACCTAGCAAGCCCTGGAAATATTCTTTAATTCTGAGTAATGCTTTTGTATTATGTATGATGATTTCCTCACCACCATTTCCTCTATTTTCTCTTTCTACAACTCGTATTAATAAAAAATTAGATTTCTGGCTGGGCGCAGTGGCTCATGCCTATAATCCCAGCACTTTGGGAAGCCAAGGTGGGTGGATCATCTGAGGTCAGGAGTTTGAGACCAGCCTGACCAACATGGCAAAGCCCCATCTCCAAAAAAATACAAAAATTAGCCAGGTGTGGTAGCATGTGCCTGTAGTCCCAGCTACTCAGGAAGCTGAGGTAGGAGAATCCCTTGAACCCAGGAGGTGGAGGTTGCAGCTAGCCAAGATTGCGCCACTGCACTTTAGCCTGGGCAACAGAGTGAGACTCCATCTCAAAAAAAAAAAAATTAAATTTCCTATACTGGTATGATACTCTCATTTTCTTAACTTTTCTGTTTTCTATACTTTTGTTTTTTGGTTTTTTAATCCACCTTTGAGAGATTTCTTCAACATTACTTTCCAATCCTTTTACAAAAAATTTATTTTTGCTCTCATAGTTTTAATGTGTAACAGTTCTTCCTTTTCTCCAGCTGTCTCCTTCTTTTTATAGCATCCTGTTCTTGTTTTATGGACGCAATGTATTCTTTACTTAGGCACTGAAAAAACTGATTAGAAGCTTGTGTGTGTAGAGAGCTTGACCATAGAACATTAAGATGATCCGCCCTTTTTTTGAAATGCCCAAAAGTCAGTATTCCTAAGTTTTTTTCCTGGGCTGTTCAAATTCTCTAGCAAAGAATCCTCCAGTCTTCTGACTGGAGAGTATATGTCTTGGGTGCCAGCATTTTGGAGCTGGGCAGGAAAAGAGGGCTGGAGCTTCACTGTTCACTATCAGACATTTATTTAAGCCCCTTGTTTTCAGTCCTGCACCTGATCTCTACCTTGCTCAATGTGTGGTGTCCCTAAGTCTAGATTCTCTCTTGTTTAATTTCTCTAGTTCTCTTTCCTGTGGGTGTTGGGGAAGGTAGTCACCTGGCTGGGCAGGGCAGGGATGGGAATCTGGGGATCTAACTTCTTACATAAACTTCATATAAATTCTGTGTTTTCAGGTCCCTTCACCCTTCTCTTCCACAGTACCTGGTGTTTCTAATTCCTATGCTTTGTGGAAGTTTTACAGATGGTCTGTAATATTGTAAGGTTCAAATTTTTCATAGAAATACACTCCAGCTCCAAGCCAGAAACAGCATGTTTTCCCAGATACATTATTAATTATTCCTACTCAGTAGTACATCCTCATCTATAAATGGGCTTCTGCAAAATCTGAGATTTCCGTCAATTCATTGCGAAGTCATTGTAGCTTTAAAAGACATCTCTGTTTTTTTCTAAATATCTCCTGTGTAAACGGTCTCTATCCTCTTCTTTAGAACAGTTAGAATCCCTGTAATCCCAGCACTTTGGGAGGCCGAGGCGGGCGGACCACAAGGTCAGGAGATCGAGACCATCCTGGCTAACATGGTGAAGCCCCGTCTCTACTAAAAATACAAAAAATTAGCCGGGCGTGGTGGCGGGCGCCTGTAGTCCCAGCTACTCGGGAGGCTGAGGCAGGAGAATGGCGTGAACCTGGGAGGTGGAGCTTGCAGTGAGCTGAGATCGCACCACTGCACTCCAGCCTGGGCGACAGAGCAAGACTACGTCTCAAAAAAAAAGAACAGACTAATATCTATCTTAGAAATACACAGATGTTAAAGTGCTTCCAGCACTTCAGTTATTCAGTCATTCAGTTATTCAGTTTAGATATACATTTGAAGGACCTATAGTCCAGGACTGAAGATAAATCAGTGAACAAAACAGACACAATTCCTGCTGTTATACAGTCCACATTCTCATGAGAGAAAGACAATAAACAAATACATATATAGTATGTCAGAAGATGATAAGTGCTAAGATCACAGAGAATTAATTCTCCTCACTTTCTTACATCTTATTCTTTCTCTCATCAAGAGAAGTCCCAAGATGTTCATGTTCAATATTTGGAAAACATTACATGTCATAAGTAGGAAATTAGTGGCTACTGTTTATACTTATTTGAGGCATGATTACATGTTAAATTTCATGATTGTGTCTTCCTTAAGCAAAATATAAATTAATCTAGTTGCACCTAGACATGGAATCCTGTTCAGCTTATAACATTGTATCAGAAGTAGCCACTTAGCTTAAAACTGAATGTTATCCCAGTTATTGTGCTACGTGTTACAGTTCAGCTACACAAAAGTGTTCTGTAGACGCATAGAGCAGAAGCCTGCAATCTTGCTGCTCACCTATAGCAAACCAGTAAGCAGAAATTATCTTTTAAATAGGATTTTCAAATTAGTTAATGTTTTGATGAGGTAGACTAACATGAAAATTTAAAGTGTTCTTGAAAAATCTCTCAATTTGACATATTCTTGGTGTCATTTCTTTGTATGTCAGTAATTATCATTGGTATTTCATAACATTCTTGCTCTTTCTTGTGCATCTAGTTAACTGAGAACACTGGAGAGTTTTTGTCACAACTTTAGAACTATTTCATTTATTGAAGAAATACTTTCCATTTGAAGCAAAGATTTTGATAGGTTGGCATCTCTCGAGCGTGTCTCCACTTAACATTACATATTTCTTCTAAAGCATAATCACAGTAGAGGGACAGGGAGATCTCATTCAGGGCCTTTCCTGGATATGTGAATTTAACTCCAACAGAGATTTCTCTAGGTTTTGAATCTGTTGTGCCCCTGTGGTAATACACACAAAATTCACGAGACAAGGAGAAGTTGGCCTCCCTTTATGGAAGGCTTAATGTGTGTTATGGGCTTAGTGCTATTTACCTTATATTTGCTATATCATTTCTTCATTTTTACCTTAACCCTATGAGGTACATCATTATCTCATTTTACAGATGAAGAAACAGTGACTTCAGTGATTAATTTTTTCAAAGTCATACTGTTAATAAATAACGAAGTGAGGATTCAGAGTCAGTATCCTCCCCTGTAATGTGAATACTATGGTTATCCCCATTTTACAAATGAGGAAATAGAGGCTCTGAGGTTAAATAACTTGCTTGAGACCATAAGCTAGTACATGACTGAGTCAAGATTTAAACTGAGGCAGGCAAAGTCTATACTCTTAACCACTGCACGAAGCTGCTTCTCTAGTGTGACAGGAAGGAATTTAGTTTAGTGTTATTTCGAAAAATCCATCCATCATTTAAGGTGGCTTCACAGCAAGAAAATTATAATGAAGATGTACTTTCAGTCATTTTGCTGACCTAAAATTCTTCTTCAAAAAAGGTTTTTATGCAACTAGAATCTCCCAACACATTAAGCAAGTTGTCACTGACAGTCCTTAGATTAAGAAGCTAACATATCTGAAATGAGTTCATTAGAGAAAACAGCTAATTTTAGGAAGTGTCACAGAGATACAAAAAGCAAAGGTTTTTTTTCCCAAGGAAATCTATGTAAGAAAAAAAGTAAATGTCATCCTTGCCAAGAGACAAGTTCTGTACTATACCAGGGGGTGTCAAATGATCATGGTTCCTGAAATTGTTGCAGTCACTATTAAAGCTGTCAGCCAAAGAAGTAGTCATTTCAGTAATCCTTTAATATTGAGCATTTTGAACATAATATGGAAATGTAAGCCAGAAACATGCACACACACACACATACATACACAGAAAATGAAAAACAATAATGAAGAATAAGATTTTATTTGTGTTGTAGTGATTATTTTTAAAAATATTTTCATTTAGTAGAAATGAGATCCAAACTAAACAACACATACCCCATAGATGATGTTTTATAAAATTTGTCTAGGGCTTTTCTTCTCTAAAAATTAACACTGACGTTTTACTGTCAGACCCAGATTTCATCTACATTTGGAACACTGAATATGGGAAAACAGCCTTGTTGTTTATTGTTAATTTCTATGTTGTTTTTATTTTCTACCTCTTCCACTAGAATGGGTCAGTGTTTAAATGTTCACCACCATATCCCCAGCTCCTACACAATGCATGGCACATAAATATTTGAATGAAGAAATTCTAGTCAATTCTCTGTACTGAGTAATCTTTCTAAAACATTTGTTTTTTGCTACTTAAAGCCATCAAATAGCTCCTCCTTGCCCTTGAATGAAATCCAAACTCCCTTCTTAAAATATCATAAAAATTGTAATGAAAGGACCTCTGCTTTTCCCAGGACCGGTTATTTTAGACTACATAATTCTTTGTGTGGGGTGGGGGGCGGGGGGCGGGCAGGGGCAAGGCGGATGTTGTCCTGTCTACTATAGGATATTTAGAAGAAGTGACCTTGACCTCTGTGCTACCAGTAGCACTCCCTCAACCTCTAATTAAGACAACCAGAAACGTCTCCAGAAATTGCCAAATGTTTCCTGGGGAGCAAAACCACTGCCAGTGGAAAACCTCGCCATGCCCTATCTTCCACCATTCCCCACTCACTTATATGCTAGCCACACTAAAATTGATTTCAGTTCCTTGAAAGTAAAAAGCTATGTCTTGCCTTAGGGCCTTTGCATACTTTTTTCCCCTGCCTGGAAAACTACCACACCTTGGTTCACCCCTTGTCCTTCTTCATGTCTCAGCTTAAATATTGCTTCTTCTAAAAAAGCTTTCTCTGGCTCTCCTAAATTACCTTAAGGTGCCCCAGCTGTGTGTTGCCCTAGCACCCTATGTTTCCTCTCTTCTATCACACTATTATTATTACTTGTTTAATTGCCTCTGTTTCCTGCTAAACTGTGGAGGGCAGACAGGGGTCATAGCTATATTACTCATTATTATAGCTTTAAAACCTAGCACAGTGCCTGATATACAATGGAAGTTCAATTAATATTTGTGAATGAATGAAAATGTTAGTGTTTTCTATTAGGAAATCTTGGAGTATTCAGCTGGGTACTTATACATGATAGTGGTTCCCAACCAATTTATAAGGTCAATTCAGAATCAGATTCATGTGTTCCGGGAATGAATCTTGTTTGAGAATCTGGAATTCCACCAATCCTCTAAGACAAAGTTTCATAAACTGTAGATTGAATGTACTTAGACTGTTTATGTGTGCCAGATCAGCATCTCTAGGAATTCCAGATGAACTAAATAAATTAGCCGCTTTTCTTTAAAATTTGTATTTGTTATCGGCCCTAACCTCCTTTGGCTCAAGTAATCAGTAATGTATAATTGAATAGTAGCAATATACAGGATACAGCTGTTTAGATCTAGAATTATAACAAAGATAAACATTATCCTGATCTCAGCTACAGCTAATTAAACAACAGGGCTCTGACTACGAGCCATTGAGGCATACTGTAAAGCCTAAATCAAAACGGTGTGTTTCTAGTATGTGAATAGACAAGTGGAATAGAATAAAAAGTTCAGAATTAGACCCAAGGACATGTGGACACTTAGTGTATGATGAAGGCAGTATTTCAGATCATTGGGATAAAGGTGGACTTTTTAATTAAATGGGCTGAGACAACTAAATAACCATATAGATAACTCATATCTCACACCATGCACAAGAATAAGCAAATGGATTAAGGATCTAAATATTTAAAAATGAAACCATGCAACTAATGGAAGAAAACTTAGTAACTTTCTCTTTAACCTTGGTGAAGAGAAAGGCTTTCTAGGATCTAAAGCTAGAGGAATAGAAGAAAAGATTGACAAATTTGGCCACGTGAAAAAATTTTACCAGCCTGGGCAACATAGTGAGACCCTGTTTCTATGAAGAAAAAAAAAATTAGCTGAGCGTAATGACAAGTGCTTATAGTCCCAGCTACTCAGGGTGCTGAGGTGGAAGGATTGCTTGAGCCCAAGAGGTATGGGCTGCAGTGAGCCACAATCATGCCACTGCACTCCAGCCTGGGTGATAGAGTGAGACTGTCAAAAACAACAACAACAACAACAAAAAAAAAACTTCTAATGTTGCATGACCAAAAAATACCAGAAACAAAGTCAAAAGACAACTGATAAACTGAGAGAAAATATTGACAAAAGAGCTCAAAAGTACAGGCAACAAAAGGAAAAATAGACAAATGGAATGACATGTAAACTAAAAACCTTTTGCACAGCAAAGGAAACAGTTAACAAAGTGAGGAGACAATTCACAGAAGGGGAGAAAATCTTTGAAAACCATACATCTGATAAGGAGTTAATATCTAAAATATAAAAGGAACTCAGACAATTCAATGGCAAAAAACAACCTGATTAAAAAAATGGGCAAAGGACCTGAACAGACATTTCTCAAAAGAAGGCATACATGTGGCCAGCAGGTACATGAAAAAATGCTCAGCATAACTAATCATTAAGGAAATGCAAATTAAAACCACATTGAGATATCATCTCACACCAATTAGAATGGCTTTTGCCAAAAAGACGAAAGATAAGTGTTGGCAAGGATGTGGAGAAAAGGGCACTCTTTACGTTGTTGGTGGGAATGTAAATTAGTACAGCCATTATGGAAAACAGCATGGAGGTTCCTCAAAAAACTAAAAATAGAGCTATCATATGATCCAGTAATCCTGCTTCCAAGTATATATGCAAAGAAACTGAAATCAATGTCAAAGGGATAGCCACACGCCCATGTTCATTGCAGCATCATTTGCAGTAGCCAAGATATGGAACCAAGCTGAATGGATTCTTTAAGTGTGTTATTTTTTTAAAAAAGCAGTTTGGAAATTTCTCAAAGAACTTAAAACAGAGTTACTGTTGAACCCAACAATCCCATTACTGGGTATATACCCAAAGAAATATAAATTGTTCTATATATAAATATAAAGACATGTGTCCATGTGTTCATCGCAGCACTTTTCACAATAGCAAAGCCATGGAATCAACCTAGATGCCTATCAGTGGTGGCCTGGATAAAGAAAATGTGGTACATATACACCATGGAATACTGTGCAGCCATTAAAAAAAAAGAATGAAATCATTCATGGTTTTTTTTATTATACTTTAAGTTTTAGGGTACATGTGCACAATGTGCAGGTTAGTTACATATGTATACATGTGCCATGCTGGTGTGCTGCACCCATTAACTCATCATTTAGCATTAGGTATAACTGCTAATGCTATCCCTCCCCACTCCCCCCACCTCACAACAGTCTCCAGAGTGTGATGTTCCCCTTCCTGTGTCCATGTGTTCTCATTGTTCAATTCCCACCTATGAGTGAGAACATGCGGTGTTTGGTTTTTACAGCAACATGGATGCAGCCGGAGGCCATCATGCTTAGCAAATTGATACAGGAACAGAATACCAAATACTGCATGTTCTTGCTAATAAATGGGAGCTAAACATTGAGTACACATGGACACAAGAAAGAGAATAACAGACACTGGGGCTCACTTGAGGGTGGAAAGTAGGAGGAAGGTGAGGATACTACCTGTCGGGTACTATGCTCACTGTGGGTGACAGTCATCTGTACACCAAACCCCAAGCAATTTACCCATTAACAAACCTGCCCATGTACTTTCTGAACCTAAAATAAAAGTTGGAAGAAAAACAGAATTTTAAAACATGGTATGTGTATGTGTATATGTGTGTGTGTGTGTGTGTGTGTGTGTGTGTATTCATTGTGTGTGTGTGTTTGTATAATAGAATACTACTTAGCCTTTAAAAAGAAGGAAATCCTGTCTTTTGCAAGAATAGGGATAAAACTGAAGGACATTATGCTAAGTTAAATAAGCCAGAAACAGAAAGACAAATACTGCATGATCTTTCTTATATGTGGAATCTAAAAAAGTTAAACTCATAGAAGTAAACAGTAGAAAGATAGTTACCAGAGACTGGGAGTGTGAAGAAGGAAGGAATGGGAGAAGTTGTTGATCACAGGTGATCAACAACTTCTCCCTTGTACAAATTTTCAGATAGATAGGAAGAATAAGTTTTAAGATCTGTTACAAAGCAGGGCAACTACAATAATATATTTCAAAATAACTAACTTTTAAGTGTTTCACCATAAAAAATGATACAATAGGGAGGTGATACATGTCAATTAGCTTGGTTTCATCATTCCACATTATATACATATATCAAAACATCACATTGTACCCCATAAATGTATGCAATTATGATTAGTCAATCAAACATAATAATTTAAAAATCTACCACTTGTCAACTTTTAGCATAGTATCAAAGAAAAACATCCACCTTCCCTTCTCCAACATATGACTGGCATTTCGTCTTGTACTTGAATCCAAAACAGTTTCTTGGAGCATACTGAATGCAGAGGCAGATTTGGGAGTCTATTGCAAAAATTTACACAGTGCCACTTTCTGAAATGTTTGCTTTGAAAAATAGTTATTTTCATAAAACATATTCTTAGATGTCAGCATGATAGATTTATTATTTTTTTAATGAATCAATAAAAATTTTAAGAAAAATTATAGCATATACTACAGATAAAGAGTTAATATCTCTTATATTTAAAGAACTCTTTAAAATTGAGGAAAAGACCAAAACATGATGAAAAAATGGGAAAAAAATAAACAGACAACTCACAAAAAAGATTAAAATGGCCTTGAAACATTTTGAAACATGTTCAAACTCATAACTAAAGAAATGCAAACTAAATCAATACTGAGATACCAGTTTTTTACCTATCAACTAGCAAAAATTTTAAAACATGACAATTTAAAAACTATTCTGTTGTCAAGGCTGTGGGAAAACAGACACTCTCATACTGGAGCACGCCTGTCAACACCATTTTTCTGAGAGCATGTGTTTGCTTCATGTCTCCATGTCACATTTGGTAATGCTTGCAATATTTCAAACTTTTTAATTATTACTATATTTGTTATGGTAATCTGCGATCAGTAGTCTTTGATGTTACCATTGTAATTGGTTTCAGATACCATGAAGACAGCAAATTTAATAAATGTTTTATGTGTTCCGATGACTCTACTGACCAGCCATTCCCCCATCTCTGTCTCCTTGGGCCTCCCTATTCTCTGAGACACAATATTGAAATTAGGCCAATGAATAACATCATAATGGCCTCCAAGTGTTCAAGTAAAAAGAAGAACTGCACATCTCTCACATTAAATCAAAAGCTAGAAACAATTAAATTTAGTGAGGAAGGCATGTCAAAAACCCAAAATAGGCTGAAAGCTAGGCCTCTTGCACCAAGCAAGTAATCAAGTTTTGAGTATAAGGGAAAAGTTCTTGAAGGAAATTAAAAGTGCTGCTTTAGTGAACACATGAACAGTAAGAAAGCAAAACAAGCTTTTTGCTGATACAGAGAAAATTTTAGTGGTCTAGTTAGAAAATCAAACCAGCCACAAAATTTTCTATAAGCCAAAGCCTAATCCAGAGTAAGGCCCTAACTCTCTTCAATTCTATGAAGGCTGAGAGAGGTGAGGAAGCTTCAGAAAAAGAGTTTGAAGGTAACAGAGGTTGATTCATGAGGTTTAAGGAAAGAAGCCATCTCCATAACATAAAAGTGCAAGGTGAAGCAGTACGTGCTGATACACGAGCTGTAGCAAGTTATCCAGAAGATCCAGCTAAGATAATTGATGAAAGTGGCTACACTTAAACCATAGATTTTCCTTTTTTTTCATTGTTTTACTTTACATCTTTATTACATATTTTCTGAGACTTTATTTTAAAAAAAAAATTTATTCAGGATCATAATTTGCATGACAATAAACAATGGTTTCGTGGGTTCCAAATTCTTAAAGGTGACCATACCAATTTAAAATACAAGTCATCTTTTTGATTTGCAGCACCTGACTTAAAATATAATTCATCTAATGCATTCATTAAAAGTGTCCGTTCTTTTATAAGAAAGATATGTTTTAATTGCTGTTTTCCAGACTGTTAAACATGGGTATATATTATTTTTAATTGGTTAGCAGAATTTTACTCACATAATTTATAGCCACAACAAGAGCCTCTAGCCTCTCTGAATGGACTTCCACTGAGAACAATGATGATAATAAATATCTAAAATGTAGGCGGAGCGCGGTGGCTCCTGCCTGTAATCCTAGCACTTTGAGAGGCCGAGGTGGGTGGATAACCTGAGGTCAGGAGTTCGAGACCAGCCTGGTCAACATGGTGAAACCCCATCTCTACTAAAAATACAAAAATTAGCCAGGCATGATGGCGCATGCCTGTAATCCCAGCTACTTGGGAGGCTGAGGCAGGAGAATTGCTTGAACCCGGGAGGCAGAGGTTGCAGTGAGCCGAGATGACACCATTGCACTCCAGCCTGGGCAACAAGAGTGAAACTCCATCCCAAAAAATAATAATGTATCTGGGGTGTGCCCCTACTTGACATTGCCAAGTGTGTTTCCAAATATTCTTAGAAAATATGGTTTTTAAACACATGCATAATATTCTACCACATGATGCATTATCACTTCTTTAACCATTTATTTCCTAATTGTTTATATTATTTGCAACTTTTTGATATATAAATAACATTGTGATCCATACCTTCATTCATAAGTTTTATGCAAGACTGATTATTTCTTTAGAATGATGTCAAAGAAGTGGCTTACTAGTATAAACAGTGCAAATGGTCTAAAGGCTTTTAGTGTACTTTACCAAATAATTTCCAGAATAGCTTGAACAAATCCCACCAACAGTATGTTATTGTGCCCACGAAGTGGACTTGATAACAGTGAAGCAAATTCAACCACAAATCTATTAGATTCTCATCCATCTCTAAACTGTCATGTCAAAGAAGCAAGGTATTCTTCTTCGTATTACTGGTGAGGAAGCCAAATTGGAATGCTTTTTAAAAATCACTCAGCATTAGATCAGTAAAATAATCAACAGAAATGCTTCCCACAAAAAGATCTGGGTTTTTCAAAAAGAATTAAGAAGAGAGGGAAAAGTCAGTAGCAAATGACCAGAATTTTTTGTCTAAATTCTATTTCATACGTAGACAATCTCTCCTATTTATTTGACTTTGGCAATAAAAAACCAAACAACCTTGTACAGAACAGTGAAAACGCCAAGAATGAAGCCTACAGTTTTACTGTAAGATAAGAGTGTGTGTGTGTGTGTGTGTCTGTGTGTGTGTGTGTGTGTGTGTGTGTGTGTGTGTATTTATTTATATTTAAAAGACTTCTCTCCATTTGGCGGTATCAACTCTCAGTTCCAGCCGTTAAATACAGACGTATTTTCAAAACTACATATTTACTTCTTCAAGATCTTCGATGCTGTCATCATCCACCTCTGGCTGTTTTTTCTGAATGATATCAATTATGCCATCTGTAGAGTCTTCCTGAATAATTTCATCCTCCCCTGTTACCGAGGTACCACAGGAGAATTTTTGAGCAGAAAAATCTTTGTGCTTCTTTAAGATCAACTTCAAAAGTTGCAAAGCCACACACTGTTTTTACATATTTCTTCTTTGCTCTGGGAATTTTGGCTATAATAACCTTTTATGGTACAGTCTCCTTTTTTGGTTTTATTTGACCCCTTCCACCTCTCTTCTGTTTTTTCTTCTCCCCTTCCCCTGCTATTCCTTGACCCTTACTAATTCCACTTCTTGATTGGGTGAATTTTCTACAGTAAGTTTTTCAAATTCATTTCATTTAGCAACAACAGGCATATATTCACAGTACCCTGTTGGTAATGAACAGACTCTGCAATAAAGGACTCAAAGTGAGTAATCAGCATCTAACTTGGCACTGTTCCTTGGGCCTCCTTTGCAATCAGCCCCACTGGATTTAGAAATGCCAGCAGCCATTTCACAAACCCAGGTGGTCACACAGGCCCCGCTGCCTCTACTTCTACCACTATGGCCAGTTGAAGTGACATACAGCTTGTCTTCCCTGGCCAGGGCCACCCGAGAGCAATGATAGATTCTTAATGTAGACAGAATAGCCTTCTGTGGGTAGCTGGTGCCACCTAGGACTTTCATAGCTAGAGAGAAGTCAATGCCTGCCTTGAGAGCCTCAAAAGACAGGCTGACACTCTTGTTAGGGACTAATGTAGCTGGTGACTTTCAGTTAAAGCCAATGTTCATTTACCATTCCAAAAATTCTAGGGCCCTTAAGAATGATGCTAAATCTACTCTACCTGTGCTCTGTAAATGAAGCAACAAAACCTGGATGATAGCACATCTGTTTACAGCATGGTTTACTGATTATTTTAAGCCCACTATTGAGATCTACACAGAAAAAAAGATAACTTTCAAAATACTACTCCTCATGGACAATACATCTAGTCACCTAAGAGCTCTGATGGTGACATACAAGGAGATTATTATTGTTGTCATGTCTGCTAACACAACATTCTTTAGGCCTTGGATCAAGGAGTAATTTTGACTTTTAAGTCTTGTAACTTAAGAAATACTTTTCATGAGGCTAGAACTCCCATAGATAATGATTGTTCTGATGGATCTGGGCAAAGTAAATTGAAAAGGATTTTCAAGATTTTCATCTGGAAAAGATTCACCATTCTAGATGCCATTAAGAACATCTATGATTCATAGGAGGTCAATATTAACATTACTAGGAGTTTGGAAGAAATTAATTTTAACCATAATGGATGACCTTGAGAGAGGTTCAAGACTTCAGTGGAGGAAGTAACTGCAGATATGGCAGAAATAATAAGAGGACTAGAATTGTAAGTGGAGCCTGAAGATGTGACTGAATTGCTATCATCTCTTGATAAAACTTGAATGGATGTGGGGTTGCTTCCTATGGAAGAGCAAAGAAAATGGTTTCTTAAGATGGAATCTGTACTTGGTAAAGATGCTGTGAGCATTGTAAAAATAACAATAAGGGATTTAGAATATTACATATACTTCGTTGATAAAGTAGTGCCAGGGTTTGAGAGGATTAACTCCAGCTTTGAAAGAAGTTCTCCTATGGGTAAAATCCTATCAAAGAGTATCACATACTACAGAGAAATCTTTCATGAAAGGAAGAGCCAATTAATGCAGCAAACTTTATTGTCTTATTTTAAGCAGTTGCCACAGTCACCCATCCTTCAGCAATCACCACCCTAATCAGTCAGCAGCCATCAACATCGAGGGAAGACCCCCCTACACAAGCAAAAAGAGGATTCACTGGAGGCTCATGTGATCATTAGCATTTTTAACAATAAAGTATTTTTAAATTAGGGTATGTACATGTTTTTAGACATAATGCTATTGCACACTTAATAGATTATAGTGTAAACATAACTTTTATATGCACAGGGAAATCAAAAAAATTGAGTGACTCACCTTATTGCTCTGTTTGTTTTATTTTGGTGACCTGGAACAAAACCCACAGTATCTCCAAGGTATGCCTTTATACGTACTTGTATTTCTTAGCTCTGTTCAGTGAGAACCCAAAAACAATGACACATCAATACAATAATCACAACTGGTGTCCACATCTTTTTTCTTAATATCATTCTCCAATAAAAAGAACAGAGGCTTTTTAGAGAAGTAGATGATCCCAGAGGCAGGGAAAATACAAAATAAGTCTAGAACATCTTTTGGTGCCAAAAAGCAAGAACTTGCTCAAAAAAAGATAGAGGCTTCTTGAAATAACACAGCAGTCAACCTGAAGGAAATCCTAGTGACTAAAGCTGGAACAAATTGAGCAACAAAATTAATATAGTATTGAATTATAACCAATAGGATAAAATAAGCCCATACTTATTAAATCAATAATAAATAAATAAATGGGAGATAAGGGAGAACTCTTTCTTCCAATAGGATTCTAATTAATAAATGTAGAAAGAAACAAAGAGGGGAATAGAAAATCACTATTAGGCAAACACTCAGGAAATACTGCTGCAGACAAGATCCACTGATAGATACTAAAATTAATGGGCAAAAGTTTAAGGAGAAACAGGATTTGCATAGCCTCAAACATCTCCCTTAAGATATTTATTAACTACAAAGGGAAAGATGATAGTAGAAGAACCTAGCAGAACCTTAACAAAGTGATCAAGGGCAACATTACCAGTTGTGTTAGGCCATTCTTGCATTGCTATAAAGAAATGAGACTGGGTAATTTCTAAAGAAAAGAGGTTTGATTGAATAGTCCTGCAGGCTGTATGAGCATGGCATGTGTCCAGCTTCTGAGGAGGCCTTGGGGAGCTTTCATTCATGGTGGAAGGTGAGATGCTAGCAGGCACATCACATGGCCAGAGCAGAGCAGGAGGTGGGTTGGGGAGGTGCTACACACTTTTAAATGACCAGATCTTGTGAGAACTCACTCACTGTGGTGAGGACAGCACCAAGCCTTGAGGGATCTGCCCCCATGACCCAAACACCTCCCTCCAGGCTGCATCTCCAACATTGGGAATTACATTTCAGTCTGAGATTTGGGCAGGGACAAATATCCAAACTCTACCACCAGTAGAAAAACATCACTATCATGAACCCTGTGATATGATCCACAAAGAGGGATAAAACACTCTTTTTCTGGTATTCTTGACAAAAATTCTCAGTTACATCATGAGAAAACATCAGACAAACCCAAAATGAGAGTCATTCAACAAAATAACTGATCAGTACCCTTCAAAAGTGTCAAGATGGCCGGGCACGGTGGCTCATGCCTGTAATCCCAACACTTTGGGAGGCCGAGGTGGGCAGATCACAAGGTCAGGAGTTCGAGACCAGCCTGGCCAATATAGTGAAACCCCACCTCTACTAAAAATACAGAAAAATTAGCCGGGCATGGTGGTGTGCACCTGTAATCCCAGCTACTCAGGAGGTTGAGACAGGAGAATCACGTGAACCTGGGAGGCGGAGGTTGCAGTGAGCCGAGATCGCACCATTGCACTCTAGCCCAGGCAACAGTGCGAGACTCTTTCTCAAAAAAAAAAAAAAAGTGTCAAGGAAATAGAAGACAAAGACTAAGGATCTCTTACAGACTCCAGAAGACTAAAGAAAAATAACTAAATACAGTATGGGGTCCTGGATAGAATCCAGGAACAGGAAAAGACATAGTGGAAAAACTGTAAAATTTGAATAATGTCTATAGGTAATAGTATTGCCAATGTTAATTTCCTGGTTTTGATAATTTTGCTATGGTTATGTAAGATGTTAATAATAAGGGAAGCTGGATGAGGGATAAATAGAAAGTCTGTGTACTACTTTTGCAACATTTCTGTAAGTCTAAAGTTAGTTCAAAGTAAAAAATTAAAAAATAAATAAAAGTCCTACTGCCAAAAAAAAAAATGGTAGGGCTCCAAGCTGGAAAATTACTGAGGCAGAACTCTAGCCTGGGATCTATTCTTAGCATCTAGTCCCAGCATGAGGATTAGAATCAGAATTGAGGGACTAAGAGAAAAGGAAGAGAGAGTTGTTATTTATGGTGAGCCACCAAGTCCCAAAAATATTAAAAATCAAACTTTAGAGTTGGAAGGGTTTTGCTGATTAGGAAATCAATCGGGTGGTAGTGAGGAAGAAGACATTCACAGAAGGAGTAATGAAAAGGAACATGGAGAGTAAGCGTGTGACAGCTGCAATATTAGTTTAAGTGATACAAATGCCAGTCAGTATGGAAATTAGAATTTTATTTCCAAACAAATTTCAGATATTCAAAGCTGCCTTCACTTTATGTGAGATTAGCTTAATTCTGTCACTGATCCTTCATTTGAAGTAGAAAATGGTCTATGGAGAGTGAAGGCCTGTGACTCAACGCAAGCGTGACATTTTTGCTGCCACTCAGTCCCTTTGATGAAGTTTATGACTAGTTTTATCATTTTTTATATACAGCATTAAATCAAGAGATTTTATACACAAGGCTGTATTGACTTCTAGTCTTTTCTTTCTGTATATAGCCCACAGGCCTGCCCTTTTCTTTCTTCCCTCACAAGAGTAACCTAAAACTTACTTGCTATCTTCCTCCAAAGAAATAATGCAACTCTGCTCATATCAGATATGCTGTGGATGAAATTGTTTTAAGAAAAAGTTTAGGAATTTAACAGAAGGAAAAGTTGAAATGAAAAAAATAATGTAAGAAAGACATAGCTAAAAAATGAAATTTAAACAAGTTACTTTGAAAGACAAGAATTCGCCAAGGAGAAAGGTTTTACCTGCTGATTTATTATGAGTAGACTAATCCTGAACCATTCCCAAGGAGCTGTAATAGTAGTGACTATGTATGATGACTTTCTCAAAGGTGTAGGGAGTGATCTAATATCTCTTACCAAGCGCGCTGGTACTAATGAGAAACTGAAGGGAAAAAAATCTACATTTTCAGGCTTGTTTTCTATTTTTATACAGAGGGAAAGTTATACGTAATATTAATAGAAAATTTGGAGGAAGTAACAGATGTTTTTGACAGATTGTATGTGCATATACCTACTACGTAACTACTTTAAAAGTCTAGTAAATAATCTATTTTGAGCCACAGTGCAAATCTAATGAAGATGTTGCCTGAATTCTGCAGATGCATCAAGACTTTATATTTGGAATGCCAAAGAAATATCTAAAAATTAAAAGAGAGGCAGCCACAGAAGGTGCAACTTTATTTATTTATTTTTAATATTCTTAGTTAAATTTTCTGCCTCATACCTTTGTGGATATCATATTTTTTACTATAATTCTAAGTAGTTATTGCTGGAGTCAAAAATGTTATTAATTTTTACAAGAAAATCTTGTACCAAAAATCTTGAACTCTATTAATTCTAATAGCTTGTTTTTCTCTATATAGATAACTATATATTTTAATAATAAAAACTATCTTTTCCATTTAAGTCTCTGCTCTTCCTATTTCTTTTCTTTTTCTTTATAGTGCTACCCACAATCACTCGTATTATATTGGATAGTAATGGTGAAAGTGGGCATCTTTGGCTTCTTTCCAATCTTTTTTTTTTTTTTAAATTTTATTTTAAGGTCAGAGGCACACGTGCACATTTATTATATAGGTAAACTCATGTCACAGGAATTTGTTATACAGAGTATTTCATCACCCGGGCATTAAGCCTAGTACCCATTAGCTATTTTTACTGATCCTCTCCCTCCTCCCACTCTCCGCCCTCCGGTAGGCCCCAGTTGTTGTTTCCCTCTACATGCCTATGTGTTCTCATCTTTTAGCTCTCACTTATAAGTGAGAACATGCAGTATTTGGTTTTCTGTTCTTGCATTAGTTTGCTAAAGATAGTGGCCTCCAGTTCCATCCGTGTTCCTGAGGAGGACATGATCTCATTCTGTTGTACAGCTGCATAGTATTCCATGGTGTATATGTACCACATTGTTTTTATGCAGTCTGCCATTGATGGGCGTTAAGGTTGATTCCATGTCTTTGCTATTGTGAATAGTGCTGCAGTGAACATACGTGTGCATGTGTCTTTATGATAGAATGATTTGTATTTCTTTGGATTTATACCCAGTAATGGGATTGCTGAGTTGAACGGTAGTTCTGTTTTAGGTCTTTGAGGAATCGCTACACTTTTCAACAATGATTGAACTAATTTACACTCCCACCAACAGTGTATAAGCATTCCTTTTTCTCCACAACCTCACCAGCACAGAAGGTGCAACTTCAGCATTGTCTTTTAGATGAAACATTCAGCCAAGAGCACAGATGGGTTTTTTTTAATAAAATCAGTAAAATAATGCTTTTTCTAAATATCACAATTTTTATCTTTAAAATGGTATCTTCTTACTTTAGGATGTTGCAGCTGATTTTCTCAGCTGTGCTTAGCCTCAACATGTGGAATCAATTGAAGTGAAATATGATGAAAGTTTATATTGATGTAGAGGTTTGCTGTTTGCTTTTTATCAAGTGGAGATTTGTACCCATGTAGACCTAACCACTGGCATTCACTGTTCATTGAGAGGACAGATCAATTGCTGACAGCCTTTCTCTTTAGGTTCCTTACATTCTGTTTAAGATAGATAAAATACAGTAGGTAAAATAATCACCAGTCTATCTGAAGAAAAGTGGAGATTTTTAAAATACAACCTCTGATTTCCACTTTCCATATTGTGCTCAGACTTCATTGCTTCACTCACAGGCAATTCCTATCTTCAGTTTTGTATATGTAGTAACATTTCCTGTATTGTTTGGGGTTTTTTTATGTTTAATGAGAAGGATTTCAGGTGTTTAAAAAATATCGACATTTCCAACATGTGTTAGAAGAACTAGGATGACCATACCAGTAGATGAGGAGTCTTTTCAAAGCAGAGCTCTTTAGTAGATGACTGGCAGATGCCTGATGAGTTAGAGGTGGTGTTCTCGAAGAGAGGCCTGAAGAGCTGGAGTTCATATGTCTATGAGTGCCCCTAGGACAGATTTCAGTTGCCGGTATATAGGCACAAAGCTAAGTAGCTGAAAAAGACAGTATACAGATCCTTAAGAATGATGGCAGTGAGGAGGATAAAGATGGTGATGATAAATGGCAGCATCAGCTGACATTGCTGTGATTAGTAGGTGCTGAGCACCATGCTGAGTGCTTTCTCTACATTCAAGCTGAATCTCCCCCTTCCAGTTTGGTATTTTCTACACAGTCCAATCCCTTTTCTGGGTAGTAATGAGCCAGAAAAGTGGTCCAGATTAAAATCCCCTTTGTACTTGCCGTGGAGGCAAAGAGAACAGCCAGAAGACCTGGGGTGAGTGCTGTGCAGATTCTAACAAACAAAAAACAGACCCTAGAACTCCAGGTCCTAGCCAGGCAGCCCAGACCCTGGATGGTATTAATGCTTATAAATTTTCCATGTTCTTTGATTTTAAGACCTACATCTAACAAAAATCTCACTCCTTTCCTTCTTCCTTTTATCTAATTCTGATACTCTTTTTCTGTCTCTGCCTGGGTGCTCAGAAAACATTTAATGCTAATTTTAAAATCTGAATTACTTTATTTTTATAAGACTTAGTTTATAACACACCTGTAATCCAAAAATTGATAGAAGTATATGTGTTTGTTGAGACTAACATGATTTTTCTTGGATTATTTTATTCCTCATGCTTTGTTTAAAGATTAGACTATTTCCTATACTGCTCCATGCTGAATAAATGTTAGTGATATCAATGTAAGTCTTTATTTTCAGACTTGCTTCCTATTTCTTGTAATCCAGAGGAAAACTCCATTTTTATTTACAAATTTTATTCTGGGTTATGATATCATATGCATACAATAGAAGTATCAAATTTCTGATCTTACATAAATCAGACGTTTTCTGAGTTAGTAGCTTTTATATTTACTTGGAAAAGTTGAGGAATGAAGAGACAAAAAAGTATTATGTAATACTGAGATACTAAGTGATTTCTAGTATAATCACTCAATAGCTGATAATCATAGCTATTGCTCTTACTACTGATAAGCCTGTTTGCATTCTCATCTTTCTTTTGCAGGTGGTTGCCTATCACTATTGTCAAGCAGATAATGCCTACACTTGCTTGGTGCCAGAATTTGTCCACAATGTTGCTGCCTTGCTCTGCCGCTCACCTCAGCTGACAGCCTATCGGGAGCAGCTTCTTCGGGAACCTCACCTGCAGAGCATGCTGAGCCTTCGTTCCTGTGTTCAAGACCCCATGGCCTCCTTCCGGAGGGGAGTTCTGGAGCCACTAGAAAATCTCCATAAAGGTACAGATAAGGCCCAAAGGAGGGGAAAGATGGAGGTTTAGAGCCCAAGTTCACCCGGGTCATACTATAAAAATGATTGATTTTATCACATTGCCAAAACTAAATGTTCCATAGCTGGATATCCTGTAGGATACAGTTAACAGACAAGAGATTTTACTTGCAAAAAAAAAAATCCAGCAGTAACTACTCCTTCCTCTTTTCTTTATAAAAATTCTTATTCTTATTTCCAAATAGAATGCCTTTTCCTTGTCCTGAAGATAGTAGAGCTTTCAGTCCTTTCTGTGAAGTTTAAATAAGTCAGTAAATTTGTGGCTCCAACGCAGTGTTGTGAAGTTTCTATGGTTAGAAATCCCCCCTGTAATATGTAATATTAATAAAAAACATATTTTATTACCCCATCAGTTCATGTGAAGTGGAATGGCCTCCATGGTTACACAATGCTCTGTATAAACCAGAAATCATTTAACTGTACACTTTAAAATCTACTTAAGGGGCATAAGGGTATTTTACGGTGCATAAATTGTATTATAGGAGAGCTGTTATTTTTTAAAAGTGAAAAAAATTAAATGAGATCCATCTCCCATTCATGCTCATGCCTTTCCTCCCTTTTTCCTCTGCAGTTCTAGTGTTAGCAGTGGCCTAAGTGCAACCATTTCCTTGAAAATGGTACCTGCCTTCTTAAGTCTTCCTGCCCCATACTCTTAACAATGTTTTGTTAGTGCCAGAAGCCAAAGAAAAGGATGTGGGTATGCATAAAATTCCTGAGCAATCCTGTTTATTCCTGAGAGACTTAGACACCTTTCTCAAGGGCTTTGGAGGCACTAATAAGGAAAGATGGTTTATAATTTCTCCTGGCCATCATCTTCAGTTATTTCAGCTTCCATGCTGGTTACTTGGATATCAGAATTTCTCTTTCTCCTCTACTCTGATGACCTCTGTCACTACCTTTGCTACCTGTTACCTTTTTAAACATTGCCGTTTCTCCACAAGTATTTTTAAGCCTATTTCCTGGACATTCAGTCAATCTCTAAAACCTGTTAATTCTGCCTTCGTCATGTTTCTCACACCCACTTGGCTCAATTGTTTCTAGCATCATTACCACAAGGACTGTTCATCTGCCCATAGCATCATATCTATAATTACCTCATCCTGGTCTTTCCTGGTTCTCGAGTTTAGTGCTCTTTCCACATCATGACACACTTACAAAATAATAAAACTTTGTATAGCATACTGGGATAAAAATTTATAACTCCTCATTGCTGGACATGACTGGCCCTGAGGAGACAGCTCTGCCAAGCCTCAGATGTCCTGAGGGCTGAATTTTAAGTACACTTCTAAACCATTCATGGCACACCTGGAGGGGAAGTTCTTCCCCAGTCTCTCCAGTCTTCTAGACTTTATGTGTTTCTTCCAGATAAAGTTTTATAAAACACTTCTCTGATCACATAATTCCTCAATTCATAATCCGCTGATTGCCTATTGCCTTCTGAATTAACTTTCAATTCCTTGTTCTGACATTCAAGATGCTTGATGGCCAGTATCCAACCTACTTTTCAGCCTTATTATTCACTGTTATCCTTAGGAACCCTGTGTTTATGTGTAAACTAAAATATTCACTAGTCCTCAAATACTTCCCTAGATTTTCCCACCTCCATATATTTACTCATTATTTTCCTTCTTGATATACCTTCTTCTTAAATCTCTGCCTGTCAGAATTCCACCCATCTATCAAGGACCAGCTTAAATGCTACCTCATTCATGAAATACCTACTGATCTACCTGCCCCCCTCCAGTCAGAAATGATGTCCTTCCAAATAACATTAGATCCTTTTTCAAAATATATATATGTATTTATGGTACATAACACATAATGTATAACAAGAATTTAAAATTATTATTATTAATATTTATTAAATATTTACCATATGCCAGATACACTTTGCAGTTTATAAGAATTACTTTTGTACTTATCCCTTTGAGTAAATTGTATGTTATTGAAATTAGGAACTTTGTAAAATTCAGCTTTTATCCTTCATAGTGGTTACCTCACCTTGAACATAGTAGGCATTTTAGGAAATATGTTTTGAACAGATAAGTGAATATAGAAACTGCTCACATGTAGGAGTACCTTGAAAGAAACACAGTGATACAAGGATCTACACCTTACAGCCAATTCAAGAAGACTATCCATCCCAGCACTTTGGGAGGCCGAGGCAGGTGGATCACGAGGTCAGGAGATCAAGACCATCCTGGCTAACACAGTGAATCCCCATCTCTACTAAAAATACAAAAAATTAGCCGGGCATGGTGGCGGGCACCTGTAGTCCCAGCTACTCGGGAGGCTGAGGCAGGAGAATGGCGTGAACCCGGGAGGCGGAGCTTGCAGTGAGCCAAGATAGTGCCACTGCACTCCAGCCTGGGCGACAGAGTGAGACTCCGTCTCAAAAAAAAAAGAAAAGAAGGCTATCCAAATGCTTGCAGTCAGCTCTGGCATAATTCATATGTTTTATAGTTTTGCTACAAGATATATCTGCCTCTCATTTAGGTCTCCATAACCAGCTTTAGTGATCTCTATTATAAATACTGTTCTAAGTGGATTTAATTACTTCATTTTATTTCCATGTTTTTAACTCACCCTTAAATCACCATTGTGAGCAATAGCTGGAAACACAATTTTCCAGCTGGAAATACTAAAATTTATTAGAGTGACCCAAAAGAACTCAAGAAATAAAGAAGAATATTTTTTTTAGAGATAGAACAAGCAAAATGGTAGATGTATAAGCAATAATATCAACAATTACATTACATGTAAATGGGCTAAGCACTTATATTAAAAGGTAGAAACTGTCAGACTGGATAAAAAGCAAGACTCAACCATATGCAGTTTTTTAAATATAAAGACACAGATTGAAAGTAAAAGGATAGAGACTGTATAAACATGGAGCATAAGAAAGCTGGAGTGACTATAGTAATCTCAGACAGAGTAGACTTCAAGACAAGAAGTATTTCTAAAGAGGCATTTGATAAACATAAAAGGGCCAACTCATCAGGAACATGTATTAGATGTATGCACCTAATAACAGAGGTTCCAAATTCATGAATCAAAAATAGACCAAATTAGAGAAGTAGCTATAGTCCCAACTGCTCTGGAGGCTGAGGCAGAACAGTGTAATTAATGACTATCTAGTTATTTAATGTTTAGCATATTTTTATCCCGCTAAACTATAAAAGCTGCATAACCATTGAAGACATAGCAGCTAGTATGGTAACTGGAACATAAAAGGAATTTAGGCTAGGCTTGGTGGCTTATGCCTGTAATCCCAGTGCTTTGGGAGGCCAGGGCAGGAGGATCACTTGAGCCTAGAATTCAAAACCAGCCTGGGCAACATAGCAAGTACCCATCTCAACAACAACACCAGCAGGCATGGTGGTGCACAGCTGTAGTCCCAGCTACTCAGGAGGCTGAGGCAGGAGGATCACTTGAACCCAGGAGGTCAAGGCTGCAGTGAACCAAGATCATGCCACTGCACTCCAGCTTGGGTAACAGAATGAGACCTGGTCTCAAAAAGAAAAAAGAAAGTTAATCAGTGTAATTCATCATATTAACAAAATAAAGGAGAACATCCACATAATCGTTTCAATAAATGTACAAAAGCATTTGACAAAATACTACATCAGGGGTCCCCAATCCCTGGGCCAAGGATGGATATAGGTCCGTGGCCTGTTAGGAACCAGGCCACACAGCAGGAGGTGAGCGACGGCTACCGCCTGAGCTCCGCCTTCTGTCAGATCAGCTGCAGCATTAGATTCTCATAGGAGCACGAACTCTATTGTGAACTATGCGTGCAAGGGATCTAGGTTGCGCACTTCATCTAATGCCTGATAATCTGAGGTGGAACAGTTTCATCCCTAAACCATCCTCTCCACCCTCCACCCCAGAAAAATTCTCTTCCATGAAACCAGTCCCTCCGAAGTACACCAATTAGTGATAAAAACTACACAAACTAGGAGTAGAAGGAAGTTTAGTCTGATAAAGGACAACTCCAAAAATACATGTAGTGAAATGTTGAATGCTTTTTTCCCCTAAGGTCAAGAGCAAGACAAGAGTGTTCCCTCACTCTCACCACTTATATTCATCATTCCACTGGTGGTCCAGGCTAGTACAATAAGAAAATAAACAAGCATGCAAATAGTATAAATATTGGAAAGGAAGAAGTAAAACTGTCTTTATTTGCAGACAACATAATTGTTTACCTTAGCAAACTCTAAGGAATCTACCCAGAAAAAAGAAATCTGACTAGAACTAGTAAGCACAAAGCTTTAGGCTATAAAGTCAATGTACAAATATTTCTATACTAACAACAAAATACTGAAAATGAAATTTTAAAACTACGTGGCAGTTTTAAAACATGGCTACAAATTCTTTGACATTACTTCCACTAATAGTTCAACCTGGGTCCCCTCCCTTCATAACTGGGCAGGCTTGCAACTGCTTCAGCCAACAAAATGATGCTATGTGACAACTGAGGGAGGTCATAAATAGCCATGCAGCTTCCATCTTGTTCACCAAACCACTTGCTTTGGGAGGCATGTATTGCCATATATGAAACCTGACTACCCTGAGTTCACCATGCTGCAAAGCACAAACCACAGGGAGAGTCTAGTTGACTGTCCCAGTGCTCATTCCTGCTCTGCCACCAAACATATGCTTGAATAAGCTTCCAAATGATTCCAACTTCCAACCCCCAGCCCCAGACATTCAGGTAACCCCTTGCTATTCAATATAGCAACAAATAAGTAGAATAAATACGATTTTCAGTGGCACCAAAAAATATATAATACTTAAAAATAAATGTATGAAAGATGTGTAAGACTTAGTGAAAGCACAGCAAAAATATTGCAGAGTGAAATTAAAGAACTTAGTAAGTGGAAGAGATATGTCATAAATGAGGATTGGAAGATGTCAGTTTTTTCTTAAACTATTCTATAGATTAAACATAATCCTGGCTGGTTGCAGTGGCTCACGCCTGTAATCCCAACACTTTGGGAGGCCAACGCAGGTGGATCACCTGAGGTCGGGAGTTTGAGACCAGCCTGACCAACATGGAGAAACCCTGTCTCTACTAAAAATACAAAGTTAGCCGGGCGTGGTGGCACATGCCTGTAATCCCAGCTACTCGGGAGGCTGAGGCAGGAGAATCACTTGAACCCGGGAGGTGGAGGTTGCAGTGAGCTGAGATCATGCCATTGCACTCCAGCCTGGGCAACAAGAGCAAAATTCTGTCTCAAAAAAAAAAAAAAAAAAAACACATAATCCCAGCAGAATTTTTCTGTAAAAATGGACAACTTTTAGAAATGCAAAGTACCAAAAATAGCCAAAACATTCTTGAAGAAGAAAGTTGGAAGATAGGATCTGGTTTCAAGACGTACAGAATTACAGATTACTATAATAGTCATGACAGTGATATGCTAGTAAATGTTTAACATCCAGCTCAGGGATGGGGGGCTGATTTGATGCTTAAAAGTTTAGCAATCAGCTCTCATGAGCCAGCTTGAGTCAGGTCCAAAATTCCACAGACAGGATTGTATTCATACAAGGATAGAAAATAGATCAATGGAACAGAATAGAGAATCCAGAAATAGACCCACATATGCAGTCAATTGATCTTCTCTAAGATGCCAAGGCAATTAGAGAATTCTTGTCATCAGATGGTACTGGAACAACTAGATAAATGTTTGGGGAAGGGGAAATAATCTCAATCCTTACTTCACACTATACACCAAAATTAATATGAGATGGATCACAGACCTAAATAGAAAAGTTGTATCTCTAAAGCTAATAGAAAAAACATAGAATATCTTCACAAACTTGGAATAGGTAAAGATTTCTTAAGGACACAAAGTATCACTAATTATATAAAAATGATGACAAATTAGACTTCATCAAACTTAAAAATATTTGCTCAACAAAAAATACCACTAAGAAAAAGGAAAAGCAAGTCACCAAAGAGGAGGAAATATTCACTATGTTTCTGTGTGTGAGAGACAAAGCACTTGTATCTACGATACATGTAGAATGCAAACAGTTCAGTTTTTAAATGGACAAGCGATTTAGACACTTTACAAAAGAAGATACGTCAACAGCCTACAAGCACATGAAGAAGTGTTTAACATGAGTAATCAGGGAGATGCAAATTAAAATTACAATGAGAATACCACTTCACACCCATTAGAATACCACTTCACACCCATTAGAATGGTTAAAATTTAAAAGAATGAACATCCAGTGTTGGTAAGGATGAGAAACAACTGGAACTCTAATACATTGCTGGTGGGACTATACAATAGCGCTACTACTTTGGAAAACTATTTGTCAGTTTCTTTTTTTTGAGACAAGGTCTCTCACTCTGTAGCCAAGCTGAAGTGCTGTGGCATGAGCACAGCTCACTACAGCCTCGACCCCCTCGGCTCAAGCAATCCTCCCACCTCAGCCTTCTGAGTAACCGGGGGCTACAGGCATACACCACCATACCTGGCTAATTTTTTTTTTTTTTCAGAGATGGGGGTCTTGCCATGTTGCCCAGGCTGGTCTCATACTCCTGGGCCCAAGCAGTTTTCCCGCCTCAGCCTCTCAGAGTGCTGGGATTATAGGCATGAGCCACCACACCCAGCCAACAGTTTCTTACAAAGTTAAATGTACATCTACTTTATGACCAAGCAACTCTATTGCTACGTATTTACCCAAGAGAAATGAAAACATATGTCTACAAAACACTTGTACAAGAATGTTTCTAGCAGCTTTATTCATAGTCGTCAAAAACTGGAAACAGCCCAAGTGTCCATCAACAGAATAGATAAATTGTAGTACATTCATTCAATTGAATACTTCTTAGTATTAAAAAGGAACAAAATAATAGTACAATCAGTGTAGAAGAGTCTCAGAAACGTGTTAGGCAAAAGAACAAGTGTCTGCAGTGATAGAAATAAGAACAGTGGTTTCCTATTGAGGACTGACTGGAGGAGAACCTAACAAATTTCTGGAAAGATAGAAATGTTCTAAATTTGATCACAGTATTGCTTACATGAGTACATATAGCTGTCAAAACTTATCAAAGTGTATAGTTAAGATCTTTGTAATTCACTATATATAAATTTTGTTGCAATAATTTTTAATATAGAATTATTTTTTAAAGGTAGCTGGAGTTTTTTCAATGGAAAACACTTTCAATTTAGAGTCAGAAGCTAGATTTCAAATTATGTATTTTCTTTGAAAAATGAGTCAGTATTTTTCACAGTACTTTAAAGTTCCACAAGTACAGTGATTAAAATACATACACGCACACCCACATGCTCATATAAAACAAATGAAAAAGTTTTGAAGTTTCTCAGTACACTTTTGCTTTAGCTACCAATATGAAATGAAAGGAGACACAAATTGTTTTGTTTTGTTTCGTTTTGTTGGGACAGGGTCTCACTTTGTCACCCAGGCTGGAGTACAGTGGCAAGATCATAGCTCACTGCAGCCTTGACCTCTTGAGCCCAAGCTATCCTCCTGCCTCAGTAACTAGGACTACAGAAGCGCACCATCATACTTGGCTAATTTTTTTCTATTTTTTGTAAAGATAGTGTCTCACGATGTTGCCCAGGCTGGTCTGGAACTCCTGGACTCAAGCAGTCCTCCCACCTCAGCCTCCCAAAGTGTTGGGATTACAGATGTGAGCCACCAGGCTCAGCTGAGACACTAATTTGTTACCACACTGAAGGAAAGATAACTCAGATATTATGTGAAGCTTTTCAGAACAAAGATATTGTCTGATATGAGTCTTCTTTTTCAATTTCAACAATTCCTATATATACCAGTAAAAGAATCTCATGTGCCGAGATTCAGTTCTGACTTCAGTACTAGCTACTATCTCTTCTCTTGCAGTCTCTGTAATTCTTATTTCTCTCAGGCACCTAGGTAGAGTCTTACAATGGAACTACTAAGGAAGAAAGTTCACGTATTTGTTAGGAATACATGTAAGTGGAGGCAGTGGGGAATCCCTGGTGAACGTGTATTTACAAGGGATTAAAAATAAGGATTTTAAAGGGCTTGGGAAACCTTTTTAGTGACTTGTCACCTAGAGCAGTGGCTCCTAAGCACCAGTCCATTTAAAGTTTTTAGTTAGTCCATGACAAAATAAGAAAATAGCAACAGCTCAGAATTTGTATGGATGTAGATATAATGTAGTTTTCCATATATATGTATGTAAAGATTAGATAATGTCCCTCCTACTTTTTTAATGTTAAAATCCTTTTTATTCTATGAAATATGGTGATCGTGGATGGTAATTATATTTTACATGTTCTTACATGGCAAAATACGAAGCAGCAATCCTTTGTTAGTCCCCAATTTATTTTTATTTGTAAATTTTTTTTAAGCTACTGATTTAAAGTACTACTCTAAATATCTACAGAAATTTGAATGAGTGAACATACTGAAGCATTCTTGTAGGCTGGTTGCATTTCAAAGTGAAAATCTAAAGAACATTAGTATCTCACCTCTTAAATTTATAATTGAGAAACCTTATCATTTAGCAAAGGAAAATGAATTATTTCAGGAACAGTTCTCATTGTTTTACAGCATTAGTAGCATTAGGAAATTATTTGCATTTATCGTTCTGAATCCTAAAAATTATGATATCCTTAGATAAATATGCCCTCCTTACTTCCTAAGTGATGACATTTTTTTTGATACCTACATTAGTAGGTGACTTGTAAGTAATTCCTTCAAAACAGGAAATCTCAAAAAAAAATAATAATCAGAATTTAGAAGAATAAAATTAGCTTTATTAAGGGGGAAGGCAAGTACCCCCTTTTAAAAATAAAAAATAATATATCATCTACTTTACTCATGGGCTTAATCTACTAAGAATTTATGCAAATGAAAATGTAATTTTATTAGCAAATGAATTATTCATTCATTAAAATGTCTGGACCATAATTTACTACACATTACTGATCTCCATGCTTGAGAATGTGTTTGCAATGATATCCCAAAGAAAATCCCAACAGATGCATTATCATCAGCTGTTTTGTCTACTGGAAAATCATGACTTTCTTATGAAGGAACCTGGTTGAAGTTATTAAAGGAGATATAATTGAAGGGCGGGGACAGTGGTGTGCTGGTAAATTTTTAACAGCCACCTGGGAGAGGAGGGCTGATTTGTAATATTTGCCAATTTTTATTGTGTAAATATTCCCACCATACACAATTCCAAGCTACCAGCTGTTTAACAGTCAGAGCTTGAAAATATTGCAGTGGCCTCTCCTGAACCAGTACAGGGATAGATAGCTCCAGCACAGTGAGTGATACTAGCTGATGGTGCTTAGCCAGGCAGAATGCAACTAGAAAATTCCTCTATGGAAATTAAAGGCATGGTTAAGCTTAAGGGAGCCAGAGCCTTCAAAATCAAGAACATAACACCCACCCCCCTCGTTGTTTGGGTAAATCCCAGTTAGTTCCAAGCAACTCCTCTTTCTTCCTTAATACTTTGCACTCCCTGAAGGAATTTCATGTTTTCTTAGTGCTTCGTCATCTAGAATACCACTCCATTAGTAGTGATTGTTAATAGAGCTGGAATCCATAGTTCATTTCACTCCCTAAAAACTTGGCAGATGAAAGTAATTGTTAAAATTCTTCATAATTTGAGAACTGATTTGGATATTGAAATTAAATCTCTTTTATAAAGTTTATGCTTTAGGAGAAAAACAATAAGGGCTTATTAATCATTGCAAAAGATCTGTATATTTTCAAATATGGAAACAAAATAGTATGTTCAGTTTCAATTGGTCTTGACTTTCAAAGGCAAAAATAGCCAATTTTGTATGCAAGTCCACAGACATTTTCTTCTGTCCTCGGCTTCTTCTTTTTCCTCCTCAGATAAAACCTGTTTCTCACTCCAGGTATCTGATGACTGCTTGCCCTCTTCCCTCTGCTTTCCCCCTTTCAGAGCCTGTGAGATCCTGCTAACAAATAACTTTTATTTGTTATTCACAATTCACTTAGACTAAAATGTTCTTTCAGTGTGGAAATTTTTGAATCTCTAATTGTTGAACCAAGAATCAATAAGCATTTATCAAGTGCAGAAGCCTGAAATTTTCCCAAGCTGCTTCGTCAGCATAGCCCTAAAGTTAAATTGATTTTGTCAATGCCGGATCATGTGGAGTCCAAGAGAGAACTGGACACAAACACAGCAGATGTTTGTCTTTTCCACTTGACTCCTCCACTTTTGGGAAGATCATGCAAGGGACTGGTCTCATTGCGGCTGCTTTAGGTATAGTCTAGGAAGCTGCTACGGTGTTGGGATCTAGCCACCTGGTTCAACTCTGTCTAATGCCTGGGATTCCTTTTCTCTGTTACTCTGTCTCTTCCTTCCCACTACACATTCACATTCACATGCAGTCCTATATACTGTTTTAGACTTTAGACTTTACATAAACCTTTTTGGGGACATTCCCAAAAGAACATATGATACTATTCTCTTTAATGCTGTCAGATAGGGAAAAAAAAAAAAAAAAAACAGAACATGTTCTACTCAGCTTTTTCATGTGTAAGAGAAAAATTACTTCCCATGTGCAAATTTTCTTAACTCCAATACTCAGGCTGTCTCACAACTATTAATATGGAGATTTCTGAAAATGATGATATATATACTCATATGTGACAAAAGCCTTCATACCTGATTAAAAGCAAAATGAATTTACTAAGTTAATTTTTCCATGCCCTTAGAATAAATTATGTACCCTGAGCATTCACTAAACACATGACAAGCCTTTTCTAATATTTTGTTCCAAAGAAATATGTGATCAAAGATCCAGTAAGAACTCATTTATCCACTTGGTAATTATTAAGTAATGTGTTTCTTTCTATCTCAGAGAGAAAAATCCCAGATGAAGATTTCATCATTTTAATTGATGGATTAAATGAAGCAGAATTTCACAAACCGGATTATGGGGATACAATTGTATCGTTTCTGAGTAAAATGATCGGAAAGTTTCCTTCTTGGCTCAAACTAATTGTAACAGTTAGGACCAGTTTACAGGTATGTGTTTGTTTGCTTTTAAACCATAAATGATTCCTCTTGGAAAGAGCTTAGACTGAAAAAGTTCTAGGTCCTAGTTTCATAAACTTCTACTATGTCCTAGAGCATTATGAAGAATAATTCCCGAAGAATTAATCTAATATTTTGAGAGATATGATCTAGAAAGACATTCTTTATACGTGACTCTCAGATTCCCATTTCTGTTGCTCTGGATGAGGTTTAATAAAATGTTCCTCAAAATAGCATGAAAAGAAAGTCAATTTTTCTAGACTGTTCTGAGGACAGCAGTGTAAAGATGATCTCTAACACTTTGACTTTCGTTTAACATTTTTTGATCATTTAATGCTATGCAAAATTCAGTTCAATCTACATCCTAGAATGAGATTTTCTGGTTCCTCCCTCTGCTTCTACTTAAACAACTCTTCTATAGCATGAATATGGACTTTCCTCTATATCTGTCCTCCTTTAACAAAAATTGGCAATATTAGGGCTTTAGATTAAATTTACTACAACTGAGAGAGAAGGTTTTTGTTGTTGTTGTTGTTTTTTCTAATTACTTTCCCTTCTCACTCACTGGTCACTTAATGGCCTGGAATAAGGACCAGGAATGTGAGACTGAGCCTGTAAAAATATATGGGCTAAAGATAAATGACTCTGCTTTCCCCAGCCTTCTCATTGTAGCTGAGTTGGTGTCCCATTCTTTACATATTCACACTTGGTTTGGAACAATGTTTCTCATTCTTTTTATAAAAATTATTTCCTCCTATGATGAATATTAAAATCTCAAACATTATATGCTTATCTCACTATTTGGATGCAGCCCCCTTGTCATAAGTGCTGATGTACAGAAAATAGTCTGTACATTTAAGTCCCTCCTTTCCCCCTCTGCCAGGCACTTAGCATTATTTCCATATATTGACCAGTTAGCATTACTGTCTTCCATGATGAGAAACTATATTTCTAATCCTGGCCACCACCTTACAGATGTTTATTATTAATCTCAAAGTAGTTTGAGCTAAAGGATATGGATAAATCAATATAAATCCATCTTTACAACTAAAAATTATATAACCTATCATTATTAGTAGCTTGATTGTTAAAAATGAAAGATGAATGAAAGAAACCTCCAGGAATGTAATCTCTGACTGCTTTACCAAATGGATGCTTTGGAGATGTTATCCTCATACATATTCTCACATAATATCATGTGCAGTCTCAAAAGAAATTGTGTTTCCGGATAGAGTAGGTGACTTTAATTTTTCAGCTGTGCCAACAGAAAAAGTACTTCAACTAAGAATTTTTAAAAATTATTTCATTTCCGACAGTGAAAGAATTTATAGGTTTTAGAAAATGAGCCTTCATTTATATTTGATCATCATTATTTCCACAAACATTTCTTAAGAGTATTTCAGGGACTGTTCTAGGGGCTGGAGATTCAAAATGAACAAGACAGGCAATATTCCCATCCTCCTAAAGCTTATATTTTAGTAAGGAACACAAAAAACAAATGAGCAAAAAGTTAAACATATACTAAAATTACAGGTAGTGTTGAGTGCTATGAAGAAAAACAAAATAGGGTGGAGGGATAACTGGATAGTAGTTGTTTTAGATAGGATATATAGGAAAGGCCTCTCGTTTAAAAGTGATGAGATCTGATCTGTCTTTTTTAAAGATTTCTGTCAACTGGCCGTCTACATAATAAAATGTAAGGGATAAAGAGTTGAAGCAGAAGTATAGGTGAAAGGTAATGGTGGCTTAGACTAGAGTGATAATGATGGGGACCATGTGAAATGGTCATATTTCGTTGGACTGTATTTTGAAGGAGAGTAAAAGGACTTGATGATGGGCTGAATGTGGGTGTCAGCAAGAGAGAAGACTCAAGAATGAATCCTGGGTATGTTGTGAGCAAATGGGTGAATGATGATTTGAGGACAATAGAAAGATCACAGATATCTTCTAGAATTTGGTGGTAGAGTCAGTGGTAATGCCATTTATTGACATGGGGTGAGTTTTGTGGCGGGGGACAAAATTAAGTACTGATTTGGTCACATTGTCTATGAAATATCCAAATGTAAATGTTGAGTAGACAGATATAAGATGGGACTCAGGGGAGATGACTAAGCTAGAAACATAAAGTTAGGCATGAGCCACATATAGATAATATTTAGCACCATGGGACTAAAGAATCTATTGATGGGAGTGAGAATGGCTAGAGAAGAGGAAAGAACAGAGCCCAGAGCCCTGGGTGAGCTGGGAAATAAAAAAAAGAGCCAGCAAAAAAGGGAAGGTTAAAAGTGGCCAGTGTGCTAAGAGAGAAAAGAGGGGAACGTTCTCTGGGAGCAAGCTGCAGAAAGTGACTCCAAAAAAAGTGCATTGAGGTGAGATGCGTTGTGTCAAATATTGCCGAGAGGTTGAGGAAGATGAGAACTGGAACTTTATTATCGGATTTGGCAAAGTGAAAGTTACTGATGCCCTTGACAAGAACCATTTCAGTGAGGTGGTGAGGGTGCAGCCTGATTGGAACAAATGGAGGAGAGAATGGGAAGGAAAGAATTATAGATAGCGAATACAGAAAACTTTTGTGAAAAATGGGAACAGAGATACAGGGTAGTAGCTGGAAGGAAGAATATGGAGTTTATGTATGTGTGACCCAGCTGAGAAGAAACAGATGCAGGAGAGGGAATGGGTACTCACAGGAGCAAAGTCCGTGGGTAGGTAAGAAAGGATGGAATCCAGTGCATAGGAGTAGCCACAAAGCCATATCACCTTCCCCCAGTAGAATTTCCAACAGATTCTATTGGAATCTGTTACCAAGGTGCCAAGCTTCCTACTGTTAGAAGTGTACCTTTCGGCTAAGGTATCTCCAGAAGGCCCGCATTTAAATGTAGTCATTTTATACATCTGTGTTGTGTGGGAAATTTTTTTTTAAATAGTCATTTTATTAGGAGAGTTAGAAAGCCAACTTTTTCTAAGCCAGTCTTTGAATCTTTGTACATTTCTCTTACTGACTTGTACTTGGCATTATGCCCTGGTTTACACTGAGAAAAATTACAGCAAAAGAGTTATACAGTGCTCCGTTTTCTATTTATTTCAGGAGTGTTGTTTAGAATGACGATCATGAAATCACTCCAAAAGCACTCTTTACAAAGACCCATTTAAAAATATATCTTAAGTCTCAATGTTAGGAGAAGTTGTGTCCCTTCTATGCAACTAATTTGTTTTACTTTTTGGATACTAATACTTGATCATGTTTCCCTGTTTGGCCACTTCGAAGTTCAGAATACATTTGTGAACCTCATAGTTTATCACAAGAGTTAGGGGAAACTGAAGGTCTTTCTGTCTCTTTCTCTCTCTCCATCTTTTTAGGAAATTACCAAGCTGCTGCCTTTCCATAGGATTTTTTTGGATCGACTAGAAGAGAATGAAGCCATAGACCAGGACCTGCAGGCTTACATCCTGCACCGGATACACAGCAGCTCAGAGATCCAGAATAACATTTCACTTAATGGCAAAATGGACAATACTACATTTGGCAAACTCAGTTCTCATCTCAAGACCCTCAGTCAAGGGTCCTATCTATATCTGAAACTTACATTTGACCTCATAGAGAAAGGCTATCTAGTGTTAAAGAGCTCTAGCTACAAAGTAGTTCCTGTTTCGCTCTCAGAGGTTTATTTACTCCAGTGCAATATGAAGTTCCCAACCCAGTCTTCCTTTGACCGGGTGATGCCTCTCCTGAATGTGGCAGTGGCCTCTCTCCACCCACTGACTGATGAGCATATCTTCCAGGCCATCAATGCTGGGAGCATTGAAGGCACACTAGAATGGGAGGATTTTCAGCAGAGAATGGAGAACCTCTCCATGTTCCTAATCAAGCGCAGAGACATGACTCGTATGTTTGTACATCCTTCTTTTCGAGAATGGCTTATCTGGAGAGAAGAAGGAGAGAAAACCAAATTTCTCTGTGATCCGAGGTAAGACATATATCTGTGATAAACAATTCTGAGTCTGTTTTCTGTTTATTGCATGGAGTGTGAGTATTGAAAGTAGAAGTGTTCTTCATTGAACATTTCACATAGAAGAGACATCATCTGTGTTTCTTCTCAAGGCAAGGCTATAATGAGGTTAACTAATTTATTGTTTTACAATGTTATTTCCTTAAGACTCAACATCTGCATAGATATTTAGAATGCTATCCTACGTTCCTGTGTTCTTCTAAATAATTTTCACTGACCCCACAGGGTTCACAGGCTATAATTAAGTTAACCATTTAATGGACTTCCTCAGTATTATTATTCTGATATGAAGAAAGAATTGATATATTGTAAATCTCTTTGATTTAGGGCAGAATCATTTCAAAGTTTTTATTGCCCTTTTATAAAACCTTATCATTTTTAAAGTTTCCAGTGACTAAATCCATTAAAGTCCAGCCAATGCTAAGCTTTATACTAGAAAATACAATCTTAAACCTCCTAGCTGAAAAAGATTTGAAGAGATCAGCTGGTCTATCCATGCTGCCTTTAGATACGTAAGGTGTCATTATCTCCATTTTGCTATAAAGGCCTTAAGATGCTGGATCAACTTGCACAAAGTCATAAGGTTAATACATGGGAGAAGGGAGGGGCACACACCAGAATAGGGATCACAAGTGCATGATATATCCCACCACTCCCCACCCCACACGCACAACAGGATCACTGATTTACCCCAGCACTCTTTCCCAATGAGCTTGAACCTGACTTGAGAATCTTTCTCAACTCAAACCAGACTAGATATGAAACTGTTTCCCTTTTTATTGCATGAAACCTAGTTCTCTGGCATCCTGGTCGGGGTGTGCTTTTACTCCGTCATACTAACATTTTTAAAGACGTATTCCTTTAATAAAGTTGGTGTTTTCAAAAGCCGGGTACATTACTGACTTCATGGAAACAAAGAAGACACCAACAACATAGCTGGCAAATGCAGAGCTTATTTTGGCTCAAAAAGAAGAGGCCAGATTTGACTATGCCTCACATGTGACTCATCAGAAAGAATAAAACTCTGTGTTCATGCTGGGGTTTTATTGCCCTTCACCGTGTCCTTCACCAGGCCTTATTAGAGACAACTGTACTGTGGGCATGCTGCTCAGCCTACTCCATGCTGATTCATCAGAAAATTAGTTCCAGATTATGATGAAGATATTAAGCCAGGCAATAGACTTTGTAGCATTTTCTCTGAGAGGGAAGCTTTTTTAAAGAAACATGCTGTAGTGGAAAGAACATAAACTCTTGAGTCAAATTACCTGCATATAAATCCTGCCTCTTCTAGGAACTTTGACCTTTGGAAAAAGTTACATAGTGTTTCTAAGACTTAGTTTTCTTATCTACATAAGAGCAATAATAATGCCTTTTTTCTAGAGTTGTTGAGAAGTTAAGTGAGGTCATATAGTATGATGCCTAGAATAGTACAGAGTAAAAGAAACACTTGGGGTATGTTCTTTTTCCTCCCCTCACCCTGCAGTAATAGACCCTTCTGGTGTATCTTAGTTAAATCCTGTGGCTAATCGGATAGCGACAGCCATCTTCTGCTGTTATCATTTTGGAGCACAAGATTTTAAAAAGAAACAATAAAAACAATCCAAGTCCCTTCTGTGAATTGTATGATGTTCCCAAAAGGATTTTACTATAAATCCTACTAGAGCTGTTGTCAATATTTAATACAAAGAACTGGCAACTATGTATATAGGAAAAAGAAACTAATGTAGAATTGCCTAATAAACGCTTTGAGATCAGTTCCCAGAGAAACTTTGCTAGCTGATCTGGGACCTTAGATCCTGGGACATCTCAGAGGATTGAAAGCTGAGGTCCAAGGCAACCAGACTACCACTGAATTAATAGTATCCTTACAACAGATGAAATCCTCAGGGGCTCTCAGAGGAGAAAATACGGCTTTTATACAGCCATATCATGACTATACAGGCTTTGCCTTCTCAACATCGCATTTTAACTAGGAGTTTTGCAGCAACCGACTGATGCACTGGGACAAGAGGAGCAGGTACTTCCAACTTCAAATCCTGTATAATCCGTTCCCTGATGATTGAATAGCATGGCTGCTGAGAGATCATCTTATTTCACTTAATGGCAGAGAGTAAAATTGTAAACAGGACCAGGAGTTATCAAAAAAAGCTTTCTTAGATTTCATTTCAGTTGGAACTCAGCCCCCTCCCCAGCAATGGCTGGCACCAACCTTGTTACTAAAGTACTGAAGTATTGATCTCAGTGCTTAAGGCTCCCTAGGTCAATGAGATGGAAATTCACTAAGAATTTAATGCTATTGGCAAAGCCCAAGCTGGTCTTTCAAAGCAGCTGGCTGCACTTGTTTTCCATTTCAGGCAGGTCTGATTAGCAGGACTCTCTCCAGGCATGGTTTGTCTTTGTGGCCTTCAGCCTCCACTTCTTGCACATTGTTTCTCCTTCTGTTCTCCACTTTCTCTCCTTCTCTCTAAAGCATCTTTCAGTAGATCAAAGAAGACCAATTCAGTGCCTCTGAAATCACACCAGGTAAGCCAGTGCCTGACATGTACATCTCTGTGGTGTAAGGAGAGCTTCCAGAGGCAACACAACATTCTTACCCTTTTTAGTCCATTTTCCTGGGCTTTCAGCACTCAATTGCCAAAAAGTAGTTGATCTTCTCCAGAAATAGGCTACCCAAGGAGGTTGCTTCTGCCTGAGCTGAAAAGAGTCAGTAATCTGAGAATGGTGCTGGAAGCAGGAAATAGCAGAGCCAGAGGTTAATGCTACAGCTGAGATTGAGTTTTCATTATTTTGAATACCAGACTGCTTATTGTCTCAGAATCTGGGCAAGGACTTGACCTACCAGAGAGAATGACCTAACGTTACATAGATGTATCGTTGTCTCATTGTCATAGAAATAAATGAGTAACAAGGTGAGTAGAGTGAGAGAGAGAGAGAGAGAGAGAGAGTATGTGTGTGTGTGTGTGTGTGTGTGTGTGTGTGTATGTGTGTGTGTATCAAACTGTAAGCAGAGTATCACTGAAGAATCTTTTAGATTTGCAGTTTAGGTAAAATATGCCCCTTGAAGCAATCACAAACCTTAGACCATACCACCTCATTCTGCTCTCTGTTTCCCACTGTTCATCACTGTCAGCCTTCTGACATACCCTGAACTTAATCTGTCCTATGTTTTATTCTCTTGGGCACGGAGATATCAGATTAACTCACTAATTTAATAAGCGAATTCCTGCTATTATGCTAATAGTAAAGAGATGGAAAACCTATTTGAGGCAACTTGTGCATTTAAAATAAGACATTTGAGAGAAGTAGTCATCGGCCTTTGTTAGGCAACCTTTTAGTGACTCTCATAGTAGAAATTTAAGGCTGATAGAGTAGACAGTCGGAGCTACCAGCCTTGTGGTGCAGTCCAGTTACTGCTTAATATTTCTATATCGCTTTAGGCTCGCCCTGAATAAATCTCCACTCTGTTCTGTTTCTATTCCTCATTTTCTCAATTTTCATGATATCTAACTTTCCCTTCCATAGGAACGGCTCTCAGATTAATATTTGTGTGTGTGTGTGTGTGTGTGTGTGTGTGTAAGATTTTGCCAGAGATTAAAAGACTACTGCGTTATTATGTGTGTATTTTTGTGGGGTTTGTTTTTATTTTTTTAATACAGTATCTCACTCTGTCACTCAGGCTGGAGTGCAGTGGCACAGTCACGGCTCACTGAAGTCTCAACCTCCTGGGCTCTGGCAATCCTCCTACCTTAGCTTCCTGTGTAACTGTGACCACAGGCACATGCCACCATGCCTAATTTTTTTTGTTTGTAGAGAAAGAGTCTTACTGTGTTCCTGGTCTCAAACTCAGGTTCAAGCCATCCACCCACCTTGTCCTCCCAAAGTGCTGGGATTACAGGGATGAGCTACTGCACCAGCATTTTTTTTTTTTTTTCGAGACAGAGTGTCCTGTCACCCAGGCTAGAGTGCAGTGATGCGATTTCACATCACTGCAACCTCTGCCTCCTGAGTTCAAGCAATTCTCCTGCCTCAGCCTCCCAAGTAGCTGGGATATTACAGGTACCTGCTACCTTGCCCGGCTAACTTTTTTGTATTTTTAGTAGAGACGGAGTTTCACCAATTTGGCCAGGCTGGTCTCGTACTCCTGACCTCAGGTGGTCTGCCCACCTCAGCCTCCCAAAGTGCTAGGATTACAGGCATAAGCCACCGTGCCCAGCCTAGCCAGCCTTATTTTTAAATGTTTGAATAAGATACAAGAAGCTTGTTGTGAACTTCATGTAATGAGTGTTGAGTTGATACAACCTAATGAGATTGTGATGTGGGAGCCTAAGGTTGTGATGTGGGAGCCTAATTTGGTTTGACCTGATTTCCTCAAATTAAAGACAGCAAATCCTGTGATGAATGGAAAGGGAAAAGGCGACACAAATCCTACCTATACCATGGGATAGTTGAGTACTTACTTGATTCTTTATGACCAGAATTGATTGCTTATAATAAGTGGTTTGTCGAGGTTTTTCCTAATTTATTTGACCATATTAGTAAGTGAATTACACGTTGGAGACCTGATGCTCCAAAATCCATTGCCACAAAGCAGGGTGTCAGAGAACAAGCAGTTTGTCTAAGGAAAAAGAGAGGGTGTCCTCCCCAAAGTGAAAAATAACTGTGCCAGAGGTCTGTATAACAGGGCTTCTTATAGAATAGATGGGGTTGAAATGACTACAAAATAAATGGTGAGTTGAAGTTTGTGTTGATTTTGTTTTTTAAATCTAAATATGAGCCTCCAGGCAAGATGACAATTAACCTTACCCTCACTGAAGCACAAACTTGAGGTCACTGCTCCTGATAGCCATTGCAGGCTCCCAGAGCAGACCCTTAAACTGGAGGATGGGTTCTGCTTTCTCAAAGCATTAGGAGAGAATTCAGCAAAATGATGAAGCATGGGAAGGAAAAAGGGCCTCTTAGAACTAAATCAACCCTTAGGAGGCTTGGAAGAGTTAAAGCAGAGAAAAGAGAATGTACCAGACATCTTTTATTCACACTTTCAATTTTTTTTTAATTTTTAATTTTTGTGGGTACATGGTATATACATACATACATATATATATATATGGTTACATGAGATATTTTGATATAGGCATGCAGTGTGTAATAATCACATCAGGGTAAAATATCCATCACCTCAAGCAGTTATCCTTTGTGTTTCACACAATCCAATTATACTCTTTTAGTTATTTTTAAATGTTTGATTAAATTATTTTTTACTCTAGTCACCTTGTTGTGCCAGCAAATTCTAGGTCTTATTTATTCTTTCTATGTTTTGTACCCATTAGCCATGCCCCCCCTTTCCACCAACCCCTCCCCAGTCCTGACTACCCTTCCTAGCTGGTAACCTTCCCCTACTCTCTATCTCCATGAGTTCAATTATTTTAATTTTTAGCTCTGACAGATAAGTGAGAACACGCAATGTCTGTCTTTCAGTGCCTGGCTTATTTCACTTAACGTAATGACCTCCAGTTCCATCCATGTTGTTGTAAATGACAGGGCCTCATTCTTTTTTATGGCTGAATAATACTCCGTTGTGTATATGCACCACATTTTGTTTATCCATTTGTCTGTTGGTGGACACTTAAGTTACTTCCAAATCTTGGCTGTTGTGAGTAGTGCTGTAACAAACATGAAACTGCAGATATCTCTTCAATATACTGATTTCCTTTCTTTTGGGTATATACATAGGACTGGGATTGCTGGATCGTATGGTAGTGTCACAGGATCTTTGGGGTGTTGCTTTGCCAGCCAGAAACCTCTGTGGCTGACAGAGCCTTCTGCCTGAGTATTGCTCACACCCTTTGGGATCGTTCTGCCTACTCAGCTCAGCAGGCTGCACTCAGCTCGTGCTACTGGCCCAGATCCCACACCTCCCAAGGGTGAGCCAGGCACAGAACAGTGAGCAGTGTGTGGACAAGAGAGCATGGGGTCCAGCCACTGCACAACCAGGCACGCTGGCTGCTGCAGCAGGGCAGGCAACTCCAGGCACCAGCACAGGTGCCAGCTGCATGTGAGGCTGCGGTTGTACCAAACATATTGCACGCAGCTTCCACTGCAGGCAACCACGTCTGGACAAGGGGAATGCGGTGGCACCTGGAAGCTTGGAGACACCAGGAACTGCTGAGCCCAAAGAGGGTGTCACAGCCATAGCTCAGGGAGTCCCTAGGTCTGGGCTCCTCAAAGAACTGCAGCTCTTCTCTCCTTCTCATCGTCCACAATGTGGCGAGCAGTGGGGCATGTTTCAGCTCTTTCAGTCCCGCCATTCAGCAGGTCCTGAGGTCTTGTCCTGCATCCAGGAAGAATGATGTTCATGGACAACTGGAGAGTGAGCAATGCAGAGAGGAGCTTCATTGAGCAACAGAACAGCTCTCAAGAGATCCAAAGTGGGAAGCTCCTTTCCACAAGCAGGTCATCCCTGCAAGTGTCCAGTTCTCACCAGAGAGGAGACCTGGATTGAGTAGCTCCTATGCACAGGCAGGTTGTCCCGACAAGTGTACAACCCTCAGCAGAGAGGAGACCTGGAATGGGTAGCTTCTATCTACAGGCAGTTTGTCCCATCAAGTGTGCAGCCCTCAGCAGAGAGGAGACCTGGAGTGGATAGCTCCTATGTACAGGCAGGATGTCCCAACAAGTGTGCAACCCTCAGCAGAGAGGAGACCTGGAATGGGTAGCTCCTATCTACAGGCAGGTTGTCCCATCGAGTGTTCAGCTCTCAGGGGAGAGGAGACATGGAGTGGGTAGCTCCTATCTGCAGGCAGGTTGTCTCATCTCTGTGAGTTTGGCTGAGTCCAGGGTTTTTATGGGCTTCAGAAGGGAGGACATGCATGCTAATTGGTTCATGGGCAGGCCTGGAAAAAGCACCATAAGTTCTCACTCAGGGCCATGGACTCCACCCAGAACTGACAGCCCAGCCCCCATGCTTCAGGCCGTTTCTGGCCTGAAGGTGGGGCTTCACTGGGGACCCACTCCTTTCCACCCAGGAGCCTGTCTGCCTCCTGCCACCATCAATCATGTCATCCATGGCACCCAGGCTGTTCATGCCGAGAGGCACCTGCAGGCCGAGAGGCACCTGCAGGCCTGCACCAAGCCACCCTCAGCCTACCCTCAGCCTCCCTCCCATGCTCGTCAGCACCCAAAGTCCAGAGGGGACTGAGGCAGCATGGGGCTGGCGTGTCAACACTGCCCTGAACAGACATACACCTGGCCGGGTCACAACAGTGCCCAGCTTCAGCCTCAGCTTTGCTCCGAAATCAGAGTGGGCACTGGGAACAGGGAGAGGCCAAGTAGAGCTGGCACTTCTGAGCCTGTGGGGGTATGGGGATCTTCCCGGGCCCCCAAGAGCACATGGATGCCCAGGTCTGCAGCCATGGCTGGGCAGGGCTCCCACCCTGACAACTCAGGAGGGGGCAGGGCTCCCGTCTGTTTACAGCTCACCCTAGACTCTATTTATAGTTTTTTTTAGGAACCTCCAAACTGTTCTCCATATTGATTGCACTAATTTACATTCCCACCAACAGCATACAAGTGTTCCCTTTTCTCCACATCCTTCTCAGCATTTGTTAATTGCCTGTCTTTTGGATAAAAGCCATTTTAACTGGGATGAGATGATATCTCGTGGTAGTTTTCATTTGAATTTCTGTGATGATCAGTGATCATATACCTGTTTGCCATTTGTGTGTCTTCTTTTGAGAAATGTCTATTCAGATCTTTTGCCCATTTTTAAATCATATTATTAGATTTTTTCCTATAGAGTTGTTTGAGCTCTTTATATATTCTGGTTATTAATCCCTTGTCAAATGGGTAGTTTGCAAGTATTTTCTTCCATTCTATGGGTTGTCTCTTCACTTTGTTGTTTCCTTCCTTTGCTGTGCAGAAGCTTTGTAACTTGCTGAGGTCCCATTTGTCCATTTTTGCTTTGCTTGTCTGTGCTTTTGGGGTATTGCTCCAGAAGTCTCTATCCAGACCAATGTCTTGAAAAGTTTCCCTAATATTTTCTTTTAATAGTTTCATAGTTTCCGGTTTTAGATTTAAGTTTGCAATCCATTTTGATTTGATTTTTGTATATGGTGAGAGATAGGGATCTAGTTTCATTCTTCTGCCTATGGATATCCAGTTTTCCCAGCACCATTTATTGAAGAGACTGTCCTTTCCCCAAAGTATGTTCTTGGAACCTTTTTTAAAAATGAGTTCACTGTAGATGTATGAATTTATTTCTAGGCTCTCTATTCTGTTCCACTGGTCTACATGTCTGTTTTTATACCAGTACCATGCCGTTTGGGTCTATAGTATAATTTGAAGTCAGGCAATATGATTCCTCCAGTTTTGTTCTTGCTTAGGATAGCTTTGGCTATTCTGGGTCTTTCACTAACACTTGACTATTAGTAGATGAGCTTACCTCCCTGGGACCATTAGTGCTTCATCTCTTTTCAGAGTCTAGACATTCTTCACTTCTAATTCTTCTCTATCTTCCACTGAGTGGTAATCAGTCTTCTGATGTCATAGTTTAGTTGTGTGATTTCCAAGAAGATATTTCATTGACCTGTAATATTATTGGGGATTTATCTAATTTGCCAATGAATATTTTTTCCTATTATCCACTTTCTAACCCCCTATTGGCATCAAGAGTAAATCTGAGACTCATATCTGAAGTAATGACCCAATGTCATGGTTTTGTGATATGACAAACGGGAGGAATTACATGAACTCTAATATATATTTTGAAATATGTTCAATTTGCCAACACATTGAATGTCTTTTAGCTTTACAAGTTTGTTTTGTCTCAGCATAAATCATAGGATCGACATCTATTAGTCAAATAGGCAAACTGTTCCCATCTTTCACCCTGTCAGACCATTAGAAGATGGGCCACAGCAACATTTTTTTTTTCGTTTTCCAAATCCAAAATGAAATTTGGAAAAAGCTGCTAATTAGAATTCTTCTCCAAACCCAGTTAAAACTGAGAACTACTTATTCTGTCATAAAAACTTATGAGAGATTTCCTAAGTCTATATACATACAGAGATATAGTTCTGCTTGTGATAAGTTGGAAAGAGTGCATCGTTTTATGAGTTGGCAAGAATATACTTGATCTTAGCCAAAAGGCCCAGAAGTGATGACTTGGCAAGAATAAATGCTTAGCGTTTACTTATTCATGAAGCATTTACAGGCCAGGCAAGGTGGCTTATGCCTGTAATCCCAGGGCTTTGGAAAGCCAAGGTGGGAGAATCACTTGAGGCCAGGAGTTCAAGGTTACAGTGAGGTATGTCATGCCACTGCACTCTAGCCTGGGTGACAGAGTGAGACCCTGACTCTTAAAAAAAAAAAAAATTACAGAACAGCCAACTAATGAAAACACAGAGGAGACTTACATCTATATTGTTTGTAAAAGGTAATAACTGCTTTATGTGTTTAAAAATACATATAGAGCTTTTTTAAGGTGGATATGTTCGGTATAGTGAATACTGGTTACAGCAACTTAATCTAAAATGAGGTGGAAGTAGGGCAGGCGATTAAGGGAAATTTCTTGTACTGAAAGTAGCACAGGAATTAGAGGCTAATTATTCTATTAATGAGTCTCCGAAGCAATACTGGCTGGATCAAAAGATAAGAACCCCACAAGTTTTCCTAGGTTGTCAAACCAAGATTAATGGCACAGCAGTCAGGAGGAGCTATTGCCAGTGTAGTGCAACATGACAGCATATTCTCTTTTTTGCAAGTAAAGCAATTCACTCGGCCATCTCTAGAGACTTTCAAAAGCGGGTAGATCTCCACATTTTCAACACTAATAGCGTTCCATCCTGTCAACCATAAGAAGCCACAGCTGTGAGACATGAATTTACTGTAGCCGTCCACATATCCAGTTGGTTCTACCACCCAAATTTTACTTGCAAGTATCTGTTTGTTTCCATCTCTCATGATCATAATGACCACATCCTGGGATCTCACATGGATTACTTTCACCTCTTGGTCTCCCTTCTTGCCCTCTTCGAGTCCATTCTCCACCAGCAGCCAGAGCAATCTTATAAAAACACAAATCAGACCATGTAACCTCTTCCTGAAAATCCTCCAGTGGCTTTCTATGATTAGAGTAAAATCAAAGCCAGATTGTTCAAAGCCCTGTATTTATAGATATAGCTTCTGCCTCCCTCCCTGAATTAAGTTCATTCTTTCTCCCTCTTATTCACAATTTTCTGCCAGTTTTTAGAACTTGCACTTTCCCACCTCTGGGCCTTTGCACTTAACAGTTCCCTCCATCTGGAGCTCACTTTCCCAGGCATCTCATCACATAGAAAGATCTCTCACTCCTCCTTCAGATCTCAGCTTAAATGCCACCTCCTCAGAAAGACTTCTGCTTGTCACGTTATCTAAGTAAGTGCCTCCTGGTTTATCTCTTAATCATAACATCCTTTTTACCTCCTTTCTAACACTTATCACAATTTATTATTAATTGTAGGTGAATACTCGTTTTTGTCCACTTTTCTGTCTAAAATGAGCTCGATGAGGACAAGAACCTTCTCTGTATTGCTCACTGTGTCTTCCTAATGATTAGTAGAGTGCCTGGAACACAGTAAGCGCACGGTAAATTTTTTTTTGATGACGAACTAATGAGCCAACAAAGGAATGATAAGTGGTACTAATTTTAAGCTAGCAACTTCAAATATTTGAGAAACTCTTCCCACAACTCAACAGATAGTATCTTTTGTTCACTTTGTTACCTCCTGCCATGCCTCGGGAGTTAAGTGAAGACATGCATTTCAGCAAGTATTCAGTGAATATTTATTAAGTAATATATTTAAGGCTCTGTCTTAAGCACTGCTGGGAATACAAATACAAGTAAGATCTGTCTACCAAGACTTACAGGTTAGTGTTTTTAACAGACACATTTATAACTAGCTATAATTCAAGGCAGAGTGCTGTGCTAGAGGTATAAACAAAGAGCTGAGGGGCATGGAGGAGGAAGAGAGAAGTGATCAATTTTCCTATGACTACCGTTGGTGTTTCAAACTGACATTTCAGTGGAGTCATAGCTCTTCTGCCTCATGAAGCCCTGCCAGCTACCTAAAGACTTCTTGTTGGAACAGAGAAAAGATGACCATTTTCCTAGAGCTCGAGATGCATTAACAGAACAGAAAGGCAGTAGGAAGATGTGAGGCAAAGTGGGAGAAAGCAGCAAATTCCTATTCAGATTCTATATTTACAAGAAAATAATGCTTTTCCACTCATTTCTATAAAGGTACCTTTTGGTCATACTTACAGTTTACTTTCACAAGGGTCATACATTTCCATATTGACTATAAAACAGCACAAGGGAACCAGAAATATATTTTGAATTCAGCTTCCATGAGAAAGCCATGAAAAAATATGCCGAAGCAGTTACTGACTGTTAAGTGAAAAATGGAAGAAATAATTTTCGCCAAGAAGCATGAGTATCATTTGCTGAGAATGGATAGCCACAAGCAGACTATAAGACAGCAACAACTAAAGTTTAACTGTTGGCAGAATTTTTAAGAAGAGAAGTGGAAAAGATCAGGATTGTTAACCTATTCTTAATACTTGAGTCATATGCACACTCATTTCACAGTCTTAACAGCGACAGCAGAAATATCTGCAAATTCAAAGTCAAATTGAGTACTGAATTGGAAAGTGAATCTGGAAGTCCTTGCATTGCTCTTCCTTGTACCCACTTGCTTGGTTTTATTCATTCATGAAACACAAAACACTTAGTGAGCTTCTTCTCCTCTACACCAAGGACTGTGCTAACCACTAGAGAAACTTAGGTGGCTTAAGACACCCCTGACACTAAAGCCATTATACTCTAAAGCAAGCTTGTCCAACCCACGGCCCATGGGCCACATGTGTCCCCGGGAGGCTTTGAATGTGGCCCAACATAAATTCGTACACTTTCTCAAAACATGATGAGATTTTTTTGCAATTTTTTTAGCTCATCTGGTATCTGTAGTGTTAGTATATTTTATGTGTGGCTCAAAACAATTCTTCTTCTTCCAGTGTGGCCCCAGGAAGCCAAAAGATTGGATACCCCTGCTCTAAAGGAAAGTCAGACACAGCAACCAACAATAGTGCCATAGTACAAAGTATTATAGGAACCTAGACAAAGAGGAAATACTTTTCAGAAGAGGTAACATTAAAGTTCAGCCTGGAAGTATGGGTTGAATTCTGTTAAGCAGCAAGGGAATGCAGGAGCACTGTAGGCAGAAAGGAAAAGGTAATGGCAGTAACAGAAACAAGGAGGAGTGAGAACATATGAAATGCCTTTGGGGAACTGTGAGCAGCTATGATGAGAGAATAAGATGCGTGATCAGGAAGAGAGGATGATAGGAGGTGTCACTGGGAAAACCTTAAATGCCATATTTAAGACTTTATAATTCTGTAGATAACAGGGAGCCTCTGTAGCCTTTTGAGAAGGAAGAAACAAAGATCTGATAACTCTGGTGATGTGAAAGATAGCTCTGACAAGTGATGTATGGAAGATGAGTCGAAATGAAGGGAAGAGACTGCAAGTTGGGCTACTTATTAAGAGGTTTATAGCAACAGTCTAGGTGAGGAATGGTAAGACCTATAACAGGAGAATAGAGAGCAGAGTGTATGTGGGAGAGATATTTTGGTGATACTGAAAAGCACTTGGTCTTTTTTTATATGGTATGTGAAAGGTCAGGACAGAGGGATCAAAAGTGACGAGATTTATCTTGAATGATGGATAATAGTGATGGTACTAACCAACATAGAACTTTCTGAATGGAGGAGGGGCTCTAACATGAGCAAAGGCAGGAGGAAGAACAGGCTTATGGGGAGAAAGTGAGTCCTATTTTGGACATGTTCATAATGAATTGCCTCTGAGGAAAGATGCACAGAATATATTTAGGAATGTGCCTTTAGAAAATAGACAGAGAGAATGCTCAAGGCATGCAGCTATAACTTTGTGCATTACCAGCAAATAACTGACAGTAGAAGCCATAGTACTAAACGAGATCACCCAAGAATATAAAGTAGAAAGTTTAGAAGCATGAAACAGAATAGTTATATTTAAATGCTAAAAGAAGATGATGAGCCAAATAGTAATTTAGAGAGGAATTAGAGAAACAAAAGGAAGTAAGGTCATGGAAGTCAAAGGAGAAGGCAGTTTCAAGGAGGGGATGCTCACCAGCACCTTGTACTGCAATAAGGCAAAGGGTAAGAGGCCATATATGGCTTTTGCTAGAATACTTTGCATAGAATGATTGGTAGCAGAAGTCCAATTCCCATAAGTTAAAAACTACATGTGAAATGAAAAAGTAGAGACCACTACCATAGACTCAACTTCCCAAAATTTTAGCAATGAAGGAAGGGAAAAGTTTGACCATGTTGGTTGACACTGGAAAACGGGAAGATAAAAAGTAAGAGACTAAACATAGAAGAGAGGCAAAGGATGATGAGTTCTAGAAACCTGGCTATCAAAAGGGCAACTTAAAGTCCTTTTTGAACAAACCTTTTTGAACTTTTGGAAACCCATATCTTTTTAGTTGCCACACTCGTGTTCCTAGTAGGGCTCAGGAGCTACAGAACATTAAGAACCTGGCCAGAAGACACCTTTGTCCAACTGGCAGAAAGGGAGATGGAGGCACGGGGATCCTTGCTAGAAGGACTAAATTCCCCATGTCCTAAACAATGATTATCTGATGGTATCATCTGAATTTCTCAGAGGAATTAATCTTACTGAAAATACCACTTTATCAGGTCATCCTACAAGTTACTTTTTTGCAAACACAAAGACCCCTGGTAACACAAGAGAAACATCCATTTAAAGGAACTTCCCTCTTTCACCTTTCGCTCTTTATGGTGGGCTCTGGTAGGGAATCTATCGATGATACCATAGTTTGAATACTTTCAGCTAGCTGTGAGTTTGAAAAATTACTTCATGTTGGCTAGGAATGAGTGGTTTGGAATAGACAGGCTTTTATACTGGAAGGCTGCTGGGGATAGAAAGTGACTCATTACTGTCACGGGACACAAGGACTCCTCTTCCTTTTTTCTTCTCATGGAGTGTGCTTTGACAATCTTGTGGAAAGGAATAATAATTTCAGCTTTTTTTTTTTTTTTTTTGAGACGGGGTCTCACTCTGTTGCCCATGCCAGAGTGCAGTGGCATGATCTCAGCTCATGGCAGCCCCTGCCTCCCAGGTTCAAGTGGTTCTCCTGCCTCAGCTTCCTGAGTAGCTGGGATTATAGGCATGTACCACCATGCCAGGCTAATTTTTGTGAGTAGCTGGGATTACAGGCATGCCCCACCATGCCGGGCTAATTTTTGTATTTTTAGTAGAGACGGGGTTTTATCATGGTAGCCAGGCTGGTCTCGAACTTCTGGCCTCAAGTGATCTGCTCGCCTCAGCCTCCCAAAGTGCTGGGATTACAGGTGTGAGCCACCTCGCCTGGCCTAATTGCAGTTTTTAATCCCTCCATCCTTACCTTCCCTACACAAAAAAAAGACCAAGCGCTTTTGAGTATCACCAAAATGTCTCTCCCACATACACCCTGCTCTCTCTTCTCATTTAATAGGTCTTAGCATTTCTCACCTAGCCTTTTGCTATAAACCTCATAACTGATGTCCCAACTAGTATCCCAAATATCTAATTTATGAGGATATTATGTTTGTTTCTGCCCATTTTCACTGATATTGAGATAAACAGTTCCTTAGTCCTCCTTTCTTTTTTTTTCTTTTTTTTTTTTTTGAGACAGAGTCTCTCTCTGTCACCCAGGCTGGAATGCAGTGGTGCAATCTCGGCTCACTGCAACTTCCGCCTCCCGGGGTCACGCCATTCTCCTGCCTCAGCCTTCCGAGTAGCTGAGACTACAGGCATCCGCCACCACTCCCGGCTAATTTTTTGTATTTTTAGTAGAGACAGAGTTTCACCATGTTAGCCAGGATGGTTTCGATCTCCTGACCTCGTGATCCGCCCGCCTCGGCCTTCCACAGTGCTGGGATTACAGGCGTGAGCCACCACGCCCGGCCTCCTTAGTCCTCCTTTCTACTCTTTCTTCATCCTTCTATCCATCCTCTGTTAGCAATCCCTCATAAACTAATTTTCTTGTTTTATTTAAGGTAATGCTAACTACTGAAATAAGTAAACCCCAAAACCTAAGTGATTTATCACAATAGAAATTTATTTTTCACTCACATGAAGTCCAAAGGCACCACATGTTTTGGAAGAGGTCTGCCCTGTACCATTTTTCAGAGACGCAGGCCAATGGGGGCTCTGCCATCTTTCACACACTGCTTCCCAGCGTAATTGTTGTTTTCATCAACTGGCAGATGGGGGAAGACAAAAAACAGTGGAAGAGTGGAAGATTCTTCTGGGCCAGGTCTGAAGTGAATATTATTTCTGTCTGCATTTCGTTAACCAGAACTGAGTCACATAACCCCACTTGAATGCGAGGTCCCTGGCAAGGAAGCCACTTGCCAACAAGAACTCTTGACTTGGAAGGCGAGCACAATCTTTGGAGGCCGCCAGCCATCTCTGCCTCATAATTCTCGTCTCACTAGGTCTCTTTAAATAACCCACATTAGCCTCCGTAATATAAAGACACTTCACAGCAGCACATATTATTTCCTCCAAAATTATAAGATAGGCTTTAGATTATAAGAATTTTCTTGCCAGCTAGCTGTAACTATACCACTTTGTCACATCTGACCCTCACACAGAATATCAAAGCACCTGGCCAGGTACGGTGGCTCACGCCTGTAATCCCAGCACTTTGGGAGGCCGAGGCAGGTGGATCACCTGAGGTCAGGAGTTCAAGACCAGCCTGGCTAACATGGTGAAACCCCATTTCTACTAAAAATACAAAAAATGAGCCAGGCGTGGTGGCGTGCACCTGTAATCCCAGCTACTCAGGAGGCTGAGGCAGGAGAATCGCTTGAACCAGGGAGGCAGAGGTTGCAGTGAGCTGAGATCACACCATTGCACTCCAGCTTGGGCAACAAGAGCAAAATTCCGTCTCAAAAAAAAAAAAAAAATCAAAGCACCTAAGTGTTGTTTCTCTGAAGCATTAGAAGGTTGTATATTAAGTTTGTCATCATAATGAAATCTGTGTGACTCCATATTAGTAACTCTGACTAGAACAGTGAGAAACTGTCCATGCTAGAAATATCCAGATTTATTTGTTAGCATGTTTTGGTACTACAAAGAGAAACTTTAAGACTAGCTATCTCCTGGGGTGCTAAGTGAAAACCTATTAGAAAAACAAACATAATGCCATTGTATATTTTGTGTGAAACAACTGTTATCCAACTTCCATAATGTTAAATGAGGATAGAGGGGAGTGATTCTTGCTTTAGAAAGGGTTTTTCTCTAAAAGACTCCATAGCTCTGAACTCTTGAGGTACAGGATCATCAAGTGACAGTAGTTCCTCACTGCCTTGTAACCCGTAGTTATCCAGAAGTGAGTGTCATTTGTCTCCAGTATCAAGGGACTACTCATGCCTACAAATGAGAGTGCAAGTAGAATTTGCTCTCTGCTATCCTGGATACCACCTTCTCTGACTTTTGTCAAAACACGCATACTTATCCAGCAAAGGGGAGGAGGGAGAGTGCTGGGGGAAGGATCCTCAACTGTGACCTGTGATCAACTTTCTCCTAAAATATCTAAAATCAAATATACCTTGAATATAAGATTTACTATCCTCCTGAAAACCTCTGGTCTACATGAGAAATTTATATTCTTCCTGTTAGCGTAATTTTTACCTTGTTTCTTAGGGATCAGTTAGCTCTGTCCTTACCCTCCCCTCTGCCTGAAGTTACAATTCCAAGTTGCATTTGCTAGCAGTGAACGGCATCTGTACCCCAGTAATTTTTCCCTGATCTGTGGACTTCTCTTCTGGCTGCAAAGGTAGTAGGGTACAGTGTGGAAGGGTAAGGATCAGGGTTAAGGACAGGGTATCACATTTCACCCTGCTACACACATTAAAGACTAAAGTTCCATTTGAACACACAATCATCTTCCTATATGTTTAAAGTCATTTGTGGTTACTGGTCATTCCTTTAGTTTAGCGTTACACTAGTTACTCTGAAGAATATAAAAGAAATATAAAATAAAATGCATTCGCTTAATATGTCTCACTTAATTCTTACCACAGTCCTGAGAGGTAGATGTTACTATCCCTGTCTCACAAAGAGGTTCAGTATCTTGTCCTAGGTTATAAAGTGTGTAAGTGGCAGAACTAGGATTTAAAAGTAGGTCTGTTTGACTTTTAGGGATGAAGAGGCAGCACTGTGAATGCCAGTAAGGAAATTTGTAAAGTAACTTTGAATCATAAGGTGATATTATATAAGCTATGTGAAAATAATTCTCTTCTGTCTTCACTTCCCTACCCCATGGCCTTTATGACCATATCTGAACCCATGTTAAAGTTGATTATGATTACCATCTTTTTTTTTTTTTTTTTTTTGAGATAGGGTCTTGCTCGTCACCCAGGCTGAAGTGCAGTAGCACGATCACAATTTGCTGCAGCCTCAACCTCCCAGGCTCAAGTGATCCTCCCACCTCAGCCTCCCAAGTAGCTAGGAGCACAGGCACATGCCACCACACCCGCCTAATTTTTTAAATTTTTTGTGGAGATGGGGTCTCGCTATGGTATCCAGGCTGGTCTCAAACTCCTGGACCCAAGCAATCCTCCTGCCTCAGCCTCCCAAAGTGCCGAGACTACAGGTGAGAGCCACTGTGCCTTGGCCTCATCATCTTTAATTATAAAGGGAAAGCATAGTTGTGCTCTGTCATGCTTTAAAACATACCACGCTTCCTAGAGCTGTCTCTACCTTATTTCTTACCTACTCTTTCTCAAAATGCCAATCAAAAAGTGTCAAAATCATGGTTGCTGATTTTAATTATGTTAAAATTAAAGAATTCAGAGTTTATACTATACAAATGAGTATATTGTTCTTTACAGTGGTGGATTTTTTTTCACACAAGTGTGTTCTGAAACAAAGACCAAGTTGCTAATCTTAGTGTGGTAATTGAACTAGATTTCAGTGGAACTAGGTTTCAGTAGAACTAGATTTCAAAAACACTGAAGTTCTCATTCTAGCTCTTTTACTTCCTAGGCATGCGAGCTGGGTCTGTCCCTCAATCTTGCTTAGTCTCTGTCAATCCTCTACCATAATATTGGGAGTAGTATTTACTGCTATACCTATGGTATAATGATTTTTTGAGAATCTAAAAATTATTAAAGTATTTTTCTGGGTGCAGTGACTCAGGCCTGTAATCCCAACAGTTTGGGAGGCCAAGCCGGGCAGATAACCTGAGGTCAGGAGTTCAAGGCCAGCCTGGCCAACATGGTAAAACCCCATCTCTACTAAAAATACAAAAATTAGCCGGGCATGGTGGTGCACGCCCATAATCCCAGCTACTTGGGAGGCTGAGGCAGGAGAATTGCTTGAACCCAGGAGGCGGAGGTTGCAATGAACCAAGATCATGCCACTGTACTCTGGCCCAGGCAATGGCGTGAGACTCTGTCTCAAAAAATAATTATTATTATTATTAAGTATTTTGATTTTTCAGTTGTTGTTGGTTTTTTTTTTTTTTTTTTTTTTGAGTCAGGGCCTCGCTGTGTTGCCCAGGCTGGAGTGCAACGGTGTAATCATAGCACACTGCAGCCTCGACGTCCTGGGCTTAGGCAATTTTTCTGCTTCAGCCTCCCAAGTAACTGGAACTACAGGCACACGCCAGCACAACTGGCTAACTTTTTAACTTTTTTGTAGAGACAGGATCCTGCTTTGTTACCCAGGCTAGTCTTGGACTCCTGGACTCGAGCGACCCTCCCACCTTGGCCTCCCAAAGTGCTGGGATTACAGGTGTGAGCCATCATGCCTGGGTATTTTGAAAACCTTAAGATACACAGGTATAAGATGTTATTATTTACTCATCCATTCTGCAAATATATACCCCTATTACCTAGACTCTGTTGAGGATAGAGGCCGTGCTTTTTCCCACGTGTGGAGTAGAGCAACATAGAAGAGTGCCCTGCAGTGGGTGCTGTAATGGAGATGTGTACCAGGTACAACAGGAACCTAAGGAAGGAACCCCTGAGTTTATCGGGGGGCACCAGGGAAGGCTTCACAGAGGAGATGATGTGAGTTGCCATTTGAAGAATGAGAAATTGTTTTTCTGATGAACTAAACAGGAAAGAGAATTCCAGGCAGAGGGAAAGCATGTTTGAAACCCTACAGATAATTTACTCTGTTTAGAATTGAAAGGATAAGGTAAAAAGGTAAAGACAGACAAATAGGCAAGGGACAAATTATAGAAAGCCCTTGGATACCATGCTAAGGAATTTAAATTTTATATCAGAGGGAAAATAAAACTAGCAAATAATTTTGAGCAGAATTTTGATCAGGTTTTTGCAATGTAGATTATTGGGATGGCCAGGGAGTGAGCAGTCAAGAATAAAATGAAGAGAATGAGATACTTGTGACTTTTCAGGAGAGAAAATATAGGAGAGGGGGGAAATAGCTACTACGTTTTATGCCTGAGTAACTGGCAATATTTAAAAAAAAGAGAGAGAGATGGTTTTGAGGGAAAGCTCCAACTTCAAAAAGTGAGTTTGATAGTGATGGAGGTGGAGAGATCCAGCAGACCGAGAAGCAGAATTAAATCTCAGTGCTCAAGATGTCACCATGGGAGCTAATATAGAATGTACATTGCTGTTTCCCCTTATGTCCTACATACCACAAACTTTGAGTCCAGTGTACTGATCAGAACCATCCTTTTAGTAATAATGTAGCATGCTTGTATTCAAAAAGAAATGAACTATAGTTGCCACCTTCATCTTATCCTTGACCTGTATTGCTTGCTGTTTCTCCTCAGTGCCTGATGCAAAAGCAAGCAGTTATCTCTAGCCAGCTGAAATGAAGACTAGAGAAATGCAGACATCTCACCAGCATTTCTTAGTTATGGTGGTAAAATGAAAACACTAGGGTAAAGTCAATTCTATGTCTAACTGAAAGTTCATTTCCTTGTCAAGCACAAGCTTTTTTACATTAATCCCAATAGGCATGAATTCTCATTAACAGCCTAAAGCATAGATAGTGGATCAGAGACTTATATTCAGAAGTTCTAGTCACAGTGGAACAGCCATGGATGAGTAACTTAAAGTAATAATTCTTATACCAGGGAGGCTACAATAATTTTACTGTTAAGAGCTGGACAGAATTTTGAGATCTTGAGAGTAAGATACTTCATAAATGCTTTGTATTGTTGTCTAACTTCCATATGGTCTGTTAAAATAACTTACTCAAAAAATAACTTAATTCAAAAAGAACAATCTCTATTGAAAAAACTAAAATAGGCTGGGTGCAGTGGCTCATGCTTGTAATCCCAGCATTTTGGGAGGCTGAGGTGGCCAGATCATGAGATCAGGAGTTCAAGTCCAGCCTGGCCAGCATGGTGAAACCCCATCTCTACTAAAAATACAAAAAATTAGCTGGGCATGGTGGCACATGCCTGTAATCCCAGCTATTTGGGAGGCTGAGAGGAGAATTGCTTGAACGTGGGAAGTGGAGGTTGCAGTGAGCCGAGATCACACCACTGCACTCCAGCCTGGGTGACAGAGCGAGACTTCATCTCAAAAAGAAAAAAATAAAATAACCTATCACCTAAACTGAGTTTTCATGGGATAAATAAGAGTTCAGGGCCGGGTGCGGTGGCTCACACCTGTAATCCCAGCACTTTGGGAGGCCAAGGCGGGTGGATCATGAAGTCAGGAGATTGAGACCATCCAGGCTAACACAGTGAAACCCCATCTCTACTAAAAAATACAAAAAAAAAAAAAAATTAGCCGGGCATGGTGGCAGGCGCCTGTAGTCCCCATATGTTGTGGGAGGGACCTGGTGGGAGGTAATTGAATCATAGGGGCAGTTTCCCCCATGCTGTTCTCGTGATAGCTGATAGTTTTATAAGTGTCTGGCATTTCCTCTGCTGGCACTCATTATCTCTCCTGCCACCCTGTGAAGAGGTGCCTTCTGCTGTGACTGTAGAGTTTTTAAGTGTCAGTAAAGAACCTGGAACACAGGGGATGGGACAGCTCCCATCATACATAGGAATCATCAAATGGATTTCATTCCAGTAAGAGTTTAAAAAGGGACTTTAATTTTTGCCTTTACAGAATTTCTAAATTGTAGTGGATACCAGGTCACCTTGTTTGATTGGATGAATTAACCATAATAGAAAGGAAGTTATTTAATTGGGAGAATGTCTCAGACAAGTGTAGCTTGCATGGAATCATCAGTATCATCTGAAGGTGTGAGTCCAGGGTTCTTTCGAACTCATAAAATCTGGAAATTGCCACTGTACTCTTTTTTTTTTTTTTTTTTTTTTAGATGGAGTCTCACTCTGTTGCCCAGGCTGGAGTGCAGTGGCACAATCTCAGCTCACTGCAAGCTCCGCCTCCCAGGTTCATGCCATTCTCCTGCCTCAGTCTCCCAAGTAGCTGGGACTACAGGTGCCCACCACCATGCCCAGCTAATTTTTTGTATTTTTACAAAATGAGGCTTGGGGCTTGCACCCTCTGAAGCAACGACCTGAGCTGTATATTGGTCCCTTTTAGCCACAGCTGGAACGCAAGATACAAAGTCTGGAGATTGCACAAAGCAGCAAGGCCCTGGGCCCAGCCCACTAAGCCACTTTTTCCTCCTAGGCCTCCAGGCCTGTGATGGGAGGGGCTGCCATGAAAACCTTCAACGTGCCCTGGAGACATTTTCCCCATTGGCTTGGTGATTCAACATTTGACTCCTCATTGAGTATGCAGATTTCTGCAGCTGGCTTAGATTTCTCCCTAGAAAATGGGTTTTTATTTTCTATTGCATTGTCAGGCTGCAAATTTTTCAAACTTTTATGCTCTGTTACCTCTTGAATGTTTTGCTACTTAGAAATTTCTTCCACTAGATACCCTAAATCATCTCTCTCAAGTTCAAAGTCCACAGATCTCTGGGGCAAGGGCAAAATGCCACCAGTCTCTGCTAAAGCATAGCAAGAGTCACCTTTACTCCTGTTCCCAACAAGTTCCTTATCTCTATCTGAGACCACCTCATCCTGGACTTCATTGTCCATGTCACCATCAGCATTTTGGTCAAAGCCATTCAACAAGTCTCTAGGAAGTTCCAAACTTTCCCACATTTTCCTGTCTTCTTCTGAGCCCTCCAAACTGTTCCAACCTCTGCCTGTTACCCAGTTCCAAAGTTGCTTCCACATTTTTGGGCAGCACCCTACTCTCTGCAGTACCAACTTACTGTATTAGTCCATTCTCACACTGCTGTAAAGAAATACCTGAAACTGGGTGATTTATAAAGAAAAGAGATTTCGTTGACTCACATGGCTGGGGAGGCTTCAGGAAACTTATCATGGCAGAAGGCACCTCTTCACAAGGCAGCAGGAGAGAGAATGAGTGCCAGCCAGGGAAATGCCAGACACTTAGAAAACCATCAGATCTCTTGAGAACTCACTATCATGAGAACAGCATGGGGTAAACCGCCCCCATGATTCAGTTACCTCCCACCAAGTCCCTCCCATGACACGTGGGGATTATGGGGGTTACAATTCAAGGTGAGATTTGGGTGGGGACACAGAGTCAAAGCATATCAGCCATAGAGAGACGGTTCTAAGTGTCAGCAGTTCTTAGAGGCCATAACAAATGGGGTAAGAAAACACATCTCAAAGGTGATCTAGTGTCCTTTAATGCCAGATTTTTTCTTCTAAAAGTTTTATTGAGCATTTTTATATGCAGTAGACTATGTTAGGCACTATGGAAGATATAAGTAATTCAGATTTCTTTCGTGAATGTAAATAGAAATACAACCCTAAATATACATACATGTCACACATACATACACACACACATTAACACTTAAAATAAGTGTATCATTAGGATGCTTTGAGCTGGAAAAAAAAAACAAAATTCCAATTCAAATAGATTAAACAGAACAGAAATCTATTACCTCATATAACAAGTTCAGAATTAGGGCAGCTAATAGGGCTCAAACTTTATTTTTCTGCAATTCTTTTAGCCTAGCCCTCCTGTTGACTTTGTCCTCAAGCCAGCTGACCACATGATTTGCAAGAAAACTAAGGCAGTTCTGGACATCATGGGCAGATAAGACAATATCCAGAGGCAGATAAAAGAGCTTTCTCTTTCATAAACAGGTTTGGGATCTGTTAGCAAGGAGATAATGGGGAACAGATGCTATCAGGAACCTCAATCTAGTGGAGGAGAGAGTATGTGACAGTATGGCAAACACTGTGCTAGAGGATATACAGTCTACACTGGTAGCCATAGAAAGAAAGCCCTCCATTCTCAGCTGGAGGGAAAGGGTAGGGGCTTGGTAGAGGCTGATCAGAGAAGACGTCACTTGGGGAAGAGGTTGTAAGTCCAGTTTGGGTCGTGTTGAGTGTGAGGTACTGAGACCTCCAAATGGGGAAGTACAATAGACAGTTGGATATATACTGGCCTAAGGCTGAGAAGAAAAGTCTAAATAAAGAAAAAGATACAGAATATAGGTGGTGGTGAAGGCTTTGAGGATGGATGAGCTAATCTAGAGCGAGGAAAGAATAGGACCAAGAATGAGATTCTGAGGAACACTGACATTTAAGCATGGGTGGAATGAGAGTTGCTGACAGAGACAGAAAATAAAAATGAAAATCTTGTAATGCCATCTGTGTGTGGGATGGGTGTAAGCCAACTATAACTGACATTTTGTGGTATTTATACATGTGATTTGGATAAGGAACTGCCTAGGAACCTTTCAGTACCCATTCTTTGCCCAGGAGCAGGTGCCCTTCCCCAAAAAACCAGTTGAATGATATAGTTTTGTTGGAGGTATGACTGGACCTGAAGAGTCCCCCAACCAAAGCAGAATTGGGGCATTAACATTTCTATTAAAATGAATCAGACTGGACGCAGCAGCTCATGCCTTTGGAGGCCAAGGCAGGTGGATTACCTGAGGTCAGGAGTTCGAGACCAGCCTGGCCAACATGGCGAAACCCCATCTCTACTAAAATAGAAAAATTAGCCAGACATGGTGGCAGGCGCCTGTAATCCTAGCTACTCAGGAGGCTGAGGGAGGAGAATCACTTAAACCCAAGAGGTGGAGGCTGCAGTGAGCCGAGATTGCGCCACCGCACTCTAGTCTGGGCAACAGAGTGAGACTCCATCTCAATAAATAAATAAATTAATTAATTAAAATGAATTTCTCTTTTTTTGCAGGAGTGGTCACACGTTACTTGCCTTCTGGTTTTCCCGCCAAGAGGGAAAACTAAACCGACAGCAGACTATTGAACTGGGACATCACATCCTCAAAGCACACATTTTTAAGGTAATTAAAGCAGTTGGAACCATTTTTCCGCCATCTCTAGCAGACTTTCATATGCTTTATGTAAGAGACTATTTCAGTGTAGTCCCTGCCTTCTGAAGTTCTTTTGCTGCAAACTTGGTTCATCTCCCAACACGTATGGCCTGTTCCTCCCTAGGCCTTTAGAACTACATTGTACATCTCCCAGTGTAACTAACTGATAGGCTTTTCAGGAAATGTATATGTATAATCATTGACAAGGTGCATATACACCTATAGATGTGTGCTCCATACATGACCTATCATCTCCTGAGGACAGTCATATTGTAGCAATTAGTTGCAGGTTTTCATGATGTCTAAAAAATCACTGAGGGCAATTACTCTTTCCATTTTTTAAAATTGTTTTAGTGACAATAATAACATTCCTGGTGCTATGACTTTCAAACCAACACTAACCTTCCTTGGAGCTACTTCCCCCAAATCTCTCTTCAAATTATATCCCAGTTTTTCTCCCATTAGTTTGAAAACCTTTAAGAACTCTATAACATCAGCTTCTCTCTCAGCCTTCAGAAGGCTGAAATGGAGGACCAAAAAGAGGACACATAATTTGTTTGTGCATGTATGCATTCATTTGTTTATTCATCACTTACTGAGGCATTAAACTGGGTACTAGAGATACAAAAACAAAAAAGATACAATCCCTAATCTTAAGGAATTTGTAGTTCAGATAACAGTTTTGGGTTAACCCACAAAAGTGGAGAAGGAAGTTACTGTGCTAATTTTTCTGTCCCACAGTCTGAGAGTTCCAATCCCTACAGCCTTTTCAGAATTCTTTTCCTGCCTCAGGATGGAGAATATGGGTATCTTAAACAGTTCTCTGGGTCAGGCTTCCCCCACAGGATATTGTTAAAAAATGAAACCATTGTCTTCAGAGAGAAAGATGGCATTAAGGATAACTTCAAGAGCCTAGCAAATTCTTCCCAATATATAAGCACAGAGCCAGAGCAGCCTGGTCATCAGATGGACAGAAGTGAAACCCACAGTGACAAATCTTGTATTTGAATCTTACTTGTCTTGTCTAACAAATCACTGTACCAAAAATGACCTTACTTAGTAGGAGCAGAGTGGAGCTAAAATAACTGGCAAGGTATGGCATTCCAGTTTCAAGCAGACTAAAAAGTAGCTAATAATTCCATAAACTCTAAGAGCATTGTCCTGCTGTTAGATAGTAACTGAAAGACAGTAACTTAAGCATTAACCTTTTAGCATCACTATCTGCCTAGAATCAGATGCAAAAATGAAGCTAATCCCTGCCTTTGCTGCCCCATAAAATAAATACCACATTCACAGAGAAGTAGCATGAAGCTTCATTTGACCAAGCTTCATTTGACGAAGTATTTTATCCCATACATGGAAACGTACATTTAAACATGCCCTCCTGTCATTAGCACAGTTTTATCTTATACTGATGCAGACAGCATGGTTGCCTGAGATAAGACTGGCTCCATGTGTGATTCAAGCCATAAATACTCTAGTGTACAGCATATGGTGGTGACGTGACTGCAAGCTGAAGAATGAAGACTTGGACTATGGTTTTCCTGGTGCTGCAGTTTACAGGATCCTTTAAATGCAGTGTTCCCTGTTGAGAGGCTTTAACTTCTCCCAAACTGCTAGAATTCTCAATCTGCACCAGCTGTGGGTCAAAGACAAATATAGACTTTATGGTTAGAAATAGTTCCACTTGAAACTTCTATTCAGCAGTGACACACAATCCAATGGGTACTTTTTTCCAATTAATTTTACATTTCTCTGGTTTTATATTCATAAAGGTGATGTTTGTAAATAACCCGCTTTAAAGAAGCTCATTGGATAAGCCCCCAAGGTTAGTTTTTGCCATGATCTTCAGATACCTGAGCCACAGCTAAAGATCCCTAAGATGAGATTGCTCTTGTTTCTTCATGCTTTCCCTGTTTTCTTAAGTATTCAAAAATCTTGAGCAAGCTTATCACTGGCTGCTAAACAGTTTTGTAAATTTAGATTCTAAGGAAGGGACTCCATTACCATTTATTGCCGACAAAAAGATCCCTTACCTGAGCAATAGTTACAGATACTGAAGAGGCACTTTTTCAAGCTATTCGAACATAAAATTCTCTTTAAGAAACCATGAGCTTAGAATTTAATTATGCATTATTTTTGGCTACATCCTGGCTGGTAATGGGATCACACTTCTCTGCCTGTCATCTTTGTTGAATTGAACCAAACTGACGCTCTTTTCTCCCGTACTTCACAGGAACAAAGGGTCAACTCCACTAACCAGAAGAAATCAAAAGTCCATAGTACAAGTAAAGCTAGTATTCCAAATCCAAAGCTATGTATTTCAGGCGTATTTCTTATGTATCTAGTCCAGCCTCAGTGCGGTTCTCAGTGCTGCTTTGTGGTCCATTTACTGGACCATTTAGTTGACATTCATTTACCAAGGTCCATTCTTACTCAGCTCCTTTTCCCATTTCTTTTTCCTCTAGCTCTTAATAAAGCCAACTAATGAAACAAACAGCCTAACTTGTGAGTCACTGAAAAAGATCAAAGCTACCAAGTGTGACTTCCTTTAACTATTTTCCTCCCCTCACCAGCAAATCAATCTATATCATTATCAATTCTTACCTCTTTTTTTCTTGTTTTAGAAGAAAAGATGTTCCTATTCCTCTTTAATTGCATTATGAAATATAGAAAAGTACAGATAATTGCATGTAATCAAATATTATCTACCAGATTTAACAAATGTTAACATTTTTCCATGTTTGCTTCAAATATTTTTCTTTATTTTTAAGAAATGAATGTAACAAATATAATAGATAACGCTTTTGTATTTCTCTTTTACCCCATTTCTCTGTCTCCCTTAGAGATAACTCCTATTCTAAATGTGTTGGGATTTAGCACATGCTAACACCCCTAACATGTTCTTCTCATCTATATTTTACACTTTTCCAATGTAGGTTCCTGTTCATAAACAATATATACAACTATTTTGGGTTTTTTAATGCTATAAGATTCTATAACTTTTTTCTCTTTTTCACTCAGCATTCTGTCTTTGAGATTTCTCTATAGATGTAGGTCAGTGATTTTCAACTCTGGCTATACATTAGATTCTCTTGCAGAGTTTTTTTAAAAATACACACACATTCCTGAGCCTTACTCCCAGAGATTATGAGTCATTGTTCTGGAGTAGAACCTAGGCTTCATTTTTAAAATAGACTTTATTTCTTAGACCAATTTTAGGCTTATATAAAAGTTGAACAGAAAGTACAGAGTTCCCACATACTCCCCCAACCACAATTTTCCCTATTATTAACATCTTGTACTGATGTGGTACATTTGTTACAATTGAGGAACCAATAGTGATACATTATTATTAGCTGCAGTCCATCCTTTATGTTAGGGTCCACTCTGTGTTGTACAGCTCTGTCGATTTTGCCAAATGCATAATGTCATGTATCCACCATTAAGTATCTCAGCATAGTTTCATTGCACTAAAATTCCTTTATCCGCCACCTATTCATTCCTCTCCCCTTACCCTCCTCAACCCCTGGCAACCACTGATCTTTTTACTGTTTCTGTAGTTTTGCTTTTCCCAGAATGTCATATAGTTGGAATCACACAACATGTAGAATGTTCAGACTGGCTCCTTTCACTTAGCAATATGCATTTAAGATTTCTACATGTCTTTTTTGGCTTGATAGTTCATTTCTTTTTATTGCTGAATAATATTTCACTATAAGGATTTACTACATTTTATTTAGCCATTCATCTATTAAAGGACATCTTGGTTGCTTCCAATTTTGGCAATTATGAATAAAGCTTCTATAAACACTAAGAGGCAGGTTTTTATGTGAACATAATTTTCAGCTCATTTGAGTAAATGCCTTAGTAGTGCAATTACCAGATTGTATGGTAAGACTATGTTTAGCTTGCAAGACATTGCCAGACTAGTTTCCAAAGTGGCTGTGCCATTTTGCATTCCCACCGGCAGCGACTGATCAGTAGTATTTTTGAAAAGCTTCCCAGGTAATTCTAATGTGCACCCCAGCTAGTTGAGAAACCACTATTCTTTTCTTTTCCTGTTTGAAAAAAATCACTATTCCACATCATTAATTTAAAGATGGCAGTATAGCAAGCATGGTAATTAAGAGATCAGACTCTAAAAACAGACTGAGTTCAAACCCTGTCTCTCTTAATTCCTGACTGTATGACTTTAAGCAAGTTGTTTAACTTTTTTTTTTATATTTTTGGAGACAAGGTCTTACTCTTCACCCCGGCTGGAGTATAGTGGCACAATCACAGCTTACTGCAGCCTTGAACTCCTGGGCTCAAGCAGTCTTCCCACCTCAGCCTCCCAAGTAGCTAGGACTACAGGCAAACAGTACTACACCTGGCTAATTATTTTTATTTTTTGTAGAGATGGGGGTCTCACCATGTTGCCCAGGCTGGTCTTGAACTGCTAGTCTCAAGCCGTCCTCCCTCCTTGGCCTCCCAAAGTGCTGGGATTACCACCACTAATCTTACTAATCTTTAAAATGGCAATAATATTAGCCCTTACTAAGTGGTTGTGAGGATTTAATTCATTAATATATATAATCCTCAGAAGAGGGGCTAGGATCTCTAAAGGCTACACACATATATATATTTGGGGTTAAGAGTCACCAAAATATAGGTGACTCTTACCTACATTTAATAGTTATATATATAAATGTTATATATGTAACAATTATAGTAGAAGCCCCTTTATATCTTTCCCTTACCCCATTCTCCTCCCTCCCCAGTGATAACCCTTATCCTAAAGTTAGCATACATATGTCAACAGAAAGGTAACTGTTACAGGTCTTAGACACAATTTTACTTTAATTTAATAGTTGGGAAAAAAGCATATAATGCTTAGTTGAATTCATAAGTGTGATGTCTTAGGAGTAGAAGAAATTGTCTGGGATTAAAAAGGACAATTTTGGAGAAGAGGGCCAAGGATGGAAAATGGTTTGGAATTAAAGGTAAAGGGAGAAAGCAGCAATCAGCTGTTTTGTCTGTTTTAGTCTATTATAGTTGCTACTTTTTCAGCTAAGATCAGAGAAGTGAGGTCCTGAATCAGGTGCCAATTACTTTTCCTTTTTTTAGTTGGTATAATGGAAGGAACATGAACTTTAGAGTAAAAACAGATTTGGCCTCTAATTCTAGCTCCAGGAGTTGTGTTCCCTCCTAAATAAAAATAGTGATAAATTCTACCTCCTAGGGCTGTTGTGAAGATTAGATTACATTAGAGAAGCTAAATCTGGAAAGGCCCTAGCACAGAACCTGACACATTGTAGATCTGAATAAATGTCAGATTTCCTGCCTTTTTTTCCTTCAACCATCATATGTAAGACATGTCTTCCATTGCTAAAAGCTTCCTCTGTTAGACTATGGATATTTCTTAATGCTGATTTTTCTCTCTGAATTCGTTAATATAGTTTATCATTCCTCAAAAGGTCTTGAGGCCCACACATATTATAAATTAGGAGATTGAGGCCCAAGTGGGGAGTCACAGCTAAGCTTCCTGGTCTTCCAGGATCTACAGTGCAGGTGTGCTCAAGAACCTAACTTGTCTGGACTCCAACCCTGAGTAACATTTAGAATTCTTCCTAAAAGATCTGGAACTATTCTATTTCATATGCCAAAATAACAATCAGAACTACTTAGTGATGTATTTGCTTCAGTTTTGTTTGCATGTAAACTGCATGGCCAAATGAGAGTTTGTAATTGATGTCCCTGTTACTTGCACAAATTAAAAGAGCTTCTGAAGTAATAATGAGCAATCAGAAGCTGCCCTTACCCACCTTTCCTACTGTTTTCTGTTTACCCAGCTCTGGGTGCCTACATGGGTACTATAGTAGACAGATTCAGAACAGAGCCCAGCCTCCTCAAGGCCAGAGAGAATATGGACTATGTAGAAATTAGGTAGCCATTTTTAAATAATCGAGGAGGATGAAAAGGGAAATAATCTTGTGGTGTGAGGGGTTAAAACTGGATTCTGTTTCAGCCTCCCAGCATAGGATTGTGTTTCTGGGCACCCAAAGGTCTACTCTGCTAGGATTTGACCCAGCCTTTTGGCTCATGCTCTTAGGATAGAATGGAACGAGAGGATACGTAGAAATAATTAGCACCATCCTTCCTCATTTTATCAAGCTGTGGATTTTTTGTTGAGAATGTATAAACACTTGCAGCCACTTTGATAAAGCCATGTCAAAATGTCGCAAAATATATCAACTTCTTGAGGCATATTCTATAGATATATATGCATAGGTGTATAAAGATACATGTACATGGATGATTATTAAAAGCTATAATAGTGAGGGAGAACAAAGCCTAGAACTACCTAGTAATATGAAAGTGTTTTAAAGCCAGTAACAGTGTATGGACCTTATGTGAATCCCAATTCAAACCAAAAAAATTTTAGTTCCTTTTTTTAGCTAATCAAGGGAATTTGAACACTGTTGGGATATTTCATATTATAGAATCCTTCTTAGTTTTAGGTATGTTTTAAAGAGTTCATATCTGTTGAGAGACACTGACTAAAATAATTAAATATTAACTGATAAAATATCTGGGATTTTTCAAAATAATCCCATCAAGGGAAGGGGATATGAGCAGGAATGTAAATAATACAAGGTTGGCCATGAGTTGAAAATTACTGAAGTGAGGTGATGGGTACATGAGAGCTTTACTATACTATTCCTCTCTACTTTTGTAAATACATTTTAAATTTTCCTTAATCAAAAATGTTTAATAAAGTAAATTTTACGTTGTTTATATGCACTTGTATGTATGTATTTTGCGTATATATAGAAAATGTGTTAAATAATAAACACTAATGTGTTAATAGGAGTCACCTCTTAGGATTGAGATGGGAGGTTTATTTTTAATACCATATTATTTTATTTGATTTTTATAACAAATTTGTATTATTTTTATAATTTCAAAAACTGAAATGTAGAAGTCTTTTTTCCTTCTGTTTTTTGGTGGTTGTTGTTTTTTGGTTTTTTTGAGACAAAGCCTCACGGTGTTGCCCAGGCTGGAGTGCAGTAGCACGATCACTGCTCACCACAGCCTCAAACTCCCGGGCTCAAGCGATCCTCCCACCTCAGCCTCCCAAGTAGCTGGGACCACAGGCATGCACCAGCATGCCTGGCTAATATTTTAATTTTTTTGTAAAGATGTAGTCTCCCTACATTTCCCTGGTCTCAAGCTCCTGGGCCCAAGCAATCCTCCCACCACCACCTCCCAAAGTGCTGGGATTACAGACATGTACCACTGCACCTGGCTGAAAATAAAATTTTTAATAGGAAAGTTCAATGATTTAATTTTTGGTTGCATCAGAATATCCCCACAGGGAGAAAAAAAAAGGTGCCTGTGTCGGAAAAGCCTTTAAAACGTTCGTGTATCTAGCCTTCCCACAGCATTATTCACCTTTCAGCCTTTCCTCTAGTGTGAGAATTCCCTCTACAGGAAGTTTTTTCCTAACCCACTTTAGAGACCCTGAACTCTCTATGGGAAGACCTTGACCACCATGACTAGAGGTCTTGTTAGATGAATTTATAACTCATAAGTTACTGACACATTCCTCCTTTGTAGATGCCCCTTCCCTAGTATGCCGCATAAACACACCTTCCTGATTTTGGGTATATGTAGGTATTCTAGGCAAGAACATTCTATATTTCAGGGACAAAGAAAGCAGAAGTAGCTTAAGTTTTTAAAAGAAGTACCTCCCTATATCTCTTATTACAACCCAAATTTCATTGTTAATATCTTCCTGCCCTCAGGATTTCCTTCTTTAACTGATTTGATCCAGATATTGACAGAAGAGTAAGATGATTGTCAGAGAGTGTCTAACAATCAGGAGATCTGAAGAACAAATTATTCTAACTTCCTTCTGGGGAAGCCCATGTGAAAAGGACAAATATTAGTACATGTCGTGGGACCTGTGCCAGTGATACTAGGAGAAAATTTGTTGCGGATGGAAATCAAGCCTGTATTGCTGTTTTTTTCCTGAGGATAAGCATATGTAATCATTTTGGGATATATTAGTTAAGGTGAAGAACACTAGCTGCTATTGACAAACCTGCAAAATCTCAATGACTTAACAAAGATTTATTTCTCCTTACATCACAGTACAGTGCAGATGTCTGGGCAGGCTCCTTCCGTGTAGTAGTTCTAAAATCACCTTGGGCCTCAGAATTCTCCATTGGATCTTCTACATCTGGCCTGTAATCAAAAGGAACAATAGAAAGTGTAGAGAAATATGCAGGAAGTTTTGGAGCCAAGCCTGGACATGACATATTATTTATGCCCTAATTTTATTCACCAGAATTCAGTCACATGGCCTACCTAACTGTAAAGGAGCCTGGGAAATAGAGTTTTTCCAAATGTTCAGGAAGAAAATGAAATGGAAATCCGTGATCACATTGCATTATTTCTGCCACAGTGTGTAATTTAGTAACTTGAATTTAAGAGATTTATTGAAGAAGGCTAATAAAAAAGATATGGAAAAATAAATTATATCCAGATAGAAAAGAGAGGTGTTGAGTAGACGTGTTGCTAAGGGCTGCAGAGATGGAGACTGTTTCAGTTAGCTTGTTCCTGCAGGACTGGTCTTTGTCCCCCCACCTAGGCTTTGCTTGGCATGAACATTGTTAGGGTGAGACTCCGCTCTCATTCATTAGTACCAAAAACAAAGAGGCCACTAATTCACCACTGATGCTACTTTTTTTTGCTGGGCTACTAATTTAATTGTCTGTATTTCTTATTCAGGGTTTGAGTAAAAAAGTTGGTGTATCATCCTCCATCCTCCAAGGTCTCTGGATCTCTTATAGCACAGAAGGTCTTTCCATGGCACTGGCGTCTTTACGAAATCTCTACACTCCAAATATAAAGGTAAATTTATAAAGAAATTATAAATATGATAAGGAATTAACTATGAAAAAATAAAACTAGAAGGACATTAAGTAGCTATTTAGTTGATCTTTGACTTGTCTTTCTTATTAGCCTTTTATTGATAATTTAATATATTTTAAATTGTTAAATTTTATTCTATAAATTAGAGACTAGCTCCATTGTCCTCTTAACTTCTATAAGCTGACTCTGACATATGGGATCAGGTCCTGCTGGTTCCAAAGAGTAAATTGATCTCAGGTAGCCTTTGTCTTGGTAGGAGCTTTTCTGACCAAGAGCTCACTTCGTAGAGACTATGTTCAGCACTACAGTATAGGAGGCAATTGCTCTAGTTACTATGCCATTTATGTAAAGGAGATATTTTACATTATCTACCAAAGGAAAAGAAAAAGGAGCAAATGAGATTATAAAATAAAGCAATTACTAAATGCTACTAGACACTGTTGTAGAATGTTAGATGGTTTAATAAAAGATGACTAAAAGGATGTGACTCCTGTTTGTCTAATTATTAGTTCTGTTTGTTTATTTCTAGGTCAGCCGACTGCTGATTTTGGGAGGTGCCAATATTAATTACCGGACAGAGGTTTTAAATAATGCTCCAATTCTATGTGTTCAGTCCCATCTTGGTTACACAGAAATGGTAGCCCTGCTGCTGGAGTTCGGGGCCAACGTGGATGCCTCTTCTGAAAGTGGCCTGACTCCCCTGGGATATGCTGCAGCAGCAGGGTACCTGAGCATTGTGGTGCTGCTGTGCAAGAAACGGGCCAAGGTACTGGCTGCCCAGCTCTGCTGCTTTTCTTCCCTTTTTCTTTATTTTCGATGCATACTCTTTCTTATCTCCAGTGTTACTTCATGAGTCTGGGTAGAGTATATCAAACCATGATGGAGAGGAGATCAGAGAGAGTGCTGGTTCTGCATATGTGCAGGGCCACTGCCATCCATCCTGCAGGAGCACACAGTTCTAAACCCTTTGAGAGGTGCTTGGGAAACTGCATTTATCCGTAACCACAAAAAGTTTCTACATAACAACCCAGAAATGATCTATTGAGCTCAGAAGAAGCCTCTTTTTAACAAAGAGAGGAAGGAGAAGTGAGGAAGCCAGGAGACTGCAGTGGCAGGTCTGGACCAAATGACACCTGCAGGCTCTAAGCCTTTCATGTGTAGAGAAGAAAACTTAGCCATGGAGATGAGAACAGGACCAGACACCTTCATCCTGTCCTTGAAGACCACCACTCTAGAGATAAGGGGAGAAGATGATTCTCCCTATTTATACTCAGACTGACCAAGGGCACCTCGAAGTGCTTCTGTTAGTACTGATCAGTTCTCTGAAAATATTTCCAAAATATGTTTGCTTTATGTATAAAAACTCGATTTCACAATATTGGTGAAAAGAAAAATGCTGGTCTCACAAATGTGGGCCTCTGGGAAAAAAAAGTCTGGCCTCATAGTATTTTGTTTCAGTCCTGAAAACAAACTGAGGACTTTAGTGGTTTCATAGTGAAATACAAGTCATAGTATGACTTCATTCTGCGGTATTCAGTGCTGTTACGAGGGGAGAAAGTGGGACTCCTCCACTCCTTTGGGAACTGAGACGTAGGCCTCTCAATGACATCTCAGAGCCTTAGAAGTTTACTGTAGCACAGTGATTGTGCACCTGTGACATCCCATTCATTTGAATGGACACCTCTAGGAACAATGATAACTGGGCCTCGTTACTATTTTCGTTTTCTTTTTAGAGACAAAGTCTTGTTCTGTTGCCTAGGCCAGAGTGCAGTGGCATGATTGTAGCTCACTGCAGTCTTCAGCCTCCCCAGTAGCCAGGAGTATAGGTATGTGCCACCACACTCAGCTTTATTTTTTTCCTATTTTGTAGAGGCAGGGTCTTGCTATATTGCTCGGAGGTTTGCTAAAACTCGTTGGATCAAGAGATCCTCCCACTGTGGCCTCCCAAAGCGCTAGGATTACAAGCATGAGCCACGGCAGCCAGCCCTTCTTACTATTGCTGTCACTTCATATTCTGATCTTAGCTGGGTCTTTCCTGCTGTTCAGCCCTTACACTGCCAAGCCATCCTTTTCTTCATCTTTCATTGTTTTCCCCAGAGCAGAAATGTAACTCATATGTACTTCTTTCAAGATCCTATCACGCCTCTTCTGCCCTTCATCACTGTGATCGAGCTCATCTCAAGGTGCCTGTATCTCAAAACTCTTATCAGTTCTTACGTACGCTCACCTCTACTTTGCCTTAGAGAAGGAAGTACTTACCTTCCTTTCCAGAGCAATTGTCTCCTCCTCTACACTCTTAACCCACGGTGTTGCTCATTCTCTCACGTTATTTCATTCTTTTTCTAAATTCACACTACCTTTTTTCTCAGTTTCTACAAACCTATGAATGTAGAAACCTACCTAACCTAAAAAAGAAATGTTCCTCTCCCTTGCTAACCAGAAGCAACATCCCATCTCTTCCCTTTCACCTCTGCCAAACCTGTCCTAAGAGTCCTCTATACTGGCTACATTCACCTCTTTATTACTCCTTAACCACTTGCATTCTGGCTTCCATGAATGAGAGAGGAGGCAACTCATTAAAATGATAAGCTTTAGGATCAGACACAACTGGGTTAAATCCTGTGTCCATACTTAATTTATACAAGGGCTTGAACAAGTCACTTAACCTCTCTCAATCGCACTTTTCATCTATAAAAAGGGTGTTAAAAGAGTCAGTGTAAGCATTGAAAGAGATAAAGCCTTTTTTTAAAAGAGGTGTTAAAGTCTCTTTTAATCTTATATAGTGCCTAATAAATAGTATCTGTAAAAAAGAAAATAACCCAACCTCCCTACATTCTACCAAGCTGCTCTTTTAAAAGTCACTAATGACTGCCATTCACCAAATAAAGCAGCTTTGTCTTATTCCTCACATCTCTGAGCCCCTCCATAGTATTAGCAATAATAAACCTTTTTTTTTTTTTTTTTTTAAACAGAGCCTGGCTCTGTTGCCTAGGCTGGAGTGCAGTGGCACCATTCTTGGCTCACTGCAGCCTCTGCCTCCTGGGTTCAAGCAATTCCCCTGCCTCAGCCTCCCAAGTAGCTGGGACTACAGGCGCACACCACCACGCCTGGCTAATTTTTGTATTTTTAGTAGAGATGGGGTTTCACCATGTTGGCCAGGCTGGTCTTGAACTCCTGACCTCAGGTGATCCACCCACCTTGGCCTCCCAAAGTGCTGGGATTACAGGCGTGAGCCACCGTGCTCGGCCAGTAGTAAACTTTTAATGTCATTTCCCACTTCTCTGGCTGCCCCTCTCTTCTTCTTCTGATAGAACTGTTCACTGAGATCCTCTGGTCTTCCTTCCGTCCTCATACTCGCCATGGCTTCAGCATTAAAGTCATAGGCTTTGGCGTCAAACCCGACTGGGTTCTAGTTCTCCTACCTACATTTTGGTGACTCTTAACCCCAAATTGCTAATTTCTGAAAGTGTTTTTGAGCTGTAGTTTCACATTTGTAACTGCTTCCTTGGCAGGCATGTTCATATCCCTGACTAGTTAGTTCCTCAGATCCAGCTTTCTAAAATCACTCAGCATCTTTACCCTCCTCTTTCTGGATTTTCAAAGTCTGCTAATGTAGCCTCCGTTTTTCTCAGAACTAGGGAGTCATTGACATCTTTCCCTCCTTTGCCCTTCCTAATTCATTTAGTGGCCAGCACTTTTCAATGTTATCCTCAAAAGAGCTTGAGAAGCTACTCCTTGGTCTCTACCCCAACTGCCACTATCCCCCTGAATTATTCTTGGAGTCTTCTTGTGTAACAAACCCGTTTTTCAGATTCTCATCTCATCTATTACACACCATCCCCTTAGCTTTTGTAGAGCTTTTATTTTGAAGTAATTTTAGACTTTCAAAGATACTGCAAAAATAGTGCAGAGACCCAACACAAAGAAATGATACACGTTTGAGGTGATGGGTATGCTAATTACCCTAATTTGATCATTACACATTGCATACATGTATCAAAATATCACACTGTACCCCATAAATATGTACAATTATTGTGTCAATTTAAAATAATAAAAGTAAATAAAATAATTCTCTTGTAGGCAAAAAAAAATGCATAGAGTTTCTATATATCCTCCATTCAGCTTCTCCTAATGTTAACAGCCTAAGTAATTGTAGTCTCATTATCAAAACCAGGAAAGTAATTTGGTGATAATACTATTAACTAATCTACAGACCTTACTGAAATTTGTCCAACTGTCCCACTGATCATTTTTGCATTAGAGAATCCAGGTCAGGATCTCACATTACATTTAGTGTTGTGCCTCCTTAGTCTCCTCCAACCTGTGAGAGTTTCTCAGTCTTTGTTGATCTTTTATGAGCTTGACAGTTTTGAAGAATACCAGCCAGTTGTTCTGTAGAATGTTTTTCAATTTTAGTTTATCTAATGTTTTCTCACTGTGAGATTGAGTGTATATATTTTTGGCAAGAATACCACGTAAGCAATGCTGTACCCTTATAAAAATGCAGCACTAGAAGTCCCTGCTGTTGATAGGTCTTATTACAGGTGGTGTTAACCTCAGTCACTTGGCTACCCTAGACCTGCTCACCAACACACTGACCATATATCAGTGATGATGCGACATTGTCCAAGAAAGTACATACCAAGGCCACCGCACAATACCTGTCCAAAAAGGCCTCCAATACGGAATAATGTTCTTCATTATTTCAGAAGTCTTTTTCTTCGCTGGATTCTTCTGAGCATTTGATCACTCTAGCTTAATCCCTACTCCAGAATTAGGAGGACATTGACCCCCAACAGGCATCTAAGGTAATGTCTTCCAGGTTTCTCAGCTCTGAAGTTACTGTTTTTCCTTTTGTAATTAAGAAATATCTTTTAGGGTTATGCTTTTGAGACTAGAAAGACAGACATCCTGGTTCTTGTCATACTTTTGTCCACTAATATTAGGATCCATCAGTGATTCTTGCTGCAGTAAGTATTATTATTATTATTATTATTTTTTTTTTTTGAGAGGAGTTTCACTCTTGTCGCCCAGGCTGGAGTGCAATGGCATGATCTCAGCTCACTGCAATCTCCGCCTCCCAGGTTCAAGTGATTCTCCTGCCTCACCCTCCGGAGTAGCTGGGATTACAGGCACCCACCACCACACCCAGCTAATTTTTGTATTTTTTAATAGAGATGGGGTTTCACCATGTTGGCCAGGCTGGTCTCGAACTCGTGACCTCAGGTGATCCACCCGCCTCGGCCTCCCAAAGTGCTGGGATTACAGGCATGAGCCACCATGCCCAGCCACTGCAATAATTATTGCTTTGATGTTTGCCTAACAGTGATTTTCTACTTCCATCATTCCCTCAACATGTATTAATTGAGATGTTACTGAAAGGGAAAGCGATCCCTTCTCCCCCATGTATTTATTCAAGTATTTATTGATATTGCTATGAAGTCATGGATATTTATTTTATTCCATAGCCTGAAATCCATTACCATTATTATTCATTTTCATTGTTCACCTTGCCCCAGATTTGGCCATTGGGAACTCCTTCAAACTGATTCCTGTGTCCTTTCAACTTCCCTCTATTAATTTTTGAGCATTTTCAGACTTTCTGACACCACAAGATGTTCTAGTCTCATCTCTTACCCCAGTCCTGGAATCAACCATTTCTCCAAGGAGCCATGGTTTCTTTTATCCATTCGCTTAGTTTTTGAAAATACAGTTCTGAGCATGAAAACACTCAATGACTTCACTGCCTATTGGTTACAATTCAGACCACTTAGCCTGGCATTCAGAAATATCCATGCTCTGTCCCAAAAGACCTTTTCCGCCTTAGAGTTTAAACTTCCCTTTCATGTGCCCTACTCTTACAAAAAGTAGAATACATTAATCATTTTCCATCTCAGCCAGTCAAGATAGACCTTTCTGTCTGAATCTGTTCCTGATTCTAGCCAGGAATTAATCTTTCCTTCCTCTGAAATGTTATTTCACTTTTACATTCCTTTAAATTTATTGTATACTCCTTTGTTGGACAGGCTCTTGTCACATTGGTCACATCTCCCCTACCTTGTTGGAGAGTCCTTGAGAGCAGAACCTATATATTTACTGTCTTATTCACCTAAGTGGTACTTTGCCACATACTCTGTATTCAGTAAATATTCACTATGTGGATGGCTGGATGGAACTGAAATCAGTAGGAAAGCCAGAAACAGAACTTATATTTTCAACTGATCTAACTACCGCAGGACAAGTACCACCTACCTACCAGAAAAGGCTACTCATCTAATGAAAGGCTACTCATCTGTTGAAACGAAGGCCCTTCTGGTAAATCAATCTTGATCAGGGTCTTCTTTCAGCCTAAACTTGTAACCAACACTGAAATTATGAAGACTGCTACTGGTGCACTAAGCCAGAAGTGCCTCTAGCCATTTGGGGCAGATCTTTGAGAGTCCTCCCTCCTGCTGGAAGAGAGAAGCAGACTTTGCCAAAGTTTGGTGGTCAAATGATTCATGATGTGAGATGTTTTGCTTCTTTGGAAGGCCAAAAAATTGTAGCTTCATAATGTTTTTCTTCCCTTTTTTGATTTCAAAGATAATTTTTTTTATGCCAGCAGAGCTACCAGTTTCTCAAATCTTGGTCTAAAATGAACTATTTGAGGAGACAAAGAAGAATTTACCTCAGGAAGACGAAGCTCAAACTGAGAGTTTTGGTTTTTGTTTTTCTTGGAATGCAAAAAAAAAGTCTGACCTTTTCTGAGGAAAAGAAGTTCTTCCCAGAGGGACATTTAGCATAGTTGTAGCTCAGTAATAATCTAGGCTGAGCAGAGTCTCCTGAATTTGCTCAGAGATTGGTTCCAGGAGTGGAAAGGATGATTCTTAGTAGCCTAGGCTTGTGCAGTGGCGGATGTGACTAGATTGCGAGCTCAGCCACAAGTCTGTGTTCACACATATCTCCTGTCCTCTCCTCTTAGGTGGATCATTTGGATAAGAACGGGCAGTGTGCTTTGGTTCATGCTGCACTCCGAGGTCATCTGGAGGTTGTCAAGTTTTTGATTCAGTGTGACTGGACGATGGCCGGCCAGCAGCAAGGAGTATTTAAGAAGAGCCATGCCATCCAACAGGCCCTCATTGCTGCAGCCAGCATGGGTTATACTGAGGTAAGAAGTAGGCAATAGGATTGTTTTTTCAAGCTCTGTATTGAAGGACCCAGGAAACCAGGAGAAAAGATTGCACGAAGACAAAATTGCCAACCAAATTAATGTGAATTCGTGATCGCTGCTCTGAATAATAAGGAGATTAAACTCCATGAAGCACTTTACTCAAATGCCAAAGTCCCTCAAATTATAGGTATAGAAAGGTGCGAGTTGGAAAGGACCGTGGAAATGATATAATTATTCTCCATGTTTTCCTCCCTGTTTAACAGACAGTGGCACCAAGGCTCAAAGAGATGAATTATTGAGGTGTAGTCACATGGTTAGATAATGTGGCACAGGAACAGCATAACATTTAGAATCTCAGAAGGACCAGATTTGAGTCCCAGCCTCGCTATTCATTAACTCTAGCCCTTGAACAATTTACCTATCTCTTAGAAGTTTAGTTTCCCATCAGCAAAGTGAAGCTAATAAACTCCTTTATACAAGGCTGTTGTAAGGGATGCTTGGTAAACTGTTAAACATTATACAGTTTATTTATTAATGATAATAACAATAATAGTGGCAAATGTAGGGAATTGGTAGTGTGCTAGGAAATGTTTAACAACCAACTGTGAAGAGGGGTGTGGGGTGGAACAGGGGTGTGTGTTTGTGTGTGCATACGTTTATTATAAATTTTACTGATAGAATGTGTTGCCGTGGAATACTACACAGCCGTAAGAAGAACAAAATCATGTCCTTTGCAGCAACATAGATGCAACTGAAGGCCAGTATCCTAAGTGAATTAACACAGGAACAGAAAACCAAATACCACATGTTCTCATTGATAAGTGGGAGCTAAACATTGAGTACCTATGGACATAAAGAGGCAACAGTAGACACTGGGGACTACTGGGAGGGGAAAGGAAGGGGAAAGGGTTGAAAAAAACTGTTGTTATCCTCACTACCAGGTGATGGGAACTTTTGTGTCCCAAACCTCGGCATCATCCAGTACACCATGAAACAAACCTGTACATTCACTGCCCTTGAATCTACAATAAAATTTGAAATAATTAAAAAAAAAAAAAAGAGGCTGGGCGTGGTGGCTCACGCCTGTAATCCCAGCACTTTGGGAGGCCAAGGCGGGTGGATCACCTGAGGTCAGAAGTTGGAGACCAGCCTGGCCAACGTGGTGAAACCCCATCTGTACTAAAAATACAAAAATTAGTCAGGCGTGGCAGTAGGCACCTGTAATCCCAGCTACTCGGGAGGCTGAGACAGGAGAATCGCCTGAACCCGGGAGGTGGAGGTTGCAGTGAGCTGAGATCATGCCATTGTACTCCAGCCTGGGCAGCAAGAGCGAACTCCATCTCAAAAAAAAACAAACAAACAAAAAGAATATGTTGCACACAACTTACAAATAATAATGAACTATATAATACTCTTAATTGAAAGCTTTTGTTGATTTTTGCCAAATTTTTAGCTAAACTGTGGTTGTAACTTATAACGAAAGTTTGACAAATGGAGCTGCATCCCAGTTTGCTCTTTTCTCAATAACTGTATTGCCGTTAAATCTGATATGTGATCTACTGTTAAACTACTTCTCGTCCACATACGAACTATATTCATTGAACTGAATCCTCTTTCAGCTTTAGCACTAAATGAAGCCCTGATTTATAATGTTTGCCAGTTTCAAGGGTGTAAATACTCCCATCATGGCCAATTTCAAGCTACCAGTGTGACATCACTGAAACAAAGAGGGGAGGAGAAGCATAGTAGCATGTTGTGATGTAATATTCCCACCATGCAGACAAGACATGCACAATCAATATAAATAACCTCAACAGCATAGATAATAGTAAGATATAGTTAAATAATAGGAAGTTGAGAGATTTGAGTATTCTTTAACCTTTGTTTTTAATGTTAATTTATTTAATTGCTATTTGATTTCTAATAAACAACTGGCTTTCAGAATTTCTGAGAATTTAACAGTCAGCTTTCATGGGCCAGTGCAAGCATGGGATAATCAGCAAAACAGCTACCATATCAATTGAGCTGACATGTCACCAAGGGAGTGTTAAGTAATATTAAATTTTATCATCTGTGGGAGGTTTTTGAACCGTGTTCAGTCAAATTCCCAGAAACAGAACTGTCACTTTTCATTGTGTTTAGAGATTTTTCTCCCTTTACTAGTTGCAGAACAGTCCTTATACATCTGAGAGGAAAAAGGAAGATAATCACTTTACTCTGAGGAAACACAGGGCCAGATGCAGTGGCTGACACCTGTAATCCCAGCACTTTGGGAGACCAAAGCAGGAGAATCACTTGAGGCCAGGAGTTCAAGACCACCCTGGACAACATGGCAAGACCCACATCTCTGGGGAAGAAAAAAAAAACTTTTTTAATTAGCCAGGTGTGGTGGTGCATGCCTGTAGTCCCAGCTAATCCGGAGGCTGAAGTGCAAAGATTGCTTGAGCCTGGGAGGTCAAGACTGCAGTGAGTCATGAACACATTACTGCACTCCAGTCTAGGTGACAGAACGAGACCCTGTCTCAAAAAAAAAAAAAAGAAAGAAAAACAGGCCCTCAGTTTTCTCGTATTTATTTTCTATGGCTTTTTTATAGGGAGGAGGAAGGATTGCTTCTTTAACTTAAATATGAAGAATATGTAATTTTTAAAAAATCACATGCTATATAAGTGAATTGCATTCTAGAGAAATGTGCAAACCATACCTGATAAGACAAATGCTCATCATGGAAGCTGTGAGTTTCTTTATTAGGACGGTCAATTCTGATTCCTTTTGTGTGCAAGAGATTTAGTGATACTTGGATCATCCAAGCATCTTCCAAACCTCACAGGCTAGTGTCAGTAGCATAGTTTTCCACCTGAAGTTTGAGCTGACACAACTTCTTGTTTCAGATTGTCTCCTACCTACTTGATCTTCCAGAAAAAGATGAAGAGGAAGTAGAGCGAGCACAGATCAACAGCTTTGACAGTCTCTGGGGAGAGACAGGTACCTCTCATGGACGTTGCCCTCAAGAATGTGTTGTGTTTGTGTGGACTCTCGAATCTCACCCCCTTATTTTTTCCCTGGCATACATTTGGCAGTCTTCTGTCTCAGGCTTTTGTAATGCAGACTGATTCAGCCAAACTAAACAGTCAAGCAGTTTTCCTCTTTCAATCCTCTTTGCCTGTGGATTCTCCATACTCTTTGCACCAGAGTCTTCTTTCAAACAAAACTTTTTCCCTCTCTTGTTTCCAAATATTTTTAAAAGACTGAAAGTTACCTTACAATGTGCCAAACCAGAGCAGAAAATTATTGTGGCCTGTCTCCTTTTTATGTGATCCTTGTAGTAGTTAGGAATAAATATTTCTCCCATCAAAATAACTCTTTCCCCTTGCATTTGTTAACCAGGATGTTAAATTTTCACCCACACCTCTGGCTTAACCAAATGTTACTGTGATAGCGTGGTATCTGACACAATTAATCTAATACATTATGAGTAAAGTTGCTATCTGGATGCACAATGAATGCCCAGCCTCATGCAGTTCCTGTTGGTCTGTAGCAAATCAGTTTCTGTATCGTTCGGTACAATGCAAACAGAAGCCTCTTCCTTGTGGCCTTTGCAGGAAATGATTGTTGTCTTCCCTCCAAGTCTAAACTGCAGCATCTGGAGAAACATTAGTAACCTTGGATGTGTTTTTATGAAACCAGGGCAATGAAAACTGTAGAGTAACCCCAGATATGTGTGATATTTTCCAGGAGAAGTAGACCAATATTGAGATGGCCAATCTAGGGAGAATATTTTACTAAACAAGAAGGGTATGCATTTGGGTTAGGATAAGAGTGTTATTAAAAATAAGAGGTTCTTGAACTCATTTAAAATTTATAAAGACCTATTGTGGCATTTCTTCTCGTGACAAAGTCTTAGACACATTTCCTGACTTCTTTAACATCATGTGGAATGGTCCAAAACTCAGGAATTTGCTTCTCGAATAATCCCTCCTTTTGTAAGATCCAAAGGGAGCAGATGCCTGGCAGCTGCAGCTTAAGAGTCCATGACAGATTAAAGGAAAGTGTACAGCTGGAAACAGCTGCTGTCTCTGGAGCCCCACCCTGAGGGAAGCCAGAGGACAGGCTGAGGGGAAGGAACTGGGCAGGACATCAGCCGCTCTGGAGTATGCATATGTGTGTGACCCAGAGCTGCAGGAGGGACATGTTGGTGTGTTTCTATCAGCACAGCCTTCTCCAACAGTGTTGCCACATCTCCAGCAGACCCTTTGTTGCCAAGGGCATGGCGGTGTAACCACTGACAGCAGCAAAAAGAGTCGTGTCCCCATGGTGATAATGAATAGAAATTACAAGACTAATAGTCATAGCGATGAATATCAAACACATTCTAATGGTGTACTTGAAAGAAATCCTTAAAAATATTCAAGAAGGGCGTGAATTAAATGGAGGACTTATTTTTATTGACATGAATTTCTTATTAGAATAAAATTTTATGGCCTCAGGATTTTTAAAATATTTTATTCCTTAAAGTATACAATAAATTTTTACAGTGAATGTTGTACATATGTACCATATTTCAAGATTTTAAAAAATCAAAACTTCATGTGTTTGCTTGTAATCAGAATTGTGTTGTGTTTGACTTATGCATATATACAATATAATTATAATATTATAAACATGAAGAGCTACTTAAACATGAGTTAAGATGGAATTTATTTGTAATATGATTTTTTTTTTCTTTTTTTTTGAGACGGAGTCTCACTCTGTCCCCCAGGCTAGAGTGCAGTGACACAATCTCGGCTCACTGCAACCTCTGCCTCCTGGGTTCAAGTGATTCTCCTGCCTCAGCCTCCCGAGTAGCTGGGATTACAGGCGTGCACCACCACACCTGACTAATTTTTTTTTTTTTTGTATTTTTAGTAAAGATGGGGTTTCACCATGTTGGCCAGGCTGGTCTCAAACCCCTGACCTCAGGTGATCTCCCCACCTCAGCCTCCCAAAGTGCTAGGGTTACAGGTGTGAGCCACCGTGCCTGGCTGTAATACAATTTCTATATCTATGAAAAATTATTTTATTTCAGAAAAAATTCTGGAAAATAATGTTTATTATGTGGCAGTGACCCTAGAACTCATCACTAGTATAGAATGGACTTTGATTTACTGTTCTATCTACTGTGATGGTTATTAAACATACATGTGCCTTTCTAACTTATAGCACATGATCATTTAAATTTTATAATGACCTATTGAATTATGATGCTTCCTCCCATGACAAAATCCTATACATATTTTCACATACAAAAGTGGTCTGTGACCCAAAGCTAGTTGGTGGGGGCTCATATCTGCAACCAGGACCTAAGTGACAATTTTTAACCTAAGGAAAATACAATGGTCGTGATGTTTCCTATAATATGTATCACTTACTCTATCAAATCTAAGACACCATTAACTTTAAGAAACTATGTAGCCATTATTTTATGTGCCACTACAAAAACAAACAACTTCTGCCAACTATACTGACACAATTCTTTATTATCACATTAACTGTAAGATGCATTCCAATTTCAGAGATGTTAAAATGTAGAGGGAGAAAGTGAATCTTAGAATATTAATTGGGATGTGATTTTTACATATTAGATTTTCTGAAGGCAGATCACTAGAGCATCCTGGTTGCTTTCATCTTCCATTTGCAGCCTCTTTATCTTTCCAGATGTCATCATCTTACATCCAGCTTTCACTATCTGCTGACCCCCTCCCATCCCGTAGAGTTTTCACAGACTTCTTAGGGAACACCACAGAAGAAAAGCAAACAAGGTGACAAGATTGTTCACCACACCCTCCTCTCCCTTGTGTTGTGGGCACAGACCAGGACCAGCGCTGAGAGCTTCTAGCAACTCTGGAGGCCAACCCTGGAAATACATGGCCCCAAAAAGAAACCAGAGTTTACGACATAAACTTACTAGATTCCTTTAATTCCTGCCCTCATCATCATTTGCCTAGATTATTGCAGCTACCTCCTAATTGAGCTTCTGCCTCTAGCCTCACCCTTTTGTGATACATCTCTCAGACTTCAGCCAAAGTGGTCTTTTTAAGCCATAGTCTGTTTGTGTCACTTTCCTGCTTTCTGACCTTCATTTACTACTTGTAGGATTAAGTCCTTTAATGTAGCATAAAAAGACCAGTAATAACCTCCAGTCTCATATATTGCCTGTCTTCTCCAGTAATTCCAATAACAGTAAACATGTTGTTTTCCCCTCATTGCCTTTATTCATGCTCTCCCTTGGCCCACCCCACACCTTCCATGCCTGTAAATCTCCTGTTCATCTTTCAGCATCTAACTCACATTATCATCTCTACCTGGAGGCCATCTCAGAAACCTCTTCCTCTGTGCCTTCCCTCATACCAAGGACATATCTCCATTGTGCATATCACACTATATTAACATATTCGTCTGTTTCCTTACTCAACCATGAGTTCTTTGAGAGCAGTGTCTGACATATAGCTCAATAAGTGTTTTATTAATGTCATTTTGAATAGCAGTGATCAGTTTATTTCTCCCCAGCCACTTCCCCCTCCTACCCGACCCCTTGATCTTACATGACCTGTCTGTGCTGGACTCTTCCAAGGTTGAAAGTAGATGAAAGAGTCATGTGTATCTCTGCGTTCTCTTTAGTGTCAGCATCCCATCCAAGCAGACTCTGGCTGTTTCCCCAACTCTGAGCTACATCCTGTCTGCCTCTTCCAACTCCTTAGATGTTTCCCGTTGAAAAAAGACCATTTCTGTCAGATCATCTCGTCAGATGCTGACAAGCTAGGAAACAAATTCTGTTACTGCTCTTTTAGGAAGAAAGTTGGTTCCTAACTGCTCTGTTTGCAGTTTGGTGTTTTATAGAATTGGCTTTACCTTCATCTCCTTTCTTTTAGAAAGTTTTAACAGTTTTCGATAAATCTCATATAAAATCCAGCCATACAACTCCTTGCTCTTGGATTTTGAAAAGCCCAGACTCCATTTTACATAGTTGTGTTGTTCTGAGATGAAATTGGCCAGCTGTGTTAACCATGTCCAGCTATCAGCTGAAGGTTGCTGCCAAATGACATCATAACCTAAACAACAGAGATGATACAACAAAGAAAAAGGCCAAATGGAACATTCCCTCACATGTAAATGTGTTATCCAGTGGGGAGAAATGGGGCAGCCAGAGCCATAGAATTGTCAGACTGGACAGTATGGCTTTCCAGATGGTCACTGGTTGTGAATATTCAGATGTGTTCTGTGAACTGGCATCATTAGTGAGAGGCTTCATTCTGAAATTCTGTATTTTCTCTAGGATGCTGTAACTTCTTTCGTGAAAAATAATGTATTTGGCACCCTCACATACAGAGGTTTGCTGCAAACTTATCAACCTAGTAACTACTTTAAACGAGTTTAGAATGTGGGTTAGAAATTTTCCAAATGGTTTGTTTTATGCACCGAGATAATTCTTATGGTTCCTAGTAAGTGTCTATCCAGTCAAATTATTAAACTACTCTTGTGTTCTGACCCATATATAGAACTCACAATTTGTTTTCTAACCTTTTAGAAATATGAACTTGAGAAAGAGGGAGCATCACTTATATTTAAAAAACAAGAGATAAAACTTCTTTGTCCAGGAAATAATTATAGCCATTAACACCTGAGCTCACCCACTCAGGGATGGAAATGACCCTCACCTCAGATAGGACCATGCCACTGCCCTCCCGTAAGGAACTGAAAAGAAATGCCAATGTCAGGAGTTCCAACTAAAATTGAAAATACACATAAGACAAGCCATAGATAGAACTGGTTTAAGAGTGCATGTATCTTCTAAAATTACCACATTTTACTTCATAAGTCCTTCTTATCCTTGCAGAAGGAAGGAAAATGTTACTTGAAGGTTTATACTTGCGGAAATTACAGGTAGTTTTCATTTTGCATATGACTCAGTAGTGGATAAATTTGGCCAAGTCCAGAGACAAAATGCCATAATTTGCACTTAAGTGGAAATGAATGCAAATGTCCATTTGATGTAAATTTTACTTGCTTCTCTGAATACGTTTTAAAGTTTGCAAACTGCAGTATCTGTGCCTGCCAAATATTATCATTTTCTGGTTTGTTACTGGAGTAGGAGGCCATAATAAAAGAAGAACCTGCTGACTACTACATCAATTTTTTAAGTCAATTTGGAAAAAAAAATCTTTATCCTCTTCCTTTAAAATGAAGTATAACTCCTACATGTTCTAACAGTGTTTCCATCCTCCATACCCCTCATTTTTTAAAACAATAGACTTGTGCACCTGAGAGCCCATGGTTAAATGAAACAAATACATATTTGTTAAAAGATAGACTTCATATCTCCAAACTCCTCTTTCTACTGTTGAAACGACACTCTGAGGACAAAATAGGCGTTCGTAAAATCTCCTTTGTATCAGAGATCATATTGTCAGTGGACAGTGGCACAAAAAGAAGAATGTTTCTGTTTTTTTCCTAATGTGTCTCTTAAACTCACTGTAGCTATTTTTACCTGTGACTTCATTATTTTATATTCAGAAGAAAATAGTCTTTGTCATACCTCTTCTCTCATCTTTAAGACTGCTACCTTGAATCATTCAAATCCTTATATAAAAAATGATTGCAAATGTACCAGAAACTTCTGTATCAACTAATGAAGAAAAAGAATGAAAACTGGCCCAAGACCTTGGACTGCAATTCCTAACTTTGGTTCTCTAGGCTTAAGAGCCCAGGGGTAGAGCTTGGCTGGAGGTAGTTCCCAGCTAATTCTAAAACAAAACAAAAAAAAAAACTTTTTATCTCTGCAAAGACTCTTGTCTTTAGATTCCACCCACACGTAGACTAACAGAGTTTGTAGCTAGGAAGAGGTACCAAAGGAGAGGTAGACCAAAGCAGAGAAGACAGTCTGGTTAGGAAAAATGAAACCAAGTGAGTTTGATTAAAGGTGAATTTTCAATAGATTTATTATTATTGTCTCCAAATATTGTGAGGCAATTTAAATGTGTCTTTATTCATTATTTTTCTTTAGAACTTTTCTTTATGGAAAAGGTGGCAAAAATCATTATTCTTAGAAGTAAAGTAGCAATTACATTAATGAAACACAAGGATATGTCACGTTTAACATGGAGCGCTGGAGAGGACCAGAACCACCTATCCTCAATCTTTGTTCTCTGCCCTTAGCCCTAACAGCTGCAGCCGGAAGGGGCAAACTGGAGGTGTGCCGTTTGCTCTTGGAACAAGGGGCGGCAGTGGCCCAGCCAAACCGCCGAGGAGCAGTGCCACTATTCAGCACAGTGCGCCAGGGCCACTGGCAGGTAAGCAGGGCGACCACTTCCAGTCCCTCAGGCAGGACTGAGTTCTAGGTGAGGACTTCTGATGCACAGAGCAAAATGATCACAAGTAAAGTTTGGGTTACCCAGCAGTGATCAGGTTTGAGGACTTGGACCTTTGTTATGAGTATTCTGGTTAATTGAGAATACGACAGTTAACATTCAAAACCATCACTTGATACAGATTGTATAGAAGGACTAACTACTTATGTCCTGGTGATAGAGTGACCTCCTTCTCACATTTCACAGCATCCAAAGACTCCTTGGAAGGTTCATTTCTCAGCGGACTTCTGCTAATCACTTACTTGCAGATGTCTGAGACTTACTAAAAGAAAATACAGTGAATGCAAATTCTAACAACACAATCCTTTTAGATGTTTGGATTCTGGATAAATGTTAATTTATACACTTAGGATGGAAAGGAAAGCACACTGATAATAATCTTCAGAAGTATTTCAATAGAAAAAAGGCTGTAGAAGCCAAACAGCCCTAAAGAGTTACCAGAGTCACTTGATTATGTTCAGTTCAGTTGCAAGTATTAACTACAGGCAGATTTGCAACCACTAGAGGGCAATAAAGGAGTGATTTATGTTGGAACTTCCGCTATGGGATTGTTTAATCCTACATCTTGGCCTTTGTTAAGTTCTTTTTTACTTAGTAGCTGAGTCAGACATTGAGAGTTGAATCCTTCTCATTTGACTGTCCCTGAGAGAGATTAAATCACATGGTACTAGGACTATACAGGTACTTATGGGGGAAGTGGAAAGATACATGGGTGACTCGTACAGCAGTAGGAATTCCTACAGAGTAAGAGATAGTGTGCACGTGTCTTCTCAGCAGCTCTTCTTTGGGCTAATTGGTCCCTGTTTCTCTGCACTTGCAGATTGTTGATCTTTTACTCACCCATGGAGCTGATGTCAACATGGCAGACAAGCAGGGCCGCACTCCCCTGATGATGGCTGCTTCCGAAGGCCATCTAGGAACCGTGGACTTTCTGCTTGCACAAGGTTAGTCTTGGAATGCTAGAGCTGGCTGGCCAGTTTCCATAATTACCTGGTGAACTCATGATTTCCAGCAATGGATCCCAGGAGATGCTAAGAACAGATATTAATCCAGTTGGTTGGAAAATGAAAGGCTATCTCCTCCCCTCTTGTATTCAGTGTAATGTTTTTAACTCTGATACTCTCTATTTCCTTATGACTTGAGGGATTTAAATGAAATTAACATATTCTAAATTCTCATTCAGATCAGTAGTCTCCAAACTTTGATTTTTTAAAAATATATACTCAATAAATGTTCATCTTCCGGGGATTGTGTTCTGACTTTATCAATTCTTTTGTAAGCCTGCACAACTAATATTTTTCTTGAATTCAAAGGAGGCAAATGCCAGTGAAGATCCCTGCTGACTCTGGGATGCTATTTGGGGGATCAAGATTATTACCCTGTAGTAATAAATTCCTTTTGACACTTACCAACATCCACAAATTCCTGGTGAATGGGAAATAAGTTAAAGGAGATGATGATCACACCACCATCATAAAGTACGTCAGGCTCCTGTTGGTTGCTGTGACCTCTATCACCTGTGCATAACAGTGGCTGCTGATGATGGACCTCTGTAGTAGAAAAAGCTCATCACTGGTGACTCTGCAGTGCCATCTAGTGGAGCTTGAGCATTTACTTGAAGCAAGAGACAGAGGCAGTCATTCCAGTTAGCCTCCACTATTAGTAAACTGGACGCAAATGTCGGTAATTACATCCACAAGCACATGTACTTTCCTTCAAGAAAACCAACCTCCTGAAGAATTATGCCTAGGCCAGAGCAGCTGAGGGTAGTTTAATTAGGAAGAAATTAGGTTTCTTCTAAGATTTCAAACTACAGCTCAGTCAGAGACTTACTGGATCTTTAGCTGTATCCCTTAAGTAAGATTTTTTTCCACAGACTCAGACTCAAGGCTGGGTCAGAATCAGAGAGTTGCTCTTACAGGGTGCGAAGTGGCTCTTGCCTTCCCCATATAAGCTACCAAAGAAATTTGGCTTCATGCTCTCTCCCTTCATTCTGCTGGGGAAGCAAGGAGGAGGAAGGTTGGGCCTAGATTCTCAAGATAAGATGTGTCCAGAGTAATATTCCAGAACAAACCAAGTCCACTGAAAGAGGCAGGAACTCTTGAGCCACTGATAACCTTTAGATAGCTGCAAAGTACCTGTCATGTGCCAGTAGAGGCTCCGTAGCCATAGATTCCAGGTATTTGTTCTCCCTTACCAGTGAAGACATTTTCATCTTTGGACTGTTTCATTTTTTTCCACACTTAGAGGCTTAATGAATTCAACAAAGATTTATTTAGGCTATGTTATTAGCAGAACACTATACTAGGAACTATGAGTGGTTCTGATTTTTTTAATTAATACACTATAACCTGTGCCCTCAAAGGGTCTATAATGTGGCAGGGAAGAGATGAAACAAAGATAAATGCCTTAAAAAGCGGAGAATCCTGAGTGCTCTGATACAGGCGTCCGTTGAGTTAGACTAGGACAGACTTTGAAATTCGAAGAGGAAAAATGTTTTGTATTTAGGGAGAGGAAGTAACATAGATGAAAGGCCAAAGAGGAATGACAGGTTTGGAGAAATATGCAAGCTGTCTAGTAAAATGTAAGGGGACTACGGAAAATAAAATTGGAAAGGTATGTGGAAATGGAAAAGGACCAAGTTAGAAGAATCTGGACTTAATTCTAAAGGAATCTGGGGAGGCTTTAAAAATTTTAAATAAGGAATTGATGGCAGAGTTATGCTTTAAAAACAATCACTCTGGCAGTATGTGAACAGCAGATTTGACAAAGGAGCCAGGAGATCAGTTAGGAAGCCATCGTAATGGAACATATGAGGCATAATGAGGTCCTAACCCAAGGGCAGTAGCTTTCAGCATAGAACAAAAAAGGGCTATGTGCAAGAGGTATTTTGGATATGAAGCCTGATTAGATGTAGGAAATAAGGATAGAACAGTTAAAGATAACTCCAGAGTTGTAAGACGGACATTTGGGAGAATTGTGATTTCATTAACTGCATGAGAAAGAAAAGAGAGAAGAGGAAGATTACAAATTGGATTTTGGAAGTATTTAACATATTATGGATTTGTTTCATGTGTATCTCCTTTTAATTTCTTCTCTTTCCTTATCTTTGGAAAAATCAGTTCATCTGTAATGTACATCCAAAACTTTCTTATCCTACTCTTTCCTCCACTGGATACTTTGTCCAGGAAATTTATAGATGTTGCATCTGAGAAAACGCCTTGGATTCTGTTCCGTATTTAAACTTATTCCATATTAGAGTCAGTGTTTTAATTGCAAACTATACCATTACATAAATGGCTCTCATCAGGATTAAGGGATGGTCCCTTCCAGCTTTTCATCCTCCTGTGGGAAACCATAGACTCTAATGACCTCCAGAGATGCAAAGGTGATAGGCTAGATAACTGCTGAGTAAACCCTGAGCCTGCTGTGGCAGGTGCTAAGCTTGAGCTGACATCCGAATCCTGTCCAGCTGAGGGGGCAGCCAAGTGTCCTGGTGCAGTAAGTTGATCTCTGATGTAGTTAAATATGACATGCCTACTGTGTGAAAAGCGTTGTCTTAGGTACTCTTCTAGCAAGTAAATGATTCGCTTCTTACCATTGAAGGCCTTACAGTCTGGGTCTTAAGAACCAAATGTATATTGGATTTTAGACTGATTACAAAACAGCATGTCAGGTATGCTTGATCCTTTCAAGTGAAAATAGAAATGTTGAAGGGAAACAGATCCAGAATATGAAAGGGTGGGTGGAGAATTTAAAAGTGGGGATGGAGTTATTGAATAAGGCTGAGTAGTTTAAACTCTGAATTTTTTGTTTATTTGTATTTGTTTTTTGTTTTTGTTTTTGTCTTTTTTTAGAGGCAAGGTCTCACTCCATCACCCAGGCTGGAGTGCAGTGGCCTGATCATAGCTCACCAAAGCCTGGAACCCCTGGGCTCAAGCGATCCTCCCATCTCATCCTCCCATCTCAGCCTTCCTAGTAGCTAAGACTACAGGCTCACACCACCACCACACCTGGCTAATTTTTTAGTTTTTTGTAGAGACAGTCTCACCATGTTGCCCAGGCTGGTCTCAGATTTCTGGCCTCAAGCAGTCCTCCCACCTCGGCCTCCAAAAGTGCTGGGATTATAGGTGTGAGTTACTGCACCCAGCCAAATATTTATTTTTTTAATTGACAAGTAAAAATGGTATATGCAGTTATGTATCACTTAACAAAGGGGAGATGTTCAGAGAAATGCATTCCAAGAATTGTGTCCTTAGGTGATTTTGTCATTTGTAAACATCATAGAGTGCACTTACACAATCCTAGATGGTATAGCCTACTACACACCTAGGCTGTATAGTATAGCCTGGTGCTCCTAGGCTACAAACCTGTACAGCGTATTAACTGCACTGAGTTACTGTAAACAGTTGTAACACAGTGGTATTTGTGTAGCTAAACATATCTAACCATAAAAAGGAACAGTATTTATGGTGTACAACATGATGTTTTGATGCAGGCTGTATATCCCTTATCTGAAATGCTTAGTTATATATCGCTTATCTGAAACACTTCTGTTGGGATTTTATTTTTTGCATTTTGAAGTATTTGCATTATACTTACTGGTTGAGCATTTCTAATCCAAAAATGTGAAATCCAAAATGCTGCAATGAGTATTTCCTTTGAGTGTCATGTTGGTGCTCAAAAAGGTTCAGATTGTGGAGCATTTCTGAAATCAGATTTTCAGATGAGGGATACTCAAGCTGTATATGTATACATTGTGGAATGGCTAAATCAAGCTACTTAATGTGTGCATTACCTTACACACTTTTTTCTTCTGGTGAAAATGCTTAAAATGTACTTTCACAACAGTTTTCAAGTATATATTGTTATTAACTATCACTATGACTATAGTTAACTATAGAGTAGATTTAGTGTACTAGTTAGTAACTAGTACCGTAGATCTCTTGAACTTATTTCTTCTTTCTAAGTGAATTTTGTGTCTTTGACCAACATCTCTCCAATCCCCCCCCCCCATCTCCTAGTTTCTGGTAACCACCATTTTATTCTTTGATTCTATGAATTTAACTTTATTAGATTAAACTCTAGATTTCTTTCTTGTCCTGGGCTCAGTGTCCTCTCGTGTTTATTTCCCCCACCTGGGGAGGGAGAAGGGGCCCTGGCATCGTGATCAATGACAAACATGTCCTGGGCTCCTATTTGATGAGACTGTCTCAAGGAGTTAGCACTATTATCAATGGAAGGCTTCTGCTCAGCTCAGAAAACATTCACCGAACTCTGGTGCAGTGAGGGCCGAGGCAGGTGGATCACTTGAGGTCAGGAGTTCAAGACCAGCCTGGCCAACATGGTGAACCCCATCTCTACTAAAAATACAAAAATTAGCCAGGCATGGTGGTGCATGCCTTTAATCCCAGCTACTTAGGAGGCTGAGGCAGGAGAATTGTCTGAACCCGGGAGGTGGAGGTTGCAGTGAGCCAAGATTGGGCCACTGCACTCCAGCCAGGGCAACGGAGCAAGACTCCATCTCAAAAAAAAAAAAAAAAAAAAAAAAAAAAAGAAGCAGAAGAAAATGCTCATTGAGAATTTATTACATGCAAATAGTATACATAAAAAGAAATAATGGAATAAGTTGACTTATGTTAAGCATACTTAAGATGAGGTAGCAGTGAACTGTGAGAAGCTTCTTAGAGGCAGGAGGATGGAGATAGTTCCTAGAGAATGAGAAGTGAGGCAAGTCATGGGGGAAGAAAAGCTCTTCCACACATGGAGCAGCATGACCAAGAGTGAGGATGCAGGAGGATTTACGGGAGATCCGAGAGGCAGAGAGTGAGGATGCGGGAGGATTGACGGGAGATCCGAGAGGCAGTGAGCACATCCATTTGGCCAAAGTGGAGGATTCTCACAGGGGAATAATAAAACAGGTATAGAGAGTAATTAGGAATAGACTGTGGATGACCCTGAATACTCAGTAAAACGACTGGAATCTGTTTTATTGAAAGCTTATAGGATGAACTTTTAACAGTTGAGATACAACTGGCATACCAGCATCAGTCTTAAAATGGAAATAGTCCAGAAACGAGCAGTGTTCTTTGCAGGAGCATGCCCCTTCAGCGTACTTCCCCTCCTGCTGTGTGATTCCATGTCTCCTCAGCCCTGTGCTATCACTTGCCTTTGCAGGTGCCTCCATTGCTCTTATGGACAAAGAAGGATTGACAGCCCTCAGCTGGGCTTGTTTGAAGGGCCATCTCTCAGTAGTACGTTCTCTGGTGGATAACGGAGCTGCCACAGACCATGCTGACAAGAATGGCCGTACCCCACTGGATCTGGCAGCTTTCTATGGCGATGCTGAGGTGGTAAGTACCTTTAAACAAGCCTCAAGAGAGCAGAGAGAGGGGCTATTCTCCATCCATACTACCTGGGGTTGAAAGTGGAGTGATGTATTGATGATTCCTGATACAGAGCTCTCAGATCTATACTTGCTAGAGAGCAAGAATATTCAAAATGCTGTTAAAGATCAAGGATATAGCTAAGGCCTGAAATACATGGCAGCATAGCCTGGGGTAGGCCAGCAGTTGAAAAAGGGCAGGCAGCAGCCAGAGCCCTCGGTGGAACAGTGCTGAGCCATTACGCCTGTCCTAACTTCTCTGCTTGATCCGTGTCCTAGGTCCAGTTCCTGGTAGATCATGGGGCCATGATCGAGCACGTTGACTACAGTGGAATGCGCCCTTTGGATAGGGCAGTGGGGTGCCGGAACACTTCTGTTGTTGTCACTCTTCTGAAGAAAGGAGCCAAGATAGGTAGGAGAAGGGAAGAGGATGTTGGCCATCTGTGCCCAGGGGCCAGACTGGTCCAGTGGTCTGGCTGCCCTGGGTATTTGGTGTGAGTGTATATAGTTCCCCCTCCTCCCTGGCCCAATTATTGTCCAAGTGAACAGAGAGGCTCTTGGCCCAGGGAAAGCGCCATCTGAGCCATGGTCTGCAGTCCCCTGTGTCCAGAACCACGTGGTTCTCTACCATGTCCCTTGTAGCCTTAGCCAGGAGGCTGCTCTGGCCTTAAGCACCTCTCAGCACTGCCTCTGTTCCAGCCCCACTCTATCAGCATCCTGGATCTCTGCGCTGCCGTGAGCCTTTGCTTTCCCTTGCTCTGAATGTGCTTCAGACTCAAGTCCCTGCTGCCGCTGTCCCAGCTGCTCCCCAAGCCCACAGACCTATAGACGAGGGTTGGCTGATATGCTGGCTTTGTGCTGCCTGCCTCTCACTGCTGCTTTTTCCTTCTTTTTTTTTTTTTCACCTTCATCCATTTTTTTTTCCTCTCCTACAACTTTTTGTTTTCTCCTTTCTTTGAAGGTTGTCAGACGTTACCGAGTCGCCCACGAGGTATATTTCACCGCTGTCAGCATCAGGCGTGGTCTGATGGCTTGGTCAGCTTTGCCTTCTCCTCTTTGGTTTAGCCTGCATGAGTTCCCTACACCTCTAATCTTTTAATTTACTTCACCTTAAAAGAAGATTTTTTTTAATGACTGTTGTAGAGAATAACTTGAACTTTTGATAACTAACCTTGAAAAGCATAGTTTGTAAATAATTCAGGCATTTGTAAACTAATCAATTTAACCTTTTCTTTCTTTTTGTGGGTAAAGTCATCCTCAGTAATGTTGGTTTGTTTCACATCTGATTGACATTCGAACTGTGCTCCTGCTTCAAAGTGAATCCCGGGGAGTCCTAGTTGGTACTTATCATTTAAGGGAAACTTTAGAGTTATCAGTGGTTTCCCTTCTGCAAAGTACATATTTTAAAGTTAAGAGGCTAAACATCTGGGGGTTTTGAGTCCCAAATCCAAAATAAATTACCCTTTTTGGACTTTTCAAATCCTGTGGTAATGTTTAATATAAATCCTTCCTCCCAATTCCTTATTTAAAATAATTCCAAACTGAGCCATTGCTTGCCCACATGCAGCACGCAGGCTTTGCTGCCCTCGCGTGGGGCAGGCTCACATGGTTCAAGTATTCTTATTTTAAGGTGAATACAAATCCAATGCAGCTTCTTGGCAGTGGGAGTTACTAAAATACTCCCAGGTCTAAAAGATGAGGTACTAATTGTGGAGCAAGTTGTTCTCTCAGCAGAAATTCCCCTAGGGTATTTTTTTCACCTAGCTTCCTACCACCCTTACATTGTATGAGTTTTTTACCCATCATGCATCCTGTACACTACAGGTCCAGCCACATGGGCGATGGCCACCTCCAAGCCAGACATCATGATCATCCTGTTGAGCAAGCTGATGGAAGAGGGGGACATGTTTTATAAGGTGAGGGGAGGGAGGGACACAGTTTCTTCAGAACAGCCACTGACTGTTTTCCATGTGTAGAATCTTACAAAGTCTTGATAATTCTCATCCTTTGCGTAGAGGCAAAGGGAAACTACTGTTCCTCAGTGATGGCCTCATATGTTGGGGATCCTGGGGTTCTGCCTTACCAAGAGAGCAAGAGTAGCCTATAGTTGCCTGCAGCTGATCAATCTAAAGCCCTGGTTTCACCTGGTCACTCACCCATGGTTTTGTCGATTTTTACATGGAATCTGTTAGGTAGGATCTGGAAACTCATGAGACAAGTCAAAGTAAAATTATGTAGTATAGCTATTTCCAGTATGTTGATCCTAGCTTTCATATGTCATAATATATACATAGATTAAAAAGTATATAGTAACAATAGCTTATCAGCATCCTTGAATAAGATAAGGAAACCAAGACAAATAGCAATTATAAGATTTGTTTGAAATCATTCACTGAATGACAATAACAAAAACTGTGGAGGCTTTTTGTACTCACAGTCCAAGCTGAAGGCTCCATACCCTGACACAAATGAATTCCTTGGTCTATTACATGTCAAAGTCATCGCACTGGATCAGCTGGATTACCCTGTCCCGAAGCTTCATACAAATCCAACCCAGTTTTTGGCAGCAGTCATCACTGACACTTCCCCAAGACTAAAAGATAAGGAGAAATAGTTGTGAAGCATATTATTCTCACCTGTGTCAGGAGTGTACAAGTTCCTAGGAGCAGAATTCTATCTTCTAAGTACCCTTTGAATGAGTCACGGTAATCTAGGACTCCCAGGCTTTCAGGAAGCTTAAGCCCTGGCCCAACCTTGATTTTACGTGACTTCATAGAAGGTCCTCATTACCCTAGATGTCATATTTATGGACTTCACAATGGCATTACTCTCAGATTATGTCCTGGTTATAGCATAACTTCTGGTATTCTGAGGCGAGGAGTCCTCTTAATGAAAATATGCAGTGCCATTATTGTTCCCCTCAGAATTCTACCTTGAAAGACTCCAAATCTCTCCTTAGTGAATGGTGCTAAGGGAAAAGTAAAAGACTGGGATCCCTGTGGAGTTGTAACTATAGAGAAGGAATAGAGTGGATAAAGATCAGCTAAAGGGGTGGGAGATGCCGCCTGCATCTTTCTGGTCTCAGCTTATAGATTTTCAGATACAAAGTGGAAGAAAAGTTCAAGGTCGCTGTGGCCAGATCTCTAAATTGGTCATAGATTTACTTCCTCTTGGATAATCCCTCCTGCAACATCAGATGGAATCACAAACTCTAAACTTCACTTTTCTACTGCCACCCTACTCCATGCCTTTCCAAAAATGGGGAACACTGATTGGTATTATTTTATGCCATGAGATTAGGGAAGCAACTGCTAGACTGCTTTAGCTCCCACATCCTTCATGAGGAAGAGAGTGACTTCTAGAGGGCTGGCCAGGTGGAGCGTCAGACCAAAAAAACAGTTCTCCAGACAAGCCAGAAATTAAGGAGGAAGTAATAACTTTGGAGTGCTTGGGGTTAGGAAGTCATATGTGTTATAGAGAGCAAAGGAACTTTGAAATGAGCATGGTCAGCCTCTTTGGAATCCAGTTGGGAAGTCAGGGTCCAGGGCCTTCCATTTGCCAAGGCTTTGCCTCCCTGGCTTGTATCTTGGGTATCCCCTCAACCTTGCCTTTCCTGCCAGGTGAGTTTCCTATAGAAAAGACTAGACCCTTCTGCCCTCACCATCAGGGCCAGAACTCCTCTCTAGGCTGGCGTTTGGGAGGGTTAGCCCTTAGTAACAGCTGCTGAGAAGAAGAAGGGAGTGGGGACCACACTTCCTCAGCTGTTCAGCAGACCAACTGTGTGTTTCGCCATCTTGTGCTCCCATTAGAAAGGTAAAGTAAAGGAAGCTGCCCAGCGCTACCAGTACGCCCTGAAGAAGTTCCCTAGAGAAGGGTTTGGTGAGGACTTGAAAACTTTCCGGGAACTAAAGGTGTCTCTCCTCCTCAACCTCTCTCGGTGTCGCAGGAAAATGAACGTAAGTCCCTGTCACCCCAACTCCTTTCTGCAATCCTGGTAGCTGATAGCCTGTGTCACTCACTAGCTTTTACCAGGCCCCTGAAATCCTCCTCTGCCCCATTTGGAACTTGGTTGTCCTTCACAGAGCACTGACATTTGCAATTTGAAAGAAATCAAGTCTAAGTACAATCTGTATCTCAAACTGTACAGAAATTAATGCTGCGAGTACTTTGCAGCTTTCTGAATGTTCATAATTTAACTGAAAGTGATGAGAATACCATCTTTCCCACCCCCATACCACCAAGTCAGTGTTCTGGTCTTTGGGAAAATGTGAGAGCAGTGGTCACTAGAATTCCAGTTGCAATTAGATGTGAATTGTAGTCATTACTCTCAGGTATATTCCCTTATCATTTGAAGAAGGGCTAAGGAGAGGGCTTGGACCATGGTCTTGAAGGTTTAATTTCTGAGGCTATCGAACTTTTCGCCTCTTTCCTCATCTTTGTATCCCAGCATGCTATGTCCCTTCTTGTCCTAGGGGGAATCTCAGAACTCCCCCTGGACCTTTATCGTCTCCCTGGTAAGCCACGGTCCTTCCTGCCTACCTTGCAGACCCATCTCACATGTCCCCAGACACTGCTCCCTCAGCCACTGCCCTTTAACGTGAAGACACTCCAAGCCAAGAACCCTCTCTCAGGTTTTGGAAATAGCTAAGATTGTGTCAGGAGTCTCTGACATCTACCTGCCTGAGGTCTCACAGTTCCTCAGGAGATAAAAATAATCCAAGCCAAACAGATGTATTGATCAATTAAAAACTCAGCTGGACAGAAGCAAGATTTGAACCTCATGGCCAGGGATCTTCCAGAAAGATTTGTGTGTGTAACCTTTAGATCATCCATTCCAGACCCTAAACCCTGACACTGGAAGGAACCTGAGTTAAACCTGACTGTCTCAGAGAACATAGCCATGACCTTCAGAGGCAGAGTTAAACCTGACTGTCTCAGAGAACACAGCCATGACCTTCAGAGGCAGAGTTAAACCTATCTCAGAGAACACAGCCATGACCTTCAGAGGCAGAGTTAAACCTGACTGTCTCAGAGAACACGGCCATGGCCCTCAGAGGCAGAGTTGCTCCAGGGTGCTGAGGGAAGTGGGGATGTGGAAGAGGCCCCCCAACCCCGGGAAGGGAGAAGGTGGCGGTCTCGGGAGACAGATTTTCATGCTCTTGGGGTCTCCTGTGAAATGAAAGGAACAGCACCAAGGCCTCCCCTGCACCAGCCGATGAGGATGAGGCAAAGCTCAGAAGTTGCTGCCAACCCACTGATCTCTTTTCCCTACCAAATAATAGACTTTTTAAAAATGCCCTCATATTTTTAGGAATAATGATGGTCCCAAAAGAACAAATAAAAGGGTAAGGCTGGAAGCAGAGCAGGGAGAGGGTGACCCATAAAAGCTGAAATTCTTTCTAGCTCCACATTTGTTCAGAAGCGGTTGTTAATCACCTCCTGGGCCAATACTGTGCCAAACACCAGACGTCTGTCTTCTTAGGTAGAGGATTTCCCATCAACTTTTAAAAAATTTTTTTACCTATGCCCCAGGGCCTTTGTTCTGCCCAAGGCCTTGTTTTCTGCCTTAGGACTCATGACCATAACCAGAGGCTACCATGCTATACTGTGGCTTTGACACTAAAAGAAGGGGAAAGCCTTCTCTTTTAGCTTAGTATTTAAGGGAATACTGAAAACCATAGGCTGCCTAGTCGGCGTTGTTCCCCACCCCACCCCCCAGTCTCTGTTTCCAGGGGTTCTCAGGAATGACATGCCTGTGAGCGTGTTCCTCTAGGGAGAGCACAGACCTCAGTCACAGCTGGGGTCTTCTCTTGTTTTGTTTTATTTTTAATTTTAAGTGTTTCCTAAGTAAGGAACCAGTTAAAAAAAGGAACAGATCAGAGAAGCCTCTGTGAAATAGAAAGAAAACGATAATTAATGAGCACCTACTATGTGCCGGGAACTGTGCAGGGCTTTTAAATACTGTATCACACTTGATCCTACCCCCGGGGTAGGTATGGATGAGAAAATACACTATACACTTGGGGGTTATGAAGCTGGTCAGAGAATTGAACCCAGGTCTGTCTGACACCCCCTCTCCCTCTAGTCTCTGTAGTCAGTGCAGTTTCCTTTACAGACGTCATCCTCCCGGACTTTACAGGACACCTTCTCACCTGTCCCTTAGAAAGCCACAGTGTAGTGCATGTAGCAGGAAGGTGTGGGGCTCAGACCAGGGTCCACGTGAAATGTGGACATGTGTGCGTTTGCCTCCTACATGCATGGATAACTTCAGGAGCTTCACTGGAAAGGGTTGGTGTTTGGCTTCCGGGCTGAGAACTTTATTAGAAAGGCAAAAAGAGGGAAAATTAAAACTATTTTAATATTCTGGGCAGATAAAGTCCAGTGAGCAGTCGCAGCGCTACACAGGACAAAGGCAGAAGGAACTTTCAGTCCACAGGCCACGCGGCTTGAGCCATGTCAGGCACGTCTAGCGTCCCAGGCGTTCCATCCATGAATGTCAAAAAATGTACAAATAATTTGTTTTATTCCCAAGTTGTCTATTTTTTATATCTCATCAATGACTCATTTGCACACCTATTGTAATGACAGGATTTTGGAATGGCGGAGGAATTTGCTACTAAGGCCCTGGAGCTGAAACCGAAATCTTATGAAGCTTACTATGCGAGAGCAAGGGCAAAACGCAGCAGCAGGTGAGGAGAGAGAGAGAGGGTGAAAGCAAGAGGTCTCTTTTCTGAAAATTTGGCCAAGGCAGCGTCGGCCACCCTGGGGCATATGTACCCAAATACATCTCTGTCCTTGAGAACTGTCAGGGCCAAGCTTTGGGGATGGCTCCCATAGCACAGCCCTCAGCTCAAGATCAGCAAATCTGCTGGGCTGTGGAGGCCACGAATGTTTCACTTCGGGAGAAAAACACTTTTTCACTGGAGAATGGCAGCTTCTTCCAAGAAGCCTCTGCCGTATCTCAGGCATTTTTCAACCCCCAGAGCAGCTAGCACAAAGAGACAACGGCGACTTAAAGAAATCACTTAAGCAGAGCACCCCACCCCCGCTTTAGAGGGAAAGTAGGATGGTTCACTTAACATCACAGGTTCCTCTTCCTTCTCCCATAGGCGTTTGAGGAATCCCGGATTAGTTAGTCTTCCCTCTGGGGCTCTCCTCAAGTCTGGTGGCATCAGACCCCCTTCCACCTAAACCATCACCCACCACACACACACAGAGTCAAGAGGTCCTTGCTGCCAGGATGGAGAGGACCCTCTAAGAGAACACCATTCCACATTCCTTGTGCCCATCTGCTTTAGTTTGGCCACTGGGCAGAAAAGCTCCCAGAATAACCTAGAACCTGCCATCAGTGATCTTTGTGTAACTTGTCACTGTCTCTTATGCCTCCTGCCCTCCTCCTCCCCAGCTGCATGGGAAAGAACTGCTTCAGGTTCACTGCTATGGCCAGGGGCACATGGTCCCGAAAATCACACCCAGCTTGAGGCTAGTGATGGTGGTGGCAGTGATCGCACTCTTACCTAGCTGGGGCAACGAAGTCCTCACAGAAATCTGACTGAAATTCTCCTTCCCTCTGGGTAGTTCCTTTTTCACAAGGTCAGTTGCCCCTGTCAGGTGATATTAGTAGAGAAGATGGGAATGTCTCTGACAGTTCATTTCTTCATTTGTAAATTAGAGTCTCCTTGGAGTCAGCTCAGCTCCAGCCCCGAGTGACCTAGTCAGCAAGCCTAATGCCTGCCCCACTTTGATAGAGCAAATGGAGACACAGCAATTCTGAGAGATGAGGGTTAGAAAGGGCAGAGGACAGGGTTCTTGCCTAGAGTAGAACAGGCCTGAAATTTGGAGCTAAAATATTGAGAATATAAAGAAAAATTTCTGCTGGATCAGCAAGATTTTTAAATATGTAGTTTTTTTTGTTCCTAAGCTACTTGACAGTGACCCTGTAAATGACAACCCCACCCAACTCTCATACTGCCTGGTGTGTGTTTGGGCACCAAAACAACTTCCCGAAGGGCCTGGCTGGACTGACAAAATGGGGCATTTCTCCACTATTCCCAGAGAGGCCAGAAGGAAGATGGAGGCCGAATGGGTTAGGGAATCATTCGGACTCTTCCAGAATGAGTCTTCCTGTTTCCTTCCCTATAAATCCAACTAAACCGAAATACCCCAGACTCCCACAGACGCCACCACAGCTCTCTGAGATAGTGACCATGTTCTCAGCTCTTGGTGATTTCTCTGGATTCAGAATAACTCCAGTTCCTGTGTTCACATTTTGTCAAGCAGACAGTTCGCAGCAGCCTTAGAGGACCTGAACGAGGCCATCAAGCTGTGTCCCAACAACCGTGAGATCCAGAGACTTCTGCTGAGAGTGGAAGAAGAGTGTAGACAGATGCAGCAGCCACAGCAGCCACCGCCGCCACCGCAGCCTCAGCAGCAGTTGCCGGAAGAAGCAGAACCTGAGCCACAGCATGAAGACATATACTCTGTACAGGATATATTCGAGGAGGAGTACCTGGAACAGGATGTTGAAAATGTTTCCATTGGCCTCCAGACAGAGGCCCGGCCCAGCCAGGGGCTCCCGGTCATCCAGAGCCCACCCTCCTCTCCCCCGCATCGGGACTCAGCCTACATCTCCAGCTCACCTCTTGGCTCTCATCAGGTTTTTGACTTCCGGTCCAGTAGTTCTGTAGGCTCTCCCACTAGACAGACCTATCAGTCCACCTCACCTGCCCTTTCTCCAACTCATCAGAACTCACATTACAGGCCTAGCCCACCACACACTTCCCCGGCTCATCAGGGAGGATCTTACCGTTTCAGCCCCCCTCCTGTGGGAGGACAGGGCAAAGAATACCCAAGCCCTCCCCCTTCCCCTCTCCGGAGAGGCCCTCAGTATCGGGCCAGCCCTCCAGCTGAAAGTATGAGTGTCTATAGATCCCAGTCTGGTTCACCCGTGCGCTATCAGCAGGAAACAAGCGTCAGTCAGCTTCCTGGCAGACCCAAATCTCCATTATCCAAAATGGCCCAGCGGCCCTACCAGATGCCTCAGCTCCCTGTGGCAGTTCCCCAGCAAGGGCTCAGGCTACAGCCTGCCAAGGCCCAGATTGTGAGAAGTAACCAGCCCAGCCCAGCCGTCCATTCAAGCACCGTCATCCCCACAGGAGCCTATGGCCAAGTAGCCCATTCAATGGCCAGTAAATACCAGTCTTCACAAGGAGACATAGGAGTCAGCCAGAGCCGGTTGGTTTATCAAGGGTCAATTGGGGGAATCGTAGGGGATGGAAGGCCGGTGCAGCATGTCCAAGCCAGCCTGAGTGCAGGCGCCATCTGTCAGCATGGAGGATTGACCAAAGAGGATCTTCCACAGCGACCTTCCTCAGCATACCGAGGTGGCGTGAGATACAGCCAGACACCACAGATCGGACGCAGCCAGTCAGCATCCTATTACCCAGTCTGTCACTCAAAACTAGATCTGGAGCGCTCCTCCAGCCAACTAGGTTCCCCTGATGTGTCGCATTTAATCAGAAGACCTATCAGTGTCAACCCTAACGAAATCAAACCGCACCCGCCAACTCCCAGGCCGTTGCTGCATTCCCAAAGTGTAGGCCTTCGCTTCTCTCCATCTAGCAATAGTATCTCCTCCACCTCCAACCTAACTCCGACCTTCCGGCCATCTTCTTCCATCCAGCAAATGGAGATCCCACTGAAACCTGCATATGAGAGGTCATGTGACGAGCTGTCGCCAGTGTCTCCAACTCAAGGAGGTTACCCCAGTGAGCCCACCCGATCCAGGACCACACCATTCATGGGGATCATAGATAAAACAGCACGGACTCAGCAGTACCCCCACCTCCACCAGCAGAATCGGACCTGGGCAGTGTCATCTGTGGACACCGTCCTCAGTCCCACGTCTCCAGGCAACCTGCCTCAGCCTGAGTCCTTCAGTCCACCATCATCCATCAGCAACATTGCCTTTTATAACAAAACCAACAATGCACAGAATGGCCATTTGCTGGAGGACGATTATTACAGCCCCCATGGGATGCTGGCTAACGGGTCTCGTGGAGACCTCTTGGAGCGAGTCAGCCAGGCCTCCTCCTATCCCGACGTGAAGGTAGCTCGGACTCTACCTGTGGCTCAGGCATACCAGGACAACCTGTACAGGCAGCTGTCCCGAGACTCTCGGCAAGGGCAGACATCCCCTATCAAACCAAAGAGACCGTTCGTGGAGTCTAATGTTTAAAAGACGTTTTGTTGGAGTGAGACCCATATGTTTTCACTGCACATTTTCAGGCTTGGTTTCCACATTCGAGGTAGTTCTCTGGCTTAATTTCTCATGTAGTTTCTGTGTGGTGTTCAGAGGTGGCAGCCCACATGCTGAAATCCTTTGCATGCAGCCGACTGGGAAGCGGCCTCCCGGGAGCCAGGACTTCAGTTTCTCTTGTCTGTGCCCAGCCACATGCTCTCTCCCTCTCTTCAGATGCCAACGAGGAGATTTTCGTGCTGTGTGCTTTAACCCAGGGAGATCAGACACACTGGTCAGCTTTTTCCAGGAGACAATCGCTTTCACTGATGTTCTTGTTGTGTAATTGTCTTTTTCCTTTTTTAAAAAATAAGGTGTTCTTGTTCGTTTTCTTCTAGAAACTTTAGAAAGAGTGCGATGCCCCTTTGCCTTTGCATCCTTAGCCAGTGTCACCCACACAGCCAGCCGCAGCGCATTCTCATGCTGTGGCCCCTCCCCAGACCGCCAGCGCCCTGCAGCCACCAGGTCTGCAGTGTGCATTAGGATTATTGCTGGTCTTCCTAGGGGGTAAAAGGATCAGAGAGAGAAGAATTAAGTGCTAAATTGGAAGAAAACCCCAATATAATTATGTAAAATGTCACTACATTGATTTTCCAAGAGGCATTGTAGGAACATGTCAAAAACAGCCAGCCCTTTAAATATTGCAGTCAGCCAAGGAAATTAGATGAGAATTGTGGCTATTAAGAGAATTCACTGAGAGTTATTCTCTAGATTTTTAGCCGACAATTAACCACTAAAAGCTGCTGCTTTTCCAGGGTGGGGGAGGGAATGAATACATAGAAAAACAAAAAAGATTGTTCTGGATTCTCAGTGAAAGGCTATAGGAAGTCTGTTCTGGAGACATCTACTTTTTAGATCCTGATACATCACTGAGTGTCATACTCCACTAAAAGGAAACTCTAACCGAAGGCTGGCTGGTGTGACAATCCCGTTAGTTGGATCTTCACCTACAGCCAGATTTTGTTCTAGTGGCCCTCTTCCTGTAAACCCAGATGGTGTCATACAGAAATTGTTTCTTTCAGAAGCAGATTGGAATCTCTTGGGACCATGAGACTGAGTCCCAATATTTCCACCCAGGGTCATGCCCGTTGTTGTCTACTTCCATTTTGAGATCTATAGTTTGATTATCTATTATTACAGGAACTGTTTCTTTTCTTTTTCTAGGAGTGTTTATGAGAGTGTGATATTTTAAAGTCAGACGCAGCAAAAACTGTTTCAGGGTGAAGAAAGACCCCTTTCAGCCCTGTTTTGCAGCCCTGGGTGGGGGCATGAGATAGACAGCAAGCTTCTGATCTTGAAGCTTGTCTAGAAGACACATCTTCTAGGTCTCGTGGTCATTTGGTAGGCTGACCTTTGAGTGAGCGAGGCCACTATTGAGTGGATAGCAAGAACATTGGAACCAAAGCCTCGGCACAGGCCTGGCACTGGCTGTACATCAGCTCTTACAACTAAACAACTCAACTAAGCAACTGAAACGAAACAAAGGAGCATTCGTTCTCTGTTGTTAGGAATCATTCTGCTCTGTTAGGGAAGGGCTGCAGGAAGGGCAGTTTCCTGAATAAAAATCTGGCTGCGACCAGTCCCATGTGTCTGGTAAGTAAGTAAGTAAGTAAGTGCCCTTTGAAGGGATCATTAAGACACAGGGAGCATGAACCTGAGATCAGAAGCATTTCTTTACTAATTTAGATTCTGCGAAATAGACGGACCTCTCCACCCCCAAACCTAAAACAGGCCAGGACTTGTCTCTGTGCTGAAAGCAAATAGCAAGACTAACTCAAGCCCCAGCCTCTTTCCACACTCCCTGATACCTAAGGACTGCTTTCTCAGCTAGACCAGGGTGGGCATCAGCGACGCCTTCTCAGCTAGACCAGGGTAGGCATCAGCGTCCTCTCTCCATCTCTATACCCCTCTCTCTCACATCAGGAAGATGAAATGTGTAGCTCTAGCGGCAACCTCTAGCCAGGAGCCCAGTGGCCTCTCAGATTGCTTTTTGGCCAGGTCTCAGCACTGCTGGCATCTTTACATCTTACTCCTTAAAACCGCCTCTCGCTGAGGAGCCACTGCATTTTGAAGAATTTCTCAGTGTCTGTCAGGAAAGTGCTCCTGCTCATTTGGAACGCCACACACCACCCGCACTCACCTGTCCAGGCGAATGAGCAGGTCCTGTAGCTTTACAAATATGCCGCTGATGCCGCTTCTCCCCAGGGTCTCTCAGTTTTCCAGGACAAAAAGATTTAGGGCCTATACCCTATGGGCAAAACACCTAAAATGTCAACAGTCAAAATGCCATTCTTTTTGGCCATCATAAGAGGGAGTAGGTATCACTGCTGCATGCCAGTTGTTTTTGACTAGAATATGCCAACCAGAGCTTGTTGGGGCAGGAGACGTTTTTCCTTACAAGCAGACTGCCTGTGCCCTGTGCCCTGTTTGCTACTTCACTGCCATGGAATGATCCGAGTACTGTATTTCAGAGCTGCCCCTTCCCCAGCAGCAAACACTCGCTGAGTCCATGTCTGGCTTCAGGTGGGAGGAAATGTTTCAGATGAAACTTACTCAATTCATACCACCCTGAAATGGAGGACAGAGGTGACAAACTTCAGTTTAATAGGTTTCTCACCAAGTTGTATGTTCCATTGGCCCAGGATTCTTGCACTAATGGGTTTCTATCACATCATGTCTATAAATGGGTGCACTTTACTGTTTGAATTTGTAACTGAAGTACTGGATATTTAAGTGTGAGTAATGTCTTCATTAGAAAATAGCAGAACCGCTCTTGTCTTTTAGTGTATTTTTCAAGAAAAAAGGAAAGGAAAGACATCAAGCAGTGGATCACAACATTTATAGCACAAGAAATAACTTGTATATAAGCATCAAAAAGATTAAGAATTTTTTAATATGAAAAATATTTGCAGTGATTTTAAAGTGCTTTTCCAGCAATGTTCTTAGGGACTCCTGAGACACGGTTACTTTATCTACTGGATCAGTAAGGCACACAATTAACAATTAACAATTAATGTTTATTTACAAAGTAAAGGGAAAACCTGTGTAACATGAGAATTTGGCATGACAAAATGGAGACCATTTTGTATCTGCTGTTGTATCTTGTCCGGGTTGCAGACGTGCACTATTAAAGTCCCAAGTTAATAGAGCACAAACCCTTCTCGCTCCTCCCCCATGTGCCCCTCTTTTTAGATGTGTATAACTTAAACTCGATGGCTCAGGAAAATTCCACTAATTAGAATCATGTACAGTACCCCAGGTCGTTGTCCAGATATACAAGTTTGCTAATGTAGTTAAGCCTGGATTATTAAACACTTTTCCTAAATTATTGTAAACAGAACAGCTTAGAGAAAGGTATTCTCAGTCCTTAATATTGTATAGTAGTTTATGAGCCCCTCTCTAAATATTGGTATTTTTATATTCCAGAGATGTACCCAATAGAAAAAATTAAAAATTAATCAGTATCTAATTTAATATCCATAAGTATTTTTCCTTAGATTTTAGTCACGTACAGTGGGCTATGTGGATGTCACTTGTGCTTCACCATAGTTTACCACTAGGTGTCACTGTGGCTCTGCACTGCGCTTGTTTTGTAGCAAAGAACAGCGGCATCCCCTCGGGAGAGAGGAGCTGCTTCCAGGGCAACAGGCAAGCGGGCTCAGAGGTTCAGGAGAAGGCAACAGAGGCCTGGAAGGGGTCTTCGTGCATCTGTGCCAGTTGTGCAAGACGAACTCTTTGAACACTACATGCTTTGGACTTCAGCCAGGCAGAGGCTGGAAGAAGGTTGACCAGAGCTCCCTTGCTCTGGTAGAGGGATGGGTACATGGAGAAGCCCCTTCTTCCCCATGAGCCTCCCTCCTGTCAGTTCCTCTCAGCCTCCAGCTTTTATAACTCCAGAAGCGTCACAGTTGGGTGGTTTGATTCAGAGAGAGTTATTTTTCTACTGCAGAAATGCCTTGGACAAAACCAGTGCTCACTGAATCTTTGCCACAAAATGGAATAGGCTATCCCAGGGGGCAAGAGGTGCCCGCCCCTGTGCCCAGCCTCCTCTTGATGCTCCCAGTGCCCAGCAGCCTCGCACACCCTGCCTGTCTGTTCCTGGGCTGCCCATTTCTCAAGAAACCGACCTGCAAAGGCAGCCGGCTGCTGCCTCCACACCGAGGGCTGTGCGGTCCTGCTGCTCGCTCACTGGGAGGTGCAGCTCTTTCTCCTCTTCCTCTAGGAATTCCAGACCGACCATCTACCATGACTAACAACAATGAACAAAGGGCTTAGGGGCAAGAGCTACCTGCAAAGACGTGTCATGGAACCCTTCACCATGCAATGCCTTGAACTCAGCTCTGGCTGCTCCCAAGAAAAGGTGGCTGGCTGGGGGCCTGGACACAAGCACAATGGGGCTGGTGGAGCCACTGTGCAGAGCTACTTGAATAATCACTGGGTTTTCATCAACTCCTTTTGTCATACAGACCACTCAAGGGCTGAAGTGTTGGTAACCTTCATTTCGGTGTCCAAAGCCTCACAGCAGGTGAGCCACCCTGAGATGCTTGTGGCCACATGGTGGCCACAGTCAGAGCTTTGAAAGTCAGTACCAAATGAACGCATAATTGGACACCAAAAATCAAGTGTTACTTTCATGTTTCCTCACCCCATCATCTCATTGCCTCCTGCTGACTCTGATACCGACGCTGAGCTGACTTGCCAGGCTGCCGCTGGACGCGTAGAGATCAGGCCAGCGCCGCGCTCATTTTTCCAGGTAGACCTACTCTGTGGAACGGAAGTGCCCTAGCTGCTTTGTTTTTGTAGCACTTGCTGGCTGAATTTTTCTTTTGCTAATCGCTAACCAGAAAGTCTGGTTAGAGGGGGCTCAACTCAATCCCTTTGGTCCCCAGCGCCAGACAAGAGTTAATTCTGGAAAATTCAGTACTTGAATGTACCTGCCTTATTGCATACCAATTTACTGGGGGGAAAAAAAAAGTTAAGAGATGCCGGCTCCAGATCTCCACTTCATTCACAGGTGATTTTGGAAATCCTGTAAGTTACACTTCCTGTTCTGGTTTTGTTTTGTTTTTTGTTTCCTTTGGCTGATTCCTGCTGAGTGAGGCCAGTTCCTCATCAGGCTCAGGGCAGGTGCCTTTTCAGGCGTGGCCTCCTTTCCATCTAGCACAGCATCTTTGTCTCTGTTCTGTCTCCTCCAAATCCAAGATGATTTTAATTAGTACAGACATGTACAGTCTACAATTAAAGAGTGATTTGTACTAATATGATTTTGATTCTTCCTCCTCTTTGCTGTCCTTTCAAGACACTTGCTGGAAAAAGCTTTAATGCACTTAGTTTTCCTTTAGGTTTTCTATGACTCAGATGTAAAGGACTTTCTCTGTACAGTATATTATCCAATGCATGTTTGTTCTCTCTCCTGATATATTGAACACCACACAGTTGTGAAGCCGTGCAGTGGGGATGCCCCACACCCCACAGAGGCATCTACCCCTGTGTATAAGGAAAGACATTTTCCTTTGCTGTACTTGCTTGAGCAGTTTTATTGTCTGTACATGTGAGCTGTGTGAGATAGATGTGAAAAGTTCAAATGAATGCATTTTCCTGCCCCATGTATACAGATTGTCATCTGTACAAGGAACTGTATGTATGAAAGCAAATGTACTTATTTATAAATGGCTAACACTTGGAAAACCATGGTGTTGTGATGCTTTTCTCCTTCCATTACAGCCTCTTCAGGGAGCTGGCTTTTAAGCTTACCCTCCTGAGGATGCAGTGATGGGGGCACCCTCCCTCAGGAGGAATTGGGCAGGTTAGGGCTAAGGCCAAATTCCCGATGATTTGCTTGGTCTCTTGTGGGACATTCAGAGCCACCCCTTTGTGCATTTATTTGCTCGGTCACGTTATTGAGCACCTCCTCTCCTCAGAGTTGGACACTGTGGTAGGCCCTCAAGAGAGCTGTGGACAAGAGACGCCGTTCTAAGGAGCTGTCAGCACAGGCCTGTGACATTTGTTGAGAAAGGGGGGCTTTTTCTTCATTGGAAGAGGTTTCTCTCTAGCTATACCCAGGGAGCACTGAGCTCTTGTTTCATTTTGTAGCTGAAGCTGCACCCAATCCAGCCACCCTACCAAAGCCAAGGCTGAGGTGGGCTGCCAGCTTGAGTGGCTGTGTTTAGAGGCTGCATGCTGAGAGGGTAGCGAGCAGAGGGCACAGCTCCCACTGCAGACCTAAGGGCTTCGTCACAACTGGAGGCCCACTGCTTCCAGGGGCTTTGTCTTTTCATCAGAAATCTGGTCGAACTCCAGTCCTCACCATATAGAGAGCTAGGCAGCTGCATTGTGAATGGAAAAGTGGCAGGTTTCCTGCAACTGGCTGGAGACTCAATACCATCTAAAAGGGAGTGGGGAAGCGGGGGAGCAGCACTGAGCCTGCAGCCTTTCCTGTTTAACTGCTACCTCTGTGTTTACTTCAGGGACAAGCGAGGAGGGAGACCACTTCCTCTTGACATCAGATTTGTGCTAAACAAACATTCCTGCTGTGCATACCTGCATTTCCCAAAGCCTAGGGAAGCAGACAAACTGCAGGCAACACACAGCCCAGCCTAGATGCCACAGTTGCCTTCAAAGAGAAGAGGGGACTCTGGCAGCAGCCACCTGCTCAATCTCAAAACCATTCCTGGGCTGCTCCAGTTATTTCATTAAAAAATGGGTAAGTCGGGGCCGGGCACGGTGGCTCACGCCTGTAATCCCAGCACTTTGGGAGGCTGAGGCGGGCGGATCACGAGGTCAGGAGATCGAGACCATCCTGGCTAACACGGTGAAACCCCGTCTGTACTAAACAAAATACAAAAAATTAGCCAGGCGTGGTGGCAGTCACCTGTAGTCCCAGCTACTCGGGAGGCTGAGGCAAGAGAATGGCATGAACCCAGGAGGCAGAGCTTGCAGTGAGCCGAGATCGTGCCACTGTACTCCAGCCTGGGTGACACAGCGAGGGTCCATCTCAAAAAAAAAAAAAAAGTCATTGGCAAAACCCCAGCTTTTTAATTTATATTTTTTCTTTCTTTTTTTTTTTTTTTTTTTTTTTTTTTTGAGACAGAGTCTGTCACCCAGGCTAGAGTGCAATGGCGTGAGCCCGGCTCACTGCAACCTCCTCCTCCCAGGTTCAAACAATTTTCCTGCCTCAGCCTCCCTAGTAGCTGGAATTACAGGCACCCGCCACCATGCCCAGCTAATTTTTGTATTTTTAGTAGAGACAGGGTTTCGCCATGTTGCCAAGGCTGGTCTCAAACTCCTGACCTCAAGTGATCCACCTACCTCAGCCTCCCAAAGTGCTGGAATTACAGGCATAAGCCACTGTGCCCGACCTAGATGTTTTGTTTTGTTTTTAGATGGAGTCTCACTCTGTCACCCAGGCTGGAGTGCAGTGGTGTGATCATAGCTCACTGCAGCCTCAACCTCCTGAGCTCAAGTGACCCACCCACCTCAGCCTCCCAAGTACCTGGGACCACAGTGCATGCCACCACGCCCTGCTAACTTTTGTTTTGTTTTGCAGAGATGGAGTCTTGTTATGTTGCCCAGGCTGGTCTTGAACTCCTGGCCTCAAGCTGTCCTCCCGCCTTGGCCTCTCAAAGTGCTGGGATTACAGGCATGAGCCACCACACCTGGCCAAACCCCCAGCTTTTTAAGAAGTCCTGGGACATTGGAGGAAAGGAAAAGGAGTGATTCATTTAAAATATTAATACTTCTTAAAAAGAATTTACCCTCAACCTTAATAAAAAGCTACTCAGAGTAGAAGCAAACAGCAAACTCAGCAGAAGTCTGTGTAGATCCTCCGAAGCACTAAGTAAGTCAGACTTTCTTCCCCTGGATATCTGCTCATGGGTACCTTTTGGTAACTGCAGGCAGACACAGTACGCACGTGCACATGGTGGCCAAACTCCCCTGCGGTCGGCTGGGAATGGGTAGGCGAACCAGCGGGGAATGGAGTCACCCTCTTTCAGCTTTAAAAACAAGTTGGAGGAGCTTGGAGTCTTGGCAGCTGAGTTATTCCATTCTCAGGAATAAGATGGGGCACTGATAACAGGTATCATGTCTGGAAGGCCCTGTGATGAAGAGAGGGCCCACATAGAAGAGAAGGTGCTCAGAGTCCATTCTAACAGGCCATCCTCTTGGGAGGTCCATTGTGTCCCAGACACTGTGATAGGGACTTCACATGTGTTCCCTAATGTATTCCTCACACCTCGACAGACGACACTGCTGTCTCCAAAACAAATGCAGAAGCAGATCCTGAGAGCTGAAGTTGCTCAGGGTCACAGAGGCACAGGTAGGCCTCTGAATCAGCCACACTGACAGCTCTTCCCTCCACCACGCTGCCTCCTCTCTCAGAAGGGATGGTCTGAAAAGAGCAAGCAACCCGAATGGCGCCCCACGGAGTGCAGGCGCTGGGTCCAGGAGGATGGCTTGGGAAATGCCGCGTGCTTGTTTGGAGAAATAACTCTATGCCACAGTCAAGAGGAGTCGCTTTGGGACCCCAGTAAGAAAATGAGGTCCCTGCTATTATCCAGCCAGAGATTCGTAGAGGAAGAGGTGAAGTGGCTGGCTGGAGAGGGAGGCATCATCCCTTGGTGACTGGGATCACTTCAATATTCACAGAGACCCATAAGATTCAGAGGCTGGTGCAAAAAAAAAAAAAAAAAAAAAAAAAACAGAAATGAGATGCTGACTGAGGAACCAGTTTGTGACATGTATCAAGCCTTGTGCTTTGAATGCTTTTCAGTAAATAAAGGTCCACACTCAGCTGGGCGTGGTGGCTCACACCTGTAATCCCAGCACTTTGGGAGGCCAAGGCGGGTGGATCACCTGAGGTAGGGAGTTCAAGACCAGCCTGACCAACATGGAGAAACCCCATCATCTCTACTAAAAATACAAAATTAGCTGAGTGTGGTGGCGCATGCCTGTAATCCCAGCTACTCAGGAGGCTGAGGCAGGAGAATCGCTTGAACCCAGGAGGCGGAGGTTGCAGTGAGCTGAGATTGCGCCATTGCACTCCAGCCTGGGCAACAAGAGCGAAACTCCGTCTCAAAAAAATAAAATAAAAATAAAGGTCCACATGGAAGCCTTGATTCAGGAGGGACTCTACAGGTGCCCTAAGGAAAGACCTCTCCGTTCTGGCTCCTACACGTTAGAGACCAGCTACAATGCAGAAGACAAAGTTGAGACCAACGCGGGGAAGCAGGGACTCCTGTTACCTTATTAGAGGATTTGCTGTTGGGTCCCTTTAAATAGTGAGCTCTGGTGAGTTTTTAAATTGCTTTAAGTAAGTCAGAGGTCCCCAGCCCCAGGGCCACAGACCAGTATGGGTCTGTGGCTGTTAGAACCTGGCTGCACAGTAGGAGGTGAGCAGCAGCGGGTGAGCATGACCACCTGAGCTCCGCCTCCTGTCAGATCAGCTGCAGCATTAGATTCTCATAGGAGTGCAGACCCTATTAATTATGAACTACGCATGCGAGGGATCTAGGTTGCATGCTCCTTAGGAGAATCGAATGATCTGTCACTGTCTCCCATCACCCCCAGATGAGACTGTCTAGTTTCAGGAAAACAAGCTCAGGGCTCCCATTGATTCTACATTATGGTAAGTTGTATAATTATTTCATTATATGTTACAATGTAATAATATAAAAATGCATAATAAATGTAACGTGCTTGAATCATCCCAAAACTATCCCCCACCCCCAGCCCTGGTCTGTGGAAAAATTGTCTTCCACAAAACCTGTTCCTGCTGCCAAAAAGGTTGGCGGCCACTGCTTTAAGTGACAAGGCACAAAGCGCACAGTACGATCCCACCCAAATTTGCCAAAAACTCACCTTCTGCCTGAGCCACGTACGTGGATCTAAAGTGGAATCTCAGCTCGTTCCAAAAGCTTTGCTCCTCTTCTTAAGGATCAAAAAGACTGATTTCAAAGGGAAAGGGGTCCATTAAACACTGGGGGACCTTCCTTGCCAAGGCTCTTATCAGGCTCTTGCAGCTCCACCATCCAGGCCACCCTCTCAGGCTGAGAGGAAAGGGCTTATCTAACCATGTGGAAACAACACTGCCTCTGCTGGGTCGAGACTGGACAACCGCTGGGCCTTTTCAGCCCCTAGGCCATGATCAATATCACTAATCGCTTTACCTTCTGTGCCCAGCCTGCGGATATTCAATTTCTCTCAGGCCTAGAGCTAACGTCATGTGTCTGGCTGCTAAAAGCTCCGGCTCCTTTTATTACCACAGTAAAGGAAGATAACAGGCGAGAGGTCTGCTGTAGACATTTATTGAATCATCTGTTGCACCAACAGCACATTGTATTTCACAGAAGATTGGCCACAGGCAAAATAAAATAACCCACCACAAATCCGCTTCTGGGGGCCTTCTTCAGCTCCTTAGTCATCCAGTGTTCACTTTGGCAAACAGACCAGTTTACAGACTTTTGTTGCAAATCTAAGGTTCCATTTCTCTCTGTAGCATTCCGGCTAGAGAGAGACACGATTGTACTTTGGTAGTTTGTCTAAGGCGGAGTTTTCCCACATGTAAACATTTCACTATACAAGTGTGTGCCAGCTGATTGAAGAACTGACGGCACCCCTACCCCTGAAGAGTGTACAGTCTAAACAGGAGGCGAACACTGTCATCCGGACAGGCTGAGAGGAGGCGGGGAAAGGGGCTCGAAGGAGCCTGGGCAGACCCTGCTGGGGAGGGGCCTGGACTACAACCACCTGCTCCCAGAAATGACACTGCCTGAGGCAGGAGACACAGCAAAAGCCAACTATGGGAAATCTGAGCATTAGAGGAGACTGGCCCCTTTCTCTAAGACGGCCTCAGGTAGGAAAAGGGCAGCCATTACAAGAAGAAGAGTCGTCAGGTTTGGAAACTGTATATTAAGCCCTTCACTGAAGTACACAGTGTCTGTGTGTGTCTCAAGCTAAGCCATGCTCCTCAAACACCCAAAAAGAAAGGAAAACAGGGAGAGAACAGTCACCAGATCCAAGAAGCACATGATCGGTGTTCTTTTTTTTTTCTTTTTTGAGCCTGTCGCCCAGGCTGGAGTGCAATCTCAGCTCACTGCAAGCGCCATCTCCCGGGTTCACACCATTCTCCTGCCTCAGCCTCCCAAGTAGCTGGGACTACAGGCGCCCACCACCACGCCTGGCTAATTTTTTTGTATTTTTAGTAGAGACGGGGTTTCACTGTGTTTGTTAGTCAGGATGGTCTTGATCTCCTGGCCTCGCACACGATCAGTGTTCTAATCACACTATTTCCAGGCCGAAGCCAAATGGTGACTCAGCTAACATGACACTCTTTATGGGGCTGGAGTGATGTGCAGACACCACGGGGGATGACTGTAGTTGTTCTGACTCCATCCTGACTTCCTGGAAAGATGGGCAGCAGATAAGGAGAAGGCTCGTCCTCCAGAACAGAGGCAGCAGCTCCAGCAGCCCCAGGGGGCTCTAGCCACAGCCAGCAGCAGCGGTTTTTCATTTAAAAAATTATAAGGTTTGTGCCCTCTGCCTCCCAGCCTGAGCAGAGCCTGGGTGAGCCTGGGAGAGGAAACCAGAGCTGAGCCGCAAGGGGGGTGCTACAAGGAGGGAGCCCCAGCAGGAAGGGGCTGCAAGGTGCCCCCCATCCCCAACCCCCATGTCTGGAGCAGCCTGGGAGGAGGCCCGCCTGCATCTGCCAAGAGAAAGTCTGTCTGAAGTCATGGGCTTCTATCCCCTCTCCCACCAAAGCCATCCTAGGGCTAAAGGGTTAAAGAAGAGGAAGGTCAGGACTACAGCTGGGCCACAGCCTCATCTCAGAGCTTCCCAGGGGCCAGTCCCTCCCCTCTCCTGGGGAACCTTGCTTTCACCACCAACATACTTTACACATCATATCACTTGCTCCTCTGCCAAAGGCCGGGCCCATTTGTGCCACGTGTTATTCAGGCTGGAGGGACTCCTTGTTTGAATTCAGCAGCCATCGTGGCCTTTCCAGGCCTGTCCCTGAGGCCCCCCCAGTTTCCCCTGGCCTTGCCCCAGGCATCTGCTGCCAGGAGGGTGGGGCCTCCTCTCTCGCTTCTTTAAAGATCTGTGCTCTGCGACCAGGACCGAACACCCGAAGTCCTACCCAAAGCCTTCTGCACTGAAGGGGGCAACAGAGACACGGGAGCCACACACAATGAACTGGTCTATAGCAGCGGAGAAAGGAGAAGCAGAGGAGGCGGAGACCTGACCCCAGAAAGCAGCACTCAAACAGATGCAGCTGCACCCACGCGCCCGCCTGCTGCCAGAGCCACTCTCCGGAGCCTGCAGTCCTGAAGACGCCTCAGCAGGGGCAGGCAAGAAGACACCCCGCGAACCCCCAGGGCCGGCCGGGCGCATCACTGGGAGCCGGGGCTATCTCCCTCCGTCAGCGTCTTGAAGTCCATGGAGAGGGCCTGCTCTTCCGCCTGGGAAGGCCGCTTCCAGTCGGCCCGGGTCAAGATGTAGAGCACCGCCCCACCGAAGCAGGCCAGCAGCAGGCCCAGCACGTTGGCCAGGACACCCTCGGGCTCAAATGCGCTATACTTGCCCCTGCAGGGGTGAGAGGAAGGGAGAAGCTGCCCAAGGGGTCACAATTAGGCCAAATGCCCTTTGTATCCTGGGCCTTAAAGATGCCATGGGGATTCCAGCACCAGCCCCTGCCTCCCTGCCCTGCCTGAAGAGAACAACCATCCCCCCGCCCCCAACCAGCAATCTCCAGCTATGGCTCACAGACAAAAAGAGATGGGCAATGTAAAAACCTAGATCAATATTCTAGCTCTAAGCAGTTGTCCTGCAGATCCTGCTGCGTGGTGGGAATAAATAGGGTGCCCATAGCCCAGAAGTTTCTTTGAAAGGGTAAAATCAAGAAAGCTAACCAAAGCCAAGCCCCAAGCACCCAAATCTTAGCAAGCATAACTACAGCCACCAGTTGTGACGCCACGAGAGGCGGCTCAGGAAGCCACAGCTGGGGAAGCTGAAGGCAGGGTGAGGTCTGTGCAAGGGTGGCCCAGGCCCTGCCCTCTCCCACCCAGGACACTCACCCGAGGTTGAACAGCAGTGCCTCCTTCAGGCCCAGCAGGGCGGTGCCCACGGAAAGGAGGAAGATGGTAGCACCAAAGAAGATGTGCTGTGGGCGGTAGCGGCTCCGCAGGGAGAATGAAGCTCCGGGGAACAGGAAGAAGCTGAAGCCCACCAGCCACTAGGATTTGAAAGGAGACGGTTCCGGGACAGGGCGGCCGGACACCCCAGCAGCCGAGGTCGGCCAGGCCCACACCCACGTGCCCACGTGGCGACTGTGAGCCCCTCAGCCCTGCCTGGTTTCCTTCCTCCTCAGCACAGTGGTGGGAGGAGCACTAAGCGCTTAGGGACAAGGGACCGGTCCCCCAACGCTTGAGGCCTTGGCACACTCAGAAAGCTGGGCTTGTGGCCAAAAGTGCTGAGTCAGCCATGGGGCGCCTGGGAGCTGGGCACCCTTGGCCGCCAATCCTAGCTTTGCACCCGCACAGGCCTGGGAAGGCAGCTCTCTCACCTGCACACACCCCAGAAATCAGGCCCTTCCATGAGGTACATTTCAGCCCAGCTCCCCTCCTCCTCCCACCTCCCTGGTAGGTGGCCCCAGGCCCGGGGTGTTGGAAGGACTCACCTGCACAAAGTACAGGACAAAGACAAGGATCCCGCACCAGCTGTGTAGGCTGTACAGGTCAGCGTAGCCCTTCTTCCTGTGGTAGTCGAACACCGCCACCAAGCCTGGGCCAGAGACAGGTCATATGAGGACAGGGTTGGATGTGGAAAAGGAAGGTGTAAGATGACCCAGGGGAACCAGCTAGCGGGACTTCTGGGCTTTAGTCCCAGCTCGAGGGCTGCCAGCACCTAGTGGCCCTGCAGGGGATGTTTGGGGTGGGGGCGGGCCCATCACAGCTCTGGGGAGGGAACAGAGCAGGTGAAGCGGCTGTTTGCCATACCTGAAGAGGCAGGCAGGTGGCGGGGAAGGCCGCGCCCGGGAACTCACCAACCAGGGCGATGACGAGCGCAAAGATGTGCAGCAGCCCGTGCAGGACCTTGGTGGTGCGTTTAGCTTCGTTCCTGAAGACACGGTAAACCAGCAGGGCTGTGGGAGGTGAGAGAGGGAACGTGAGTGCATCCGCCTGTGCGTGAGGCCTCCTGCCCCAGCAGCAAGGAGGCACCTTGGTGGAGAGGTGATGTGAGCTGACGGCTTGTAACAGGAGCCTAGCTGCAGGAACCGGAGGAGAAAGCCAGGTTCCCTGGGGACCCTGGGCAGCTCCTGGCCTTCTCTGAGGGCACCTAGGGCTGTGTGCACCTTAACACCCCTCCCCCACCCTCCAACCTCCCCCAGCTGTGCACAAAGAGGGCAGGGCCGGAGGCTGCACCACAGTCCCCACCACCAGGACAGGCAGTGAAGGCAGCGCCTCTGCCCTCGTCCCCACCTAAAGGAGCTGCCCGGCCCAGCAGACGCCCCCCTCCACCCACCTTCTTGTCAGGTGTCCTGCAAATTCCAGGCTGTGTTTGAGGTCCACTGTTGGTCACACTGAGGCAACAAGCAGCCTCTGAGTTCACCTGTTAGCCACGTGGCTCCTCACACAGGCCCCCACCTAAGCCTGGGCAGATGGTCCTACTCCTAGCAAGCAGGCGCCTGGCTCCCAAGCAGAACCTTGTGATCCCAGCCTGATCTCCCGCGTCCAGAAGAGGTGGGCAAGGCCAGGTCACGTGAGGAATGCCTCTTAGCTTTCTGCTGCTCAGGAATGGCTGTCACCAGGACCACCTCTAGGAAGAGCGGGTCAACCGGATGCAGATCCCGCTTCCTGGATCCCTGGCCTGGAGGCAGGTGGAGGCCAAGCACTGCCTTGCTCCTGCCCCAGGGGGAGGCGCTCTAGCTCTGCCAAGTCCAAGACCAACAACACACATGCGCGCGCACGCACGCACGCATACAAACTCTCACATATGATTACTTTTTTTCCCTCAATTCAAACCACCCCTGCAGCAGGGCCTGGCTCGGAGCCTCATTCCTTTCCCTCTGCTGCAAGAAGTGCCCGCCTTGGATGCTGTGTGTGGAAACGAGGTGAAAATGCTGGACCAGGCTGGAGAGGAGCTGCCACTCACCAACCTCAGAGCCTGGGTTTGGATTCCATCTCCCCAGGCTCTGAACCAGCTTCTGTCTCTGTCTTTTCTAGAATCTTAGATTTGTCCAACCAGAAGAGACCGCAGGGGTGACAAGACCCCTGCAAACTGCCTCTCAGGGACCCCCACAAGCCCGGGAAAAGAGGAGCGGCCCATGGGACTCACCATTTCCCTGCAGGAAGATCAGGCCTATGACCATGCAGAGGGGGTGCGCGTTGAACTGCAGGTCGCTCTCCCAGGCAATGCCGCCTCGGTACAGCCCGAGCCACGCGCCGGTCATGGCCACCAAGGTCAGGCCCAGCAGCTGGGAGAAGGCCACGTAGTAAGGCAGTGCTGTGGGGGTGGCTGCCGCGGCCCCGCCCTCCATGCTGAGGCAAACGCTGCAAGAAAGAGCAGAGCTCAGAGGAGCAGCGCACAGCACCCCGAGATGCGCACAGCCCCCGCGGATGCACACAGCCCCCCAAGATGCGCACAGGCCCCCCGAGATGTACACACCCCTCAAGATGCGCACAGCCGCCCCCGGAGATAAGCACGGTCCCCCCAGATATGCACAGCCCCCCCCGAAATGCGCACAGCCGCCCCTGCTAGATGCGCGCAACACCCCCCCCGGGTTGCGCACAGCCCCCTCCAGATGCGCACAGCCACCCCGCTAGATGGGCACAGCCCCCCCGAGATGCACACAGCACCCCCAGATGCGAGCAGCCCCCCTGAGATGCGCATGTCCCCCCCACGGATGCGCACAGCCCCTAGAGACTGCGCCTGAGATGCGGCGCGGCTCCTCCCACGGCGGCCCCGCCACCCTCCCCCGAGGCTCCCGCTGGAAGCAGCGCTCGCTCTCCTACCCGCAAGCCCCTTCCCACCCATCGTCCTGAGGCAGAGGTCTCAAGTCTCGGGAGTGGCTGGGGGGAGGGGCCCAGCCTCCCCACGGGGACAGGCGTGACCTGGGACACGACGCCAGGAGTTCCATATGCGGTGAGGGTGCAAGGAAAGATACCCCAAATTCTAGTGAGCTCAAGGGCCCAGTGCCCGGCTTTGTTTTCTGTTTCATGAGGCCCTGGCCTTCCCTGGGTGGGCTTTACAGGTGAGTTACACAGGCAAGCGCGCTCCTTGACGGGAAGGAAGGGGCTGGTCACACCTTTTCTCCAGACGCGTCATGAAGTACATCTCGGGAGAAATGGGAAGTCTCCCTCCCCCATCCTGGTTTTTAACTCCATGCTGGCGATGAGGAGGCCTCCCCACCCCACACCCAGGAGAGCCAGCCCCGCTCCCCCCACGCCCCCGCCCGCCCCCCACCCCGCTCCCCGCCCGGCCGCGCCTGCAGAGTAGAAGTGCCCCGACCATGCTGCACACAGGGACCTGTCAGCACACAGGGACAGGGCACTTCCCCTCCACACCAGGGGCGGGGCGGACCCGCACTCTAGAGGGGCCCTCAGGGAGGTTTCCAAAACTGAAGGCCCCCAGAAACGAGGCCTGCGAAGGGGCCGGGTAGAGCTCAGCACGGCTGTCCCAGGTGCTCGGCCCCACGTGGCCCTCCAGGAGGAAAGGAGAGCGGGTGGTTCCTAGCGAAGCAGCAATGAGAAGGCCCCGCTAAGAGCCCAAGGGAGTGCCCAGTGCCTGCACAGCTTCATGCCGGCCGGAGAGCACCCAGCAGCTGGGGATGGGAGGAGAGGCGGCAGGAGGAGAACAAGCGGGGCTCTCCCCTCACCCGGCAGCGGCCTGTGCGCCACGGAAAAGTGCTGCCATGGCCCACAGTTGCCACTGCAACTGCCACCACCATGGCCACCACAAGCAGACCCCAGAGCACTGCTGCTGCCCCCCATCCCGCCCCGGTTCCCCACTGGCCCCTTGCCACGGTCCAGCCTCTCCTGGCAGCAACTGTATCAGAACTAGGGGGACAGTGGCCAGCACAGGGGCACTGACCCCCTTCACACCCGGCACACGCTCTGCCCTGCAGTGCCCAGGAGCTGGTTTTCAGTCCCTCCCAGTGATGGGCTCCTTCTCTGCTCCCCAGTTCTCTCTGCCACATCGGACAACTGTTGGCAACTCCACCATTAAAGGGGGGGTGTGTGTGTGGGCCGGGTGCGATGGCTCACACCTATAATCCCAGCACCTGGGGAGGCCAAGGCGAGTGGATCACCTGAGGCCAGGAGTTCAAGACCAGCCACAACATGGTGAAACCCTATCTCTACTAAAAATATAAAAATTAGCCGGGCATGGTGGCTCACACCTGTAATCCCAGCTACTTGGGAGGCTGAGGCACTAGAATCCCTTGAGCTCAGGAGGCAGAGTTTGCAGTGGGCCAAGATCGCACCACTGCATTCCAGCCTGGGTGACAGAATGAGACTCTGTCTCAAAAAAAATTTTTTTTAATTAAAAAAAAAAGGGTGTGTGTGTGTGCTAATAATCCACACGCACTGCAGTAGAATATGGATCAGCAAAAAAGGTAAAATGACAGGCCATCAGAATTTGATCTATATCCTCACACACCTTCTTCCTAAAACACATATGCATCCTTTTATAGAAGCAGGATCATTTATTCCATTTTCTAACCTGCTTTTTAACTGAGGGCGTAGCACACATGGATGTTTGTGTCAATGGATACGCGCCCACATCATCATTTTCGTAACCTCACACTCTTGCATTGCACGGCCATTTTTTAGCCAACTAGTTCCCATTGTTCAGCATTTAGCTAGCTTTCGATTTCAGTTTTCCACCAAATAAACAACAGGATGTGGTCATCTGCAAACTTCTCTGCAGGGAATCCTGAAACAAGGGCTAGGTTCTGTTTTAGACTTCTGACACATTCCATCAAATCATCTCCCAGAAACATAGCTCCAATCCACATTCCCAGGGTGGACGGGAATACGGGATTCCAGAAGCCCCAGCCAACAATAAATCCTATTTTTGGAACTCCTGCCTCTGTCCTTATCTGTCACCTACACGGGTATCAGTTCTGTCCCCGCCACCCCAAATTCAAGCCCCATTTCTGACGGTTCACTACTCATCTCTACCTGGACATCCCACAGACGCTTCAAACCCAGCTCGTCCCAAGTCACCTTCTCTCCCATCGTCGCCAAGTTCTCTCATGCCCTCCCCACTAGCTAGCAGGGCTGCCCTTCTTCCGGGCCCAGGTGACACCTCAGCTCCTCCACAGAAGGCTGCCCAGGCCGCCGCATGCTGGCACCCCTCCCCTCACTTCCCTCCTGAGCATCCTCACTGCCCCACCCAAGTCAGGGCCTGCAGCTTCTCCCTCTTCAACGTGACAGACATGCCAGGGACAAAGCCAGCTCCCAACATCATGCTGTCCCCTGCGTAAGTGCCCCCGAGTGCCAGTGAAATGCCAACTGCATGGCATGATCCTGCCCGTTTCCATCTGCAGCCCCCACTGTTCCTGCTAGGCCCTCTAGAGGAGACGCCTGGGCTCACAGAATCCAAGGACATGGCCCAGCCTGGCTCCCTGCTGTGGGCCCACACCCCTGCCTCCACTCCTCAGGCACCGCGGTGCGCAGATCACTCTGTCCCCAGGCTCTCCCGGAGCCTCCTTACCCTCGCGGTGCCCTGTCTGCTCCTCGAAGGCAGGGACGCTCTCACTCCTCCTTGGGTATCTTTGGGTCTCTAATACCCCGAGTCTAACAGGAAAATGTACTGAAAGAAGTGCTGTCCCCCCTGGTCACTTGTTGTCTGTCCTCCTCTCCAGGTCGCCGCCTCCTTTATTAGATTCATCCCCAGAGAGCCTGGCTGCAGGCAGAATCTGATTAGCTACAAATTAGGAAGAACAGAGGGGACATCACCTCTCCCTCTGCTGGGTGACCCGGCAACTTCCTCACACCTCGTGGAGTACAAAGGGCAGGAGAGGCCCGCAGAGCGAGGGGCCGCTGCCCACTCCTTCCTTCCCACCAGGCTCCCTGGAAGACAGTGGACATCAGAGCCAGGCTCTCTTCTCGCAGCGACGACTGCCTGCGGCTTCAACATCCTACAGTGAAATGCCCGGCCTGGCCTCCCGGGGAGTCGGAACCATAACATTGTTTGCTCCCCACCATGGCAGGGCAGACGTGTGCTTGGTGTGTCAGTAGGGTGGGGACCCAACAGCCTGTGAGCACCTGCTCTGTGCTGGGCACTTCATGCCATCTCTAATGTCACCCTTAAATGACACTGTGTGGATAACAGGAGCATTGCCCCAATTTGACAGGCCAGGAAATGGAGGCTCAAAGAGGACAAGCGACAGGCCCCCAAATTCCCATCAGCAAATAGCAGCTCAACTCAACCCGCAGCCACCTGCACTTGGCCAGGTGCTAGGGCCACACAGAGGGGGCCTGGTCCCTGCCCTAAAGGGGCGTGCAGATGAGCTTTGGTACAGACCCAATTTTCAGGTAAGGGTGGTACAAGTTCAAGCCAGGAGCTAATCTGGGCCTCCAAGACCCGTCCCAGCATGCACACGGAAGACGGCACCCCTGCTTTGATGTCTGTGGGCAATAGCATCTCTAGCTCTCCTGCCGAACAGTGGCTGCCTGCTCGTGGCTTTGGCCTTTCCAAGGCCCAGGAACTAGGGTGGTGCTGTCAGTCTTTCCAGAGACTGAGGCCAGCAAGGGTCTGTGTTGGAGCTCACTGAGGAAGCTGCTTTGACGCAGGGGAAGCTCCCGGGCGGTGCCCCCCCTCCTGTGCCAGTCCTCCTGCGTCCTCCCCGCCTCGGTTCCACCATGGCACTAAGCACTGGTGCGTGCAAGACAGCAGGCCCTGACCGAAGGCAAGAGGGAAGGGGTTACAGGAGGGCAAACAAGCCGAGGAAGATGCATTTCCATTTGCTCCTAAGGCGGGTGCCCTGGCCTAGGCAGCCCAGGCACCCGGGGCACCTGGGCATCTGGGAGGAAGCCAGAGATGAACAGCGGCCTCTGGAATGACAGCAGCCTGCTTCTGATTCAAAGGCGAGGCTTCAAAATCTAAGTGTAAGGATGAAAGGAAAGCCCATGGCTGGCCTGCAGGCGACCACAGTCCGTAGGTTCTGAGCGTGGCTCTGTGCTTTACAGGAGATAAGCGGAAGATCCCTTCCGCAACAGGACTCTCGTGAGGCCATTCATTGGACATAATTGATAACCCATTTGTGTGCAGGGAAGGGCTGTCCCATGCCAGAGGTGGGGGTGTACAGGGATAGACATTCTGGTATCTCTGGACAGAATCTGACCCACCCACAAATGTGTCTGCTGCATTTGCAAACCTGGACATTGGGTGAGATTTCTCCCTAGGAAGCAAGGCTTTGAATCGTGGCCCTCATTTCCCAGTCTTGACAGCAAGAATACTCTCTCGCTCTTCCCTCCTCACTGGGCAGCCCTGGGACACCGGCTGTTCTTGGGCCCTCTGTGTTCTCAGAGCAGAACTGTGGGCAGCAGCTTCAAGGCCTGGAAGCTGCCACTCCCCACCCCCAAGGGCTCCACTGCCCTGCAGACCAGAACCTTGCAACCAGAGGGAGCTCACGTAGCCCCTCACACAGTCACTTGCCTTCCTCTGTGACAGCTCAGGATGAGGGTGACAGATCTCTGGCAGTTTCTGGATCTTAGAGCTGTGAGAGTCACCCTCGTCCCCACCCACTCACCCTACCTGCAGCCAGAATCCACTTAATGCAATCAGCGCATTAGGGACAGCATGACCCGCAGATCTTCACTGAGCCAAGCATCGCTCTCCCTCCCGGTGCCCACTGCGTTTTATTAAAAGGCAACCAAGACTAATCTCATTATTGGGGACCAGACACTGCACATGGTGCACAGCCTCGGGGGCGGAAGGCGGAGCAGGGGAGGCTGGGAAGCGGGCAGCCTGGGCTGGCTACAGCCCTCCTTATCAACAGCAGAGTTTGAATTGAGTTAGGAAAGACTGTGACTGCGGAAAGGCCGATATCTCTTCTTGATGGGTGAAGGGGAAAACAGCTCAATTGCCCTAGAGCGTCCTAGCATGTGATGAAGGAGAAAGCAAAGTGTGGTGTGAGCTATTAGGGTACTTTCTTAGCACCCCAGTAGCCCCAGGAAGAAGGGGCTTCCCAGGCAGTGCTCCCCATCCCATGCCAGTCCTCCTGCATCCTCCCCACGCTTGTACCAGCATGGCACTAAGCCCTGGTGCATGCAGAGACACCAGGCCCTGACCAAAGGGTAAGAGAGAAGGCATTACAGGAGGGTGAACAAGCCGCAGGGGCTGCATTTCCATTTATCCTAGGGCGGCTGTCCTGGCCCAGGCAGCCCAGGGACCCGGGGTATCCAGGCTGCTTGGACCAGGTACCAAGGAACTAGGTACCCAGGAAGCAGCAGAGCCTGAAGTCAAACACTGAGCTCCTTTCTCCCACAAGACAGAGGGCTCCCAATGCTTACAAACCAAAATGTTTCCATTTCCATGAAAATCAGAAGAAAAAAATGAACATTTAGGGTTGAGGAAAATGTTGCAATTTTTTAAAACTTATTTTAATTAATTTTTTTGTTGTTGTTGTTAACAGTGTCTACCTCTGTCACCCAGGCTGGAATACGATGGCATGATCATAGCTCACAGCAGCCTCGAACTCCTGGGCTCGAGGGATCCTCCCACCTCAGCCTCTCAAGTAGCTGGAACTACAGCTATGCTGAAATGCCCAGTTAATTTTTTCTTTTTTTGGAGAGATAGGGTCTCACTATGTTGTGCAGGCTAGTCTCAAACTCCTGGTCTCAAGCAGTCCTCCTGCCCCAGCCTCCCAAAGCTCTGGGATTACAGACAGACATGAGCCAGCCCTAAAATGTTTTGTTTTTAAAATTAATTGTAATCCAGTCTGGACTATACTTGTATTTATACCAATGCAGTTGTAAAATATAATTTTTATTAATTTTTTTTTTTTTGAGGCTGGAGTGCAATGGCAAGATCTCGGGTCACCGCAACCTCTGCCTTCCGGGTCCAAGCAATTCTCCTGCCTCAGACTCCCCGAGTCTGGGATTACAGGCGTGCTCCACGATGCCTGGCTAATTTTTTGTATCTTTTGTAGAGACGCGCTTTCACCACTGCGCCGGGCCAATTGTTATTATTTTTTTTATGGAAGACGGGGCCCGTGAAGGCCAGAGGGCCAACGGCCCATGAAAGGCCCAGCGCAGCCCAGGTTAGAGAGATGTGATTTCAAAACAGACTCATTATTTATAACCATCAGCTCCTGGACAAGCCAAGTCCCTTCTCCAAGCCTGCTTCCTAATCTATAAAGTGGAGGATATCTGGAGCTACCTTATTGAACACAGAAGGAGTAAGTGGATAAAGGTGTGCCAGCGCCCAGCACAGTGCCTGCCACAAAGTAGGCATTCCATCAAAGACCAATCTTACAAAAACGAAATCTGGTCCTAAGAGCACCTTAGAAAGAGTCACACTGCTGACACATGAGGTTTGGGGCCACAGAGAGCCAGATGGCAGCCGTCTCTAATAAATCTACACTCCATTGCTGTCCACCATTAGCCCCTGCACACCAAGCAGAAGCTCCTGGGGCTGGAAGAACACAGGATGGTCTGCTTTTAATCTGTGACATTGTATATTCCCAAAATTCATTTATGAATTGTTCAGACAGTAGAGTGCTTTTTCCCAGTGAAGCTACGCTTTCAGAGGGGGTTAATTTCTCATTCCCCTCCACCAATGCCATCTAATGCCACTGAACCATCCCAGTATTAGCAGGAGCCCAAGCTCTGCCTGCCAAGGAAAAGTGGTGAGGGCAGAAAAGTAGTAGGACAAGGCTGGGCACGGTGGCTCACGTCTGTAATCCTAGCACTTTGGGATGCCAAGGCGGGCAGATCACTTGAGGTTAGGAGTTCGAGACCAGCCTGGCCAACATGGTGAAACCCCGTCTCTCCTAAAAATGCAAAAATTAGCTGCGTGTTGTGGCACACACCTGTAATCCCAGCTACTAGGGAGGCTGGAACAGGAGAATCGCTTGAACCCGGAAGATGGAGGTTGCAGTGAGCTGATATTGCCCTCTGCACTCCAGCCTCCTGGCAACAGAGCAAGACTCCATCTCAAAAAAAAAAGAAGGAAGGAAAGTAAGGAAAGCAAGAAAGCAATAAAGCAAGAAAGAAAAGGAGTGGGACAAGCAGGGTGGTTCCACCTCCAGCTCTAGGAGGCTCCCTCATGCAAGGAGGTGGGGCTGCCACCGCCTCGTATTTTCCTGCCTCCATCAAATTTCACCGGGAGAAATCCAGGCACCTAGAGGAGGTGGCAAAGCTTTTTTTTTTTTTTTTTCATTAGCTATTAAACCAAAGGGGCAGAATCTAGGCGCCCTAGATGTAACTTCATTTACGGAGTCAGAAAATCCACAAAGGCTGCCAAGGTGGAATGAATGAGAGGAGGACGACCAGAAAGGAGAAGTCTGGGAAGGGGACCCCAGATCCACACGGATGATCCTCGCTCCGTGATACAGTCGGGGACAGGGCAGGGAGGGAGGGAGGGAGGGTGGCCCTGCCATCTCCCAGGTGTCAAGGTGGCGGCAGCTCCGCCCTCAGCGCAGTTGGCACCGGCCTGACCCACCACAGGGCCACCGAGGCCACCGAAGCCATGGGGCTTTCCCACTCGGGAAACTCCCACCCTCGCGCTCAGAAGCTGGGGGCGTCGGGAGACACAGGCGGGGACCTGCGGCTCCACGTTGCAGCCCGGGCCCTGCTCGGGGCAAGAGGCGGTGGCTCCGGTTTCAGATTTCAAGAGGGCAGCCGTGGCAAAGGCTGGTTGGTCCATTTGCACCCTACCTTGCTCTAGAACGCGGCGCAGGAGCAAAGATCCAAACTCGGGGTCACCAGCAAGCGGGGGTCTCGGTTCTAACTTCAGCAGAGACCCGGCACCCGGGCAGGCCAGGGCAGGGGCCGCCTGGACCGGGAGAGGCTCGGCTCCGAGAGGGCGGGCGAGCCCTGCAGCCCTCGGGCCCAGGGTGCGGGTCGGCGCCGCAGTCCAGTGCGCGGCCGCAAGGGGCAGGTGCGAGGCCGGCTGCTACTCGGGAGCCCCGCGCTGTCCCTCCCTGCGCAGTCAGGGCTCACCTGGGCCGCCCCCGCCCCGCACCCCTGCGCGCTCCGCTCCCACCCCCAGCCCGGCCTCCTACCTTGCCTACCCGAGCGTCCCTTCAGCCTCCCCGCGCCGCGCCCGGGTCGCTTGGCCGGTTCTGCGGGCCGTGGCGCGACGGCGTCGCCATGGCAACCGGGCGGCGGGCTGGGCGGTGTCTCCGGGACCGGAAGTGGCGTACGCGGCCCCCGGGGCTGCCCCGCACGTGCCAGGTCCCCGCGGTTGCGGCCACGCTCGGGACCGGGCCCTGCCAGCTCCGGGCCCGCACGTGGGCGAACCGCGGCCACCGTGAGCCCGGCCTCGCGACCTCCCTCCGGGGCCCCCATGATCGGGGGTGCGTGGGATCTGCGGCCTGCGGGGGTGGAGGGCCGGGAGCTCCCCCGGGCCTGCCTCGAGGGCCGCGGGATTCGTCCTTGCGAGCCCCGACTGCGCACGGAAGGACCTGGGGTCGGCCAGGCCTGGGGGATGGGACGGGCCCCGAGGAGAGCGGGTGCCAGGGGCGAGACCCGCCGCCCTTCCCCGGCTTGGTCCCGCGCTTCCTGATTTTCTCGCTCCACGCCTCCCATTCTGCCCTCCACCTTCTTCCCTGCCCCGCCCTCGCCCTGCCCGGGCCCAGGAGGCCACTAGATGTCAGACCCGGTTCGGGCCTTGGCCACGCCGCCGCTCCGGGAGCCCTGGGGGCACCTCCCCAGCCCCCACGGGGGAGACGATACTGCCGGGAAGGCCCGGACTAGCCCCCGCCCCCGCAGAGTAGCCTTCGGGGAACACCGATTCCACCAGGCTCTCACGAAAGCCGAGAGCTTGCCGTCCGCAGCTTCCCCTGCCCAAAGCGCAGAGAAACGAGGGCGCCGAGGCCAAGACCAAGACCGGGAGCCAGCCCCTTCGGAGCCCGGTCCAGGCCCCCGGTCCAGGAAGTGCTGTGGGTAGATAAGGGGCCCAGCTCAGACTTCCTACAAGCTGGGAAGAAAGGGTTCTTTCCTGTCTGATGCCGGGCCAGATGTAGCAAGCGCCTAGGGGTAGGAGGGAAATGGGGTTTCCTCCCCGCAGAGGGAAACCGGCCTCCATTCAGGAACGCCCTCCCCCACCTGCCCTCCAGGCACCGAGGTTCTGGGAGGCCGGGGGGCAGGGAGACCTGCTTACTTGAATGCGCTTTGTGTATTGCCTGTGTATTGCCACAGGCAGTGGGCAAGATAGGCCCTGGGGATCCAGTACTCGCTTAGTACACAGAGAGCAGTCTCCAGCGCCAGGCGAGACGCACAGGCGTGTCAGCTGCATATGGCACACGGTGGCACATGGCACACCTTCCACGAGCAGACACAAGGGGCCGACACAGCAGGGCCCACCCCCTCAGAGGGACCAAGCTTAAACCCTCCAACAACAGAAAATTTGTAGAGTATCTTTCAGTTGGAGGAAATTAATGGATAATTTAAAGTAAGAAACAGTTTCCTTAGCGTGCTAACAGGCAGAATCCCTGTGGATTGAAGGTGGAACTGAGCCATGTCCTTTGTTTGGTCTGTGGATTTAGACGTGGAGGAGGAGTCCTGACCGGCTGAGCAGGGCTGAGTTCCCTCGTGAGAGCCCCGGGCCTTCAGCCCCTTCCAAAGCCAGGAGAGACTCCTGCTGAGGGGTGATAGGGGCCCTTTGGCTTCCCCCTCACCCCACGGCCCAGCAGCACGGGGCTGCAGGCTTTTCCCTTAGGAGGAAGAGCAGCCGCCTCCCTGCCAGCAGTGTTCTCAAGGGCCTGCTTCAAGTGGGGAGGGGTGGGTGAGGGTGTTCTGACTGAGGGAGAGGCCTGCACACCCGCTGCATGGGGGGGCTCATGGCTACACCTAACCCATTTTAAAGAACAGGCAACGCCACCAAACTGCTCTCTGGCACTAGGGCCCAGAGGCCTTGCCCCAGCTCCCAGATGTCCCAACCCAGGACGACAGACACCCAGACTAACTACCTTGCAACCCTGTTCCTGCTGCCGAAGCTCCTGCCTTGGAAGCCTGAGAAGTGTGCAGTCCTTCAGCTTGGGAAAGGTGGGAAAGGAGAGGACCCCTCCTGCCCTTTCTTGAGTGGCACAAGATGAGTTCCAGGGCCTCCTGAGTTGTGCTAACGCCTGTAATCCCAGCACTTTGGGAGGCCGAGGCGGGCGGATCACCTGAGATCGGGAGCTAGAGACCAGCCTGACCAACGTGGAGAAACCCCATCTCTACTAAAAATACAAAATTAGCCGGGCGGGGTGGCACATGCCTGTAATCCCAGCTACTCCGGAGGCTGAGGCAAGAGAATCACTTGAACCCAGGAGGCAGAGGTTGTGGTGAGCCAAGACCGCGCCATTACACTCCAGCCTGGACAACAAGAGCAAAACTCCGTCTCAAAAAAAAAAAAAAAAAAAAAAGGAAATGCTGACTGTGTTTCCATGTTTCCACTCCCTTCCCACATCGCAGAACCACGCTAGCCTTTCTGTTTTCAGATGCACCAAGTTCACTCCCACCTCTCCATGGAATGTTCTTTCCTGGATCATCTCTGGTCACATTCTCTCAAATCTCAGCTCAAACATCACCTCCTCAGGCCTTCCCTGACCATCCAGAGGGCAGCTGGGGCAGGGATTAGGAGGTAGGAGTGCTCCTGGATTCCGCGTGCTGGGCAGCCAGGCCTAGAGTGCCCCCTGGTCTCTGACAGAAAGCATTTAAGGAGGAGGAAGCATCAAGGAAGCAGGCAGAATGTGAATAGAGAGCTGGAGACTCAGGCCGTAGACCCACCTGGCACCTGGCTAGTCACTTCTCCCTTGCTAGGGTTACCAGATTCAGAAAGAAGAGGAAAAAATAAAAAAAGGCTTCCCAGTTAAATTCAAATTCAGGCCGGGTGCGGTGGCTCACACCTGTAATCCCAGCACTTTGGGATGCCGAGGTGGGTGGATCACCTGAGGTCAAGAGTTCGAGACCAGCCTGACCAACAAGGTGAAACCCCGTCTCTACTAAAAATACAAAAATTAGCTGGGCAAGGTGGCAGGCACCTGTAATCCCAGCTACTTGGGAGGCTGAGACAGGAGAATTGCTTGAACCCAGGAGGCGGAGGTTGCAGTGAGCCAAGATTGTGCCACTGCACTCCAGCCTGGGCAATGGAGTGAGACTCCATCTCAAAAAAAGAAAACCAAAAAAAAATTCAAATTCAGTTAGTTTTTTCAGCATGAGCATGTCCCAAATATTACATGCAGTATACTAAAGATGTATTCCAGCTGGGTGCCATGGCTCATGCCTGTAATCCCAGCACTTTGGGAGGCTGAGGTGAGCGGATCACTTGAGGTCAGGAGTCCAAGACCAGCCTGCCAATGAGGCAAAACCCTGTCTCTACTAAAAACACAACAATTAGCCAGGCATGGTGGTGGATGCCTGTAATCCCAGCTACTGGGGAGGCTACGACAGGAGAATGGCATGAACCCAAGAGGTAGAGGTTGAAATGAGCCAAGATCATGCCACTGCACTCCAGCCTGGGGTGACAGAGAGAGAATCTGTCTTAAAAAAAAGATGTATTCCTCACATGTGAGCAGATGTCCTGTGTTTCATCTGACAATCCTACTGCTCTTGCTCGGGTGTGGGAAGGGCAGGGGCCCAGTTCTAGCCCCTCCCAGCAATGGCTTCCTCCCTCATCTCTGAACCAGTTAACCCTCATTCAGTAGGGACTTCAGGCAGAGGCCCTGACCTTGGGCAGCAGAGGATACAAAGGGATAAGAGATGGTTCCCCAGTCCTCAGACACTATAAGATTCAAATGCACACCATTCATTCTTGGGAAAGTTTTATTTTTGTACCTTCTCTGTGCCAGGCACTAGGTGAGGTATTGGGGAACAGTGAACAAGACAGGCACCACCCTGTTCTCACAGGCCTTCAGTCAGGGGAGCTGCACAGAGATTTGGGGAGAGCCTTTGAAACTACTCTGCCCAAGCCCATCTCTGACCACCTTACAGAGGGAAAACCAGGATTAGGTACAGGGCATAGGAAGGCCCTCAACCCAGATGTGAGGGTCAGGGAAGGCGTATTGGGTCATGACAGAATTATCGAGCCAGAAGATGCTCAGGTGTTAACCCGGCAGAGATAGTCAGGGAGGAGGCAGGAGTGTCCCTGGTTAGAGGAGCAAGGATGATGCAAGGGAAGGCTGTAGGGGGCTAACCTGCAACCCTCGGGGCTCCCAGGCTTATTTTCATGAGGATTTGCCGGAGCCAGAGTAATAGTGCAGAACTGAGCCACAGCCTGCAGAATCAGCACTCAGGAGCCAAGCCCTGTCCAGCTCAGGAGGGGGCCTGCCCTGAGGGACCTCACAATTGACAGACACAGCCCCCGACCCCATATCCTGCAGTGGAGCAGCCTTAAGTCCGCAGGTATCATCTTCCGGGCCTGCTCCCTGAGGAACTTGAAAGTACGAGGCTACTTTGATGAGCTTAAAATAGACCAATTAATCACTCAGGGAGGAAATCCATCTCCCAGCTTCGGGGGAGGGGACAGGAAAGCAGTAGCCCCGGCAGGACCCGTCAGAGCAGCCAGCAGCACAGCGGCCATGTGGCAGGGCACCTGCAAGGCTTCCGGAGCCACCGACGAAGACCCTGAGTCACCTGCAGCCTCTGGAGTGTGGGGGGAAGGAGGCTGAGGGACGTCATTGCCTGTGAGTTGTCACCCTGCCCCTGGTTAACCCCAAGGCTGGTCAGTCTGGGAAAAACAAGACAGACAAAAGAGCCAAATACCACTGGGGCAAGAGGGAGGGAGAGGCCATGACAGAGAGGACAGTTAAGCCACCTTTTTTTTTTTTTTAAGACGGAGTTTCGCTCTCCTTGTCCAGGCTGGAGTGCAATGACAGCTCACTGCAACCGCCGCCTCCGTGGTTCAAGTGATCCTCCTGCCTCAGCCTCCCAAGTAGCTGGGATTACAGGAATGCACCACCACGCCTGGCTAATTTTGTATTTTTAGTAGAGACGGGGTTTCTCCATGTTGGTCAGGCTGGTCTCGAACTCCCGACCTCAGGTGATCCACCCGCCTTGGCCTCCCAAAGTGCTGGGATTACCGGCGTGAGCCACTGCACCTGGCCCAGTTAAGCCACTTAGCCACTTTTACCTCTGCTGGGCCCAAGGGAATGGGACATGGGGCTGATAAGCAGGGCTGGGGACCAGCTTCACAAAGGAGGTGGCACGGCAGCCCTGGGCGCCACAGGCAAGAGGCAGCCAAAGGAATGGGCTTCCCCAGATGCCCAGTTCATTCCCAGGCAGCCCTCTGGGGAGGCCGCCCTTTCCATGATGATTGCCTGGAGCCAGAGGAGCAGTGCAGAGCCCGGGTCACAGGCTGCACATCAGCACGCAGGAGCCAAGGATCCCATCCAGAGGAGGTCCATTTTCTCTCCTTCCTTTCTTCCAACAAAGGCTTACTGGCACCTGCTTATCCTAGGCCCTGGAGAGACAGTAACAGATCAGACACACAAGGTGTCTGCTTTCATGTAACTTACAAGAAGTGGGTAGACAGGGAATTAAAAAGTAAACTAACGTCTGGGTGCGGTGGCTCACACCTGTAATCCCAGAACTTTGGCAAGCCAAGGCAGGCTGATCACTTGAGGCCAGGAGTTCCAGACCAGCCTGGCCAACATGGCGAAACCCATCTCCACTAAAAAAAATACAAAAAGAAAAACAAAAATTAGCCAGGCGTGGTGGTGCATGCCTGTAGTCCTAGCTACTCGAGAGGCTGAAGCACGAGAATTGCTTGAACCCAAGAGGAGGAGGTTGCAGTGAGCTGAGATTGCACCACAATCTATATCTACATACACACATGCACAGAAACCTGACTGCATGTGTTTTGAAACACAGATGTTATGTTTCAACCTAACAAGCAGCATGAAGAAGAGGCAGAAGGGGACAAACAGGGCGTCAGGCGAGGGCAGGCACTTGTTGGGGGCACTAGGAAGGCTCTGGGAGGGAGAAGTGGGGGCGCAGGCCACATGAAGGTCTAGGGGAGGTGACTCCCATGGATGGAAGAGGGAGGGCAAAGGCACTGAGCAGGAATGTGTATGGTGTCTCCATCCTGCCCTGCCCTCCTCCACTCCTGTCCCCATCAAAGGGGAAAGTCGCTGAGTGTGCAGAGATAGGCAGGAGGAGTGCCAACAGGCCATCAGAGAGGGCAGAGGTTGAAGACGTGAGGTGTGTATCAGGGACCCCACCAGCAATTCCTGGGATCCAGGAACCGTCCATAGACCCATGGCTATAGCTGTGCCTGACCACGTCCCTCACATGCCAGCGAACCTGGACATCAGGCTGAGCTCCCCTCATCTGGTCCTGAGGGTTTGCCCTGCAGCCAGTGCTGTGGCTGAGCGGAGGCACTGCAGCCCCAGCATTGCATTGCCCTGGCCGCCTCTCCCCTCCAGGAAGGAAATCACGAAGAGGCTGTATCCCCAGAGTGTCCTCCATCCCCACCTCCCCACTTTTCTCCCTAAGTTGGTAGGTCAGTCAGTCAGCTGCTCTGTGAGTGCCAGGGGCAGCGAAGAGCAGGAACAGCCCCAGCTGTCTAGGACAGGGAAGCAAGTGTGCAAGGCCTGGGGTAAGGGATGATCATGGCCTTGGGTGATATCAGCAGAGTGAACATACTGCTGATAATGACTGATCACCGCCAGGAACCCGCCATAAATGGCAGGGCTGGGACTCCTGCACTTTGTTCAAAGCCTGTGAGGCTCTGAGGTTTCACCTGGCTCCTGAAGCTGCTCCAGCTCTGGCCACGCACCAAGCCCCTGGTTCTCCACCCACCTTCTCATCCCAGGAGAGCAGTGAGGATGTGGTGGCTGTTCTGAGCCAAAACTGCAGGGTGATGGAGCCACAGCCTGGAAGATGCCCCAACTGGGCACACTGAACTTCGTGACTCCTCCAAGGTATCAGCAAGTCAGCTGCACAATTGTCCTGAGTGAGAGATTTCACCTGACCCTGCTCTGCTCCCTCCTCTACTCCATCCTTATGCTTCTCTTGGCCCTGGCCATTGCCTCCTGCCTGAGCATGCCTATCAGGTCAGCTGATTCTTGTCGAGAGCAGATTAGATTCAAAGGGCACGGTGACTGTAACCCAGAGGCTCCCTCACCCAAGAAGCCACAGTCCTCTAATCCCTCCCAGCCATTGGGAGACCCTCAGAGGTGGCCTGGAGCCAGAGGAATCACACGCTCAGCTGGTGGCCCGGTTCCAGCTGATCTCAGCCTCTGGACTCATCGCCCCTCTGGATCAGTCAGTGCTTCCTTCTCTTCCAGGGATCAAGGGGCGGCTCCTGGAGCAGGGGCAGGGCCCTCCTACTCTTACAGCAAAAGTAGCTCAGGGCTTCTGGGTGGGTTTGTCTCAAGGCCTGGCCTCAAAGCTCTCAGACCCAAAAATGTTCTCCAAAGGTGGGTTCTTAGGTTCCAGGGCCCACAGCTGTTGGAAGGAGGCTCTAATAAGTCATTACCCATTCCAGTTCTGTGTGTGCCCCTGCACAGCCTGGGAGGTGATGTCAGGTCCAGGTGGATGTGACTGAGTGCTCTCATCTGTCTGGAGGATTGTTTTCTCCCCTTCCATAGGCCCTTCTTCAGCTGATAAATCCAAGCACCCCCTGGGGCTCACGTTGGCCCAGCGCTCAGTCCTGGCCACTTCATGTCACTTTGGGGTCCAAGCCCACCTGCTCCTCCTTGCCTGGACACAGCAGCAAATGTGATTGCCCCACACCAGGTAGCTCAGGCTCCTAAGCTCTTTAGTACCCAGTGTAAAGACCCCCCATGACACCTCCCACACTGTCCCCCATTGCACCCCCACAGTGCCCACGTGCCAGGTCAGCACCAGCCTCCCCCAGCCGAGGCCCATCCAGAGTCCTCTTAGGGTCTCTCCTCAGAAGCCCCTGGAGCCTTTCCCGCCAGCTGACCATCAGAGAGAAGGCATTGCCCCCACTTCTCTCCTTCTCTGCACATCTGTCAACCCAGCCACCCTGCCCTGCTCCCAAGGGGGACAGCACGTGGGGGCCTCAGCCTGGCCCCAGAAGTCCACTGCCACATTCCCCACAACATGAGGCATTTTGCCTGTGACATCTGCATGCAAAGCTCTCTCAAGAGGTGCTTCGTTTTTGTTTTTTGTTTTTTAGACATAGTCTCACTGTGTCACCCAGGCTGGAATGCAGTGGTGTGATCTCAGCTCACTGCAGCCTCCACCTCCTGAGTTCAAGCGATTCTCTCACCTCAGCCTCCCAAGCAGCTGGGATTACAGGCACATGCCACCACACCCAACTAATTTTTGTATTTTTAGTAGAGACAGGGTTTCACCATGTTGACCAGGCTGGTCTTGAACTCCTGACCTCAGGTGATCCGCCCACCTCGGCCTCCCAAACTGTTGGGATTACAGGCGTGAGTCACTGCGCCTGGCCAAGAGGTGCTTCTTAAAGCAAATGGCTCCAAGTGAGCTAAAAACTAAATGTCATTTTCTCCCCTAGGAACACCTCCTATGACCCATCATTGATGTCTTCCAGTGAATTTATTTACTGAAGGGCTCTTGAGAAGGGCTTGGGGGGCCACGCAGGGGGGCAGGAAGCTGCCTGGGGCCAGAGACCCCTTCAGAGGACCTGGCCAGGCCCTAGACTTCTAGAGCTGAAGGGTGGACCCAAAGATGAATTTGCTTCTTGTGTCCTGGGTCCCCTGATAGAGACTGTATGAGAAGCCAACAGGAGGAGGGTGCCTCTCCCCAGCCCCAGGCTCTCACAGCCACTTGGACGGCAGTTGTCCCTCCCTCCGTCCCTCCCCTTCCCTCCCTCCCCTCCCTGTGGGTCCCCCACATTTCTGTCTCTGCTCCCACTGCAGGCTGTTTTGTTCCTCCCTGACTCTGTCACCCTCCTCTGCTTCTCTGTCACAGTCTCTCTCCCTTCCCTCAGTCTCTGTCCTTCTGTCTGAGCCGAGGTTCTCTGGGCTTCCAGAGGCAGATGATGGTCTCCAGCTCTTCAGACAGTGGCTGCTTTCATTCCATTTCCTGGCCCCTGTCTGGGAACAATGAAGAAGAATCACGCAGGCACCAGGTCAGTGTCGTGGGGCTTTAGGGCCAGATCAGGCACCCCAGCCCCTGAGCTCCCAGTGGAGTCTTACTAGAGTTGCAAACATTTTTTAGTTTGCCAAGTAAGGACATTTAAAAAAAATAGTCCCTTATTCTCACCACCGTTTTACAAAAGAAGTAATAAAATCTTAACTACAAAAAATAAATAGAAAGGATGTTTGGAATAAAAGATATTGTGACCAAGAAAGGAATGCTGGCAACTTGGCTGATACATCTGGTTGATTTCATATCTATAAATCAGTGTTGCTGTTTTTGCCTCTTTATTGCTGACTACTGAACATTTTATCACTATCAGCCCTGCCAGGGAGCTGGCCATCGGGAGGCACTAATAGAGGGACTTGTGTGGTAGAGCAAGGCCTGAGGAAATGGAGGAGGCAGAGGCCACGCCAGGAAGGACTTTGCACTCACTCTCAGAGTGTGGATTTTATCCCCAAGGTGATGAGACACCGGGGCAGGGCGCTAAGTGAACAGAAGCTGTGGTCAGATTGGAGCATCCTCAGAGCCATGTATAAAAATGGACTAGCTCTCTCCCTCTCCCTCTCCCTCTCCCTCTCCCTCCCTCTCCCTCTCCCTCTCCCCACGGTCTCCCTCTCCCTCTCTCCACGGTCTCCCTCTGATGCCGAGCTGAAGCTGGACGGTACTGCTGCCTGATTCTCCTGCCTCAGCCTGCCGACTGCCTGCGATTGCAGGTGCGCGCCGCCACACCTGACTGGTTTTCGTATTTTTTTGGTGGAGACGGGGTTTTGCTGTGTTGGCCGGGCTGGTCTCCAGCTCCTAACCGCGAGTGATCCGCCAGCCTCGGCATCCTGAGGTGCCGGGATTGCAGACGGAGTCTCGTTCACTCCGTGCTCAATGGTGCCCAGGCTGGAGTGCAGTGGCGTGATCTCGGCTCGCTACAACCTTCACCTCCCAGCAGCCTGCCTTGGCCTCCCAAAGTGCCGAGATTGCAGCCTCTGCCCGGCCGCCACCCCGTCTGGGAAGTGAGGAGCGTCTCTGCCCAGCCGCCCATCGTCTGGGACGTGAGGAGCGTCTCTGCCTGGCCGCCATCCCATCTAGGAAGTGAGGAGCGCCTCTTCCCTGCAGCCATCCCATCTGGGAAGTGAGGAGCGTCTCTGCCCGGCCGCCCATCGTCTGAGATGTGGGGAGCACCTCTGCCCTGCCGCCCCGTCCGGGATGTGAGGAGCGTCTCTGCCCGGCCGCCCCCTCTGAGAAGTGAGGAGACCCTCCGCCCGGCAACCGCCCCGTCTGAGAAGTGAGGAGCCCATCCGTCCAGAAGCCACCCCGTCTGGGAAGTGAGGAGCGTCTCTGCCCGGCAGCCACCTCGTCCGGCAGGGAGGTGGGGGGGTCAGCCCCCCGCCCGGCCAGCCTCCCCGTCCGGGAGGGAGGTGGGGCGATCAGCCCCCTGCCCGGCCAGCCGCCCCGTCCGGGAGGTGAGGGGCGCCTCTGCCCGGCCGCCCCTACTGGGAAGTGAGGAGCCCCTCTGCCCGGCCAGCCGCTCCGTCCAGGAGGGAGGTGGGGGGGTCAGCCCCCCGCCCGGCCAGCTGCCCCGTCCGGGAGGGAGGTGTGGGGGTCAGCCCCCCGCCCAGCCAGCCGCCCCGTCCGGGAGGGAGGTGGGGGGGTCAGCCCCCCGCCCGGCCAGCCTCCCCGTCCGGGAGGGAGGTGGGGGGATCAGCCCCCTGCCCGGCCAGCCGCCCTGTCCGGGAGGTGAGGGGCGCCTCTGCCCGGCCGCCCCTACTGGGAAGTGAGGAGCCCCTCTGCCTGGCCGGCCGCCCCGTCCGGGAGGGAGGTGGGGGGGTCAGCCCCCCGCCCGGCCAGCCGCCCCGTCCGGGAGGTGAGGGGCGCCTCTGCCCGGCCGCCCCTACTGGGAAGTGAGGAGCCCCTCTGCCCGGCCACCACCCGGTCTGGGAGGTGTACCCAACAGCTCATTGAGAACGGGCCATGATGACAATGGCGGTTTTGTGGAATAGAAAGGGGGGAAGGGTGGGGAAAAGATTGAGAAATCGGATGGTTGCCGTGTCTGTGTAGAAAGAGGTAGACGTGGGAGACTTTTCATTTTGTTCTGTACTAAGAAAAATTCTTCTGCCTTGGGATCCTGTTGATCTGTGACCTTACCCCCAACCCTGTGCTCTCTGAAACATGTGCTGTATCCACTCAGGGTTGAATGGATTAAGGGCGGTGCAAGATGTGCTTTGTTAAACAGATGCTTGAAGGCAGCATGCTCCTTAAGAGTCATCACCACTCCCTAATCTCAAGTACCCAGGGACACAAACACTGCGGAAGGCCACAGGGTCCTCTGCCTAGGAAAACCAGAGACCTTTGTTCACTTGTTTATCTGCTGACCTTCCCTCCACTATTGTCCTGTGACCCTGCCAAATCCCCCTCTGCGAGAAACACCCAAGAATGATCAATTAAAAAAAAAAAAAATGGACTAGGGGCAGGGCACAGTGGCTCACGCCTGTAATCCCAGCACTTTGGCAGGCTGAGGCAGGTGGATCACCTGAGGTCGGGAGTTCGAGACCAGCCTGACCAACATGGAGAAACCCCACCTCTACTAAAAATACAAAATTAGCCGGGTGTGGTGGTGCATGCCTGTAATCCCAGCTACTTGGGAGGCTGAGGCAGGAAAATCGCTTGAACCTGGGAGGCAGAGGTTGCAGTGAGCTGAGATCGCGCCATTGCACTCCAGCTTGGGCAACAAGAGCAAAACTCCGTCTCAAAATAGAATAAATAAATGGACTAGGGAGAGGGACTGGGGGGACGAGAAGAGGGGGCCCAGTGGGAAATGATGAGGGTCTGTACTCAGGTGGGGAGAGTGGCAGCAGGGCTGGAGAAGAGGGGTGTTGAGGAGGACTTGAGGAGCTGGGCAGCAAAGGACCAGACCAGAGGGGCCACCCAGAGCTGGCGAGAGGTGTCATCCCTGTCCACATTCCCATAGGGACAGCAGCGGAGGGATCTTTGATTTCACTAGAGGCAGAACCAGGAAAAGTAGGTTTAAGATTTGGGATTAGGCCAGGCATGGTGGCTCATGCCTGTAATGCCAGCACTTTGGGAGGCTGAGGCAGGCAGATCATTTGAGGTCAGGAGTTCATAACCAGCCTGGCCAACATGGTGAAACCCCGTCTCAACAAAAAATACAAAAATTAGCCGGGCTTGGTGGTGCGCACCTGTAGTCCCAGCTACTAGGGAGGATGAGGCAGGAGAATCACTTGAACCCAGGAGGCAGAGGTTGCAGTGAGCTGAGATTGCACCACAGCACTCCAGCCTGGACGACAGAGCAAGACTCTGTCAAAACAAAACAAAACAAACACAATAAAAGATTTGGGATTAAAGGATTGGAGGAACATCCTGGCTCCACAGAATGTGACACTTGATACCATCCAGCCAGAGTAGCCCAGGGCTTCACGCAGTCTGTGGGATGGAGAAGGAGGGACAGCTGGTGGCTCCTGGTGGGGACACGTGTCCCGTTTTGCCTCCATTTGTTGGGTGACCTTAGTCCACCTACCAACCACTTTGTGCCTTGGTTTCCTTATCTGAAAAATGGGAATCAAATGGTACCTAACTCACAGGGTTGCTAGGAGGTTTCACTTCTCTGTGTAAAGCACTAAGATGCCTGGCTCAGTAGACACGGCCTCATGTTGCCATTTCACACGCCAGCGCCCACGCAGCACCCAGGCAGCACCAGCTAATGGAGGGCAGTTAACGTTGGTGATGTGGGGGCAGGAGGCACGATCTTGGCAAATACCAGGCCTGGCTTCAAAGGAAGGCCCAGGTTCGGGGCCACCTTCTGGGCTTGGGCTTAGGTGCAATTTTTTTTTTTTTTTTTTGAGATGGAGTCTTGCTCTTTTTCCCCAGGCTCGAGTGCAATGGTGCAATCTTGCTCACTGCAACTTTTGCCTCCCGGGTTCAAGTTATTCTCCTGCCTCAGCCTCCAAGTAGCTGGGATTACAGGCACACACCACCACACCCAGCTAATTTTTGTATTTTTAGTAGAGACGGGGTTTCTCCATGTTGGCCAGGCTGGCCTTGAGCTCCTGACCTCAGGTGATCCGCCTACCTCAGCCTCCCAAAGTACTGGGATTACAGGCGTGAGCCATCATGCCCGGCCTTGGGTGCTATTTTGAACCCCTTTGATGCCCTGTGAGCAGCTCTCACTTGCCACTCACCCAATGCCTGGGGGGCAGGGAGGTCGACGCTTCATGGAGATTTCCATAGGATGGATGCCTGGTCCAGCAGGGTCCCAATGGGCAGGGGCAGAGGCAGGCAGAGGAAAGGGTCACAAATCTCATAGCCCTAGAAGGGAGTGAGAAGAGGAACTGGCGGGCACAGCCACTCACATCATAGCAGAGGACCTGCACCGTCAAAGCCAAACTAGCAGCATGTCCAAGACCCAAATCCTTCATCTGCTTACCCTCCTTCCCACCTCCCCCAAAACTGTTTCTAGCATGTCCCCCTCCCCATAGAAGGCATCATCACCCCCTCCACTCTTCACCCCCCCCCCAAAGCCAGCCAGTCCACAGCTATCCCTTTCGGTCCCACCTGCAGCCAGCCCCTAAACCTACCACTGCCCTCAGTCGTGGGGTCTCTTCCTTCCTGGTGGTGACAGGGCCTTCTGAGTTTGCTAAGCACAGATCTACACTGCATCAAAGAGATCAGAGAGGTGACTGGGAAAGGCAGATTTGGTCATGGTCCTCCCCAGCTAAAAACCTGTTGCCCTCAGGAGGAAGTCTGAGCCCGCCTTAGCTCCATGGCCTCAGCTTCTGCAGTCTCCGTATCATCCACAGCTCACAGCCTCCTGCCGATCAGTCAGCACGTCTTTCCAGACCTTCTGCTTGAAATGCGAGTCTTCTAACAACTTGCCTGCTGAACTCCTACTCCTCCTTTCAGGGCTCAGCTTAAGCATCGCCTGTGGCCAGGGCTCAGGGCCTGCCCTGCACCTTTCATATCGCCTCTCTGGGAGTGGCTTGTTTAAACATCCCGGGAGCCTGGAGAGGTGGTATCACAGGCATTTGAACCAGAGCGACTCCATCTTGAGTGAGGGCTAGGAAAATGAAGTTGGGACTTGCATTCCCAGAAGGCTATTCCCAGCCTCTAGATGTTTACAGTTAAGGAAATGGATTAATAATGTTTACTAACAAACCCAAACTTCGGAGTGTCCAGATATCCCGATATCTCGAGAACAAAGGCATTCCTAATTTTGCTTCAAAGATAATAATATTGATTCTTGCAAAATTTGGTAATTTTAAAAAAGAATCCTTTATCACAAACCCTGTAGCAGAGCACATCTCCCCATGATCTTTTTTTATCCTATATATATACAAGCACTGTACCTAGGGTGGATGCATTCCTCCTCTTACTTTTGGGAATGCCCTATTCTGTCTATGGAGTAGCTGTTCTTTCACCACTTGACTTTCTAAATAAACTTGCTTTTCCTTTGCACCGCAGACTCGCCCTGAATTCTTTCTTGAGCAAGATCCAAGATCCCTCTCTTGGGGTCTGGATCGGGACCCCTTTCCTATAACAGTGCGACCAGGCTGTCCCTGCTCACCAAGGTGTCTGGGCACGGTCGGTGACTGCTCTTTGTAGGTCTCGGTGAAAACCTGCGGAGGAATGAGTGAGTGTAAGAAAGGGAAGGAGACATTTTTAATTAAGACCAGGCAAGATTAGGCAATAGGAGAAAAGACAGATATGAGTCAAAGCTTACTCACATGTTCCTGGCCTGGGAGGCAGAGATAGATTGTCACTGTCCGCAGCCACGGCAGAGCTGGGCTGTATCCTGGGCCTGAAATGAAGAGGTACCTCCCTCTCCTCCCCTGCTTCCTGGGATTCTGGGCCTGACATCCTATAGCAGGGTACACTGGAGACAGGGCCAGATGAGTTGCCACACTGCATTGTCCCTGGCATGTCACCATTTTTTGTAATTTATTGTTTTTTACTGTGGTGAAATACACCTAACAGCCGGGCACAGTGGCTTACACCTGTAATCCCAGCACTTTGGGAGGCTGAGGCAGGCAGATCACTGGAGGTTCGGAGTTCAAGACCAACCTGGTCAACATGGTGAAACCCCATCTCTACTAAAAATACAAAAATTAGCCAGGCATGGTGATGGGCACATGTAATCCCAGCTACTTGGGAGGCTGAGGCACGAGAATCGCTTGAACCCGGGAGGTGGAGGTTGCAATGAGCTGAGATCGCACCACTGCACTCCAGCCTGGTGACAAAGCTAGACTCCATCTCAAAAAAAAAACAAAACAAAACAAAACAACATCTTGCTTAGTAAGTTTGTGCTTGACCGAAAACTGAGGGGAAGAGCTAAAATGAGACGTGAGAGTTAAGATGGGATTGCTGAGTGAGTCAAAAGAAATTAAGATTGAACTTGACAGTCAGCATTTAAAAGAGAGAAGTCAGATGCACATCGACAAACTGGCCATCTTTCATACGGAAAAGATCTGAGGGTTTGCACTGACTCTCAGTTTCTTTTCTCTTTTTTTGAGACGGAGTCTCGCTCTGTCGCCCAGGCTGGAGTGCAGTGGCTCCATCTCCGCTCACTGCAAGCTCCGCCTCCTGGGTTCACGCCATTCTCTTGCCTCAGCCTCTCGAGTAGCTGGGACTAGGACTACAGGCGCCCGCCACTACGCCCGGCTAATTTTTGTATTTTTAGTAGAGACAGGGTTTCACCGTGTTAGCCAGGATGGTCTCGATCTCCTGACCTCGTGATCTGCCAGCCTCGGCCTCCCAAAGTGCTGGGATTACAGGCGTGAGCCACCGCGCCCGGCCTGACTCTCAGTTTCTATATGAGCTGCAGCAGGTGAGGAGGCTGCCAGAACAACCTCAGCCCTCTTCGGCTGCACCAAGGGAAGGAATTGCATTAAGTGGACCAGGGCTCCCTCTGCGCATGTTAGGCCAGCCCACAGGCTTTACTTAAATACAGGCAGCATAGTTTAGGAGAGATGTGGAAAATCTGCAGTCCATCCATGAGAAGATGACAGAGCATCAGGATACAGAGAACTTCTCTCCCCGGGAATCACTGAAGGCACTGTGTTTCTCCTGGAGAAAAGGAGACATGCTTAGACATGGTTGTGGCCGGGTGTGGTGGCTCATGCCTATAATCCCAGCACTTTGGGAGGCCAAGGCGGGCAGATCACCAGGTCAGGAGATCAAGACCATCCTGGCTAACACAGTAAAACCTCATCTCCAGTAAAAATACAAAAAATTAGCCGGGCGTGGTGGCGGGCGCCTGTAGTCCCAGCTACTCTGGAGGCTGAGGCAGGAGAATGGTGTGAACCTGGGAGGCAGAGCTTACAGTGAGCCGAGATTGCGCCACTGCACTCCAGCCCGGGTGACAGAGTGAGACTCCGTCTCAAAAAAAAAAAAAAAAGACATGGGGTTGCTACCTCTCATCTTGGACAGTGGCCATGTCAAAGAGAAAAGACTCATTGTTTCTCTAGAAAGCACAGTGAAAAACAATAAGCCTGGCCTGGGGCGGTGGCTCATGCCTGTAATAATAAGCCTGGCCTGGGGCAGTGGCTCATGCCTGTAATCCCAGCACTTTGGGAGGCCGAGGTGGGTGGATCACCTGAGGTCAGGAGTTCAAGACCAGCCTGGCCAACATAGTGAAACCCCGTCTCTACTAAAAATATAAAAATTAGCCAGGCTTGGTGGCGCATGCCTATAATCCCAGGTACTTGGGAGGCTGAGACAGGAGAATTGCTTGAACCCAGGAGGCGGAGGTTGCAGTAAGCTGAGATTGCACCACTGCACTCCAGCCTGGCCGACACAGCGAGACTCTGTCTCAAAAAAAAAAAGAGAAAAAAAAGAAAAAGAAAAACAATAAACCTAAAGAAGAGGCAGGAGACACATTTAGCATAACAAAGCAATTTCTAACAACCACAGTGGCTCAGCCCACAGAAGTAGTGAGCTTCTGTCCTTGAAAACGTTCGGATGTGGACAGGATGATGTCGAGGATACCAGAGACATTACTGGCCAGAGAGCAGCGTTTCCCGATTGTTTTCCCCTTCCAAGCATCCCATTCTTAAAGAATCTCATTTTTTGAAATTTAAAATTAACTTTAAATAAATTTCACTTATTAAAAGTAGTGATTATCCCATTTTATCTTTATTTTATTTTATTTTATTTATTTATTTATTTTTTGAGAGGGAGTCTTGCTCTGTCACCCAGGCTGGAGTGCAGTGGCATGATCTCCGCTTACTGCAACCTCCGTCTCCTGGGTTCAAGTGATTCTCCTGCCTCAGCCTCCCGAGTAGCTGAGATTACAGGAGCCCGCCACCACACCCAGCTAATTTTTGTACTTTTAGTAAAGATGGGGTTTTGCCAAGTTGGCCAGGCTAGTATTGAATTCCTGACCTCAAGTGATCCACTTGCCTCGGCTTCCCAAAGTGCTGGGATTACAGGCATGAGCCATCGCGCCCAGCCTAATTGTCCCATTTGAGTAATGAAAAACCTATATACTATCAATCATCCGATGCTCAGCTTGGGGTTCACTGAATAGAAGAAGTGACTCAGCCTTGGGGGTCTGGAAGAGCTTCTGAGAAGCAGAGGTTGTGCCAGAGTGGGGTTTGAGGAATGACTTGGGGGTTCTACAAGCAGACAAAAGAGGGTCTTTGCAGCAGAGAGACTCAGAGGTGAAAACATCAGCTCTGGAATAAACTACTGAGTATAAAGTGGGACTGAGAGGAGGCTGGAAGCAGCAGGGTGCAGATTAAAAAAGGCTTGTCGGTTTGATGAGGGCCGTGCGGGAGCTTTGCCCAGGAAAACAGCATGAGTGAAGAGGAGCTGGCCAAAAAAGAAAAAAGAGATAGAATCCAACTGCATTCAAAGTAAGACCTCCTGTTTATCAAAAGACACCCCCCCACCACCACCAAAGAAATTCATGCAAGTCACAGACTGGAAATGATATCTGTAACACATTTAAATGACAAAGGATTAATATCAAGAATATATAAAGAACTCTTAAGAATCAGTATGGAAAAGAAAAGAAATGGGCAAAGAACACAAACAGGAATATCACAGAGGAGAAAGCACACATGTCCTGTAAACATATGCAAAGATATTTAACCTCATCAGCAACAAGGTAATGAAAATGTCATGCCCCTCAAATTGGCAAAAATTAAAAAATTGGACAGTAGTAAGTGTTGGTGAAGCTATGGAGCAATGTGGGAACTCTTATCCACTGTTGGTGGGAGTGCAAATCAGTGCAACTATTTTGAAAGCAATTTGACATCTGGATACCCTTGAACTTTTGCATACCTTTGAACACCTGCACAGCCTTGGCCCAGTGACTTTACTCCCAGTGTATTCCCTACAGCAGTACTTCTCTCAAACTGTGGTGGAGGACCTGTCTTGTTTCTGTGTTAATTTCCAGTTTGTTTGGGGAATAATCCTTCTTGTAAAATACAATAAAAATGAACCACTAAAAAATGGAATGAAAAAAAGGCATACAATTTACAAGCCCTGATATCTTGCTATTAGATTCAACAGATATAAAATTGCTTATGTATACCAAGGGGACATGTACAAAATGTTCCTGGCAAATCATTTTGTAATAGCAAAAAACAAAAAGTAACTCAAATGTCCATTGACAGGAGATCAGAGAAATAAATTGTGACATAATCACGTGACAAACTATAGAATTGTGAAAATAAATGAACTACAGCTCTATGCAACGACAAAAAAAGTCTCAGAAACATAATTGAGAGAAAGAAGTTTCTATCGCCCCAAAAATAAACCTCAACCCTATTTTCAGTTACTTCTCCTTCTTCTTACCCCCAGCCCCAGGCAATCACTCATCTACTTCCGTCTCTATAGAGTTGACTTTTCTAGACATTTCCTATACATGGAATCTTACAATATGTAGTCTTTTGGGTCTGGCTTCTTTCACTTAGCACCCTGTTTTGGGGGTTTCACCCTTTGTTGTGGGATATATTAGAGCCTTATTCCTTTGTATTGCCAAATAACCACCTATGTCGATATGCCACATTTTGTTCATCCATTCACCAGCTGATGACATTTGAGTGGCTTCCACTTCTCCGCAAGTTTGAAGGATGCTGCCTTGGGTGTAGGTCTTTGCACTGATGTGTTTTCATTTCCCTTGAATTCAAACGCAGGTGGTATTGTTATTATAAAGCTCTACAACAAGAAAAATTCATTAGTATGATGTTTAGAGATACATATAAAGTACTGAAACTTTTTTTTTTTTTTTTTTTTGAGACGGAGTTTTGCTCTTATTGCCCAGGCTGGAGTGCAATGGTGTGATCTCGGCTCACCGCAGCCTCCGCCTCCCAGGTTTCAAGCGATTCTCCTGCCTCAGCCTCCTGAGTAGCTGGAATTACAGGCATGAACCACCATACCTGGCTAATTTTGTATTTTTAGTAGAGACGGGGTTTCTCCATGTTGGTCAAGCTGGTCTTGAACTCCCGACCTCAGGTGATCCACCTGCCTCGGCCTCCCAAAGTGCTGGGATTACAGGAGTGATCTACCAGGCCTGGCCAGTACTGAAACTTTTTTAAGGGAATAATAACAGCATTCAGGGCCAGACACGATGGCTCACACCTGTAATCTCCGCACTTTGGGAAGCTGAGGTGGTGGATCACCTGAGGTTGGGAGTTTGAAACCAGCCTCACCAACATGGCGAAACCCGGTCTCTACTAAAAAATACAAAAATTAGGCTGGGTGCGGTGGCTCATGCCTGTAATCCCAGCACTTTGGGAGGCTGAGGTGGGCAGATCACAAGGTCAGGAGATTGAGACCATCTGGCTAACACGGTGAAAACCATCTCTACTAAAAACACGAAAAATTAGCCTGGCATGGTGGCGGGCACCTGTACTCCCAGCTACTTGGGAGGCTGAGTCAGGAGAATGGCATGAACCCAGGAGGCAGAGCTTGCAGTGAGCCAAGATCGCGCCACTGCACTCCAGCCTGGGCGACAGAGCGAGACTCCGTCTCAAAAAATGTATAATAATAATAACAATAATACAAAAATTAGCCAGGCATGGTGGCAGGCACCTGTAATTCCAGCTACTCCAGAGGCTGAGGCAGGGAAAATTGCTTGAACCTGGGAGGCAGAGGTTGCAGTGAGTTGAGATCGTGCCACTTCACTCCAGCCTGGGCGACACAGTGAGACTCCATCTCAAAAAACAAAACAAAACCAAAAGAAAAGACACGAAAAAACCAGCATTCAGGGGAGTAGATGAGGAGCATGGGGGTGGGAAGAGAAGGATGAAGCTGGAGGCAAGGGTGATGGCTGGTGGGTTTATGGGTGCTCGCTTCGTATTATGCTCCATAACTTACATATATATTTTATTAGATATCATGTTTATGTATATATGCTACATAATAAGAAGGCAAGGCCGGGTTTGGTGGCTCACACCTGTAATCCCAGCACTTTGGGAGGCCAAGGTGGGTGGATTACTAGAGATCAGGAGTTCAAGACCAGCCTGGCCAACATGGGGAGACCCCCGTCTTGGAGGTGAGAATGGTTTGTTTAGACTCTAGACTAGCACTGTCTAGTGGACCGTTCGGTTATGATGTGTATTAGTCTGTTTTCTCACTGCTATGAAGAACCACCTTAGACAGGGTAATTTATAAAAAGAGGTTTAGACTGGGTGTGGTGGCTCACGCCTGTAATCCCAGCACTTTGGGAGGCCGAGGAGGGCGCATCACCTGAGATGCCAATACAAAAATTAGCCGGGCGTGGTGGTGCACGCCTGTAGTCCCAGCTACTCCGGAGGGTGAGGCACGAGAATCGCCTGAACCCAGGAGGCGGAGGTTGCAGCGAGACGAGATTGCGCCACTGCACTCCAGGCTGGGCGACAGAGCAAGACTCCATCTCAAAATAATAATAATAATAATAAGGCATTTTAAAAAATGAAAGCCTGTCTCCAACGCCCTAACAACCAAGGTTTCTACTGCAGCGACAGTGTGACCACTGCACTAACTCCTACAGGGCTCTCAAAGGCCCAGGCACTGCAACGGGTGCCGGTGCCTGGCCTGAAAATCCCAGTCCCAGAGATCTGCGGGGGTCCTCCATGCTTCCCCGGGGGCCTTGCTTCCCACCGACCACCCTTAGAACAAACAGCCCATCTGTGCACCCTTCTCCCTCCTCTCCCTGACCCCCTCGCCTGGTGTACTCTTCCACGAAGCAGCATCATCCCGGATTCACATTTATTTGTTGTCTGTTGCCACCCAGATGCGTGTGCAGAATATGGCTCTATGGGAGCTGGACCCTGGCTGGGTCATGGCCCAAGCCCCGACGTGCACATGCCTGGCGGCAAGGGGGCTCAGGAAATACTGCAGAGTTAACAGAAGCAGCCGGGGGCCTGTGATGTGGATGGAGAGAACTGGGGCTATCAACCTGAGCTGCTCTCTTGACAGCTGAAAGCATAGGCTATGTTGCTGTTTTTACCCTGGGTAGACACGCCTCTGGTAAATGTATGATTTGTTAGATATTTTGAGGTCTGGAAAACAGTCATCAGACCCTCATAAGCACCTTCAAGGACTCTGATATGGTTTGGCCATGGCCCCATTCAAATCTCATCTTGAATTGTAGTTCCCATAAGCCCCACGTATCATGGGAGGGACCCAGTGGGAGGTAATTGAATCATGGGGGCAGGTTTTTACCATGCTGTTCTCATGATAGTAAGTCTCAAGAGATCTGATGGTTTTTTTTTTTTTTTTAGATGGAGTCTTGCTCTGTCGCCCAGGCTGGAGTGCAGTGGCGCCATCTCGGCTGACTGCAAGCTCTGCCTCCTTGGTTTATGCCATTCTCCTCAGCCTCAGCCTCCTGAGTAGCTGGGATTACAGGTGCCTGCCACCACATCTGGCTAATTCTTTGTATTTTTAGTAGAGACGGTTTCACCATGTTATTCAGGATGGTCTTGATCTCCTGACCTCATGATCCACCCATCTCAGCCTCCCAAAGTGCTGGGATTACAGGCGTCAGCCACCGCGCCTGGCCCAATCTGATGGTTTTATAAAGGGCAGTTCCCCTGCATACACTCTCTTGCCTGCTGCCATGTAAGACATGCCTTTGCTCGTCCCTCACCTTCCACCATGATTGTGAGGCCTCCCCAGCCATGTGGAACTGTGAGCTCATTAAACCTTTTTTTCTTTATGAATTACCCAGTCTCAGGTATTTCCTCATAGCAGTATGAAAACGGACTAATACAGACCCCTAGGGGTCCAGGATCCCAGCTGGAGGTAACCATTCCTAGGTGAGCCTTAAAGTACTTTGCAAAGTTAGGATTCCGCATTTCCACGGCAGGGTGACCTCCTGGGGTCTAGGGCTCTTCATCACCCTCATTGGCATCATCACCGTCATAATCCAGACCCCAGACAGATGTGTCTGAAGGCAGTTGGGTGTGAGCCAGGAGCCCAGCGGGGACTGGGCTGGAGGTGTGAATAGAGAAACTGCCTTCAGCTTCAGCCTCAAAACCTACCACAGGATCTTAACCCCAGGTCTGCACTGAGCAGCCAGCACTAGTGGCTACTTAACGTCTGAAATACGGCCAGTGTGACTTAGGAACTAAATTTTAATTTTACTTAACTTTTATTTTGAGACAAGGTCTCATTCTGTCACCCAGGCTGGGTGCAGTGGTGCAATCTCAGCTCACTGCAACCTATGACTCCCAGGCTCAAATAATTCTCCCATCTCAGTCTCCCGAGTAGCTGGAACTACAGACACCCACCATCACACCCAGCTAATTTTAGTATTTTTTTGATAGAGACAGGTTTCACCATGTTGGCCAGGCTGGTCTCGAACTCCCGACCTCAAGTGATCTGCCAGCCTTGATCTCCCAAAGTGCTGGGATTACAGGTGTGAGCCACTGCGCCTGGTCTTAATTTTAATTAATATAAAATTTTAAAATGGAAGCAGTGTAAATGTTTTTATATTAAACACAACTTTATTGCTATAGTAAGACTACATTTCACTCTGTTGAAAATTGAGCCTCTGAATTGAGATGTGTAAAATACACACCAGATTTTAAGACTTGGCACATACAAGAAGGTAAAATATCTCATTAATAATTTTTGAGCTGTGTGTGGGGTGGCTGCACCCTTGTAGTCCCAGTTACGCAGGAGGCTGAGGTGGGAGGATCACTGGAGCCCAGAAGTTGGAAGCTACAATGAGCTGTGATCACACCACTGCACTCCAGCATGGGCGACAGGGAAAGACCCCATCTCTTAAAAAAGGGGGTGGAGGGGTTAAAGAAATAATAATTTTGATATTGATTACATGTTAAAAATGGTACTATTTTGGATATATTGGGTTAAATAAAATATATTAAAATGAATATTACACCTTTTTCACTTTTTCTAATATGGCTACTAGAAAATATAAAATTATATATGCAGCTCTCATTATATTTATGTTAGACAGACATTTCCATCATGATATGGCTTGGCTTTGTGTCCCCACTCAAATCTCATCTCAAATTGTAATCCCCACGTGTAGAGGGAGGGATCTGGTGGGAAGTAATTGAATCATGGGGGCGGACTTCCCCTTGCTGTTCTTGTGATAGTGAGGGAGTTCTCACGAGATCCAATGGTTGTTTTTTTGTTTGTTTGTTTTCTGTTTTTTGTTTTTTTTTTTTTTTGAGACAGAGTTTCACTCGTTTCCCAGGCTGGAGTGCAATGGCACAATCTCGGCTCACTGCAACCTCCGCCTCCCGGGTTCAAGTGATTTTCCTGCCTCAGTCTCCCGAATAGCTAGGGTTACAGGTGCGCCACCACACCCGGCTAATTTTTTGTATTTTTAGTAGAGACAGGGTTTCACCATGTTGGCCAGGCTGGTCTCGAACTCCTGACCTCAGGTGATCTGCCCTCCTTGGCCTCCCAAAGTGCTGGGATTACAGGTGTGAGCCATCGCACCAGGTCTAAACCTCTTTTCTTTATAAATTACCCTGTCTAAGATGGTTCTTCGTAGCAGTGAGAAAACAGACTAATACACATCGTAACCGAAAGGTCCACTAGACAGCGCTGGTCTAGAGTCTAAACAAACCATTCTCACCTCCAAGCAACCCGGTTCCTCCCACATCCACTTTTGATTTAAGCTCCCTGCCTGGGGGCCCTAACCCTCTGATTCTCTGAAGCTAAGCCCTGCCTTCCTCCATGTGAAGCTGTCTTGCCTGTCCTTTCCTGCTGGTAGGAACCATCTTCCTCCCTTAATATCCACTATTTATACCAGACTTCAGCACTTAGGCTTGGAGAACTAATTTCCTCTTCAGCTCAATTTTTACATTAAAGGCAGTTAATACCCTTCTCTCTTAATTGAGCGCCTTGCATATAAGGAATGGTAACTGATGATTCTAACAGTATTAATAGCACCTTTTTTTCTGTGGTGCTTTACAGCTCAAAAAGGATCTGTCATCTCCCCACAACCTTAAGAGGGAAGACAGGTAGAGATTTTCATAGCCATTGTACACATGAGGAAACTGAGGCTCTTTGAGGTTATTTTGCACAGATCATAAGGCTTGTTAATGTGGCCCCCATTTTTCCACTGTAGGCCAGTGCTGTTTCCCCTCCATGTGCTTTTGGTGCCCACGTGAAAATGCAGACAGTTAAAACTGAATATAGAGCTGGGCGCGGTGGCTCACGCCTGTAATCCCAGCACTTTGGGAGGCCGAGGCGGGCGGATCACGAGGTCAGGAGATCAAGACCATCCCGGCTAACACGATGAAACCCCATCTCTACTAAAAATACAAAAAATTAGCCGGGCGTAGTGGCGGGCGCCTGTAGTCCCAGCTACTCGGGAGGCTGAGGCAGGAGAATGGCGTGAACCCGGGAGGCGGAGCTTGCAGTGAGCCGAGATCACACCACTGCACTCCAGCCTGGGCGACAGAGCCAGACTCTGTCTCAAAAAAAAAAACAAAAAAACTGAATATAGAAAGAAAAGACTAGCATGGTTGGGGAAACTAGGGCTGCTTCGTGTTAGAGGCAAGACTTGAACTGAACTTTGAGGAATGGGCAAGCTTTGGCCAAACAAAGAGGAGTATGCGGACTTTTGGGGACAGAACCACAGCTTCTGTGAAAACCAATCCATAAACAGAATTCTTGATTAACAAAGAATGATGGAATTAAACATTTGGACTTTTTTTTTAAAACAACAGTTTTATCAAGATATAGTTCATATACCATAAAATCCCCCCTTTTAAAGTATACAACTGAGTGGCTTTTAGAATATTCAGAGTTGTACAACCATCACTACTAATGTCAGAACATTTCACTACCCCTAAAAGAAACCCCATACCACAGATTCCGATGCCGCCGGGAGCCCTGCCATGCCATGTCACATATATTATAGTATATCTATGCCCAGCCATGGTCAACCCACCGTGTTCTTTGACATCACCATCAACAGCAAGCCCTTGGGCCACGTCTCCTTCAAGCTGTTTGCAGACAAGTTTCCAAAGACGGCAGAAAACTTTCCTGCTCTGAGCACTGGAGAGAAAGGGTTTGGTTATAAGAGTTCCTGCTTTCACAGAATTATTCCAGGGTTTATGTGTCAGGGTGGTGACTTCACACACCATAATGGCACTGGTGTCAAGTCCATCTATGGGGAGAAATTTGATGATGAGAACTTCATTCTGAAGCATACAGGTCCTGGCATCTTTTCCATGGCAAATGCTGGACCCAACACAAATGGTTCCCAGTTTTGCAACTGCACTGCCAAGACTGCGTGGTTGGATGGCATGCATGTGGTCCTTGGCAAAGTGAAAGAAGGCATGAATATTGCGGAGGCTATGGAGCGCTTTGGGTCCAGGAATGGCAAGACCAGCAAGAAGATCACCATTGCCGACTGTGGACAACTCTACTAAGTTTGACTTGTGTTTTATCTTAACCACCAGATCATTCCTTTTGTAGCTCAGGAGAGCACCCTCCACCTCATTTGCTCACAGTAGCCTCTAATCTTTGTGCTATCTCTCAGTTCCCTTTGGGTTCCATGTTTGCCTTATTCTCCTCCATGCCTAGCTGGATTTCAGAGTTAAGTTTATGATTATGAGATAAAAACTAAATAACAATTGCAAAAAAATAAAATAAAAAGAAAGAAGAGGCTGGGAGCGGTGGCTCACTCCTCTAATCCCAGCACTTTGGGAGGCCGAGGTGGGCCTACCAAAGGTCAGGAGATCGAGACCACCCTGGCTAACACGGTGAAATCCCATGTCTACTAAAAATACAAAAAAAATTAGCCAGGCGTCGTGGCGTGCACCTGCGGTCCCAGCTACTCGGAAGGCTGAGGCAGAGGAATGGCGTGAACCCAGGAGGTGGAGCTTGCAGTGAGCCGAGATCGCACCACTGCACTCCAGCCTGGGCAACAGAGCAAGACTCTATCTCAAAAAAAAAAAAAAAAAAAAAAAAGACGGAAAAGGCATTATATATTTGTGAAGACATGGACAGAAATGTGTCCTGATTGTGGTGCCACAAAGCACTGAGCCTACTAGAAGACGTCAGCAAAAGATCCCCTGAAAAGTGACTCCAAGCCATTCACTGCAAGGGATGGTTACACAGATGCAGAATACAGAAGGTCAATAGTAGCTTAATGCTACATCACAGCTTAACACTACATCATCCACCTCACTTCATCTCACCCCATCGTATCGTGTCACTGTGCTCACCATCACAAGAACAGGGAGGATAGCACAGGAAGATATTCTGACAGAGAAAGAGAGAGACCACATTTACATAACTTTTATTACAGTATATTGTTATAATTGTTCTATTTTATTATTAGTTATTGCTAATCTCTTACTGCACCTAATTTATAAATTAAACCTTGTTATTGGTATGTATGTATAGGAAAAAATATAGTGTATATAGGGCTTGGTACTTTCTTCAATTTCAGGCATCCATTGAGAGTCTTGGAATGTACCCACTGAGGATAAGGGGGGGCTGCTGTACATACTTTGCAAATATCTTCTCTCATCCCATGGGTTGTCTTTTCATTTTCTTTCTTTTTTTTTTTGAGACGGAGTTTTGCTCTTGTTGCCCAGGCTGGAGTGCAGTGGCACAATCTCGGCTCACCACAATCTCTGCCTCCCGGGTTCAAGCGATTCTCCTGCCTCAGCCTCCCGAGTAGCTGGGATTACAGGCATGAACCACCACGCCTGGCTAATTTTTGTATTTTTAGTAGAGATGGGGTTTCTCCATATTGGCCAGCCTGGTCTCGAACTCCCGACCTCAGGCGATCTACCCACCTCGGCCTCCCAAAGTGCTGGGATTACAGGTGTGAGCCACTGTGCCTGGCCGTCTTTTCATTTTCTTGATGGTGTCATTGAAGCACAAAAGTTTTAAATTTTGATGAAGACCAATTTATCTGTTTTTTCTTTCATCACTTATGCTTTTGGTGTCATATCTAAGAAACCATTGACTAATCCAAGGTCACAAAGATTTATTGCCTATGTTTTCTTCTAAAAGTTTTATGATTTTAGTTCTTACATCAAGGTCTATTTTAAGTCTTTTGTTTTGTTTTTTGTTTTTTGTTTTGAGACAGGGTCTTACTCTGTCACCCAGGCTGGAGTGCAGAGGCACAATCATGGCTCACTGCAGCCTCAACCTCTTGGCCTCAAGCAATCCTCCCACTTCAGCCTCCCAAGTAGCTGGTATTATAGACATGCGCAACCATGCCCAGCTAATTTTTTTGTAGAGATAGGGTTTCACCATATTGCCCAGACTGGTCTCAAACTCCTAAGCTCCAGTGATCCGCCCACCTCAGCTTCCCAAAGTTCTGGGATTATAGGCATGAGCCACTGCACCCAGCCCCAAATTTTGTATATGGTATTAGAAAGGGGTCCAACTTCATTCTTTTACATGTGGAAATCCAATTGCCCCAGCACCATTTGTTAAAAATATTTTCTTTCCCATTTAATTGTCCTAGTGTTCTTGTCAAAAACAATTGAACATAATTGTATGGGTTCATTTCTGGACTCTCAATTCTATTCCATTGTTGAGCATATTTTTAAGGGCTGTTTTTCTCTCCTGTGGTAACTGGTGACCTGTACTTCCTGGAAGAGAGATGAAAAGATTCCCAAGCCAACTGAGTTACCTCACGTGGGTCAGGTCTCTGTGGCTCTCTGCACTGGCCTATTCATAATGATATCCTCCTGCAGGATTTGAGCCTTCTCCTTTGTTGTGACGGCAGCCGAGGAGGTGGCTGACTGCCCAGACAGCCTTATCTCTTTCCTACCTTTCAAGGTTATTGTAAATACCAAATTAGATTGTTTATACACAAGAATTTAGCACTAAAGCACTATACAAATGTAAGCTATTTATTTCTATTTATCCTTCTCCTTCATGAATAAGACCCTAAAAATAGAAGATATTTTTAATTTTTACTCACTGGGCTCAAGGTTGCAGTGTCTGTATTATTGCAAATTCCAAATTAATGAAGTCTGGCTCTTCTTATATTATTCCTGCAAAAGGCTGTGTGCTCACCCCCCGGAGTGTGAATACGAGTGTGGGTCATTTCCTCTTTCCTCTGCACCCTTCCTTCGATGAGGTTTTGCCCTGTGCTAGGCACCATGCTAAACTCTGAGAAAACCACAGAGAACAAGGCAGACGCCATCCCTGCCCTCCAGTAACATACAATTTAGTGATGAAGCTGGGGGATTTAACAAGCCATTCTAATAAAGCGTTACAGTGAGGGAGGTGCAGGGTGATGCCTCCAGCAGCCCTGGTGTCAGCTGCTCCAGGTCCAGGGGAAGACTTCCATTATCTTCCAACCCTGTCGGAAGTGGAGGCGGAGGCTGTTTATTGCTGACACAGTCCCTAACCCAGGGTCTATAGACATTGTGGAAATGCCTTGGAGTCAGACGGGAGAATGAACCAGCAGAAGCAATGCCCGCCCTCCACCCTCCTGAAGAGGGTTCTCAGGAACTCTTTGGAGGCGAGGCCAGCCTCTGGCTGAGGGCCTCTGGATACAGGTTAGGCCTCAGGCTCTTCTCCTCTCTACTCATCTCTCCTCCCTTGGCCCCTCCTTCAGAGGCTGACAGAGCCCCACTCTCATCTCTTCCCCACCCAAGCCTCTTTCCACAGAAAGACTGCTTCCTCCCAGGAGACAGCAGCTCATTTGCACACAGACACCCACAGCCCTCAAAGCCTGGAAGGCCAAGCTGTTAGGACCCCTGAGAGCAGGGTGGCTCCTGGGAGGAGAGCCCAGGCCACCACCTTGCCCTCCCTGGCCCCTGGCCTTCGATGGGGCTGCTCTGATCACAAACGTCCACCAACGTAGCCGGCCCAGAAGTGCACCCATGTCCTCTGGTATCCACTGGCTCTCCAAGCCAAACTGGGCAGGGAGGAGTTGTGAGGGAAAACTGCAGGTCAGGAGGGAGGCTGGCAAAGCGGGCCAGGGCCAGGCCTGACCCCAGCTCTCCTCTCCCGGCCCCACTGCCGGCCAGTGTTTAACAAGGCCCTGCCTTCTCCCTCTAGTGCTAGGGACAGCCACCTTCTTCCTCTCCCCACCGCCCCCTCTCCCCTGCAACACGTCATCTGACAAGTCAGTGCGATCTCACTGGAGGTGCATCTCACAGGAACGCGGGGTCACAGCCTCCTGCACACACTCCATGCTGCACAGCAAGGTGCACGTGTCCCTCAGAGCCCCAGACACCATCCCCCACTCACCCAGAAGCCCAAGTGATTCCCAACAGCCCCCAGCAGCCTAATGGGTTGGGGTCTTGGGAGCAGCTGTCCCTGGCTCCTTCCCTGATCCCACCGCCCAGCCTCACCCCACGGTTCCTCCATTGCCCCACCTCCCACTGCGCCGCCGGGCCTCTGCCAGGGTCAAGGGGCTTCCCCCCTCTGGCAGCAGACGCCATGGTGCCGAGGTGGCCTCCACAACCGCCCTGTGCGCCAATAGGACAAGACTGTCCTCCCTCCCCCACACTTGTCACTTTGAGGGACACGTGGATGAGACAGGAAAACACAGGGGAGTGTGGAGACCTGAGGTGACTTGGAGCAAGCCTCTCAACCTGAGCGGCAATTTCTTCATCTGTAAAATGAGGGGGTTGTTCTCATCTCTGAGGCTTTGTGTCGCTCTCAAAGCCTGCTAGCCTCGGGTTCTAGGACTCTGTTGGGATCGTGTGTGATGTTTTCTGCTGAGCGACTGGCAGCCTGTGTCCTCGGGGGGAAAGAGGGCAGGCGCTCCAAAGCTCCTGCGCTCTGTGGCTCCCCCTCCCTCGCAGCCCCAAGCCCCAGGTGTGCCGGCCGCCCTGAGCCCCTCCAGCACCTCCCGGAGGCGCCTGCAAGACACCTAAGGTCCCCGCCTCCCTCCTCTCCCCCCCGCCACACCCCTACCCCCGGCAGGCGACGTCCCCGCCCCTCGACCATGGCCTGGTGAAGAAGCCGGCCAGGCCCGATCAGCCCCATCCCCGCCGCACGAGCGGCGCCTGCGGACAGCTCCTGGGGCCCCGGCCTTGTCACTCCGGAGGCGGGAGGCTCCGGGGGGTCGGGCTGGGAAGATCGAGCCGGAGGCCGCTAGGCTCCCAGGCCCCGGCCGAGGCTGCGCGGCCGCACGGTGGGCAGGCTCGGGTGTTCCGGCAAACTGCCGGGTCCCCATCTTCTAAAGAGAGGAGGCCCTTTCTCCAGCTTCCTCTGCGGGAGCCCGACCCAGCCCCATCCCGCCACCCCCGGGCTGCACCTCGGCCCCTCCCCGGCCCGCGCCCCTGCCCGGGGCGGGCCAGGAACCTCGGCCCGCGCCGCTGGGGACTCTGGAGCGGAGGAGGAAGCGCGGCGGGGCGGGGGCGGGGGTGTGTCGGGTTTTATAACCCGCAGGGCGGCCGCGGCGCAGGAGAAGGGGCAGAGCCGAGCACCGCGCACCGCGTCATGGGGGCCGCCTCGGGCCGCCGGGGGCCGGGGCTGCTGCTGCCGCTGCCGCTGCTGTTGCTGCTGCCGCCGCAGCCCGCCCTGGCGTTGGACCCCGGGCTGCAGCCCGGCAACTTTTCTGCTGACGAGGCCGGGGCGCAGCTCTTCGCGCAGAGCTACAACTCCAGCGCCGAACAGGTGCTGTTCCAGAGCGTGGCCGCCAGCTGGGCGCACGACACCAACATCACCGCGGAGAATGCAAGGCGCCAGGTGGGCGCCCGGGCCCGGGCGGGGGCGGGGCGGGGCCGCGGCGGCCAATCACAGCACGCGGCCGGCTTGTGGGGCGGGCAGGCTGGCGCCCCCGACCCGAACCCCACCCCGACCCCGGACCCTCGCCCCGACAGTCAGCCGCGGGGCCCGAGCGCCGGGCTGCGCGCACGGCCTGCGCTCCCAGCATGCACGAGTTGGATGGATGAGGGTGGCTGCTCCCAGGCCGCGCCCGCCTTCGCCGAAGGTGCTGGGCTTGGCTCTGGGGCCCCCGCGCTCTCGGGCAGCTGCCTTCTCACCTCCGGACGCTGTCGCTGTCACCGTCACCGCACTGCACTGTCCATCCACCCTCCACTCGCCCGGCCTCTTTTCTGGTCCCAATTTCTGCTCCACCATTCCCATGAGGCAGATTCCCTCCAGAAGGAGGAAGCGCGGCTTCCGCAAACTAAGGTCTCCCGCAGGGATCTCCCCAGGGCCCGGGCTCTGGAAGCCCTTGGCCTTCCTCCCCTCCCCCAGCACCGTGGCTTCTCCTTTATGGCCTGCATCTAAGCAGGGTCCTACACCCTCCCTGCCCTCCTGGTGCCCAATAGGAGGAAGCAGCCCTGCTCAGCCAGGAGTTTGCGGAGGCCTGGGGCCAGAAGGCCAAGGAGCTGTATGAACCGATCTGGCAGAACTTCACGGACCCGCAGCTGCGCAGGATCATCGGAGCTGTGCGCACCCTGGGCTCTGCCAACCTGCCCCTGGCTAAGCGGCAGCAGGTGGGCTGAGGGCTGAGGCAGAGCTCGGGGGCGGCCTCCTAGTGCCCCATCGTGGGGGTCGGGGGAGAGCAGCCCATCAGGGAGGGAGGAACCCTGGGATCCACATGGGCCCTGACAGAAGGGAAAGCCCAGGTAAGCACAGAATGGCTTTCTGAGCATTGATTTTTCTTGGAGATGGGGTGGGGAGTTACTTTCTGTTAAAGGAAGCATTCTGGAGTAGGAAGCCAAATTCAAATACACTTCTCCCTAGGCTGGTTTATGAGCTTCTTTGGAAGAGTTGAGAAGGGCTGGGCGTGGTGGCTCAAGCCTGTAATCCCAGCACTTTGGGAGGCTGAGGTGGGCGCATCGCTTGAGCCCAGGAGTTCAAGACCAGCCTGGCCAACATGGCAAAACCTCGTCTCTACAAAAAAAAAATAGCTGGGCTTGGTGGTGCGTGCACCTACAGTCCCAGCTACTCTTGAAACTGAGGGGGAAGGATCACCTGAGCCCAGGAGGTCAAGGCTACAGTGAGCTGTGATTGCACTACTGCACCCCAGCCTGCGTGACAGAGTGAGACCTCCCCCCAAAAAAAAGAGAGAGAGAAAAGGTTGAGAAAGACTGGGAAGTCACCAAAGCCAGAGAATGGGAGGGATCTGCCCTCACTGCAGGGTGGTGCCAAGCTGGGACTTGACCCTGACCCTGACTTTCAGGACTCCTGTCCCCCACTCCACAGGCTGCCTCCACTGGCAGGGGACTCAGAAGTGATCCGGTCACACTAAGTGACACTTAGTGATCAGAAGTGCCCCGGTGCCACTGAGTGGCCTTGTCCAAGCTACATCCACTCTGTGGGCTCCTCCTTCTAGCAGCGAGGGGAGGGCAGATGTCCCAGGGGCTGGTCACTGGAGCATTCCTCCCCTCTGACTCCCCAGTACAACGCCCTGCTAAGCAACATGAGCAGGATCTACTCCACCGCCAAGGTCTGCCTCCCCAACAAGACTGCCACCTGCTGGTCCCTGGACCCAGGTACGGCCCTTGCAGCTCCCCTCTCGGCGGTGCCCTAGTGTTCCCACATTGCCCTGCTGCACTCCAGACCATGCAGTTGTGTAGGGTCTGTGGAGACAGCAGGTAAACCCAAAGGTGTTGCCCTCCAACTGGGGCTGGACGGTGCAGATACCCCCACGCCCTGCTTCTCTTGGCAAGTGGACTTCCGGAATCTCCAGCTGCAGCCCCCACTTCTGTGTGTACCTCGGCCTCTCCCATCACCCCTAGGCCTTCCTCCTGGCTGCCTGGTTTCCCCTTTCGTGGGTCCTCTCATGTTCCCCAAGAGCCCTCAGGCCAGGGACCCCTCGTGGCTTCCCCTTAAACCCCGCTCCAGCCCCCTTTATGAGCAGCTTCGAGGAAGGCACTCCATCCAATAGGCCGCTAAGTGTCTGTCTGGGTTTTGGCCTTTGGGTGTCCCCTTGGTGTCAGCCACCTTAGGTGGTCATGTCTCTGGGGCAGGGGCCCTGCCTGGGTGTTTCTGTAGCTCCCAGCCCCCTCCCACCAGGCCTGTAGGTGGCCCCTGTCTCTGGGGGCACCGTGATGTTCAGGAAGCTGGTGGGAGCAGTAAGGACTGGTGCAGGCTCTGGTGAAGGCCGTTGAAGACTTCAACGTGGAGGCCTCCTCACCGACCCTGCCTGCCTGTGTCTCAGATCTCACCAACATCCTGGCTTCCTCGCGAAGCTACGCCATGCTCCTGTTTGCCTGGGAGGGCTGGCACAACGCTGCGGGCATCCCGCTGAAACCGCTGTACGAGGATTTCACTGCCCTCAGCAATGAAGCCTACAAGCAGGACGGTGAGCAGGCCTCTCCCTGTCCAGGAACCACGCCAGGTGTCCTCTCTCAGCTGTCTCCCCAGAGTCCCAGCCCAGAGTCAGGCAGAGCAGCTGGTATGACAATTCCAGCAGGCCCTGAGTTTCCCAGAAAGTGGAGGTGGGACCGGCCTGCACCCAGTGTGCCTGGACTTTGCTGCTGGCCTGCCCCACGTGGCCATCCTGCTGTCACTCCTGGCCCTGATGCTCCTCTTTGCCTCTGGGAACCTCCAGGATCTGTTTAGCTGGCTGTAGCTAATTAGAAATTGTAGAGTGGCAACCCCCAAGCCAATTTTCCAGCTAGCTGCAGATCCACGGGCCTCGAGCCAGTGGAAGAGCCGACTTACAGCTGAGAGGCTGAGGTCCGAGCCTTTGGCCTGAGCTACATACCTCACCCCCACGCCCCCAGGCTTCACAGACACGGGGGCCTACTGGCGCTCCTGGTACAACTCCCCCACCTTCGAGGACGATCTGGAACACCTCTACCAACAGCTAGAGCCCCTCTACCTGAACCTCCATGCCTTCGTCCGCCGCGCACTGCATCGCCGATACGGAGACAGATACATCAACCTCAGGGGACCCATCCCTGCTCATCTGCTGGGTAAGGACCTGGCCTCGCCTCCACATGAGTCCCACGGAAGTGTGGGTCCCGAGGTAGGGGTGGGGGATGTCCAGGGTAAGGGAAGGTGGGTTGTGACCCTCACATCTCACATGTGTGGGGCATCATACTGTTTGCTTCACATGCAGGAGACCATTCGTGTTCCCACTTTACAGGTGGGGACCCTGAGGCTTAGGGTCGTGAGGGACTTAGTGGTCAGAGAGCTAGGGGCCAAACCAAAGGCTCTGGCCCTGGGTCCAGTGGGGGAGCCATCAGCCTAGCTCATGCCCAAGGAAACAAGCACTGTGGCCCTGCCTCAGGATTGAGTGGCTGGGGCCTGGCACAGCCAGAAATGACAGTGGCAGCATCTTGCAGCCCCAGGACATGTGGCCCTCGGAGGAGTGTGGGTGGGACTGATGTGTGAGATTTCTGGCCCTAAGCCAGGCCTGCAGCCCTTGAGGGCCCCAGGGTACAGGTGCCGGCCCCAGGGTGCCACTCAGCGATGCATGAAGAAGCAGGCACAGCCAGGCAGGGAGCCAAGCTGTCCCCTTCCTTCCTTATCTAGGAGACATGTGGGCCCAGAGCTGGGAAAACATCTACGACATGGTGGTGCCTTTCCCAGACAAGCCCAACCTCGATGTCACCAGTACTATGCTGCAGCAGGTAAGCTCTGGGCTCAAGCCTGGGGTGGTGGGGGTCGGGGGTGGGGCGCAAAAAAAGGGAGTCACAGATGGGCACAGGGGCGGGAAGGTTTCGGGTACTGAGCAGCAGCCTGGTGTGTCTGTAGGAGCAGTGAGCTGGGGTCGGCCCCCTCAGTGAGGTGCCAGCTCCTCCCTCCAGGCTCCACAGTGGCAGGATGAGAGCAACAACGCACTTTCACTCATCTGCTGTGGGAGTGAGGGCCCTGCCTCTGGGAATGGTGGCCACAGAGCAGAGAAGCTTTCATGCACAGGGAGTTGACCCGAGATGGGGACCCCAGCCCTGTCCCCAGGCCAGCCAGAGTGGGCTCCCCCTGACCTGGCTCCACACCCCTCCTCCAGGGCTGGAACGCCACGCACATGTTCCGGGTGGCAGAGGAGTTCTTCACCTCCCTGGAGCTCTCCCCCATGCCTCCCGAGTTCTGGGAAGGGTCGATGCTGGAGAAGCCGGCCGACGGGCGGGAAGTGGTGTGCCACGCCTCGGCTTGGGACTTCTACAACAGGAAAGACTTCAGGTTCAGACATGGGAAGAGCACGTTCTGGGGTTCCCCGGTTCTGGGGCCCGGGGAAAGGCAGGCAGCCCAGGCGCAGGGAAGCTGGTTCCCAGGCCTGCCTCTACCCTACCCCAGCACTGGTTGGAGGCTGGGTCTGTTCCAGGGCTAGGGGGTATAGGAGGCCTATTAGTCCACCTTCTCTGGCAGCTTTGACAAATAGTCACTTCTATACCTTGGAATGGAGGAAGAAGGCCCAAGTGGTGGTGAGCCAGGGCAGGGTAAAGAATTTGCTTGTTTCTGCCAGGCACGGTGGTCACACCTGTAATCCCAGCACTTTGGGAGGTCAAGGCGGGTGGATCACCTGAGGCCAGGAGTTCGAGACCAGCCTGGCCAACATGGCGAAACCCCGTCTCTACTAAAAATACAAAAATAAATTAGCCAGGGGTGATGGCGGGCGCCTGTAATCCCAGCTACTCAGGAGGCTGAGGCAGGAGAATCTCTTGAACCCGGGAGGCGGAGGTTGCAGTGAGCTGAGATTGTGCCACTACAGGCCAGCCTGTGCAAAAGAGTGAGACGCTGTCTCAAAAAAAAAAAAGAAAAAAAGAAGTTACTTGTTTCTACTGCGGCTTCATGCCCCAGGGCAGCTCCCTCCTCATTCCTGTCTTTCAGGTGCCAATCTGCCCTGTGCCCTGGCCCTGCCCTGTTCTGTCCATCCGTCACTCTCACCCTCGCCCTCTCTACGCCCCAGGATCAAGCAGTGCACACGGGTCACGATGGACCAGCTCTCCACAGTGCACCATGAGATGGGCCATATACAGTACTACCTGCAGTACAAGGATCTGCCCGTCTCCCTGCGTCGGGGGGCCAACCCCGGCTTCCATGAGGCCATTGGGGACGTGCTGGCGCTCTCGGTCTCCACTCCTGAACATCTGCACAAAATCGGCCTGCTGGACCGTGTCACCAATGACACGGGTATGGGAGGGCTGAGAGGCCCCCACCCAGCCTCACCTAAACCCCGCTCCACCCCACAGCAGGACCTCACTTGCCCCACTCAGCTCTGCCCTTCTTTCTGCCTCCCGGCCCCAGGTCAGGCAGGGTTCGGGATCCTCCTAGAGCCTCACGGTGCACACTGCGCCCAGCTCAGCACACCTGGGGGTCCTCTTCCAAGCAGGGCCCAGGGTCTCGAGGGCCAGCCATACCTTCTCTGCATCTCCCTGGCCTCACTTTCTGCTGCCCCGCCAGCCCACACTCTTAGGGGACCCTCTTCTCCCTCTGACCTCTTCCCTCTCCTTTCATCTCATCTCCCAACAGAAAGTGACATCAATTACTTGCTAAAAATGGCACTGGAAAAAATTGCCTTCCTGCCCTTTGGCTACTTGGTGGACCAGTGGCGCTGGGGGGTCTTTAGTGGGCGTACCCCCCCTTCCCGCTACAACTTCGACTGGTGGTATCTTCGGTGAGAGGAGGGATAGAAAAGCCTTCGCCCCAGCTAGCCCTCCCCAGCCTCCTGGACAGCCAGGCGCCTCCTGCCCCAGCCAGTTCTAGCCTCTCCTCTCTAATGATGTCCCCCGCTGTGACCCACCGCCTTCTCCTTTCCTGCCTGAAACTCCCTCTTCCAGGAAGTCTTCCCCAGTTCCTCAGGATGGGGAAGGGTTGCCGGGTGGAAATGCCTTTTCTACAAAAGTTAAATCCATCTGTTTGCAACCTCTAGGCCCTAAGACAATTTAACCATCCTTTTCCAGAACCAAGTATCAGGGGATCTGTCCTCCTGTTACCCGAAACGAAACCCACTTTGATGCTGGAGCTAAGTTTCATGTTCCAAATGTGACACCATACATCAGGTATTAGCGCCCCCACCCCACCCACCCCCAGTACTGTCACACCCTCAATCCACTTCTCCTCCTGTGATCCTAGCTGCCTCATCCCCAGGGCTTGTCCCCATGCTCCTCCAGACCTCAAAGGCCTGGAGTTAGAGTGGCCCACTCTCCTGAGCCTGTCTTGGGTCTCCCTTCTCCCCCAAGATAGCTTCTGGTCCAGCCTCTGCCCTGCAGGAAGCTGGATGGTGCCTGGGTAAGGAACCCCTGTTCCTGGCCCCCCATGATCTTCCCTGACTCCCACCCTGTGCCTGCAGGTACTTTGTGAGTTTTGTCCTGCAGTTCCAGTTCCATGAAGCCCTGTGCAAGGAGGCAGGCTATGAGGGCCCACTGCACCAGTGTGACATCTACCGGTCCACCAAGGCAGGGGCCAAGCTCCGGTGTGTGGTGGGAAGCCGGGGGAAGTGGGAGGCAGAGAGGAGCGGCTGGCAAAGGGTGTGGCAGGAGGTGTCTGGCTGCTCTGATGGGGTGGGGGGCACCAACCACAGAGCTGGACTGATGTGGATGCCTGTCTCCTCGCTATGTCATCAAATATTTATTGAGTGGGCCTTCTGGCTGGCATGGGGCGACACAAATGCCCCCTGCCACCATCAGAGAGATCCCAGGCCCCAGGGTCTTATTGCCACAGTTTCTGCAGTCCATTGGGGGGCGGAAGTGGCCAGGGGCATGTGGGCCGGGGTCCAGGAGCAGACTCCAGCCTGAGTCCCCTGTGCCCATGGTACCCACTCTGCCCACCAGGAAGGTGCTGCAGGCTGGCTCCTCCAGGCCCTGGCAGGAGGTGCTGAAGGACATGGTCGGCTTAGATGCCCTGGATGCCCAGCCGCTGCTCAAGTACTTCCAGCCAGTCACCCAGTGGCTGCAGGAGCAGAACCAGCAGAACGGCGAGGTCCTGGGCTGGCCCGAGTACCAGTGGCACCCGCCGTTGCCTGACAACTACCCGGAGGGCATAGGTAAAGCCCTGAGTGAGGATGGTGTGGGGCTAAGGTGGGTCCTCAACTCTGGGCTTGGCCCAGGCCCCAGGTTCCTGGTCAGCTCCTACCAGCTGAGCCCTGGTACCCTGTCCTGGAGGGCCAGGCAGCCCCCCAAGCTCATCAGCAGGGCCTGCGAGTGGGGACAGGCATGTCTTTCCCCCAGCATCCTAGAGAGGGTGTGCTCAGACCTGAGGGCCCCTCCCCTTCCAGAGGAAGCCAGACACAAGGCTCTGTGAGGTCACACTGCGGGCTCCGCTCTTATTGGCCAGGGGACGGTAGCTGCAGGACTCTGCTCTCCTGCGGCCATGGGCCAGGGTTGGGCTACTGCAGGACTTCCCAGCCTCCTCTTCCTGCTGCTCTGCTACGGGCACCCTCTGCTGGTCCCCAGCCAGGAGGCATCCCAACAGGTGACAGTCACCCATGGGACAAGCAGCCAGGCAACAACCAGCAGCCAGACAACCACCCACCAGGCGACGGCCCACCAGACATCAGCCCAGAGCCCAAGTGGGACCATGCAGGGGAGGGGCAGGGTGCCAGGGGTGGGAGAGGCGGGGCCGGGTAGGGACAGGGCAGGGTACAAGGGAGTGCGAGAGGGATAATGGCTTCTGGTGAGACCACAAACCTGGAGAGGGGAGGCAGAGGTTTGTCTGTTTCCCTGCACTCTGTCCCACAGACCTGGTGACTGATGAGGCTGAGGCCAGCAAGTTTGTGGAGGAATATGACCGGACATCCCAGGTGGTGTGGAACGAGTATGCCGAGGCCAACTGGAACTACAACACCAACATCACCACAGAGACCAGCAAGATTCTGGTGGGAGCCACCTCCCCACCCCCAAACCTGAGCATGTGCATACACACAGAGATGCTGTCCCGCTCACCACACAGTGGGGCTGCCACCACATTTTAAATTGAATATTTAAAACAATACTCAATTTCGGGCCGGGCGCGGTGGCTCACGCCTGTAATCCCAGCACTTTGGGAGGGGGAGGCGGGCGGATCACGAGGTCAGATCAAGACCATCCTGGCTAACACGGTGAAACCCCATCTCTAGTAAAAATACAAAAATTAGCCGGGTGTGGTGGCGAGCACCTGTAGTCCCAGTACTCAGGAGGCTGAGGCAGGAGAATGGCATGAACCCGGGAGGCAGAGCTTGCAGTGAGCCGAGATGGCACCACTGCACTCCAGCCTGGGCGACAGAGCGAGACTCCATCAAAAAAAAAAAAAAAAAAAACTCAATTTCAGATTTTGATGAACATTTACTCAATGCCTGAGCAATTCTTCTTTCCTTAAAAATCAGTCTCTGGGAGGCCTAGGTGGGAGGATCACTTGAAGCCAGGAGTTGGAGACTAGCCTGGGCAACATAGCAAGATCCCATCTCTATTCAAACAAACAAATAAACAAAAATCAATCTCTAGTAACAGAATAATTTGTACATAAATAAGTGGTGCTCAAGTCGTTTTTTAAAAGATTGAAAGCCTCTGTTTGTCTCCTCTACAAAAGGGGCTACACTTCCTCTTTACCCTCATTCCCTGCCTATTTGGCTGAGCACAAATTATGCCACTGAGCCACACACTGTTACTGTTCCTTGGCACTTTGATCTGTTGCCTCATCTTTTTCTCAACAGCCTTGCAAAATTGGTGAGCTTATTCCCATTTTACAGATGGGATTTGATATTAACTCTGAGGTTCAGAAAGGCCACAGAGCTAATACCAAGCTGGCTCCTTCCTAAGGGCCTTTACGACACTTGGGGGTCTTCTCTTCTCTGCCCCTGCCTGGATATGTGTTGCTTGACCGCAGGCATCCAGGGAGGGTGAGTACTGCATCCAGGACGTTATCAGCGTCCAGCTTGCAGAGAGTCTTATAGGCAAAGGTTGCAACTTAATTCCACTGCCCCCTCACCACCACCTCCAGCCCTCAGCTCCCACTTGGGGCCTCCCGCTCAGAGGCTGCTCTGGAGCTCCTGGGCCCTGTGACACCATCCCCCTGTGCCCTCAGCTGCAGAAGAACATGCAAATAGCCAACCACACCCTGAAGTACGGCACCCAGGCCAGGAAGTTTGATGTGAACCAGTTGCAGAACACCACTATCAAGCGGATCATAAAGAAGGTTCAGGACCTAGAACGGGCAGCACTGCCTGCCCAGGAGCTGGAGGAGGTGTGTGGCTCGCAAGGTACAGGGAGAGGGGAATCCTGGGGCAGTGAGCCCAACACAGGGTCTGGCCTGGCCTTCACGCTGCTTCCTCTTCCTCGTTGTATCAAGTCATGGCATCTGCCATGCGATGTGCACCTCAGAACTGCTGAGAGGGCAGCGCTCCCCAGCTCCCTGGCTCCCCACCTGCCAGCCCATGGGGCCTGGGGGTAGTGCAGGCCCCAGAGAGACCAAGTGCAAAGGAGTACAGCTCATTGCCTCTCCTTCCTCCTGCAGTACAACAAGATCCTGTTGGATATGGAAACCACCTACAGCGTGGCCACTGTGTGCCACCCGAATGGCAGCTGCCTGCAGCTCGAGCCAGGTGAGAGCTCATGTGCAGGCTGAGTGAGAGGCGAGGGCTGGGACTGGCATGGGGCCCGGGGGTGCTGGGTGAGAGCACAGAGTTGGGTTCCCCTCGCTCTTGGGGTCAGCGTGCCCAGGAAATGCCCTTTCTTGTTTTCCACGAGGGGGGCTTCTCTGCCCCACTGAGAGCCGGCACCTACTTCATACCATGCCCCGATCAGCTGCCCCTCCCTCAGAACCGCCCTCTGCTTAAGGGTGTCCACTCTCTCCTGTCCTCTCTGCATGCCGCCCCTCAGAGCAGCGGGATCTCAAAGTTATATTTCATGGGCTTGGACTCCAAATGGGGGGAACTCGGGGACACTAGCTCCCCCCGGCCTCCTTTCGTGACCCTGCCCTTGACTTCCTCACCTTCTCTGTCTTTCCTGAGCCCCTCTCCCAGCATGTGACTGATAAGGAAATTGAGTCACACAGCCCCTGAAAGCGCCAGACTAGAACCTGAGCCTCTGATTCCTCTCACTTCCCTCACCTACCCTGCCACTTCCTACTGGATAGAAGTAGACAGCTCTTGACTGTCCTCTTTTCTCCCCACTGGCTGGTCCTTCTTACCCCGGCCCGTTTGAAAGAGCTCACCCCCGACACAAGGACCCGCACACAGATACCTCCCAGCTCCCTCTCAACCCACCCTTTCCAGGGTTGGAGAACTTGAGGCATAAACTTGCTTCCATGAGGAATCTCCACCCAGAAATGGGTCTTTCTGGCCCCCAGCCCAGCTCCCACATTAGAACAATGACAAATAGAAGGGGAAATGGAAAATAAACAGGAGAAACGGTTTTCCCAGGACAGGGTTTGGCCTACAAGTTGTGGATGTGGGTACCCATGCCAAGTGTGAGGGGAGGCTGGCCGGGTGTGGTGGCTCATGCCTCTAATCCCAGCACTTTGGGAGGCCAAGGTGAGTAGATCACTTGAGGCCGGGAGTTTGAGACCAGCCTGGCCAACATGGTGAAACCCCATCTGTACTAAAAATACAAAAGTTAGCTGGGCGTGGTGGTAGATGCCTGTAGTCCCAGCTACTTGGGAGGCTGAGGCATGAGAATCGCTTGAGCCCAGCCTGGGCAATACAGCAAGACCCCGTCTCTACAAATAAAATACAAAAAATTAGTTGGATGTGGTGGTGCATGCCTGTAGTCCTAGCTGCTAGGGAGGCTGAGATGGAAGGATTGCTTGAGCCTGGGAGGTCAAGGCTGCAGTGAGCCGAGATGGCGCCACTGCACTCCAGCCTGGGCAACAGAGTGAGACCCTGTCTCAGAAAAAAAAAAAAAAAAAAAAAGGAGAGGAGAGAGACTCAAGCACGCCCCTCACAGGACTGCTGAGGCCCTGCAGGTGTCTGCAGCATGTGGCCCCAGGCCGGGGACTCTGTAAGCCACTGCTGGAGAGCCACTCCCATCCTTTCTCCCATTTCTCTAGACCTGCTGCCTATACAGTCACTTTTATGTGGTTTCGCCAATTTTATTCCAGCTCTGAAATTCTCTGAGCTCCCCTTACAAGCAGAGGTGAGCTAAGGGCTGGAGCTCAAGGCATTCAAACCCCTACCAGATCTGACGAATGTGATGGCCACGTCCCGGAAATATGAAGACCTGTTATGGGCATGGGAGGGCTGGCGAGACAAGGCGGGGAGAGCCATCCTCCAGTTTTACCCGAAATACGTGGAACTCATCAACCAGGCTGCCCGGCTCAATGGTGAGTCCCTGCTGCCAACATCACTGGCACTTGGGTCCCTTCATTTTCCTCAAAGAGGTGCTGTGAAACCCCAAGCCTAGGAAAAGGTAGATCCCTGGAGGAGGCAGGTAATGTGGTGTTGGGAGAGCCTGGCTGTGTCCCCTCTGTAGGCTATGTAGATGCAGGGGACTCGTGGAGGTCTATGTACGAGACACCATCCCTGGAGCAAGACCTGGAGCGGCTCTTCCAGGAGCTGCAGCCACTCTACCTCAACCTGCATGCCTACGTGCGCCGGGCCCTGCACCGTCACTACGGGGCCCAGCACATCAACCTGGAGGGGCCCATTCCTGCTCACCTGCTGGGTAAGGGCACATGTCGGGCCTTGAGGAGGGTAAAGACGGACCACAGTGTGAGTGAGGGTTGGGACAGGGCTGACTAGAGGGTAGGGAGCAGGCTGGGGACTGAGAGACTCCAGCCCTGTGGGGGATGGTTGCCCAGGCTGGAGGGGGGTGGGCGCTGGGAGTGGGGAGCCCCCCACTTGCATCTGGTGCCACATTCACTGCAGATCTATGTCGGGCAAGTCACCATGGATGGGGGAAGAAGTTAATAATCTTGTCCAGGAGACCACGGCACCCATCACAACATTGTGTGATCTTAGAGGGCGAGGAAGAGGCTGTGAGTGGGAGCTGGGGAGGCTTTGCCAAGAGGTGGCCTGTGAGCAGGGCCTCGGAAGATGACAGGGTTTGACAGATGGGAAGTGGGGGATGAGAGGACAGACGCAGTGTTCAGGCCAAGGGAACTGGAACAAAGAAGAACCTGAGAATGTAAATCTACTTCAACCCTGGACCCTCCTTTGCCAAGGGCTGCAATCTCAGATGCCCTGAATGTGTGAAGTAGGCGGTGAGGACAGTAAGGGATGGTAGGGAGTAAGGCAAAGCAGAGGCTACTGGTTCTCTGTCCCTGATGGGCTGTTAGGAACACTTTCCTGGAGCAGAGAGACCAGACAGGCCCTCAGACCATTTAGAAACTATAAGGGAGGCCCCAGAGGACGGCCTGGCTGTGGGTCTAGCTCCCACACAGGCTGGGAGTCCAGCCCTCTTCAGCCCCTCTCTGGTGAGACCAAAGAACATCTGGTGATGTCACAGTGGACGTCAGTTCACCAACTGGGAGACACAGGCCCCGGGAAGAAAAGCAACATGCCCAGCGTGGCCTGGGAGCTGGGGCAGAGCTGGCCTTAGAACTCAGCCCCTGACAATTGGTAAAAGGGGAAAGGGGAGCAACCTAACACTGATGCGCTCTCTGTCTCTCTCTCTGGCTCTCTCCCTGGCTCTCTCCCTCTTCTCTCTCATGTTCTCTCCATCACTCATCGCTCTAACCCTCTCTCACTGGTTTGCACTTTAGACTTCATCTGATGTCAGCCGAAGCTTCACCTCACTTGGCTAGGAAAGAGCCTTGAGTCCAAATCTGTTTCTGAGCCTTCCATTCATCCTGAGTTTCTTCCTTTTCCTCTGTCGTGGAGAACTAGGCTCTTTTCTTACACTAAACTCAGAGGCATCAGCCTCTCCTGAAGGAGACGGCTGGTTCCTGTCAGAGTTGCTGAGCTGCAGACACCGACCTCAGGTGGTGCGGAGGGGACATGGCAGAGTGGCTGGTGAAGAGAGCAGCCTGCCAGCCTTTCAATCCCAGCCCTGCCACTTAGGAGCCGTGGGCCCCCGGCGAGGGGGGCGGTCACTTAACTCTCCAGCCTGTTTCCTTTACTAGCCAATGGGAATCGTGACAGTACCTGGGTGCAGACAGGATTGAAAGTGAATTCACACAATGTTCTTGGTGCAGAGCCAATAAGAGGTGGCCACCGGGGTGTAGGTGTTCTGGGGACCTGTAATGTCCTCACATGTCAGCAGTTGCTAGTCACATTGGTCTCCACTGCTCACGGACAGTGAAGACCACCTGGATTCCCTGATAACCAGCAAGGCCCCCACCTAGAGCCAGGCAGTAATGACCTACTGGGCTGGATATGCACACCAAAGATGATGTGTGCCTCAAAGCTTGCAAACAGTAGGTGCTCAAGAAATGCCACTATGATTAGCAGGACTGGGATCTGGAGCGCTCTTCCTGCAGGAGGGCATTGAGCCTAAGTAACATTTGTCTTTCCTCTCTCTGCCGTCCCCCACACTCGCCTCCAGGGAACATGTGGGCGCAGACCTGGTCCAACATCTATGACTTGGTGGTGCCCTTCCCTTCAGCCCCCTCGATGGACACCACAGAGGCTATGCTAAAGCAGGTCCGCACCAGCCCAGGGGCAGGGAGGCCCCGCCGGGATGGGAGGGACCCTCTGATTCAGGAGTTCCCTCCAGTTTAGCCCTCCCCCGGGATCCCCACGGCAGCACGCAGTCTGTCCCCGGAACCCCCAGTTTGGGCAGAACTCCCTCTGCTTGCAGGGCTGGACGCCCAGGAGGATGTTTAAGGAGGCTGATGATTTCTTCACCTCCCTGGGGCTGCTGCCCGTGCCTCCTGAGTTCTGGAACAAGTCGATGCTGGAGAAGCCAACCGACGGGCGGGAGGTGGTCTGCCACGCCTCGGCCTGGGACTTCTACAACGGCAAGGACTTCCGGTACATCCAGCTAGGGCTCAGGTCTCGTTCCTGAGCCCCACGGGCAAGGGAAATGAACCAAGCAAAGGGTCCACTACTGTCCCCCAGCTGGAGCCAGCAGGGCAGGATGGGGACAGGGCCAGAGTTTGGGACTGAGTGTCTAGAGAGGTGTTGGCTTCTGGCAGGAAAACCCCATCCGCCTGATGGGGACTTCTGAAGCACGCAACAGCTCTGTCAGCCTGGCCGCTGGGAAGTGCTCAAGGTCCCAGTCCTGGGTTTGAGCATGGTAGGCTGCCCCGCGTCCCTCCTTGGGAGCAGCCCCTGCATGGAGCTGGCCTCTCCCTGGGGGCACATGCTGTGACACAGGGAGGCACACGAGGATGTTGGGTGCTCTGTACAGATCCACTCTCACCCCTGACAGGCTCAGAAGCTGCCTTCCTTGGAGGATGGCGTTTTAGTTACCTATTGCTGTGCAACCAAGCACCCCAGAGCTTAGCCTTACGAAACAACCAGTTGATTTTGCTTATGATTTTATGTGCCAGGAATTCAGGCAGTACACAGTGGAAATGGCCTTTCTCTACAGGGCCCCCTCTGTTGGGGGCAGCTCTCACAGCCGGGATGGCTCAATGGGGGCCATACGTCCAGAGCCCCAGTTCTGGCTGTCGGTTGAGGTCCTCGGTTTTTCCCATGTGGCAGATGCTGGGGCACATGTTCCCAGTGGCCTCTTGGCTCACATGTTGGGTGCTTGGGGTGAGATGGCTGGAACGGCTGGAGGTGGGTCAGGCATCTCTCCAGGCTAGCTCGGGCGCCCTCCCAGCGTGGAATCTGAGGTGGGCAGATTTACCTGGCAGCCAGCATCCCCCACAGCAACTACTGACGCAGCCAGTTCTCAAGGCTAGGTCCAAAACTGGCCCAGAGTCACTTCTGCCATGTTTTATTGGCTAGAACAAGTCACAAGTTCACCCAGATTCAAGAGAAGAGAAAAAAGTCCCTCCCACTTGGGAGAAGTGGCAAAGACCATCTGTCACAGCTGAAGAAGTGTCTCTTACAAGGAGAACAGACACGGGGAGCCTGAAACAAAACCCGATGGGATTCCCTGGGCTGTGCAGGCCCTTCCAGGCATGAGGACTCAGCCACAGGGCTGAGAGGAGACAGGATCTGGGGGATGAGAGCCCTTGTGGGGTCTTCCCTTTTATGGGGAGTCAGAGGAGAAGCTGGATAGATCCCCAGCCTTGTGGCCAGGATGCTGGGCAGCTCTTCCTTCCCCCTCCCCGATGAGAATGACAGAAAAACAGGATTCACCTGAGCCAAAAGGCTTCCAGTTAGATCCAAGAGAGAATTTCCCGCAGTTTGAATTGGTTTGCTAAACAACAAGGAAGGGCTGGGTGCGGTGGCTCACACCTGTAATCTCAGCACTTTGGGAAGCCGAGGCAGGAGGTCTGCTTGAGCTCAGGGGTTCGAGACCATCCTGGGCAACATAGCGAGACCCCATTTCATAAAAAATAAATAAGTAAATGAGAACAAGGAAGGACTGACGAGAGACGGTAGAACCTTCTGGTTTGGGCAGCTCTGCAGCTGCCATTCATCCTGGCCATAAGAATTCTTGGGGTGAATAAGTTTGTCGCTGTTGGGCCGCATGAGATGCAGAATCGCCCACTCTCACCCCTGACAGAAACAGTTGTTTCCTTCAGGGAGCCTCCATCTTGGGAGATAAAGCATGTGTACATGGGAACCCACTGGCCACACATTCTCTAGAAAGTACACAATGTCCCAGTGCCTCTAGAGCAAGCACTTTGTACAGTCAGAAAGCAACAGGTGGTGGGGGCTGGAGTCATTCAGGAAAATGGGAGGCAGAGGAATGGCCTGAACGGCCCGATGCTAGGGGCTTCTGCCCCCAGATTCCCTCTTACGCACACTCAGTGGTTGCCCTTCCCCTCCCTCCCCACAGTGCTGTGTCCCCTGCATGCTGCAGTGCTGGGGTCTGCCCTGGGTATAGCAAGGCCCACTGTTCCCTTATGCCCAGGGCTTCTCACTGTCCTCTCCCAACACCCTCTCCCCCACTCCACTATTCCTAGGATCAAGCAGTGCACCACCGTGAACTTGGAGGACCTGGTGGTGGCCCACCACGAAATGGGCCACATCCAGTATTTCATGCAGTACAAAGACTTACCTGTGGCCTTGAGGGAGGGTGCCAACCCCGGCTTCCATGAGGCCATTGGGGACGTGCTAGCCCTCTCAGTGTCTACGCCCAAGCACCTGCACAGTCTCAACCTGCTGAGCAGTGAGGGTGGCAGCGACGGTGAGAGAGAAGCGGGAGGCCCTGGTGGGCTGAGGACCAAGAAAGGGTGGTGAGCTTGGGAGGTGGGAAAGGGGCACTTAGTGGCCCATGGGCAGAGGTGTGGGGCAGAGCAATCGGAAGGAAGGGAGCCACCCAGACCATCCCAGGAGGCAGGTCACAGGGCCCAAAAGGTACAGCACCCCCACCCCTCCACCATCACAGGCACACCAGGGCCAAGCCGCTAGGACCCTGGGTCTGACAGCTGGGCTCCCTTCCCTTGCAGAGCATGACATCAACTTTCTGATGAAGATGGCCCTTGACAAGATCGCCTTTATCCCCTTCAGCTACCTCGTCGATCAGTGGCGCTGGAGGGTATTTGATGGAAGCATCACCAAGGAGAACTATAACCAGGAGTGGTGGAGCCTCAGGTTCTGGAACACTCCCACGGGATGCGGGCTGGGGGATCTCTGCGAGTGTCTGCATGTGCCTGGGTGTCTGGATGGGCCAGGGTAGGGGAGTGTGTGTGTGTGTGTACACTATTGTGTCTGTGCATATGATGTGTGTGGTGTAAGTGATGGGGAAAACGGGGTGATTGTGCACAGAGGCCCAGCACGCAGGAGAATGGGGTGCCCAGTATAGCCCCAAGTGCAGGGACCCTCCCTCAAGTCAAAAATGCCACCCCCAGCCTGGTTCTCCCCAAACTCATCTTCCAACATATATTCCCACTCGACAGGCTGAAGTACCAGGGCCTCTGCCCCCCAGTGCCCAGGACTCAAGGTGACTTTGACCCAGGGGCCAAGTTCCACATTCCTTCTAGCGTGCCTTACATCAGGTAACGGGAAAGGCAGGAGGGCACATTGTGAGGGGCAGTACCCACAGCTTTGTGTTTCAACTGCGGCCACTGCCCGGTCCACAAGCTCTGTCAGTCAGGGCAGACCCGGGGGAGCCGGCCGCACGGTGCAGGTGCCTGGGCCCACTCACACTGCCAAGGCTGATGGGTTTTTTCTTGAACATTCTTTTGATGAGAGTCTGTACCATCCAAACAGTTGAACACAGAAACTCAACCTAATAATTGGCTAATGGTTACCAGACCTTGGTTAAGTAGTTAACATTAACCACGACTCATGGCTGGATCATGAGCTCTGCACTGTTTTGTTTTGCTTTTAAAACAAGACTGTGATTCTTTTACTATTATTGAACATTGTCTGCGATACAATTTGAATTGTACCTGGAAGCCCTTCTAGACACTAAAATGTAGGATTGGAGATCGGTTAAGGTGGGAGGCAGGGTTGCTGGGGCAAGTTACAGTCACAGGCTGGGGTCAGACAGAACTGGGTTCAAACTCCGTCTCCATTACTTTGTTTCCTTGAGAAAATTCCTCAATTTCTGTGAGCTTCCATTTCCTGACCTGTGAACCCCATTTCACAGGATGCACGATGGCTAACTTCTTAGCATTCTGTCTCATACACAGCCTCCTCAGGGAGGGGTGGCCAGGACCCCACTATTCATCACTCTCTAGTGGAATGTAGCTGCACACTAGGTCTGCAGGTCACATGGCCACAGATGAGTGTGCCCAATGCAGCCCCTCTCCTTCTGTGTGCCCCGGGAGAGCACTTGCTGAGGGCTAGCAAGGCTGTTTGTGATCCGGGAGGCTCCCTGGGAGGCTGGGGGCTAGAGAGACCTCAGGCTGGAGTTCCAGGTGCCCCCGGGCTACAGGTAGCCCAGGCCACCCCCAGAGGGCTGTGGCTGCCTCTGGCCCTGGCCTCCCGTGGTTCCTGGAAGCCCAGCAAGGGCAGGGCCCATGCCCACCTTGCCTCCTGGCACCTGGGATGATGCCAGCACATCATCAAGTGCTAATAACTGATTGTGGGATGGATGAAGTCTGTCCCCAGAGTCCAGGAAGAGGGCATCCCTGGAGCACCTCAGATAGGCCTGACCTAGACGGTGCTCCAGAGATGACACTTAGGACAGGGCTCCCGCCTGCCTGCTGGAGTGGTCCCTGGGGTTCCCAGCCGGCGCTGGCTCTCACCCGGGAGCCAGCTGGTGTGATGGCTAGCTTCCCAGCTTAATGCAGACAATTCTCCAAACAGGGGTGGGCAAAGGAGACTTGGCTGCTCTAGAAAAACATTCCGGATTCTGGCCAGCAGCCTTCACAAAGCACTTTTAGGAAAGACCAGGGAACTAGGTGGTACATGCTTGCACCCAGCATTCAAAGTGAGAGGCCTGTGCCACTGGCTCAGGACATTTAAAACCTCTTCAGACTTTAAGCTGGGGAGAATCCTCCAGCCTTGACTGGCAGATTTCTACCAGGGAATTCGTGATGCTTTGGATAAGATCATGTAGGACTGGCTTCCCTGCCCAGACCACCCTAGTAGATCCACACGGCCCATTTGGCCACACCTTGCCTCTACTTGCATATACCCCAGGGATGGAGACCTCACTGCCTCCAAAGCCACCTGCCAGATCTCTGAAGGCTCTGCCCTGACCCCATGGAGCAGGCCCTCCTGAGTTGTGGAGGCAGCTCTGTGGGTGGGAGGCATCTACACAGGCACGGCTAGGAAGAGGCTCAGACAATGCTAAGAGCTGGGGTGGGGGAGCTCACCCTGATAGCTGTGGGCAGAGTTGGGGGGCCTTGGCTCTGCTGTGCGCATGTGACTTAGCACACATCACATGTGATGTGCAGAAGGGCCTGGGGCCCAGTGGCACAAGGCCCTCAACCAACTCCGCCCCGGGCCACGGCCTCGCTCTGCTCCAGGTACTTTGTCAGCTTCATCATCCAGTTCCAGTTCCACGAGGCACTGTGCCAGGCAGCTGGCCACACGGGCCCCCTGCACAAGTGTGACATCTACCAGTCCAAGGAGGCCGGGCAGCGCCTGGCGTGAGTGTCCTCCAGCCCTCCTTTGTTTCCATGCTCTGGCCTGCGCCCCTGGGCCTTGAGGGGTCTGTCCACTGGAGCTTTTGTGGGAACACTTGCCATTTTGAGCCGGGAACTCCCACCTGCAGCGTGGGCCAGGCCTGATTGCCATCTCCTTAGGCACCTGGAGCCCTGGGGCCCTGGGACAAGTTTCAGCTGGGAGTGGGTATGGAGAGTGGATGTCAGGTGGGGGCAAGAGGGGCCATGTCCTTCTGACTCTGCCTCCCTGTCTCATGCCTCCCCAGGACCGCCATGAAGCTGGGCTTCAGTAGGCCGTGGCCGGAAGCCATGCAGCTGATCACGGGCCAGCCCAACATGAGCGCCTCGGCCATGTTGAGCTACTTCAAGCCGCTGCTGGACTGGCTCCGCACGGAGAACGAGCTGCATGGGGAGAAGCTGGGCTGGCCGCAGTACAACTGGACGCCGAACTCCGGTACCGCCACCCACCCCACCTCCAGCCTTGGGTCTTAACCCCCTCCCCAGGCTGGGCAGCCATGCGGCTGACCTCGGAGCCTGGCCCTGCCCCGCACCCTTGCCCTGCCCTGCCCTGCCCTGCCCATGCTGTCTCCTTGCTTCCCGCTCAGCTCGCTCAGAAGGGCCCCTCCCAGACAGCGGCCGCGTCAGCTTCCTGGGCCTGGACCTGGATGCGCAGCAGGCCCGCGTGGGCCAGTGGCTGCTGCTCTTCCTGGGCATCGCCCTGCTGGTAGCCACCCTGGGCCTCAGCCAGCGGCTCTTCAGCATCCGCCACCGCAGCCTCCACCGGCACTCCCACGGGCCCCAGTTCGGCTCCGAGGTGGAGCTGAGACACTCCTGAGGTGACCCGGCTGGGTCGGCCCTGCCCAAGGGCCTCCCACCAGAGACTGGGATGGGAACACTGGTGGGCAGCTGAGGACACACCCCACACCCCAGCCCACCCTGCTCCTCCTGCCCTGTCCCTGTCCCCCTCCCCTCCCAGTCCTCCAGACCACCAGCCGCCCCAGCCCCTTCTCCCAGCACACGGCTGCCTGACACTGAGCCCCACCTCTCCAAGTCTCTCTGTGAATACAATTAAAGGTCCTGCCCTCCCCATCTGAGTCTGTGTCCCTCACAGGGAAGCCAGGGACAGGGACAGGCTGCTTTCCTGCCTCCTGGCAGTCAAGTGGGTCCCGTTACTAGGTTTGTTCCTCCATCCTCCTTCAGGAGCCGGGGAGGATCCCCAGAGCTCTGCCCCAGCACCTCCTGGCGCTGGCGCCTGTCTTCCCTCCAGCCCAGGCAGCCCGCCACTGTCCTGCCACCGCAGGCAGCCCCTGTCTGGCCCAAGCACTGACCCACGCGGACTCTGGGAAGCAGACATCCTGGGCTGCTGGCCTCACATTTCCACTGGCAGTGGAGCCTTTCCCTGCTCCACAAATGGCCAGGTCCCCCCAGGGGAAGGCTTCCGGCTGTTATCGGCTGCCTCAGGGGGCGAGTACCTTGGAGGGCCTGCTTCAAGGAGGGTGCCCCCTGGAGGGCACACACCAGCCTAGTGCTTACCTTGGCTCCTGCCTGTACCAGCTCCATGACTCTGCTCGGGTGAACAGCCTTGGCTCTCAGACAGCCATTCTAACACTGCCAGTGCAGAGGGGCCTCAGACGCTGGAGTGTAGCAGTGGCTGCACCTGCACAGGGATTAGCTGCCAGCAGCCACCCTGCTGGCGTCCCAGCACACACCTCCTCACTCCCTGCATTGGAGGGAGTGTCATTTTAAGGGACATTTTTATGACTTTTATGTGTATGTTTATGTAGAAATTTGGAAAATACAGAAAACTGTAAAGAAAATAAAAGCCCTTTATATCAACGTCAAGAGATAAGCCCTGTTGACGTTTTGGTGTACAACTTGCCGGACTTCTTCTCAGCACATGTGTATTTTAAATGGGATCACACCATATTTACAGTCATACATCCTTTTATCACTTCATACAACTAGATCTGTTTTTCTGATATTTAAATGCCAGACTTCGAACTTGGCCAATAGAAGTTGGTCCATTTGCTGGGGCCAGGGGCTCCCCAGCCACCCGGGCCCCTCTGTCAAACCCTCAGCCCTGAGTCTCTTCTGGGCTTTGCTGATGTCTTCACCCTAGCTAGGTCCATCTCCCAATATCTGTCCCCCTTAGTCCACAGCTTTTGCCCCCCAATCCAGGTGCCGTGCGTGTCTCTGTGTGTCCGTGTCTGTGTGTGTGTTGTACACAGGCTTGGCTGTTACAGGCCCATTCTGTAAGGCAGGATGTGGGGCTGAGGTATTTTAGGATTGAAAGAGGGTGGAAGTTTATGATTACATAGGACAATGGAATTTATAAACATGTCCTCTAAATGGTTCCGAGTCATCTACCAATGAAGACTTCTTGAATTATCCCCCCTTTTCCCAGCCTGTTTTGAAAGCTCTTTGTTTACCAGACAAAGGTCATCATCATATGACCCCCTTTGCCTTTTTTTTTTTTTTAAGATGGAGTCTCGCTCTTGTTGCCCAGGCTAGAGTGCAGTGGTGTGATCTCGGCTCACTGTAACCTCCACCTCCTGGCTTTCAAGCGATTCTCCTGCCTCAGCCTTCCGAGTAGCTGGGATTACAGGCGCCCACCACCATGCCTGGCTAAATTTTTGTATTTTTAGTAGAGATGGGGTTTAATCATGTTGGCCAGGCTGGTCTCGAATTCCTGACCTCAGGTGATCCACCCACCTCGGCCTCCCAAAGTGCTGGAATTACAGGCATGAGCCACCATGCCTGGCCCCCGTTTCCTATTTTTATGAACCACAGCGGTTCATGCTGCCTGTCAGAGCTTCTGGGCCGCGTGAGGTCACCAGCTTTCAACACGCAAAGGACTGCACTGCAGCTGGGGGAAGAGAAACTCCACACTGCATTGGCCTGGCCAGCCTTACCCTCTGGGCTTTTGAAATAGTATCTTTTTTCTGTTTGTTTTCAAACAGAGTCTCGCTCTGTCGCCCAGGCTGGAGTGCTGGAGTGCAGTGGCCTGATCTCGGCTCACTGCAACCTCCACCTCCCAAGTTCAAGCGATTCTCCTGCCTCAGCCTCCCGAGTAGTTGGGCTACTACTTCAGGCGCACGCCGCCATGCCCAGCTAATTTCTTTTGTATTTTAGTAGAGATGGGGTTTCACCATGTTGCCCAGGCTGGTCTTGAACTCCTGAGCTCAGGCAATCCGCCCGCCTCAGCCTCTCAAAGTGCTAGGATTACAGGCATGAGCCACCGCGCCCGGCCCAATAGTATCATTCTTTAGATGCCTGCCTCTGCCTCCTTGGGTGAGTGGGGAGAGGCAGGGGATACCTGGAAGGTAGCAGAGGAAGAGGAGGCGGTAACAGCAGGAAGAGGGGCCACCCCAGTGTTTTCTACTGGTGGCCCTGAAGGCTGAGCCCATCCCCGTGCCATGCCTGCCAATGCCGCTCTTGGGAGACCAGCTCTCACCTACGCTAGCCACAGGTGGTGGCTGCCAGACAGTTTCTCTGATCCCCACAGCCCTCCCCACCCTCTACCTTCCTCTGTCTGCCTAACCCCCTTCCCACCCACCCTGGCTTTTAACATAAGTGAAAAAGTGGCTAACCCCACCTCTGCACTTATCACCTGTGTGACCTTGGGCAGTTTGTTTTTGCAGTCTGCATTTTCTTTTCTTTTCTTTTTTTTTTTTTTTTTTTGAGATGGAGTCTCGCTCTGTCACCCAGGCTGGAGTGCAGTGGCGTGATCTCGGCTCACCGCAAGCTTGGCCTCCTGGGTTCACGCCATTCTCCTGCCTCAGCCTCCCGAGTAGCTGGGACTACAGGCGCCAGCCACCACGCCCGGTTAATTTTTTGTATTTTTAGTAGAGACAGGGTTTCACCGTGTTAGCCAGGATGGTCTCAATCTCCTGACCTCGTGATTTGCCTGCCTCGGCCTCCCAGAGTGCTGGGATTACAGGCGTGAGCCACCGCGCCCAGCCTGCATTTTCTTTCTTACGGTTCTTATCAACCCTCTCAGCGTTGCCATGAAGATGAAATGAGATGATGTACAAAGTCCTAGTAGAGTGTCTTCTCTTTATAATGAATGCATCGTCTCCTGAGAAAGCTAGTTTCATAACAACCCCAGATCAGCCAAGTCCAGATCAGCCCTCTCACTTGAGACAGGAAGAGGACTCGGGGCAACTGGGTGCCGGAGCTGGACTGAAAACTCCCATCTCCCAGCTGCCTTCCAGGAACTTCCCCACCACACGTCCTTGCACAGCCAGTCAACTGTCTTCTTACTGGGAGCACACAGAGCTCGTCCACTGGGGGCCCACAGCTTGCCTCAGTTCCGGGAGTACTCAGCCATCTCCCTGTGTCGCCTCTCCCTCATCATCCCTCCCCATGTCACATCTCCCTCAGCCTCTCCGTGTTACCTCTCCCTCATCCTCCCTCCCCATGTTGCCTCTCCCTCATCCTCTCTCTCATCCTCCCTGCCCGTGTCGCCTCTTCCTCATCCTCTCCCTCATCCTCTCCCTCTTCCTCTCTCCCCATCTCTCCTCTCCCTCATCCTCCCTCCCCATGTCACTTCTCCCTCATCGTCTCCCTCATCCTCCCTCCCTGTGTCGCTTCCGCCTCATCTCCCCTCCCCATGTCACCTCTGCCTTATCCTCTCTCTCATCCTCTCTCCCCATCTCTCCTCTCTCTCATCCTCCCTCCCCATGTCGCCTCTTCCTCATCCTCTCTCCCTATGTCACCTCTCCCTCATCCTCTCCCTCATCCTCTCTCCCTATGTCATCTCTCCCTCATCCTCTCTCCCTGTGTCACCTCTCCCTCATCCTCTCCCTCATCCTCTCTCCCTATGTCACCTCTCCCTCATCCTCTCTCCCTATGTCACCTCTCCCTCATCCTCTCCCTCATCCTCTCTCCCTATGTCATCTCTCCCTCATCCTCTCTCCCTGTGTCACCTCTCCCTCATCCTCTCCCTCATCCTCTCTCCCTATGTCACCTCTCCCTCATCCTCTCTCCCAATGTCATCTCTCCCTCATGCTCCCTCCCCGTGTTGCCTCTTCTTCATCCTCTCCCTCATCCTCTCCCTCATCCTCCCTCCCTGTGTCGCTTCTGCCTCATCCTCTCTCCCCATGTCTCCTCTCCCTCATCATCTCCCCTCACCTTCGAGGATCCCCATAAGACCCTGCCTGGGGATTTCTATCTTGCCCTCTGTCTCCTAACTCTTGCTCATAGTGCTCACCCCATTTCCTGTCCTGTGTGCCTGGCGATTCCCCACCTGTGTCCTCCAGGCCCGGTGCTTCTGATTTTTAGCCTACTGTTTAATCTGGCTGTCGAGAGTTTTGTCGTTCCAATTTAATCCCTATATTTTTCATTTTAGCATCCCTGCTTCTTTCAAACCTCCTGGGTTTTCATAAACGCCTGTTTTTGCCTCACAGATTCTGTTCTCTGAATCACTTTAAAGACCTGGTTTTTTTAATTGTGGCAAAATATACATAATGTAAACTCACCATCTTAACCATTTTTAAGTGTACAATTCAGTGGCACTAAGTACATTCACATTGTTAATTGTTGTGCAGCCATCACCACTGTCCATCTCCAGAACAGTTTCATTTTTCTGTGTGTGACAAGGTGCCCCCAAAAAGTGTGCTTACTCTGTTGTCCAGGCTCACTGCAGCTTCAACCTTCTGGGCTCAAGCAATCCTCCCACCTCAAGCTCCACAGTAGCTGGGAGCACAGGCATGAACCACCACACTCAGATAATTTTTTTTAAGTTTTTAGTAGAGGCCAAAGCACGGTGGCTCACGCCTGTAATCCCAGTACTTGGGAGGCCAAGGCGATCGGATCACTTGAGGTCAGGAGTTTGAGACCAGCCTGGCCAACAATGGCAAAACCTCATCTCTGCTAAAAATATAAAAATTAGCCAGGTGTGGTGGGGGTCGCCTGTAATCCCAGCTATTTGGGAGGCTGAGGCAGGAGAAGCACTTGCACCCGGGAGGCAGAGGTTGCAGTGAGCCAGGATCATCCCATTGTACTCCAGCCTAGGCGACAGAGCAAGACTCTGTCTCAAAAAAGAAAAAAAAAAATTTTTTTTTGGTAGAGATGGGATCTCCTTATGTTGTCCAGGCTGGTCTCGAACTTCTGGGCTAAAGTGATCCACCTGCCTCGGCCTCCCAAAGTGCTGGGATTACAGGTGTGAGCCACAGTACCCAGCCTCTGTACCCATTAAACAGTAAAATCATACAGTATTTGTTTTGTCTCTGGCTTGTCTCAGCATAATGTTTTCAGTGTTTATCCATGTTATAGGATGTGTCAGAATTTCCTTCCCTCTTAAGGCTGAGTAATATTACATTACATGTATATACCACATTTTGTTTATCCATTCATTCATCCATGAACATATGGGTTTCCACCTTTTGGTTATGGTGAATAATGTTACTATGAACTGTAAAAAAAAGTAATTCAAAATCAAAGCTGTTGAAACTTTAAATTATTCTGAGCCTTGAAGGAAAGTAATTTTGGGACCTGAGTCACTTACGGGCAGCTATGAACTTTGTTTCCTTGATTATAGATTACTCCTTTTCCCCTTAGCTACATCATTTTGTAAAATGTTATAAAAGACTGAAGGGTGCCATAGAAGTTCCCTTTCCTCTTTTCTGTTGAACTTCATTATAGATGATTAACTTCCCTCTTCCTTCTCCTACGCAAAGACCTCACGACTGTCACATTGTCCAAGATGTGTTAAATGTACTCTTTTAAACTGAAAAAAAGAAAATAAGCTATTACTAATCAAATTGCTGTACCTCATAAACCAAACTTATATGGGAAATGTTGTGATTCTACCTAATTTCTTAGTTTTCTGACTATAAAGTAAGACCTTAAACTTTTCAGCTTCAGAGCACTGACCCCATTTCTTTGGAGCCTGTGAGAATGGCCGTCCTCAGCTTCACGCTCGAATAAACCTGTTAAACTGGATTCTGATCTTTTTTATTATTTCAGGTTGACAGAACACTGTGTGCAAATATCTGTTTGAGTCCCAGCTTTCAGTTCTTTTGTGTATATACCCAGGAGGATTGCCCGATCATATGGTAATTCTATGCTTCATTTTTTTTGAGGACCCACCAGACTGTTTTCCGCAGCGGCTCTGCCATTTTCCCCCAGCAATGCACAAGGTTTCCAATTTCTCCACACGTTGACCGACTCTTGTTTTCTGTTTTTTTGATAACAGCCATCCTAATGGGTGTGAAGTGGTGGCTTTGATTTGCCTTTCCCTAATAATTAGTGATATTGAGCATATTTTCCTGTGCTGATGAGCAGCTCATGTATTTTCTTTAGAGAGATGTCTACCCGAGTCCTTTGCCCATCTTTGTTTTTGTTGTCGTTGTTTGTTTGTGTTTGTTTGTTTGTTTTGAGGTGGAGTCTCACTCTGTCACCCAGGCTGGAGTGCGGCGAGGCAATCTCGGCTCACTGCAACTTCTGCCTCCTGGGTTCAAGCAATTCTCCTGTCTCAGCCTCCTGAGTAGCTGGGACTGCAGGCGCCCACCACCATGCCCGACTAATTTTTGTATTTTTTTAGTAGAGACGGGGTTTCACCGTATTGGTCAGGCTGGTCTTGAACTCCTGACCTCAGGTGATCCACCCACCTCAGCCTCCCAAAGTGCTGGGATTATAGGTGTGAGCCACCACGCCTGGCCCTTTGCCCATCTCTGAATGTTTGAGTTTGAGGAGTTCTTTATGCGTTCTGGGTATTAATTCCTTAGCAGATCTGAGAGTAACAGATATTTTCTCCCATTCCATGGATTGCCTTTTTGCTCTGTTACAGTGTTTTTTGATATGCAAAAGTTTAAAATTTTGATGAGGTTCAATTTGCTTATTTTTTCTTTTGTTGCCTGTGCTTTTGATGTCATATCCAAGCAATCATTGCCAAATCCAATGTCATGAAACTTCCCTCTGTGTTCTAAGAATTTTGTAGACTTTGCTCTTTTGTTCCCTCTTTCTTCTCCTACACAAAGATCTCATGACTGTCACATTGTCCAAGATAAGGTGTTAAATGTACTATTTTATTATTTTTATTTTATTTATTTATTTTTTGAGACAGAGTTTCATTCTGTCACCCAGGCTGGAGTGTAGTGGTGTGATCTTGGCTCACTGCAACCTCTGCCTCCCAGGTTGAAGCGATTCTCCAGCCTCAGCCTCCCGAGTAGCTGGGATTAGAGGCATGTGCCACCATGCCTGGCTAATTTTTGTATTTTTAGTAGAGACAGGATTTCACCATGTTGGTCAGGCTGGTCTTGAACTCCTGACCTCAAGTGATCCACCTGCCTCAGCCTCCCAAAGTGCTGGGATTACAGACATGAGCCATTGTGCCCAGCCTTAAATGTACTCTTTTAAATTGAAAAAAGAAAATAAGCTGTGATCCATTTTTGAGTTAATTTTTATACATGGCATAAAGACCTGCATTTTAAGTCCCTTTTGGATTGCTCTGCTACTTGTCCTTCCTCCATTGCAGTCTGCTTCATTCATTGTGTCTGCAGTTTAGCACAAGCTCTGGAACCAACCATATGAATTTGAGTCCCACTTCCACCATCCGCTGGCTGTGTGACTATGAGCAAATTCCTCAACCGTTCTGTACCTCTCTTTCCTCATCTGTAAAATGGGAGCGTTGATCACAGTACTTACCTCATGGGTTTCTTGTGAGGATTCATATGTTGAAAGCCCCCAGATGGTCCCTGGCACCTGGAACCAACCCACAGTGAGGGTTGGTAATTATTATTGTCCCTCCTAAAACTGGATTTTCTCTTATACTTGGTAAACTGTACCTATCAGCCATCTTCAGTTGGGTTGGAATGGCCTGCACAATCCCATGCATGCACCTGACGCTTGCAGGGGCTCCCAGCTTGGCAGAGACGCCATTTCCATCGGGATCAGCTATCCCCCCACACCAATGCTGCAGCTCTCTGGATGGATGCACCCTGACCTCCCCTGTGTTAGAGGAGAGGTGGGCGTGTTGAATCATGGAGGCAGACTTCCCCTTTGCCGTTCTCGTGATAGTGACTGAGTTCTCAGGATCTGGTTGTTTAAAAGTGTGTAGCGCCTCCCCCTTCTCTCTCTCTCCTGCCACCATGTGAAGATGTGCCTGCTTCCCTTTCGCCTTCCACCATGATTGTAAGTTTCCTGAGGCTTCCCCAGCCGTGCTTCCTGTACAGCCTGTGGAACTGTAGAGCCAACTAAACCTCTTTTCTTTATAAATTACCCAGTCTCAGGTAGTTCTCTATAGCAATGTGAGAATGGACTGTCTACATGCTTGAAGCAGGAAGGGAGACTTTCCTGTGAGCTCAGTCGATCAGCTTAACCAGAAGTGTCACTATTTTTTTCTTTCTTTCCTCATGTTATAAATATATTTTACCCATAATGGATCATATTGGGGGGTTATTTGGTCAGTTTCTCTAGTCGTGGTATCAGCCCATGTGTAGAGGTAGGGCCTTTTTGAAGATGTGAGCCATTGTGGGCTGAGAGTGATGGAAGGCAACCCAGGGTACAGGGATTCTGAGTGTGGAGGGAAGTGAGTCTGAGGAGAAATCCAAGGTGAGACAGATGGAGCTGGCCTCCACAGACCTCAGTGCAAGAGTACTGGGGGTGACCACAGGCCTACAGAGAGCTGGTGTCTTGCCAGCTGGTTTTCAGATCAGGCTCAGGTACTCATGGGCATGCACCCTGGATGGAGGGTGCCCGCCTCACCTCTCCACACCCCACCCAGTCCCTACCTTGTGTGCCCTCTCCTAATTGCAAACTCATAACATCAGGGTCTCCCTGGAGAAACAGGTATGATGGGGAGGGCCCTGCACAGCCCTGGGGTTGATTGCACAGCCCATAAGAGAGAAAAAGCCCAAACACGTGAACATAAGAGGTCAAGTTAGAAGAACCTAGAGAGATAACCTGGCTTCCAGAGACCCAGATATATCACATCCATCCATCCATCCATCCATCCATCCATCCATCCATCATCCCATCCACCTGCTCAGAAGTGGTCCCAGCCTATGGAGGGAGGGCCTCATCAATCCCTGGCCATAACCCAAGGGTGGCTCAAGCCCCAGGGAAAAGTGGCCGAGGAGAGCAGAACAAGTTCTGGCCTAAAAGTCAAGACCCCTGGTTCCTCTTTTTGGCTCGCCATTAGCTAACTACATGAACCAGATCATTTGGCTTGACTTTCTGGACCTCAGTCTCCCCACCTGTAAAATGGGGACAGTTGGACCAGGAGGTGGATGGGGATTTCCAGTTCTAACATTCTGTAGCTGAGCCTCTGGCCTCTGACGTCACAATATGGAGCTGGCCTCACCCAGCTCTGCTGCTCTGTTGGTCATGGGAGCAAGGTGGACTTGCCCTGGACCTTCCCTACTTGTGCTCCTCTGTTATGGGCAGCTCTTGCCTTGGCTCAGGATCAAGGGTGAACACAGTTTAGGTGTGGCTGGGACCCCAAGAAGCATGGGACCAGACAAAGGGACTGGGTGCGGACAGGACCTTCTCAGCACATGATGCCCATATCCTTCCCTGCAGATGACTTCTACAATGAGACCGAGACCAAGATCTTCCTGCAGTTTTATGACCAAACAGGTGAAGTTGTGTTGAACAAGTTCATGGAGGCCACTTGGAACTATGTCACCAATATCACCAGGAAAAATCAGGAGGAGATGATGTGATACCACCTCCACCCCAGCCTCTCCTCTCTTTGCTCTTTTTAGGGATTTGGGACCATGGGGCACCACATCTCCTGCCCCCATCCCAAGCAAGAGGAACAAGGGAAGCCCCAGTGTACATGTCAAAGAGGGCTGCAAGCTCTGGGCCTCCTGGAAGCCCTAAACTTCCTCCAGGCAAGAATCTCTTGCTTCTTGTCCTTTGTAAATCTCACCTCCTTGCTTTTAGAGATCCAGGTTTCTGCCCTCTCCCTCTCAGCAAATCTTGCTCCCTAAGCCAATGGGATTAGGGAGTCAGTTAGGGTGCCATGGCCCTGGAGGTCAAGTGGGACCCTTCCCCTGTCCCCCAACCTTGGTGGCTCTCTTTGCAGCTGCACAAGGACATGGAGAGGTCCCAGTTCATGATTTACTTTGGCACCCAGGCCCACCTGTTTAAAGTCACCCAGTTCAAGGACCCGGATGTGAATGGCATGCTGAGTAAGCTGCAGAACATAGACAAGGCGGCTCTGTCCAAGGACGAGCTGCGGGAGGTGATGGATGGAACCCCCAGGCCTTTAGGCACATGCTCCCTGGTCCTAGGGGTCTGGTAGGGGAGACAGAGTGCCTGGGGCAGGAGGGAGGCAGGGAGTGGAGGAAGGGCAGGATCAGAACTTCCTCTGGAGAAGGAGAGGAGTAGAGGTGGGGGTACCGATCTCTCCTGGCTGGTGGGGCGAGCACTGGGGGGGGACCTGGGGCACCAGCCTACCCTGGGTAACACCTGTCCCCCCAGTATAACGAGCTTCTGGCCTACCTGGAGATGACATACAGTATGGCCCAGGTGTGCCTGAATGAGGGGCCCTGCCTGTCCCTGGAGTCTGGTGAACACCCAAGCCCTGTCCCACCCAACCACAGAATCTCCAGCACTCAGTCCCTTCCAGGGGCCCCTCCCAGCCCCCAACCACCCTCCCTTATTGCCAGGAGGGTGAGGGAAGAGGCAAGTGGGAGTGGGTCCCCCATGGCTCCTTTTCTGGGCATAGAACTCGAAGTCATGGCCACCTCCAGGGACAAAGAGGAGCTGCTGTGGGCCTGGCAGGGCTGGCAGGATGCCGTGGGCCGCCAGATCTGCACCACCTTCGAGCACTATGTGGAGCTCAGCAACAAGGCTGCACAGCTCAACGGTGAGCAGATGGGATGCCACAGAGCTTGGAGTGATGGCAAGGAAGGGGCAAAGCTGAGCTTTCCCAGAGTGAAGGTGGCCGTAGGGCCCTGGAGACAGGACCTATGAGCCCTGCAGCTGGGCTCTCCAAATATTCATAGAGCACCTAGGTGCTAGGTGCTGGGGAGGTTCTGACGACACATAGGTGAAAAGACAGGCACCTGCCCTCATGCACCTACGGTCCTGCAGGGAGACAGACCATATTCAGTAAACACCTGTCTCTCACTACCATCTGGGGTGATGCGGAATAGGAAGAGGCTGCTGAGAAAGAGAATGAGAAGAGGCTGCTGCAGACAAGTGGACAGGGAAGGCCTCTGACATTTATCCAAGACCTGAAAGATGGGCAAAAGACGGGAAGCAAGATGTGAAAGAAGAGCAGCCTAGGCAGAGGCTCCGCGGCAGGAGGAGCCGGTGCTCTGGAAGACCTGAAAGAAGCCCAGGTGGCCACAGGGCTAAGGATGAGGTGGGATAAGAGGGGACTCAGGGCCTTGCAGGCATGGTGGGGAGCTCGGATCATGGACTTTGCTCAGTGCCTTTCTGAAATGGGCAGGTATTCTCCCCGTTTTGCCAAAGAAGACCCAGACGGTCAGCGAGGTTGAGTGGCTTCCCTAGAAGGCGTCTGGGTATCCTGTCAGCTAGGCCATGGCTAAAGGGTGAGATGGTGAGCTCCTGGTGAGTCCTCTCTCCTGTCCTAGGTTACAAAGACATGGGGGCCTTGTGGCACTCCAAGTATGAGTCGGATACCCTGGAGCAAGACCTGGAGCGGCTATTCCAGGAGCTGCGGCCACTCTACCTGAACCTGCACACCTACGTGCGCAGGGCCCTCCACCGCCACTATGGGCCCGAGCTCATCGACCTGAGGGGGCCCATCCCTGCCCACCTCCTGGGTAAAGGCCCTGCTGGTGGCCAAGGTGAGTGCCAGATAAGGGCAGAGACTGTCTCCAGCCTCCTCTTAGCCCCTCTCCTCCTCTTCCAGAGAACACGTTGGCTCAGTCCTGGGTCAACATCTTAGACCCGGTCCTGCCCTTCCTGAAGAAGATCCCAGAGGATGTCACAAAGATCATGAAAGTCCAGGTTAGTGCTTGGCCTGTCTGTCCCTGCCCCTCCCCACTGGCATCCTTGGACAAACAGGGCAGCGCCCCCCACACCCCCTCTTCTCCCATAGCACTGGAAGCCAGAGAAAATGTTGGAAGAGGCTGAGACATTCTTCACCTCCTTGGCGCTGCCACCTGCCCCACCCAGTTTCTGGAAAAAGTTGATGCTAATGAGGCCAACCGATGGGCGAGAGGTGGAGTGTCACATCTCTGCCTGGAACTTCTACCAGGACGACGATTTCAGGTGCTCACAGCGGCACCACACACCCGGTCCTCTCCTCTGCCCTGTCTGGCTGTCTTAGGTATGGGCAGGGGAAAGCCAGGGCAGAGGAGGGAGAAGGCAAGTGAGAAACACAGAAGGAAAGGTGACGTGAGAGGAAAGGGCTTGGTTGCTGGGTGGATATGGGGCCTGGAGTAAGAAAGAACAATTGCCGGCCGGGCATGGTGGCTCACGCCTGTAATCCTAGCACTTTGGGAGGCCAAGGCAGTGGATCACGTGAGGTCAGGAGTTCGAGACCAGCCTGGCCAACATGGTGAAACCCTGTCTCTACTAAAAATACAAAAATTAGCCAGGCATGGTGACATGTGCCTGTAATCCCAGCTAGGAGGCTGAGGCAGGAGAATCACTGGAACCTGGGAGCCGGAGGCTGCAGTGAGCCAAGATCGCACCATTGCACTCCAGCTGGGAGACACAGCAAGACTCCGTCTCAAAAGAAAAAAAAAAAAAAGAACAACTGCCAAGGCCTGTCTGGGCTCCAACCCGACCACCCAATCCCTCAAGGAGTCTGAATGGGGAAACTCCCTTTCTCCATGCTCCTTGACCCATGCCCTTTGCTTGTAGAATAAAGAAGTGCGCGGAAGTGACCACAGAAGACCCGCTCTCCATCTTCCACGAAATGGGCCATTCCAGTACTTCCTGCAGTACAAGAACCTCTCCATCATCTTCCGCGCAGGTGCCAACCCAGCCTTTGAAGAGGCTGTGGGGTCTGTGATCACCCTCTCGGCCTCCTCCCACAAGCACCTGCTCAACATAGGCCTGCTCAGCCTCTAGCACCAGGACTCAGGTGATGAGGATCAAGGGCCCAGCAGGAGGGCAGCACAAGCCTGGGACCGCAGCTAGGGCTTGGTGGGGTCAGGGCTCTCGGGCAAAGCTACGGGAAGGAGATCCCAGGGGTTGCCTCTTGACTGCCCTCACCCTCTTCCCAGAGGATGAGGTCAATTTCCTGATGCATATTGCCCTGGAGAAGATCGCCTTCATCCCCTTTGGCTACCTGATGGACCTCCTTCGCTGGAAGGTCTTTGACGGCACCATCTGGAAGGACATCTACAATCAGGAGTGGTGGAACCTCAGGTGGGTTGGGCACCATCTTCCACCAGATGGGCCATTTCCAGGACTTTCTGCAGCACAAGAACCTCTCTAATCTTCCACACAGGCACTGAGCAGGTCTTTTAGCCTTTCTAGGCTTCAGTCTCCTCATCTGTGAAAAATGGACCCTGGTGATGGCCCCACCTGCTCCCTGGGTAGCTGGGAAGCTCACACAATGATTGCAACTGAGCTTCTCTAATCACAGAACACTGACCACCAGGCAGGCCCTCCCAAACCTCCCTCCCTTCCTGGTGCCAGGCAATGGAGTGTGCGGGGGCCTGAGCACTTTCCTTTCTGGGGAAAGACTCCCCATGGGAGAGAGGCAGGCCCCTAAAATGCACGCATGCCTGCCTCGGGCTTAACATCCCCAAGCTGCCATGGGAACCCACCAGCAGTTGGGAGGCATCACTCTCGAGTGAGGGACCCCCGTGTTACACCTCATCACTGACCCCTGGCCATTTGATGGGATAATAAATGCCTGTGACCAGGGCTCCTCCATATGTGGCAGGCCGCGGACTGACCAGCTTCAGTCTGCTGGTCATAGTGTGATTCGGGGTTGCCAGGGGGTGCTCCTGGCTCTGCAACAGGCTCTTACTTTTTTTGTTTGTTTTTTGAGACAGGGCCTCGCTCTGTCACTCAGGCTGGAGTATAGTGGTATGATCACGGCTCACTGCAGCCCTGACCTCCCAGCCTCAACCAATCCTCCTTCCTCAGCCTCCTGAGTAGCTGGGACTATAGGTGTGCGCCACTATACTGGCTAGTTTTGTGTAATTTTTTTTTAAGAGATGGGGTTCGCCATGTTGCCCAGGTTTAAACTCCTGGGCTCAAGGGATCTGCCTGCCTAGGCCTCCCAAAATGCGGGGATTACAGGCATGAGCCACTGTGCCCGGCCTCTTATGTTTAATTTGAACATTTACAACCACCTTGCGTTGTGATCACTTCAAAGCGCTCAGCTCACAGAAGCAACAGCTGAAGCTCACAGAGGTCACAAACCAGCCCGAGGTCACACAGCAAACGAGCAGGTGACAGAGCTGGGAGCTCCTCCCCTTGTCCTCTTACTCCCACCCTTGACTTCAGGAGCAGGTCTCCCTGGTGGGCTTGGCAGAGTCTTGACCTCGTGCCTCTCTAAGGTCACCCTCATAGGCCATCTGAGGCACCTGCAGGAGGCCTCTGTCAGCCCTGCCCATCACCCCAGCTGATGGAACCCTGGGGCTAAGCAGGAGGGGTGGCAACTCCCTGGGCCTTGAATAAGGCCCTGTCAACTGGGAGGGAAGCTCCTGACACTCTGTTGACCTTGGAGATGGTTCAGAGGCTCCAGTGAGCCAATGATGAAGCCTTGTTTTTGAGACAGGGTCTCACTCTGTTGCCCAGGCTGGAGTGCAGTGGTGCAATCATGGCTCACTGCAGCCCTGACCTCCTGGGCTCAAGCGATCCTCCTGCCTCAGCACCTGAGTAGCTGGGACTACAGTTGCGCACCAGAACACCTGGCTCATTTTTGTATTTTTTGTGGGGACAGGGTCTCACTTTGTTGCCCAGGCTGGTCTCGAACTCCTGGGCTCAAGCAATCCTCCCACATCAGCCTCTCAAAGTGCTGGGATTACAGGTGTGAGCCACCACACCTGGCCTACTTCCTTCCATTTTATAGACATTTTACAACAAGACTCGGAGACAATCAGCAACTTTCCCACAGTCGCACATCTCAGAGGGGCAAAAACAGACCTTCAGGTTATCAGGGTGTGACTGTGACTGGCTCTGTGTCCTGAGGCCAATTCCCTGATCTCCAAACCTTGGTTTCCTCATCTGCAAAATGGGAATAATAGTAGTACTGCCCCACAGTGATGTTACTCTTTTTTCTTCTCAAGACTTCTTACTAGATGAAATGACCTTGTTTATTGGTCTATAATCTGTCCCCCACTGTTAGGATGCAAGCAGGGGCCTTGCCTCCCCCGCTCCCCCACTGGTCCCTCCCCCAGAGACCAGGACGGTGTTGAGTGCATGATGCGTGAGTCTATGTGGAGAGCCAGACATGGTTCTGAGCATAGAGGAAGTGTTCAGTCAGTGTTAACTGCTATTGTTTTACTCTGATTCCCAATCCCATGTGTTTTCATTTATTTAATCAATAAAAATGCATTAGGTATCCTCAGCCTGCCAAGTCCAGTTTTGATAGACACGTAGGTGCTTTGAAAAGAAAAAGGCAGGCCAGGTGCGGTGGCTCACGCCTATAATCCCAGCTACTTGGGAAGCTGAGACAAGAGACTCACTTGAACCCAGGGTGGGGAGGTTACAGTGAGCTGAGATCACGCCACTGAACTTCAGCCTGGGCAACAGGGCAAGACTCTGAAAAAAAAAAAAAAAGAAAGAAGAAAAGAAGGAAAGGAAGAAAGGAGGGAGGGAGGGAGGGAGGGAGGGAAGGAAGGAAGGAAGGAAGGAAGGAAGGAAGGAAGGAAGGAAGGAAGGAAGGAAGGAAGGAAAAGAAAGAGGCTCTGAGAACCTGCCAGACACCACCACCAAGCCCTCTGCCTTTTCCCTGCCAGGTTGAAATACCAGGGCTTGTGCCCCGCTATTCCTCACTCAGAGGAAGACTTTGATCCAGGTGCCAAGTTCCACTTTTCTGCAGGTGTGCCCTACATACGGTAAAGGTCTGGGCCCTGTTAGCAGTGCCAGTCCTAGGAGTTGAGGGGCATGGGAACTGGGGTGAGGATTTGCAGGAAGGCCCTAGGTCCAAATGTCACCCTGTACCCGTGCCCATCTCTTCCTGTTGGGCTGTGCAGCCTTCTGAGGCCTCTGACCTAGAATCCTTTGAGCTTTTGCATCAGGTCCAGTGTAGAGGGCAGAGCTGATGAGAATATTCTAGACCATCCCTGCTGTCCCTTGGAGGAGAGCAGGTCAGAGGGGGGCAAGGGTTGGGGTGACTGCTGGTTCAGAAAGCTAGAGAAGGAGAGCCCCCCAGCACTCTAGGGTCAGCCCAAGACTGGGCCCTGCCCAAGGAGCCTCCGCTCAGGCAGTGACTGCTGACATGGGGCCCTCGTGGCCACTGCATGTCAGAGCTGCCTGGTCCCAAGTGGCTCTGAGTTTCCCACTCCTGGTCTCCACTCCCCAGCCTGCCCTCACGTTTCTCAACCAGGTACTTCCTCAGTCTGGTGCTCCAGTTCCAGTTCCACGAAACACTGTGCAAAGCCTCGGGCCACATGGGTCCACTGCACCAGTGTGACATCTACAACTCCAAGATTGCCGGGAAGCTCCTGGGGTGAGTGCCCTCTCCTTCATTTGTTCTGGGCTCCCCCATCTCCCTTTAAGGAAGTCCTGCTCCAGGCTCCCTCTCCACACCTGACTACACTAGACACCTTGAGCAGAGCTTCATTAAGCTTATATTCTAGCGGAATTTCTTCCTCATGTCAGACTGCAGTCTTTCCTACATTAATCAGAGCCCATTTCCTCTTGTGTAGCCTTCTGTGTTCAGAGACACTGCTTAGGCTGGGCGCAGTGGCTCATGCATGTAATCCCAGCACTTTGGGAAGTCGAGGCAGGCGGATCACCTGAGGGCAGGAGTTTGAAACCAGCCTGGCCAACATAGTGAAACCCCGTCTCTACCAAAAATACAAAAATTAGCCGGGCGTGATGGCAGGCACTTGTAATCCCAGCTACTTGAGAGGCTGAGGCAGGAGAATCACTTGAATGTGGGAGGTGGATGTTGCAGTGAGCCGAGACTGCACCATTGCACTCCAGCCTGGGCAACAAGGTGAAACTCCATCTCAAAAAAAAAAAAAGAAAGAAAGAAAAGACAATGTTTAGCCCCTCCCACTAACACACACACACACACACATGCACACACATATGCCAGTAAGCCAAACTGTCCCAGATAGGAAGCCAGCACTGGGGTTCTACCTCAGGCTTCAGCCTTCCGTCCGAATCCCCCTTATCCTTTCCTTACAAGGTGCTGACCTACCCTCTCAGCAGCACTTGGCACACCCTTCAGTGCAGTCTGTTTCTCCCACCTCTTCTTGGAGGTGCCCAAATCCAGTTCCCAGGCTGATCCAGGTTACTTTCACAGTAGCCTCTTGGCATGCTTCTGGTCAGCCTGTGGTCCACTTTGACCCTTGAGTCTTTTTCTCTGCACTTGGTGTTTAGCTTATTCTTTCCATGCTTACCTATGTGGCAGTGGTTTTTAGTCCCAAAGCAAACCCTGAGGGAGTAGGGGACTGAACTGAAAATGTGAAGCATTTACTACTACAGGAGGTGCTCTCTGATGAGTACTCTTACAGTGTTTCATATTATAATAATAGCTCTTAACTTTGCAAAGTGGATATTATTATCTGCCTTTTACAAATTATGAAACTGAAGGCAAGAGAGGTGGTGTCGTTGTGCATCATTCATCTAGCAAGAAGCAAAGTCATGCTTTGAAACCAGAACTGACTCCAGAACACATTATCTTTCACCCTGTTCGCCTCCATCATTCAAAGAATACAGCCCCTGGTGAGCTTAGATCCAGGTCTAACTGGTTCCAAGATCAGCACTCCAACCTTGGAGATGTGGAGCTCACCCACCGACTTGATCATTTTCCTGTTGAATTTCAACGGATTTCAATAGGTCCATTTCCCTAATTGGTCAAGGTCATCTTGAGCTTTATTCCTGTCTCCTAGAGGATTAACACTGCCACAAATTTAGTATCCTTTGCAAATTTAATGAGCATATTTTTGATTCCACCATGCAATTTATCTGTAGCCACCAGGCCAGATGGGGTTTCAGGACTGATCCCCTGGGCTTTGCTCCTAGGGAGGGCTGCACCTTGCATGACTGTTGTCTCCCTAGTAGATTTGCTCTTCCATCCTTTCACGTCTCAGGGCTTTATTCTAGCTGATTGCCCAGCTTTGAGCTTTTCTGAACATGTTGAACATAAGGGCACCTCTCTGCTCTTTGCATTCCTATCTCTGGCTGCCTGTCATTTATTCATTCAGTAAACATTTACTTGTCCTCATGCAGACCAGCTGCTCTGCATCCAACAGGGGTAGATGAACCACAGGATAAATAAATTTCATGGCCGGGCATGGTGGCTCACACCTGTAATCCCAGCACTTTGGGAGGCTGAGGCTGGCGGATCACCTGAGGTTAGGAGTTCGAGACCAGCCTGCCCAACATGGAAAAACCCCGTCTCTACTAAAAATACAAAAAATTAGCTGAGAGTGGTGATGGTTGCCTGTAATCGCAGCTACTTGGAAGGCTGAGGCAGGAGAATTGCTTGAACCTGGGAGGCGGAGGTTGCAGTGAGCCGAGATCATGCCACTGCACTCCAGCCTGGGCGACAAGAGGGAAACTCCATCTCAAATAAATAAATAAATAAATAAGTAAATAAATAAATTTCATAATACCAGGCAATGGAAAGGGGCTTTCGTGAACATAGAAAGAGGATTAGGAGGTCATGCTGGGGGACCAAGGAGGGAGTTTTGTCCTCAAATGCAAGTGTGCAAGAAATAGCAGAAAGCAGGCATGGTGGCTCATACCTATAACCTCAAAACTTTGGAAAAGCCAAGATGGGAGGATCCCTTAAACCTAGGAGTTTGAGACCAGAGTGGGCAACATGGTTAGATCCTGTATCTACAAAAAATGAACAAAATTTGGCCAGGCATGGTGGCACGCACTTGTAGTCCCAACTACTCAGGAGGCTGAGGTAGGAGGATCACTTAAGCCTGGGAGGTCGAGGCTGCAGTGAACTGAGATCACACCACTGTGCTTCACCCTCGGCAACAGAGCGAGACCCCCGTTTAAAAAAAAAAAAAAAAAAGGAGAAGAAGAAAGAGAAAAAAATAGCAGATATCTGTTTTCTTTTCTTTTCTTTTCCTCTCTTCTTTTCTTTTCTGTTTTTGAGACAGTCTCACTCTGTCACCCAGGCTGGACTGCGGTGGTATGATCTCGACTCACTACAACCTCCACCTCCTGGGATCAAGCAATTCTCGTGCCTCAGCCTCCAGAGTAGCTGGGATTACAGGCACACACCACCACGCCTGGTTAATTTTTGCATTTTTAGTAGAGACGGGGTTCTACCATGCTGGCCAGGCTGGTCTCGAACGTCTGGCCTCAAGGGATCCACCCACCTCAGCCTCCAAAAGTGCTGGGATTACAGGTGTGAGCCACCACGCCTGGCCAAGATATCTGTTTTCTTTTACATCAACTCACCTCTTTCATCCCACCTGATTGGTGGGATGTTTGACCTCAGTCATTTTCACCACTTCCCACGCTCACCCCACTCAAGGTGCACAGGGCTCTCAGGGTCTGACTTGGCACCAAAGCATGTGGCCAGTGAGTCATCTCTTGTCATTGCTCACCAGTCCCTGTGTGTCCCTGGCCAGACTCCTGCTCAGGGAAAATCCTGATTCCAGGCTTAGGACTTCACATACCATTTTGTGAGCCGTGGGCAGAGGAAAGGTTTCTGAGTAAGGAGGATATCATGACCTTTGCAGATGATGAAATAGCAGCAGAGCCGAATATGGTTTGTGGAGGGGAGAGGGGATGTGAGTGCTTGCAGGGGGAAAAGAGAAAGATTCTTGGCTGCTCTTTTGCCTAATTGATCTTAAAACTTGGTTTTGCTACTTTTGATTCATCCTCCTAAATGTGATGGCCCTGAGTCAGGCTCTGGGCTGCTTCTGTTGGGAATGGAGGGTTGAATTGGGCCTGGTCAAAGTTCTCAAAGTCACCCAGCTTCACCCCACCAGCCATGGTGCGCCTGACCTTGTCCATGGGGTGTGTTGTTGTCACTTTGGAGTTGAAAGCTCCAGGCAGCATCTAGTTGTCATCTCTGCTGCTCTCTGGTCTCATGTCCTGTCCACATGGGCTGTTGGCTGCCCTTTGGTCAAACATCTTGTCCCACCCAGCCTGAAGGACTGTTTCTAAATGGGTAGATTCTCAATGGTTGAAGCTTTTCCCCTACTAGGTTCTTCCTCTTACTCAGGAGCCAGCATCAGAACCTCTTACCTAGAGTTAGTTGTGGTTTTTCTTCTCCAGTGGTATCTGCCAAGGCCCCACTGACCTTTGGTTTCCCTAACTCTTTCTTTTCCAGTTGTTTATTAAGTGATGCGCATAAGCCTTTGCAAGCTACAAACCCTCCTTCATCATTGTGGGACTTAGTCCTCATCACAATGAGGGCAGGTATTCATGGCTCCCATTTTACTGATGAGGAAACTGAGGCCGAGAGAGGCTAAGTTGTCTGCTTAAGGTTATGCAGTCCATAAGTAGCACTGCTAGGTCAGGTTTAAGCCTGGGCCCTGTTAGTCTAGACTCTAGATCGTGACCTCTGGGCCTCTGGGTCCCAAGTCTGTCCTGAGAGTTGGATCAAGGAACAACAGGTTGTGAAGGATAAACATCTGCCCACCACTGCCTCTCCTGGGGACTCTGGAGTGGAGAAGCCTGGAGCCCTGGCTTCAGCACACCTTATACTCCCATTGTGAGCCCAAGGGACCTAGCATAAAGTTCAACCACCTGCCCCTAAGGACCGGGTGTGCCGTGAAACACAGCTGACATTTGTGCAGCACTACAGGTGGTGTGCGGAGCACCTCCCATGCTCATGATGTTTCTAATCCTCCCAAACCCTCCCTGAAACCAGAAAGGGGTGAAGAGCTGCCACTATCTACCAACACCGAGCACCTCACGGGAAACAGTGTCTCAGGACTTTATGCCTATTTGAGTCCAGGAGAATAATAATCATCACAGTATTACCAGTAGTACTAGGAATCATCATCATCATCAGTAGTTAACGTGTATTGCCTGCATGCTATGCTCCCAGCACCGTGTTTATTTAATCATTACAATGGCTCTTCGAGGTAGATACCATTATCATCTCCGTTTTATGGATATGGAAACTGAGGCTCAGAAAGGTTACTTGCCCAAGGCCCCACAGCTACTAAATGGCAGAGCTGAGATTCAAACCCAGATTAATCTTCTTTCAAACTTGTGATTGTATCCACTATGCCAAGCTCTGCGGGAAAGTTCTGGCTGGCCAATCGCTGGGGCTGGGATTGGGTGCACTGGGGGTCTCAGCTGCACCAGCTGATGCCCTCACACAGCCTCACAGCTGCACCCACTCCCCTAGGGATGCTCTAAAGCTGGGCTCAAGCAAGCCCTGGCCAGAGGTCCTAAAGATGCTGACTGGGGAGTCTGAGGTGTCTACAAATGTCTTCATGACCTACTTCAAACCCCTACTGACCTGGCTGGTGACAGAACATGCAGCAAGGGGACATCTTAGGCTGGCCAGACTTCAGCTGTTCCTTTGAAGGTTTGATAATCTGACCCTGGTTCCAGCTCTGGGCCAGCCCCAGGCTCCACCTTACCCTGCTCTGTCCTAGTACCTACCCCTACCCAGCCTTAACCCCTGGCTCATTCATGACCTGGCTTGAATCAACAGCACTGCTGCTGTGGGACCCTGTCTGTACCAGGCCTGATGCAGCTTCAGCCAAGACCACCGCTCCCACCACAGCCCCTGGCTCAGTTGCTTCCTTGCACACTGTCCAGCTAGGTTGCCAGGCTGACATCTGAGCAAAGGATCAGCATCTTGCCTCTGGTCCCTTGCATGCAGGGGCATGTAGTCCAATCAGATCTCCTCTGACAGCCACAGGAGACCCCAGGGGTCCCTCTCCAGTTCTACCCACCCTATGAGACTCCTATGTCTTCCACAGAAAAAGACACAGACAAAGTGACATTCCTGAGTCTGAAGCTGGACCCCAACCAGGCTAAATTTGGGTACTGGGTGCTGTTGGCCCTGGGCTTTGTCATGTCTCTGGTGGTGCTGGGGCTGGCCTGCAGGCTGCAGTCCCTGGAAAAACAGTCACTGACTCAAGACACTGAGATATTCAGCCCACTGCCCAATGCCTGCTTCCTGGGCATAGCCATGGAACCCTGCCAGGCTGCTAAAGGACAGTGGATGCTGCTGGGCCTCTGCCTTGTCCTGATGCTGTGCTCAATCAGCCTGGCCATCTGGATTTTCACACAGTAAAGCAGGAAGCCTCCAAGGGTAAGAGCTGAATGGTGAAGTTGGGACTAGACACCAGTGAACTGGTGAGGCTGGGGGGCAGGAGGAGGGAGGCTGAGCCAGAGAGTTGGGGGGCAGAGGAGGGGACAGCCTGCATGCATAGTGCCCAATTATAATTGGGTTCAGCTGTGGCAGATCTGGGTACATGTGATATTGTAATTGTGTGTTTGCAAACTCATGTATGTGAGGCTGTGTGCACAAACAACTGGCTCTATGTGATTCTATGTGTGTCCTGGGTTTCAGGCCAAACTCCTTCCCCTGGTGGCTCAGGACCTAAGGTTTTATTGACCCAGTGGCTGTGTCCCTGCAAACCAGCCCCCACCCCAAGTCATGCCCAGAATTGGTTCTGCACACAGCCTTGTTTTTTTCAGTAACCCGGCTATGGGACTGCAGTGCCCAAGGAATTTCTGCTCTGGTTAGAAAAAGGACTCTGCTTCAGTCCACTTCTGCTCTGGTTAGAAAAAGGACTCTGCTTCAGTCCACAGTACATAAAATGTACTCAGGTAGGACAGGACATTCCTTTACGAATCACCAGTGCCCAGTTTATGAGCACTGTGCTTTTATACCAACCAGCACATCTTTCTGCTAATCCTTGGGCCAGCCCTGTGTTGGACTACATAATCCAGCCCCCAAAAGCTCTTTGTTGACCAGTTGAGATGTAAGTAGCCTCACAAACTGCCCCATGGCTCTCTCTGCCCCAGCCCAAGCCCTTCCAAATGGAGACAGTGGGTTGCTGGGCATTGAGCCAGGCTTGATTAATGATTGACTTCTTTAATATTTAAACAAAGCTCATCTCCAACCACTCTGCTCTGGAGATGGCCTTGTTCAACACACACACACCTGCTGCCTGGCCCGTTGCCCTGGGGAGCGAGCATAGGACAAACAGCACCTTTTCAGGCTCAGTGGGGGATGGGGAGGACAGGAAGGAGGGAACTGTAGGAGAATACTTGGGAAATTAGTGCTCTAGAAACAAGCCTGGGGAAAGAACGGGAAGGCCTCTGCCTCTGCCTTTCCTAGTTCATTATCCTCAGCCTGGGTCTGCCTGCCATGAGGATCCTACATTCAATATTGGGGATTCAGAGCGTCTGGATGGAGGTTGCATGGGCTCCTGGGGAGGCTGGGAGTCAGTGTCTGTCAGAGAATAGGGAAAACTTGAGGGGAAAGGGCATTATAGCCAGTAACTACAGAGAAGGGGTACCCCGGCTGCAACTGAGCTGGTGGGAGGGTGGCCAAAAGAGGAGACCAGGTCTCTCTGAATTAAGAATCTGAGCCCCAAACTCAGGTGTTCAGGGGACAGAGATACTAGGCTGAGATCTCCATGGACCCTGCCCCTGTCCAGGTTTCAAAAGGTCTTTCTGAGATCTGGCTGAGCCCAAGCACTTGCTCCAGCCCCAGGCTCCACAGCACCCTTGTTTGATGACTCTGTCCCTGCTCTTACTTTTCTGTGCCATAATGTCCTTATTTGTCCCTATTACTAGCTATCAGCTCTATAAGAGCTGGATGCACATCAGGAGTGTGCCCCTCTGTAACAACTCTAGTCAGCACAGGCCATGGTGCACAAAAGGGACTTGGAAAATGATGGAATGAGTAAGTGAATGAATGAATGAATGAATGTCCCACTGCCCAAGTCCCTCCTCAGAGCTCAGCACCCCATGTACTGAGCTCATGAGAAATAGCCCCTTCTTTTCCTCCACAGCCAGCCTGTCCAACAGAGGGGCAGCCAGGACATCTCTGCCCTCTTCTCATCCCCCAGCCACAGTGGCCAAAGAGGCCCCCACTAGGCACTGTGGCTCTGCATGACAAACACACATCCAGCCCAGGACTCTAAGCCTCTCACCTGGACTCCAGTAAAAACCTTGCTGAGCCTCCTTGTCTATCCTTCCTCCCCCACCCACCATTGTAAAGTTTATGTCACCAGAATATTTCTTTCATGTCTAATTGCTTAAGAACTTGGTTGTTCATCAATTAAATCTAGATGTTCAAAATGGCATCTGAGGGTCTTTATTAATTACCTCCTTCCTCCAAACTCACCTCTCCCACACCCCCTTGTTCCCCCCACCCCAGCCCCTCTGCACTGACATCACCTTTGGCCTTTGCCTAAGGTGCATGCCCCATTTGAATGCTTGCCCTCCAAGATCAGGCTCAAAATTGCTCACCAAACCCTCTGCAGCACTACAAGCCCACCCAGATGCTCAGTGAACAGTAGTCCCCTTCTCCCCTTCCTCTCCAGGAAGCCTCTTTCAATAAACCTATTCCCACCCCCATTTGCTTTTTCTAGTGTGTTCATTTTCAGTCAGTACTCAGTACTCAGACACTTTTATCAGTGGTCACTTGCTAATAGGTGGTTTTAAATCTGTTCTCCTTCCAAGATGTACCTGTATGCTAAGAGCTCTCAGGCCTCTGAAGAAGGCATCTTATTGCATACTTCTTTCTTTCTTTCTTTTTATTTTCAGATGGAGTCTCGCGTCTCGCTCTGTCTACCAGGCTGGAGTACAGTGGCGCAATCTCGGCTCACTGCAACCTCCGCCTCCCGGGTACAAGCGATTCTCCCACTTCAGCCTCCCAAGTAGCTGGGATTATAGGTTTGCGCCACCACTCAGCTAATTTTTGTTTTTTCAGTAGAGACAGGGCTTCGCCATGTTGGCCAGGCTGGTCTCAAACTCCTGACCTCAGGTAATCTGCCCACCTCTGCCTCCCAAAGTGCTGGGATTACAGGCGTGAGCCACCGCGCCTGGCCCTTATTGCATATTTCTTGCACGTCTTCATGTGTACTCCTACCCCCTCCTCTCAGGACCAGGCCCTGGCTGGACTTGGCGGCAGGAGCTCTGCATGGGACCTAGGTCTCAGCTGAGCTGGAGATCACTTGCTATAAGAGCAGGCCAGAGGCCTAATGGTATCATTGCCAGGGTCGGGCCCAGTGGTCAGACCCGGAAGAAAGCTTTCAGCCAAAGACCACCTGAGGCCCCTAACAACCCCATCTGTAGCCCCCCTCCTGCCTGGGAAACTCCCTGCACTGGGAGGGGAGACTGCCCTTTGGTACTGGGAGGGAATCGGAGAGGTGCTGAGGCCATTGGCCCTTAGGACAGGAACAGAAGCAGCTCCTCAGAGAACACCTGCCCTATTCCAGGGCCAGGACCCCAGCCCCGCCCCGCCCCGCCCCGCCCCGCCCCGTAGGATGCAAGGCCCCGCCCCAGCCCCGTCGGGTCCCAGAGAAACTGCCCCGCCCAGCGGCCCCCTCCCCGCCGCCGGCGCGCGGCTTCTTTCAGCACCAAGGCGTGGACAGCTCCCGGGCCGGCGCAGAGGAGAGGAGGCCAGGAGGGCGCGGGCCAGGGAGGCGAGGGGAGGGCAGGGGAGCGCAGGAAAGGAAAGGAGAGGTGGGGCAGGGGTGGGGAGGGGAGGGCAGACGCAGGCTGGCGGGCGGGGCGCGGAGCCCGGCGGCCCTCCCCGGGGGCGGCGCCCACCGGAGCCGGACGCTGCTGAGCCCGAGGACAGACGGAGACGCCGGGAGCCAGTGGCGCCTGTGGCTCCGGGCAGGGGCCGCGGCCGAAAGATGCCGGTCCGCAGGGGCCACGTCGCTCCCCAAAACACTTACCTGGACACCATCATCCGCAAGTTCGAGGGCCAAAGTGAGTGTGTGTATGTTGGGGCGGGGGGACGATCTGGAGTCCTGGTTCCGTGAAAGGGGGGGCTGGACCCCTTTACTAACTTCTAACCGGGCAAGGTGGTGAGTGCCGGGTGCTGAATGAAAAATCCTTCTTTTGATGTCCCCAACACCTTCTCCTCCAGGGGGACCCGCTTGCCTTAAATGCTGTCCTCTTTTCTGGAACACAAGGAGCAGCGTGCAGGCCTTCCCTCCCTACTGCCAGCTGTTTCCTTGGTGCCCCAAGTTCGAACCTCCCCTTCCAGCCACTGCCTGCCCCCTCATCCGCGTCCTCCAGAGGCTTCTCTGAGTCCTTCTTTTCCTTCCTTTTCATATCCTGGTTCTGGTCTTCCCAGGAGCTTTCCCAGGCCTGACCCCCATCTGGTCACATCCCTGCCTCCCTTCCCCACACTTTTCCTGTTTCCAGGAGGCCTTGGGCCTTCCTTCCACCTCAAGACCCTCACTGCCCTAGTCTTCCCACAATCCCCAGGCCTGACTCCCTCCCTCATTCCGGTCACTGCCCTGCTCCTCTGCCTAAATTCCCCTTACTGCCACCAAGAGTCCTTATGATCTTTCCCTCCCAGCCGCTGGATCCTGGCTCCCATGGACTTTTTGCCTCCCACCTCCCACCCCAGGTCGGAAGTTCCTGATTGCCAATGCTCAGATGGAGAACTGCGCCATCATTTACTGCAACGACGGCTTCTGCGAACTCTTCGGCTACTCCCGAGTGGAGGTGATGCAGCAACCCTGCACCTGCGACTTCCTCACAGGCCCCAACACACCAAGCAGCGCCGTGTCCCGCCTAGCGCAGGCCCTGCTGGGGGCTGAGGAGTGCAAGGTGGACATCCTCTACTACCGCAAGGATGGTGAGGCATACTCAGGCCAGAGGCTTTGCAGGGCAGGCTTGGCCCTCTGTCTTGTCCAGCCAGGGTGGCCTTGGGGAAGGCACTGACCCAGGGTCCAAAGGGCCTGAACAAACCCTGTTTCTTCTAGGGGCCTTGGTTCCTCCACAGGCATTGGATATGATGCCTTCTGAGGTCCTTTGCAGGAGCTAGGGATCAGGCTGGGCCACCCACTGGTTCTGGCCTGGGGCAGGGCCTCCTGCTCTGCCATCCCTCTGCTGTGTCCCTGGTCTCCTGGCTCTCCACTATCTTACTGTCAGCCCCAGCGGTCAGGCAGCTGGGATGGAAATTAACCTTCCCTCCTCTCCGTCTGCTCCAAGGATTAGAGGAGGAGTCACCTCCTGAAGACCTCTGTGGCCAGGCAAGGCATGGGGGCTTTTGGCTGGCAAAGTGGGGTGGGCCTGCCTTATCCAGTCTCAGCTCTTTGGGGAGACAGGGTCTGGAGTTTTCCCTGACCAAGAAGCTCATTCAGATGGAGTTTGGGTTGTTACTGCCAGCTGGAGCATACTGCAAGCAGAACAGAAGCGTAAGTCAGGAGCTGAAGACAGATCTCAGCAGCCCTTGGAAATCCTCCCCCACCCCCCAGGACCACAGGGTCCTCACTGGACCTGGCAGCATGGGTGGGAACGAGGAAAAGAGCCTGAATGTCCTGGGAAATCTCTTGAATCAATGGCCCCCAACCTGGTTCTGCATCAGAATTACCCAGAGCATGTTTTCCAAAACATGCTTTCTCTACAGAGAGGCTGACTCAGAAGGTGTGAGATGAGGCCAAGCGGGTGTATTTGGAAATATCTCCCTGGTGGTTCTGATGTCCTGCTTACTTTAGGAACCACTGGCTTAGGTAAATCCCTTCATTTCATAGATGTGGAAGGGATTTGCCCAAGATCCCACTGCTAGAGTCCAACCTGGGACTGGAACCCAAGTCTCTGGATTCCTCCCTCGGAGATTTCTTTTGAGTAATCCCAAGAGGAGAGAAAGGACCCCAGCTGCCTTTGTGTTTACAGGCAGGATTTCTGGGGAAGGAGGTGCTCAGGGGAGAGAAGTCCCCAGGGAAGGCAGGCATGAGGCCACCTGAGTGGAGATAAAGAATGGATGTCTCTGGATCGGGACCGAGGAGTGCTGAGAGACCAGGTTTCAGGGGCCTGGAGTGTGTGAAACATGAGCATGTGTGTGCTTGCATGTGTGTGCCTCTGTGTGTGAGTGTGTGCTTGCAAGTTCACGCCTGTGTGTGTGTGTTTGCAGGCTTCTCAGAGTTACAGCTTCTCGGGTAGGTCCTGGTTGTTCCTGCTGCTGCCACTTGAGTGAGTGGCAGTGGGAAGTGCAACAGGCAGCGGCAGCCAGGAAGGGACTGGGAAGAATCTGGCTTAGTGTGGCAGTACTCACAGGGTTAATGAACTCAGAATATTTTTAAAAGCTGTGACCTCACCTCCTCACATCATTGCAGAGGAGAGGTGGCAGTCAGGGGAGTGAGAAGGGTCCTGGGGAACAGGATGGGACAGCAGGAAATGGGGGTTACAGCAGGTCCTTTCTTTTCCTCTCCTTGACACTAGAGCTATACCTGATCCCAGATTCCTAGGGATGTCAGGTGATGGCTCTTGAGGTCCCCTCAGCACCCTGAAGGTGTCTGGGCAGAGGGCAGAAGTCAAAGCCTGGCCTTGGCCCCCTGAGATCAGGACTCAGATCAGAATCCTGTGGGAGTCCTCAGGTCTCAGAAGGGAACCTAGGAACCTTGTCTTGGGGGCTGACCCTCGGTGAAAATGGGAAATTGCCCACATACCTGGTGCCCCATAAGTCCCAATCTACTCCCATCCCACCCTCGGCCCTTCCCTATCTTATTGCCCAAGGCTTTGATTTACCTGGACCTTCCTGAAATTGTCCTGAAACCCAGAAAGGGGAGCTTCCTGGCCTGCATTACACTAAGGGAAGGATATTGTGCTCAGATAACTGATGTTCACCTTAAGGTCCACTCTGACCTCATATAATCCTTTTTTTTTTTTTTTTTTTGAGACAGGGTCTTGCTCTGTCACGCAGGCTGGCAAGAACATAGCTCACTGCAGCCTCCCATCCCAGCCTCCTGAGTAGCTGAGACTACAGGCGCGCACCCTCACACCCGACTAATTTTTTAATTTTTTGTAGGGATGGGGGTCTCACTATGTTGCCCAGGCTGGCACATGATCCATTTTTGACCATATTCATGTACACTTACAGTCCTGCTGAGGGGCATCCTAATGGTGATTTCTTTCCTCCTCGGGTCAGTACCTCCCTTCCCCCCAACCCCCAACTCCAGGGAGGTGGGAAGGGGTCCTGAGCAGATCTCTAGCTGATTTATGTATAATCCTCTTTTCCTCTAAAGGGGTAATCCACTGAAAATTCTCGAAGTCAAAGTGGAGGGTTTGTGTTCACATAGCTCCACGTTGTGCAGCTACAGACATTTGGGCTCAAAGAGGCCAGGGCACTTGGCAAAAATACCCCGGGAGACATCTCAGAGACCCCTGGGAAACTGGCTCTTCCTCTATTTGCCTTTGCTAGGAGTGGTGAGAACCTAACAGATAAGGAGGAATGGGGATGTGGCAGGACTAGAACTGGTGAGAGTTTGGCAGGAAGAAAGGAGAGCACTCAGATCCCCCCACTGTCACCCACGCCTGCCCCGCACTGGCACCTGCCCGGGAGCCCACCCCAGCCTGCCTTTCCTGGGTCCTCTTCTCTGAGGATCCCGAACCAGAGAGTCCCCTAATCCCCAAGCCAGATCAGAGGAGTCCTGGGACTTCTCCAGTCCTCAGCTCTTGATGAGGAGGATGGGACAAGGGGCTGCTGTCTGCCCCCACCCTCCTCCCATGTTTACCATATGCACATCTGTGAATGCCAGGAGGACCAAGCTAGGAGGCAGCATGCAGCGGCCACCCTCTCAGTGGCAGCTTTTTGGCTTTTTGTAGCACCAGCCTCTCCCTGGGGACTCACCACAGTGCTGGATGGGGTGTGCATCGGGAGACAGAGGTGAAGACAACAAGGAGGTTGTGAGTGCTGGGAAACTGAACGAAGGAGCACATTCAAGAGGGAGAGAAGAGGAGAGAGAATTGGGGTCTCCCAGGGGAGAGAAGTGGGGTGCCTTTGCTAAGAAAAGTAAGAACCTAGCATATAAGAAGGAATGGGAATTCCCAGGGGGCAGACAAACCTGCTGCCCTTGGTCAGAAAGGTGGGTGCTGGGAGGAGCTCCTGCAAGGAAGAAGCAGGCAGAGACTGTGGCTCCTCCTCCAGGGCCCTGGTGAGGGCACAGGAACACCATCCCTCCTGGGCATAACCTGAGATGGTACAGTTACCCACTTTTGGTCACCTAGATGTGGGCTTTTGTTGTGTGGGGGCTCTGAGCCACGGGTAAGCAAGGACAACCTGGGGCAGGGGGAGAGAGAATGCTCTGGACTCTTCCAAATCCTCCTAGCCTCCTGTCTGCCTACCCAACAGGCCACAGGCATGGGGGCAGGGCATGGGGTACCACGCACTGGCACCCCACCCCAGCCCCAGACCTCACTGCTATAACGGGCTGGTCTTTGGTCCATTCCCAGCCGCAGTTTTCCAATTGCATCAATTTTCCAGTAACATCAATTGCTGGGTGCAGCCACGCCAAGACTGTGTATTGACAGCCCCCAGCAGCTTAGAGAGCCCTGGAGGCCTTCTGCCCCTCTGCCCAGCTCTGCCCTCTCCCTGCCCCCTGCCAGGACAGATCTCTGCAGTGCCAGAGAGATTGACAATATAATCTGGCCTTAGGAGCAGTGTCCGAGGCCACTGGCCAAGGAGGCTCCCTGTCTAGGTCCCAGCGTCCACGTGTCACCATGCCCCAGGCTGACTGGAGTTATGGGCTTGGGCCTGGGAGTCTGGGCCTATAGCACTATGTGCCCAGGAGTGGGTGAAGCAGGCAGGCGCCTCTCCCCAGTGTGGGTGTCTCCCCTGGGCCCAGGCAGCAGATGGTAGATGGCTGCCTGGTGCCTGGGAGTCCAGAAATCCAATACGAGAGATTCCTACTCCCCAGGGAGGAAAGCGAGAGGGAGGATATGGGTGGCTCAGCTGCACCCCAGCTCTGATGGCTGTGAGGAGGGGCTGAGGACGAAACAAGGAGTCTGGTGGAGAGTCATTCCAGTGAGCTCCACAGCAGTGATACTCCCACCAGCGGCCGGCCTGCGTCCCCCACACGTGGGCTTCCATACATTCAGTCAACAAACAACACCTGGGACAGGTGAAACAGAGCCTAACCTGCCCTCAGGGAGTGCAGCTCTGCCTTCTCATCTGCGTGGTCACCTGAGGCCCCTGCCCCCTGAGGATCCTGCCCTTTGGGCCTGACATCTGCCAACAGTTTGAGTTGAGGGACATAGGACTCCCATGGAGAGGGTGCTCGTGGGGTGCCTGGCCTGGGGCTCTTGGGTATGGGGTATTTTGTTTGTTTGTTTGTTTGTTTGAGACAGAGTCTCGCTCTGTCACCCAGGCTGGAGTGCAGTGGCATGATCTTGGTTCACTGCAACCTTGGCCTCCTGGGTTCAAGCGATTCTCCTGCCTCAGCCTCCTGAGTAGCTGGGACTACAGGTGCGCACCACCACGCCTGGCTAATTTTTGTATTTTTAGTACAGACGGGGTTTCACCATGTTGGCCAGGCTGGTCTTGAATTCCTGGCCTCAAGTGATTCGCCTGCCTCAGCCTCCCAAAGTGCTGGGATTACAGGCATGAGCCACCACGCCCGGCCAGGCATGGGGCATTTTAGCTGGTATTGTTCCATCCACCAAAGGGGGCTGCAGCCAGACCCTGGAGGGGCAGAGTCTACGACCTGAGAGGCACAGAGCAGCCAGCCGCTGGGTGTGGGCTGCCCAAGATAATGGGGAAGGTGGCCAGAGGGGCCTGCCCTGCCCCCACAGGGCCATCCTCCTCCCTCTGTGGTGCCCAGGCCACTACTCTGCCTGCTCCCTGGGCCCAGCCCTGCCTTGGGACCCCACACTCCTCCTAGGCCCAGAGCAGCAGCCTGGTTCTGGCCCCAGCACTCTCCTCCCAAACAAGTCCCTTCCCTTTTCCAAGCTATTGTGTCCTGCAAACCCAGGGATCCTCTCTCCATGCTCCCTCCCAGCCCTTGAAAGTCAGTTTCTGAGAACCTCAGGCTCTCTTCTGCAGAATGGGGGTCCATGCCTGCCCCCCAAGGACCTCCTGAGGCCAAATGTTCCAACTGGCCCCATGCCCAGCACTTAGTGTACTTTCAACAACAAATTCCTCCCTGCATCACAGGAGCAGGGCATCTTTGCAGGATGGGAATATGGGAAGAGCGCCCAGGGCCAACCCAGCTCCATGGGGTAGAATGCCCAGCCTCACCTCCCCACTTAATCCACCCCCATCTGCTCAGCTTTAATTACAGCAGAAGCAGACCTCGAGGTTAAGCTCTGAGCTGATGGCCGAGCGTGGACTTGGGCCTGATCTGATGCTACCTTATCTCCTAATAAGCAGCTTAACCGCTCTCCCCACCTCTGCCCTGTGGGTGGAGCACCAGCTGAGCAGCCTCACCCACCCTCTGCCCAGTATCTCTGGTCACTGTCCAAGCCTCTTCACCCGTGGCTGCCCTTCACTTGACCTTCACTCAGCCCCTTCCCTAGCCAGGCCACTGCAGGAGGGGACCCCTTCAGGGCCCACCCCCCATCCTCCCAATGGTGTTCGCAGCCTCCAGCTTCCGCTGCCTGGTAGATGTGGTGCCCGTGAAGAACGAGGACGGGGCTGTCATCATGTTCATTCTCAACTTCGAGGACCTGGCCCAGCTCCTGGCCAAGTGCAGCAGCCGCAGCTTGTCCCAGCGCCTGTTGTCCCAGAGCTTCCTGGGCTCCGGTGAGGCAGAGTGAGGGTGGTGGTGGGAGGGACGCATGAGGGTCCCCTGGCCGTGGCTGCTCTGACTCCTGGCCCTGGTTTCAGAGGGCTCTCATGGCAGGCCAGGCGGACCAGGGCCAGGCACAGGCAGGGGCAAGTACAGGACCATCAGCCAGATCCCACAGTTCACGCTCAACTTCGTGGAGTTCAACTTGGAGAAGCACCGCTCCAGCTCCACCACGGAGATTGAGATCATCGCGCCCCATAAGGTGGTGGAGCGGACACAGAACGTCACTGAGAAGGTCACCCAGGTGCGGGCCTGCAGAGCAGGGTGTGCAGAGCTGTGCCAGGCCTCCAGGGTCCCCTCCCAGGCTCTGGGCCCAGGCCCTTCTGGGGCCTTGGCCGATAAAGAGATCCTGCCTGTCCAGCCTCTAATATCTGGTTTGAGCCCCGGGCCTCCTGTCCTGTTTGAGACCTAAAGACCTGAAGGCCTGCCCTGAGGTCACAGCCCTTGTGCCCAGCTCCTAGAGCCAGAGGAGGCTGGGGTCAGTAGGGCCTGTGAATGATGCCACCTCCTAGGCCTGGAGAAGCCAGGGCAGGGGATGGACATGGAGGCCACCATGGGGGCCTGACCAAGGCTCAGCCCGTCACAGGGAAGGAGAGGCAGAGAGGAGACATGCCAAGGCCATACTGAGAGGAGAGCTGGTGTGGGGGGGGGTCCCAGCCCTGTGCCAGCCCTTTGCCTTTGAGACAAAAGCCACCCTCCCTACTTCCTTCCAATGTGAACACAGGATCCTCCTGCATGCCAGGCAGGGCAGGATGAGGCTGGCACCTCCAGCTATCTTTAATCAGCTTCCTGGGGGCCAGGCCCTGAAGGACCCCGGCAGCTCCTCCTTGGCCACCCCAAGGCAGGCTTCCCTGGGTTCTCTGCTCCAGCTCACCCTGCTGTCCCTTCTCATGAGGCCGGAAGCCCTGACCATTCCAGAGGGAAATGCGAGGAGCCCTGCCCGAGGCTCCAGTGACCACAGTCCTGGCACTGACTCCCTGTGTGACCTTGGCCAGGGGAACTATCAGCCCCCTTTCTAGGCCTCAGGGCTTTCATCTGCAGGAGAGAGATGGACTAAATGGTCTCTGGGGACCCATTTGACATTGAGTAGTTCTGGCCCCAGGAGGCAGACAAAGCTGTAAGTCATAGCCAGGGGCCCAGGCCAAGGTTGAGCAATGCAGAGCATGGAGGGGCCTGCTCCCAGCTTTCCTGGGGCTGTCCCTGTGTTGGGGCTGGAGGCAGCTCTTTTCCCCCTGCCTGTTTTCACCTAAAGCACAGTTGCTGCTGGAACCAGGTGTGGGGAAGACCACTCAGCACCTCACTGACCTCAAGGATCCTGAGGAGGGTGGGACGCCAGGCTGCAGGACTGTGTCCTCTGAGGTCAGGCAGAGTGGCCCAAAGGCCTGACCCTGGGAAGCCCCCCAGCTGCTTACTCCAGGACATCTTAGGTTGATGCCACTGTTGGTGGCTACCACGGAGGGGGCTGTTAGACTGGAGAGTGGTCGGTAAAGACAGCCAGGCCTGGCTGGGCCCATAGTCCCGGCACCTGCCCAACCTGCCTACCCGTTTGTTCCTCAGCTTGGCCCCTCTTGGTGTCACTCCCCTGCTCCATGTGGGTCCTAGGTCCAGGGAGGTGCCTGACAGATCTCAGGGGAAAGAGCAGGCGAGGACCCAGATCAGGGAAGTCACATCGGCCTCAACCAGAACTTAAAGAGCCTCGATGGCTGTGGCCTCACACTGGAGCCTGGGCATCCTGAGGGCCTTGCAGCTCTGGGGGACACTGGGCAGGGTGGGCTTTGCCACGAAGAGCCTCGAGCTGGCTTTGGAGGCAGTGGGAGATTTTGGGGGTCCCCCTGTCTGGGGGCCCTGAGAAGCTGAGGAACTCTATTCTCAGCCTACTTTAAACCACCCCCCACCATTCCTTCTGTCTCCCTCCCACTCCCCACCCAGGCAGGCCTAGGGAAGGGCCTTGTTTCACCCTAGCAGGGTCCTAGCAGCCCTCAGGAGGAGGAGGAGCAGCTCTGATGCCCAGGGTGTGACGGCAGCTGCTCCTGATCAGAGCCCCAGTTTGCAGTGCTCATTCAAGGACCTGCAGTTGAGAGCCCATGTGGACCAAGAGCTGGGCACACAGCGGGGAGAGGGCCAGTGAGGGAGCCAAACTCAGTGAGCCCATGGCTCAGTGGAGCACCACCATGCAGCTAGGTGGATACAGGGGCAGGGAGAAAATAAAAAAAGAGCCCAAGTCTATGTGGAGTCGGAGGGGGCTTCCTGGGGAAGTACGAGGTGAGGCCTCAAGGCTGAGCAGGTCACTGCAGGGTGGGGACATGGTAGCCCCACTCAAGGGTTTGGATGTCAGATAGGGACCCTCTGGTTGAAACTAAATGGATCTGCCTTACTGTGATCCCATCTGCTAATTGATTTGGTTTGCAAGGTCAAACCTTACATTGCAAATTTTCCTAAATCAGAACTATCCACCAGATCTCATCTGGTGGGAGAGGAGGTCCATGGAACACCCCTCCGGCTCCATCCTTGTCTGGAGCAGTGTCTGATGAGGCTGAGGGAGGAGGAGGGTGGACAGGGAATTACTGTGTAGAGCAGCACCTGCCATCTCCATGAGAATAGATGGATCTCACTAACTACATGAGAAGAGATGCATCTCATTTCCTCACTACCCATGGCTTTTGTTGTCCTTTGTGATTCCATTTTGCAGATGAGGGAACTGAGGCTCACAGAGGTTACAAAACTTGCCCAAGGCTCACCTATAGCACATGTCAGACCTGGGATTCAACCGGGGAGGCCTGGCTTCAGTACCCATGCCCTTCCTAATGCCCTGGCTGTCTCTCATGTTGGGCAGCTGGGCAGAGCCAGGGCATGTTGTGCTGGGACCTAGAGATCCTGGGTTGATCACAGTCTTGGAGGCGGGGGCGGGAGGGGAGAAGGGAGAAGGGAAGGCTCTGCAGAAGGTGATGATTCCAAACCCTTGGAGATGTGGGGAGGAGTCAGTTTTCCTTGGTGCCCAGGACCCGTTGAGGGTCCAGGTTGGCTACACCCCTACCCCATGGACTCTTTCCATGGGAGGCTCTGAGTTGGCCTCAGAGAGGGCACTCACTGGTCCTGGATCCCCAGGGCCCTCAGAAAGGAAGACATTCTTCTAGGGGTGACCTGTTCCCATCAGGAACCCTGACCATAGGGAGCCTCCTAAGCTCACCAGAGAGGATCAGCCCATCAGCTACCCCTTCTGTGGGCTCTTGTGTGGAATGGGTCTATAGATGTCCATGGGCCTGGCCCTCCCCTGCCTGGCTCCACCCACTCCAGGATGTTTCCAAGGGAGCTTGTGAGCATCAAACCTGGTGTCGCTATGGGGCGGAGCCATACCCCTCCTCTTGCATCCCAACTCCTTTCTCTGCACTTCCTCTCGAGGCATCTGTCCCCTTAGGAACTTGCCTTCTCAGACACCCCCCACCCCATCTCTCCCTCATCCCCTCTGCCCACCAGAGCCGTGGTCACCCACCCTCTCCCACTACACCTTCCCCAGGCCTCAGCCCTCTAGGCCAGTCTCACCAGCAGTGGCTGCCCCGTGCCTGACCTCCCTCGGCCCCCACCCCCAGGTCCTGTCCCTGGGCGCGGATGTGCTGCCGGAGTACAAGCTGCAGGCGCCGCGCATCCACCGCTGGACCATCCTGCACTACAGCCCCTTCAAGGCCGTGTGGGACTGGCTCATCCTGCTGCTGGTCATCTACACGGCTGTCTTCACGCCCTACTCAGCCGCCTTCCTGCTCAGCGATCAGGACGAATCACGGCGTGGGGCCTGCAGCTATACCTGCAGTCCCCTCACTGTGGTGGATCTCATCGTGGACATCATGTTCGTCGTGGACATCGTCATCAACTTCCGCACCACCTATGTCAACACCAATGATGAGGTGGTCAGCCACCCCCGCCGCATCGCCGTCCACTACTTCAAGGGCTGGTTCCTCATTGACATGGTGGCCGCCATCCCTTTCGACCTCCTGATCTTCCGCACTGGCTCCGATGAGGTGAGCAGACCCCCTCCAGGCCAGCAGCCATGGCTGTCCTCTGCACGCTGGCCTCAAGCCCTCCCTGCTGCACAGCACTGGGTGCGGAGAGTATCTGGCACTGGGCACCTTTGCTGAAGCACGTGGAGGTGGAGAGGAGGCCCCAAACATCTGTCACCTCCCAGCCCTGGAGAAGGACCTGCCAAGGCTGCACCCCCAGGCCTCTGTCCCTCTGCCCCCTCTCTGAGCAGGCCCTGGTAAGAGGAGCAGGCTGCCCCTTCCAGGATGGGCACTCGTGTGGTCCCGGCCCCTCATGCTGACTTCCAAACTGCACTCACCCTGGAGGAAGAAAGGGATCCCCAGGCCACTCCCCCAGTGCACCCTGGCTCCCACCTTGCTCCCTAGCCCTCCACTATGTCCACCTGGCTGCCCATAGGTGACGTGAAGGCATCTACATGCCTTTCTCATAGCTTCCAGTCCCACGGTCTCCTCTTGCCCCCTCTCCTCACGATCAGCTTTTCACTGAAATCAACTCTGCCTTCTGTGTTCCAGTGCCCCCTTATCACCCCAGCCTGTCCAGCAGGGGGTGTCCAGCAGGGCTCCTCTGCTCCAAAGCCCCCTAAGACCACCCCTCAACAAATCCACCCTCCTACCTTGCTGCCCCCACCTGGACACTGAGTGGCCTTCGTACTCACTTGTGTCCCATCACCAAACTTGCCAGTCTCCCGCCCCTCCACACAGCTGCCACAGCGACTTTCAGATCGCCTACCTGACCCTGTGTTCCACCCTCTGGGGTGTACAGGGTCCTCAGAATTTTCAGTGGCTTCCCAAGGCCTACAGACTAGAAGCCAAGTTCATGATGGACCCTGAAGCCCACAGGCAGCAGCCCCTGCCCGCCCTGCCCTTCCCAGGCACGGCTCTCACTGCTCCTCCATCTCCCATGTGCGCATCGGGCTGCAGTGCCACACTCGGTTTCCCACATCGGCCACGCACTTCACACCTCAGTGCCGCTGCTCATGCTGCTCCCTGAGCCAGGAGTGCCCTTTCCCTCTCTCTCCTGTCTGTCTGGAGCCCTAGCCTCCTCTCTCCAGGCTCAGCTCATGCGTCACCTCATCCATGAAGCCTCCCCTGACCTCCCCTTCCTCTGTTCTCCCACTGGACTTCTGTCCTAGCAACCAGAACACTATTCTGAGCTTTAGGCTGAGATCCTCAATGTCCCATACTGTGCCACACTGCCAAGTGCGTGGCCCGGAGGAAGTTCTCCATAAATGTTTGTTGAATGAGTATGTGGTTGTATGCATGAGTGAACAAAAGCAGGCCTGACTGCACCCTTCCAAGGGCTGACCCCAGCCCTGTGACCATTTCCCTACCCCTCCAGACCACAACCCTGATTGGGCTATTGAAGACAGCGCGGCTGCTGCGGCTGGTGCGCGTAGCACGGAAGCTGGACCGCTACTCTGAGTATGGGGCGGCTGTGCTCTTCTTGCTCATGTGCACCTTCGCGCTCATAGCGCACTGGCTGGCCTGCATCTGGTACGCCATCGGCAATGTGGAGCGGCCCTACCTAGAACACAAGATCGGCTGGCTGGACAGCCTGGGTGTGCAGCTTGGCAAGCGCTACAACGGCAGCGACCCAGCCTCGGGCCCCTCGGTGCAGGACAAGTATGTCACAGCCCTCTACTTCACCTTCAGCAGCCTCACCAGCGTGGGCTTCGGCAATGTCTCGCCCAACACCAACTCCGAGAAGGTCTTCTCCATCTGCGTCATGCTCATCGGCTGTGAGTGAGACCTCATGCCACGGCCTAACTTCATGCTCTGGTCTTACCCGTGAAATTTTATGTGTAGTTTTGTACTGAGATAGAACATAACACATAGCAACAATTCATGCAGTACACTGATCCTAAGTGTGCAGCACAATGAATTTTTGCTGGTGTGTGCACCAAGTGTATACAATATTTAACACCCACACAGCCCATGCTATCTGCCAGGCACCAAGACAGGCTACATAATTTGCAGAGCCCAGAGCAAAATGAAATTGTAGGGACCCTTGTTTAAAAATTATTAAGAATCGGCCAGATGCTGTGGCTCAAGGCTGTAATCCCAGCACTCCAGGACACCAAGGTGGGTGGGTCACCCGAGGTCAAGAGTTCAAGACTAGCCTGGCCAATATGGTGAAACCCCATTTTTACTAAAAAATACAAAAATTAGCCAGGTGTGGTGGCACATGCCTATAATCCCAGCTACTCGGGAGGCTGAGGCAGGAGAATCAGTTGAACCTGGGAGGTGGAGGTTGCAGTGAGCCAAGATCGTGCCACTGCACTTCAGCTTAGGTGACAGAGTGAGACTCCGTCTCAAAAAAGAAAAAAAAATTATTAAGAATTTTTCGCCAGGCATGGTGGCTCACTCCTGTAATCCCAGCACTTTGGGAGGCCGAGGTGGGCGGATCATGAGGTCAGGAGTTCAAGACCAGCCTGACCAACATGGTGAAACCCTGTCTCTACTAAAAATACAAAAATTAGCCGGCGTGGTGGTACACACCTGTAATCCCAGCTACTCAGGAGGCTGAGGCAGGAGAATTGCTTGAACCTGGGAGGTGGAGCTTGCATGAGCCGAGATCACACCACTGCACTCCAGCCTGGGAGACAGAGCAAGACTCCGTCTCAAAAAAAAAAAAAAAAAAAAAAAAAGAATTTTTCGACAGTGACAGCAGAGTATTAAACCAAATGCAGGGCTCTTAGCATGCGGCTCCGTGTGTCCACATGGGTTGTACACATGAAGCCAGCTCTGCCAGGCACTCTTTTAAACACTTTACAAAAGCCCACATTTCATTCCCTTCTGAGCCTGGTTTACAAAGCAAGAACCCAGGTAGTGCTAAAGTGCCAGAGGGCACACAGCTAGGAAATGTCCGAGTGACTCAATCCCAGCCCAGGGGTTCAGCTCCAAGGCTGTGCTGTTCTCAATCCCTGCTCCCAGCTGCCTGCCTCCCAAGACACCTGGTTTAGGAAAACAAGAGTCAGCGTGGAATTTTACACATAGATTGAGTTGTGATGTTCAGAGTATTTAGAGATATGAAAGTCCAGAAAAACAAAAACAAGGGAAGAAAATGGGTGAAAACAAGAAATTGAGAGTTTGCTCTTTTTTGTTGTTGTGGGTTTTTTTGTTTTGAGACAGTCTCATTCTGTCGCCCAGGCTGGAGCTCAGTGGCATGGTCTTGGCTCACTGCAACCTCTGCCTCCTGGGTTCAAGCGATTCTCATGCCTCAGCCTCCCGAGTAGCTGGGATTACAGACGGGCATCACCATGCCCGGCTAATTTTTCTATTTTTTTGGTACAGACGGGGTTTCACCATGTTGTCTGGGTTGGTCTCGAACTCCTGACCTCAGGTGATCTGCCCACCTCGGCCTCCCAAAGTGCTGGGATTACAGGCCTGAGCCACCACACCCGGCGGAGAGTTTTATCTTTATTGTATTTTTACAACTTAAAGGAGAAAACAGATCTGAACTTTAAAAATCCATTGCCTTCCTTCTTTCTTCTCGGGAGTTTGACCGCTAGGCCCAGTAAGATGCCAAGAGGCACAGGACAGAGGGAGGAGGGCAGAAAGCCCAGGGGCCTTTGTCCCGCATGTGCCCTGGCGCTGTCCTGGTCACTCCTGACTTCTCCCTGGACAGAGGGGTCCTTCACCAGGGGGCTGCTGGAAGGAGGAAGACCTGGGTAAGCCCTTGGTGGTGTGGCCCAGTGGGGCCGCGGAGGAGCTCACTCTCCGCCCCGCCCCCAGCCCTGATGTACGCCAGCATCTTCGGGAACGTGTCCGCGATCATCCAGCGCCTGTACTCGGGCACCGCGCGCTACCACACGCAGATGCTGCGTGTCAAGGAGTTCATCCGCTTCCACCAGATCCCCAACCCACTGCGCCAGCGCCTGGAGGAGTATTTCCAGCACGCCTGGTCCTACACCAATGGCATTGACATGAACGCGGTGAGCCCCGCCGCTCCGGCTAATGCCCCGGGCGTGGGGGGGAGCCAAGATCCTGCGGGGGCGGGGCGTCCCCAGAGCCCTCACCACCCTCTCCCCCAGCCCCACCCCGGCCGCGTCCCGCTGGACTTGGCCGCCCGCCTTGCAGGTGCTGAAGGGCTTCCCCGAGTGCCTGCAGGCTGACATCTGCCTGCACCTGCACCGCGCACTGCTGCAGCACTGCCCAGCTTTCAGCGGCGCCGGCAAGGGCTGCCTGCGCGCGCTAGCCGTCAAGTTCAAGACCACCCACGCGCCGCCTGGGGACACGCTGGTGCACCTCGGCGACGTGCTCTCCACCCTCTACTTCATCTCCCGAGGCTCCATCGAGATCCTGCGCGACGACGTGGTCGTGGCCATCCTAGGTGGGTCCGGCGGAGTGGACCAGGCCTGTGTTGGGGATTGGATGGAAGAGGGCGGGATTGGAGATGCCCTGCCCAGGCCACCCTCTTCCTGATGAGGATTTTACTTTTACTGGCAGCCACTTGCACAGCATGTGCCCGGGAGAGCTTTAGACCCAGCTGGCTGAATCCTTAAAACAACCCTCTGCCGGAGGTCCCATTTTCCTGAGAGGGAAGTTGAGGCTGAGGGAGATCATGCTAGTCTGTGGCCAGGCAGGGATTCCAGGGCTGCCAGTGTGACTCAGAAGCCCAGGCAGGTCTTCCTACCTTCTTGCACTCTTGGGGAGTTTAGGGAGAAAGGCCAAGGGTCTTTCTGGGTGGAGGTGGATGCCCTGGCTGGGGACCCCAGTCTCATTCAGTGCAGACACAGGGATAGCTAGACACTTTGGAGGAAGGACATGAGCACTGGGCAGGGGGGACAGACAGGTCACAAGCAGCCTCTGTCACATACCTGCTGTGTGACCTTGGGCAAGTCACTTTGCCTCTCTGAGCATCACAGGGTCCTCTTGATTCTCATCTTCCTTGCCTGCCCCATGACTTCATCTCCACCCCAACTTCAGCCTCGCCCTCCTTTGGTACCCATGACCTGGCTATCCTCCAGCCCCTCTGGACAGGTTCCCCTCGGGCAGCCCTCCCCCTCTGCTTCCTCTGGACTGCTGGTGATCTGCTCTCCTCGCCCCTCCTCACCTGACACCCTCCCCTGGGCCTGCTCCTCGCTCCCACGGCTTCAGCCTTCACCTGTGCCACAAGGAGCCCTGTCCTCACCCCACTGTCTCCTTAGACCAGAATATTCCATTTCTTCCTGGGCATGGCCGCCCTAGTATTCTATGAACAGATCAAACTCAATGTATCCCAACCTGAAATCACCTTTCCTCAAAACCAGCTGCTTCAGCATCCCCATCACTGTGAAGCATCTGCCTATTGCCCACGCCACAGTCTGCCAAGGGGGCATCCTACTTCATTCCTGCCCACTGTCCACCAGCCAGACTTGTCCATACCTCTCCATCTCACACCTGTCTCCCTGTCCCTGCCTGGATCCAGCCCTCTTTGGGTCCTTCCTGGAAAGGTGTTGGGAACTCCTTTCCCATGGCCCTGCGTCTGGTTTACTCCCATGCCTGTCTTCCACCTTCTGCCAGTGACCTGAAATAGACATCTGTACATCTGCCTCTTCTGCTCAAGATCCCTCCACAGTTCCCCATGGTCCATGCATGGCATCCCCAGTTATCCCAATCCGACCACCCTGTCCTACCACCCTCCCCCTGGTACTTCATGCTCCAGCCAAACTACTTAGAGTTCTCTAAATCTGTGCCCTTGCATGTGCTGCCATTCTGCCTGGAGCGCCCTACCCTGTGCCAGTCCGGCAGATCCCAGTTGTCCTCCAAGGCTGGGCTTAGGCACAGGTTTCTGTATGAGACCTTCCCTCACTCCCAGCCTACCTTAGACGTGCCATCCATGGCCAGGCACGGTGGCTCATGCCTGTAATCCCAGCACTTTGGGAGGCCGAGGTGGGTGATCACAAGGTCAGGAGTTCAAGACCAACCTGGCCAAGATGATGAAACCCCATCCCTACTAGAAATACAAAAAATTAGCCCGGCATGGTGGCGGGTGCCTGTAATCCCAGCTACTTGGGAGGCTGAGGCAGAGAATTGCTTGAACCCAGGAGGTGGAAATTGCAGTAAACCAAGATCACGCCACTGTACTCCAGCCTGGGTGGCAGAGCGAGACTCTGTCTTTAAAAAAAAAAAGTGCCATCACATGGGAGGGATGATTATTATTATTAATAATTAAGAAGTTAATCCAATTTAAGTTTCAGTTAGAGACATGAAACCTCTCATTTTGTCCTGAGTAGAAAAAGACACTAGATCAGAATCTTTCATCTACTGGAAAACCATCACATTATAATGTTGCCCAGATTTCAAGCTTCAGGGTTTCATGTGTGACCCTGGCAAGCCGCTTCCCTCTCCAGGCCTCAGCCCCCTCCTTTGTGAATACCCTTTGATCCTGTTCTCTTGTGGGGACATGTCTCAGCCTCCACCCATCCTTCTGTGCTAAACTGTTACTGCCACTTGCACTAACAAGTGGACTTTCTGGGGGAGTGGGAATCAAAGCAGTCATGCTCCGTGGCACCCCGGCCCTGGGCTCTCCACCCCTGAGCCCTGACAGTGCAGTGCTGATCACATGCTGTTTCTTCTGTCCTGACTGCCTTTCTCATGGGGGCTGGTCCTTGTTTCTCTCGACACAGCCCCCACTTCACTTCCTCTGTAAGCCCCCTCCTCTCTGCCCCAGCCACCCCTGGCAGGAGGAGCCCCTCCCTCCTCCATGGCCCCATAACTCTTGGTTCTTCCTGTTTCTAGGGCTCTACAGATCATGCTGTAAACTTGTTGGCTGCTTACGTACCTATCTTGCAGGGATTTGGGAGGGTCCTTGTGGGTGGCACAACATCTTATATTTATATCCTTTGGCCAGCACAGCACCTGGCACCAGGAGGGCCCAGTACCCTTGCCACATACCACATACCTGAACATCACCCATGTCTACCCTGGGATATTCCCCCTTGCCTTGCATGGACCTAGTCAGGTGCCTCTTGCTTTTTTTTTTTTTTTTTTTTGAGATGGAGTCTCGCTCTGTCACCCAGGCTGGAGTACAGTGGTGTGATCTCAGCTCCCTGCAAACTCTGCCTCCCGGGTTCAAGTGATTCTTCTGCCTCAGCCTCCCGAGTAGCTGGGATTACAGGCCACCATGCCCTGCTAATTTTTGTTTTTGCTGTTGTTGTTTTTAGTAGAGATGCGGTTTCACCGTGTTGGCCAGACTGGTCTCGAACCGACCTCAAATAATCCACTACCCTCAGCCTCCCAAAGTGCTGGGATTACAGGCGTGAGCCGCTGAGCCCTGCTGCCTGTTGCTTTTTGAGTCACTTTCTCAAGCATCACCTCATCTGCTTCCCTGAACAGTCCAGTGGGGTTGGCAAGGCAGATCAGGTTTTATCCATTTTAGAGATGAAGACTCTGGGGTCTAGACAGGGGGAGTAACTTCCCCAAGCTTCCTTCACCAGGGCCATGCTGGTTACCTGGCCCCACAATTGGGAGTGGGAAGACAGAGAAGCCTCTGGCCCTGCCCTGGCGGAGTTAGGTGCTCTGGCCCTGGGTTCCCTGCACCCTGCTCCACAGCACTGGCAGGCCAAGCAGCAGGAAGACGTTGAGACAGATGTTGAGCCTTTAGGGCCCCTTCCTGCCCACTGTGCCAAAGAGTATGGGCTACAGGAGGGAGATTCTGATGGAGGGTGGTTCTGAAGGGCCTGGAGACAGTGAGAGGAGCCACACGCCGGATCTCTGTGCCGCTCAAAGGACACAGGAAGAGAACAGCCCCACCCCTACCCTGCCACCCACAGCCAGCACATCCAGCCATGTCCCCAGAGCTCTATCCCAGGCAGCAGGCCCCGGCCTAGAAGGATGTCCGAGGTTGGGGGAGGTCACGGTCAAAGGACCCTCATAAGGGAGCATGGAGTCAGACCCTGAAGAGACTCCCACCCCTCTGGCTGGCAGGAAAGAATGACATCTTTGGGGAACCCGTCAGCCTCCATGCCCAGCCAGGCAAGTCCAGTGCAGACGTGCGGGCTCTGACCTACTGCGACCTGCACAAGATCCAGCGGGCAGATCTGCTGGAGGTGCTGGACATGTACCCGGCCTTTGCGGAGAGCTTCTGGAGTAAGCTGGAGGTCACCTTCAACCTGCGGGACGTGAGTCAGGGCCAGGTGGGCCAGGGTGGGTGGAAATGCCCAGGCAGCCTGCCTGGCCTGAGGGCACCCATCTGACCAACACCCTTCCTTTCAACCCCATCCTGCAACCTTTGCCATAATTTCTTTTGTGCCTACCATGGCTGGCGTCATGCTAAGTATGAGGATAGCTACTATTTATTAAGCAGTAGGGTGCTAAGGGTGGGGCTTCTTTTACATGATCTTCTTGCAAATGGTATTATTATCCCCAATTTTCAGATGAGGAAACTGAGGATTAGAGACAATAAATAAATTGGCCAAAGCCATTCAGCTAGTCAACGGCAGAGCCAAAATGTGAATTTAATTTGTCTGACTCCAAAGCCCAGGCATTCCTACTACATCATACCAAGCTGAAAAAGGGGGTGCCTTCTGTCCAGAGGGCTCACAGTGCCAGACACAGGGGCTGCCAAGAGGTGACAAAGCTGTCTCTTCTCATGCTCATCCCTCAGTAGAGGAGATTTTGACAACTCAAGAAAAATAAAGAGCCACAAAGTAAAACAGCCAAAGTCACGAAGGTATAAAGGAGAAGCCATGTGGAGCTCAAGCTTGCTAAGGAGTGGGACAGCCAGGACCGACCTGGGAATGCCCAGAGCGGGGTATCACGGAGGAGGAAACTAATGGGAAGAAGGGAGTGTGCATCTGGCAGGGAAACACAGAGCCCGGGCTATTTCTTCCCTGGTGCCCCGCCCCTCCACCTTGGGGGAGGGCCCTGCTGGCGTAGGCCCTGTGCCCAGCTTCCTGAGCATAGAGCTGGGTGGGCTTTCTGGCTGTGGACAGCCCTCCCCACACCATCCCCTCTCCCCCTCCTCAGTTTCTCCCCTCCCTCCCGCGATCTGCACAGGAGACTGACAGGTTAGGACTCTGCCCTCGGCCCCCAGCCATCAGGTGGCCAGAATGCCCAGCAGCTGGGCACCAGGACAGGAGGGGTGTGGTCTCTGCAGCCTGGGCCACCTGCAGGAAGTCGTCCAGGGCATCGCTGCTGTGCCCAGCTGCTTGTCATTCTTTCACCTAGTTGTGACAGCACCATGGGGTCAGGGCAGGGAAGAACAAAGAGGCCCCATCCCAGCTTTGGTTCCTGTTATTTCACCCTCTTGCTTCCCATAAGGCAGCCGGGGGTCTCCACTCATCCCCCCGACAGGCTCCTGGCAGCCAAGACCACCAAGGTTTCTTTCTCAGTGACAACCAGTCAGGTGAGCAAAGCCAGCCCCCACCCCCACCAGCCTGTAGCCCCTGCCCAGCCTCCTACCCCTCCCATGTCCTCTCCATCCTGCCTCCCCAGCGCCACCCCACTCCATGAGTGGAGAGGGGCTCCCTCTCTAGACCCAGAGCTGGAGCCTTGGCCCTCCTTCCTCCCCAGTCTCCCAGTCCTGATGGTCTGTGTCCTCAGAGGCAGAGTGAGGGCTCTGTGGTTCAAATGCAACCCCCAGGGGTGTATGGAGACTAGCCAGCCCCCTGAGGTTCCACACCAAGGCATCAGGGGGGCCACTGGGCTGCAGCTCCCTGGGCAGTGAAACCAGTGCTAAAAGTCCTCACCCTGCCAGGGTCTCCCCATGAGCTGGGGCCCCAGTTCCCCTCTAAGGGCTACAGCCTCCTGGGTCCTGGGAGCCAGAACTCCATGGGGGCAGGACCTTGTGCTCCAGGGCACCCAGGTAAGGAGAGCCACTCCTCACACCCTGTGTCCCCAGGGCAGGTAGGGGGTGGGGGACAGGCTCTATTGAGAAGGGTCAGGCCTGTGGAACCAGCTAGGCCCAGCTGAGACTTCCCTTTCCCTCCTGCAGATGCAGCCCCTCCCCTGAGCATCTCAGATGCATCTGGCCTCTGGCCTGAGCTACTGCAGGAAATGCCCCCAAGGCACAGCCCCCAAAGCCCTCAGGAAGACCCAGATTGCTGGCCTCTGAAGCTGGGCTCCAGGCTAGAGCAGCTCCAGGCCCAGATGAACAGGTGTGTGTGCTGTGGTCAGGGCTGGGGGCTGGTCATGGGTAGCCCCTCCTAGTGGCTCAGACACATCACAGGGTGCCAGGTGGGTTTTAGAATGGGGCAGGCCATTTAGCTGCAGGTCTCCCCATACCTGTCATTAAGCACAATTCCCCCAATGACTTCCCCTAGCAAACTCTGGAACATGCCAAGGGAGCTTCTCGGGGGAGGGGCACAACCATGTGCAGAAACAAATTCCATAGGTCCTGGGAAAGGGAGTGTGTCCTGTGGATGGCAGGGCTATGGTGGCAGAGCGAGGGCTTAGAGGCAGAACAGTCCAGGTTCAAATTCTGGCTCTGTTCCCTACCAGCAAGAGTGTGGGCAAGTTACTAAACAGCTCTGAACCTAGTTTGCCCTTTTGTGAAATGGGGATAATTGGAACATCCACATCAAAGCATCTTGGGGACTGAATCTTGTATGCTTGGTGCCTGCTCACTGGTGTTGTTAAGAGTCAGGGGTGTACCAGGGGGATTCTGGGCCGGGGCTGTGGATCCCAGTAAGGAAATAGCTTCAGGTAGGCCCCAGGCCGCCATTCCATCTAGCAGGAACAGCACGCAGGCTACAAGATTGACAGCTGCCCTCAGGAACTACTTTTGCCAGCCCTGACCCTGACTGTGGGGTTCTGTCTGGCAGGCTGGAGTCCCGCGTGTCCTCAGACCTCAGCCGCATCTTGCAGCTCCTCCAGAAGCCCATGCCCCAGGGCCACGCCAGCTACATTCTGGAAGCCCCTGCCTCCAATGACCTGGCCTTGGTTCCTATAGCCTCGGAGACGACGAGTCCAGGGCCCAGGCTGCCCCAGGGCTTTCTGCCTCCTGCACAGGTAAGAGGTGAGGGGATTCCCAGGGGCTTACCTGCGAGCAGCTGCATGCCTTCCCTACCCTGACTTGTTCACAGTGCAGCATCAGGCCCAGAGCCTCTGTGGCCCCAGAGCAGCCAGGGCTTCTGCTTACCTCCTTTATGATCAGAGTCATGATAGGGTTAGCCTGGGCAAGGTGCTGGCAAAGCCCAGAATGTGACTCCAGAGCCTGCAGCTGGGGCCAGGGCAGCAGGACCCTGAGGTGTGGGAAGGGCAGGTACAATTTTTGCCTGATCCCATCCCTGAAATCAGGGTGGATTAACCCGCAGCCTGGCCTGGGGTGCATCCCTCTTTCTTGCTCCTCCCAGACCCCAAGCTATGGAGACTTGGATGACTGTAGTCCAAAGCACAGGAACTCCTCCCCCAGGATGCCTCACCTGGCTGTGGCAACGGACAAAACTCTGGCACCATCCTCAGAACAGGAACAGCCTGAGGGGCTCTGGCCACCCCTAGCCTCACCTCTACATCCCCTGGAAGTACAAGGACTCATCTGTGGTCCCTGCTTCTCCTCCCTCCCTGAACACCTTGGCTCTGTTCCCAAGCAGCTGGACTTCCAGAGACATGGCTCAGATCCTGGATTTGCAGGGAGTTGGGGCCACTGAACTCCAAGATAAAGACACCATGAGGGGACTGAAGGTGGGCAAGGTGAGAGTTAAGGATCTTGGGGAGGTGGCCGGGTGCAGTGGCTCGCCTGTAATCCCAGCACTTTGGGAGGCCGAGGCGGGCGGATCAGACCATCCTGGCTAACACGGTGAAACCCCACCTCTACTAAAATTAAAAAAGAAAAAAAATAGCCGGGCGTGGTGGCAGGCGCCTGTAATCCCAGCTACTGGGGAGGCTGAGGCAGGAGAATGGCATGAACCCGGGAGGTGGAGGTTGCAGGGAGCCGAGGCCGCACCACTGCACTCCAGCCTGGGTGACAGAGTGAGACTCCAACTCAAAAAAAAAAAAAAAAAAGATCTTGGGGAGGCAGACAGCCCCCCAGATGGGCCTCTCCTAAAGTAGCTACAAACTGCTGATCCAGGTGACCCAGGATGGCGTGGGTGAAGAAGCTCACGACTTTTCCCAGCCTCCTCCAGGGCTCCATTTAAACAGCAAGCCTGGTGCAGGGTGGGAGAGTCTCAGGTGTGGAGGCAGCTTACAGGATTGAGGGGGCAGTGAAGAAAGAGGTTTCTGATCTACATGAGTACCTTGCTCTGAGCCTCCCAGCTCAGAACCCTCCAGCACCTCATGGCTCAGCACCAAGGCCCGGGGTTGGTCAGAACTCTTACCATGAGCCTCTGACCTGGCTGGAGATGGAGGTATGTTCTGTGGCAGACATGTCAGGACAGTCCTCCAGCCCTCTGCTCCTGATGGTTCTGTGACATTGGGTCTCTTGAGGGCAGTGGAGTGTCACACAGCTAATAAAGTACACATTTCATGTTGGACTGGGTGTGTAACTTATCTGAAGGTCATTACGTCTTTGACTGTGCTGTGGCTTTCTCCAAACCCTTCTTGTAAGGAGCTGCAGACTTACCCTCCACCATATCCAGTGTGTTGGGGACCTGAAGGTGGTTCTGCTGGGCCCAGAGGCTCCTGGAGCCTGGGGCTGTTAGGCCGAGGTGAAGGGAAGCAGAGGCACTGGCTTGGTGGCCCTAGGGGATCATGACAACAGCCAACACTTCGGTAGCACTCGCCCCGTACCAGGCACTGTGCTGACAGCTCTGCAGATACTTGTTCATCTAATCCTCAAAACAACCCCAACGGGTTGGTATTATTATCCCCATTTTACAGATGTGGGATCAGTAGCAGAGAGACTAAGACACCCAAACATGAGGGGGATTTCTGAGGTGCAGGTACTGTTCTGTTTCCTGATCTAGGTGCTGGTTACAGGTGTTCAGGTTGCGAAAGAGTGTGCTTCTGTGTGTAAATTATACCTCAGTTAAAAAGAAAATAAAAATAAAAAAAGAGGCCAGGTGTAGTGGCTCATGCCTGTAATCCCAGGGCTTTGGGAGGAGGATGAGGCAGGAGGACTGCTTGAGGCCAGGAGTCCAAGGTTACAGTAAGCCGTGATTGCATCACTGAACTCACACCCTGGGCAAGGGAATAAGACCCTGTCTCAAAATGAAAATTTTAAAAATCATCCCCGTGCCCAACACGGGGCATTTGTATTGACCCATTTCTACCCAAATAGCAGCGATTTGAGAGCCACCACCATCTATTTTAAAAACACAAGAAACCCTTCTTTAACATCGTTCTTTTTTCTTTTCTCATAATTCCCACTTATTCCTCCCATAGTTTTATCCTACATGTAATTTATTGGTATGCTTCAAAGCCTAATATTGATCACCCTATCATATGTTTGCAACACAAATATGTATACAGGCTGGGTGCAGTGGCTCACTCATGCCTGTAATCCCAACACTTTGGGAGGCTGAGGCTGGAAGATTGCTTGAGCCAGGAATTCAAGACCAGCCTGGGCAGCATAGCTCAACCTGGTCTCTACAAAACAATTTTTTTTTAATTAGCCAAGCATTGTGATGCGCACCTGTAGTCCCAGGTACTACAGGGCTTGCTGGGAGGCTTGGGTGGGAGAGTCACTTGAACCTAAGAGGTCAAGACTGCAGTAAGCCATGTTCATGCAACTGTACTCCAGCCCGGGTAACAGAGCAAGACTCGGTCTCTTAAAAAAAAAAAAAAAAGTGGCTGGGCGCAGTGGCTCACACCTGTAATCCCAGCACTTTGGGAGGCTGAGGTGGGCAGATCACGAGGTCAGGAGATCAAGACCATCCTGGCTAACAGGGTGAAACCCCATCTCTACTAAAAATACAAAAAAAATAGCCAGGCGTGGTGGCAGGTGCCTGTAGTCCCAGCTACTCGGGAGGCTGAGGCAGGAGAATGGCGTGAACCCAGGAGGTGGAGCTTGTAGTGAGCCAAGATCGTGCCACTGCACTCCAGCGTGGGCAACAGAGCAAGACTCCGTTTCAAAAAAAAAGTAGGTCGGTCATGGGGTGGCTCATGCCTATAATCCCAGCATTTTGGGAGGCTGAGGTGGGAGGACCAGTTGAACCCAGCCTGGGCAACATAGCAAGATCTTGTCTCTACAAAAAATAAAGGAGGCAGGAGGATTGCTTGAGCCCGGGAGGTCAAGGCTGCAATAAGCACTGTTTGCCCCACTGCACCACCACCTGGATAACAGAGCAAGACCCTGCCTCAAAACGAATGTGTATAAATTAATTGACATTTTAAAATTAATTTTTGTAACCTTAATAAGGCTTTAAGGGTTACATCTATTAGTAGTACAGTTGTTCAAAACAACATAAATATATATTCAATTTTCTAATAAAAACTAAAATTTTATTGGAAATATACGTCATAAAAGAGAAAATTTCCTCCCCCCGTTAGTTCCTATATCTGTGGATAAATATCATTATTTTTTATTAGAATAAGACAAGGTACCGCGAATTTTGTACGTCTTTTTCTTTCCTTTTTAAATTTGTTTTTAAACTTTCCTCCTTACAGGGGATTTCCTTTAGCTGGGCATGGTGGCGGGCGCCTGTAATCCCAGCTACTCAGGAGGCTGAAGCAAGAGAATCACTTGAACCCTAAAGGCAGAGGTTGCAGTGAGCCGAGATAGTGCCACTGCACTACAGCCCGGGCGACAGAGTGAGACTCCATCTCAAAAATAAAATAAAATTAAAAAAAAAAGAGGATTTCTTGGCCAGATGCGGTGGCTCACGCCTGTAATCCCAACACTTTGGGAGGCCGAGGCTGGAAGATCATTTGAGGTCAGGAGTTCGACACCAGAATGGCCAACATGGTGAAACCCCATCTCTACTAAAAATACAAAAATTAGCTGGCTGTGGTGGTGCACCCCTGTAATCTCAGCTACTCGGGAGGCTGAAGCAGGAGAATCACTTGAACCTGGGAGGTGGAAAAATCATTTATCATTAAAAATTATATTTAGTGCCCAGAATGGTGGCTCAAGCCTGTAATCCCAGTACTTTAGGATGCTGATGTGGGAGGATCGCTTGAGCCCAGGAGTTCGAGATCAGCCTGGGCAACATGGAGAGATCTCATCTCTACAAATAATAATTTAAAAATAGCTAGGTGTGGTGGCAAATGTCTGTGGTTCCAGCTACTCCAGAGGCTAAAGTGGGGGAATCGTTTGAACCTAGGCAGTCCAGGCTACAGTGAGCCCTTATCACACCAGTGCACTCCAGCCTGGGTGACAGGGCAAGACCCTGTCTTTAAAAAAAAAAAAAAAAAGTATTTAATGTTATCATCCAACAATTCAATACAAACCTCCTTCAATTTTGATGAAAGCTGAGAATTGGAAATAATTTATATAAAGGTGTCATTTGGTCTCTGGCCCTTCCCCTTTTCCAACTCACAGGCACAGATACCTTTGGGGCTGGATTAGCATTTGCGTTGGGATCCACGGCGGGAAGGGTACAGGATGGGAACTGACAAAAACAGAGCCAAGCTGGTCGGGTCGGTGCCTACCCCAGAATTCGGGGACATTTCTAGATCCTGCAGGAAAGCGCGGGAGGGCCTGACTCAAGCTGGCCTGGCCCTGAGCGCATCTGCGCGCCCGAAGCCTGTCCCTGAGGCACGGAGAGAGCAGCTTTCGGGTTAAAAGGGCCCTGGGAAGAGATGGGGCGGGAAGGTGGTACCCGTTGGGCGCAGGCCAGGCTGCCAGGCCGCAGGGCTCTGTCCCGCGAAAGTCAGTAGGTCTTCCACTAAGGCAGAATTGTACTTTTACTCGACAGCGTGGAGAGGCCGCTCAGAACAGCAGCAGCGGAGGGGAAGTCAGCGCAGGTCACAGACGGTTTCACTCTCAGAGACTTGGCCTAGAACTTGGAGGCCCGCTGCTACAGCACGCTCGCCTCCAGGCCACCCACGCCCCCACCACCCGCACTGAGCCGTTATCTGCCTGACTGACATCTTGGCCAACCAATGACCTTTGGGGCTGCCAAAGCGCCTGCCTCCGAGAGTTGGGCGGGGCGAGTAGTTGCAATGACAAACATTTAACCCAATAGCGAGGAGATTTCAGACGCTACGGCCGCAATAACCAATGACAAGAAAGAATCCTTTCGAAAGGACGTGTCAGGCAACCAACGGCCGGTGCCGCTGCGGGGGTCCGGCGGCTTCCGTTCCGAGAGGGCGGGGCGGCGTCCCAAAACGGAAGGTGGTTGTCGTCCGTTCCCAAGCTGGTTTGAAACTAGGGGTCGGGCTCGGCCGTCGTCGTTGTTTGTCGCCGCATCCCCGCTTCCGGGTTAGGCCGTTCCTGCCCGCCCCCTCCTCTCCTCCCTTCGGACCCATAGATCTCAGGCTCGGCTCCCCGCCCGCCGCAGCCCACTGTTGACCCGGCCCGTACTGCGGCCCCGTGGCCACCATGTCCCTGCACGGCAAACGGAAGGAGATCTACAAGTATGAAGCGCCCTGGACAGTCTACGCGATGAACTGGAGTGTGCGGCCCGATAAGCGCTTTCGCTTGGCGCTGGGCAGCTTCGTGGAGGAGTACAACAACAAGGTGGGCCGGGCAGGGGCTCGGAACCCAGCTGGCGGGGAGCGGGCCCCGGGAGCGCCCTTTCCGGGCCGGAGCCCAGGCCTCAGAACCCTCTTGCGGACTCGCCCTAGGGCCACGGAGCGGTTCCTCTGTCTGGCCCTGTGCTGAAGGTTTCGTACTCGTTGTCTGTCTCCTTTAATCCAGGCAGCATTCTTGTGTAGTCGGCAGTGTAGTGGGGAAACTGAGGCACGGTTTTGTGACTTGCCTGGGTCAGGCAGCTATTTCGGGGTGGAAACAGGTCTTAAAACCGGGTTTACGCCCCAAAGATACTCCATTTATTCATCCCGTGCTCTCCACTCCTGCCGCATTGCTTTCGTTGGTGGGCGGGGAAGGGAAGAGAGAGTGATAGCTGTGAAGGAAAATGCAGGCGCTTCTATTGGTGGTCGTGCACTCCTGGCCACACTAGATTTCTATTAAGACGATCTATTGTACAAGCTTCCCCGCCCCCTACTCCCACCCCCCCCGGGTACTCATGGATCCTAGCCCTTCTGCCAGAATTACTGTTGCTCTTGCTTCCTGATATCCATTCTCTCTAAAGCAATCTCTTTGGAAATCTTGGCCTGTGGCATGATCCCGCCGTTGTTTCCTGAACACAGAAGGATGACAGGGCCTTATCTCTTGGCTTGTTTCGTGCTAGTACAGTTGTGTGACCTTTAGTAGTAAGTCTTGCTGGACATACATCAATTTGAGAATCCTTTATAGAAGCACGGTGTAGTAGGGGAGCTTTTAAACTGGCATTGCAACAAACTCATTTTTGAAAGTTGAATAAGTCAGTTGGAAGAATTTTCTTTCTTCCTTTTACTCAAAGTTGTGAATGATAGCGATCAGAGCAACTGAAAGCTGTGGCTAGTGATATTTAAAGCCACTACTCCTGCTTTATGCCATGAACATCAGATTTAAGAAGAGTAAAACTGGCCGGGCGCGGTGGCTCACGCCTGTAATCCCAGGACTTTGGGAGGCCGAGGCGGGCGGATTACCTGAGCTCAGGAGTTCGCGACCAGCCTGGGTAACACGGTGAAACCCCGTCTCTACTAAAATACAAAAAAAAAAAAAAAAAAAAAAAAAAAAAAAAAAAAAAAAGCCGGGCGTAGCTTAGTGCGCCTGTAGTCCCAGCTACTCGGAAGTCTGAGGCTGGAGAATTGCTTGAACCTGGGAGGCGGAGGTTGCAGTGAGCCGAGATGGCGCCACTGCACTCCAGCCTGGGCGACAGAGTGAGACTCTGTCTCAGAAAAAAAAAGAAGAATAAAACTGTTCAGTGACAAGGCTGATGCAGGGGGGAAGAAACCAGGTGGTCCTGTCTGGTTATTGACTAGCTGTGAGATGTTGCACAGGCCTGTTTTATTATCTGTGACCCACAGTTTGTACGGAAGGGGTTCTGGTTTACATGTGAGGGTCTTGTAAAAAAGAAATTTGAACATTTCACAGTTTGTTTACAGTTTTTCAGGAGCACATTTGTTTCTCTAGAGTAGGTCCTCTTTGGAGTCCACTTTGAGAAGCTGATGAAAGCTATGGATTCTCATTGTCCAGACATTACACATACATGAACAATTTACAAACAAATCCAAGGAATATGCACTGATCTTTAAGTCCACCCATTGCCCGGGCGAGATAGAGCTTTCTTTCCTCTGTTGCTTCTTTCTTCCTTATGGCCCATAGTGGACAGCAGAACTGGAAATGGGATTCACGATTCTGATGTGGACACCGTGTTAATAAAATTAAGACCACTAGAACTATTGTTTAAAGATACACGTGGAAAATAAAAAAGTATGTCTTTCAAAGGGCTTAAGTCTTTTTACACAAATTAATGTTTTTTCTTGTAAGTTTTTCCAGGGTCGTTGGGTAAGCAATAGTTACTCCTATTCCTCAGAGAGGAGAAACTGAGCCACAGTTAGGCTGCTTGGTAGGATCAGTGGAGTAGTCAAACTGCTGTTGCAGGAACTCTACCCCAGTTTGTCCTTTCATTTAGCAACTATCTGGAGCTTCCTCTTTGTGACAGGCACACAGGTAGCATGGCTTAGCAGTGAAATGCAAACTAATAACCCCACTATCAACAGCATTAGCAGTTAACTATATCTTAACTCACATGATGTAGGCAATGCGCTGTCTTAAAATCATTTTTGTGCCTCCACCTATCAGTAGATCAGGGTTCTTAAATTCTGTGTGCCATGGTCATCTGATACCAATAGACCCCTTCTCATAGTTATGTTTTCAAATGCATAAAACACATAGAATTACAAAAGAAACCACTTATGTTGCACTACAGATATAAACAACATGTTTTTTAAAGTGGTGATGTAGTCATATGTACTTTTAATAAATTAACTTATTGATTTACACCATCCACTGTAATTATTAATGTAATTTTGAAATGGTGACAAGGGTAAACAGCATTTCAAGATGCTTAACAACTGTGCTGTGGTGGGAAAAAAAAATTCTCTTGCTGGCAAAGTCACAGACAGTCATACCACTGTGAGCACCTGACCCCATTTGTAATTGAAGGAAACAAAAAAATTTAGCTAGAGGTTAATGGAAATATGGGGATAATTTTCCAATTCAAGTTCACAGACCCCAAGTTAAGAAACCCTGCGAGAGAGAAGTATGTGTAGTGGTTGGTGAGCAGCAAATCCTGCCTTAAAGTGATTCTCAGGCTAAGTTTGTGAGAAACCCTGCCAAAGAGGTGGTCGACTTCATAATTTGGAGGAACTTTAGAATTATTGGTTGGAATTTTTAGACCATTGGTTCCTGCTTGCCATGGATAGTGGTCACCAGCAGAGGATAAAGTAAAATGGACACAGCAAATTAACACTGATGAAAAAGGCTAGAAGTGGTCATCTTTTTAGTGTGGAGACATTCACTAAGAAAACATGGTTGTAATTTTTAAAAATTTGCATTAGCATAATCATGTTTTCCTAACGTAAAATTGTACCTAGTTGATCCATAGAATTAAGTCTATCAACAGTTTAAGAAATTGACTTCCAGGTGTTCCTTCATGTGAATAAATTTGGGAATTGTTGCAGAGTAAAGAAACAGATTCTATCAACTACACTTGGAATAAAAAGCCCCATTATAGGGCTGGGCGTGGTGGCTCACACCTGTAATCTTAGCACTTTGGGAGGCTGAGATGGGAGAATCGCTTGAGCCCGGGAGTTTGATACCAACCTGGGCAACATGGAGAAACCCTGACTCTACAAAAACATTAAAAAATTAGCCAGGTATGGTGGCATCTGCCTGTAGTACCAGCTACTTGGGAAGCTGAGGTAGGAGGATGCTTTAAGCTCAGGAGGCAGAGGTTATAGTGAGCCAAGATCACGCCACTGCACTCCAGCCTGGGCGACAGAGCCAGACCCTGTCTCAAAAAACAGCCTCATTATTGGTTATTATGTTTCTACCTTCTTTTGTTGTGGTCTCTTGAGGGATACAGCAAGATTGGTGTTGGAGCAACAGGTTCTCTAAATTTTAGTGTGTGAGAATCCTGAGGGAGCTGCACATTCCTGGGCTCCACCCCTGAAGTTAACAGACTTGGAGATAGGTGACAGACACACTAGTGGTTGAGTGGTCCAGATGGCACTCTCAGAACATGGCCCTGGAGCTGCCTTGGCATCTGTTGGCCAGAGGCGAGAATGTGATCTTTTTGTGTCTGCATGCTCCTAAACATTGGTTCTGCCCTTCCATCCAAGTTCACCCATGAAAAAAGCTCTGTGATTAGCCTGGGTTATCTAAGTCCTGCCACTTCCCAGTTTTGTATTGCCTTGGGCAAGTTATCCTCTGTGTCTCAGTTTCATCATCTGTAAAATTAGGGCAATAAATAATAACATCTACCTTGTTCAAAGATTAAATGAGTTAATATATGTAATGGACTTAGGAACGCCACCCGGTGTGGAATAAGCCATATAGAGATGTTAGCTGTTATTTAATTATTATCATTACTGTACCTGTAATTGAAATATAACCAAAGAGAATTATATGGCTGTTTAGTAAATTTACTTTTGTATTTTCCAGAAAGGATTCAGGAATAAGAGGTCAGAAAGGTAGCTGAAAAGGTCATTATTTCATTCTCTGCCTTTTAAAGACTCTGGGGGGAAAATTCCCTTATCTCTTTCAACCCAACTCATTTTGTAGTCTAGCAGATTCTTATAGTCAGACTCCAAGTAGTGTAATTTTCTAGTTTAAATCCATTTTCTCTTGTTCTACCTGGCTTACCTACGTAAGTCAGATATAAGAATTTGGCATTTCTCCTGTGTTTTGACAATATGTTTGGTCTTTAGGCCCAGGTGTTATTTCCCCTCTTTTATTGGGAAAAGCTGGGTAGCAGTTCCTGGGCTTCTGTTCCACTTAAGTGCATGTTTCAGGGTTGGTTTTGATAAAGATGGCAGTGTGATTGGGATTTAGTTTGCCCCAGTATTTAACTGACTACTTGTGCTCTAAGATTTGGCATCCAGAGAGTATTTTTGAGGTTCTGAGGAGAGACTGTAGGTATATCTGATGCTTTTTGGAGAATCCTAGTAGTGAGTCTGGGTGGCATGACCACCTTGTACTTGAAACACTGGGATGGGTACTCACCTCACCAGCCTGTGTTGATTCCTCTGAGGTTTTTAATACAATTACTTTATATGTTTGATGCATAATTATTTCGACTCCGGTATTTAATTTTTCATCTTGGTATTTGCGGTAGCCCTTCAGGATTATCATTCATTTGCTCATTAATTTAGCCGGTCTGTATTGAACACATACTCATGTGTTTTAGGCACAATGTGTTTTGGTACACATCAGTACTTTTGATAGATATTTAGAATGTCGCAGTGTTCCACGAGTCCCTGTCAAGACTGTCAGCAGGGGAATTTAAGACATAAAACTCTTCTGGTTTTAACTTCCTCCTTTTTCTAGACAGTGAGAGGACTCATTCCCTGTTGTGACCACTGGATAAAAGTGATAATGCTTTAAAAAAAAATGCTACTTTATTGCTTTTTGTCCTAATCTTGTTCACATAGACTTATTGGAGATGCTGTCACTTGAACAAGGAGTGAATCTATGCTCTGTAGGTAGCCTGGCTTGCCTAAGGACTTGCTGCCAAAGCTCTCGCTGCCAGAGCTCTCTGGTCAGCCTCTGAGCCACGAGCCAAAGGTGTGCTGTGCCAGAATTCATCTTAAAGTTTAATAGGGCAGGACCTTGGGTACCTGCAGACACTGGTCCTTGGTAATCAGTCAGGAAGAGGCTTGAAGAGAAAGCAAATAGAAAAGACCAGGAAAAGCTAGTGTATATTCTCAGAATATTGTGTTAGCCGATTTTTGTTTTATTAACAATTGTGGGAAAATGTTCCAGTGACTGGAGTGTTATGTTGATTTGGATAACTTGGGAGCTTATTTTAAAAATTACATATACATACACACATTCACCTTCTTCTTCTGCACTAGGACTGTGTGTGTTAAAGTGGAATATGGCCAGGCGCAGTGGCTCATGCCTGTAATCCCTGCACTTTGGGAGGTGGATGCAGGCAGATCACCTGAGGTCGGGAGTTCAAGACCAGCCTGACCAACATGGAGAAACCCTGTCTCTACTAAAAATACAAAATTAGCCAGACATGGTGGCACATGCCTGTAATCCTAGCTACTTGGGAGGCTGAGGCAGGAGAATAGTTTGAACCTGGGAGGCAGAAGTTGCAGTGAACGGAGATTGTGCCACTGCACTCCAGCCTAGGCAACAGAGCAAGACTGTTTCAAAAAGAAAAAATAAATCAGGGCCGGGCGCAGTGGCTCATGCCTGTAATCCCAGCACTTTGGGAGGCTGAGGCTGGCGGATCACGAGGTCAGGAGTTTGAGACCAGCCTGACCAACATGGTGAAACCCCGGCTCTACTAAAAATATAAAAATTAGCCAGATGTGGTGGTGCGTGCCTGTAATCCAAGCTACTTGGGAGGCTGAGGCAGGAGAATCACTTGAACCTGGGAGGCGGAGGTGTGGTGAGCCAAGATTGTGCCACTGCACCAGCCTGGGTGACAGAGTGAAACTCCATCTCAAAAGAAAAAACAAATTAGCTGGGAGTGGTAGCATGCACCTGTAGTCCCAGCTACTCAGGAGGCTGAGATGGAAGGATCACTTGAGCCCAGGAGGTCAAGGCTGCAGTGAGCCAAGATCTTGCCACTGAACTCCCGCTGGGGTGACAGAGCGAGACCGCCATCTCAAAACCAAAAAAACAAAACAAATGGAATCAGCACAATAGCTGTAGAAAGATGCTATTAGAAAGGATGGGGGGAAATGGAAAATAAGTGGCAGATAAAGTACCCATACTAAAAAGATGTCTTTAGCTTGGTTGAAAAATAATTGTCAGTCCTACCACTGTGAGTTCAAAGAACTTAAGAAAATACAGAACTTCAAGCAGAGATATAGAGGATTGGGTAAAATAAGGCATGGCAAAGAGAAAATATAACATCAGCTGGCAGAGCACACAGGAAAGTAGTGGAAGAGAAAACTAAAATTATCACAGGATTAAAAGCCACATTGGAAACAGAATAAAGGCTGGGCACAGTGGTTCACTCCTGTAATCCCAGCTACTTGGGACACTGAGGCAGGAGACTTACTTGAACCTGGGAAGAGGAGGTTGCAGTGAGCCGAGATCATGTCACTGTACTCCAGCCTGGGTGATGAAGTGAGACTGTCAAAAAAAAAAAGAAAGAAAGAAACAGAATAAAGATGAACACACAGTGCTGAAAACAGTAAAGGTTAGGGAGGACAGATTGAAAAATGAAACTGAAGAAAACAATGAGAACATAATAGATGCAGAAAGTAAAAGAGATCTGACGTAAGTATAATTGGTGTCCCTCAAGAAGAGGACCAAAGAAATGAAACAAACTCAAATATATGGTTAAAGAAGAACTTAGAAGTAAAGATTTGAAGTGATAAGTTCAAATTGGCATGATTTGAACTTGCCAAAGATTTGAAGTGATAAGTTCAAATTGGCATGAAGTGATAAGAAAAATTGGCACTGAACAGTTGGCACTGAAACATTTCCTAGGAAAATTTCTTTTTTAAAAAATTTATCTTATTTTTCGTGTGTTTTGTTTTGTTTTGAGACAGTGTCTCACTCTGTTGCCCAGGCTGGGTGCAGAGGCATGATCCCAGCTCACTGCACTCTTGACCTCCTAGGCTTAATCGATTGTCCCACCTCTGCCTCCCGAGTAGCTGAGACTACAGGTGCACACCACCACGCCCGCTAATTTTTGTATTTCTTGTAGAGGCAGGGTTTTGCCATGTTGCCCAGGCTGGTCTCAAACTGTGGGCTCAAGTGATCCACTAACCTCAGTCTCCCAAAGTGCTGGGACTACAGGCCTGGCACAGAGCCTGGCATCCCTAGGAACATTTCTATGTTTTAAGGATGAAGAAAGAATTATTTGGACACCCAGACAAAATGATCAAGTCCTCTTTAAGAGGGGAAAAGAAATTAGGCTAGCTACATTTGATGACAGAAGGCCATGGAGCAATGTCTAGGAATGTACAAATACTGTAGATTGTGCTGCTATAAATACTTGGGGATATACTTAGGCATATGTAAGGTTTATGTGGAAATAATAATGCTGGGGAACACAAAACAATACTCGAAAAATGGGAAGGTATTCTCTTTTCTTGTATAGTAAAGCTTGGTATCCTAAAGATGTCAGTGTCCCTAAACTTAATGTAATCCCTGTTTAAAATACCACAGTTGTTTTTTCTGGAGACAGGGTCTCGCTCTGTCGCCCAGGCTAGAGTGCAGTAGTGTGAGTATAACTCACTGTAACCTCAAACTCCTGGGCTTAATCAGTAGGTGTCTCACTATGTTGCTCAGACTGGTCTTGAGCTCCTGACCTCAAACAGTCCTCCTGCCTGCCCAACCCAAAGTGCTGGGGTTACAGGCATAGGCCACCATACCTGGCCAAAAATACTCCAGATTTTTAATAATGGTTTTTTAGAACCAGGCAAACTGATTGTTTCTACAGATAAATTTTACAAACATGCACACATTGTCAAAAAACTTCTGAAAAGGTGGACTAATGATGGATATTAAAACATAATGCAAAGATATAATAAATAAGATCGTTTGATACTCTAAGAACTGATGTATAAACAGAGTCTAGAAATGAACTCAGAATACAAAAAGAAATGTAGTCTGTGCTAAAGGTGATAGGAAATGAAGAAAAAATATTTTTAAGGCCAGGCACAGTGGCTCACGCCTGTAATTCCAGCACTTTGGGAGGCGGGGGCAGGCAGATCACGAGGTCAGGAGTTCGAGACCAGCCTGGCCAACATAGTGAAAGCCCGTCTCTACTAAAAATACGAAAAATTAGCCAGGCATGGTGGTGGGCACCTGTAATCCTCGCTACTTGGGAGGCTGAGGCAGGAGAATCACTTGAACCCAGGAGGTGGAGGTTGCAGTGAGCCAAGATTGCATCATTGCACTCCAGCCCGGGTGACAGTGTGAGACCCATATATATATATATATGTATATATATATACATACATATATATACGTATATATATGTATGTATATATATATGTGTATATATATGTATATATATATGTATATATATGTATATATATACGTATATATATATGTGTGTGTATATATATATATATATATTTTTAATAATTGGTATTGAAACCAGAAAAAAAAATTGGATCTCTACCTTAAGCTTTGTACCAGCCGGGTGCAGTGGCTCACACCTGTAATCCCAGCACTTTGGGAGGCTGAGGCGGGTGGATCGCCTAAGGTCAGGAGTTTGAGACCAGTCTGGTCAGCATGGTGAAACCCTGTCTCTACTAAAAATGCAAAAAGTAGCCGGGCATGGTGGCAGGTGCCTGTAATCCCAGCTACTCGGGAAGCTGAGGCAGGAGAATCGCTTGAACCCAGGAGGCAGAGATTGCAGTGAGCCGAGATGGCACCATTGCACTCCAGCCTGGGCAACAGAGTGGGACTCCGTCTCAAAGAAAAAAAAACCTTGTACCAGAATTCCAGATAAATGGAAGAATGTAAACATATAACTGTAAAACACGGGAGAATCTTGGTGTGAGAAAGCCATGAAAGTAGAAGTAAACTATATAAAAATAAAATCTCTGTAACAAAACCAAAGTCAAAAGATAAGTGACAAACTGAAAAAATACATGTAATGTCCTAGACAAAGAACAAATCCCTTAATAACTGCATATAAAGATCTGCAAATCACCAGGAGACCAGTCACCCAGTAGAAAAAGAGAAATAGATAGGAAGAGTTTCCAGAAAGGATATGTAAATGATTCTTGAACGTATGAAGAACTGAACCTCATAAGAAAAAAAAAAAATGGAGTTTCAGCTAGATTAGGAAAAATAAAAAACCGTGGTAATCTACTGTGTGTGTGTGTATACACGTATGTGTAGCTTTCCCATGCAGTTGCTATCAAAATTTAAATTGGCATTATTTTCCACCTGGTAGTTCCGCTAGTGGTAATTCATCCTACAGCTATACTCATGTGGTTGAAATGACTAAAGTGCAAGGATATTCATTTTAGCATTATTTGTAAAAGAAAAATATGAAAATATTATTATTAGGGAAATTGTTGAATAAATTATGCTACCTCCATGCAGCTGTTAAAAGAATGAGCTAGCTTTTCATATACTGATATGGAATATTTTAAAATAAATATTCGGTGGAAAAATATGTAGAAGAGTAAACACCTGTGTTTTTTAAAAGCATATGCATATACATATGTACACCCATATGTGGTTGTGTGTAGAAGGGATACACAAGAAATTGATAACATTGATTTTTCCAGGGAAAGGGACTGGGATGTAGGGGCTCTAATTTGTACTGTAATTGCTTTGCTTTTATGCCTTTCAAAATTTGGGCCTTGTGTATGTATTACCTAGTAAGAAAGTTAGTAATAAAAAAGCTAACATTAATAAAAATTAAATCTTAGTAGAACTTCAGAAAGAGGAATAAACAGAAAGGAATGAATGAAGAAGCACTAGGCATATAGTAGCAAGAAGCAGTTCTTTTTATAGAGAAGAAGTCAGGCATGATAATATTAACATCAGATAAAATTCAAGGCAAAAATGTTGAAACAAAAGGAAATATTTTACATGTTAAACATACAGGCTGGGCGTGATGGCTCACACCTGTAATCCCCACTACAGGCTGGGTGCAGTGGCTCATGCCTGTAATCCCAGCACTTTGGGAGGCTGAGGCAGTCAGATCACTTGAGGTCAGGAGTTCAAGACCAGCCTGGCCAACATGGTGAAACCTTGTCTCAAAATACAAAAATTAGTTGGGTGTAGTGGTGTGTGCCTGTAATCCCAGCTACTTAGGAGGCTGAGGCAGGAGAATGACTTGAACCCGGGAGGCGGAGGTTGCAGTGAGCTGAGATCACGCCACTGCACTCCAGCCTGGGCAATAGAGCAAGACTCTATCTCAAAAAATAAAAAAGAAAAGTACAACCGACTAAGAATAAAAAGTCATAAGTCTTTACATATCTAAGAGTATAGCGTTTAAATAGAAAGCAAAAATTTTGTAAATATAGGGAGAATTTGGTTCATATGTTGGAAATTGTTAAGTGAAGTAGACAAAACAAGGATATAGAGGGTTAGAAAATTACAGTTTGTTCACACCTGTAATCCCAGCGCTTTGGGAGGCTGAGGCTGGCAGATCATTGGGCCCAGGAGTTTGAGATCAGCCTGGGCAACATGGTGAAACTCCATCTCTATCAAAATATAAAAAATAGCCAGATGTGGTGGCACCATGCCTGTGGTTTCAGCTACTTGGGAGGGTGAGGTGGGAGGATCGCTTGAGCCCAGAAGGCAGTGGCTTGCAGTGAGCCTAGATCGAGCCACTGTACTTCAGTCTGGGTGACAGAGTGAGACCCCATCTCGAAAGAAGAAAATGTGTTATAAGTATAGAGAGCTTTGCATTCAACGGAAAATTCACTTTAAACAATAACCCAATTTACAAAAACTGTGTATTTAGAAAAAAAATTTTTTTAAGTTGAAATCAACTGATTGGAAAAAAAATGCTACATATCAAAACTTACAGGAAGGTGAGGAACCTGAAGCTCAGCTATGTGCTAAGTGGCTTGCCCAAAGTCATATAAGGGGTAAAGGAGGGCCAGAACTAGAGTGCTGTCTGTCTCCAGAGTGTTCAGAATAAATGTATGTCAATGTCCAAAAAAAAAAAAAAAAAACTTAGGGGGAAAAAGAACATGTTGAAAAACAGAGGAACACTTACCCTACCAGATTAGAATAAACATACTGGAATTGATATAGCCAGAGAGATAGGTGGAACTGAATAGAATATTTCAAAGACAACTTTAGTATATATAAATGTGAAATATGTGATAAGATAGAACTGTAATTCACTGGGTAAAAGATTACATCGTATGGCACAGTTGTTCATCTAGCAGAAAAATTTAGAACCCCTAATTCACAGTGTATGATGAAAACTAATTCCAGATCAAACGTCTAATTATAAAGGAAAGTCCACAAACATTATTAGAAAGTTGATCAGGAAATTTGTCATGAGGCAGTGGGGGTGCGCACGGACACTCATTAATTAATTCCAGAGTCAACAAAGGAAAAGATTGGCAGATTCTATAGTACATACAAATAAAACATTTCTCTGTGAAAGATATGCCATGGACAAAGTCAAAAGACAGCAGAAAATATTTTCTTTTTTTATTTTTTATTTTTTATTTTTTATTATTATTATTATACTTTAAGTTTTAGGGTACATGTGCACAATGTGCAGGTTAGTTACATATGTATACACGTGCCATGCTGGTGCGCTGCACCCACTAACTCGTCATCTAGCATTAGGTATATCTCCCAGTGCTATCCCTCCCCCCTCCCCCCACCCCACAACAGTCCCCAGAGTGTGATGTTCCCCTTCCTGTGTCCGTGTGTTCTCATTGTTCAATTCCCACCTATGAGTGAGAATATGCACAAGAACAAAAAACCAAACACCGCAGAAAATATTTTCTTTTTTTTTTTTTTCTTTTGAGACACTGTCTTGCTCTATGAGCTGGGCTGGAGTACAGTGGCACAATTCACAGCTCACTGCAGCCTCAACCTCTCAGGCTCAAGAGATTCTTCCACCTCAGCCTCCCAAGTTGCTAGAATTACAGACGCACAACACCCTGCCTGGCTAGTTATTTTTATTTTTTGTAGAGATGGGATCTCGCCATATTGCCCAGGCTGGTCTTGAACTCTGGGCTCAAGCAATCCTCCCACCTTAGCTTCCCAAAATAGTGGGATAATGGGCATGAGCCACCAAGCCCTGCCTGGCGGAAAATATTTTCAAAACATGACAGACAATAGTAGCTAATACTCAATGCAATAGAAAAATGGACAAAGGGTATGAATATCTAGTTCATAGGAGAGGAAATGCAAGTGATCAGTAAACAGGAAAAATGCTGAACCTCACAGGTAGTTAAGGGAAATGAGAATTGTGATATCATCTTTCCCTTTTAAATTTATAAAAATTAAGTTATTGCTTCTAGTGCTGTTGACAGTATGGAGAAATGAACACCTTTACATACTGCTGCTAAGAATGTTAGTTGCTACAGTCTATTTGAAAAGTAAGTTGGTGTCTATTAAAATTTAAAATGCACATACTTTCTAATACAGAAATCCCACTGTTAGGACATTGGCCTCCAGAAAAAAATACAGCAGTTCATAAACACATATGTACAAAGGCATATAAATAAGTAGTGGTGGCTGGGCGTGGTGGCTCATGCCTGTAATCCCTGGAGCTCAAGAGTTTGAAATCAGCCTGGGCAACATGGTGAAATCCCATCTCTATAAAACAAAACAAAACAAAAATTTAGCCTAGCATGGTGGTGGGCACCTCTAGTCTCAGCTACTCGGGAGGCTGAGATGGGAGGATCACTTGAACCCAGGAGGTGGAGGTTGCAGTGAGCTGAGATCGTGCCACTGCACTCCAGCTTGGGCGACAGAGTGAGATTCTGTCTCAAATAAATAAATAAATAAATAAATAAATAAATAATAAAAATAAGTAGCGGCAAGTAAGAGAAAACAGTGTACAGCACTGGGGGAATCCCGGTACATAGATTAAAAAAATGATTTGGCTCTTCATATTGCTCTGAGGGATGTCCATTATTTTGTCAAATTAATAGAGATTCATAGCCTTGGCTCTAGAATTTCATTTTTCTAAAAGTTGAGGGAAAACTTTACACTTAATGTATATATGTTTGACCATATAGAAGAATGTAGAAGCAACACACAACAAATTATGTGATATCTTGGGGATGACATAGAGGGATGTTAACTTTATACACACACACACACACACACACACACATACACATATATACACACACACCTGTGTTTTGTTTGATTTTATATGATGTGATACACTTTATAATCCTCTTACAATCTAAAAGTACATTTAAAGAATGTAATAAACCCAATTGGAATGTCATCAAAATAGATAAAACTTGTAAAAATGGACAAGAAAATGTTAGAGGATATAATGGTAAGGGGTTCAGGCTAGAACTCTGGTATCTAAATTCTAGCACTCACCTCTTTTTCCACTGGAGTCTTATCAAGGAAATTATATACAAATAATAGTAGCCAAAGGGGAAACCTAGCATCATTTTATTAATAACCGAACAAGAACCACTAATGTGGTGCTGCTCCCTGGTGAACTAAGTGGGGAAAATGCAGTTTGGCCTTGAAGCCTCAGTGAAACTTTCTGCTTTTCTACCTCTGACTCAAGGACAGACCCAATCTGACCTCTCCTACCCAGTTGTAGGTTCAGAGAAACTGGAGCGGAGGATGGTCAGGCCCATTCTGAGGAGGCCAATTTGCCTGTCCATGTAGGAGCAGGATAAGCCAGAGCCAGAGAGCCATGGGACATGTCTGACTGTAGAGTGGTCAGGCCCATGCACCTGTCTCGGGCTTCAGCCAATCACTTCAGCAATTCTTCCCCCACCGGAGGAGCTAGTGAGTGGTGGGGACAGAAGAGCAGAACTCCCACGCTCAGTATTCCCTCCATGGGGGACTGGGGCAAAAACTCATCCTTCCTATGGGCATAGGCGGAAATGTGGTGTTGGGGGATGAGGAGCTTAAAGAATGAGAGTGCTACTAACAATTTGTAACAGTACAGTCACGAATCTAGATGAGGAGTTGGGCTCAGTGGCTCATGCCTATAATTCCCAGCACTTTGGGAGGACCAAGGTGTCAGGATTGCTTGAGGCCAGTAATTGGAGGCTGTGGTAAGCTATGATCATGCCACTGCGTTCCAGCCTGGGTGAGAGTGAGACCCCATCTCTTAGAAAAAGAGAGAAAGTCCTTACAAATCAATAAGAAAGAGATATCCACAACCCAGTAGAAAAACTGGACAAATGTTCTAAGCTGGTGATTTCCGTGTAATGGTGAAGAGTTTGGGTAGTGGGATGGGACTGCCTGTATTTAAAATAGAGCTTTGTGGCCGGGCATGGTGGCTCACACCTGCAATCCCAGCACTTTGGGAGGCTGAGGTGGGCGGATCACCTGGGGTTGGGAGTTGGAGACCAGCTTGACCACCATGGAGAAACCCCGTCTCTACTAAAAATACAAAAATTAGCTGGGCGTGGTGGTGCATGCCTATAATCCTAGCTACTGAGGCAGGAGAATCACTTGAACCCGGGAGGTAGAAGTTGTGGTGAGCCAAGATCGCACCATTGCACTCCAGCCTGGGCAACAAGAGCAAAACTCTGTCTCAAAAAAATAATAAATAATAATAATAATAAAATGGAGCTTTGTGATATTGGGCAAGATATTTAACTCAACATTCTTTACTGAAAGTGGGAAGAATAATAGTACCTACCTCATGGCAGTATTGAGAGGATTAAATGAGATGATGTGTGTAAAGCATTAATAATGCTTATACTTGGTCCATGTAAGTGCTCAGTTATTAATGATTATTGTTATTCAAAAGTAAAGGTAGTCAATGAACAAATGTACTCAGCCTCTGGCCAGGTGCAGTGGCTCACGCCTGTAATCTCAGCACTTTGGAAGGCCTAGGTAGGCAAATCACTTGAGGTCAGGAGTTCGAGACCAGCCTGATCAACATGGCGAAACCCTGTCTCTACTAAAAATACAAAAATTAGCTGGGCATGGTGGTGTGTACCTATAATCCTAGCTACTCAGGAAACTGAGGCAGGAGAATCGCTTGAACCCAGGAGGCAGAAGTTGCAATGAGCCAAGATTACACCACTGCACTCCAGCCTGGGCAAGAGAGTGAGACTCTGTCTCAAAAACAAAACGAAAATCCCAGCACTTTGGGAGGCCGAGGTGGGCGGACCATGAGGTCAGGAGATCGAGACCATCCTGGCTAACACTGTGAAACCCTGTCTCTACTAAAAATACAAAAAAATTAGCCGGGCGTGGTGGTAGGCGCCTGTAGTCCCAGCTACTCGGGAGGCTGAGGCAGGAGAATGGCGTGAACCTGGGAGGCGGAACTTAGAGTGAGCAGAGATGGCGCCACTGCACACCAGCCTGGGCAAAAGAGCGAGACTCTGTCTCAAAAAAAAAAAAACAACAGTTACACTTATAGAATCTGTCCAATAAAAACATTTGCACACACATACAAAAATAAATGAGTAAGAGTAGTAGTATTAGCAAAAGTAGAGTAGTATTGTATTAGCAAACAATGGTACATAACCAAAACAACTGAATAGTTAAATAAATTATGGTGTGCTTACCATAATCTGCTATAGAAGAATGAGGGAAAGGAGAGCTATTTGTACTGAAGATCTTCTAAGATTATTGTTAAAAGCAAATTGCAGAATACAGCTGACAACGGTGGCTGACACTGGTAATCCCAGCAATATGGGAGGCCAGGGCGGGAGGATTGTTTGAGCCCAGGAGTTCGAGGGAGACCCTATCTCTACAGACAATTCAAAAATTAGCTAGGTGTGGTGTCTGTGTACCTGTGGTCCCAGCTCCTTAAGAGGCTGAAGGATCGCCTGAGCAGGAGGATCGCCTGAGCCTGGGAGGTCAAGGCTGCAGTGAGCTGTGATCATGCCACCGCTCTACAGTTTGGGTGACAGAATGAGACCTTGTCTCAAAAAAAAGTTGCAGAATACATTTTATGATGCAAGTCTATTTAAGCTTTTTTCTTTCTTTCTTTCTTTTTTAAACAGATGAGGTCTCATTATGTTGCCCAGGCTGGTCTCAAACTACTGGGCTCAAGTGATACTCCCTTCTCAGTCTCCCAAAGTGCTGGGATTACAGGTGTGAGCCACTGCACCTAGCACCTATTTATGCTTTTTTAAAAAAAGAAAAAACCACACACAAATACATGGAGAAGTATTTGGAAAGATGCACACCAAATAGCATCAGTAAGGATTTTTGAGGGTCAGTAAGCAGATGGGAGGCTTTACTCTTTTACTCTGTATTATATGCATATTCAGAGAGAACTTATATTTTCTTTCATCATTAAATTTAAATGGATATCTGAACAAAAAAAAATTGAACAACATGAGAGCCAATTGTAATTCCTCTCAATATTTGGTTGGCAACTTGGAGCAGAAGAGCCAGTGTCAGTTTGGCTGAGGCTAAAACACACACTTGTGCAAACACAATGTAGTCTTTGGAAAGAGAAACTAGGCTGTGTGATTAGAACATTCAGGTGGGCCAGGACTGTCTATTGTAAGTAGTACAATCTTGAAATGTTGAAGAAAACACAATCAATTTTGGAAAGAGATGAATTTCTGGTCAGAAATATTATAAAGCACACAACATGCTAAACTCTAGTCGTAGGCAAAGCTTACATTGTTTTGTAACAGTACATGAGATTTTATTTGGCGTCCTTCTTTTTTTTCCCCCCTAAGACAAGGTCTCACTTTGTTGCCCAGGCTGGAGTGCGGTGGCACAATCACAGCTCACTACAGCCTTGACTTTCTGGGTTCGGGTGGTCCTCCCATCTCAGCCTCCTGAGTAACTGGGACTACAGGCCCGTGCAACCACACCTGGCTAATTTTTTTTTACTTCTTACAGAGATGGGATTTTGTCATGTTGCCCAGGCTGGTCTCAAATTCCTCTTGGGCTCAAGTAATCCTCTGGCCTTGGCATCCCAGGGTGTTGGGATTATAGTCATGAGCCACCGCACCCAGCCTGGCATCCTTCTTAAATATAGCATGTACCCTGAAATTTTACCCTGATTTTGTTTTGTTATTGTTTTTGTTTTTTGAGATGGAGTCTCGCTCTGTTGCCCAGGCTGGAGTGCAGTGGCGTGATCTCAGCTCACCATAACCTCCACCTCCTGGGTTCAAGCGATTCTCCTGCCTCAGCCTCCCAAGTAGCTGGGACTACAGGCATGCACCACCTCACCCAGCTAATTTTTGTATTTTTAGTAGAGCCAGGCTGGCCTCGAACTCCTGACCTCAAGTGATCCACCCGCCTCAGCCTCCCAAAGTGCTGGGATTACAAGAGTGAGCCACCGTGCCCAGGTCTGATTTCGGATGTAGAAAGATACATGGTAGAATTGGGCATGCCCTAAGATATTCCAGAGAAGCTTTGCATTTTATTCGGGGTACTATATGTAGAAAGTTCTTAGTCTTTGCTTTGGTTATCAGTTATATTAGGTTAGTGCAAAGGTAATTTGCAGTTTTGGCCATCACTTATGATGGCAAAAAAACACAATTACCTTTGCACCAACCTAACATTAAACTCAGGCGCTTTAAATTTTACACTGAAATACGTTGAAAGCTAGCTTAGTTGATCTCTGTCATTAACAGAAACCATCTCTGTTTTTGTTATTTTCTTGGCTTGATTTAACGTTCGTTGCTCGCAAGAAACAGAAACCCACTCAAGGTAGTTGAAGGAAAGGGAGGTTTTCATTCAAGGGAGTTGGAGAATCGGAAGGCAAGAATGAGCCTCAGGCCTCTCATGGGACTGGACCCGGCCAGTGGAAAGCTGTTGTCTCACACCCTGCCCCACCTCACAATACATGTCTCTTTTCTGCCTCTTTCCTTGCATGCTTGTCATTCTCACTCGCTATGTATGCCAGCTTTCCCTGCAGCTCCATGCACGCTGCGTCTGTGGCCCTTTCCTGCCTTTTGCCTTCCAGGCTAAAACTAGATAGCTTTTGGGTCTTAATTCCAAATGCTTAGGAGTGAATCGGTTAGCTCAGAAGTCCAACCAGTTCAAACACCTGTGTCAATCTAGCACATTAATTCTCAACCTTGGCTATTATTTGATGTCACTGGGAGCTTTAATAGATACCAAAGCCTGTGTCCCATTACCAGAAATTCTGGTTTTAGTGGTCTGGGATGTTACTAAACCTAATTTGTTGGGATATGTTTAAGTTCCCAGAGGATTCTAACATAGAGCTGTGGTCCATGGTTAAGAAGCACTGATCTAGGAGAGAAGAGGGTCATCTTATAGGCGTGGAATGCTCAGATAGTGGGGTCTTGGCCTAGGTAGATTATTCTCCCAAAGATGTCCTCTAGGGTGTCCCCATTTTTGGCTTTAACCTACCAGTCCTCTTTCTTATAGGGTGTGTTGGAATAACCTATGGAGCTCTACTTTAAGGAAAAAAAAAAAAAAAAGCTCATGCCCAGACCTAGTAAATCAGAACCTTCAGAGGGTGGGGACCAAGCAGGCATAGTTTTTAAGCTGCCCTGCAAATTCCAACAGTACCACCAGGCCTGATCTCCAGGCCGTGCACTCTCACATAGCAGCACCATCCACAGTCATGGCTTCATATATACCACTTTGGTGGTTTTTTGTTTTTGTTTTTGTTTTTGTTTAATTCTAAGGTGTCTCAAATCTTGGTCAGATATTTAGGAGCCAATACTATCTGACCTCTGAGTAACAAATGTACCTTTTTATTTTTAAATAGTCTAGATGTCTTTTTGTTTTTGTTTCTGTCTTTGTTTTGAGATGGAGTGTCACTCTGTTGCTCAGGGTGGGGTGCAGTAGTACAATCTTGGCTCACTGCAAATTCTGCCTCCCGGGTTCAAGTGATTCTCCTGCCTCAGCCTTCTGAGAAGCTGGGATTACAGGTGTGCACCACCACGCTTTGCTAATCTTTGTATTTTTTGTAGAGACGGGCTTTCGCCATGTTGGCCAGGCTGGTCTTGAACTTCTGACCTCAGGTAAGCTGCCTGCCTCAACCTCCCAAAGTGCTGGGATTACAGGTGTGAGCCACCACACCCGGTCTAGATGTCTTTTTCCAAGTACTTTGGTAAGAGAAACTGGGAAGCACCAGCTATGTCAAGTGTGTGTACTACAGTGGGTTAAACATTACTGGTGGGGAGGGTGATTCATTACAGGGATGTTGGTCACATCAGCCTAACAGCTGACAGAAATGATAGGAAAGGCAAGGCGTGATGGCTCACACCTCTAATCCCAGCACTTTGGGAGGCCAATGCAGGCAGATTGCTTGAGCTCAGGAGTTCCAGACCAGCCTGGGCAACGCAGCAAAACCCCGTCTCTACAAAATATGGAAAAATTAGCCAGGCGTGGTGGTATGCACCTGTAATCCCAGCTACTCGGGAGGCTGAGGCACAAGAATCGCTTGAACCTGGGAAGCGGAGGTTGCAGTGAGCTGAGATTGCGCCACTGCACTCCAGCCTGGGCAACAGTGAGACTCCGTCTCAAAAAAAAAGAAAAAAAAAGATAGGAAAAATGTTTATTATATTCTTTGCCTCCTAGATACTGGTCCTCTCATATATATCCTTGATAGGGAAGCCTCCTCTTCCCTTGTGAGGGAGGGTGTAGGGAAACAGGCATTTGCATAGTTAGGTGGTAAGAGTGTAAATTGCAAGGCAAGTCAGAAAGTAGTGCTCTGCTCTATAGAGCACTATAACTTACTAGTGCAGAAAAACATTATTAGGATATATATTGAGGCATTGTTTTTCATAGGGAAAATGGGAATTAGTCTAACTGTCTTTTGGGATTAAATACATTGTAATTTGGCTATCTTGTGGAATGCTATACAGTTGTGACAATTAGACAGATTTATTTGTATTGGCACCAGCATGAAAAAGAAAATTGTCATGCAGAATATGATTGGAAAAAATTTTAAAATTTTTTGAAAAGAGAAAAGATGGCCAGGCACGGTGGCTCATGCCTGTAATCCCAGCACTTTGGGAGGCCGAGGCTGGTAGATCACTTGAGGTCAGAAGTTCAAGACCAGCTTGGCCAACATGGCGAAGCCCTGTCTCTACTAAAAATACAAAAATTAGCCAGGTGCGATGGCGGGTGCCTGTAATCCCAGCTACTCAGGAGGCTGAGGCAAGAGAATCACTTGAATCCAGGAAGTGGAGGTTGTAGTGAGCCAAGATCGTGCCACTGCATTGCAGTCTGGGCGAGAAAGTGAGTCTCCGTCTCAAAAAAAAAAAAGAAAAGAAAATTGATATATTGTGTAAAGGAAGTGAGTTGCAGAATAGTATAATTATATTTATGTAAAGAAAATTTGTATCTGTAAATCTGTAGGCAAGATCTGGAAGTAGTTATATCAAACCAAATGGCAATTACTGGTATAGAGGGATGGGGTGGCATTGAAAGAGGGACTTGTACTTTTAATTCTCTATACTTAGTACCTTAATTATTTACAGTTAGTATAAATTACTTCTGTAATGCTTGAAAATACTTAAAAACTATAAAGAACCATGGGAAAAAAGAAAATGAATGGTTATCTTTATGTGGTGGGATTTTAATTTTAATTTTTTGTGTGTGGGGGGGCAGTATTTTTTATAAAGAAGAAGTTTTAATTTTCTAATTGGGGAAAATCATTTTTAAAAATTACGTCAGGACTTGAATTTCATGAGCCTTTTCTGAAAAATGAGGATGGCTTTTTTCTTGAATTCAAATTAAAAATTTAAGTCATTACCTCTTCTGAAAGCATTGATAAGGTCAAGGAAAGATCGAATCTCAGCTATTTCCTGACTTCTCTCTTAGGTTAGGTACTATTTTTCAGAGATTGTCAAACTTTGCTGAAATCACATCACCAGGGGTGATGAATTCCTAAGAATAGAGAGTCCTGGGCCTCACTTGACACTTACTGAATCAGAATCTTAGGCTGGAGTTGAAGGCCTAGGAATGTAAACCTCTTCAGGCAAGTCTGATAGCTAAGTTGGAAAACCATTGCTGTAGGCAGTACAAGCAGAAGTAAGACACAGGCCTATATTTAAGGCATTTACTAAGTGAAATAGCATAAGACAGTAATGTCAGTGCTTTCATGAGGCACTATGGGATTAGTCACCAAACAGATGTTAGAGATAAGCACTGAAAGAAAGAGCACTGGACCAGGAAGACTGTGAATGCCTTATGAAGGAGGCAAGATGTCATAATATTCAAAGCTCATATATTGAGTAAGACAGTTCTATGTAGAGCTGTTACATACAACTCAAGGTAGGTACTGTGAATATCCTCACTTTACAGATTGGGAAACAAGATGAGCAGAGTTAAGTAACATGTCCAAAGTCTTACAGCTAGCAGGTGGTTAAGTGGGGAGCCCTAGAAGCCCAATTCCACTGTGCCGTATTAACATTGGGCAGGATTTGGGTCAGTGGAAAGGATGTATGAGGATTTTACAGGTATAGAGGGAAGTGTAAGGAAAGGGATGGGAAGCAGTGACTAGATAAATGAAGGTGGAATATAAGGTAAGTTAGGGCTGGGTGGTAGAAAGTCTTGTTAGGCTAAGAGGATCCCAAGTGTCAAATGCTCACAAGATTGGATATTTGAAGCTTGGGAGGAAATCTCTGATGACTTGAAAGACATTTTCTCTTCCAGTTGAACTTCACAGTGTTATCTGCAAAGTTAGAGAGGGATTTGGGGTTTCATGCTCCCTGGTGTATCCACAGCACTTAAAACAGTGCCTGACTCCTAAGAGCTGTCTACTAAATACTTCTTGAATGAATATATAAATATCTGGCTCACAATCTACATCAGAGACTTATTCTTTCTTTTTTCTTTGTTTTTCTGAGACAAGGCCTCGCTCTGTTGCCCAGGCTGCAGTGTGGTGGCATGATCTCAGCTCACTGCAACCTCTACCTCCTAGGCTCAAACCATCCTCCCACCTCAGCTTCCCAATTAGCTGGGACTACAGGCATGCGCTACCACACCCGGCTAATTTTTGTATTTTTTGTAGAGATGAAGTTTCACCATGTTGCCCAGTCTAGTCTCGAATTCCTGGGCTCAAGCCATCCACCCTCCTTGGCCTCCCAAAGTGCTGAGACTACAGGTGTGAGCCACCACACCCAGCCTCAGAGGTTTATTCTTTATTCTGCCCAATGAGCCTCAGAATTTAGCCTTTCATGTTTTTGTTGTTGTTGTTGTTGTGTGGGTACATAATAGGTGTATCTATTTTGGTATAGGCATGCAAAACATAATAATCACAACTTGGAAAATTGGGTATCCATTGCCCCAAGCATTTATCCTTTGTGAAAATACAGAACACTTTACAAATTTCCATGTCATCCTTGTGCAGGGACCATGCTAACCTTTGTATAGTTCTGATTTGAGTGTGTGTGCTGCTGAAGCAAGCACTCTCATCTGGGTTTTTTTCCCGTTTCTCCTCCACAAAGGCTGATACCAAAAATTCCACATTTCATCTAGAATCTTCCTTCTTTATGTAATATTTTCTGGCTGGGCGTGGTGGCTTATGCCTGTAATCCCAGCACTTTGGGAGGCCAAGGCGGGTGGATCACCTGAGATCAGGAGCTTGAGAGCAGCCTGACCGACATGGTGAAACCCCATCTCTACGAAAAATACAAAAAAAAAATTAGCAGGGTACAGTGGCATCTGCCTGTAATCCCAGCTACTTGGGAGGCTGAGGCAGGAGAATCGCTTAAACCTGAGAGGCTGAGGTAGCAGTGAACCAAGATTGCGCCATTGCACTCCAGCCTGGGTGACAAGAGTGAAAATCCGTCTCAAAAAAAAAAAAAAAATTATGCAAAGGTGAGAATGTCAACTTTTTAGTTCCATGTAAAAACTGTTCATTTGGTCACAGTCCCTCTTGTGGCCATTCCTGGTTATCCCTTGCCATTCTCACTATCCCTTAATTTTTCCCCTGTTCCCCTCTGGGCTCCCTGCCTCCAGCCACCTCCTTGATCCAGTCTGTCCCGCCCAGCACTACCAGATGTGTGGCCCTCAGAGGCCTTGTAATCATACCACTGTCTTCTCAGACACCTTCATCGGGGGAAGGTGAAGGTTGCTTTTGGTGCCTTCCAGCCTACCCTCAGCACACCTTCCCAGCTGCATCTCCGCTGCACTCCCACGTGGCTCTCTCAAACAGGCCTGCTTGCTGCTATCAAATGGGTCATTTAGTTTGCCACCTTTGTATGTGTGACCCTTCTGTTCTACCTACCTGGGATGCCCTTCCCTTTCCTATTTGCCTACCCAGATCCTTCCTATTCTCCTTTGAAGACTCTGCTCAGATGCTTACTTTTTTCCTCAGGTGCCCCATTTGAATTATTGCTGTTTCCTCTCAATTGTTATCGATTATTATCTGTGTCATAAATAAGAAGCCAATCATGTATTACCTTGTGACATTACTTGCATTGCTATCTTAAGTGTTTTAGGACACTGGGTTTTGTCTCCTTTTACATCTTTATACGTTAACTCCCCTAACAATTATATGATTGTTGAAAGTCTGTGGGTGCTCCATAAAATGAATATTTAGACTTAGTCATATGGATTTTTAAGAGTTAAACATGGATGACAAGATCTATGAATATATGTAGAAAAATCCTTAGGAATCTACAAAAAAGCTACTAAAACTAATAACTAATGTAGCAAAGTTATAGAAGCCAAGATTAATGTACAAAAATCAGTTGTATTTCTATATACAGTACCAATGAACAATTGGAAATGGAATTTAAAACAGTTTCATGGTCAAGCACAGTGGCTCATATGTGTAAGCCCAGCATACTGGGAGGCCAGAGTGGGTGGATCACTTGAGCCCAGGAGTTCAAGACCAGCCTGGGCAACATGGCAAAACCCTGTCTCTACAAAAAATACAAAAATTAGCTGGGTACGGTGGCTTGTACCTGTAGTCCCAGCTACTTGGGAGGCTGAGGTGGTAGGATCAATTGAGCCTAGGAGGTCAAGGCTGTAGTGAGCTGTGATTGAGCCACTACACTCCACCCTGGGTGACAAGCAAGATCCTATCTTAAAAAAAATAAAACACAATTTCATTTATAATAGCATAAAACTTGTGTAGAAATCAAGTTAATGGGCCAGGCGCAGTAGCTCATGCCAATAATCCCAGAACTCTGTCAGGCTGAGATGGGCAGATCACTTGAGGTCAGGAGTTTGAGACCAGCCTGGCCAACATGGTGAAACCCTGTCTCTACTAAAAAATACAAAAAATAAAAATTAAAATTAGCCAGGCGTGGTCACGCACGCCTATAATTCCAGCAACATGGGAGGCTGAGGCAGGAGAATTGCTTGAACCTGGGAAACGGAGGTTTCAGTAAGCGGAGATCATGCCCCTACACTCCAGCTGAGGCGACAGAGCGAGACTCAGTCTCAGAAAAAGAAATAAAGAAATAAAATTAATGAAAGAATCATAAGAAGTACACTGAAAACTTTAAAACATTGCTGAAAGAAATTAAGGCAGCCGGGCGTAGTGGTTCACGCCTGTAATATCAGCACCCTGAGAGGGCGAGACAGGCAGATCACTTGAGGCCAGGAGTTAGCGACCAGCCTAGCCGACATGGCAAAACCCCATCTCTACTAAAAATACAAAAATTGCCTGGGCGTGGTGGTGCGCACCTGTAGTCCCAGCTAAGGCATGAGAATCACTTGAACATGGGAGGCAGAGGTTGCAGTGAGCCAAGATCGTGCCACTGCACTCCAGCTTGGGTGCTAGAGCGAGACTCTGTCTGAAAAAAAAGAACTTAAAAAAGGCGTAAATTAATGGAGAAATGTGCTATGTTTATGCGTTGGAAGACTTAATATTGTAAGATGTCAGTTCTCCCCAGACTGCTCAATAGATTCAACACAATCCCAATCAGAATCTCAGCAGGCTTTTTGTAAAATTCGACAAGCTGATTGTAAAATGTACATGGAAAAGCAAAAGTAGAGAATAGCAAAACAATTTTGAAACAGAAGAACAAAGTTGGAGAACTCACTGTCTGATTTTAGAACTTACTAGAAAGCTACTATAATCAAGACAGTTTGCCTACTAGCAGACAGATAGGCAAATAAATAATGGAACAGAATAGAGTCCAGAAATAGATGAATAAATACATGGTCAACTGATTTTCAATAAAGGGGTCAAGGTAATGCAAAGGAGAAAGAATTCTCAACCAATGATGCTGGAAGAGTCAGACGTTCATATGTAAAAAAGCAAACCTTGTTCGGGAGCTGTAGCTCACGCCTGTAATCCTAGCACTTTGGGAGGCCGAGGCGTGTGGATCACCTGAGGTCAAGAGTTCGAGACTAGACTGGCCAAAATGGTGAAGACCCTTCTCTACTAAAAATATTAAAAAATTAGCCGGGCGTAGTGGCACATGCCTGTAGTCCCAGCTACTTAGGAGGCAGAGAGGTAGGAGAATTGCTTGAACCAAGGAGGTGGAGGTTGCCGTAAGCCAAGACTGTGCCCATTGCACTCCAGCCTGGGTGACAAGAGCAAAACTCCGTCTCAAAAGGAAAAACAACAACAAAAAGCAAACCTTGATTCATATCTTGTACCATATAAAAATTTAACTTGAAATGACTCAGAGACCTAAATATGAAGCCTAAAACTAGAAAACTTTTAGAAGAAAACAGGGAAAAATATTTGGGACCTGGGATTAGGCAAAGATTTCTCAACTAGGACATAAAAAATTTTTTGGGTGCGGTGCTTACGCCTGTAATCCCAGCACTTTGGGAGGCCAAGCCAGGAGGATCACTTGAGCCCAGAAGTTCGAGGCCAGCCTGGGCAACATAAGGAGACCCCATCTCTACAAAAAATTTAGAAATTAGCTGGGTGTGGTGGCACATGCCTGTGGTCCCAGCTACTCAGGAGGCTGAAGCTGGAGGATTGCTTAAGCCCAGGAGGTTGAGCCTGCAGTGAACCACGATTGCACCACTGCACTCGAACCAGTGCAACAGAGTGAGACCCTATCTCAACAACCCAAAATTATACTGCCACATTGCACATAATGCAATATTATTCAGCAGTAAGAAAAGAAGCAACTACTGATACACACAAGAACATGGATGAATCTCAAGAGCAGTGTACTGATGAAAGTAGCCAGACACAAAGACTCAAGACCATCTGATTCTATTTATATCGTATTATGGAGAGACAAAACCATAGATCAGTGGCTACTTGGGGTAGGTATGAGGGGTTGACTGCGGAGGAGCCTGGGAGAGCTTTCTGGGTTAATGGAAATGTTTTATATCTTACTGTGGGGGTTATACAACTGTACATTTGCCAAAACTCATTTAACTGTACACTTGAGTGGGTTTTATTATATGCAACTATACCTAACTTTGGGGGGAAAATGTCTGGAAGATACTGGTGTGTCTGAGACTGAGGTCAGAAAGATGAGTAGAAGGAATTTTATTTTGTGTTGTCTGGTTAGTGCTTTTCCCCTTATTGTGGATGTTTACCAAATATCCCCACTATTCCATCTTCCAGTTGGAAGTTCATAAGCAAATGTACAGTTAGTGTCCCATTGAGCCAGATTGAGTTTGACAGCAAAGATTGGAAGTTAATGGTGGGCTAAAATTGACTCTAAGAAAAAGTGATCAGAGCTAGGTGGGACTTTCTCATCAATGGCGCCGACTTTTTTTTTGCCAGTCACAGTGGTTTGGGCTCTCAAACGGTCATTTGACATACCTTTATGTGTAAACATAATGAGCCAGTGTTGAGTTTGGGGTTGGTGAGGGTTGTGCACTATTGGATTTTTAAGTGAGCATTAGTTTGTTTAATGAAATTGCAAAGGGTGTTTCATATTCCTGGCCCCTGAGCACCAAATGTCCTCAGCACTTCAGTCATTGTGGCAGCCAAGAACCACCCCTGGTCATTTTCAAATACCTTAGGGGTTTCAGGGGAAGGTGTGCCTGGCCTGGCAGATAGTGCACTTATGTAGTTGGAGTCAAGAATGCAGACTTGAGTCAGAAAACCTGTAATCTCTGTCTCCTACTGGCTTTGCAGTGTTGAGTGTAACCACCCCTTTGAGTCTGGGTGTCCTTGTCTGCCAGAGGATGGTTGGACTAGATACCCTCTCATGGCAATCGTTTTTGATTCTGCAGTTTAGTGTAGTACAGTGTCAAGACTTCTGTCACTGGCCAGGCATAGTGACTCATGTCTGTAATCCCAGCACTTTTGGGAGGCTGAGGTGGGAGGATCAGTTGAGCCCAGGAGTTCAAGGCCAGCCTGGGCAACATGTGAGGCCTTGTCTCTACAAAAAATGAACAAAATTAGCTGTGTCTGGTGGTGCATGCCTCTAACCCCAGCTACTTGAGAGGCTGAGGTGGAAGGATCACTTGAGACCAGGAGGTGGAGGCTGCACTGAGCTGTGGTTGCACCACTGCACTCCAGCCTGGGCAACAGAGCAAGATCCTGTCTTTAAAACAAAAAACAAACAAAAAAAACCTCTGTCACTGACCAGGGATCTAATGTATTTGCTGTACTGCTCACAAATGCTTATGTGGCTCAACTTTGGTATGTTACAGGTTCAGCTTGTTGGTTTAGATGAGGAGAGTTCAGAGTTTATTTGCAGAAACACCTTTGACCACCCATACCCCACCACAAAGCTCATGTGGATCCCTGACACAAAAGGCGTCTATCCAGACCTACTGGCAACAAGCGGTGACTATCTCCGTGTGTGGAGGGTAAGCGGATGCTTTATTAGCAGCCAGACAAGTGGGCTTTCTCAGCCTCAGCTGTTAGCAGTGAAAAGTCACAGAACAGACAGGGGTCAGAGGCAGCGAGTGTCATTGCAGCACAGGAGAAGCAAGCGAAGCTTAAATGGACTGGCCTCGTTTGGCTCAGCAGATTTTCTAGTATATCAAGTCAAGATTCCATGAAGTCTGGCTGCTGGCTGCAGTCAGCTCAGTCAACCCGAGGTGATGATGACGGCCTTCAGTGGAGGTGGGAATACTTGGGAACTCATATTCTGTTTGCAGCCAAGGTATTTTTGAGTAAACTAAATGAAATACCAGGCCATTGATTCTGATAAAGTGTGTGAGTGGATCTTGGAGGCTTCCCTCCACCCTCAGCTGAGCTCATCAGCAGCAGCGTCCTCTGTAGCATGGGCGTGGCCTTAGTACACCTGTGCAGAGGTTCCAGGCTGGGCAAAGTGAGAAGACCTCTCCTCTAGGAAGGTGCAGGGATGAAAATGTAGAAAACAAAGCTGGGCAGAGGAGAAAGTATGGGAAAAAGTAGCATTCAGGGAGTCCTGGGTTTATTACTGTTTTTGATAAAAATGTTTTCCCCTCATGTCTTATGTTTGCTAAGATATTTTCTAAACAGGGATTTTTTAAAAGACTTTTTATGAGGATAAGACTGGCTGATTTTTTTTAAAATTCTTGTTCCTTCAGGTTGGTGAAACAGAGACCAGGCTGGAGTGTTTGCTAAACAATAATAAGAACTCTGATTTCTGTGCTCCCCTGACCTCCTTTGACTGGAATGAGGTGGATCCTTATCTTTTAGGTAAGGGAGTTAGGGAGTATGTATTTCAGCTGGAAGAAGCCAAAATAAATTTTCTCAGATGTCACACTGGGCCATACATCCTAGAACAAGGCTCAGTGGGAAGTAGGCTAGGCGTGGAATGTGGTTATTTATTAATTCCTTTGTGTGGGTGAGCTTTCCGTGTGTATAGATCTTGTCTCTCCAGTTAGAATCTAAGGTCCTACGGTGAGGACTGAAGACTTGACTGCCTCGGTGGCTCTGCCGGTAGCCCCCACCTTGTTTTCTGTAGTCTTTATGGTATGCTGCTCCCTGGGCTGAGCAGATGAGTAAACACAAGAGGGAAGCTTGCATGAGAACCTTGGTCCCGTCAGCCCTGACTTGCACTGGTTGTTTGCAGGTACCTCAAGCATTGATACGACATGCACCATCTGGGGGCTGGAGACAGGGCAGGTGTTAGGGCGAGTGAATCTCGTGTCTGGCCACGTGAAGACCCAGCTGATCGCCCATGACAAAGAGGTAAGATGCTTTTCCATTTCGTCTTTCCTCAAATGCTTCCTGTGCCTTCCGCACAGGAAGAGGTCAGCTTGTTCTCTCATTGTTCTGCAATTTATGTAGAAAATCATAACATAACATCTTCTTGTCTAAATTGACAATAGTAATGTATCAAAAACGGGAAAACAACACTATTGTAAACTAATGCTTTTTTTTGGCTAATGTAAATGACCTATTCTACGGTCTGTCATTGTTCTTTTCATGCCAGAGGTTGCTTTTTTTAAATAACAAAGTCTCTTATAGAGGAGCTGGGAACTGATGTGATTAAAAAATAACTTTAGAGTAATACTTATCTTGAAACAGATTAGATTTGGGGAGGAAAGAAGGGAGACAGGAAGAGAAAAAATTTTCTGAGAGACAAACGTAATTATTCATTTTTCTCTATAAATGTTTTACCAAATCCTAGTATGTTCACTTAATCTTTATACTTTCATTACTGTTGGCAGTGGAGGCAATGGAATATATTTTATTTTGATGGCGATGCTTCTGTGTTTATTGGGAAAACTGAGAAGAGCTATTTGTGATTGCTTTTTTTTTTTTTTTTTTTTTTTTTTTTGAGACAAAGTTTTCCTCTTGTTGCCCAGGCTGGAGTGCAATGGCGCAATCTGGGCTCACTGCATCCTCTGCCTTCTGGGTTCAAGCAATTCTCCTGCCTCAGCTTCCGGAGTAGCTGAGATTACAGGTGCCCGCAACCACCCCTGGCTAATTTTTGTATTTTTTAGCAGAGACAGGGTTTCACCATGTTGGCCAGGATTGTCTCGAACTCTCCTGACCTCAGGTGATCCACCCACCTTGGCCTCCCAAAGTGCTGGGATTACAGGCGTGAGCCACTGCGCCCGGCCAATTGCATTTTAATCAAAGCATTCTTCTCAGTGATTTTGGAAAATCCCCATAAGTCTTTTCCTCCTACAGCCATTGCATGCTCCTGGTACTCTCATCTCCTGTGGGTACTATTTCCTGTTCTTTTCTACCTTACCCTGCACAGCTAGGGGTATTAATATCTATACAGATAAAAGGAATGCCTTGATCTTAGGTCAGAAACTTGAGGTTGTCAACAGCATAGGAAGATGTGACCCAGGTTATCATTCTTAGTAAGGGGTTGTCTTTGGCTTTCTGTACTCCTGAAGGTAAGCCCTGTTACAAGACTTCTAGAGTTGACTGCTGCTAAACCAGGGGTCAAATGAAGAGTTTGTCCCACAGAGAGGACCAGTAAGGAACTTCTGGAAACCCTCTTGGCATCAAGTTGAACAAGCGGCTACATTTTAGTTATATGACAACTTAGCCTGCTGTTGTCTGTTAGGTCCAACCCAGAAAATGGGAACTACTCTTAAGTATTTGAACTGCAGGGATTTAATCCAGGGGCTGCTTATACAGAAGATGGTAAAGCTGAGAAGCCACATAGGTAGCAGTGAGGTCATCCATAGAATGGGAGCAGCAGGAAGCTGCAGCTGCCTATAGGCCAGAGGGACCATGGGAGGAGGCAGGGTTCCTGGAGCCCAGGGGCTGGATTTACCTGGCAGAGACGCTTCTAGGAACAGAGAGAGGGGAGGAGAAATACCTTAGCTTTTCCCTGCCTCCCATCATCCATTTTCCCACCAAAGCCTCCCATGGCTGAACCAGCCAGAAGCAGCCAGCAGATCTGAGACCCTGCCAAATGCACGCTGTAGGAATCAGTTCTCTTGTGACACAGAGAAGAAGAGCAGGGAGAAAGGCCAGGAATGGATCTTGACAGCAGACAGGCCTGGACCGGCAGCCTTGTCTTGAAGGAATAAACCTGAGAAAGGATAGTGGCTCTAGAGAAACAGTAATAGCACCTTTCTAGCACCTTTGATTTTTCTCAGTCCACCTTTCTCTAGGAAAAGACTTGTTTGGAAGGCTCTCATTGATACCTGGCAGATCAGTGTAGAAGAGGGTTTAGTGTACTTGGGAGTTGTCACCTTCCCTTGGTTTCCCAGTGAACCATGCTAGCGGAGCACTGAAGGAGCAGTCACTTAGAGCCGAGAGAGCATTACACACTCAGCCACGCTGCCCATGGCACCTGTGGGATCTCTGTCCCTGAGGGTTACCAGGAGCTGTCATTGGGGGGTATACATATTGATAAACATGGCTGTGCCTTAAAGCAGCTGTACAGTACTAGAGAAAGCCTCGATCTGTCAGGCACGTCAGGCCTGAGTGCCTCCTTGTTGATGACTGGCCCGGTCCCTTTTGAACCACTTCTACTTCCTGCCATAGAAAGACAAGCATAATTTCTTCATAGCCAGAAAAAAAAGGAATTCGTGAGGTTAAATAGCAATAGATGCTCATTTGGCAGTGCCCCTCTGTAGGCAGAACTTCAACACTGGAGCTGTAATATTTAGTGAGAAATTCTAGTCGTGTCTCCCCAGAAGTCAGCTGTTATTATCCCCAGAAGATGAGTTTTGTTTGGCATTAGTTTTTCTGTTTCTCTCTCTATTTGTCTGTCTCTGGCTCTCTCTTCGTCCCTCTTCGTCCTCTTTTTTTTTTTTTCTTTAAGACAGAGTTTCGCTCTGTCCCAGGCTGGAGTGCAATGGCCTGATCTCAGCTCACTGTAATCTCCGCCTCCCGGGTTCAAGCGATTCTCCTGCCTTAGCCTCCCATGTAGCTGGGATTACCGGCACCAGACACCACACTCAGCTAATTTTTTTGTATTTTTAGTAGAGATGGGGTTTCACTGGGTTGGCCCGGATGGTCTTGATCTCTTGACCTTGTGATCCGCCCGCCTCAGCCTCCCAAAGTGCTGGGATTACAGGTGTAATCCGCACCCGGCCTTCGTCCTTTCTCTGAAGCTCTCCGTTGCTCTCTGCCTCTGTTTCCTCATAGACGTTAGTGATATGCAATGTTTGCAGCAAATAAAAGCAGAAAACAGTGATTCAGAACCTAAATTGATTCACTTATGATCTCAAACCAACTAGGAGAAGAAAAAACATGTCCTAGGACAAGCGGGTGCTACTAACCTATTTGTGAATACAGGAACATCTAGGCCTCCCGTGACTCAAAATTTCTGTTACCTCTTTCTTGCAAATGAGTCTCAGGTCCAGGTTTCACAGAATCAGCTTGGCTGCTATTAAGTGGCCACAGGAGGGCTGCTTTCACCTCTGTGATTGATGATCTAGGCCTTAATGAGCTCGTAGACCTGCCTCTGATTGTGCACAAGGCCCAGGAAATAAGTGTCTCATTCTTGTTGTGTGGCAGAAGACAGCCACTGTTCTGTTGGTCAGCAGGGCATGTGCCTTTGTTTTATCACGGGTTGGAGGAAGAAGACTTGGAAAGCAGGAATGTGGGAAGAAGCCAGCCAATTTCTATAGCAGAATGATCTTCCATCTTTGGGAAGCCACTGATATTAGAGCTCTCGGGTTTCAGTACTCACAGACACTGTTTGGGCTTCATTTATCTGCTTTTGTGTCATGAGCGAGGTTTAGATGAACTGGACGTGGCAGATTTCCCTCCTATAGGAAGAAGAGGTAATGGATCTGAATCTGACTGGAGCTTCTTGTTCACCAACAGGTCTATGATATTGCATTTAGCCGGGCCGGGGGTGGCAGGGACATGTTTGCCTCTGTGGGTGCTGATGGCTCGGTGCGGATGTTTGACCTCCGCCATCTAGAACACAGCACCATCATTTACGAAGACCCACAGCATCACCCACTGCTTCGCCTCTGCTGGAACAAGCAGGACCCTAACTACCTGGCCACCATGGCCATGGATGGAATGGAGGTGAGCACTCCTCTCAGGCTACCATGGGCCCTGCCTAACTCCAGCACTGCTTAGTATATCTAGAAGGCTGGTTCTCAACTGGAGCAGTTTGGCTCCCGGAGTATCTTTGGGAATGTCTGGAGGCATTTTTGATTGTCACAGCTCTAGAGACGCAGTTGGTACTATGGCATCTAGGGGGTAGAGACCAGGGAGGCTGCTAAATATCCTACAGTGCCCAGGACAGTCCCCCAGCAAAGTATATCCTACCTAAAATGACAGCAGTCCCGGGACTGAGAAAGCCTAATCTGGAATAAGAATTACTTGTTAAGAACTTTTAATTTTTGAAGAGTTGGAGTTAGAGCCAGGAAAAGCAATATCTAAAGAGTAAACCAAATCGTATGTGCCTATGGTGCTGAGTGAAAAAGCAGATTTTCCCTTCTGTAGTCTGGACAGATTCATCTAGCTTTAGCAAACAGATGTAGAAATGGCAGCCCTCTGGCCGGGCGCTCTGGGTCACGCCTGTAATCCCAACACTTTGGGAGGCTGAGGCAGGTGGATCACGAGGTCAAGAGATGGAGACCATCCTGGCCAACATGGCGAAACCTCGTCTCTACTAAAAATACAAAAATTAGCTGGGTGTGGTGGCATACGCCTGTAGTTCCAGCTATTCGGGAGGCTGAGGCAAGAGAATTGTTTGAACCTGGTAGGCAGAGGTTGCAGTGAGCCAAGATCGTGCCATTGCACTCAAGCCTGGGAGATAGAGCAAGACTCCATCTGAAAAAAAAAAAAGGCCAGGCACGGTGGCTCACACCTGTAATCCCAGCACTTTGGGAGGCCAAGGTGGGCGGATCACAGGTCAGGAGATCAAGACCATCCTAGCTAACACGGTGAAACCCCGTCTCTGCTAAAAAAATACAAAAAATTAGCCGGGCGTGGTGTCAGGCACCTGTAGTCCCAGCTACTCGGGAGGCTGAGGCAGGAGAATAGCTTGAACCTGGGAAGCGGAGCTTGCAGTGAGCGGAGATCATGCCACTGCACTCCAGCCTGGTGACAGGGCATGCTCTGTCTCAAAAAAAAAGAAAAACAAATGGCAGCTCTCTCTAGTCTGTTACTTGATTAAAGAGGTGAATTGTGGGTGGGGAGAATGCATTGGTTGTCCTTGGTTTGGTGGCGCTAGCACCTCAGATTCTGCTTTGGCTGGGCTCTCATTCCATTCATCTGAGATGCATAGAATTCTTACCACATGCACCTGCTGGGACCCAGGATTACCCAGACTCCTGTTGTCTGTTTCTGCATCTCCCCTATCAGTCTAAAGGCCCAGTGTTGCTCAAGATAGAGACTATCAACTACCCGTGTCCTTTGTCTTCTTTTCCCTCAATCCTATGGAAATCCTGTCTCTAGTTCTTTAAATCCACAAATGAAAAATTATGCCTAAAAAGATTTTTGCATGTGGATAGTATTTTTTGTTTTTTTCTATGAAACTCTGATGATCCCAGGCCTTTTACTTGTTATTTCCGCAGGTGGTGATTCTAGATGTCCGGGTTCCCTGCACACCTGTCGCCAGGTTAAACAACCATCGAGCATGTGTCAATGGCATTGCTTGGGCCCCACATTCATCCTGCCACATCTGCACTGCAGGTAATCATGGTGGGGAGAAAGAAATCTGGGAAGGATGGAGGAAATCTGTTCTCTTGGCTCCTTAGAATTGTAGTTGTTACTGTTTTCTAAGCACAGTCTTGAGAGATTTATACAAAATGACTAGTTGGAGCCTCTCCACACTTGTGAAATTCAATCAGTACAAATTTTTAGACGATCTTGTACCCTCATGGACATCAGAACATCTTCCATATATGATTTACATCATGTGTCAGTTATAGGGCTGTGCCTTGTACTGTGCCCCTGAAATCTGGATGGCACAGAGGACTCAATTCCAGGAATATGGGGAAAGGGAGGCATCCCTCATGGATATAACAGAATCTTTGGGACTGTGAAGATCAACATCTCCATGGGACCTTTCAGGTTTCACTATAACAAACCCACAGTGTGCTCTGGATGCATCGGAGGGCCCCACAGAACTTTGCCTGGTTGTGGTTTGTGACTTGTGGTTTTCATTTCACTGTTTCCCAGACCAAAGCTAGCACCCCTTACGGGCTGGGTGCAGTGGTTCACGCCTGTAATCCCAGCACTTTGGGAGGCTGAGGCGGGTGGATCACCTGAGGTCAGGAGTTCGTGACCAGCCTGACAAACATGGTGAAACCCTGTCTCTACTAAAAATACAAAAAAAATTAGCCAGGCATGGTGGCACGCACCTGTAGTCCAAGCTACTTAGGAGGCTGAGGCAGGAGAAGCACTTCAACCCAGGAGGTGGAGGTTGCATTGACCAGAGATTATGCCACTGCCCTCCAGCCAGGGCAACAGAGCAAGACTCTGTCTCCAAAAAAAAAAAAAAAAAAAAAAAAGTACCCCTTAAAAATATGTTGGGCCAGGCACAGTGTTTCAGGCCTGTAATTGCAGCACTTTGGGAGGCTAAAGTGGGAGGATTGCTTGAGGCCAAGAGTTCAAGACCAGCCTGGGCAGTATAGTGAGACCTCATCTCTACAGAAAGTTAAAAAAAGACTATCTGGGTGTGGTGGTGAATTCCTGTAGTCCCAGCTACTTAGAGGCTGAGGTGAGAGGATCCCTTGAGCCCAGGAGTTTGAGGTTACAGTGAGCTGTGATTGTGCCACTGTACTCCAGCCTGGGCAACCAAGCAAGACCCTGCCTCTAAAATAAATTTTAAAAAAAGAAAAGAAAGGCTGGGTGCAGTGGCTCACATCTGTAATACCAGCACTTTGGGAGGCCGAGGCAGGTGGATCACGAGGTCAGGAGATCAAGACCATCCTGGCCAACATGGTGAAACCCTGTCTCTACTAAATACAAAAATTAGCTGGGCGTGGTGGCACATGCCTGTAGTCCCAGCTACTCGGGAGGCTGAGGCAGGAGAATCGCTTGAACCTGGGAGGTGGAGGTTGCAGTGAGCTGAGATCGTGCCACTACCCTCCAGCCTGGTGACAGAGTGAGACCCCGTCTCAAAAAAAAAAAAAGAAAAATATGCTGGTTGTCAATGCACTTTTATTGTAGAAATAATGCCAATCTGTTATTTAAATTGAAAACAGTACAGAAGCATATTTAAGAGCAAGGCGAAAGTCATCTTTTCTCCTTCCTATATCATTTCTGCCTCCATCCCCCTCTGCATAGATGACCTCTATCAACAGGTAATGTGTCTCCTTCCAGACCCTTTTGGTATACTTTCAGGGATGTACATCTATGCCCCCAAATACAACTATATACTTCTTCCTTTTGCACTGATAGGATTCTGTCCTAGTCCTGTGATGTTTTGCTCCTTAACTTTTTTAGTGTGTTTTTTTTCTTCTCCTCACTAATCAGGAGCCTTATAATGGACAAGGTTTGTTATGGAGCCCAAGAAGCAATGTACTCTGGTGTTTTTCTGCCATTTGAGCATTATTTGGAAGGCATGAAGCTTTTCCTGATTTTGGCCCTCTGCTCATGCCTGTATGTCTCCTTGAAGAGCAGCTGGGGGCCTGCTGCTGCCTTCTGTACCTCAGATTGTGGTCTGTCTTCTTCATTATTGCCCTCTTTTTTTTTTTTTCCCAGGGGTGTGGATAGGGAGGGATAGAAGAAGCAGAAAAGAAAGGTGTCATCCATTATTCATGGAAAGCAGGACTGGCCCCGTAGAAGCCCCATTTTCTGCTCCTGGCTGCTGCCTTTGTCTGGCTCGCTGTTGTTTTGTGTGTTGCACCTGCCTTGAGCCCCTTCAACCGAAGGAGCTGTTGCTCAAGTGTGCTCGGTTGAGCATTGAGGAAAAGGGCCTTAGTGCTCTAGAGGTGCAATTCCCTGACCTCTTGGCATTGATTGTCCCTGGGAGAGGGATCTTGCACCTGGCCCAGACTATGCGGCCTTGGCAGGAGACTAGTATTGCCCACAATTAGTCTATTAGGGTTTAGTTTATTCAGATTTTCTTTGTATCTGAGACCAGCTTTCATCAGAATGCATGGCAGAGTCAGGGTACACTGCAGCTCTGAAGGCCATTGCCTTATTTTTTTCTTTTTTAAAAATTAACTTACTATTTTGATTATAAAAGTAATATAGGCCAGGTGCGGTGGTTCATGCCTGTAATCCCAGCATTTTGGGAGGCCGAGGCAGGAGAATCGCTTGAACCTGGGAGGCTTTGGTTGCAGTGAGCCGAGATTGCACCATTGCACTCAAGCCTGGGCAACAGAATGAGACTCCATTTAAAAAAAAAAAAAAAAAAAAGTAATATGAGCACATTACGAATCACTTAGGAACTAGAGAAAAGTAAACATAAATCCTAACCTTGCCATCTTAGTATTGCCATCATTCTCATTTTAATATATTTCCTTCTACTTATTTTTCATGTGCTTTTATATATTTAAAGTGATTACCATCTTTCTGGTGTTTCCCATAGCTATTTTCTTGGATTTTTTTTTTTTTTTTGAGATGAAGTCTCACTCTGTCACCCATGCTGGAGTGCGGTGGTATGATCTCGGCTCACTGCAACCTCTGCCTCCCGAGTTAAAGCGATTCTCCTGCCTCAGCCACCGAAGTAGCTGGGATTACAGGTGTGTGCCACCACACCTGGCTAATTTGTATTTTTTTTTTTTTTTTAGTAGAGATGGGGTTTCACCATGTTGTCCAGGCTGGTCTTGAACTCCTGACCTCAGGTGATCCGCCTGCCTCAGCCTTCCAAAGTGTTGGGATTACAGGTGTGAGCCACCATGCCTGGCCAGGAAAGAATTTTTTAACAGCACATATCAGCACTACTTTATCAGTCTTCTATATAACACCTCACTGAAGCATAAATGTCCATCAAACAGGGAAGAAACGCTCTCATTATATTGAATGATCAGAGAATGATCTTTGTAACCACTCAAGTATTTTAAGTGGCTGCAAATGACATGTTTGGTATCCCCTTGTCCACTCCTGATACCTGACCCAGATGAGAAGGACTCATTAGTGCAGTGGATAGAGCCTGGGGACATCTGGGAGATGGAGTCAGGGCCTAGATTTGAGTTCTGGCTCTGCCACTCACTTGGCTGAATAGCTGTGTGATTTGGAACAAGTGCCTTAACATTTCTGAATCTCGATTTCCTCATCGATAAAATGGGGGCTTAAAATAGAACCGCCATCACGGGGGTGCTTTGTAAACTGTGACTTGCTCCTGAAATGCAGGGATCATCATCCGCATTGCCTCACTTGTGACCTTGCTTGCTGGCTTTCTTTGTCCCTAGCGGATGACCACCAGGCTCTCATCTGGGACATCCAGCAAATGCCCCGAGCCATTGAGGACCCTATCCTGGCCTACACAGCTGAAGGAGAGATCAACAATGTGCAGTGGGCATCAACTCAGCCCGACTGGATCGCCATCTGCTACAACAACTGCCTGGAGATACTCAGAGTGTAGTGTTGGTGGCGCTGTGCCCACGAGGCAGGGGCTTTTGTATTTCCTGCCTCTGCCCCACCCCCAAAGTAAGAAGAAACATGTTTCCAGTGGCCAGTATGTCTTTCATTGCTTTGCACCCACTGTTACCAGAAGCTGCTCTAGGAGTTCCTGGCCAGTCACCCCATCGCCCTCTGTGGCAGACTCAGTGCTGTGTGGCGCCTCCTCAGCCCAGGGCTGAGTTTTAAGATTTTCTCTCCTTTCCTCTTCTCCTTTGGTTCCTCAATTAAAAAATGTGTGTATATTTGTTTGTCAGGCGTTGTGTTGAGGAGCAGTTCACGCACTGGCTGTGTCTATTCCTCTGCCCAGGTGTCTCTGTTTGCTGCCCAAGGCAGCAGTTCATGTCTCGTCCATGTCCATGTTCGTGTTAGCACTTACGTGGGAACAAATACCAATTTGTCTTTTCTCCTAGTATCAGTGTGTTTAACAAATTTTAACTTTGTATATTTGTTATCTATCAGGCTAATTTTTTTATGAAAAGAATTTTACTCTCCTGCTTCATTTCTTTGTCTTATAGTCCTCCCTCTTTGCACCTTCTTCTCTTCCCTCAGTGCCTGGAGCTGGTACTGGGCCCCTGGCCCCATGAGCAGTTTGCCTTCTTGAGTCACTGCCTGTGTAGTACATACCTGACCGGGAGTCCAAACCACCTTGGTGCTCTGAAGTCCACTGACTCATCACACCTTTCTTAGCCTGGCTCCTCTCAAGGGCATTCTGGGCTTGTAAACAGACATAGGAAGCCTCTGTTTACCCTGAAGCACCACTGTCCAGCCCATTGGTTCCCACTGGCAGCATGGTAGAGCTGAGAGAAACAGGCTCTCAGGGTACCTGACTTGAGGGGAATCGTTTCATGAAGCTGAACTTCAAGCATATTTCCAGTACATTCTTTCAGAGTCTGTTTTTCCATCCAAATATAAGCCCCAGGCCATTCCACTTAGTGTCTTTTCAATGATAGGCAAGAATGATATCTGAGTTGAACTTCGGTGCTTCTGTTGTTTGAGTTTACTGTGCCTGGTGGTATATTGGGCATTCTTTGGATTGAGTGTTCTGAGGTGAGAGAGTCTTCCCGAGGCATCCTGTCTGTGCTTCCAACCCTGAACAAGACCTTACATGAGAGATGGACTGATGGACTGCGGCAATCCTGGGCTGTCAAGTGGATAGATAGTTAAAAAGCATTATACTGTGGGTAATGAAAAGGGAGGAAAAAAAAAGAAGGAAAAGGAATTATAGACCCCCAGGGTCAGCCAGTTAAGAGCTCTACCCACACCTGTCAACCCCTCTCTCCCCCAGTTTAGGTTCTGAGCAGTATTGGACTTGTAGCCTGCAGTTGTCTTTTGACTTGCAGGCCGCAGGTGTCTTTCTGTTATGTGAATGAGTTCCATGGAGGGGCATATGTGTGATTCCACCGTTAGATGAGCCCTTGGGGCAGGCAGTTTGGGATGTGCTCTTGGGGGAAAGTTGGCTGTTTCCTTGCGCTCTGCTCCTACCCGAAGGTTTTTAAGTCCCTCTGAATTGCTCATCTGAGATTAGTAGAGTAGCAGGCCTGAAGGATGATGGTTTTGTCCTCTTTGGTTCTCACCTGCTTGAGAAGTAAAACAGTAACTTTGTTCTTCTGGGCCCTTAAGCTTTTTTGGTTAAGTCTTCCTTTTCAGAAGTAGATGTCATTATATGCCAAAAGTCTAGCTCTTTGCTTTACCATACAGGGACCTGTCCCAAAGAAAAAGGCTCTTTTTTTAGCCAGCATATTTCCCCTTCTACCCTTTTACTTTGTTGTTCTGATTTTAGGACTCTGGCTGGCCATGTGCTTGTGGTTGCCTCTCCTGCATTTGCCACTGGATTTGCACTGCATCGTTTGGAGATACAAAGCGAGCAGTTCTTGGTCAGAACCCTCCTCTGCTTTTCATTGTGTTTGATAATGGTTACTGGGTCCTTCTCTCAAGGGTAGCAAGGCCAAGCTGATGGCTGCTTGTTTAGGAGGCCATCAGTTCCTTCCTGTGGAGAAGGGTCTGAAATGGAAGTCAGTGGTAGAAGGGGCTGGTCTGCTGGGCAGGGCTTACATCCACTGAGTTCTAAGATTCCTTTCCTGATCTGCACCTACGCCTGGTCTGTATGGTGGAATTTGTCAGCTGGAACTCAGAAACAACAACTTGAAAAAAAAATAATAATTAGAACATATTTGCATAAGATAGCTATTTACTCTGGAAACCAACAACTTTTGAGATTTCCCTTGCCCTGTGGACGCCCAGCTCCTGTCATCCTTCCTTAGGTCCTGCAGTACAGTCTTCCCCTGAATGCCACCGGGGACCCAGGGGGACTCCACCCCCCTAAGCAAGCACACACATACTCACAGTTGATGAGTTGCTGGTCTTTGAGTCCCAGCTCTCTTACCCTCCCTTTACTCCACCAGCCCGACGACCCATGACTGAGGAGGGGATTTCTACAGTCTCAGGATTTAGAAAGTCTGTAAGCCATCCATGCTCCAGAAAGCACCGATCTGTTGTAGTTGCAAAAACAACTCTGTAATTTGTTGAGGTTCTCAAACTGACAGCCAGCGAGACTGGGTGGGAGGCCCTGGATCTGTTCTCCCTGACTGCGGGAGGAGCAGCCACTAGGACTTTAGCAGGAAGCCCACATGGAGGCTCCGCCAGGCTGTGGCCCAGCTGGTGATGGCCCTTTTGCTCCTGGCAGCCTGAGGCACAGCTGCCTGTATTGTCCTCATCTGTTCTGACTGAAGGATGGAGGTGCTGAATAAATTAGGCCTCAGGCCTCTACCACCAGAGAGCTGGAGAATGGGTCCACGTCATTCAAGGACCTGAATTTTTTATGCTCAGGAGCATTGGAATCCTCTTCTTCCAGGGAGGAATTAGCCTGCAAGGTTAGGACTTGAAGAGGGAAGGTATTTAATAACTGGGCGAGGATGGGTGTGGTGGCTCACACCTGTAATCCCAGCATTTTGGGAGGCTGAGGTGGCCAGATCCCAAGGTCAGAAGATCGAGACCATCCTGGCTAACATGGTGAAACCCCATCTCTACTAAAAATACAAAAAAAAATTAGCCGGGGGTGGTGGCGGGTACCTGTAGTCCTAGCTACTTGGGAGGCTGAGGCAGGAGAATGGCGTGAACCTGGGAGGTGGAGCTTGCAGTGAGCCAAGATCGTGCCACTGCACTCCAGCCTGGGCGACAGAGCAAGACTCCGTCTCAAAAAATAAAAAAAAAAAAAAAATAGGTGAAAATTCCTTATAAATCCAGGATTGGCTCTGAGAGAACTGGCTAAGATTCAGGAAGAAACAAAAAATTCAGAATCCTACAAGGTTTTGATGACAATTAGGGCCAAAATTTTAGGAGGAGATGTAGGATGCAGGAGAAAATTAAAGTGTTTTCTTTATATCAGAGGAGGAAATAGTAGAGGTCAGTGAAGGTCTGGGGTAGGGAAACATTCAGACTGTCCATTGCATGGCTGTGGAGTGAGACTGCCCTTAGCCTGGGTCAGCCTTCCTGGGCCATAAATTGGGCATCCGTGATGCTAGGTAACTGTGGGAACAAAATGACAGCTTAGAGCAGCCATGGGTGATGTTTGGTGGTAAAAAACCTACAGGCGTTTGGGGTCCCATGATTGTTCCAGACCATGACTCTTCCTGGTTGTGGGTTTGTTACAGAGCAGGAGAAGCAGAGGTTATGACAGTTATGCAGACTTTCCCCCTCCTTTTTCTCTTTTCTCTTCCCCTTGCTTTTCCACTGTTTCTTCCTGCTGCCACCTGGGCCTTGAATTCCTGGGCTGTGAAGACATGTAGCAGCTGCAGGGTTTACCACACGTGGGAGGGCAGCCCAGTACTGTCCCTCTGCCTTCCCCACTTTGAGAATATGGCAGCCCCTTTCATTCCTGGCTTGGGGTAGGGGAGACCATTGAAGTAGAAGCCTCAAAGCAGACTTTTCCCTTTACTGTGTGTACTCCAGGACGAAGAAGGAAGATCATGCTTGATACTTAGATTGGTTTTCCCAGGGAAGAGGGCGGAGCAGAGCAAAGTCACTGTGAACCCTGGGCCAGGCCCTGGCTGGGCCAGCTCCTGAGAGCGTCTCGTGTTGCAGACCCTTGCCCACTTCACCCACCTGCACCTTCTCCCCCTCTCACAGTGTCACTGCTGCTAATGGTCAAAGTCAAATGTGTGGCCACATGGGATGGGCCAGGTCCTCTCAGGCTACTTTCTGGATGTCATTTTTAAAATATGGAAACATGCAGGTGCCTTCCCAAAGAGGCTTGGACTGGTATATCCAACGAGAAACAAATAAGCTAAAGAAAGTTTAAACTCAAGAAGAAAGATGTTGACAGTCTATGTAACAGCTGGAAAGTTTATAGGCACCCACCTTTGGGACAACCCAGTGATTATGAACATGTGATATCTACTATTTAAAAGAAATGTTCTCACCTTGGGTTGATTGTGGTATACCATGTGTTATGAAAATTGTTGAGCTGAAGCTTTGAATCGATTTAGTTGAGTCTGACTCACTTGCTTTGGTTCCTGTGTATTTTACTACCCCTCTTGTCAGTGACCTTCCTTCCCCACCCCACCCAGAGTGAATTTGTAGCATGATTGTATAAACCTCTATGTAGAAAATGGAGATTTCTTGCTCTGAAATGTTAAGCTCTAACTGATCCATTTCTGTGTCCTTTAGCCTAGTATGTCTGAACTTCCATTCTTGTTATATATTTAAACTTTCCCTCTATATTATAGGTTTTGTGGCATCCACGGTCAGGTGTAGAGGAAGCTGCCCCTTGCAGAACTGTACTGTAATATTTTTCTTTTATAAATATTTTCACAGGACTGATTGTACACAGGGCTTGTAATAAAATTTTAACACTGTGCTGTGAAACAACTATGGGGAATCTCCATTGAAGGCTACTTCATGGGCACCTGAAAGTGGAGTGTTATAGCTATGACTTTCTATTTCTTGTTTCCTAAGTAAATTAAACCTAATTTTCACCCTTTCATTCTGTTTCAGCCTCCTGTATAAGAAGTACCGTATTTTCTGCCCATCATACTTTGTAATAAAACTTGAACATGTATAGATTGACTGAATTTCTTTTTGTGACGAATTCAGTTCTTCCCATTTTGTCACTTTGGTCATGTTCCATAGACAGTGGCAGTGCCCCAGCCCGAGCCGGGCAGTCTACTCATCACCTTTTATATCCTATTTAGTCATTCACTTGTTAATTCAGTGGAGCACCTCCTCTATGCCAGGGGACATGGCCCTCAAGTTGGTTGCAGTCTACCAGAGGAGACATCTACATAAATACTTGTGGCCGGGCACAGTGGTCTGTGATCCCAGCTGAGGCATGGGGGTGGCTGAGGTGGGAGGATCACTTGAGGCCAGGAGTTCAAGACCAGCCTTGGCAACATAGCAAGACCCTGTCTCAATCAATCAGTCATTTTTATTAAAAAAAAAAAAAATTTCTTTTAGCCAGACTAAGATCTAAGACAAATCTTTTTTTTTGCATTTCTTTTTTCTTTTTTTGAGACGGGGTCTCGCTCTGTCACCCAGGCTGGAGTGCAATGGCGCGATCTCGGCTCACTGCAACCTCCACCTCCCGGTTCAAGCTATTCTCCTGCCTCAGCCTCCTGAGTAGCTGAGATTACAGGCATGTGCCACAACACCCGACTGATTTTTGTATTGTTAGTAAAGACGGGGTTTCACCGTGTTGGTCAGGTTGGTCTCGAACTCCTGACCTTGTGATACGCCTGCCTCAGCTTCCCAAAGTGTTGGGATTACAGGTGTGAGCCACCGCACCTGGCATTTATTTTATTTTAATAGTTTTGGGGGAACAAGTGGTTTTTGGTTATGTGGATAATAAGTTTTTTTAATGATGATTTCTGAGATTTTGGTGCACCCATCACCGGAGCAGTGTACACTGTACCCAATTGGTAGTCTTTTATCCCTACCCCCTCCCACCCAAATTTTTAAAAGACAAAAAACAAAAAAACCAAATAACTTGCATTGTTGTGCGATAATGGATGTGTTTAGGCATCACCCCTCAGGAGGAGGTGATCACCTCTGCCTGTGTGGGAGCCACATGGGGTCAGCGAAAACTACTTAAGATGGATGCCTAAGCTGGGTTTTGAAGGCTGAGTAGGAGTTATCTGGAAATAGGGAATGTCCTTTAAGGCAGAGAGAACACCCATGTGCAAATCTATGGAGGCAAGAAAGTATGGTCATATTTAGAGAATTGCAGGTTGAGGTGGGGTGAATAGTGGGAAATGTAGCTAGAGATGTATACAGGAGCCAGGGCAGGGAAAGTCTCCCGCTTTGCAGAAATTTTAGACATTACACTTCTGTATGATCCTGGAAAACATACACAGAGAGGAGTCATCAGAATTGCATTTTAGAAGGATAGGCAATGAAAAAGTGCCTCTTCCTTCTTATAGGGTGAGAGAAAAACCCTGAACTAAGGCGGCGGCGGCAGCAGCAGCCACGGCAAGGATGGAGAGGACAGGGCACAAGTAAAGAGGGATGCAGTCATCAGCATTTAGTAATTTATTGATTGTGAAGGAGGACAGAGAAATAACTCCCAGATCTTTTGGATTTGGACAGGTTCTGATGGCTGACTAGGAATGTCCAAGTCCCTGCTAATTTCCCAAACCTATGCCCCACACGGTAGGGTGGGGGAGTTCCTATCCCACTGCTCTTCAAATGCTGTGTGTCCTGGATGAAATACTACCCCCATTTATTTATATTTTTATTCTTCATGTTGGGCCACTGTGAAGGAAGAGAAGAAAGGCAAACTGATTGGTTCCGTGAACCTGTATTCGGTAAGTACCTGCCATTGTGTCAGCTGATATGGAGCCGGTGGCAGTGGATCTGTGAAGGGAAGTATGTGCTCTTGAGAATTTAATTTTTTTTTTTTTTCAGACAGAATTTCGCTCTTGTTGCCCAGGCTGGAGTGCAATGGCGCGATCTCGGCTCATCGCAACCTCCGTCTCCCGGGTTCAAGCGATTCTCTTGTCTCAGCCTCCTGAGTAGCTGGGACTACAGGCATGTGCCACCACGCCTGGCTAATTTTATATTTTTAGTAGAGATGGGGTTTCATCATGTTGGTCAGGCTGGTCTCAAACTCCCGACCTCAGATGATCCACCCACCTCGGCCTCCCAAAGTGCTGGGATTACAGGCGTGAGCCACCGTGCCTGGCAGAGAATTTAAGTTTTATGAGTACCTGCTGGTCCTTTGGAACTGTGCTGCTATATGGTCTGACAATGTATATTTTGTGAGAAACACATGAGTCCTGCTCTCTGGTTTTTAAGGAGAAAACAGAGAGTAATACTATTTATAGGCTAGCCTATGCTGCGGCAACAAACCCCCAAATCTCAGAAACTGAGCACTACAAAAGCTTATTTTTTGCTTACACAAAGTCCTCTGGGCCGGGTGCAGTGGCTCAACTCTCTAATCCCAGCACTTTGGAAGGCTGAGGGGGGAGGGAGGGGCAGATAGCTTGAGGTCAGGAGTTCGAGACCAGCCTGGCCAACATGGTGAAACCCTATCTCTACTAAAAATACAAAAATTAGCTAGGCATGGTGGCACACGCCTGTTGTCCCAGCTACTTGGGAAGCTGAGGCAGGAGAATAGCTTGAACCCGGGAGGTGGAGGTTGCAGTGAGCCAAGATCGCACCACTGCACTTCAGCCTGGGCAACAGAGCAAGACTCCATCTCAAAAAATAAAAATAAACGTGTGACCTCCAGGTTGCTTATGGGGGGTGGGAGGGAGTACATTTTTCAGGATGGGCCGGGAAGTGGCTTACTCACTTTTGCTCCTATCTGCCAACTGCAAGGAAGGTCAAGTCAAGAAATGTAGTCTTCCTGTGTACCCTGGAAAAGGAAGTGAAGTAGTGAATAATTATGTCTCAGCCATACTAGCAAATCGGCTAAGTATCTGGACTAATAACTAATGTAATCTCATTCATTGAGAGCTGTTAGTACTGGACAACACATGGTCAAACCTAATGGAATGATATTTGTAGCCAGTCTTTAGCTTCCAAGGCTCATTGTTACTTAAGTGATTTCAGTGAGCCTGACAGCCAGGCGTCTAGAGATGGTTCAGTCAACTATGAATTTATCTTGAAAGGTGGCTATTAACTCAGACTGAGAGTTAAAATCTGCCCTGCCATTCATCACAGATGCACAGACAGATAAAACCAGCTGCACAGTTAACAGGATATAGTACCTCTATCAAGAACACACTGCAATTTTTTTTTCTTTTTTTGGCAACATAAAGTGTCAAAACTCCCTGAGTGACTACTGTTTTAAAAAAATTCACTGAGAAATTTCGTTCTCCAAAATCATAGGCTGACAAAGTTTGCTGTTTGCAATTGTATTTGTGAGAATTAAGGCTTATAGTCAGTCTTGCTTGGAGGAGCTGAGTCACTCTGACAGAGAAGCAGCCTTGATTTCCAGGCCAGGTATTGTGCTTCAGAGCAGGGGCTTCTGAACACAACAGTCCACATTTACCTTGACTTTGTACTTTCCAGGGAAACTGATCCCCTGGGTCCACTTGGTAGTCCAGCTGATCTTAATCCGCCTTTCACACAGGTCTGTGTTTCTTTGAGCCTAACTCTAATTTTTCACCTAACTTCCACCCTTCCCCATAATTCTATGACCAGTTTTTTCTTCGGTAAGACACTTCACCATTCCTCTGGTGTGCAGTCTCCCTTGTTGCAGTGAGTTGATAAGCCTAACTCTGTGAGACTATAGGTTTCCCTTGCTGGTCTCAGGCTGACTGGACTAGGGCAGTCTCAAACCTTGTTTTAGCCTCTACACTTATTTGTGATTACAAATTCCATTAATTTGATTTTTGCTTCTCAAAGTAAATATTACATATATATTTTTTTCTTTTTTTTTGAGATGGAGTCTCGCTCTGTCACCAAGGCTCAAGTGCAGTGGCGCGATCTCGGCTCACTGCAACCTCCGCCTCCTGGGTTCAAGCGATTCTCCTGCCTCAGCCTCCTGAGTAGCTGGGACTACAGGCGCGTGCCACCACACCTAGCTAATTTTTTGTATTATTAGTAGAGACGGGGTTTCACCGTGTTAGCCAAGATGGTCTCGATCTCCTGACCTCATTATCTGCCCCAAATCGGCCTTCCAAAGTGCTGGGATTACAGGTGTGAGCCACCATGCCTGGCCTGAATAAACTATTTTTAAATTGCAAAAAGTAATACTATATATGAATGGCTGATAAGCACATGAAAAGATGCTTACCATTAGTAGTCATTCAGGAAATACAATCAAAACCACAATGAGATAATACTTCTCACCCACAAGGATGGTGATAACTATAGTCAAAAAGAATAACAAATTTAGCCAGTGGCTCACACCTGTAATCTCATCTACTTGGGAGACTGAGATGGGAAGATCACTTGAGCCCAGGAGTTCTATGCTGCAGTCAGCTATGATTGCTCCACTGGACTCTAGCCTGGGTAACAAAGCAAAAAAAAAAAAAAAAAATTCATGATATGGAGAAATTAAACCCTCATATATTGCTGGTGGGAATGTAAAATGATACAACCACTTTAGAAGACAGTCTGGCAATCCCACAAAAGGTTAAACATAGTTATGATATGACCCAGCAATTCCACTCCTAGGTATATAACTAAAAGAAGTGAAAACATAGGTCCACACAGCAATGTGTACATGAATGTTCACAGCCTCATTATTCATCATAGAAGGTGGAAACAACCACATGTCCATTGCCTGATGAACAGATAAATAAAACGTGGTATATTCATACAATGGAATATTATTTGGCAATAGAAATGAAATACTGATACATGCTACAACATGCAAGAATCCTGAAAACATCATGCTAAGTGAAAGAAGCCAGTTACCAAAGGCCACATAGTGTGTGGGCCCATTCATATTAAATGTCCAGAAGAGGCAAACCCACAGAGACAGAAGTAAATTGGTGATTGCCTAGGGCTGTGGGAATTGGGGGGAAATAGGGAATGATTGCTAATGGGTACAGGACTTCTTTTGGGGATGATGAAAATGTAAAATCAATTGTGCACAGCTCTGAATATTCTATAACACATTGTACACTTTGAATTGGTGATCTGTGTGATCTGTGAAATATGTCAAAACTTAATTTTTTAAAAAATGAGAACTGTGTTGGGCATAGGAAGTACAGTCCTACTCTCAGAGAATTTAGTATTACGGTAGAAACAGATATAAACATTTTGATATTTTTTTAAAAGGTAAGTGCTAAGGTGCAAGCATGTATGAAGGGCTATGGGCACCCACCGCACCTGGCTAATTTTTGTATTTTTAGTAGAGACGGGGTTTCACCATGTTGACCAGGCTGGTCTTGAACTCCTGACCTCAAGTGATCTGCCAGCCTCGGCCTCCCAAAGTGCTAGGATTACAGGCGTGAGCCACCGCACCCAGCCCCATGGAGGTTCTTATATAATAAAAAATAAAAAATCTATGCTTTTGTGCTTTGCATCCATTATCCCATTTAGTCCTCACAAGGCCATTCTATGGTAAGGAAACTGAAACAGGAAAGTAAAGGAACTTGCCCAAGGATACACTAGAAAATGGAACAACCAGGGTTTGAAGCCACCCAGTCTAACTGCAGAGGGCACAAACTTGGACTTCACACTGTCCTGCTTCTCTCTCTCTCTCTCTCTCTTTTTTTTTTTTTTTTTTGAGTTGGATTCTCGCTCTGTCGCACAGGCTGGAGTGCAGTGGCGCGATCTCGGCTCACTGCAACCTCCTCTTCCCGGGTTCAAGCGATTCTCCTGCCTCATCCTTCTGAGTAGCTGGCATTACAGGCGCGCGCCACCACGGCCGGCTAATTTTTTTGTATTTTTAGTAGAGACGGGGTTTCACCATGTTGGTCAGACTGGTCTGGCACTCCTGACCTAGCGATCCGTCTGCCTCAGCCTCCCAAAGTGCTGGGATTACAGGCGTGAGCCACCGCGCCCGGCTGTCCTGCTTCTCTACCTGATATGTCATGCCCTTTGGACTTAATCTCACCAGCATGGGAGTCACTACAAAGCTTTTCAGCAGCTGCCGCTTTGTTTCTCTCCATCTTCTAACGGATTCGGTTTTCTCTTTCGAGACAGCAGAGAGAAAATGAAGAGGGGAGTTTAGCTCCAAAGGGCTTGTCTGATCATTCTCCCTCTCCCAAAGGCCTGTGACTCATCTGAGTCTGTCCCAAACCATCTCTTGCATCTAGGGGCTTAAGTGCACTGTGGCTATTTACATAAAACTTTATTACTTTAAAGCTCTAAGGGCTCATTTTGTGTTTCTAACTTTCCTATGTTGATAAAGCAAATATTAGATCCTTATTTATAAATAGGGAAGACGTTCAGAGAGATTAAACATTTGGGCAATTCACTTCTCTGGCAGCAGTTTCTTTCCCAGTACAATGAGGCAACAACAAAATATCATTCTGGACTTGCTCAGATTTAGGCAGCAATTTGGAAGCAAAGTCAGTTTCATAACTCAGATGTGTCTCCACTAAAACATTATGAGAAACAAAGTCCGGCGCTCTCTAGGCAACCGTGAGGGCTTGAGCACTAACTAGATCTGCTCAAGGGCAAGAGAGGAGCGAGTACCGTGCAGCCACGGAACGGACTTTGCGGGCAGTGGGGACGTGTTTTTGGAGCGAACCCGGTAAAGGAAGTGTGCTACGCCATCAAGGGCCCCCAGTCCCGGGTGCCGCGGGGACAGTGTAGGGTCATTAGCTGTTGAGCCGCCCCGGGCGGGCCCAAGCCTTTGGATCTCAGGTGACCGGCACAGGCGGCCGCGGGGTCCGGAACTGCTTGTTCCGGCAGTGGAAGAGACGCGCCGGCGTTGGCCGCTGCTGCTAGCAGCTTGAACCCCAGGGTCGGGACCGATGTCGGCTTGGGCTGCTGCCAGCCTAAGCAGGGCCGCTGCCCGATGCTTGCTGGCACGAGGCCCCGGGGTCAGGGCGGCTCCTCCGCGCGACCCCCGGCCCTCCCACCCCGAGCCCCGGGGCTGCGGTGCCGCTCCGGGCAGGACGCTGCACTTTACCGCGGCTGTCCCCGCCGGGCACAACAAGTGGTCCAAAGTCAGGCACATCAAGGGTCCGAAGGACGTCGAAAGGAGTCGCATCTTCTCCAAACTCTGTTTGAACATCCGCCTGGCAGTGAAAGGTGAGACCCTGACGGTCACCCAGCACTGGCTGCCGCTGCCCTCTCAGTGCCCGCAGCCTCGCTTGCCTCTCGGAATTGGGCCCACCTAGATCTCCGGCCCTTCACTTTGTTTTCCTTCCCCAGTACCCACCATTGCCCACCTCATAAATCCTCAAAACACCTACCCTACGTTGGAGGTTCTCACTCACTTTTCCAGACGCTGAGCATCTGGCCAGTTTGTCAGAGAGGGAGCTGCTCTTAAGAAGATAAGCCGGTAAGGTAGAAGTGACTTCATCCTAATCTAGCTGGGTACTTAATAGAAACAAGCCCTAAGAGTCAGGGCAGATGTGTGTCTCTCCTGAAGAGACAAATCAACCCCTCTGAAGTCGCCTCAAGTACCTTATTGGTTGTGGCAGGGGCACTGAGTAAAGCTATTACTTAAGTGCTTAGGCCTTAGCTTAGGCCTTAGTTTGCTTCATTAATGTTTCCCCAAGACACATTTCCTTGGAAGGTAGATTTGCAGCCATGTCTTTTCTCCCTTAGGTCGCCACACTGAAAAGGCTTTTTTTCTGTTTAGGGCCAGACATCTGTAGGAGCAAAGGAAAAGTCCTGTAGAAAGCATGGACTTTGGACTGGGCGCAGTGGCACAGCCTGTAATCCCAGGCCAGAGGCAGGCAGATCACTTGAGGTCAGGAGTTCAGGACTAGCCTGGCCAACATGGGGAAACCCTGTGTCTACTAAAAATAACAAAAAAAAAAAAAAAAAAAAACAGCTGGGCATGGTGGTGCATGCCTGTAATGCTGGCTACTCGGGAGGCTGAAGCAGGAGAATTGCTTGAACCCAGGAGTTGAAGGCTGCAGTAAGCGAGATTGCTCTACTGTACTCCATCCAGCCTGGGTGACAGAGCAAGACTCCATCTCAAAAAAAAAAAAAAAAAAAGAGAGAGAAACTGTGGACTTTGGAGTCAGGAAGACTGGTTTCTGTCACTGACTAACCTTGAACAAGTAGCTTAACTTGAGTTTCTCTGAAACAAGGATAATACCCACCTTGAGGTAGTTTATGGTTTATGGCACATCATAGGCATTCAGTTAATGTTAATTTACCCCCTCAGCTCATGCCTGGTATTTGTTTGCTTCCTTTTCTTCAAAATTCTTGATATTAAGTTCAAGCAACTTTTATTTATTTATTTATTTATTTATTTTGAGACAGAGTCTCACTCTGTCACCCAGGGTAGAGTGCAGTGGCGTGATCTTGGCCCATTGCAACCTCCACCTCCCAGGCTCAAGTGATTCTCCTGCTTTAGCCTCCGGAGTAGCTGGGACTACAAGTGTGCACCACCATGCCTGGCTAAATTTTTTTGTATTTTTAATAGAGACAGGGTTTCACCATGTTGGCCAGGCTGGTCTCGAACTCCTGACCTCAAATGATCTACCCACCTCCACCTCCCAAAGTGCTGGGATTGCAGGTATCAGCCACTGCATCCCAATGAAGTTCAACCAACTTGTGTTTATTTTGTGCCAGGCATGCCATTGGTACTAGAAAGATGATGAGATACAGCCCCTACCCTCAGATCACAATGTCATGTGAACATTTCAATAATTATGCACAAAGTGCTGGGCACGGTGGCTCACACCTGTAATCTCAACACTTTGGGAGGCTGAGGCCGGCGGATCACGAGGTCAGATCGAGACCATCCTGGCTAACACGGTGAAACCCCGTCTCTACTAAAAATACAAAAAAATTAGCCAGGCGTGGTGGTGGCGGGCGCCTATAGTCCCAGCTACTCAGGAGGCTGAGGCAGGAGAATGGCGTGAACCCAGAAGGCGGCGCTTGCAGTGAGCCGAGATTACACCACTGCACTCCAGCCTGGGCAACAGAGGAAAACTCTGTCTCAAAAAATAATAATAAAAATAAAATAAAATAAAAATAATTATTATGCACAAAGTAGTAGAGTAAGAGCAGTAATGAGTCCAGGAAGTGTTGTTACCATCTATAACCCTTCTTCATCTGACACAAAGTAGAGATCGCTGAAACCTAGCAGAATGAAAACCATCCCTAAAGACAATGAATTAGAAAGTTCTGGCCAGGCACGGTGCCTCATGCCTGTAACCCCAGCACTTTGGAAGGCCAAGGTGAGTGGATCACTTGAGGTCAGGAGTTCGAGACCAACCTGGCCAACGTGGTGAAACCTCATCTCTACTAAAAATACAAAAATTAGCTGGGCATGGTGGCAGACACCTGTAATCCCAGCTACTTAGGAGGCTGAGGCAGGAGAATCCCTTGAACCCGGGAGTGGGAGGTTGCATTGAGCCAAGATGAGCCAAGATCATGCCACTGCACTCCAGCATGGATGACAGAGTGAGACTCTGTCTCAAAAAAAAGGTCTTTTCTGGCCAGACATGGTGGCCCACACCTGTAATCCCGGCACTTTGGGAGGCCGAGTCAGGCAGATCACTTGAGCTCAGGAGTTTGAGACCAGCCTGGGCGACATGGTGAAAACCTGAATCTACAAAAAATACGAAAAAAATTACCTGGGTGTGGTGGTGCACACCAGTGGTCCCAGCTACTTGGGAGGCTGAGGCAGGAGGATCGCTTGAACCCTGGAGGTTGAGGCTACAGTGAGCTAAAATCATGCCACTGCACTCCAGCCTGGGTGACAAAGTGAGACTTTGTCTCAAAAAAAAAAAAAGTACTTTTCCAAAATACTTATCCAGGCCAGGGGCAGTGGCTCACACTTGTAATCCCAGCACTTTCGGAGGCCAAGGTGTGTGGATCACCTGAGGTCAGGAGTTCGAGACCAGCCTGGCCAACATGGCGAAACCTGGTCTCTACTAAAAATACAAAAATTAGCCGGGTGTGGTGGTGTGCACCTGTAATCCCAGCTACTCAGGAGGCTGAGGCAGGAGAATCACTTGAACCCAGGAGGTGGATGTTGCAGTGAGCCAAGATCGTGCCACTGCACTCCAGCCAGCAACAGAGTGAGACTCCATCTCAAAAAACAAACCAAAAAAACCCGAAAATACTTCTCCGTATCCCACTGAAACACTAGTTAAGGTATTCTAAGGTAACTGAGAGCTAAATGGTGATTTGCCACTCCTTTGGCTTGGTGGGGCTGGAAATCCCTTTTATTCTCCCATGTTGTAATGAGATGTCTTTGCTCACTCTTTTTTTTCTTTTTCTTTAAATCTCAGAAGGAGGCCCCAACCCTGAGCACAACAGCAACCTGGCCAATATCTTAGAGGTGTGTCGCAGCAAACATATGCCCAAGTCAACGATTGAGACAGCACTGAAAATGGAGGTGTGTACTGTTTGACATGCTTTTTATTGATCACAGCCTCTACCGGGCTCATGTCTGGATGGCCAACAAACACACTGTAAATTATCAGAGGGGCCAAGTGCAGTGGCTCACGACTATAATCCCAGCACTTTGGGAGGCTAAGGTGGGTGGATCACTTGAGGCCAGGAGTTTGGAGACCAGCCTGGCCAGCATGGTGAAACTCCATCTCTACTAAAAATACAAAAATTAGCTGGGCGTGGTGGCATATGCTTGTAATCCCAGCTACTGGGGAGGCTGAGGTGGAGGATCGCTTGAACCCAGGAGGTAGAGATTGCGGTGAGCCGAGATTGCACCACTGCACTCCAGCCTGGGCGACAGAGCGAGACTCTGTCTCAAAAAAAAAAAAAAAAATTATCAGAGAGAACGGTAGCAATGTAGTTGACGCCCTCAGCCTAGAGTCTTCTGAGAGCTCACCGTCCTTGGTCATTGGTTCTAGGAGCACAACTGGGAGTAGGATGCATAGGCAGTATGCAGGGCCATACAGTCAAGACCGGGACTGCTCAGCCAAGTTGTAGGGAGATGAGGTATTATAGAAAGAAGGGGCAGTGTGGGAGAAAGCCCTTACGTTAGGTGGAGGAAGTGTTTGTTTTTCAGATGTTTATGCCCTAAAGGAGAAAAGCCAGTAGAAAGGGAGAGGATGGGGGTGATAGAGATGGTGGGAGGGGCAGGTATATAGAGTCCACGTAAGGGTACACCTTTCTCTGGGGCAGGTAGGGAGGCTCTGAGGAAGTAATAGTTATCTTAATAGCTCAAAATTATTGAGTGCTTCCTGCAGGCTAAGCATGGATAAAAACTCTATGTGTGTTATCTCATCGAATCCTCAAAACCACCGTAAGTAGAAACTGAGGCACAGGAATGTTAGGTGAGTTGACTCAAGTCGCATAGAAAATGACAGACTTGAAACCAGATAGTCAGACTTTAGAGCCTGTGCTCTAACCGTTATGCTTATTGCCTTCATGTAGGCCATGGTGCAGAGAAGGTGGTGGAGACAGCAACTATTTTCCCCACCTAGTGGCCCTTTTTACCTTTGTGAAAGAGGAAGGGAGAAGTTATGAGTTGAGAATTCCTGGAAAGTTGCAGGACAGGGTGCTTGGAGTGGGGAATATTGAATACATGGACAAGGGATGAGTAGGGGCATGGAAGGTCCAGAAGAGATTAGTCCCTAGAGCTCTGGATTAATTGTTTCAATTTTGAGACCATGCTGTTTTCAGCAGCTCTTACGACAAGGCCTAGGTGTGTGATATTTCACAGCAGTACTCAGCAGCCCAGGGTAGGGACCTTGAGACTTGACCGGTGGGTTTCTTACAGGATGGGGGTGTAGGAGGATGAGTCTGAGTGGGATTGGGTAGGGACTAGATGTGGCATTTGGTTAGGGATGGTAGGAAGCAAAGCTGAGAGATGGCTGATGGATTGTTCAGGGACCGGAGAAACAGACTCCTTCCAAGTTAGGGGTAGTACTTCCTGTTACCTCAAAAGTTGGTTAGAGGGTGGGGACAAAAATAAAGATTGAGAGCTCAGGCTCCAGCCTAGAGAGCCCATCCCATGGAGTTAGTTTTGCGATACTTGTAGTTCTGGGCTGACATGTGGGAAGGAATTGGGAAACAGGAAAATGTGCTTGTGTTGTTTATTGCAGAAATCCAAGGACACTTATTTGCTGTATGAGGGTCGAGGCCCTGGTGGCTCTTCTCTGCTCATCGAGGCATTATCTAACAGTAGCCACAAGTGCCAAGCAGACATTAGACATATCCTGAATAAGAATGGGTAAGTGTGCGTCTGGGAGGAGTGGTAGGGGACAGAGCCTTTATGTTCCAATTCTCTGCAAGGCAAGTACTGTTGATCTCTGCTAGTGTTTCAGGGTTTTGTTTTTTGTTTTTTTGTTTTTTGAGACGGAGTCTCACTCTTGTCGCCCAGGCTGGAGTGCAATGGCATGATCTTGGCTCACTGCAACCTCTGCTTTCTGGGTTCAAGTGATTCTCCTGCCTCAGCCTCCTGAGTAGCTGGGATTAAAGATACCCACAGCCATGCCCAGCTAATTTTTGTATTTTTAGTAGAGGTGACAGGGTTTCATCATGTTGGCCAGACTGGTCTCGAACTCCTGATCTCAGGTGATCCACCTGCCTCAGCCTCCCAAAGTGCTGGGAGCCACCATGCCTGGCCATGTTTCAGGTTTTAAGCACACTTGCTCCTTAGCAGAATCTAATGAGTTAATTGACTTTCCCTTAATGTAGTTTCTACTAGCAGGATCCCAAAGACTTGTTCATCGGATGTAGAAGGGGATCTTTGTCCTATTATCCCCATCTGTAGCCATATAATGCCTAAGTCTTAAAATGCTCCACCAGGACTGGCATCTTAATGGCACAGGAAATTATCAGCTAAGTCTGCTTCCTCCCAACTGCAATCAGGGCAGAAAATCGAGCGTGGGGACATTCTTGGGCTGTTCCCTTACCCAGCAGCAGCTGCATTTTCTCCTTGAGGATGCGATCTGCTCCATGTCTGTGTGTACTTCATAGACTGGGTAAGAAAGAGACAGTGATAGAATGATGAGCTTTATGGAGGCTGAGCTTCTAGAGGCATCCACTCATGCCAGCCTGTTTCCTTCCCTGTCAGAGGAGTGATGGCTGTAGGAGCTCGTCACTCTTTTGACAAAAAGGGGGTGATTGTGGTTGAAGTGGAGGACAGAGAGAAGAAGGCTGTGAACCTAGAGCGTGCCCTGGAGATGGCAATCGAAGCAGGAGCTGAGGATGTCAAGGAAACTGAAGATGAAGAAGAAAGGAACGTTTTTAAAGTAAGCATGAAAACATGGGTGTTTGGTGGGCTTCCGGGAGGACCCTGATAGATGCCTTATGCATGCCTCTTGGTTTCTTCCTTCATGTGCCCCAGGGTATAGGTGAGACAGTTCACATATTGTACAAACATTTATTAAGTGAATACTGAATAGGACCGACTCTAGTGAGGACTATGAGAAAGAAAGAGTCAAAACATTGAAAACGATGTCCCTGCCAGTGAAGAGCTCAAACCCAGTGATCCATTCCAGTACTGACATTCAGGACTTTGCAAGGTCCTGTGTGGCTTTGTCTCATTACCTCCTGGCTCCTCACCTCCTGACTTTCCTTTATCCCTAGTTTATTTGTGATGCCTCTTCACTGCACCAAGTGAGGAAGAAGCTGGACTCCCTGGGCCTGTGTTCTGTGTCCTGTGCACTAGAGTTCATCCCCAACTCAAAGGTGCAGCTGGCTGAGCCCGACCTGGAACAGGCCGCACATCTCATTCAGGCTCTCAGCAACCACGAGGATGTGATTCACGTCTATGATAACATTGAATAACCAGGCTACATGTGCCCCCGGGTTCCTTCCTAGAAATGTGGCAGCCCATTCCAGCACACAGGCTTCTGCAGCAATCTCTGAGGGTAAAGCCGGTGGGAGGCTCAGCAGGCCAGGAGGCCCAAGGACAGGACTTGCGACCTTGAAGCCAAAGGAATCTCACTTGTGGGGCCTCCTTGTCAGCTCTGCTGCTGTCTCAGAGCCATCTGGATGAGTGTCCCGACACCCTCTCGGATGCAGGGCAGGACCACCCAGCTGGTCAGACTCTGATGTTGGGTAGCTGGCCTCTGTGGGGATTGTAAGTGCCCTGAGGCGCTCTGTACTAGAAACTGCTCTTAATAATAACGGTGATTATTGGTTGCTGCATTGCTGTTGTATGGCTCTTGAGTCTTCCTGAGTTTGTGTCCAGCTGTTGGGATCCTCTGGACTAACTTTCAAGTCCCTAGGCTTAGCTCTACTACTCCAATCCCAGGATTATTTTTTTAATTGGCCATAGAAATGTAGTTGTATCCAGGCACTCCATGGTCTGATGCTGGTCTTACAGCCTAAACCTGTCATTCATTCATGCAACTAATATTTCTGGAACACTAGCTATATACCAAGAACTGTACTTATCTAGAGCATAAGCTATTCAACTGGTGTCCTGTGTTAGATCCTGCTCTAGAAGGTAGGACCTGAACACAGGACTGCTCTTTACTGGAGCTGTCCCAGGGCAGTGTGAGCTGCTGTGCAAGCATCTGTTGCTCTCTTTGTGTGACTTCTGTGCCCTTCTTTCACCAAACAGCTTAAGGTTCTAGCCCAGTAGGAAATCAAGTGCCAGTGATAAGGGACTTGGCAGTGGCTCACACCTATAATCCCATCTACTCGAGAGGCTGAGGCGGGAGGATCACTTGAGCCCAGGAGTCTAAGGCTACAGTGAGCTATGATTGCACCATTGCATTCCAGCTTGGGTGACAGAGTGAGAACTCTTCTTTTTTTTTTTTTTTTTTTTTTTTTTGAGGCAGAGTCTCACTCTGTTGCCCAGGCTGGAGAGCAGTGGCACAATCTCAGCTCATTGCAGCCTTGACCTCCTGGACTCAAGCAGTCCTTCCACCTCAGCCTCCCAAGTAGCTAGAACTACAGGTGCATGCCACCACGCCCAGCTAATTTATATATATTTTTGTAGAGATGGGGTTTCACTATGTTGTCCAGGTTGGTGTCGAGCTCCTGAGCTCAAGTGGTCTGCACACTCGGCCTCCCAAAGTGCTGGGATTACAGGCATGAGCCACCACGCCCGGCTGAGTCTGTCTCTTTTTTTTTTGAGACAGAGTCTTGCTCTGTGGCCCAGGCTGGAGTGCAGTAGCATGATCTTGGCTCACTGCAACCTCCACCTCCCAGGTTCAAGTGATTCTCCTCCTTCAGCCTCCCAAGTAGCTGGGATTACAAGCAGGCACCACCATGCCCGGCTAATTTTTTTGTGGAGGGGGAGGGGAGAAAATTAAACTTTATTTATTTTTAAAAGCAAACCACCGGGAAAATATAACACAGCCTGGAAGCAGCAAATGGACAGGCTATATTATCATTTCAAGTAGTAAGTTGATGAAAATACAATGAGGTTGCTATCAAAACAATAACGTGCCATGCCGGGGCAGGAACACTGCAAGTTGCGAAAGCCCCAGGCAAAAATGGTTTTTGGTACTGGGGTCTGCCTCTCCTTTGCTATAAGGGAGTCAGCTCATCCTAGCCCAAGTTGCTTACTTTTTCTTCCTTGGATTTCCTGTTGCCAGGGTTTGTCTCAATTGTGCTTTGTTAATTCAGGGGGCTAAGTAGGCAGTGCTAGGTTTAGGCTTTCATTCCATCCGTTCTATAAAAACCAGGTTTTTCCAAATCCAGTACTTCATAACTCTGTTATAATCAAGTAGCCAACTGCTCTTCTTTTACTGTTCATTTCTAGATACTAGTATATATCACAATCAAAACCCCCTTCTCTTCACCGGGAAAGTGTTACTGCAAGATTGTCCTGTCATTTTGCTACACACAGCCTCGGCCCATCAGCCAGTAATTATGCTTCCCATAATTAGTATGTCATCACCTCTCATGTTTTTGCATGGTCTCCAGGCTGAAAGATGCAGCATGTAATAATTTTAAGAAATCTACATCTACATCTTGATGACCAGAAATGGGGATCCTCAAGGAAACTTTCAAAGTTCTTATCCAAACTAGTCTCCCTCCCAATTCCACATCTTAAAATCAATTTGTATCGCCTTGTATAAATTACACAAAACCAAGAAAACAAAGACCCAGAAAACTTTTTTGCCCTTCTAAGCGGGTGACCTCATGGATTTTGTTTCACAGCTTACGGAAAATGGTGTGGTGACACTTCTGGTAAACAGGATGTTGGCAACAAAGAGAAAATATCTCTCCTCAAACTCCACCAACTCTAACCTGCCAGCCTGTTGGTACCTGTGTAATAAGAAGAGTTTAGTGCCTTGGAGGGCTCTGGCTTGTTACAGGGGAGATCCTTACTGGCAGGACAAGCACTGGCCATAGGATATATAAGCTCTAAAACTCTCCTGTAATATCTCTGACCCAATTTAGCACCACTTTTTTCCATTTCATTTTTTAGGACTGAAACATAAAAGAACCAGTGTCCAGAGGCAAGTGACATATGTCTTACACTTGTGGCCATCCTTCATTTCTTCATAAACTTTGCTTAAAAGACTAAAATTCCCAATTCCTTATAAAAAATATATTCTTGCCCTCAGCCCCAGTGGCCACTGGCAAAGACTGTTATTTCCCAATGGATAAGAGAGCCTCCTTCATCTTCTTGGCCATAGTTGGGATGAGGTGCGTGTGGTCATCCACACACTTGGTCACACAACCGTCCAGCTGCTGCTTCACCTGAAGCTCCTTACTCCCAGTATCCATTGAATCTTTGGCTTTGTTGTTGCAATGCATGGCGCACCGGGCCAGGTGGTGCCGGAACTTCTCCAACTCACTGGTGAGCAAAGCCCGGGCTTGAGCCAGAGGCACATGGCAGTGCTTTGATGTACTGGTGCACCTACTGCATGGAGGCCTGGCTGTCCTCACAACAGCTGGTGCTGCACCGGAACATGAGACCCTGCATCTTCCAGATGTTCTCTCTCTCCAGACTCTTCACCATGGAGTCCACCACCTCCTGCACCCACAGCTGCTGCAGCTCTGCCATGGCGTCCCCATACCGCCCTGCACCGTGCCACCCCGGCTAATTTTTGTATCTTTAGTAGAGACCAGGTTTGGCCATGTTGGCCAGGCTGGTCTCGAACTCCTGACCTTAGGTGATCCGTCCATCTTGGCCTCCCAAAGTGCTGGGATTACAGGCATGAGCCATGGCGCCCAGCCTCTGTCTTTCAAAAAAAAAAAAAGGGACTTACTAGGGCCTGCTTTGCCTGGGTCCCTATGCATCCTGGGATTGGTCAGAGTGAACCAATGAGAAGACTGAGCTGCTCTCAAGAAGGGCTACCACAAGCTGGTTTTGAAAGCTTCTTGGTTCTGAGAACAACCAGCCCTAGATCCTTTTCATCTCTGATGCCAAATGATGTGGCACTGAGAACTGAAGAGGAAACGTGAACAGAAAGAAGAGTGAGGGCTGAATAAGAAGCCTCGCCAGTGGGAAATAGGGCCCTTGGTACCTTTTGCTCCTAATAGTCACATCTGTGTTTAGAAGGGCCAGGAACTCCCACCTCCTGCGTCAGAGCCTGTCAAGCATGTCAGGCCTAGAGTGGCTTTCTGATCCCTGTTATACACCTATTTATAAGTTATCTAAGCTAATTCTGAGCTCAGAGTAATTTTCCTGAAGGAGCTTCAGGTAAATAAGGATGACAAAGAACTAAAACCAAATTTACTGTAAATGATAACTTCAGCTTCTAAGAAAAGAATTACTGACTCCACACTGATGTCAATAGCTGGAGAGCAAGGGCTACGAGGAAGAAAACCAGTGAAATAATCCATGGTCATGCCACTTGCCCAAATATCTGAATTGCTTATCATTAAAAAAGAGCAAATTTACGTTTATATGTGGCTTCATAATTTGTAAGATACGTTTACATGTTATTTATTTGATTTTCCCAACAAACCTATAAAACACTTTGGCCAAGTATTTTATGCACAAATGATCTCATACCAAGCAGGAAAGAACAGGTCTTACACTGATAGACCTTGGTGTTTATAAAATAGCTCTGTTTTGGAAATTAATTTGGAGGAATCTTATTTATAATCTGAGAAATCTGTACTAAGGGAGTCTGCTCTTAAAGGGAACATGGCTAGTCATGTGAATAGATCTCTAATGTAGCATATAGAATCTTTATTAATATGGATTGTTGCATAACCAATTATCTTACATCAAGACATGCTTACTGTAAGGCACAGTAAAGGCTCCTGTGATGATGGCTCTGCACTGACCCCTAGTGGTGCCCTGCAGTCTCTCTCCTGCAGTTAATAGGAAAGGCAGAAATGAACCCTTCTTGAATTTGTTCTGCTGTCTCTAGATCTGGAAAAGAGACCCTGAGCTATTCAAATAAAGATGGTCACGGCCGGGTGCGGTGGCTCCCGCTTGTAATCCCAGCACTTTGGGAAGCCGAGGCGGGTGGATTACCTGAGGTCAGGAATTCGAGACTAGCCTGGCCAACATGGTGAAACCCCGTCTCTACTAAAAATACAAAAATTAGCCAGGCATGGTGGCAGGCGCCTGTAGTCCCAGCTACTCAGGAGGCTGAGGCAGGAGAATCACTTGAACCCGGGAGGTGGAGGTTGCAGTGAGCCGAGATCACACCATTGCACTCCAGCCTGGGGCACAAGAGCGAGACTCCGTCTCAAAAAAAAAACATTAAAGATGGTTACATCCATATGCCAAGGTATTATGTTGCCACTAAAAATTATTTTTTAAAGAATCTTTTGTCAGAGAAAATGTTTAGAATATAACATTAAGTGGGAAAAAAGATACAAAACTACATGTATAGTGTGGTCCAAATTTTGAAATAGATATGTATATATTTATTTAACATATTATATATATGAACTTTTTAAAAAAGACTAGAAGGAAATGTACTAAAATATCAAAACAGGTTATCTCAGGGTAGTGATGTTATTACTGAGCTTTATATTCTGTAATCATGTTTTCCTTTTTTCTTTCTTTCTTTTCTTTTCTTAAGAGATGGTGTCTTCCCGGCCGGGCGCGGTGGCTCACGCCTGTAATCCCAGCACTTTGGGAGGCCGATGTGTGTGGATCATAAGGTCAGGAGTTCGAGACCAGCCTGGCCAATGTGGTGAAACCCCGTCTCTACTAAAAATATAAAAATTGGCTGGGCGTGGTGGCGGGCGCCTGTAATCCCAGCTACTTGGGAAGCTGAGGCAGGAGAGTCATTTGAACCCAGGAGGCGGAAGTTGCAGTGAGCCAAGATCGCACCACTGCACTCCAGCCTGGGCGACAGAGCAAGACTCCGTCTCACCGAAAAAAGAAAAAAAAGAGAGAGAGAGAGATGGGGTCTTCCTGTGTAAGGCTGGTTTTGAATTCCTGGCTCCTAGGGATCCTCTTGCCTCAGCCTCCCAAAGTGCTGGGATTATAGGTGTGAGCCACTGTGCCCAGCCCCCATGTTTTACTTTTATCAGGTGACATAATTAAAAAAAAACCAAAAGCTAGTCTCACAGCATCTGAGAGTCTGGGAGTCAGATGCATGTTAAAGTCAGAGGAATGAGGTCCAGTGCTGGCTTGGCTTGCTTTGCCTTATCTTTGGTTATTGTCTTAGCAACATAAAATTATTCAAGGTCTTGAAGCCACCTTGGGCTTACCTTCAAGTGTCCTTTTAGTGGGACAGAAGTATCTGTGATAGGCTCTGTTCACAGTCTTGACTGTTATAAGAAGCACTCTTGTGCGTAGCCACCTCCCCTCTGCTAGAGGCCCTGGCTGAATCCAAGAGGAACAGCAAAGGCTGTGCCTCCAACCAACTGTGGAAATTCAGCCATGTGGTTGAGTTACTTTTTTTTCTCTGAAACTTATAGCAGTCAATAAATTTTCAAACTCGAAGAGCCCCCAATTCCCAGACTTATTTGAATCCCCAAAGACACTTCTGGAGACATTCTCTTCACAGAAAATAAGTCTGGCAAAAGGGAATGCGATGATAGATCCACAATACTCTTTTTCTTTTCCTTTTCCTTTCCTTTCTTTCTTTCTTTTCTTTTCTTTTTTTTGTGTGTGTGTGTGTGTAACAGGGTCTTTGTCAGCCAAGCTGGAGTGCAGTGGCACAACCATCGCTCACTGCAGCCTCAACCTCTCAGGCTCAAGCAATCCTTCTGCTTCAGCCTCCTTGCATGCCACCATGCCCGGTTATTTTATGTTTTGAAGAGATGGGGTATTGCTATGTTGACAGGGCTGGTCTTGAACTCCTGGGCTCAAGTGATCCTCCCATCTTGGCCTCCTGAAGTGCTGGGATTACAGGTATGAGCCATCAGCCTGGTGCCACACTACTCTTAACTGAAATTATTCTATGTCCAGCCAGTGAACAGGATAGCATTTTTACTTCTTTGTTCTTTTTATTTTTTGTGTATGCCCAAAAGGTAACATTTATTGTCTTTAAAAAGGCAAATCTTACATAAATAAATAACAACAACAACAACAACAAAATTCCCATTTAATTCTACCTCCTAAGATACAACCACCATTAACGATTTATATTTTTTCACTCTTTGGAGCCAGTCTGCTAGGGACCAAATTCTAGCTCTGCCAACAGCTAGCAACCTTGGACAAGAACTTAACCTCTTTGTACATGCTTCTTTACCTGTAAAATGGGGGTAATGATAGTACCGATTACATGCGGCTGTTTTGAGAATTAAGTTAATATATGTTAAGCACTTGAAACAGCACCTGGCAATAGTTAAGTGTTCAATAAATGTTGGCCTTTTTCTAAGTGTGAATGAGCATTTTTTTTTTCATTAAAAAATTTTTTTGGCCAGGCATGGTGGCTAATGCCTGCAATCCTAGCACTTTGGGAGGCCGAGGCAGGTGGATTGCCTGAGCTCAGGAGTTCAAGACCACCCTAGGGAAAACATGGTGAAACACAACATCTACTAAAATACAAAAATTAGCTGGGCTGGGTGGTGCTTGCCTGTAATCCCAGCTACTCGGGAGGCTGAGGCAGGAGAATTGCTTGAACCCAGGAGGCAGAGGTTGCAGTGAGATTGCACCACTGCACTCCAGCCTGGGCCACAGAGCAAGACTCTGTCTCAAAAAAAAAAAAATTTTTTTTTAATTGATATGGGATCTTGCCATGTTGCCCAGGCCAGTCTTGAACTCCTGGGCTCAAGTGATCCTCCCAGCTTGACCTCCCAAAATGCTGGGATTATAGGTGTGAGCCACCTTGCCTGGCCAGCTTCTTTTTTTTTTTTTTTTAAATAGACATGGAGTCTCAGTATGTTGGACAGGCATATCAGGGTCTTGATACGTAGTTTTGAACTCATGGCCTGAAGCAATTCTGCCTCAGCCTCCCAAAGTGTTGAGATTACAGGCATAAGCCACCACACCTGGCCTGAATGAGCATTTTTTAAAACTGAAAAGTGATCATGCTATATACTTTGCTTTAACCTTTTTTTTTTCACTTCACAATACATCCTGGTTACCTTTTAGTATTAGTATGGAGAAGTCTCTTCATTCTTTTTAATAGCTACATAACTTTTTTGGTATTAACGTGTCATAATTTAACCAGTCTCCTATCAATGGGCATTTGGATTGTCTGTTTTAAAAAAGATGCTAGGGCCGGGCATGGTGGCTCACACTTGTAATCCCAGCACTTCAAGAGGCTGAGGCGGGCAGATAGCTTGAGCCGAAAGAGTTCAAGACCAGCCTGGGCAACATGGCAAAACCCTGTCTCTACAAAACATACAAAAGTTAGCAGGGCATGGTGGTGTGCACCTGTAGTCCCAGCTACTTGAGAGGCTGGGGTGGAAAGATTGAGCCCAGGAGGTCAAGGCTTCAGTGAGCTATGATTACACCACTTCACTCCAGCCTGGGTGATGGAGTAAGACTCTGTCTTCAAAAATAAAATGAAAATAAAAAGTCAGGTGTGGTGCCATGAGCCTGTAGTATCAGCTACTGAGGAGACTGAGACAGGAGGATCCCTTGAACCTGGGAGGTTGAGCTTGTGGTAAGCTATGACTGTGCCACTGTACTCCAGTCTGGAGGACAGCAAGACCTTGTCTCAAAAAAGAATTTTCGGCTGGGTACAGTGGCTCATGCCTGTAATCCCAGCACTTTGGGCGGCCAAGGTGAGCGGATCATGAGGTCAGGAGATTGAGACCATCCTTGCTAACACGGTGAAATCCCGTCTCTACTAAAAATACAAAAAGTTAGCCAAGCATGGTGGCAGGCGCCTGTAGTCCCAGCTACTTGGGAGGCTGAGGCAGGAGAATGGTGTGAACCCGGGAGGCAGAGCTTGCAGTGAGCCGAGATCACGCCACTGCACTCCAGCCTGGGTGACAGAGCGAGACTCCGTCTCAAAAAAAAAAAAAAAAAGAAGATAAAATACTGCATATACCTAAAAGGGAACATTATGGAAATTACATTCAGTTACTAACATCTCCATTTGAGGTTCACTTACTCATTTGACAAATATTTGTTTTTTAATGTGCTATGAAAGATGAGAGGCATGCTGATTTGAAAGCAGCTTCTGTCTTTATGCTTAATTTGGTTGTTTTGTTTTGCTTTGTTTTGCTTTGTTTTGTTTTGTTTGAGGGTCTGGCCCTGTCATCTAGGCTGGAGTGCAGTGATAGGATCATAGCTCACTGTAGCCTTACCTCCTGAGCTCAAGCAGTTCTCCAACCTCAGCTTCTTGAGTAGCTAGGACTACAGGCACACGCCACCATACCTGGATAATTTTAAATTTTTTTTGTAGAGACGAGGTCTAACTATGTTTCCCAGACTGGTCTCAAACTCCTGGCGTCAAGCAATCCTCCCTCATTAGCCTCCTAAAATGTTAGGATTATAGACATATGAGCCACCACACCTGGCCTTTTTATACATACTTGGTTAAAGACAATTATTAGCAGGACACATGCTTTGATGAAGAAAGTACCCAGTGCTCTGACAGCATGTCTGAGGGCCTTAACCCGGACTTGGAGTTGTCTGTCTGAGAAGGCTTCCTGGAGAATGCTGTATAGGCTTAGCTCTTCCCTGAAAGAATGGAGGTGGGGGCTGGGCGTGGTGGCTCATGCCTGTAATCCCAGCACTTTGGGAGGCCGAGGCGGCAGATCACGAGGTCAGGAGATCGAGACCATCCTGGCTAACGCGGTGAAACCCCGTCTCTACTAAAAAAAAAATACAAAAAATTAGCCAGGCGTGGTGGCGGGCACCTGTAGTCCCAGCTACTCGGGAGGCTGAGGCAGGAGAATGGCATGAACCCGGCAGGCGGAGCTTGCGTCACTGCACTCCAGCCTGGGCGAGAGAGCAAGACTCCGTCTCAAAAAAAAAAAAAAAAAAAAAAAAAAAGAATGGAGGTGGAAGCAGAAGCGAAGAGGATTTCATGCAGAGAACATAGCACACGCAGAGGTATAGAAGCAAGAGAAATTCACATTTGAGGAATTGCTGGTGGTTCTATGTGGCTGGGGCATAGAATTTGAATAATGGGGTTAACTATTATAGTTAAGGTGGAAATAGAAGGACGTGTGGCTGAAGAAGAAGGTATGGGTTGGGTCCTGAAGGACCTTCTTAACTACATTCACATATATGACTTATCCTAAGGGTGATGGGAAACTTTTTAGGGAGGGTATGGCAGAATCAGGTGTCCATTTCAGAAAGATCAATCTGTGATGTGAATATATGTTGAGAGGCTGTTACGCTTAAGTCATGCAGGTAAGAGATTTTGGTGGTTTGAGCTAGGGTGGTAAAATGGGATGGGAGAGGGATGGACAGATTGGAGACTTGTTCAAGACTGGCTGTGGGGGAAAGAAATGGAGAGAAAGAGCTATCTGATCATTCGAAGGTATCCAACTTGGGAAACTGGAGAGGGACAGAGAAAATACAGAACTATGGGGGAAAATGGTTTCAGTTTGGACCCAAAATTGGAGGTTCCTGTGGGACACCCATGTCTGTGGAGTTCAGAAGAAAGACATCCCTGAGCTAGAGACACAGTTGAGATTCTGGAATCCTCAGCGCATATGGTAACTGCAGTATGGGAATGTTTGAGATGGCTGGTTGAGACACCGACAGTGCAAATGAAGCCACAAAGAAGGCAGTTGTAAGAAAGGTAGAAGGTAAATCAGAAGGTTGTTTTCAGCTAAAGACTCAGGTAGATGTACTGCGGTTCTCCATGTGTGAGGCACTATTCTAAGTGCTGGTGATAGAGCAGTAAGCAGGACAAAATTCCTGCTCCTGCATACCTTATGTTTGTGGTAGTTGGAGTAGAGCAAACAAATAAATATATAATTTTAGCCACTGAGAAAAAAAAACAAGGAAAAAATATACAAATACAGAATGATGGAAGGGAGGGGTCATTTTGGATGGGGTGATAAGAAATGACTTAAAAGCAGACGTTTGAGCAGAGACTTGAATAAACTGCAGAAATGAGAACATCTTGGCTTGGTAGTTTCAAAGAATGGAAAGAAGGCCAGAGTAGCTAGAGGACAGTGATGGAGGGACAGGATGGAGGGGCCAGCTCCTATTGGGCTTGGCAGGTCATGACAAAGAATTGGGGTTTTATTCTGAGTGTGATGGGAGGGAAGCCATTGGAGGGCTGACAGTGGGCAGGGGGTAGGGTGGCGTGATCTGAATTACATTTTACAGGGATCACTCTGGTTGCTATTGGGGAATCATTTGTTGGGCTGCCACAGAGGAAACAATGGAGGCCAGATAGGAGTCTGGGGCAGTCATTCAGGAGAGTAGGTGGTGGCTTGGATAAGGGGGGTGGGATGAGAAGTGGTTGGATTCAGGTGTGTGTGTGTGTGTGTGTGTGTGTGTGTGTGTGTGTGTATTTTTATTGTATTTTTTTTGGAGACAGGGTTTCACTCTATTGCTCAGGCTGGAGTGCAGTGGCACAATCTCGGCTCACTGCAACCTCCGCCTTCTAGGTTCAAGCGATTCTCCTGCCTCAGCCTCCAAGTAGCTAGGATTACAGGCCACCACACCTGGCTAATTTTTATATTTTTAATAGAGATGGGGTTTCACCATATTGGCCAAGCTGGTTTCGAACTCCTGACCTCAGGTGATCCACCTGCCCTGGCCTCCCAAAGCGCTGGGATTACAGGTGTGAGCCACTGCGTCCGACCTGATTCAGATACATTTTGAAGTGGGAGCTGAAAAGATTTGCTGCATGTTTGGATATATGGGTGTCAGGGAGAGAGAATAATCAAGGAACACTCCTAGGTTTGTACAGAGGGTCTCTGACTTACTATGGTTCGGCTTATACCTTTTTTTTTTTTTTTTTTTTTTGAGATGGAGTTTTGCTTTTGTTGCCCAGGCTGGAGTGCAATGGCATGATCTTGGCTCACTGCAACCTCTGTCTCCCGGATTCAAGCAATTGTCCTGCCTCAGCCTCCCAAGTAGCTGGGATTACAGGTGTGCGCTACCACGCCCAGCTAATTTTTTATTTTTAGTAGAGATAGGGTTTTACCATGTTGGTCAGGCTGGTCTCGAACTCCTGACCTCAAGTGATCCACCCGCCTCAGCCTCCCAAAGTGCTGGGATTACAGGTGTGAGCCACTGTGCCCCGGCCTCAGCTTATGATTTTTGGCGTTATGATGGTTCAAAAGCAACACACAATTCAGTAGAAACTGTGCTTTGAGTACAACCATTCTGTTTTTCATTTTCAGTACAGTATTTGGTAAATTACATGAGCTATTCAAAACTTTCTTATAAAATAGGCTTTGTGTTAGATAATTTTGTCCAACTGTAGGCTAACTTAAGTGTTCGAGCACGCTTAAGATAGGCTTGGCTAAGCTATGATGTTCAGTAGGTCAGGTGTATTAAATGCATTTTCTACTTAACGATTGTTCATCTGATGGTTTATCTGGACATGGCCCCATGGTAAGTCGAGCAGCATCTGTGCTTTAGCAATTGGGAAAACAGAAAGGAGCATGGCAGCTCACACCTGTAATTCCAGCAATTTGGGAAGTTGAGGTGGGAGGATTGCTTGAGCCCAGGAGTTTGAGACCAGTTTGGGCAAAATGGTGGGACACCCCCAACTCTACAGAAAATTTTTTTTACAAAGGCTCTACTCTACCTGACAAAATCTTATTCCTTAGTATTTAATTTCTCTTCTTAGGGAGAATTTAAATTTAATTAAGTAATTTAAATTAAAATTTTTTCCTGGCAGGGGTGGATAATGAAAAAAAGGTTGAGAAACACTGGCCTAGTGCAAGAACATGGCCTTTGGGAGTCACACAGGCTTGGTATGAATCCTGGCTCCACTACTTGGACACAGTGCTTAACCTCTCTAAGCTTCACTTTCATCATTTAAATGCCCACAGTATTAGCATAATAACCTTAGAGTTATTGGAAAAATTAAATGCAATGACGTGCCTGTTATATTGATAAATACTAATTTTCTTTCCCCTTTATCCCCGCTTTCAAGAATAGAGATTATTATAGTTAAGGAACTCCAGTAAACTGGGTAGAGACCAAATCAAGTGGGAATATGGCAGGCTTAAGCTTGTTGGAAGAAAAAGAAAACAGGACAAGGGGGCTGATTAAATATACGGAGATGAGTGTAAAGAAATAAGGGAGGCTGCTTGCAGTGGCTCACGCCTGTAATCCCAGCACTTTGGGAGGCCGAGGCTGGCGGATCACCTGAGGTCTGGAGTTCGAGACCAGCCTGGACAACATGGCGAAACCCCGTCTCTACTAAAAATTCAAAAATTAGCCGGGCGTGGTGGCGCACGCCTGTTAATCCCAGCTACTTGAGAGGCTGAAGCAGGAGAATTGCTTGAACACGGGAGACGGAGGTTGCAGTGAGCCGAGATCGCGCCACTGCACTCCAGCCTGGACGACAGTGTGAGACTCCATCTCGAAAAATAAAAAAGAAAAAGAAAAGAAATAGGGGAGAGCCCAAGGTAATTCTTAAGGGATTTGACACTCAAGGCAAAGCCACCACTAAATGTTCTTAGTGGACAGTGGACAATGACATCTGAGGAAGATTATTCTGGAGCCTGACATATTACACTGGAACAGAGGCCGGAGAAAGGAGCCCACATTAATTGTGGTGGACTTGGAATCTGAAGATCTGAGTGTATAAAATGTTGAACAATGAAAAGGTTGGGGAAATTAATTATGGTGCCTTTAATTTTGAAACATCATGCAATCAGTACAATTGTTTTGGAAGGATATTTGGTGGCACGGGAAAACAGAATAAAATGTAAGCATACTACAAAACAATACAAAGCCATTTTTGTCAAACGCCTATCTAGGTAGGAAATAGATTATCTCTGGGGTGGGATCTTTTCTTTTTCATAGTTTTCTGCATTTTTCAATTTTCCTACAAAAAGCTCGTGTTGCTTTTATAAGAAAAAAGTTATTTTCTGAAAGAACCTCTGGCGGAACTCAGATTTCCAGGGACCCACATGCCAGCACTATCCCAGCCTCGGGTGTCTGAGGTACCTAGACCAGAGGGTGTGGCCCTGGAGGTGTGAGACAGGGAAAGCTGGGCTGGGCCGGCCGCCCCTGCCCGGGGCAAGAGCAGCGTCGGGACCGGAGGACCAGTCGGGGGATGGGGCCGCAGAGGTGGCCGCGCGCCGGGAAGTGCTCAGGCCAGACCCTCCCCACTCGTTACACGCCCTGTGCTGGGCACGGGGAGGAGCAGGACGCCACCCTCTGGAACCACCCAGATCGCTGGGGCCTCCGAGAACCCGGAGGGCGGAAGGCCTGAGGGCCCCCTGCAGCCGCCTACTCCTCACCCCAGCCCTAAAGTAGCCGGCGGGGAACTGCGCCAGCCCGCGCGCCCGCCGAGCCTTCGGTGACTGACGGGAGGTGGGAATGTGGGCGGAGCCTCACGCCGGAGCTGTGATTGGAACAACCAACACCTCCCAATCTCTCCCAAGAGAGGGAGACAGCACCAGAGAGGGATGCGCAGAGGCGGGGGCTTAGAGGCCTCTACGTGATTGGCTAACAGCGCAGGGAGCCGGGCGCTGTCCCGATGATTGGCAGGCGCTAGACAGCCCTCGGAAACCGCCTTGGCTTCGCCCATTGGCATCCTGTGAGAGTAGGCGGGATTGGTTCATCGTGTGGTGCTGATGATTAGCTGGCCGCTGAGAGTTAGGGTGTTGGGAGAGAGTTGGAGGGGGACGGCGGGGGCTGCCGACTTCCTTCTTGTTATTGGCTGGTGAGGTGGGTGGGGGTGGTGCGACGGCCCAGCGGCTGCCTGGGATTGGTGGGGGCCGGCGTGAGTGACAGACAGGGGGGCGAGCTGCGCGACCAGCGGTTTGTTTTTCGGAGCGTTCCTGAGGTGGAGAACGGTGGCCGGACGGAGAGACTGCGGGTCTGAGGGACTGGCGGGCGGGCGGGCCGAGCGGCGCCGCCGAGGCCGGGCTGGGCCGAGCCCAGGAGCGCCCGGGATGTAGCGGGCCACCCTGCCGATGCCACAGCGCCCGGCCGCGGGCGGAGCCGGAGCCGGAGCCTGGGGAGGCGGCGGGGGCCCAGAGCGCAGCCCGCGCCCCCCGCGCGGAGCCAGGCCCGCTGCCGTCCCCGCCGCCCGGGCCCCCGGCATGCAGCCCCGGCTGCGGAGGTGACACTCACGGACCTTAGCCACCGCCGCCGCCATCGCCACCATGGGTAAGTGTCGCCACCGCCCCGGCCTGTGCCCGCGCTGCTTCGCGACGCCCCGCCCCAGGCTGAGGGAGGAGGACCCTGGGCCACCGCCTGACAGGCATGGACAGCCCGCCCGGCCCGGGGCTGCGGACCGCCGGCCGGCCGGCCGCCCGCCCCGCTCGCGCGCCGCGGCCCGGGCGGGGGTTCTGGCTCCGCGGGGCGGCCCGGCCGGCAGAGCCCGCTCGGCAGCCCTCCTTCTGGGCGGCGCGGCGGGCGCATCCCGGGGAAGCGGCGGCGGGACCGAGGGCCCGTGCTCCGCGGGGCAGCCTGGTCCGAACGAGCCGGACCGCGAGCCCGAGGGCGGGGGAGCAAGAGCGCAGTGTGGGGCCCGGGCTGGAGGCTGCCGCAGGCCCAGCTGCTGTTGTGTCTTTTCCTTGATTTGCTTTTTTTTCCTGCCTGTGTCATTTCCTTCCCTTTGCTCACACAGGCCGGCCTGTGAGAGTTCCCGGGGCTTGCTCTCCAGCCCTGTGCGCGCCCCAGCGCAGGGGGGAGGGCGTGCGGGGCTCGGCTAGGAGGCGATTAAACTGGAGCTGTGATCAAGCGCGCGGTTGACAAATGCGTGCTGCACGCAGATTGCTGGGGGTCAGGAGTTGGTCGGATGCTGCCAGTTAGAATTCACATCCTACTTTTTGAAAAATCCCGTTGCAGGGGTTTAATCCATTATTTTTTTCTTGCGGTATCCCTGAAATTATGTAACTTTTGAAAGAAACATTTGCTACACAAAAGAATTTCTCTGAAATCACTTCCTTTTTGTCAGTATTTACAATTTCTACTGTGAAGATGTAATCTAAGGAAAGCTTTTAATGTCTTCCGCACGTAGCATTTGAGTTGAATTATATTCCATATCCTTTTTGGTAGTTTAGCAAATGACTACTGGACTAGACTAAGAAATAACATTTTAAACGTTCTTTACTTCTCCTGCCCAGACAGGTGTTGTGATACTGTTGTCACAAGTTTTGCAAAATATTTGGTATTGCCCTAAATAATAATAAAAGGGTAAACTTCAGTGAGAGGATCGTTTGCAAAACGTTCCGTTGCTTCTGTGAAGTGCCCCATGTGAAGAGGGAGCCTTAATGTTTGCCTTGCCCTATAGCAAGGTCAAGTCCTTTTTGTAGGAGGTTAACTGTACGCTATGTCAAATTCGCCAGATATTGTTTTGTGACCCATCTCTACACCCTGGCTTTGAATGAATTGCCTTGTTCTAGTTCATGCTGTCCCTCATACAGTATGAGAAGGGTTTGTTCATTTGCTGGGCTTACTGTTTCCTTCTCATGCTTTCCTTCAGAAGTGCGTGCTCTTCTGAGGGAAGGTCTGCTGTGAGAGTGGACATAAAAGGAACCCAGTAAGGCCTGGTATTTAAATATATAATTGAAGAAATGTTTATTGAATTTTTTTATAGATGAGACACAGAATTCTTGTCTACCCCAGGATTCAAACATTTATCTTGTATTATAGATTTTGAATAAATCTTCGAATTGATTTATGAGCCTGTATTGTGATAGTCTTTCTTACAAGTCTTTTTTCTTGTCCTGTGGGGGCAGCTGTTAGTCCCAAAGGAGAGTGTGAAATACTTAAGGGTATGTAGACCATCCACTTCCTACTTTGTTGACTGCTACACCAGTTAGAGTGCCCACATGTGTTGACTACATCTCATTATCTAACATGAAAATAGATATGAACCTGTTTTCACATTTCAAGACATTTTCAAAAAGTTTATAAGTGTGTGAGTATATGGAGACCAATGATGGGGAGGAAGGAAACTATATAGGCTGGGTCTAGAGCCCCAAAGAAAAAAGGGCCAGGACCTCAGGATCTTCTCATTTGTCCCCACATCAGTTGTCCTCCTGTCAGTTTTACGTGAAGACACATGTAAAAGGAACATGCAAGAGGAATTAACTTCCCTGGTGGCTGCAGTATATTAGGCAAGCTAGTTTAAGAACCACTGCCCTAGCTTTCTTCACTTTCCCCCATACAATTCTCTCCATCTTTTTTGTGAGGGGAAAGTAGATGACCTTGATACACTGTTAGAGCTAATATTGAATTCTTCTTGACACCTGGCTGTTCAATTTGCTTTGTATAGAGCTCATTGAGGATATGTATACACAGATACATTCACACACAGTCTCTCTCTTAAATACTAGTTTCCATTTTGGTGATGAAAATTTGAATTTCCAGTTTAGTTAGTTTGCTTTTAGTTGCTGTAGTTCTAAATAAACTCAAAGGATTGATAAGAGAGAAACATAGACTTCTTAGTATTTTAGTTATACTTGTTAAACTCCAGCCTCATGAAGAAAGGACTAAAACTTGAGTCTCTGCCCTGCAGGTTCTTTGGTTAAGTAACAGTCACATTTTCCTGAGCTGTTCTAAGCCCAAGACTGAAGCCTGTTTGACAACTTGGGTTAATAAAAACATGTCAGATTTTATATTGTCTGTTAGCCCCAATGAATTTCTAGTGGAAATTATTTATCTCTGTAAATAATAGGAAATTTTTTTTTTTGCTTTGATACTATGTGGCTATAAAAAATTGGGATTGACTGGTTGTTTTTTCTTGGTCACTCCAGAATTCATTTCCAGATTTAGTAATCATAGTGGCAAATGCTGTTCATAATACCTGAGATTGTTTATGTGGTCTTTTTATAAACGCAGTCTGAAACTTTATATATCACTGAAAAATATGTAACAACTTGGAAATGCTACAGGAAACTATAGTGAATGGAGTACAGGATTACAGATGATCTGGTTCTGGTTTGAAGTCAGAATTATTGTGACTTACAGACACCTTGTCTAGGGTTCCAAGGCTGTTAGGAGCTCCCTGTTAGAATAGTCTCAATTCAGTTTGGCTAGAATCTGACCACCTATGTAGACTCTGAATAGTTAGCAGCTGTTTTGATTGAAATTTGAATCACAGTTTAATAAATCAACATGGCTATGTCATTACTAGATTTCTGATATTTTTAAAAATGACAGTTGGATTTTAAAACTGAATTTTAGGTTGGGCATGGTGGCTTACACCTATAATCCCAGCACTTTGGGAAGCTGAGACTGGTAGATCGCTTGAGCCCAGGAGTTCGAGAGCAGCCTGGGCAACATGGTGAAACCCTGTCTCTACTAAAAACACACAAACTTAGCTGGGCGTAGTGGCATGCCCCTATAGTCCCAGTTACCCAGGAGACCGAGGTGGGAAGATCATCTGAGCCTGGGAGGTTGAGGCTGCAGTGAACCATGATCGTGTCACTGCACTCCAGCCCAGGCAACAAGAGTGAGAGACCCTGTCTCTAAAACAAAAAACAAACAAAAAATAGCTGAATTTTAGGCATCTGTAAAAAGTAAGTATCTGTCCAACTGAGCATTACTTAGGGGAATACACAGAGGATAAGATGAGGTTTTTCTGGTTCTATGGAAGCTGTTAATTTATTCTTTGCCCATTTGTTGAATGCCTCCTATGTGCCAGGCATAGTATTAAGCCCTGTGCCTGTGTTATCCTGTCCTCAAGAAGTTACAGTTAGGTAAGGTGAAGCAGAAACATGTAAACAATTAAGTGCAAAAGTGTGTAAAGATATACAGGAGAGAGATCAATTCTGTCGTTTTGGTATTGACACATGTAATTCTATAGTCTCCAGTCCTTTGGGTTAATTTCACTAAACGTTAAAATGTAGTGGTGATATATATTGATTCTTATGAGGAATAAATGGCCTACTTTATAATATGTGTTTTAAGAATTTGAACCATCAATTAATATTGAATGCCTATTATATCTTAGAACAGAAAAACGCCAGCATTTGACTTTGAGATTTAGCAAAGGTTCAACCATTTCTTGAAGGATAAAAGTTTCTTATGAATTGAGGGTCTGGCCTTATTGCATATACTCATTGTAAAATGATGTTTGCCTGGGCATGGACAGGGTGGAGGCAGTGGAAGTATGTGGAATGTCATGAAGAGAAAGTAAAATCTGACTCAGGGACACTGAAGCACAGACTCTCCTGAGTGGGCAGTGCGATCAGACGATCTGGTGGAGCTGGGTAGAACATTGTCAAGATGAAGAAATAACATCATTAGTTAAATGAAACAAAACAAAGATTAAAACATTACTTTGGGGATTGTATCTATGGAAAAGAGAGAGAGTGTGTGGCATAGTAAACAGACACCATACGGGATAACAATGTTTATTAGAGAATGTGGTGCTTCTGGCAACTTTTCTGGGTTGTTAGCCAAGGGAACTCACAAATGGGAAGTGCCTTAAGACCCTGCTTTGAGATACAAGTAATAGCTCAGTCTGGAAGAGTGGCTTCCTGCTGGAGCTAAAGAGAGGAGTATGTTGCCTGGCAGCCTCCATACCACAGGTTGGGGTACCAGGAGAAGAAAAACTACATGCCACTGGGGAATTACTTAAAACTGCCTAAGAGCTTCTACTTTTTAAGCCTGAACTCTAATCCTTGTTTGATAGATCCTTTTCTAGTTCCATGAATACTCCTCCTTTTCCTAGATTCTTAACCTCTTAATCTCTAAAATTAACCTCTTTCTCCTTATGCTTCTTCCTGGTAGCTTCTAAGTGTGTCAGACCACTCCCACTCTCAGGAAATCTTTTCAAAGTTATAAGCACACTATTACGCTACCTCAACTTGTTCACGTGTAAAGTTCACAAATACTTTTTTTTTTTTTTTGGGGTGGAGTTTTGCCCTGTCACCTAGGCTTGAGTGCAGTGGCACGATCTCAGTTCACTGCAACCTCTGCCTCCCGGGTTCAAGCAATTCTCCTACCTCAGCCTCCCGAGTAGCTGGGATTACAGGCACCGGCCACCATGCCTGGCTAATTTTGTATTTTTAGTAGAGACAGGGTTTCACCATGTTGGCCAGGCTAGTCTTGAACTCCTGACTGCAGCTGATCCACCCTCCTCGGCCTCCCAAAGTGCTAGGATTACAGGCATGAGCCATCGTGCCTGGCCATGACTAATTTTTTGTATTTTTTGTAGAGATGGGGTTTTGCCATGTTGCCCAAGCTGGTCTCAAACTCCTGGGATCAAGTGATATGCCCGCCTTGGCTTCCCAGAATGTTGGACTTACAGGTGTGAGCCAATGCGCCCGGCCTGTCACTCTTATTTTCTTCAATCCTTTTTTTTTTTTTCTGAGACAGAGTCTCTACTCTGTCGCCCAGGCTGGAATGTGTTGGCATAGTCTTGGCTCACTGCAACCTCTGCCTCCCAGGTTCAAGCTATTCCCATGCCTCAGCCTCCACAGTAGTTGGGATTACAGGTGTGCACCACCACGCCCAGCTAATTTTTGTATTTTTAGTAGTGATGAGGTTTCACCATGTTGACCAGGCTGGTCTTGAACTCCTGACCTCAGGTGATCTGCCTGCCTCGGCCTCCCAAAGTGCTGAGATTACAGGTGTGAGCCACCACGCCCAGCCAGCTTGCTTTTCTTAAAGAATCTTTAGTCTGTTAACAATTATGTAAAATCATCCATATAACCTCTTATATAACCATATAAGCTACTCATATTTAAAAATATTTATTTTTATACATTTGTATTTATATACTCTGGTTTATATATTGTCTAATTCTGTCTTTTTTTTTTTTTTTGAGACGGAGTTTCGCTCTTGTTGCCCAGGCTGGAGTGCAATGGCACCATCTTGGCTCACCGCAACCTCCGCCTCCCAGCTTGAAGCAGTTCTCCTGCCTCAGCCTCCCGTGTAGATGGGATTACAGGCATGTGCCACCACGCCCAGCTAATTTTGTAGTTTTAGTAGAGACGGGGTTTCTCCATGTTGGTCAGGCTGTTCTCGAACCCCTAACCTCAGGTGATCCACCTGCCTTAGCCTCCCAAAGTGCTGGGATTACAGGCGTGAGCCCCTGGGCCCTGCCAATTCTATCTTTTTTTTCATACAACTTTGTATTTGTGTGTTGTTTATCTTTTTATCCCTAGAGTTTGAACACCTTGAAATATCTTTTAAAACTTTCTAATGTGTAATACAAGATAAGTATTCAGTAAATTGTTGTTAATGATTTATAAAAGTTCAGTAATAAAATTAAGTATTAGGGTAGATTAAATGGCCTCCAGTCTTTTTCCATTGACCTTTTCTCATTGATGATAATAATAGCCAGCATTTTTTTAGCATTACTGTGTTAGGTACCATAAGAAATAATTCGTAGGTTTTCTGTTGCTTTTAACTCCCACAGCAGCTTTGTGAAATGATGCTTTATCTCCATTTTACAGATGAGGAAATTGAGGTTTGGAGAGAATAAATGATTTGCTCAGGGCCTCCTTACCAAATTTTTCTGACTCTGAAGTTCATATTCCTAACTGCTTCAGTCTAAGAAAGTTGTTATTTGTTGTTTTTTTTTTTGAGATGGAGTCTCGCCCTGTCGCCATGCTGGAGTTCAGTAGCGCTATCTCAGCTCACACCAACCTCCGCCTCCTGTGTTCAGGCAATTCTCCTGCCTCAGCCTCCCAAGTAGCTGGGATTACAGGCGCACACCACCACGCGCAGTTAATTTTTTTGTATTTTTAGTAGAGACGGGGTTTCACCATGTTGGCCAGGCTGGTTTCGAACTCCTGACCTCAAGTGATCCACGCATCTTGGCCTCCCAAAGTGCTAGAATTACAGGCGTGAGCCTCTGCGCCCAGCCTGTTATTTGTTTTTAAAAGTTTTGTTTGTTTTTAAAGAATGCCACATTGGAGGAGTGCTGATAATTCAGTTAGTCTCAGTCCATACCACAGAGATAACTGGCTTGTGGCAGCCAAGTGTGCATAGTGATGTTGCTTTTTAGAAGGAAAAAAAACAAAAACAAAACCTCAATCCAGGAAGAAATGCCTAAAAGAGCCACTTGATTTACTTCCTGTCTTTATACATGTCCTCTGAAGTATCAGTTGAAGAACCTGTCTACCTCTAGGAATGTATTTTACTTTGACACAAAATTAGATTCTATAACCCTGATTCACTTGTGTCAGTTGTCCCAGATTTCAGATGACAGTGCCAAACTTTTCCACTAGTGTGTTCTCAGCTCTGGAACTACTAAACAAGTTTGTTCATTAAGTAATGCCAGGAATTGGTTAGCTTCCTGGAAACAGAATTTGTCAACCTGATAAACCAGCTCTTATAATAGCGTCATCTTATACAGAATTAGAAATGATTTCTTCAGTCATACTTGTGGATCTGACTTGAAAAGTGGTGTGTGTATGTGTGTGCCTGTATGTGTATTCACATCCATCTTTGTTCAATATCTGAGTTGAAAGAACTGAAAATTCTCAATACTTAGGGTGGTTAATGTTGTTACTGATAACTCCTTGCATTCCGCTTTTAGGAGTATTGTTGGATGCTCCTCAGAAAACACTTAAACCTAGTCATAATCCTCCTTGTATTGATCCCAATTTATTATTACAGTTGGCCCAATTTTATATATATTTAATAATATCTAAGCCATTTAATATATAAACCTATACATATTATATATAAGCCAATCTTCCTAGCTTAGATGTTATGCTCTAGTTTTTAAAGTTTGGTTGTGAGGATAAAAATCAAAACAAAAAACCAAGTTCCCTTTTTGTTTTTGGGACAGGGTCTCACTGTCGCCCAGGCTGAAGTACAGTGGCATGATCATGGCTCACTGCAGCCTCAACCTCCTGGGCTCAAGTGATCCTTCCACCTAAGCCTCTCAAGTAGCTGAGCCTACAGCGTGCACCACCATGCCCAGCTAATTTTTTGTATTTTTTGTAGAATGTAGTTTTGCCATGTTGCCCAGTCTGGTCTCGAACTCCTGGGCTCAAGCAATCCACCTGCCTCAGCCTCCCAAAGTGCTGGGATTACAGGCATGAGCCACCCTGTCCAGCCAGGTTCCCTTCTTTAAAGAAGCTATAGGGAAATTGTAGAAGGTATAAAATAATTGATGGGATATATATGTGTTAATTTGACAGATGTCTTTTTGTAGATACCCACTTTCTCCTCATTCATTATCCCCTTTACTGCATGCTTTCTATATTACAGCTATGTCACTCTCATACATACTTTTGTATATGTTTTGAAGTGGAATCATATGGGAAGTTATGCTCCTGGTGGTTTTCCTGCAAGTTTTAAATCTAATTTTACTTTCCTGAACAAGCAAAAACCTCTTTATAGGCAACTTTGTCCTTTTCTGTACCTCGTCAGAGGGCATATAGGGCACCAGAGCAGATTTCGTCTAGGAAGAGGGGAGAGGCAAATAAGGTGAGGGGCCAGGCACGGTGGCTTATGTCTGTAATCCCAGCATTTTGGGAGGCTAAGGAGGGAGGATCGCTTGAGCTCAGGTGTTTGAAATCAGCCTGGGCAACATGGTGAAACCCTCGCTCAATAAAAAATACAAAAATTAGCAGGGCATGGTGGTGTGCACCTGTAGTCCCAGCTACTCTGGAGGCTGAGGTGGAGGATTGTTTGAGCCTGGGGGTGGAGGAGGCTGCAGTGAGCTGTGATTGCACCACTGCACTCTAGCCTGGGCAACAGAGTGAAACCCTGTTTCAGTCAGTCAGTCAATCAGTTAATCAGTAGTGGGAGAAGAGACTTGAGCAGTTTTACTTCCTACATTTCATGCTGTTCGTTTCTTTCCACAGGGTATTAGAATATTTCCAAGGGACAGTGATAAAGGGTAGAAGATAGGCACTCTCTTTGGGTGGAATCTTTTGTATTTGCTTCTTTTAAGGTGTGCCCCAAGTCCCCAAATGGCTCAGTTGTCACCAAAGCAAGTGTAACAACTCATCCCTCATGTTCCCTTCACGATCAACAGATTTATTCATTTTCAATCTCCAAATGCTATTTGAATGGGCAAAGATCTCTTAAAGGACCTGGGAAAAATTTGTACAACATGGAATTGGACTGGTTTGTGTTCTGGGTTTTGGCCAGTTGTTTTCAATGTATGAGAACTCTAGTACTCCATGCTATTTCAAGAAAAGGGGATTAAAAGTAATGCCAGTAAGGTGGAGACAATGCATTGCTTGGTCAGCTTAGGGAGGAAAAACAATAGAACTACCCTTTGACTTCCCCATGGGAAGTAGTAGGCCTATAAACTTGTAAAGAGTTGTGGGGGTTGCTGGTGGTGGCGGCATTCAAATGCTAGGCTTGTAAAACAACTTCTGTTCAAAGCAGTTACCTGAGGCCCTTATTTGGTACCTTTTAAAGTGTGCTCTCCTCCTTATGATGCTTTAAGAATAAGTCTGGGACTGACACTGTGCCATAATCCTCTCTCTATGGATTCATCTTTTCATTCAGTACCATATTACATTGTACTGTGTTCTTCACTTCAATTTTTCATCTATTTTTCCTGGTTAAGTTTCTCTGGCACTGGACCAACTGCCCTGTTTGAGCGTGTCCCTTCCCTGCAATGAATTGGTAAATATTGCTGCAGGAAATCTGATTGGAGGGCTATTAAGAAACCATTAAAGGCCAGGCATGGTGGCCCACACCTGTATGTAATCTTAGCACTTTGGGAGGCCGAGGCAGGAGGATCACTGGAGTCCAGGAGTTGGAGACCAGCCTGGGCAACATGGGGAGACCCCGTCTCTACAAAAAATAAAAAAATCATCCAGGCATGGTGGTGCATGCCTGTGTTCCCAGCTACTCAGGAGGCTGATGTGGGAAGGTCACTTGAGCCCCAGAGTTGGAGGCTGCAGTGAGCTATGATCACGCCACTGCACTCCAGCCTGAGTGACAGAGCAAGACCTTGTCTCGAAGAAAAAAAAGAATCCATTAAAATTCAAATTGCCATAGTCTGACCTTTTGGGCTGCATCTGATTATAGTTACAGGGTCTGTCATTTTACCTGGGCAGAACTCCCTGAGTATTAGTTATACAGTTTGTGAAAGAGCTTTGCTGGTCTGTATTTAAGTGTCTTAGTCCATGTGCTCTCTTTCATTGCAGACGAACAGGAGGCATTGAACTCAATCATGAACGATCTGGTGGCCCTCCAGATGAACCGACGTCACCGGATGCCTGGATATGAGACCATGAAGAACAAAGACACAGGTCACTCAAATAGGCAGGTGTGTGTGACCCTGGCAGAGCTAAGTGAGATTTGTTGGGGAGGGGTTTTCAAATGGGAAATATACGAAAAGCCAAGGAGACTACATTACCAGGGTTGAATGCTTTTGACCCCTTCCTTTCACAGTCTGTTAAATGGGAAGTAATACATACCAACCAGGTATGGTTAAATGGTAAGTGATATTGGGAGGCCGAGGCAGGCGGATCACCTGAAGTCAGTAGTTTGAGACCAGCCTGGCCAACATGGTGAAACCCTGTCCCTACTAAAAAACACAAAATTAGCCAGGTGTGGTGGTCCATGCCTGTAGTCCCAGCTACTCAGGAAGCTGAGACAGGAGAATCGCTTGAACCTGGAAGGCAAAGGCTGCAGTGAGCCGAGATAGCACCACTGCACTCCAGCCTGGGCAAGACAGAGTGAAACTCTGTCTCAAAAAAAAAAAAAAAGTTATATATGCCATGCAGTTATGGATCTATGATTTGGAGTCTTAAAGCCTTGTGTAAGCATTTCATCTGTTATGGGGACAGTATTCATATTCGTTTTTCCCCTTTACTGATATTTGGCAAATATTTAATTCAGATTCATGATCCCTAAGTCAGAAGGTTTTTAGCTACCTTACAGTATATAGTCAGGAAAAACTAATTAATTTGGTATTAGCTTATGTAAAATATAATTAAGAAGGTAAATTTATTAATTAAAATGTCACCTAGTATATTCTGAAGGCAATAATGAGTGATTTTGTTATTACTGTTTACAGTTATTTTACCTTATTAACCTTATTGATAGTGCCTGTTTTATTGAGAGTTGTATGCTTCTTTAGGAAAACATTGCCTATTTTCCTTAACATTTAAACTTGTGTGTCATTGACAATCTTCTTCTCACCTGTAGTGCCACTTACCTGTTTCCTGGGTACTTTGTTCTGCAGAGAGGAGTGAATGATGGGGAGCTTTCCTACCTAGTGGGTATCCAGTGCTGTGTCAGCTAGCTATATTGGGCATGTTTGATGAAAATTTGTGTATGACATTCTCCCTTTTGGTTCTGTTTGTTATCAGCTAACCTCCTTTCTTCTCATTTGCACCTTGTTTACCAATTCTTCAGAATTGGTTCCTAGAGATAGTATAAGGCCCTAAAACTTTTCCTGTCTGTGGTCTGCTAGATAGAGCCTTCCAGAGTATTTCCTGCCTTTAGGAATCCTAGGGACCCCAAGGGAAGAGGAGTCCTTTTGTTTCATGTTAAAACAGAAGGATTAGTTTAAAAAGCTGCTTTTGTTGTTGTTACCTTATAGTACTGGAGGTATAAACAGATAAGGGCCCATTCTTACACTATTTTCATATGTTATTCAGTCTGACTGTGTGAGTTCTCCCTTGCTATAACTCATTTGTATTCAAAGCCACTTTTCGAAGGAGCATTTTACCAGAAGTGAGTCCCCTCCCCCTTGCTTGAGCCTAATGACCTCACTTTCCTTCCTGTCTTCCTATGTAGTGTGTGCTTGCTAACATTGCTCCAGTTAGCTGATCTTTCTCCAGACTGGACTATTAGCATGAATATCAGTTAGTGGGTGAAAAGGGGAAGCTTTCTTGAATTGGAAGGCCCAAAAGGACGAGGCTGGGAAAAGGAGGGGCGGAATGGTCACTGATGGTTCCTTGAAGGAGGATTCCTTTTTAGGACTCCTTCTGCTTAGAGCCTAAAAGCCATGATGAGGGAAGTCTTGATCTTTTGCTGTGCCTGCTGCTGCGCTGGTAGAGTGAAGTCAGTGGTTATGAAGGCAGAAGCCTAAAAAGGATTGACTGTTAGGAAGTAATCTTAACAAGAGGTACTAGATCTTTGGATCCATGATTTACTTCAATGTTGTCAAACTTATGTTGCACGAAGGATACAAATTATTAACCTCAGTTTTTTTGTTTTTAAAGAAAAAACACAACAGCAGCAGCTCAGCCCTTCTGAACAGCCCCACAGTAACAACAAGCTCATGTGCAGGGGCCAGTGAGAAAAAGAAATTTTTGGTAAGGATCCAGATTACCTGTTAAAGCCAAAATGTACTTTTAAATCTGCTACTCATGCTGCAACAGCAGAATTCACTTCCCAGACAAGTTGTTTTAGTGGATTTGTAAAAAGCATTGGTTACCCGTGACCTGTGTTCAGTGCTTCTAGTCACCATTTCTCACAACAGTATTATTCATAAACAGCCTCTATCAGTGCTGTCCAATAAACCTTCTGTGATGACAGAAATGTTTTATATCTCTGCTGTCCAATGTGGTTTTGTAGCCACTAGCTACATGTGGCTGTTGAGCAACTAAGGAACTAAATTTTAAATTTTATATCATTTTAATTAATTTAGACAGCCACATGTGGCTAGTGGCTATTGTATTGGACAGCATGACTTTATGCACTATGTAAGGGACTGTTGATTTATTGGGCAAGAAATTATGTATATGCTTGGAGATGTGTAGATATTCATTGGTATGTTCATTCCTTACACACGTCATGAGTTTCTGTACATTGTGATAAGCTAATAATGGGAATCCTACCTAAGATTTCTGTTTTAGGAAGAATGTGAAGATGTGGAACTAGAACAGCTGTTTAGAAATTGAAGCTCAAAGTTTTATGTTAATATGGGCAAAAGGGGAAATAAAATGCTAAGATAGCTTTTCCTCTTAATGAAGTCAAGGTTATAGAATGGCCTGTCCTGGGAAGTGTAGCAGATGTTTTGCTTCTGACCAAGAGGGATATTCTTCAGCAAAATTCTGAAAGCAGAAAAAGACAAAGTCTCAGCAAATGCATTTCTAGGAAAGATAGGGTAAGAGGTAGTGCGGGGAAGATGTTGGGGAGAGGTATTTATAGCCTAGTATAATGAAAGGAGCCTGGTGATATTAATAATCATTTAACATCGGATTTTATAATTCACAGAGTTACACATTTATTATTATTATTGTAGTTTTTGTTAGCCTAGGCCTGAGATAGAATGAAACAGTTTTCTTCATTACCAGTTCTTCTGCCAGAAAGTCCATGCTTAGGAAGAGAGAGGAATGAAAGATCAAAACCTAATTTAAATGGTGAAGAGTTGCCAAATTTGGTTAAGAAATGTCTAATTGGATTACAGATTCAAATTACAGAGTCCCAGTTGAAAGAAGCTAAGCATTTTGGCTAGCTGGAAAGGTTGTTTATTCAAGGGTGGAATGGGGCTGGCAGAGGCAAACAGCCTTTCACTATGAGAATGGCAGTGCTGGCTACAAGGCAGAGTCGAGACTGGCACAGCTTCATGGAGCTCAAGCTTGGCCCAGCAAGGAAAGCCAGAGGAGCTGTGGGTTCATTAACAGGATTGTTTGGGTGCCGAGGCCTGGAAGAACTGAAAAATCTAATTTAATATCTCTGCTTAGCAAGACTTGAGACATCCTTTTCCCTAAGTAAACAAGCTTGGTAAGTAATTGAAAAAGAGAATGGATTTGAGAACAAATAGGCAGCTATGGAAGTACATGGGCAGTGAGCTATTAACAATTTTCTAGGAGGTAGATTCTGTATTCTCTGTATTCTAGGAGTACAGAGAATACTGTACACTAGGAGCATTTGCTGTATTCTCCCTTTTGTATATTGGGTCTCTGGAAGCCTACAGCGTGGTTAGAGCTGACTGAATATTCTTAGATGTGTGGCACATCCTACGTGTGGCTGGGTCCTATGGATAGTTTTGCAGGCCATGATGTGCAGTGTCCCTTTAGCAGTCATTAACTCACAGTGAGTTATCAATGGGTGTTAGTTCTCTGTGGGTCTGACAACTTAGTATAGTGAAAAGAGTGCTGGCCTGTGGCTGAACATGCTGGAGAAGAGCTTGCCTGGCCACAGGGACACAGCCACGCAGATCCAGCATGTGTCTCCCATGTGCCAAGTGGAGCCCCCAGCCAAGAAGGCAGCCACACTAGCAGAGGGTGACAAGGACAATGACATTGACCTGTTTGTCAGCGACAATGAGGAGGAAGACAAGGAGGCAGCCCGGCTGTGGGAGAAGTGGCTGAGGTGGTATGTGGAGAAGAAGGCCAAGAAGACTGCGTTGGTGGTCAAGTCCTCCATCCCGCTGGACATCAAGCCTTGGGACAATGAGACCAATATAGCCCAATTGGAGGCCTGTATGCGCTTCATCCAGCTGGACGGGCTGGTCTAGGGGGGCCTCCAAGCTGGTGCCCATGGGCTACGGTATCCGGAAGCTGCAGATTCAGTGTGTGGTGGGGGACGACAAGGTGGGGACAAACTTTCTGGAAGAGGAGATTACCAAGTTTGAGAGCGTGTGTAGAGTGTCGATGTTGCAGCTTTCAACAAGGTCTGAAGCCTTAGAGTGTGTGTGCGTGCATGCGCACGTGTGCAAGTGTGTGAGGCCCTGCCACTATTAAAAACTGAGACCAACCAAAAAAAAAAAAAAAAAAAGAGTACTGGCCTAGGAGTCATAGAGTTGTTACTCATCTATTAATGTAGGATTTTATAATTTATAGAGTGCTTTCAACAACAGTTAACATCAATGCTATAAGCATGTGTATAAGGTTTACACAGCTTTTACACAAAGGTATTGAGTAGAGGCAGGAAGTAAATCCAAGCCTTCTGATTCCTAGTCACCGTAATTTTACCATGTATAAGTCATATAACCTTTCTGAAGTGAGTTTTTCCATCTGAAATATAGACTTAATACTCACTGTGTCTACCTCTTAAGATTGTTGTAAGATCATAGACAGAATGTGAAATATTTTGTACATTGTAAAACAAATGTACAAATGTGAAGTTGCAGTGGTTATGTCACTTCTTATGTTCTGGCACTGCAGGTGTGAGCTTTGGGGAAAGCTTCTAACTACAACTGTCCATAGTGTTGTGGAACTGAAAGGATTAAGGTTTTTCTCTCTTTATGGGATTATCATTACTGTTTATCTGATGATCTTTGCAAATTTCTGAAGCTAGCCTAATTTCTGAAAATCCCAGTGGAGGAAGAAATGGAATCCTTATTTCCATGGATTCCTGTTTCCCTTGAATCTTATCAAAATGGTAGGTAGATACTTGAACAGAGTCTGGGCTCTGGATCTAACCCTCCAGATGTTCATGAGTGGGTGCTTCAGAACAGAAAAGCTGCTTTCTTCATGATAGGCACAAGCAGGGCAGGGCCTTGGCTATCATTTCTAGAGGAAGAGAATTCCAGGATCTGTTCCCCCAGCAGGGTCAGTGATTGAGCAGACTGTCTTTTGCTTTCAGTGTGAAAGACCTGGCTCTTCAGGACCTCCCTTCTCTTTCAAGGGTTGTTGATAAGATGGGCTGGCCAGTTTGAAAATAAGATATAAAACAACACACAAGCCTGGCATTATATTTTGTAAGAAGATTGCTTTATAATCGTCTCTTCCACTGATCTCCTACAACTTTCCAGAGTCATGCTTAAAAATAAAATTTTAATTTTTGTTGTATTTTTTTTTCCTTTCATTCACTTACTCTCTTTGGCAAAATAAGGACTGCAATTCCAGAAATGTGGGGAGGCATCAAAGGTATGTAGCAAATGCAGGGAGAGAAATCAGTACAGAATCAGAGCGAGGATAAGAAGAATGATGGGTAACTGAGGCCTTTTTCAGGTCAAGTTAGTTCATAAACCTTTGGTTAATAAATCCTGATTTTTCTGGATTCTTGAAAGCTTTTTGGGCTACATGTTCAGCTGTTGAGTCCAGACTTTGAGAAGGTCATTTCTGCTTTAGTGTTATTGTCAGTTATTCCTGTTGCTCCTGCTGAGTCCCTGAATCTGTAGCTCAACCCGACAGCCCGCACTGTCTCTCTCCTGAGCGTGGCTGTCACTACTGCTCTCACCGGATTGCCTGTGGTGGGGAGGGGACATGAAGCTGCTTAGACCTGAATTTCTGTACTAGAACTTTTTTCTCAGTAGCTGACACCTCCATTCAGTTTAACATGTGCCTATGGTCACGCTTCTCAGACACACAAAAGAAATGTATGTCGGTCAGGAGTGGTGGCTCATGCCTGTAACCCCAACACTTTGGGAGGCCGAGGCAGGCGGATCACCTGGCCTGGCCAACGTGGTGAAACCCTGTCTGTACAAAAATACAAAAATTAGCTGGGCATGATGATAGGTGCTTGTAATCCCAGCTACTTGGGAGGCTGAGGTGGGAGAATCGCTTGTACTTGGGAGGCGGAGGTTGTAGTGAGCCGAGATCACTGCACTCCAGCCTGGGCGACAGAGCAAGACTCCATCTCAGAAAAAAAAGAAAAAAGAAAGGTATGTCATATTCCCTGTACCCCAGGAATCATGCAGTCTTACTGGGAAGTGAGGACTACATGAAAAAAAGAAAGTATGATATGACTATGCCTCACTGTGTGGTACAGAGAGTAAGTGCTATAGAAGGCCAGGAAAATGAAAGATGAGCCTGGGCCAGAGGAGCTATGGAGTCATTTCAGGTGGAAGGGCACTTGAACTAGGCTGTGAAGGAAGTATAAACAGTTAGGTAGAACGGAGGAAGGGTGGCACTCCAGGTCAGGAAACAGAATGATTAAAGGCCTAGGGGAAGAAGCAAACATGGCTTGTATCAGGAAACAAGGTGAGCTTTGATCTGGCTTTAAAGGGGGGTCCCTGTGGGGAACAAACAGTGTGAGATGATCAGGTAAACTGAATGAGCCTAAATCCCAGAGGGCTTTGAGTGATAGCAGAGAATTTAGACTTTATTCCATAGATAATGGGTATCACTGATTACCTTATGAACAAAGAAGGAACATGGTGAAAAAGGTGATTGAGATGGTTGGAACTGTAGAGGAACGCAGAGTGGGTTGGAAATGGGGAGCTGAAATGTATCCTCACTCTGATTCTGTACTGATTTCTCTCCCTGCATTTGCTACATACCTTTGATGCCTCCCCACATTTCTGGAATTGCAGTCCTTATTTTGCCAAAGAGAGTAAGTGAATGAAAGGAAAAAAAAATACAACAAAAATTAAAATTTTATTTTTAAGCATGACTCTGGAAAGTTGTAGGAGATCAGTGGAAGAGATGATTATAAAGCAACCTTCTTACAAAATATAATGCCAGGCTTGTGTGTTGCTTTATATCTTATTTTCAGCTTTATACATTTATAAATGTATAAAGATATAATGCTTTATATCTTATTGACTCTGGGATCAAGGGGAAAGGGTCTCACTGAAGGTGATGTCAGGGAGAATGGGAAGCAGAGTCTTATACCGGAGGTCTTTGAGAGGAGAATTGAAATTTGCTCCCTGGCTGTGAGGAGGAAAAGGAAGGAAAGAATCAAGCATTACTCAGAGATGTAACTGTGTAGCTGGGAGCACAGCAGTACCAATGTTAGAAATAGTGACACTGAGCCAGGCATGGTGACATGCGCCTGTAGTCCAAGCTGCTTGGGAGGCTGAGGCAGGAGGATCACTTGAACCCAGGAGCTCAAATCTGTAGCGCACAGTGATTGTGCCTGTGAATAGCTACTGCACTCCAGCCTGGGCAACATAGCGAGACCCCATCTCTGAAAAGAAAGTAATAGTTGAGAAGGGAGACTAGTTTAGGAGAGTAGTTGATATAGACACATATGGCTAGATTGAGTTTGAGATTACAGTGGGAAAAAACCTCAAGAGTGTGTGAGGTATGTGTATGTGTGTACGTTGATTTTTGCAGGTCCATAATCTGTTATCTGCAGTTCTGAGATCCAAACAGTACTACAAACTAAAGGGGTATTTTTAGTTTTTAGTTTCTATTTATTATTTTTTAATTTGTAGCAGACTCATTTGGCAACCAGACCTGTCCTGAATAGACACAGGGCAATTTATGGTCTTTCTTTATTCTACTTATTGTGAATATTCATACTTTTCATTGCAAAAATTAGGATAGCTTCGATAAAAAGCATGTACTCTGTTAACAAATAGACTCCAAATCTCAGTGATTTAACACAGTATTCCCAGTACAAGGAGGGGGAGAACAGTGTTGCCCAGAGTTACTTAGGAACCTGGATTGAGGGAGACTCCTCTGTCCTAGGACATGTGCCTGCCAGGGAAGAGAGTATAGAACTTGATTCTGTTCCTAGCTCTTGGTCAGAACTAGGGACAAACCCCCCAAACTAACTTTTAAGAGGTCCAGGAAATACTTGAGCATTCTGCCTCTACCACAGTAGTACTGTCTCAGACACCCCCCACTCCACTGCCTGGGGAGGCATCACATGATTTATAGAACATCTACCATACTACCCCTCTAAATCCAAAACATGCATTCTGAAACACTTTTGGCCCCAAGAATTTTGGCTAAAGGATAATAGACCTGTATTACCATTTACCAACCACTTGTATATCAGGTACTGTTCTAATCACTTTACCCAATTATATGATTTAATTCTTTTGATAATTCCGTAAATTGGATACTATCATTCTCACTTTACAGATGAGGAAACTAAGTTATAGGTTAAGTATGAGGCTGCAGTGCCATTACTTTTTTTTTTTTTTTCCTGAGATGGAGTCTTGTTCTGTCACCCAGGCTGGAGTGCAGTGGCGTGATCTCGGCTTGCTGCAACCTCCACTTCCTGGGTTCAAGCAATTCTCCTGCCTCAGCCTCCCGAATAGCTGGGATTACAGGTGCCCGCCACCACACCCGGCTAATTTTTGTATGTTTAGTAGAGACGGGGTTTCACCATGTTGGCCAGGCTGGTCTCGAACTCCTGACCTCGTGATCTGCCCTCCTTGACCTCCCAAAGTGCTGGGATTACAAGGCCACCACGCCCAGCCTAGTGCAGTTAGGTTTAATGGCAAAAACTGCAATTACTTTTGCACCAACCTAAGTTCGAGGTTACACAGCTAGGAAGTTGTAGAGCCAAGATTTGAAGCAGGCAGTTGGACTCCAGTGCTACATTCTTAACAACTACATATTGGCCTCAGATACGTGGCAAGCAGATGAGCCTTGCTTCAGTGATTGGGGCTACATATAGAGATTGAGGAATCATCTATTTAGAGGCCCACTGAGAAGTTGTATGCAGAGCAGGAGAAAGCCAGAAGTCAGAAGTCGCAAGGTTGAGGAATGGTCATGTGTTTGGGGAGGGGTGGGAGAGGGCATGAACAAGAGGAACCAGCAAAGAAGCAGAAGTGGTCAGAGTGGTAGCAGGTTCCCTGTGCTGGGATAGAGTCACAGAAGTTGGAAATAGAGTTGGCCACCCACCAGTGTGAAATGCCTCAGAGAGGACAAGAAGAATGGCTGGCCGGAAGGCATTGAATCAAATTATCTTTATCTGAACTTCCCTTATCTATGGCTTATTATGGTCAACCTGATGGGTGAAATTCAGATTTAGGGACTCAGAAGATTTGGGCATATCATGTGGTTCATGGAAGCTTGTAAGGCTGTCATGGCATCAAAGAAGCATCTTTGTTTACACTGCTTTTTAGTCACAGGCTTGGTTAGTCTTAAGTAGCAGTGATTTGTGGTTTGGAACAAAAGTTTAATTCCCTTTCTGAATAAATTCATGTAGAGCAGTGCTTAGGTTATGGCTCGTTATGAAATAAATTTAGTTCCTTCATTTCCATAAAGGCACTGAGGAGATTCCTTCATTAGTATATCTAAATATAATGTTGTCCCAGGGCTGGGGCAGTGGCTCACACCTGTAGTCCAAGCACTTTGGGAGGCCAAGGCGGGTGGATCACTTGAGGTCAAGAGTTCAAGACCAACCTGGCCAGGGGTGAAACCTTGTCTCTACTAAAAATACAAAAATCATTCAGGCATGGTGGTGCATGCCTGTAATCCCAGCTACTTGGGAGGCTGAGGCAGGAGAATCACTTGAACCCAGGAGACAGAGGCTGCAGTGAGCCGAGATCGCGCCACTGCACTCCAGCCTGGGCAACAGAGTGAGACTCTGTCTCAAAAAATAAAAAAATAAATAAAATGTTGTCCCAGTTTAAGAATGAAAGCTGTTATGTGTGTGTGTGTTTTTAACCTCGTTTTTTTGTTTTGTTTTGTTTTGTTTCAATATATTTTTGAGACAGAATCCTTGTTCTATCACCCAGGCTGGAGTCCAGTGGCGTGATCATGGCTCACTGCAACCTCAAGCCCCCCGGGCTCAAGCAATCCTCTTGCCTCAGCTTTCCAAGTAGCTAAGACTACAGGCGTGTGCCACCACAACCAGCTAATTTTTGTATTTTTTGTAGAGATGGCGTTTTGCCATGTCGCCCAGACTGATCTCAAACTCCTGGGCTCAAGCAATCCTCAAACCTCGGCTTCCCAAAGTGTTGGGGTTAGAAGCGTGAGCTACCACACCTGGCCTAAAACTTCTAAAAATGAAAAAAAAAAAAAATTAAACAAAAACAAAAACCTGAGGAAATATGTGAGTAAACTATGGACTTTAGTTGATATATCAATATTGATTAATTAATTGTAACAAAAAGAAATATACCATACTAATGTAAGATATTAATAATAGGGGAAACTGGCTGGGTGTGGTGGCTCATGCCTGTAATCCCAGCACTTTGGGAGGCTGAGGTGGACAGATTGCTTGAGCCCAGGAGTTTGAGACTAGCTGGGCAACATGGCAAGACCCCATCTCTACAAAAAGTTACAAATTAGCCCAGTGTGGCGACATGTGCCTGTTTGTAGTCCCAGCTACATGGGAGGCTGAGGTAGGAGAATCAATCACCTGTGCCCGGGAAGTCAAGGCTGCAGTGAGCCGTGATCGTACCACTGCACTCCAGCTTGGGTGGCAGGAGTAAGACCCTGTCTCAATAATAACAATAATAATAATAGGGGAAACTGTACAAAGGGGAGAAGGATATATCAGAACTCTGCTCTGTATGCTCAGTTTTTCTGTAAATGTAAAACTCTTCTAAAAATAAAATTTATTAATTAAAATAATAGAGCTACAGCAAGGTATGCTGGGCTGTAGGCAGGAACAGGTAAAAGGATGTATAACCCTCCCACAGGGGCAGACAGGACTACAAACTTCATAGAGCACTTGGGATACTCCAGATCCAGTTGAGGAAATAGTGTGGGAAGCTGGAGACCACACATCAGAGCATGGCAACTCTGCTTTAGAGGACTCTTGTCATGGTAACTGTTTAGAATTTCAGGGGAACGAGAAAAAGAAGATAGTGAAAAACTGCTCTCAGTGCCTGTGTGACACTTAAGTTGTAGCATAGCATGGTAGTTAAGAGTCAGGCTTCCAGGGTTCAAATCCTACCTCTTCCTTTACAAGCGATATGACCTGACCTTGGGGGAACTTACTTAATCTTATTGTAACTCAGTTATTTTCTGTAAAATAGGGATAATAATGGTACTTGTTTTGAGGATCAGTTTAATTAATATATGTAAACATGCTTAGAACAATGCTTGGTTTGTGGTAAATGCTCAATAAACGTTAGCTATTATCATTATTATTAATGGATAAAGTGGTCCATGTGTTATCTTACAGGATAAGAAGGCTATATCAGGGCTGTATATTTTTTGAGACAGGGTCTCACTCTGTCACCCAGACTGGAGTGCAACAGCATTGTCTCAGCTCACTGCAACCTCTGCCTCCTAGGTTCAAGCGATTCTCCTGCCTCAGCCTCCCGAGTAGCTGGGATTACAGGTGTGCGCCATTACTCACGGCACACTTTTTGTATTTTAAGTAGAGATGAGGTTTCACCATGTTGGCCAGGCTGGTCTCAAACTCCTGACCTCCAGTGATCTGCCCGCCTCGGCCTCCCAAGGGGCTGGGATTACAGTTGTGAGCCACTGTGCCTCTGGCCTTTAATTGCCATTTTAAATGAATAAAGTAAATTTTCTCAGTTTTAATTTTGAATATGGTAAATACCAATAGATATAATCCACATAAGCAAAAGCTCTTTGGGGTCTTTAATAATTTTTACAGTGTAAATTAGAACCACTCTTGTAATTCATTGAACTGGAAGAGAAGTCTAGTCCCTTAATACCTTGGGAAAAGGGAGTCCTTTAGGCATCTACCCTTCCTTTCAAACTCACTCCCTTTTCTGTTGTCTGTTTGCTATGTGTTCCTCATCTTCAAATACTCTTAAGTCCTCTTTCTTCCAAGCCACAGCCTATTAATTTGTCTTCTTCAAAATAATTTTTCTTCATCGACTATGACTTCATTCTCTCCTTTATCTCTATTATTTGCTGGTTTCCTGCCCATCTTACCTTTCTTTTCCTCTACACCTGTTCTTCTGTAATATCTCTCTCCTTTCCCTGTCATTTTTTAAACTCCCTCAAGTTGTTTGTTTGCCCTTTTGCAATATCTCTTCCTCTTTAATTTGTTCTTTGTCATTTTAACATTTCTACTTCCTCTTATTTCTCATATTTATACTTCTGTTCTTCAATTCATTCAACCACTTAACAAATATTATTAAGCACAAATATTATATGCCATTTCCTTTGCCTGGCACTGGGGATATAGAAACATGATAGACCTCGGGAGGCCGAGGCAAGAGAATCGTTTGAACCCGGGAGACGGAGGTTGCGGTGAGCCGATATTGTGCTACTGCACTCCAACCTGGGTGACAGAGTGACACTCCGTCTCAAAAAAAAAAAGAAACATGATAGACCTGATCTCTGCTCTCCTGCAGTTTACAGGCTACTCATGATGGTCATTTTGGAAAAGGCTGGGAACAGTGTATAAGATCCTACTTTACCCCCAGTGGGGTAGCTTTGGGAGGGTTTTGGGAAATCAATGATAGTGGTACCAGTGGCAGCAGCAGCAAAAACCAAATATTGCATGTCTATTATGTGTCAGGTATTTTACTTACATTTAGTTGTTGTAAGAACTCTGCAAGGTATGTTTAGGCTTACTCTACAGATGGAAAAACTAAGACTCACAGAGGATAAGTAACTTGCCTGTGGTCATATAGCTAGAAAGCATCAGCAGCAAAATTTCTTTTTTGTCTTCAGTCACATCAGCCAACAAGGAAATGTATCCTGGTCAGGAGGTGATAGAGTGGGAGAAACTTCCAGAGCCAATTGTAGAAATAGGGTGTGTATGAAGCTAGAAACAGCATGTCACAGCATAGCAACTGAGCTGGGCAGCCACCTAGGGATCTTACCCTAAGAGCTTTGTTGTCCCTGATGTTAGAACTGGAAGTTTTAACTCATTGGAAAGGAATGCCCATGCCCATCTGGGAAGAGAAGCTGGACCAGGAGCCATCAGGGATGTATGCCTAATGTTGCTAACGAACTGCCCAAGGCTTACTTGGCAATGGCAGGAGTGACACATTCCAGAGAATTCTCTAACCTGTCTATCATTCTTTTTGGCAGAGTGACGTCAGAATCAAGTTCGAGCACAACGGGGAGAGGCGGTAAGTCTGCCTTCTGATGAGTAGCTGTGTTCATGTATGCCAAAGTTCTCAGATAGCATTGAGTTCATGGAAGTCATTCCCCTGTCCTGATCCCTGTGGGGCCACTGGCTGGGTAATAGGGTGGATTGGGCATAAAGGGAGGAAAGTTTCACCCTTGTCTTGGCCTACTAATTGAACCTTGTTCCTATCTTAGCATTGGAAGCCATTTCAACTGCTGATGTTTTACTGTTCTGCTCTATTCTGCTGCTGTGAGGTCTGACATTTTATTAGGAAGTGAGGACTCTGGCCCTACTCAGAGTCATGGCTTTCAGACACACTGACACTGTGTCACCTGTGGGCATTAGAGGGAGGGCAGGATTCTCCTGTGATATGGTGCCATTACTATTCCCAGTAGAGCAGCCCTGGCTTTGTCCACATCAAGGGTCAGGTTGGTGAATTAGAAGTTTCTTCATGATGTCTCTAGGTCATGGGAAGCTGCACCAAGTCCATCAGTTGTAAAAGACTTTAGCTCCTTTGAGGACATAGAAAGAGGGAGTTTTTCGGTCTGTGTTCTGAATCTTACCTCATTAGGGAAGTGAAAGTAGTGTTACAAAACTCTTCTGTCCTTTTCTCCATTGTCAGTATTTTCATTATTGTTATTTTTTGTGGGAAGCCAAGGTAGAAGTTCTCAGTAGAAAAAATGTGACTGTACTTAATTTCTGAAGTTATTTAAGGAAAACATTCAGAAAGCATACAGAACTCTGGACATGGGATATTTGGGACCTTGCATGTTTGTGCATGTGCGGCACATGTACACATAAATGTGCCTTTCGGTGTTTTTTCCACTCTTTGCCTTTCTTTCCCATTGATATACTACCCCCTGCCACCCTCAGCTTTCCTTTGCTTTGAGCATTTGGACAGGTGAAGAGCATACCCATTAGTATGAGGTCTTCCTACTTTAAGAGTCTCACCACAGGACCTTAGTACCTCTAAACATTCTTGATTCTGGTAGTTCTCTACAGTTGGTACCTTTCAGCCTACTTTGCAGCTGGCTCCAGAGGAGACCTGTGGCTACTATTCTCCCTTTAAAATACACATTCACAAGCCTACAAGGTTGTCAGAGGCAACCCGGTGGAAGCATTGTGGAAAGTGTGGTCTGCAGAGCCAGGGTCCTTCTGCTCCTATGTGAGTTCCAGGCCTGGAGGGAGGAAGGTCTGAGCTCTGTCCCCAGCTGCTCTTCCTGTGTCCTGCCATTAGCAGAGAAGTTAAATTGTCACTTCACTGTTGCTACTTTTCACATTTTCCAACCTGAGTTTTAAAGGGATGGCCAAACTCAGAGCAGCAGAGTTTTCAATCAAAAGCACAATTGTGTTGGAGCCCAATTACGCAGTTAGGCTCTCCTGAATTCCCTGTTCCCAAAGTGGTATGCAGTTACAGTGAGCAGGCTTACACTGAGAAAGTGTATGTGTTTGGTTTCAGAGAAGCTGCCAGATTGAAACCACAAATATTTAAGGTGGTCAGGCAGGAATGGCCTTCTGAAGCCCTGAGCAGCAGAACGTTGCTTATCAAGGTTTTGAAAATGGTGCATTCTCTTTTTACGGAGCTGTTTTCAGGAGCCATGGCATTTCAGTGTTTGTGTACTATATGTGGAATTGAGGACTTTATAAAGTTGGTGCAGGGAAGCCAACAGAGTTAGTACTCTGTGCCACACAGCTCTAGTTTCGTGTATTTCACGTCAGGATTTTGTAGAGAATGTCATTATGGGCATTTTAAACTTTTTACCTGGAATATGGGTAGTATTTATCTAAATGTAGGCCCTTATAGAATTAGAATTCACAGGAAAGAGGAAAGAAGTCATGACTTTTCCCACTTATCCATGACAGGTATTCATTCTGGTGGGCTGACTTTCCCTTTACTTTGAGAATATGGGGACCAGACCCCTGACTGTCCTCCCTTTTGGCCCCAGGAGGGCTGGGGAGAAGGATTGTAGATTAAGATCTCCTTCCCTTTGGAAATGTTAATGACACACTGATGGGGGTGGTTGCATGGGTGTTAGACCTCTCTTTGAAGCACTGGCCTAAAAATGCCTGTTATTCAATAGGATGGCAGCAGCTTAGATCTTACCCAATCTGGAAGTCCTGGCCTCTGATCTTGACCAGACTTTCAAGCTGCTTTTGTGGGTTTTGAATGGCTCATTGCTAGGCCAAATGCAGAAGAATTTATCTCTGATCATGATCCTTTTTCAATAGTGTGCTAGGGACATCTGAGTGGACTTCTGGTATTTTATCCAGAAAGGCTGGACCCTTTTGCACTGTTGCTGAGGCCTTGAAGAAGGAGGGGTATGATTTGCTATTAGGCATTAATAGAAAGCTATCCTCTCAAAAGGCTTCAGAAACACCTCTATCTAGAGAATCCATCTAGATAGCACCTAACAGTATCACTGCTTGGGACAGTTGATTTGGAAGAAAAAAATATAAGAATTACAGTCTGGGCCGGGTGTGGTGGCTCACGCCTGTAATCCCAGCACTTTGGGAGGCTGAGGCGGGCAGATAAAAAGGTCAGGAGTTCGAGACCAATATGGTGAAACCCCGTCTCTACTAAAAATACAAAAATTAGCCGGGCGTGGTGGCCGGCGTCTGTAGTCCCAGCTACTCGGGAGGCTAAGGCAGGAGAATCGCTTGAACCTGGGAGGTGGAAGTTGCAGTGAGCCGAGTTCGAGCCACTGCACTCCAGCCTGGGGGACAGAGCGAGACTCCATCACACACACACAGAAAAAAGAATTACAGTCTCAATGGGTTTCCTAGTGGAGATGAAACTAATTTGGTTAGCAGTATAATTTCCAAAAATGAAAGGTGGTGATGGACAAAGGAAAAAAACAGGAAGGAATTACCTTCTTGAGATGTTAGGCTTTGCGTGAAGGATAGATTATGGTTTATATTAATAGTCTATCAATGTTGCCCTGTAGAACTTTCTGCTATAATGGAAATGTTCTATATCTGTGCTGTCCAGTACACATATGGCTGCTGTACATGTGGCTAATGAGCACTTGAAATGTGGTTGGTGAGACAGAGGAACCTTTTTCTTTTAAGACAGGGTCTCTGGGCCAGGTACAGAGGCTCACGCCTGTAATCCCAGCACTTTGGGAGGCTGAGGCAGGAAGATTACCTGAGGTCAGGAGTTCCAGACCAGCCTGGCCAACATGGTGAAACCCTGTCTCTACTAAAAATATAAAAATTAGCTGGGTGTGGTGGTGCACACCTGTAGTCCCAGCTACTCGGGAGGCTGAGGCAGGAGAATGGCATGAACCTGGGAGGTGGAGCTTGCAGTGAGCCGAGATCGTGCCACTTCAGCCTAGGCGACAGAGCGAGACTCCATCTCAAAAAAAAAAAAAAAAAGTAGACAGGATCTCTGTTGCTCAGGCTGGAGTACAGTGGTGTGATCGTGGAGCCTCCACCTCCCAGGCTCAAGCAGTCCTCCTGCCTCAACCTCCCAGGTGCCTGGGACAACAGGCACACTGCCATAGCCAGGTAATTTTTGTAGAGACAGGGTTTGCCATTTTGCCCAGGCTGGTTTCAAACTCCTGGACTCAAGCTATCCACCTGCCTTGGCCTTCCAGAGTTCTGGGATTATAGGTGTGAGCCACTGTACCTGTTCAGGAACCAATTTTCAGTTTAATCAATTTAAATTTAAATAGTCATATGTGGCTAATGGCTGCCATATTGAATAGTGCAGATGCAGTTCTAGATGATGAAGGCTTTTATGCTTCTCACTGATTTGAGCCAACCTGTTACAGAAGAACATTAAAGAAATTATCTGGTCAGATTTTATTAAAACCCAATGGTTTAGATCCCTCTCTCTTGTGGCTTATTGCTTCTTCCTCTGGTTACACCACTTCCCACTCTGGGGGAGCAGGGAAGATGAGAAAGAACCACACACTTCTTCCTCTCAGCATGGAAGAGGACAAGAACTGCGCAGGCCCATGGCTGAATACTGCTTGCTCCAACACACACTAGTCTGATTTTATCCTGCTTAGGTGTACTAAGAGATGAAGGTTGTTTTAATAGGCATTTCTCCAGTCACATTGGGCATCTTTTCATGTGTTTTATTAGCCACTTACAATTCTTCTGTGAATTGTCTAATCTTTTGCCTTTTCTATTAGATTGTCTTTTATTGATTTTTTACAAGTATTTTCTCAAAGTTTGATATTTGTTTAACTTTGTTGATGGCTTATTTTGCAATCAGAAGTTTATTTATTTATTTTTTTGAGACAGAGTCTCTTGCTCTGTTGCCCAGGCTGGAGTGCAGTGGTGTGATCTCAGCTCACTGCAACCTCTGCCTCCTGGGTTCAAGTGATTCTCCTGCTTCAGCCTCCCAAGTAGCTGGGATTGCAGGGCATGTGCCACCACACCCAGGTAATTTTTAAATTTTTAGTAGAGATGGGGTTTTCCCATGTTGGCCAGGCTAGTCTTGAACTCCGGACCTCAGGTGATCCACCCACCGCAGCCTCCCAAAGCGCTGGGATTACAGGCATGAGCCATCTTGCCTGGCTTGTCTTCTGTATTTTATGTTATGGTTAGGAAGACCTTCTCTCTCTCTGTCTCTTATAGAGAGAGAGAGAGAGAGAGAGAGAGAGAGAGAGAGAGTTTTTTTTTTTTTTAGACAGGGTCTCATTCTGTTGCCTAGGCTGGAGTATAGTGGCATGATCACAGCTCACTACAGCCCTGATCTCCTGGGCTCAAGTGATCCTCCCACCTCAGCCTCCCAAGTAGCTTAGACTATAAGCATGTACTATCACACCTGGCTAATTTTTTAAAAAAATGTTTAGTAGGCAGGAGGGCTCACTATCTTGCCCAGGCTGATCTTGAGCTCCTAGCCTCAAGCGAGCCTCCTACCTTGGCCTCCCAAAGTGCTTGGCCCCCAAGATTTTTTTTTAATTCTGTATTTTCTTATATAAATTTGAGAGTATGTGTGTGTATGAGTTTCTTTCTTATATTCTTTTCTTCAGTTATCTCTGATTATTTTTAGTCATTTCTGTTCTAGAGTATTGGGTTGAACCCATATAAAATTGCCACTTTTATATATCAAAAATGGTCGGCCATCAGTAGTCTCATATAGTTCAACCTAATACATTCATTCAAACTTTTTATTGGCCAAGCATGGTGGCTTACACCTATAATACCAGCACTTTGGAAGGCCGACGTGGGAGGATTGCCAGAGTTCAGAGGTTTGAGATCAGCCTGGGCAACTTATTGAGGCCCATCCCTACAAAAAATAAAAAATTAGTCGGTGCATGCCAGTAGTCCCAGCTACTTGGGAAGCTGAGGCAGGAGGATTGCGTGAGCCCCAGAGGTTGAAGCTGCAGTGAGCCGTTATCATTGCCACTGCACTCCAGCCTAGGTGACAGAACGAGACTCTGTTTTGAAACAAACAAACAAAAAAACCCCACAACTTTTTATTATGGAAATTTCAAGCACACACAAAAGTAGACAGAGTATTAAACTGAACTCCCATGGACCTGTCACCCAGCTTCAACATTACTAACATTTTCCCAGTCTTGTTTTATCAATTCCCACTTTTAAATTTTGCTGAAGTATTTAATAACAAATCAGATTTTACACCTCTTTGGATGACTCCTTACTCTACCTTATATTTGTAGAAATTGTTCTTTGAACTGACCTAATGAGTCTCTCCAGAAAATCTTCAATGTCAATACTAGTTACATGCACAGATATGTCACTGGTTAAGAAAACTGATCAGGCATATCACTAACTCAAGGGGGAATTCCTGTGACTCTGTAGTAGAAAATCTTAATTCTGAGGAAAATCAGTATGGAGATTCTTATGGCATCTCAAAGATGAACGATGGAAAAGACCTTTCAAGTCCTAGAGTTGAGTCCCTTAGGAGTTGAGGCCATGTTTTCAGGACTGCTACTCCAGTCTGTACGTTTTCTACCTTATTTCCTAAATAATTTTTTTCTTTCAACTTTTATTTAAGTTCTGGGGTACATGTGTAGGATGTGCAGGTTTGTTACATAGTTAAACATGTGCCATGGTGGTTTGCTGCACAGATTAATCCATCACCTATATATTAAGCCCAGTATGCATTAGCTATTCTTCCTGATACTCTCTCTTCCCCAAGTCCCAACAGCCCCAGTGTGTATTGTTCCCCCTCCATGTGTCTGTGTGTTCTCATCGTTGGAACATAGTTTTTAAATCTAGTGGCCTCTTCTGTCATTGGCAGAAGAGTCTAAGCTGAAGTGGTAGATGAATGGTTGGGATTGAGCAATAGTTGTGGGTACTGTTGTCAAACCTGATAGATGCTCAGAGGGTGAAAGGTAACGGTAGAGAAGAGGAAAAAAGGAAACAATCGGGAAAAGGCAAATTGAGTGAAAGAAAACAGAATCCTATGTTGAGAAGAAAGGAAGAATATACTCAGACCATTGCTTTTTAAACCCTACGTTTTAAGTATACAATTAACCAACCTTTCTTTCTGTTTCTTTTCAGAATTATAGCGTTCAGCCGGCCTGTGAAATATGAAGATGTGGAGCACAAGGTGACAACAGTATTTGGACAACCTCTTGATCTACATTACATGAACAATGAGGTGAGAAGGCAGATGGATGGGGCAGGGACAAGAGGGGCAGATGCCTACCTTTTTTCTCTCTGTTTACCAGAGCCTTTAAAGTTTGTTCCTCTAATATCATCTGCAGGTTTTCATTTTCTAGACCCCCTTTTCTTAATTCCAACAACTGTGGGATCTCTGTTTTTTACTACATGGGAGATTACTCAGCCATCTCAGCCATCTCCATTCCCCCTACTCATTCAGTGCAGATAGCTCTAATATTCCATGGTGGAATCAGGTATGGTACCAGGGCTAGGGCTTATACTGTCTCCTTTACATTTTGTAGGAGTATCTTATTTTTTTCCCCCCAGCACAGCCTTAACAAGAAGCAGAGGGTTTAGCAGGGGCTAGGGAGGTGTGAAAAACCAGTGAGTAGGTCATCTATTACAGTCATAAATGCAGGATTCTTCTCTTAGAGTTTCTTCTGATTGGAGCTTATTTGTTTCAAATGTTAGCACCTGCTCCAATAAGTTCTTTAACTCCTCCTCCTCCTCACTCCACCCCAACGGTCCTTATTTACTTCTACTTTGAATATCACCCAGGAAGGAATTCTTTTGAATGTCAGTTTCTGGGCTGCTTTCCCAGCTCCAAGAAGAATATTACAGACTACAATCAGCTTAGGCTGGTGCTTTGCAGTGTATTTATGCTGAGTAAAGAATGTGTACCTCGAGGAAATTGAGTTAGGGGTGCAAGACAAGAAAGCTGGGCAACATCATGACCCTTTGAGAACCAGATCATCACTGTGTAGTTTTATTTTATTTGATGAGGAGTTAAAATTTTTCTTTTAGTAAAGACTTTTCTGAATCATTTAGTACTCTTTTCTTTTTCAGTTAATATTTCCATTAAGAATTCCTGATGTTTCTTTATTCTAAAGCCAAATATAAATCATTGTTATTATTTTAGTTCATACATGTCTTAACATACTCTACTAATGTTAATGATCAGGAGTTGACTAACTTACATTTGATTAATTTAAAATCCCTCAATTCCGTTCTTTTGTTTGCCCTTTAAACCCTGCACTGTCAAGATCTAAGAATCCCAAATGAAAAATCTACTGAGATTTTATTTATTTATCTCTTTGTAATTATAGTTTTATTGAGATTAAAAAATTTATCATCTAAAAGTATACCATTCAGTGGTTTTTAGTATGCTGATAGAGTTGTGCAACCAACACCGCTATCTAATTCCAGAACATTTTCTTTTTTTTTCTGAGACAGAGTCTTGCTCTGTCGCCCATGCTGGAGTGCAGTGGTGCAAACACGGCTCACTGCAGCCTTGACCTCCTGCGCTCAAGCGATTCCCCCACCTCAGCCACCCAAGTAGCTGGGACTACAGGCACACACCATCACACCCAGCTAATTTTTTTGTATTTTTTATGGAGGCAGGGTTTCACCATGTTGCCCAGGCTGGTCTCAAATTCCTGAGCTCAAGCGATCTGCCTGCCTCAGCCTCCCAAAGTGCTGGGATTACAGGCATGAGCCACCGCACTTGGCCTCCAGAACATTTTTATCACTCCAAAGAGAAACCTGTACCTATTAGCAGTTATTCCCCTTTCTCTCCTCTTCTCAGCTCTTGGTAAGCACTTATCTTTCTGTCTCTTTGGATTTACCTATTCTGAACATTTCGTGTAGTGCAATCATACAGTACGTGACCTTTTTTGTCTGGCTTCTTTGACTAAGCGTATGTTTTCAACGGTCATCTGTGCATGTTGTCAGTATGTCATTCTATTTTATGGCTGAATAATAAATATTCCATTTATGGATATACCACATTTTGTGTATCTGTTCATCTATTGATAGACATTTGGGTTGTTTTCATTTTTTGGTGATTAAATAGTGCTGCTATGAGCATTTGTTTACAAGTGTTTAAATGAACATATGTTTTCAATTCTGTAAGGTATATACCTAGGCGTGGAATTGCTGGGTCATAAGATAACTCTAACTTTTTGAGGAACTGCCCAGATTTTCTATAATGGTTGCACAATTTTACAGTCCCACTAGCAACTTATGAGTGTATTAGTCTATTCTCACTCTGCTGTAAAAAACTGCCCGAGACTGGGTAATTTATAAAAGAAATAGGTGGCTAGGTGCAGTGACTCACGCCTGTTAATCCCAGCACTTTGGGAGGCTGAGGCGGGCAGATCACGAGGTCAGGAGTTCGAGACCAGCCTGGCCAACATGGTGAAACGCCGTCTCTGCTGCTGATATAAAAATTAGCTGGGCATGGTGGTGCACACCTGTAGTCCCAGCTACTCAGGAGCCTGAGGCAGAAGAATTACTTGAACCCGAGAGGCGGAGGTTGCAATGAGCCGAGATTGCAGCTCATTTGAGACAGAGTTGAGACTCTGTCTCAAAAAACGATTAAAAAAAATTATTTTATTTTATTTTTAAATAAACAAATAAAGGAAAGAGGTTTAATTGACTCACAGTTCAGCATGGCTGGGGAGGCCTAGCAAACTTAACAATCATGATGGAAGGGAAAGCAAACACATCCTTCACATGGCGACAGGAGAGAGAAGGGCCAAGCAAATGAGAAAAAGCCTCCTATAAAACCATCAGATCTCGTGAGAACTCACTCACTATCAGGAGAACAGCAGCATGGGATAACCACCCCCGTGATTCAGTTACCTCCCACTGGGTCCCTGCCACAACACATGGGGATTATTGGAACTACAAATCAATATGGGATTTGGATGGGGACACAGCCAAACCATATCAGTGAGGGCTGCAGTTTCTCCACCATCCTTACCAACATTTGTTATTTTCTTCTTTTAATAGCCATCCTAGTAGGTGTAAAGTGATATGTCACTGTGAGTTTTGTTTTTGTTTTTGGTTTGAGACAGGGTTTCACTTTGTTGCGCAGGCCAGAGTGCAGTGTGCAATCATGGCTCACTGCAGCCTTGACATCCTGGGTTCAAGTGATCCCCCCACCTCAGTTTCCCCAGTAACTGGGACAATAAGCACATGCCACCACACTGAGCTAATTAAAAATAAATTTTTGTAGAGATGGGGGTCTCACTATTTTGCCCAGGCTGGTCTTAAACTCCTGGCCTCAAGTGAGCCTCCCGCCACAGCCTCCTAGGATTACAGGTGTGAGCCACTATCCCCAGCCTACTTGGTTTTTTTTATTTAACTCCCTTCCCAACCATTCTTATTTATTCCCACTTTGAATGTCACACAGGAAGAAATTCTTTTGCAATATAATATGATTTGCAGAACATTCTCCCATTCCATAAGTAGTTTTGAGATTTTATTTTAAATATGTACTGTTTTTGGCGAGGCGCGATGGTTCATGCCTGTAATGCCAGCACTTTGGGAGGCTGAGGCAGGCAGATCTCTTGAGCTCAGGAGTTCAAGACCAGCCTGGACAACATGGTGAAACCCCATCTCTACAAAAAGTACAAAAATTAGTCGGGTGTGGTGCCTCATGCCTGTAATCCCAGCTACTTGAGAGGCTGAGGCAGGAGGATCACTTTAGCCCAGGAGGCGGAGGTTGCTGTGAGCCGAGATTGTGCCACTGCACTCCAGCCTGGGCAACAGAGGGAGATGCTGTCTCAAAAAAAAAAATCTTGTATTATAAATTGGGAACTGTGTAAGTTAATTGGACTTTTGCTTGATTTTGTGTTTACCATACGTGTATAAAATCTGACCAGGCGTGGTGGCTCACTCCTGTAATCCCACCAGTTTGGTAGGCTGAGGTGGGCAGATTACTTGAGGTCAGGAGTTCAAGACCAACCTGACCAATATGGCAAAACCCAGTCTCTACTAAAAAAAAAAAAAAATTAGTGGGGAGTGGTGGTGTGCACCTGTAATCCCGGCTACTCTGGAGGCTAAGGCAGGAGAATCACTTGAACCCAGGAGGTGGACATTGCAGCAAGTTGTGATTGTGCCACTGCACTCCAGCCTGGGCGACAGAGTAAGACTCTGTCTCCAAAAAATAAGAAGAATAAGAATAAGATCTGACATTTGCTAGGTCCTAAGCAAGGCATACGTTTGCATCTTATGAATCTCTTAATACCAAGTATTCATAACATGCTCTGCTTTTTGCAGTGAGTGAGACTTATTTGTACCCTCAGGGACCTTCTATTTAATATTTCACTGGAACGTATGAGTGTATTAGTCTGTTCTCACGCTGCTGTAAAAAACTGCCCAAGACTGGGTAATTTATAAAGGAAAGAGGTTTAATTGACTCACAGTTCAGCATGGCTGGGGAGGCCTCAGGAAACTTACAATCATGACGGAAGGGAAAGCAAACACATCCTTCATATGGCGACAGGAGAGAGAAGTGCCAAGCAAAGGGGGAAAAGCTCCGTGAGAATGGAGGAGGTAGTTTTCAGGTTCTAGTCACTGACTTTGCCCTTAAACAGAAAGATAATTAAACCGTGCTATGCAGTCTAAATTTGTGTTTTTATTTGTATAACAATTTTCATCCTCTGACCATCCCTCCACCCCTTCTCTTCCTTTTCTGCTTGTTCTATTAATGTCAGCACAATTGGCAGTAGAGTGGGACATGATCCTACTTAATTTGGAAAAGAATATGGGGGCTGTAACTGTTTGCAACTTGATATTTTGAAGTAAATTAGTGTTTTTGGAGAGGCAGCTCTTCTCAGAAAGTATCTCACAACTGGGTACTGAGGTATGCTACAGCATGGATGAACTAAAAAACATTAAGTGAAAGAAGCTAGATGAAAAAGATTGAATCTTTATGAATTGAATTGAATATGTATGAATTGTATGAGTCTAAATGGAATGAAATGTCCAGAAAAGGCAAATCAATAGAGATAGAAAGTAGAGTAGTGGTTGCCTGGGGCTGGAGGTGGGAAGGAGGAGTGACTATAAATGGGCACAAGAGATCCTGTTGGAGTTCTGGAAATGTTTTAAAATTGGATTATGATGATGGTTGCACAACTATGTAAAGGTACTACAAATTTTTGGATTGTACATTTAGAGAAAAAAATCTGTATGGTTTCAACTAGATCTCTTAAGACCCCATAGTATCCAGTGAGATTGTTTTCCTCCAAATGTATTTTTATTTTTTGTTTATTTTATTTCTGCAAAGTGAAACATTGAGATAAACTTCTGTTTTATATTATTTTCCTTTTCTATGTCTTGTATCACAGCTCTCCATCCTGCTGAAAAACCAAGATGATCTTGATAAAGCAATTGACATTTTAGATAGAAGCTCAAGCATGAAAAGCCTTAGGATATTGCTGTTGTCCCAGGACAGAAACCATGTAAGTAGCCCTTGTCATGGTCTGGCAGCTGAAGACAAAGCTTGCTTTCCTTCAGGAACTTGTCTCGCCTCCTTGACAGACATTTTCGTTCCTCAGCCACTGCCAAATTGAGAGCATAAGCACAGCACAGCCCACTTGTCAGTGGCCAGTGAACATTCTGCATTTGATTTCACCGAAAAGCCAGATTGTCAGTGTTAACATTGCATCTAAAGGTTATTTGACTTTTGGTGAGGGAGGAAGGAAAATACTTTATGATAAAGAATAAAATTCTTGTGCTCTAAATTTATGTTTTTTCAATTAGATTTTGACCCCAACAAGAGAAATTTGATTCGTTTGGCAGTGCCGATTAGGAAAGACTGTCAAAGATTTGAGACTGTCATGCTTTATAAACCCAACTCCCACAACACCTTGCCTTTCCCTTGGAACACTTGTAGGAAACAAACTTTTCCTTTTGTTCAGTGGAAAAAGCCATGGGTTGGGGGCCTCTTATAACTTATCAGCTGTTGCTTTACCCAATGGCAGGCAGTCTGTAGGGTGTCAGAAGTGGGGAATTATCCCTTATGCACAGTTTCCTCTCCTGAAGGATTCCTGGAGGCCCGCATTTCACAAGAATGCTTGCAATCTGTATCTGTCTTCCAATTACTGATTCTTCTACCAGTTTTCTTCAGATGCATGTTTCTGAAGGTTTCTTGGCACCATTTCCTTTTCTTATGCTTGACAGGCTTTCCTTTTCTTTATGTGGACAGCCAACATGGCAGCATAAGTGTGGGTGTAGTGACTAGGACAAAGTTTAGGTGGAATGCTGCTCATGCTGACCATTTCTTTTCTTTTTTTTTTTTTTTTTGAGACAGAGTTTTGCTCTTGTTGCCCAGGCTGGAATGCAATGGTGTGATCTTAGCTCACTGCAGCCTCCGCCTCCTGGCTTCAAATGATTCTCCTGCTTCAGCCTCTCGAGTAGCTGGGATTATAGGTGCCCGCCACCATGCCTGGCTAATTTTTGTATTTTTTAGTAGAGACAAGGTTTCACCATGTTCGTCAGGCTGGTCTCAAATTCCTGACCTCAGGTGATCCACCCGCCTCGGACTCCCAAAGTGTTGGGATTACAGGCGTGAGCCACTGTGCCCGGCCATTTTTTAATTTTTTTAGTAGAGATGGGGTCTCACTGTGTTGCCCAGGCTGGTCTTGAATTCCTGAGCTCAAATGATCCACCCACTTTAGCCTTGCAAAGTGCTGGGATTACAAGTGTGAGCCACTACACCCAGCCTGTGGTGAACATTTTTCTATGTTGTAATTATAATTTGTAAGGATACATGTTTCTCTTGAGTCGATATACCATAATTTAATTAAATAACCATTTTTGCTACTGTTGGGACACAGAAACTGCTCCTGTTTTTTGCATTTATAAATATTTACATTTAAGAGTAACAATGGTAATGTTTGGTGATGAAATCTTTCCTCCAGAACTTCCTCACCTAGACTTTAGGCTTCTTAATAAATGGAAGAATTATGATCCAAAATTGCTCTGTGCTCAGGAATCCTCACCTCTAGAACAGTGTTCCTCTAACTATATGTGATGAAATATCAGTTTTGTTCTTTTGATTTCAAATCTGTCATGGACTTTTTTTTTTTTTTTTTTTTTTTTGGAGATGGAGTCTCACTCTGTCGCCCAGGCCGGAGTGCAGTGGCGTGATCTCGGCTCACTGCAACCTCCACCTCCCGGGTTCAAGCAATTCTTCTGCCTCAGCCTCCCGAGAAGCTGGGATTACAGGTGCACGACACCACGCCCCGCTAATTTTTGTATTTTTAGTAGAGAAGGGGTTTCACCATGTTGGCCAGACTGGTCTTGAACTCCTGACCTTGTGATCCGCCCGCCTTGGCCTCCCAAAGTACTGGGACAGGCATGAGCCACTGTGCCCGGCCGTACCAGTTCTTTTTTTAAATACAAAAACTGAGAAGTGAAATGGAAAAATAAACTAGAGGTATATAAATTATAAGGCTACAGTTTTCATTAGTAGATTCAATAAACATAAAATCACTCTGCCAAATTGCTCTAAAGTTTTTCAAAGGGCCCTCTCCATTTCTTTACTTACTTGGTGGAAGAGCAGGACGAGCAGTATACCAGTGTGTGGACTGGCACCAGCCCAGATATCATACCTTAAGTACACTGCTCCAGGATACTATATCACCTGGTCTTCATCACCTCCGCTGATACTGTCAGTCACTTTGTTTCTCCACTTTGAATTTCCTGCATTTGTAGCAGTTGCCTCACCGCCTTTTGTTACCACCTATTCCTTTATTTCCCTTTTTTTTTGAGATGGGATCTTACTCTGTCACCCAAGCTGGAGTGCAGTGGCGCAGTGACAGCTCACCACAGCCTCAACCTCCCAGACTCAAGTTATCTTCCTCCCATCTCAGCCTCACAAGTAACTGGGACTACAGGCGTGTGCCCCCATGCTTGGCTTTTCTTTTTTTTTTTTTAATTGTTTGTAGAGACAGGGTCTTGCCATGTTGCCCAAGCTGGTCTCAAACTCCTGGGCTCAAGCAATCCTTCTGTCTCAGCCTCGCAAAGTGCTGGGATTACAGGTTTGAGCCACCATACCTGGCTGTTTCTCTTCTTGTTCCTGTTTTGAATTGTGCTATCTCTTTCTTCTCTTTGGATTCTTCTTCTTCTTCTTCTTCTTCTTTTCTTTTTTTTTTTATTTGAGATGGAGTTTCACTCTTGTTGCCCAGGCTGGAGTGCAGGGGTGTGATCTTGGCTCACCGCAACCTCTGGCTTCCAGGTTCAAGTGATTCTCCTGCCTCAGCCTCCCCAGTAGCTGGGGTTACAGGCATGCACCACCACAACCGCCTAATTTTGTATTTTTTTTTAGTAGAGACGGAGTTTCTCCATGTTGGTCAGGCTGGTCTTGAACTCCCGACCTCAGGTGATCCGCCTGTCTCGGCCTCCCAAAGTGCTGGGATTACAGGCATGAGCCACTGCACCCCGCCTTGGATTCTTCTGATCCCTATATGGCAGCTTCTAATTTTCCTTCTGTCTTCATTCCTCACAAGGTACATAGTCTTACCTCTCCCACCTCACTTTGGCCAAGGCCATGTCTGAGAGGCCTCAATATTATTCTTGAGAACTCCTGAGTTTTGGTAATCACAGAACTATCTCTTTTTTTTTATTTTGAGGCACAGTTTCACTCTGTCACCCAGGTACGATCTCAGCTCATTGCAACCTCCGCCTCCCAGATTCAAGTGATTCTCCTGCCTCAGCCTCCTGAGTAGCTGGGATTACAGGTGCATGCCACCATGCCCGGCTAAGTTTTGTATTTTTGGTAGAGATGGGGTTTCGCACTGTTGGCGAGGCTAGTCTCAAACTCCTGACCTCAAGTGATCCGCACGCCTCAGCTTCTCAAAGTGCTGAGATTACAGGTGTGAGCCACCGGATCTGGCCAGTCTCTTTGTCTGAAAAGCCTCTCTCTAGCCTTGGTCTCTACCATCATTTTAAGATACTTCATTGTCTCCTTCTGTAGTTTTTGCTGTCCTAAGCCTCTGCTTTGGACCACCAACTTTTAGCTTATGCATCTAACTTTTACATTTGTCTTTCAGCTCTTGACCTTCTTAGGACTTTCTAGTCTCAGATCTTCCACTGTCATAAAGTAATATCAAGCTGAACCTTCTTTTGTAACTTGTATTTGTATACGATAAAAACTAAACACCTAGCCACTTTGTTTTGTTACCTCATATTCGCGTTGACAAAAATAAGCTTCTAATCTTCTCACCTAAATATTGTAAGTTAAAAATATCAAGGATAATTTAAAAGGTAATTCTTTTCAGTCCTTGTAAAATAGTGGGACAGGTGCAGGAAGATAAAACAAACCTGATTGGGCAGAATAGCTTCTTCTGGCCCCTGTTAAAAATAAACACTGGGCCGGGCGCGGTGGCTCACGCCTGTAATCCCAGCACTTTGGGAGGCCGAGGCAGGCGGATCACAAGGTCAGGAGATGGAGACCATCCTGGCTAACACGTGAAACCCCATCTCTACTAAAAAATACAAAAAATTAGCTGGGCGTGGTGGCAGGTGCCTGTAGTCCCAGCTACTCGGGAGGCTGAGGCAGGAGAATGACATGAACCCAGGAGGCGGAGCTTGCAGTGAGCCAGGATTGCGCCATTGCACTCCAGCCTGAGCCACAGAGCGAGACTCCATCTCATCTCAATAATAATAACATTGGGCTGGGCATGGTGGCTCACACCTGTAATCTCAGCACTTTGGGAGGCTGAGGCAGGCAGATTACTTGAGCCTAGGAGTTTGAGACCAGCCTGAGCAACATGGCGAAACCCTGTCTCTATTGAAAAAAAAAAAAAAAAAACGAAAATTAGCCAGGTGTGGTGCGTGCCTGTGGTCTTAGCTACTTGAGTGGCTGAGGTGGGAGAATCACCTGAGGCCGGGAGGTTGAGGCCGCAGTGAGCCAAGATTGCAACACTGCACTCCAGCCTGGGTGACAGAGTAAGACCCTGTCTCGAATAATAGTAATAATAACAACACCTAGCACATAAAAAGTGTTTTTATCTTTCACTTGATTTTTACAACTCTGAGGGTACCAGGGCAGGCGTCTATTATCTCCAGTCTACATCTGGGGAAACTGAGACTTAGGGTGACTGCTCAGGTGAGGCAGTGTGTAGTGACAGAGCTGGTCTGAAATCCAGATGTTCTGACTTGTAGTCTAGTGCCTGTCAGTCACCATCCAGAAGAGGGAATTTTTTTTTTTTTTTTTTTTTTTTTGGGATGGAGTCTCACTCTGTCACCCAGGTTGGAGTGCAGTGGCGCAATCTCAGCTCACCGCAGCCTCCATCTCCCGGGTTCAAGCGATTCTCCTGCCTCAGCCTCCCTAGTAGCTGGGATTACAGGCGTGCGCCACTACGCCCGGTTAATTTTTGTATTTTTAGTGGAGATGGGGTTGGGCGGGGGGCGGTCCTCACCATGTTGGCCGGGCTGGTCTCGAACTCTTAAACTTCAAATGATCTGACCGCCTTGGCCTCCCAAAGTGCTGGGATTACAGTTGTGAGCCACCACGCCCGGCCCCAGAAGAGGGTTCTTAGAATTATTGTAGTCCTTGGGAAACCTCACCCAGGTGCCTCCACGGTTGGAAATCATTAGAAGCCAAGCAGAAAGTATAATACTGTCCATGAGGAGAACTTGTGAGATGTTGTATCATTCTGTTCCCTGCAGCTTTGAAGACAACTGAGCTAGCAAATGTCCAGAAGACAAAATTTTCAAGGAGTTGGAGTCACTTTCATATATGAACAGTGTAAAAGTTTACAATGCTTGGCCAGGCGTGGTGGCTCATGCCTGTAATCCCAGCACTTTGGGAGGCTGAGGTAGGTGGATCCCTTGAGGTCAGGAATTTGATACCGGCCTGACCAACATGGTGAAACCCTGTCTCTACTGAAAATACAAAATTAGCTGAGCGTGGTGGCGCATGCCCGCAATCCCAGATACTCGGGAGGCTGAGGCAGGAGAATTGCTTGAACCTGGGAGGCGGAGGTTGCAGTGAGCCGAGATTGTGCCATTGCACTCCAGCCTGGGCGATGAGCGAAACTCCGTCTCAAAAAAAAAAAAAAAGTTTAGAACTCTTTAGTTAGGAAAGACAGCCTAAGCATATATAATCAGAGTCTTTAAAGCGTTTAAGAGCATGGATAATGAAGACACGGATTTATTCACCTAATCTCAATTTGGATGAACTCCTTGAATATTGAGCATTATCTTAGAACAAAAAAGAAATAATTTGTATAACAAGTGATAAACCAGCCTGGGTAACATAGCAAGACCCCCATCTCTACAAAAGTTTTAAAATCAGTCGTGGTGGCAAATGCCTGCAATTCCACCTACCTGGGAGGCTGAGGCGGGAGGATCACTTGAGCCAAGGAATTCCAGGCTGCGATGAGCTATGATTGCACCACTGCACTCATTGAGCAAGACCCTGTCTCAAAAACAAAAAAGATGATATATGTGGCATCTATTATTCTGAAATTGTGTAGCTTCAAAGCAGATTTTAAAAAGGGCTTTAGGCCGGGCGCGGTGGCTCACGCCTGTAATCCCAGCACTTTGGGAGGCCGAGGCGGGCGGATCACGAGGTCAGGAGATCGAGACCATCCTGGCTAACACGGTGAAACCCCATCTCTACTAAAAATACAAAAAAAAAAAATAGCCGGGCGTGGTAGCGGGCGCCTGTAGTCCCAGCTACTTGGGAGGCTGAGGCAGGAGAATGGCGTGAACCCGGGAGGCGGAGCTTGCAGTGAGCCGAGATCGCGCCACTGCACTCCAGCCTGGGCGACAGAGCGAGACTCCGTCTCAAAAAAAAAAAAAAAAAAAAAAAAGGGCTTTAATAAATTCATGGATGGTAAAGCTGTAAATTTAATTAAATCACCTCAGATGCTTTCACAGCTATCATAACTATCATGGTCTTCCATGCAAATATCTCTTGGTACCACCATTAAAACAGAGGACTGGACAGGATGCTCTTGGTGATCCAGTGTGCCATTTCTTACCTTACATTCCCATGTAACAAACTAAAGCAACCCCTCTCCCTGCTTCACCTCTTCCCTGCATCGTTGAATCCACTTGCCAGATTTTTTATTGAGATAATTTGTGGGTGGACTTTTGTAACTTATTTTTCTACTGATCTCCTATCTTCCAGTCACTGAAATCTTGATGCACATGGTTTCCTGGTAATTTTTCATATTGTTTGTGTTAGCCACAGCTAACTTCTACCCAGAGTCCTTTAGTGAGGTGTTCATGGAATGATCAAACACCATCTTCTATTTGTTGTCTTTAGAATGTTCTGCTAGCTACACAGTTCATACCTATGGGCTCTCCTGTCACTCTGCGACAGTCCCCTTATATTCTCAGGCATAGTCCCACCTTCCTCCTTCCTCTTTTTCCCACTTCTGAGTCTTATTCAAGGTGTCCTAAACCCTTGAAGCAACCTCATTTTTATTTACCATACCATTCCCTTTTGCCCCCTTAAATTGAGGTTTTCAAAATTTGGCTGAATATTACAAAATGTCAGTGCTTGGACTCTGTGTCCAGAGGTTCTGTTGATCTGAGGTGTCAAAATCTCCACAGGCAGCTGGGCATGGTCGCTCACCCCTGTAATCCCAGCACTTTGGAAGGCCAAGGCAGGCAGATCACCTGAGGTCAGGAGTTCAAGACCAGCCTGACCAACATGGAGAAACCCCATCTCTACTAAAAATGCAAAAAATTAGCTGGGCGTGGTGGCACATGCCTGTAATCCCAGCTACTCGGGAGGCCGACCAGGCTGGAGTACAGTGGTGCGATCTCGGCTCACTGCAAGCTCCGCCTCCCAGGTTCATGCCCTTCTTCTGCCTCAGCCTCCTGAGTAGCTGGGACTACAGGTGCCTGCCACCACGCCCAGCTAATTTTTTGTATTTTTATTAGAGACGGGGTTCCACTGTGCTAGCCAGGATGGTCTTGATCTCCTGACCTCATGATCCGCCCGCCTCAGCCTCCCAAAGTGCTGGGATTATAGGCATGAGCCACTCCCGGCCTAGCTTTTAGATTTTTTAATTGAGGGTTTAGATAGTATGTCCTTTGGTACACATTTCAAATTCATGTTGCCATGATTTTTTGAATTCCCACTATGTGTAAGGCCCTGCATTCAGGCAGGTGGCAGGGTGCTCATCATGCACCTCCTCTTTGTGAGTGCAAGACTATGACCCTCCCTTGCCCTTCACTTGCCTGCCTCCCCAGTATGTGGCTTTGACTGTTGTTTCCTTTTTGACCCTTAGCAGAGAGCTATTGCACATCGGAGGCTTCAGCAAGAACATTCACTTCCCCCTTGGTTCTGACTTCCCGTTAGAGCAAGACAGTTTTTCAAGACAACCTGCATGTGATAAAGTCTGGCATGGGGACTACAGGAGGTTGCTTGGCAGCTGAACTCTCCCCTGAGAGCAGGAAACCTTTTTCCTGGAGGACAGGATATAGAGTTTGTTTAGATCGGACTTTTTTTGTTAGGGGGAGGTAGAGGAGATAGAGGAGCAAGTAGAAACTTTGAACCAACTTGTTTGTAAATCCTGAGCTCTCACCCCGACTCTCACCAGTGCCCTGCTTATTTGTAATAGCATCCTGACATCACTTGATTACCTCCAGGGTTTAGTTTTAAGCTTTCTCAGTGCAAAGGCCCCCCTTTGTTGCTTAGTTTTCTCTGGCGGCTGGACTGGGCCCAGTGGAAAGAGTGGGTGGGTGCTGGGAGGATTGCTGACCCTCCTCTCAGGCCCTTGACCTCTGTCTGGCACAATGGTACTTATGATAGCTTTTCCCAATTGAACATGATCCTGAGATGATTTGTGTGTAAACCCTGGAATCTTCTTAATTTTCAGGGAGTGATTATTGTTGGGAAAAAGAAGCAAATTGAGCTACTTTTAAACATACATATATAAGCTGGGCATGGTAGCATGTACCTATAGTCTCAGCTAACCCGGAGGCTGAGGTGGGAGGATCCCTTGAGCCCAGGAGTTTGAGTCCAGCCTGGGCAACATAGCAAGACTCTGTATCAATCAATCAGTCAATAAGATAAATACATATATAGCAACCAGAATTTTGTTGGGGAGGGAAGTTGCCATCATTCACTCTCCATCCTGACTTCCTCCTCTGCAGAAATAATTTTCTGCTACTCTTCCTAAACTCTCTGGAGAATTTTATGAGAGGGTATTTACAGCTCTCTTTTCTGTTTTGCAGATTATTACAGGAATGCCTGTTATTCCTCCATGTCTGGATCATCACCTGTTAAACTGGGGCACTAGGTCTCAGCGCTCATACATCATTGAAGCTATAAAACTACATTGAGCGAATAGTGGTTTGCTGAGACAAATAGAAGAGTGAGATTTGGGGGAAAGCTGGGTAGCTCATGTATTAAAAGCATGAAGGTGGCTGAGCCTGCAGGGAGTCCTTAGGAAAAGGGTGAGAAGACCTTGATAGGCCTGACTGTGTAAAGATGTAGCTTGGCCTTTTTCCTCTTCTTTTACAGAACAGTTCCTCTCCCCACTCTGGGGTGTCCAGACAGGTGCGGATCAAGGCTTCCCAGTCCGCAGGGGATATAAATACTATCTACCAGCCCCCCGAGCCCAGAAGCAGGCACCTCTCTGTCAGTGAGTATTTCAACCCTTTTTTCTCCCCCTCTATTTTATCTGCCCACATTTTAAAAAAGCAACAAGTATTTGTTAATTAAATAATCATCAAATATTTATTAACTATTACTCTGTGTAGAGTAATCCTTTATGCCTTTATTTTATTTAGAGAGGAAGGGCAAAGAAATAACTGGGATGGTATCCTGACTCTCAAGGAACTTAAAATATAATGATATAGTAGTGTGATTAAATTCCTTTTAAACATCCCTGAAAAAGTGATTGCCTCAGACATCTGCTTGAAGACTTCCAGCTGTGTTTACACTCACTTTTGACCATTCTTGTGAAGAATAGAGACTTGTAAAGTTAGGAATCGGGTCTAAGTTTGAATTTTGACCTTAAACCTCTTGCTTATGATTCCTGAGAAGTCTTTATACTTCAGGGAAGATAGTGACCAATGAAACTTTTGAGAGAGTCAAGCTAAGTTGTCTGGAAGGAAAGGAGACTATTGACATAGTACAGTCATTTCTCTGTGTTTGTAGGGGATTGGTTCCAGGACCCCTGTGGATGCCAAGGTCTGTGGATGCTCAAGTCCCTGAAATAAAATAGTGTAGTATTTGCATATAACCTACCCACATCCTCCTTCATAGTTTAAATCATCTCCGGGTTATTTATAATATGATGTAAATACTATGTAAATAGTTCTTATGCTATATTTTTATTTGTATTTTTTTGCTATTGTTATTTTTTATAATTTTCCATATATTCTCAATCTGTGGTTGGTTGAATCCACAGATGCAGAACCTGGAGATATGGAGGGCCAACTATATATACAACCCTCTGCTAACTAGTCAGAAAGCTCTGTGGCTGCTACCAGTCCTTCCCAGGACAGGAATCTAAATCAGGCCTGTGCATTATTACTTGTTAACCCAGGATTCCTGTGGATTCCACTTTTGGGAGTCTGGGGAGAAAGCCCCCATTTCTTGAATTGTGGAACTTGTATCAAAAGGGAAATCTGGTCTTATCAAACATCGTGTTGAGCCTGCTGCCTTAATGTTGTGGAGACCCCTGCTGCTGCTAGAAAGCCAGCTTTGCCCTTATCCATATAGGTAGAATTGCTTCAAATTGAAGTGTCCTCTGAAGATCCTGAGCTGAGCTTGAGAGATCTAAGCACTGATCCTGTTGCTGAGTTTGTCTGTTTGCAATATGCCTCCTGAGGGAGTTACAGGAAAAATATGTTTCTGAGGTACTGACTTTGCCTTACTGAGTAACTTCTGGAATCCAGGCAAGTACTGGTAGTAAGTATTGCCAGGCTGAAAGTCTGTATATGAATTTCAGATTTCTGTAGATAATTGGGGAATGTGTTGGTTGAGGATGGAGAGCTAGTACCCTAGCAAGGAGAGCCTAGCCACAGCGTCTCTGGCCCTGGAATCTGTGTGCCTCAGAGCCTGGGAAGCTCTGCCAGTTTGGCCTCTTTTCCGTAGTCCTTGTAGAGATTGAGGGGATGGAGGTGGGCAGCATGGTCCCTTGTAATCAGTAAGGATTGATGGGGCAGTAACTGGGTCTCTTGCCCCCAAGCAAGAGCCTATGATATGTGCATGGAGGCAGGGGCTAAATACTTAGCCACTGGACCCTTTCTCCATGTTACCGGGAGCTATATATGGAAATGATTTTCCTGGCTGAGAATGCTGAGGAGTGAGATTTCTGTGAAGTAGTTCCTGTTTATCTGGAAAATGGGCAACACGGCCTCTTAGCATACCTAGATCCTGGCTTCCTTCATTCAGCAAAGCATTAAGTACCAGCTGTTGGGCTGAGATGAATGCTGCAGTGAAGCATTTGAAAGAGCAAGGGTGGCTGGAGCAGATTCCGCCTGGGAGAGAGGGGCTTTCACAGAAAAGGTAACATCAGAGCTGACACTCCAAGGAAGATTTACTGAGCATCAAGTAGAGAGAGATATCTCAGGCATAGTAAGGAGCACCTGCCAGGCATGATCACAAAAGAACTTGGTGGGTTGAAGAACCCCAGGGGCTTTGCACTGTGTGTAGGGTAAGGTAGATGTGGCAAGAGAATGGGCTGAGCCTGTGAGCGTTTCCATAGAGCCAAGAAATGGGAGAGATGATTTCTAACTGGAATGATCTGGAAAATGCATTCTGAGGGGAGCTGTTCCAGCTGGACCTTGAAAGATTGTGGAGGATTTCCACAGGGGACAAGGGGAGAGAGGAGAGGGCTTTTAGACTATGTCTGTGGAGAGCTCGCTATTCTTCAGGTCCAGGCTGGCTGATACATTTGGAGGAGGAATAGAGAGGCCAAGAAAGGATGCCTGGGTGTTTTCTAAGGGACTCTCAGCTGCACTCAGACTCTTTTGGTAGGCAGTGGAAGCCACTGAAAATGTTTGCCCCTTATACCCATCACCATTATAATATTTATTATGTTGTCTTTTTTTTTTTTTCTCGAGACAGAGTCTCACTGTCACCCAGGCTGGAATGCATTGATGCCATCTCGGCTCACTGCAACCCCTGCTTCATGCGCTCAAGCAATTCTTCTGCCTCAGCCTGTTACAGGTGCACACCACCACTCCCTGCTAATTTTTGTGTTTTTAGTAGAGACGGGATTTCGCCATGTTGGCCAGGCTGGTATGACTCCTGACCTCAGATGACCACCTGCCTCGGCCTCCCAAAGTGTTGGGATTACAGGCGTGAGCCACCACGCCTCAACCTATCATGTTGTCTTATCTTTCTTCCATCATACTACGTTTTTGTTCATTCATTCAAAAGATAATTACTGGCTGGGCATGGTGGCTTATGCCTATAATCCCAGCACTTTAGGAGGCCGAGTTGGGTGGATTGCTTGAGCCTCAGGAGTTTGAGACTAGCCTGGGCAACATGGCAAAACCCCGTCTCTACAAAAAATACAAAAATTAGCCAAGTGTGGTGGTGCAAGCTTGTAGTCCCAGGTACTTGGGAAGCTGAGGTGGGAGGATCACTTGAGCCTGGGAGGCAGAGGTTTCAGTGAGCCATGAATGTGCCATGGTACTCCAGCCTGGGCAACAGATCAAGACCCTGTCTCAAAAAAAAAAAAAGTAATTACCAAAGTATCTACTATGTGCCAGAAATATGGGAAGCAAAAAAGACACAGGCCCTGTCCCTGTGGCCTTTACAATCCATGGAAAGACAGACATTTACTTCTTATGATGTGATTAATGTATAATTACAAACTGTGACTGAAAGGTGTGTGGTGCTGCAGGTGGGCTATAACTAAGAAATGGGCTGGGCATGGTGGCTCACGCCTGTAACCCCAGCACTTGGTGAGGCCGAGGTGAGTGGATTGCTTGAGGCCAGGAGTTTGAGACCAGCCTGACCAACACAGTAAAACCCCGTCACTAATAAAAATGCAAAAATTAGCTGGGCATGATGGTGAGTGCCTCTAGTCCCAGCTACTCAGGGGGCTGAGGCAGGAGGATCACTTGAACCTGAGAGATCGAGGCTGCAGTGAGTGGAGATTGCACCACTGTACTCCAGCCTGGGTGACAGAGTGAGTGAGACTCTGTCTCAAAAAAAAAAAAAAAAAAAAAAGAAAGAAAGAAAGAAATGGTGGGCTATAACTAAGGGATGGGACCTGATCCTGATCTTGGGGCCAGGAAAGCCTTAGGCATGAATGGGATTTGGGAATTAGGCAAAAGGGATGCAAGGAAGAGGGTTCCAGGCAGGGGATGTTACAAGAGCAGAGACTTGATGGCAAGAGGAAGTGTGGTATGTCAGAAATGGAAAGAAGTCCAGATAGCTGGAGAGCTGGGAGCAAGGGGAAGGGGAGGGCAGGATGAAGCTGGGGAGGGAGGCAGAGCCTTGTGGACCCTGGTTAAGATTCTGATCATTGCATGGAAAGTAGTGAAAAGCTACTTTAGAGTTTTTAAGTGAAGAGGAGTGGGTGATGTTACATATTCGTATTTGTATTTTGAAAAGATTGATCTGGCTACAGTGTGGATAACAGATTGGAGGGGGCAAGAATGCATGCAAGGGAACTGCATTAGGCTAATGCAGTGGTCCAGGTAAAGAAAACTGGGCTTGGAGTAGGCTGATGAAGTGGAGAGAGGAAGGAGCAGGTGAACTTGTGACATTTAGAGGTAAAACTGACAGAACATGGCGTTTTGGTGGTTCTCAAAGTGTGTTCTGGGGATCCTGGGGAGTCCCTTGGATCCTTTGACCCTGTGAGTTCAAAATTATTTTCTTTTTTTTTTTTTTGTGACGGAGTCTTGCTCTGTCACCAGGCCGAAGTGCAGTGGTGTGATCTCGGCTCACTGCAACCTCCGCCTCCCGGGTTCAAACGATTCTCTTGCCTCAGCCTCCCAAGTAGCTGGGACTACAGGCATGCGCCACCACACCCAGCTAAATTTTGTATTTTTAGTAGAGACGGGGTTTCACCACGTTGGCCAGGATGGTCTCGATCTCTTGACCTTGTGATCCACCTGCCTCAGCCTCCCAAAGTGCTGGGATTACAGGAGTGAGCCACCACGCCTGGCCCTCAAAATTATTTTCATAATCATGCTAAGACATGACACTCAATTCTCTCACAAGGGTACAATGGAGGTTTCCAGAGGTCAGGTGCCTGAGGTGATGTCATCACCGTAATGGCTTAATGGCATGTGTGCTTGTATATGATTGTATTCTTAAAATTTCTTTTTTCCTCCACTGGTTTCTCCTGAGAAAATGTTTTTAAAATTTCTGAGTTTTAATTGCAAATACAGTAAATATCAGTTGATATATCCTACATAAATGAAAGCTAAGTGGCCTCAGTTTTAAGGTACAGAGGGGTTCTAAGACCAAAAGGCTTAAGAATTACTATAGTATTGGATTGAATTTGCAGGTGTTTTCAGGAGGCTAAGGTGGGAGGATGGCTTGATTCCAGGAGTTTGAGCTTAGCCTAGACAACATAATGAGACCCAATATCATTTAAAAAAAAAAAAATGAGGCCAGGTTTGGTGGCTCACATCTGTAATCCCATCACTTTGGGAGGCCGAGATGGGTGGATCACCTGAGATTAGGAGTTTGAAACCAACCTGACCAACATGGTGAAACCCCGTCTCTATGAAAAATACAAAAATTAGTTGGGTGTGGTGGCATGCGCCTGTAATCCCATCTACTAGGGAGGCTGAGGCAGGAGAATTGTTTGAACCCGGGAGGCGGAGGTTGCAGTGAGCCGAGATGGTGCCATTGCACTCCAGCCTGGGCAACAAGAGCAAAACTCCATCTCAAAAAAAAAAAAAAAAAAGGAAGGAAGAAAAAATAATTTGCAGATATTGAGAGAGAGGGAGGTAAATTACTGCTTTGTGGAGATGAATAAATGGCATCGCCTTTCACTAAGACAGGAATACTGGAAGAGAGCCTGGTTCCAGGTGCTGGGAAGGGGCAGACTTAATGTTTTAGACATGTTGGTATTGAAGTGCCTCTGATACAGCCAACAGGAGATATCAGAGAGGCAGTTAGATATATAGGTCTCTAGCTCAGAGGGGAGAAAATCAGGGCTAGTGAAAAAATATTGGAAATTGTTATGTTGAAACCATGCACCCAGGCGAGAGTGCCTAAGCAGAGACTATAGAATGAGAAGAAAAGAGGGTCCATGATTGAGCCTTAGGAACCCAACACTTAGTGGCCAGTTAGAAGAGGATGAGCCTGTGAAGGACACAGAAAAGGAGTAACCAGAGAAGTAGGAAAGGAAATTAGGAGTGTGGGGAGAAGGCATTACACAGAACCAGCCAGGTTGGTAAGGACAGACCAAGGGTAAGAGACAGAAACCTGTTATTTTCATTCACAGATGTTTGAGTGCTTGCTGTGTGCTGGTACAGACAAGACTTTCTGGAAGGGAAACAGAGACAGAAGTCAAGGTATAGCATGAGAGACTTGGAAAAGTCCTAGCAGTAGAAATGGGGTCCAAGAAGTCCTTGGTTAGTAAGCCTTAGCAATTCAGCCTTCCACTGGGTTCCTCTGTTGCCTCCTTGCCATCATCGTTTACATACATGTGAATATTTAGTGAGTCTGCAGCAAGCAGGCTACTCAGTTCACACTGGAACATTTGCATTGATGGGGAAGCGCAGGGTAGCCCAATCAAATTCCAGACATGTATATTTGAAATTCTTCTTTATTTTGGATTGAAAATCAGCTTTCTCTCACTTTACCCACTGATTCTAGTGCTGCTCCCTTGAGCAACAGATAAACACAGATAAAATCTTTCATATGACAGTTTTTCAAACATGTGAAGCCAGGTATCATGTTTACCCTTTGTTGTTTCCATCATAATATGCATACCTTGAATTCCAGGTTTTTTTCAGGCCATTTAGTCTGTTAAACTAGTTCATGCTAAACAAAACAGAAACAAACAAAAAAAACCCTACTAAGTAATGAGTTAATCCAAAGGAATTAATCTCTCTGTGGGGAGATCACTAGGCAGATAGGTGGAATTTCCTTACCTGAAGACATCCTCTCTCATACCTTGGCCTACGGAAATTCTACCTACCTTTGAAGCTCAAGCACTATTTTTCCATGATACATTGGGTGGTGCCCTTAAGCCATGTAACCAAGCCTCAACTAAAGGACTTGTCGGCGGGGTGCAGTGGCTCATGCCTATAATCTTAACACTTTGGGAGGCCAAGGCGGGCAAATCACCTGAGGATGGGAGTTCAAGACCAGCCTGTCCAACATGGTGAAACCCTGTCTGTACTAAAAATACAAAAATTAGCCAGGTATGATGGCAGGTGCCTGTAATTCGAGCTACTCGGCTGCTGAGGCAGGAGAATTGCTTGAACCTGGGAAGCAGAGGTTGCATTGAGCCAAGATCGTGTCACTGCACTCTAGCCTGGACAGACTCTTGGTCTGTCTCAAAAAAATAAAAAATAAATAAAAATTATCCAGGTGTGGTCGTGCGCATCTGTAATCCCAGCTACTTGGGAGGCTGAGGTGGGACAATCACTTGAACCCGGGAGGCGGAGGTTGCAGTGAGCTGAGATCGTGCCACTGCGCTCCAGCTTAGGCAACAGAGTGAGACTCTGTCTCAAAAAAAAAAAAAAAGGACTTGTCCCTGCTACATTCTGACTCCTGTATGGTCTAAGTTCATCTTGTTAAGTGCCTTTGCCTCAGTTCTCACTCTGTCTTTCTCCTTATCTTGCCACTTTGTCCCATAGTGAGGCAAGCCATACTCCAACGCCTGAGTGGAGGCAATCAGGTTTTTCTGGAGTTTGGTAGTGAAATGGTGGACCTGCCAGTTGCAGTGGTGCGTACCTGTAATCCCAGCACTTTGGGAGGCCAAGGTGGGTGGATTGCTTGAGCCCAGGAGTTCGAAACCAGCCCAGGCAACATGGCAAAACCCCATCTCTCTGTCACCCAGGCTGGAGTGCAGTGGTGCCATCATGGCTCACTGCAGCCTCAACCACCGATCCTCGCCTCAGCCTCCCAAATAGCTGGGACCACAGGTGCTTGCCACCATACCTGGCTAATTTGTTTTTTGTAGAGATGAGTTCTCACTATGTTGCCCAGCCTGGTCTTGAATTCCTGGTCTCAAGCAATCCTTCTACACCTCAGCTTCCCAAAGTGCTGAGATTATAGGTATGAGCCACCATGCCCAGCCCAGGATGTTCTTAGGCTAGAGATATGAGGAAGTGTATGAAGGGAGGGATAAAGACAGCTGAAAAGGAGGGGTTAAAGGTGATGAAGAGGAGACCATGGGGGAGCTGACTCCTGCTGGAGATGAATCGAGTCCAGGTAGAGGGTTTATAATACTTTTGCAAGGAAGAGAGGAGCCCTCTCTGCCTCTGAGAGACATGGAGGGAAAATTCAGGCAGAGGACAAGAAAGAATGTTGAAAGGATGAGGGTAGATTATAGCGACAACTGGGCAGTAAACAGAGAGCAGTGCTCAGGACCAGCTTCCAGTCCTAGTACCGATTTGAAAGGGTAGAAGCCAGGACTGTAGAGGTAGTGACCATACACTTGGAAACAAAATGGTTAGCTTCTTTCATCTTCAAAGGTTTTTTTTCCCTCCTTGCTATAAGTTCTATGATGCTACATGAGATCAGAAACTTTGATGGTGGTAGCAGCTCCAAAATAAAATGGGAATTTTGAAAGTTGAAACATAGAAGATGTTCTTAGGGTCTTATGGAAATTCTACCCACTACTGTGTTCTACAGAGTGTGGTCCACTGTGAGCATATTGGTAAATATTAGTTAAGATTTTCTATTGAGAAAGAAAAAAAGTTTGATTTCTCTCCCCATCTCATCTGTCCCTGAAGAGAGAAAAGAGTTTAGGAAATAGTTAGTGGCCAAAAAAGCTATCTCTTTATACTTGCAGTGACCTGCACATTAACACTGACCCAAAGCCCTAGAACTCCCTGCGGAGACAACTTCCTGACTGCATCAGCTTCCTGATTAGGGTTCTGCTATGAGAAGGGCTAGAATCTGAGAGCCTGTCGTTCAGCTTTAAGTCAGAGTACAAAGCAAAAGAACCTACCATATCCGAGGGTGAGAGTGTATCTTTGACTCTGCTTCTTTGGGTTAAGGAGGCTGGTAGAGAGCTAGCACGCACTGGGTGGAATGAGGATAGCTGGCAGCTTAAACCCCGCTTTTCTCCTTCTGTGTAAAATACCTTCATGGGAAACTGTGGGCCTCTCTCTGAACAGTGGAACTGCTACTGTGCTCCTTTGCTTCAGCTGGTGGCACAGGTGGCGCAGTGAGGCTAGAGCAAGTTCAGGCTGGAATACCAGGGAAAGGTGTCCCAAGAAAGCCTGTGACCCCTGCCTATGCAGCCTTCTGAGACCTACGGAATGAGCTGTTTTGCATAGCTCTGTGCTTTGGGCTGTCTGGCTCATTGCTATCACTGCTGGTAAATACGTAGTTTTATGGTCCAGTATCCTATCCTGTTTAGCTCCCTGTCTCACTTGCTCTCAACTGTTGTGTATCTCATTGGCTCCCAATTTCTGAAATGAAGATTAAAAACAAAACTGAAAATGCCCTGGAGCAGTTCTGCCAACTCCTGGTTTTTCCATTCGGTTCCTCTGATAGCCACTGGTTTGGGGAGACTTCCTTTTCCTGCTCCAGCCTGTGGGCCTGTGCACAATAGCCGCTGGCACATAGCCCATCAGATAACAAGGCTGGCTCTCTGCAGGCACAGTGTGGATTGGAAAAAGTGAAAGTTTCTGGCTGGAAATAAAAGCTCAGAAAACCTTTGCTATTTTTCCCCCCAGACCCTCCTGGGTCTGTAGTGCTGGCCTCCTGTGAGCTAGTCCCATCCCACCTGTAAAACCAGGGGAGAGTTCAGTGCAGCTGATGAAGGAGGGGACAGGTGTCAGGGGGACCATGGATATTTTATCCCAGGGAAGTCTCACCCCAGACACTCCATGTAACAGATTGAGGGCATTTCATCCTGCCTAGGCATAGTTTGGACCAGTGTCTGAGGTTTCATAAATAAGAGTTTTTCTTTCTCTCCAATCAGTCCCTTACAAGAGACATTTTTATTTGTTCTAGGTAAAATGTATAATACAGCTCCAGAGTGTGTTGGTCAGAGTTCAGTTGTGCAGAGGAGAACCCACTGTAGCTAGTTTCAGGAAGAAGAGGTTCCATAAACCAGAGGTGCACATTGTGGATTATGGAATCAATGAGGGAAGAAAGAGAAGCAGCCTCTAGGTTAAGACACACCACAGAGCGTCCTCCCTCTTCTGTAATCAGGAAGCCACCGGTCCAGAAGTCCAGTGCCCCTCAGGTCTGGTCCACACCTGTCAACATCGGCAAAGCTGGAGACCAGGTGTGGGGCCTCTGCTAACACTGTGGCAGAAAAACCAAAGGCTTCTGTGACTGCTCAGGAACAGCAGGAAGCCTGTTAATCTCATAGAAGTGCATGTGATTAGCTGAATCTAAAGAAAGTCTTAGAAATACAGCTTTTAGCCAGTTAGCTTCTCAAGTACAGGAAGGCACAGTAGAAGGGTGGAATCCATCTTACGCCTACCCCATATATCTGCCACATAGAGTGAAGGGTACAAATGGGATTCTACGGAGTTCCTACTGTGAGATGGGGTTATGCGGATATGTACCTGTGCCAGCACATTTATAACTTCCGAAAGAAATTATGAGGTAGATAGTTCTCCCCATTTTTGCAGTTGAGGAAATTGAGGTGAGAGCTTAGATCATTTAGCTAATGAGTGGCAAAGCCTGATCTGAACCCACGTATATCTAATTTCAAAGCTTAGTCTTTTCTCCGTGCACCTCACTTACCTCCTTAGAGTTGCTTCTGCTGCTGACAAATGTTGCTGACATGTGGATTGAATTGCCATAGAACTTGTGGACTACCAAGATGTCATCCAAAGCTAAAAGTAGGAAGCAGGCAGTAGGCTAATTTTTATAAGCAAAGGGTTAAATAGTGCTCTCTCTGTGTTTTGTGACATGATAAGACTTAGGAAAACCATCCTTTTTTTACAGTTGCACTGGAATTTTGTGTTACAGTAGCAAGGGAAACAGCCAGGTACATGGGTCTGTGAGGTCTGGGTCACTGGAAAGTGGAGTAGTTCCCTTGGTCCAGATTTCCCCTAAACCTCCATCTTGTCTTTGCCTACAAACCCTCTGTTGGCCAAGCGGCATTTTGTATTCCTGGCCTCTGACTCCCAAATGACCATGGAGAAAACAACTCTGAATTTGAGCTGCATGAAACATGCCACTGTGGATGTGGCTCACACCTGTAATCCCTGCACTTTGGGAGGCTGAAGCAGGAGGATCCCTTGAGCCCAAGGAGTTTGGGGCTACAGTGAGCTATGAACACGCCACTGCACTCCAAAGAAAGAAAGATACATGGCACTGTGCTTCCCCTGTGCTGCCAGGAAGTCCCCACGTTAGCCTCCCTCCCACACCTGGCAGGCTGTCATATTTCCTTGTGGATGGGATCTCCATCCTCCATAGGGATTACTCATGGGGGACAGATGGCCTGGCCAGTTCAAGGAGAAGTTATGTCTTGTGCCACTGTGTTGAGCAGCATGCCTGCCCTTTTTGGAAATAAATTATGGTCCCCAAATTGCCTTGGCTGAACTGTATGAGAGTCACAAAGCCTGTTTTCTCGCTTCGGCCCCACCATAAAGTCACTTTATGGCTTTGGGGCTTGGGTTTCCCTCTGCGCAATGTGGATGATGATAATGCACCACCACTGCAGGGGTGTAGTAAGGGTTAAATGAGAGGTGACAATATTTTTTTAAGAAAAAAAAATTGCCTTGACTGATTTTATTGCTCTGTTAGTTCATGGTACAATATCCCTAAATTTACACTCAGAGTAACTTTAGTTTCTGTTAGGACTTAGAAAATAGGACAAATTCTCTTCCATGGGCTGTTTGAGACCATTGCAAAGGCATGGCTCAGATACCACTTTATCTCAGAATTGGTGGCCTCTACCCTGTGAGTGAGATGTTGAGACAGGAAATCCAGCAAAATTCTATGCCTGTTTTCAGAGCAATTTTGTTTCTGGCCTTTGCTCTGGAGTCAGGTGGGGAGGCCAGATTACTGAGGACCCCATGTTAGCTTTCCTGCCAGAGAGACATCCTTGGAGGGAGGCTGGGGTGATGTGTCCAAGAAGAGATTGGAAGTATTCTCCAATACCAGTTCAGTGGTGAATTCTCAAAATGTATTCAGCACAACCACATGAACCATATGTTCTGAACAACTGACTTAATATAGAAGAATTAAAGAGTCAGTTTCAACTGGGTGCAGTGGCTGACGCCTGTAATCCCAGCACTTTGGGAGGCTGAGACAGGCAGATCACCTGAAGACAAGAGTTCAAGACCAGCCTGGCCAACATGGTGAAACCCTGTCTCTACTAAAAATATAAGAATTAGCTGGGTATGGTGACGGCCACCTGTAATCCCAGCTATTCAGGAGGCTGAGGCAGAAAATTGCTTGAACCCAGGAGGCGGAGGTTGCCTTGAGCCAAGATTGTACCACTGCACTCCAGCCTGGGCAACAGAGCAAGACTCCGTCTCAAAAAAAAGAGTCAGTGTCAGTTTCTTAAAGGTCATTGAAAAACAATAGTTTAAGCTTCTTAGAAAATGTCTTTCAAAAAGCAACCCTCTGGCCAGGCATGGGGGCCCATGCCTTTAATCCCAGCACTTTGGGAGGCCAAGGCTTGAGACCAGCCTAGGCAACATAGCGAGACCCTGTTCCTAAAAGTGCACACACACACACAGAGCAAGCCTCCCCGCCATTCTTTTTTTCCATTAAGTATTTTTCTTCCTTCTGAGGGTCTTTGAAATAGTGGGAGTCTCTCTGGCTCAGGGAGTTTGTTGAGCTCCATCAGTCTGTCAGGCCCACCCTCTTTTCCGGGATGTTCTAAGACCCTGGACTGGGCTCTTGAGCACCCTCTGCTGTAGATGCTTAGTCCCTGGTGCACTACCTCTACTTCCAGGTACAGGCTGAGTGCTCCTGGCTCCACATGAGCTTTGTTGTTTTGTCTATGAGACAGGGTCGCACTCTATCACCTATGCTGGAGTGCAGTGGTCCAAACACGGCTCACTGCGGCCTCAACCTCCCAGGCTCAAGCAGTCCTCCTGTCTCAGTCTTCCAAGTAGCTGGGTCCACAAGTGTGCGCCTGGCTAATTTTTAAAATATTTTTTGTAGAGATGGGGTCTCACCATGTTGCCCATGCTGGTCTCAAACTCCTGGCCTCAAGCATTTCTCCTGCCTCTCGAAGTGTCGGGATAATAGGTGTGAGCCACTGCACCTGGCCACACATGAGTTTTTGAGCAATAGGAAATATATATACATATATGTATAAACATGTATACACACACACATACATAAAACTAAAACTGTGTATCTCAGATTTTCCATCTAAAACTGGTCTGGACTAGGGATCTATCATCAAGAAAGGAGAGAAGCCAGGCATGGTGGCACCTGCCTGTAGCTGAAGGGGGAGGATTGCCTGAGCCCAGGAGCTCAAGACTAGCCTGGGCAACAGAGTGAGACCCTGTCTCTGAAACAAAACAAAACAACAAAACAGAATAGAATGAGTCAGGTACTTCCCTAGGTCTCCAGCTACCAAACTTGGTCTCTCTTGCTTCCTTAGCCATTTCCACAGAGCATCTTGCCTGCAGTTCCATTTCAGAAAACCTAGTGCTACAGCCCCTGAACTAGACTGGAGAAACCAGCCAGCAAGGAAAGTAACCTGCATTGTTGAGGGATGGTACTACTCTATTCCTGGTGTCTGGGAATTGCTGGGTCGTGGGAGAGAGGTAAGGGGTGGTAGATAAGGGAATGGAGGGCTCTTGTGTCTCTGGTTTTCTAAACAACAGGATAAATTTGTTCCCTTCAGAACAGGAAAAGGGTTCAGGATAAGAGTCTTACGTTTAAGTTTTGAAGCTACAAGAAATATTTGTGTGGGTATAGTTAAAGCTTTTTTTAAACCTTCTGAAAATTGGCTCTTCTGGTTTGGTGAGCTTAGGAAGGAAAAAAGATGCAAACTTTTGGCCTCATTTTTGTCTTCTCTGATCATGGAAAGCAACACAGCCAGTCAGAAAAAGCTCTTGGGCTAGGAGGAAGGAGGACCTGATTTCTCGGACTCAAAATCCCTTATGGCAGAAAAACATTGCTCAGTGACTTACAAAGTGTGTCATTTGTAAGACTGCACACCTCTGTCATTCACTAACATTAGGATGATAAACCATTTCATCTTACAAGCTGATGTGGTGAAAGTACCTGTTAATTGGTTTTATAGTCTCTTATCTGTAAAACATAAATAATTGTTTTTGGGTGTTTTGGGTTTTTTTTTTTTTTAAGATTTAAGTTCCTTGAGTCTCCGTCTCCTCCTCTGTTAAGTAAAGCAAATGCTTACCTCTCAGGATTGTTGAAAGGATTAAGTGAAGTAACAAATGTAAAAATACCTTGTGGAATGATTGCCACTTAGCAGCCACTCAAAAAATATTTGCCAAACCTCTGTTGTAGAGATGTTGAAAATCAAATGAGGTTAATTACTGTGAATGTGTAACAAAAAGTAAAGCACCACATAAATGCAAGATAATATCATTACTCAGACCAACCTGAGCAACATAGTGAGACCCTGTCTCAATTTAAAAAAAAAAAAAAAAAAGGTAATATCATTACTCATAAGCCAGGAAGTGTGGGAGTGGGTAGGAATGGAGAAGCCTGCCTTTTGATCCTGGCCAGACCATCACGAAGGCCTTTTTACCTGATACAAGTAGAGAACAAATAAGGGGAGACACTGGCTGGGGGAACAGGGCAACAGAGAGAGATGCACAGGTATATTCAGTTACCTTTCCCTGGTCCCCACCCTCAAAATACTGCTTGGACCCAAAACTAAAGAGGACTAAGCTGATGTATTGAGCTGATGGGAGGAAATGGCATTAGTGCTCTAGAGGAAGAGAGAAGGTGACATTATGAAGGAGTAATTATATATAAGAATTTTTTTAAAAGCTAGTCTGATTGCCAGCTAAAATGGTCTCCTAGGGGTTATTCTGGTTTCTGTTTTGTGTCAAGGTTTTTTTGGTCGGATATGCCGTAGTGCCTGCTCCATCTCTGGAGTTTGTTTCCTATTAGGAAGGGACTTTGTTTGCCTGAGGGAGCTGGCACATGCTGGACGTTGGTGCCATGACCCATCTGAGTCACATTCCTGACCTCTAGGGCCTAATAGTTGGCCCCATGCCTGCTCCTCTTGGGCCACACACCCTGGGCTCTGTTGTTGAAAGCCTCCTTTATGTGCTCTAGGCTCCCAGAACCCTGGCCGAAGCTCACCTCCCCCTGGCTATGTTCCTGAGCGGCAGCAGCACATTGCCCGGCAGGGGTCCTACACCAGCATCAACAGTGAGGGGGAGTTCATCCCAGAGACCAGCGAGCAGTGCGTGAGTATAGGGGGGCTGGGATATGCCTGTGGCCTGTATCAGCAGACCAAGCTCATAACAAGGGGTTCTTAGTAGTCACAGTGCAGAACTGAGGGACATGAACCCCATTTGAAAGCTCTTTTATAAACCAGGCCTGCCCAAATATGGATTGTCCCTTTTTAAGGGCCAAATAACAATTTCTGCCAAAGATGGGATCTAAAGGATCTAAACTACATAGTTTCCTTGTTGTTGGGTGAGGATTTAACAGATTTTTCTTCATCGTGGTCCTCTCATTGTTCCTACAGGCAGGCACCACCACGCCCAGCTCATTTCAGTAGTGTTTTAACATACGACTGGTTCTAAAGTGACAGGTTATGTTTTTCATTGGATATATTTTAGTTTTGCTGTTTCTTGATGAAAGGTAAGGAGTAAACCATATCAAAATTACACTGTAGGATTGGTTAGGCTGATCATTTATGATGGTAGACAGTTGTATTAGTTATCTATTGCTCCATAACAAATTACCACAAACCTAGAGGCTTAAAACAATATACATTTATCATTTTCCAGTTTCCCTGGGTGAGGAGTCCAGGCATGACTCAAATGGGTCCTCTGCTGAGGGTCACACAAGACTGCGATCAAGGTGTCAGCCAGGCTGCCTGCCTTTCTTGAGTTTGAGGCTCTTTTCTAAGCTCAGATGGTTGTTGCCAGAATTCAGTTTTTTTGTGGCTGTAGGACTGTGGTTCCTCTTTTCTTCTGAATGTCACCCAAGGGCTTCTCTGAGTTCCCTTCCTAGAGGCCACCTGCAGTTCCTTGCCATGGGGCCCTCTCACAACATGGCAGCTTCTTCAAAGCCAGCAGGAGAATCTTTTGCTCCAATCTGCAAAGATGGAGTCATAAAACATCACATAATCATAGGAATGAATATTCTATCCTCTTTGCCATAGTCTATTGGCTAGACTCACGTCACAGGTTCTACTTGCACTAAAGGGAAAGGCAGTTCATTGGGACTAATTGGAAGAGGGAGCAATCACCTTAGGGTGTGTCTACCACAGTGGCTCAGCCATTTTAGTGGCTAGCTTTTAAATTGGTGGCTTACTTGATGCAAATGGCAATTTGGCTTAGTGAACTCACCAAGCATGAGATCTCTAGCTTCATTCTGGTCTTTTCAATAAACTTGCTTTGATGTAAAAGAAAAGGCTGCTCTTACACTTTCTGGGCTTGGCCTGAGAAGGGGAAATTTCTTAAGGGGAAAATGTCCAACAGAAGGGCCTGTGCTGTCACATGGGAGATCTTATAAAAAGCTGATTCTTGTAACTTTTCTTTCATTATTCAAACTATGTAGGCTATGAGAAGCCCTTTGTACTCTTCTTCCTTCTATACTCCTGCCTTCCAGATAAATTCATGTTTGGAGTAGTGACCTGGAGTGCCATTAGCTGCAGATTTCCTTTTTGGGCATTTTACTGACCATCCTTTCTGGTTTCTCTAACCAGGGCACTTCTGGACATCAGCTGTTCTAGGGGTGACTTGGGTGTAAAATCCCAGAGATTGCAGATGAGCTTGATTGCCCTCAGTCTATGTCCCTCGCCATGGTCCTATACTCTGCCCCCTTCACTTTTTTACTTTGCCTGCATGGCCCTGGAAGGCCTGGGAGGATTTGACTCCCAGTGAGGACAGACTTTTAGAAAGAGGCCAAGGAAGGCAGTGGTTGGGGATTGCCAAGGTCCTCCCCCAGCGCCTGCCTCTTTAGCTGAAGAGAATTGCTCCTGGTAACAGGCCATTTGAGATCAATCTGCTTAACAGGAACGAACACTGCATAGTATGTAATAAAAGAATATTCCAGTGTGACTTTACTGAAAAGTGAAAATATGATAAGTTTTGTTTTTTCTTTAATCAGGTTTAAGCAATAATTGCATCTATTTACTAATTTTTAGAATGAGCAAAGCATGATTCATGTTAATTTTTTGGCCTAATTTTTCCAACAAAAATTATGTCAGTCCGGTCGCAGTGGCTCATAGCTGTAATCCCAGCACTTTGGGAGGCCAAGGCAGGAGGATTGCTTGAGGTCAGGAGTTCAAGACCAGCCTGGGCAACATAGCAAAACCCTGTCTCTACAAAAAAAAAAAATTTAATTAGCTGGGCATAGTGGCACACCTGCCTGTAGTCCCAGCTACTCGGGAGGCTGAGGTGGGAGGATCACTTGAGCCCAGGCTGCAGTGAATTGCACTCCAGCTTAGGTGACAGAATGAGACCCTGTCTCGAACAACAGCACCAACAACAAAATGCTAGCACAATGTAACGTCCTTCACTCCCTGCTTGACTTCTAACCATAAAGAACGTCATTTTTTACAAGAGCGTTCACAGGACTCAGCAGTTTTCCCCAAGGCCTCTTGTGAATCTTTGGTATTCTTCCTCCACCACACCTGCCATGTTATTTATTTGTCCATTTTGTCTTTTTCTGTTAACTAGTCTAAATTTGCCAAATATGCATCTGATGGATTTAAAGCAATTCTCTCCGATGTTGGTTTCATCCACTTTGGCTATCCTATATCCTTAGCAACATTTGCAGTTTTACTTTGCAATTAATTTGCCTTGATTGGCAGATTTTAAAAAATCATGTGTGACAACATGACTTAAAGCATTTGAAATTATGGGTGGGGATGGACCCTGGTATTAAATGGGAAAAAATATTTGAGTTGGAAACTAATTTTATGGAGGTCGTTAGTGAATTTTCATAATTCTGATACTTTGTTTCCCTATGTAATTTTTTAAAATTAATTAAAAAAATATTTAAACAGAAACAAGATCTCACTATGTTGCCCAGGCTGGTCTTGAACTCCTGAGTGCAAGTGATCCTTCCCTCTCGGCTCCCAAAGTGCTAGGATTACAGGCATGAGCCACCAAGTCTGGCCCCTATGTAATGTTTAATGTTGGAGCTCGGATAATGAATATTCTGAAATTGAAGACCCCACCCCAACTTTTGTGCAGAGAAAATGAAAGGGAGGACCTTCAGGACATTGATTGGAGAAAAAGGGATTCCAAAGGCCTTTTGTTGCTGCATTTGACCAGGGGCCAGAGAAATATTTTATTATATTTAGATATCTATTACCTCTGCATTGGACCAGGAACTGGGACATTTTTGTTCTGGTATCAGCTGTGCACTAACTAGTTTTATGACTTTAGACAAGTCTCCTAACCTTTCTAGGCCTGTAGTGCTCATCTGTGAAATGAGGCAATCCTTGTCTTTGTAAATTATAAATTATGGAGTGTAAACAGAAGCATTAAGGTCCCACCCGAACTCACTGGAAGGCTCAGCAGGGTAGTACCATCTCCAGCGCCAGGCTCCAGTGTTAATGAGCCAAGAACATGCCAACAAGAAAAGCAGAGCCTCTGCTTTGCTCTCCTGCCAGAGCTCCTTGGGATGCCAGCCAAGCATTTTTCTCCCTCCTGGAAACTTGCCTTTCAAACTAAGGGGGAGGATGGTACCTTTCTAACTATTCTTCCCATTGCATGGGGAGAAAAAGGACACTTTCATGTTTTGACAAAAAGGCCCATTTGCTGGCCCTTGCCATAAAGCCTGGGTCACTGGGGGGAATTGGGGCTGGGGGTGTGGCTTCATTGTTTGACTTGCCTTACAGATGCTGGATCCCCTGAGCAGTGCAGAAAATTCCTTGTCTGGAAGCTGCCAATCCTTGGACAGGTCAGCAGACAGGTATGGGACTGTGGGTGGTTTGGAGGGTAATGCATAGGCATTTTTGGAATTGATGGGTTGAGGAAGAAGAGTTAGCTCTGGAGGCCCAGGGTTAAAACATCATGCTTCTAGGAAAAGCCTTCTCCTTAATTTCCCCAACACCACGAGAATGTTATGATGGCATAATTAAATGAATGTAATAATAGCTCATAAAATAGCAGCTCATTTATTAAGTACTTGCTTTGTTGTTCTAAGTGCTTTACATGTTTTGACTTTCCATATAATATATGCCGCTCTCGTACTTTTGGCCTCACTGCTGTGATCTGAACTGAGAAGGAGTGGACTGTCAGTGTTTTAGGGGGAGAACTGAATTCTCATCCATTGCTTTACCATCATTTTTTATTCCAAGTGTTTTTGGTGGAGTAAGAAACTGAAACCCAAAAACAGAATATCCAGAATGCCTAGTGTACCATGCCACCTGCTTGGTGTATATCTTCTTCTTACACTTTGGGAGGAAACAAGTGGTGTCCTTTACATACCAAATCGCAAGGGTATGTTTGGAGAGGCCTTGGCATTGATCTTGCCACTCCCTCGCCTCTGCCTCATTATGCCCAAGAACACTTTTGATCACGTCTGTCTGGGCTTAGGACTGTGGTCAGAGGCTATGGAAAAGGTTTGGGGATTTTTTTACTTTGTGTAACTGATTAATTGTTCATTTGGGTAGTGATATTATGACTATGGCTAAATTTGCATTGTCTTGCCTAATAGACCTGAGCACTGATGAGCACTGTCTTCCCTTTAGATATCATAGAATACAGTCATGGTTACTTGGTTTCCAATGTGTAGCCTTGTTTGGGGCTTGCTTTCCAACCAGGGGAGTAAGAAGGCACAGGCAAGAGTGCCAGGGCTTGCTGTCATAGACTGAGGGCTCTGCCAAGACAGGGATTGACTCTGGCTTTGGATTATCTCCTAAGCTTTGGAGGGGAAAGGGGAGAGAAGAGGACTACAGAAGGTCTAGTAGTTGGGAAATGAGGGGGCAGCCCCCTTGTGCCACTGCCTTGAGAGTTTCAAACCTGTGGCCCCCGCAAAAGGCCAATAAGCACTCTTGTGTAAGGGAAAGGGCCATTCAGGTGGGTGCTGGGAAAGATAGCTAAATTTACCCGCCTCTCTATTCTTGGGTTTTTTCCTCTGTGCCTGCAGTACTTTGTTTTCTTCTCATTGTGAATGACCTGGACTTATTTCCTTGAGGTCCAGCCTGACTTGGGCTCAGGGCTTTCATCTTCCCTTCACGGGATCTGGGAAAGGGCATGAGATCTGGAGCCAGACAAACCTAGATCCAGTCCCAGCTCCACCAAATATTAGTTGAATGGCTTCAGACAAGTCTTTTAACCTCTCTATTCCTGAATTTCCCCATCTCCAAAATGGGATGGTGATGATTAAGGTGAAAGAAAGATGCCTGGTTTAGCAGCAAGAACATAGACTTTGGGTTCATAGACCTGGATTTAAAGTCTGGCCTTGAGGCACCGTGGCTCACGCCTGTAATCCCAGCACTTTGGGAAGCTGAGGCACGCGGATCACCTGAGGTCAGGAGTTTGAGACCAGCCTGACCAGCATAGCGAAACCCCGTCTCTACTAAAAATGAAAAAAAAAAAAAAGCCAGGCGCGGTGGCTCCTGCCTGTAATCCCAGCCCTTTGGGAGGCTGAGGTGGGTGGATCATGAGGTCAGGAGTTCGAGACCAGCCTGGCCAACATAGTGAAACCCTGTCTCTACTAAAAAATACAAAAAAAAAAAAAATAGCTGGGCGTGGTGGCAGGCGCCGTAATCCCAGCTCCTTGGGAGGCTGAGGCAGGAGAATTGCTTGAACCCAGGAGGCGGAGGTTGTAGTGAACCCAGATCGCCCCATTGCACTCCAGTCTGGGCAACAGTGTGAGATTCCGTCTCAAAAAGAAAAAAAAAAAAAGCAAAAAAAATTAGCTGGGCATGGTGGCACATGCCTGTAGTCCCAGCTACTTGGGAGGCTGAGGCAGGAGAATAGCTTGAACCCAGGAGGTGGAGGTTGCAGTGAGCCAAGATCATGCCACTGCACTCCAGCCTGGGCGACAGAGCGAGACTCCATCTTAAAAAAAAAAAAGTCTGGGGCTGGGCGCGGTGGCTCATGCCTGTAGTCCCAGCATTTTGGGAGGCCGAGGCGGGTGGATCACAAGGTCAAGAGATCGAGACCATCTTGGCCAGTGGCGCGTGCCTGTAGTCCCAGCTACTCGGGAGGCTGAGGCAGGAGAATCGCTTGAACCCGCGAGGTAGAGGTTGCGGTGAGCTGAGATGCTACAGCACTCCAGCCCGGCAGCAGAGCGAGACTCCATCTCAAAAAAAAAAAAAGTCTGGCCCTGTCTTCCTAGCTTTATCTTTGAGCATATACATAGGACTGTGTGTGCCTAATCTGTAGGGGTGTCTGTGAAGACAGAAACAGCCTAGCTGCTCATCAAGTGGATCTGCTATTATGCTATTTTTATTATATGGTGTATTTGCTACCTCACAGCGTTCTGAGGATTAAATGAGAAAAACCTCACTTTAGAAAATAGGTAAGAAAGCAGCAGCCTATCAACGATGATGCTGTGGCTGTTTTTATTACTGCCCTGGGCAAAGGATTCTCTTGGAGCTCTTTGCCTGTTACAGAGGTGGGAAGAAAGGCCAAGGAGGGAGAGGGCTGTGCAGCCAGGCTGGAGTTGGGTCAGATGGGGGAGATTTACCACTCAGGGTGCTGTCAAATTTGGGTCACAGACTAGTGAAGGGAGGGTGGAGAAAGCAGGAGCTGGGCTCAGAAAAGGGCTATTTCCCGCAAAATCTGCTTCCCCCACCTAATGCTGTGGCAGGGGTTAGAAAGGGAGACTGCCTGGACGCCCTGCTTGGTTGCTGTGGAAGTGTGCGGGAGTCTGTTTTTTCTTTTTGTTTTCTCCAGCCCATCCTTCCGGAAATCACGAATGTCCCGTGCCCAGAGCTTCCCTGACAACAGACAGGAATACTCAGGTGAGTTCCACAGAGCCTGGGTGGGTAATGCAGGGTGTCTGGGTGGGGCCTCAGGTGGCTCTGCTTCGACTTTTCTGAGTCAGTAGCTCTCCTTGGGCTTGCTGCTTTGAGGTCTCAGGTGCCTTGGGGACTTGGGGGCTTAAGTGGCTCACATTGACCTACCCAGAAGCCAGTGATTCCCCTGTCTTACTCAGATCGGGAAACTCAGCTTTATGACAAAGGGGTCAAAGGTGGAACCTACCCCCGGCGCTACCACGTGTCTGTGCACCACAAGGACTACAGTGATGGTGAGTTCTTCTTCACCTGCTCCCTGCTGGCTGCCTCAAGAAAGGACAAGTTGCCATGGGGAGGGTGGGTTCGTCCATGCAGTGCCTGTATTTTCCTTCATTCCTGAGGATTTGTGGCCCAGACTTGAGGCATGGGAGACAGGAAAAAAACAAAAACAAAAACAGGGAAGATAGTATTTGTAGACCAGATGCTGCCACTGGGAACTCTGACCTTGTTTGAAGCCAGTGGTGTGCTCCAGGGGCACCATCTCTCCCATGTCCTCTTCTGCCCCACAGCAGCAGGTGGCCTGGGCCCTGTAGAGGGGTAAGGAGTAGGATACAAGGAAATCAGTGCCTTCGGGTGTGGCTTGGCCTTGCAAGCAATTGGGAGCCTGTTGGCCAGCCATACACCTTCCCTTTGGCCAGATCTCCCTGAACCAGACTACTTCCTAATTTCTGCTTTTGTCCTGATTCTTGGAGTGCTTGGGACAGCAGCCTCTGTGGAATGAGTCAGGTGGGAGTGCGGACGGGATGGGCTGGAGCTGGTATTATCTATCACTTCTGGCTGAGACCTGGTTTGTATATTCCGCCTTGTAGCCCGGGGTGTCTCAGACCTGGTTTGTACGTTCCGCCTCGTAGCCTGGGGTGTGACTTGCTCTCCTCTGGCCCTTGCACCCTTTCAGGCAGAAGAACATTTCCCCGAATACGGCGTCATCAAGGCAACTTGTTCACCCTGGTGCCCTCCAGCCGCTCCCTGAGCACAAATGGCGAGAACATGGGTCTGGCTGTGCAATACCTGGACCCCCGTGGGCGCCTGCGGAGTGCGGACAGCGAGAATGCCCTCTCTGTGCAGGAGAGGAATGTGCCAACCAAGTGTGAGGAGCTGTCCCTGGCTAGGAGGAGACTGCCCAGGTGGTCTCAGACAAGCTACGGGGGCAAACAGCTGGGCCCCTGGGACCCTTAGGCTCAGCAGGTGGTGGCTTTGGCCCAAATGCACCACATGGGATAAGCCTTGGAGTGTCTGAAGCCTGGCTCCACTATTGTGTGACAAGCCTCTTCTCCTCTCTGATCTTTAGTTTTTCCATGTTTAAACTAGGGAAGAGCACACCCTTCATCCCTGCCATATTAAGATATTTAGGGGCTTTGGAAGGAAATGCATTTGATCAATGCAGAAGAGCATTTAACCATGACTTCAGCCAATCCTCTGCTTCTTAGGACTCTGACTTCAGGTCCGAGTGACTAGGGCACTGGGCTTGCTCCAGATTGTGGTGGAGATGCTCTACTAAGAGATGATGGGTGCTGGGTGAGGGGGAGCCTGAGCCAGAGACCCTGTTCCTGGAGAATGAATGGGATATTCATAAATAATGTACACAAAGTAACTCTTTCCTTCTGCTCTCCTGTAGCTCCCAGTGCCCCCATCAACTGGCGCCGGGGAAAGCTCCTGGGCCAGGGTGCCTTCGGCAGGGTCTATTTGTGCTATGACGTGGACACGGGACGTGAACTTGCTTCCAAGCAGGTCCAATTTGATCCAGACAGTCCTGAGACAAGCAAGGTACACTTAACCCGTGGTCTGACTTCAGTTCCCTCCTTTCAACAAAAATGCCTGTCTTACCACACAGAGTAGTTGCCTGAGATGCTGTAGGTTGCTTCCTCTGTCATTCTTCCCAAACTCCCTTTCTGTCCATCCTGGTCCCAGCCACAGGGTGAAAGGACTGTGGTCTGAAGAGCACCAAGCACCTGGAGGGGAGGGATTGGGTGTAAGGAACTAAGCTGATGCCAAAGTACCAAGTAACCCAAACTGAGAGGTGATGACCTGTGACACAGAGGGGACTCCCTCCCCTAGACAAGTATCTCTCCCCAGCTCTCAGCCCAGGAAGGAGCTGTGGGGCTCCTTCACTTGGTCCAGCTCTAGAGGAGGAATCATATGGCCTGTCTTTGCAGTTCAGCTTTCAACGTCGCTTATACTTCAAGTTCTGTGGACAAACAGCAGTTACCTTAACTAAGCACCCACGGCCCCTTCTCCCACCTCCCTGCCTCCTTCCACCCATGGGAGTGCCACCATCCCAAGGCCTGCCCAGCATTGTGGCCAAGAGCTAGACAGTTAAGAGAGTCCCCCTTTTCTCCAACTGCAGTTCCCAAGGCAGATCCCTGTGAGGCCACTAACTAGGGCAAGCTGAGCTGAACCCAGGCGGGCAGAACTAGGGCCCTGAGAGCTGAGGCGACCACTGACCCCTCCCCTAGGAGGTGAGTGCTCTGGAGTGCGAGATCCAGTTGCTAAAGAACTTGCAGCATGAGCGCATCGTGCAGTACTATGGCTGTCTGCGGGACCGCGCTGAGAAGACCCTGACCATCTTCATGGAGTACATGCCAGGGGTACGTGCCCCTTGAATGCATGTGAGACACACACAAAAGAGGGCCTGACCTGGGGGCTGGGGCCTGCAGGAGGGGGGTCACCTTGGATAGGAGTTTGAACACCTGAGGCTCCAGAGGCCCAGAGGAGCAAAGTGAGGTGATGGTGGGACTTGGAGTCAGGAGGGCCCTGCCTCAGGTTGCAGTGGGAGTATGAGATGACAGCTGTCCTAGGTCCAGCACTCCCCTGAGGCATGCAGGGCTGGCCCACTGTCCAGTAAATGCAGCCTTCATCTGGAGCAGAGAGGCCTCCCTGCTCCTGGATTTGGGTGGCGCTCTGCTTGAGAAGGACTTGGGGTACTCTCTTTTCCAAACTGCCTGACAGCTCCTGGCAAAATGCCCTGCCCAGCCAGATAGGAATTGAACAAATCACTCCTTTGCTGCCATGCTGGGGGCTGGAATGGGCTTGCCCCTCCACCAGCCCTCCCCTGAGGGGACTCCTCTGACTTCTTGTGGCCTCCAGGGCTCGGTGAAAGACCAGTTGAAGGCTTACGGTGCTCTGACAGAGAGCGTGACCCGAAAGTACACGCGGCAGATCCTGGAGGGCATGTCCTACCTGCACAGCAACATGATTGTTCACCGGGACATTAAGGGTGAGCAGGGCCAGGATACATGGAGTCCCCAGGACCTGGGTTCAAGTCTACCATTGAGTGCCTGCAGGGGCCAATCACTTAACCATTCTGAACTTTCTGAAAAGTGGGACCCCAGTTGTTTCCCTGAGGAACTGGTGAGATTGGTTGAGCAATATGAGAGAATATTGCCAAGTTCCCTCTACATGTGGGCCTTGGAGATGGTCATTTTGTGCGGTAGATCTGAGACTCCCCTTTGCTAAATCCTTTGCCCTTTGCAGTTCATGTCTAATTCAGTGGTAGCCCTGCCCTCTCCAGCAGCTCTCAGTGACCCGGGGGTGGGGAGGATGGGAGAAAATGCAAGAGGGTCCAGGGTTGCAGCCTCTGCCCTTTCATGCCTCAGGAGCCAACATCCTCCGAGACTCTGCTGGGAATGTAAAGCTGGGGGACTTTGGGGCCAGCAAACGCCTGCAGACGATCTGTATGTCGGGGACGGGCATGCGCTCCGTCACTGGCACACCCTACTGGATGAGCCCTGAGGTGATCAGCGGCGAGGGCTATGGAAGGAAAGCAGACGTGTGGTGAGCACTGGGACATGCAGAACCCATTCTTCCACCCAGGCCATAGTGGCCCCCCATTAGAAACACACCCTGGGGACTTTGTGGTGTGGCAGGAGGGAGTGTGCCCAGGGCCCAGGCTGCAGTGTGTGCAAGGGTATTATTGGGTGCAGTAGCACACACACCACATGGGTGGTGCTCAAAGCACACTCCATTAGAGCTGGGAACTTAGGCCATGGAAAACATCCCTCATGTTTGCTAAATCTCTTAAGGAAGCAGGATCCACTCTGAAGGCCTGAAGGCCTGGACCAGTCTCTCAACAGGAGCAGGCTTCTGTCCCTTCTCCTAGCACTCAAGACAGTTTGCACTTGCTCGACATAACCTTGTGTCTATCCTCTGAAATGGCCCCTAAGTCAGGAGAGCTTCTCCCCTTGGAAAGCTATTGTGGTGGGCTGAATAATGGCCCCCCCAAAGATGTCCACTGCCTAATCCCTGGATCTGTAAATGTGATTGTATATAGCAAAGGGCCTTTGCAGATAGGATTAGGTTAAGGGTTTTGAGATGGATGGATTATCCTGGATTAAGGGTCCTTACAGAAGGGTCTCAAGAGGTCAGAGTGGCTAATAGGAGGTGAGACAATGAAAGCAAGAGGTTGGAGTAATACAAGGAGGGGACCATGAGCCACGAAATGCAGGTGGCCTCTAGAACCCAGGAAAGGCAAGGAAACAGGTTCTCCCCTCAGAGCCTCTGACAGGAACCAGCCCTGCCGCCACCTTGACTTTAGCCCTGTGAGACTGATTTTAGACCTCTGACCTTCAGAACTGTAAGATGATACATTTGTGTTGTTTTCCTGCCTCTAAGTTTGTGGTCATTTGTTAAGAGCAGCTATGGGTAGCTAATACAGTTATTGTAGAGTTCTTTCTGTCAAGTCTAAGTGATTCTCTTTTTCCTTATTTCAAGAAGTACCCAGGTGTGTGGTGAGTGTAGGTCCATGAAGCCCACGTGGACAGACATCCAAGCTGAGGTATCCCTCAGCTTGGCCTGTCCTGCACCTCAGCTTGCTGTGAGAAAGGCGCCTCTTTCTGCAGTGGTGGGCAGGACAGCTGGGAGTCCAGGGCTGGCTGAGGGGTGACACGGGGTTCTCTCTTTCCAGGAGCCTGGGCTGCACTGTGGTGGAGATGCTGACAGAGAAACCACCGTGGGCAGAGTATGAAGCTATGGCCGCCATCTTCAAGATTGCCACCCAGCCCACCAATCCTCAGCTGCCCTCCCACATCTCTGAACATGGCCGGGACTTCCTGAGGCGCATTTTTGTGGAGGCTCGCCAGAGACCTTCAGCTGAGGAGCTGCTCACACACCACTTTGCACAGCTCATGTACTGAGCTCTCACGGCCACACAGCTGCCGGTCGCCCTTTGCTGCATGGCAGGGGGCTGCTGCTGGGCTCAGTGAAGTTGCTGCTTCTCCCAGGCAAGGCTGTGGACCATGGAGTGGCAGCCCAGCCAGCGTCGGTCTGTGCCCCTTCCGCCACTGGGGCTCAGAGCCGGGGTGGGGTGGCTGCAGCCTCAGGACTGGGAGCCCCCAGCCTGTCAGATCCAGGAGCTCCAGTGTCCTGAGCTCAGCGTGGAGGGGTAGGGGCTGGGAACAGTGTGCAAGGCAGCCGTGGGCCCCACCCTCGGGGATGTGTCCTGACACTGCAATTGGCACCGAAGCCCAGAGGGTCTGGGGGCACAAGACTGACGCCAGGGTATGAAGAGTGTTATTTTCATTCAAAGTGTTATTTTGTTTTTCCTTCCAATGTCTGGAGACCACCAGGGCATCTCTGGGCTGGATGAGCTCCCACAAGCCTGAGGGAAAGGCCAGCACTCGCTAGCAGTGGCAGGCAGAGGCCCAGGCTGCCGTCCCCTAGAGTCCCAGGTTGGCTCTGCCAGTCCTGTCCTTTACCAAAGATGAATGAAGCAAATGTCATGCTGCCTTATTCAGGGAAGGAGGAGCCTGTCCTGCCTGTGGCCATGACCCTGCCTCTCCCAGGCAGGGGCCCGCGATGTGGAACTGCTGCCACTGAGGGGGGATCCAGTTTTGTCAATGCAGTTGTCTCTGTTTTACAAGTTGGAGTCACTCTTATGCTGTACCCAGTTTCTAAACTGGAGACTGTGTGTGCCCTCTGGGCTCTGAGTACCCCTGCTTTGGGCTTGGGCCTAGGCTGCATTGAAAAGAGCTGAAGGTTGTGGCCTTTGCGCTCCTGGCCCAGCCTTTGTTCCCCACTGGAGCAGAAGGGGAGATGGACGACACGGTCGGGGCATCTGGCCTGGCCAGTGCCCTGATCCCAGAGAGCCCGAGGAGGTGTCTCAGGCTGCCTGAGTCGTGACCTGCTAGGCCAGAGCCCACTCCATCTGGTAGAAGGGAAAGCCCATATGCTACCACCAGCTGTGTCCAAAACCGCCAGCTCTGTTCTTCCTCAGCCAGCCTCGCCCATCCCCTTGAGGTCTCAGCCCCTTTCCCTTGTAGCTCCTCCCCTGGAGGGGGAATGGCAGCAGGGGTTGGGGAAACAGCATCTCCAAGCAGCTTAGAGTTGGCCATATTTACCTCAGCCTGGGCGCTGGTCCTTTCTTCCGGCCCCTCCCCTCCAAAATGTGCCTATTGCTAGAGCTCCTCCCTCTCAACACCCAGTTTCCTTGGGAGTTGTCATTAAAGGAAAAAAAAAAAAAAAAAAGCCAGTGCCCAGGGATGGGCATCTCCAGGGAGCTGGGGATTAGTGCCAGGCAGCCCTGCCAGCCATGCCTACATCCCCATGGGCACAGAACAAGCCAAAGCCTTCGTTGTATGTTGACGATGCACTTTTATGAATGTAGTTTCTATCGCTGTTTTTAGCCTTTTCACATCATGTAATGTGAGGCCTTGTACTTGTTAATTTATATCTCAGATCATATTTGATGGTTTTTATATATATCAATTCTAGACTGTTACAGGTGACGGACGCCTCAAGAGAGAGAAGAGAAAATGAAAGCAGCTGGTTTTGCAGAAGTGTGTGTCGCATGCGCCAGTTGGGCCTGGACCCTCCTGTGTCCATCCCTGTTCCCCCAGGGGCTCTATCAGCCCCTGTACCCCACACTGCCCTCTGAAGACAACACAGGCTCCTGCTTCCACCTCGGCCCTTGCCCAGGGTGGGGCCTGGCCCTCATCTTGACCAAAGCTGCTGTGTGGCAGCTCGGCCTCTCTACGACCCCATCTTGGTGGCTGCACACTCTTCCTGGCCCGCACCCCCATCCCCAGTCCCTGTTCCCCAAGAGGATACAGAGCACGGTGCTGGCTGACTCAACTGTGCGTCCCAGGTTCAGGGTCTTACAGAGCTCCACCCCCTGGGGTCTTACCTCACTGGGAATGTGTTTTGAAAATGAATTTGAAGACAAGCCAACAAACCCTGCACTCCAAAAAAGCAAAACAGACCCTAATTTTTTTGTGCCAAAAACTGTGGACATGCTGGCTCAGCATCCTCAGGACCAAGTTGTTGCTTAATTTATTGTTTTTTAATAACTAATCCAGATAAAAAGTTGTGGGGCTTCAGGGTGACCTGGGCCCAAAGGTTCTGAAGGGCAGTTCCTGGCAGCCCCAGGCTTGCTGTGGGAAGGGGCCGTGCCGTCACTTTCTCATCATTCCATGGGGTGTGTCTGCCTGGGCCAACTCTGCATGGAGAGGCCAGGGCTGGGGACAGTCCGCACTCTGCCACCCTCCTGCCCCTTCCACCCACCCCAGCTCTATGTCTGTGTCTGAATTGTGGATCGTGCAGCCATGGTTATTGTGGAACTGTGGAACCTGCAGCCATAGTTATTTGACTATATCTTGACCGAGGGCTTGCAGTGCAAAGCCAGGCCAGTGTTGCGCATTACTTACAATAAAAGGGATCATTTATATCAGAGGGGTCCTGTGGCAGTGCTTTCAGTTGTGGGGGGTGGAGGTAGGTTTTTGCTTAGCAGGGGCCAGGTATGGTGCCTGGCAACGAGCCTGGGCCTTTCAAGCAGAAGAGAACTTGACTCCAAGTAGAGGGGTCCTGGGGTGATCTGGCTGATACCATTGTCAGTCCAGAGGTGTCTGCCCCTTTCCTCCAGTTGCCCCTCCAGGAGCTCCACTGGGGTGGTCCCAACAGGGCTGATTTACCAGGGTGGCACTGCTGGCCCTCACAACCTGAACGTCACCAGTGGCTGAGTTCCCGGAGCTTTCATGATATTTGGTAGGGTCTTCCTGGCCCAGAGGACTTCCTTCAGTCCCATCTTTGCAGGGCAGGGGTCAGGTGTCTCCAAGAGCCACCTCTCCAGTACCCCCTTGTGGTCATCTGCTACTGTTGCTTAACCGAACCAAGATGATCCTTGCCATCTGAGACCTCTGGTGCAGGAAGTTGGCCTGCCCTGAGAGGCTCTGAGGCGCTCACTTCACACTTGGGAGGATCCAGGCCGGGGCACCATCTCTGCTGAGTATTCGCTCTGCTCCCTCGAGGAGCAGTGCCTGCCTCAGCATAGTGACTTATGTGACACTGGAGCCTGTGGCCCAGCTCCCTGCCCTGTTCCACGGGGAGGCCACTTAGGAACTCAGGCAGTTGTATGGTGTGGTGGCAGCAAACCCTCCAGGAGTCTCTGTTCTCATCGATCCCATGTCTGGAGACATCAGGAAGTTGAATCTGGAGCAGGACAACCCAGACTTCTGCCTGTGTCCCACCGGGGCGCCCTCAGGTCCTCCCAACTTGCCTGGTTTGCTCTGCTGTGAACTCATCCCTCATTGTCCCTGGGTTTTCAGAGAAGCAGAGGTAGTTTCTCTTTGGATTTCCTGAGACAGTAGCTGTGACTGCACCTCCGCAGAGCTTGAAAAGGCAAGGGGATGATGACAGCAGCGAGGGGTAATGATGAGGGGGGACAATCCAGGGGTCACTAAAACCTTGGGCAGCACTTGCTGGGTCTGCTGGTTACCGCCATTCTTCGCTAACTTACTTCCAGGTCAAAGGGCTGGGAAGAAGGGAGGGAGCTAGACAGCTGGAACCAGCCAGGGAACGCGGCAGCTTGCACCCCAGGCACTGAAGTGCAGCGAGGACAGGCGCCATCACCCACTGGCAGCCTGGCCCTCCCGCTCTCAGGCCTCTTCACAATGGGGTGCATATGGTAAGTTGGTGGGTCTGAACCAACCCAGAACTGAGGGGTGAGGTGGAGTTTCAGTTCCAAAACCACTGTGGGTGTGACAGCATGAAGCCCTCGCTGTGAAGAGGAGCCCTCCCATTTCTCAATGGTGTGTCAGGGAACTGACACCCACTTCTAGCTCCCTGCCCCCATCAGGGCCGAGGTAGTCGGGGCTGGCCCTGTCCCCCCATGCCCGCCCCATGGTGAGTCTGCACCCTTCCTGTGACAGATCCCCCAGCAGGCCACACAATAGAGAATCTGGATCTATTGAAACATGTTTAAAACGGGGTTGGTCACAACAGGATGGGCACAAATGGGAGCGGGGGAGGGGAGTGGGGCCGCACCAGCCCCTGCCAGTGCCTGAGGCTGCAGCCTGGCGAGTGCTTTTGCTTCTGCTTCTCCACGCTGGTGGTTCGAGATGGTCCCAAGCCCCACTGGGGCAGGCCCTGCCTTGCCCTGCAGAGGCAGGGTGGCTCCACTTCCCCATCTCCTCCCCCATGGGCTGCAGGGGCATTTATGATGCCCAACAGGTGGCACTGTCGCGCTCCTTCCTCCCTGTCTCCGTGGCTCAGAAACAGGTTAAGGGTAGAGGTAGATGGGGAGACGTGGGGGCCACACAGTCTCCGGTGGCAGTGAGGGAGCTTGGGACCCTGAGGGGGGCATGCTGACTCCTTGCTGGAGAAAAGGCACCTAGATAGGGGAGCTGGGCTTGGGGGCCTCCCAGGGGGTCCTGGGGTGAGGTGGGGAGGGAGGCTGAACGAAGCAGGAAGCAGGGTGGTGGGCAGACCCCAATCCTGGTTTCCAAACCCTCACCGGCTGCGGGAGAAGGAAGAAGGAAGGAGTCCTGGAGCAGAGCCCTGCCCTGGTCCCCTACGCCTGAGCAAGCCTCATCCCCTTCCCACCTGGCCCCCACGCAAGCCCAGCTCGACCTCCTTCCCACCTTCCCCCTGCCGGCTCCAGGCCTTCCGCAGAGGGGGTGGAAGGTTACAGAGGCCTCAGGCCGTCTTGGTGCCGGGGTCCACCTCCTTGTGGGCCCAGAGCTCCTTGTGCTGCTTGCGGCCAAACCCCTCGTCGTAGTTGCCTTTGCTCTTAAACAGCTGCTGGAAGTGGGGTTTGCAGTAGAACTCCCCGTGCAGCGCGGCGTAGCTGCCCAGGCTGCAGAAGCCAAACAACGGCGTCAGGTCAGGTCAGGTCGGGGCTGGGTTGGCAGGCGAGGCGGGGGCGGGCAGGGCAGGGGCGCACCTGAGCTTGGTGTGACAGTGCTTGCAGCAGAAGCAAGAGTTGTGGAAAATGAGCTTGTCGGCCACCAGCCGCTCCATGGGGTACACGGTCTTCTGGCAGGCGGCGCAGGTCTCCTTCACCTGGGCCCGCAGGCTGAAGGACTGTGCGGGAAGCTCAGCCAGGTGCTGCCCCAGTGCTCATCCCGCTCCCTCACACCCCTCCTCCCGCACACCCGGCCCCAGGCCCCTACCTTGGAGCGCTGCACCGTGCTGCTGCCGCCGCCTTTGGCGTCCTGAGGGAGAGGGGCGGTCAGGGCAGGGGCAGCTCCGGGAGGCCCTGGATCAGGGCTGCAGCCATCAGCCCAAGGCCCAGGGGCGCGCCGCAGGGCACAAAGGGGGCCGGCAAACTCTGATGCCTCTCCCCTTCACCCCAGGCCAGGCTCCTGTCCGGGGGGCCCTCCCACCCAGCCGGGCACTTACATGAGAGGGGGTGGCCTGGGCGGCTCCTGCAGCCTGGAACATGGCTCGTTGGAGGTGGAAGCCTCGGGTGGAGAAGCGGCACCCGCTGGGTTCTGCAAGGGGAAGTCAGTCGGGAGGGCCCCGCCAGCCCGGCCCCAGCCTGCAGGGTGGGGGGTGTTGACAGGCAGGGGCTGGGGGGATTGCGGTTGGGACTTTCCCTAAGTCATTTCCTGTTGCTCTTGGTCTTGCCACTTCCGCCCCTCACCCACCTCCCCCACCCCTGCTCCCCAGGGGCCGGGGTCCCGAGTGGCACCGTCCCTCGGAAGAACAAAGTTAGCGGGAGCGGAGGGGCCGGGGGCTCCCGCGCAGCCGCCGTGTGCGTCCCGCGGGCTGGGACCGCTTGGGGTGAGGGGAGGTCGGGGCCGGCGGGGCCGCGATGAGAAGCCGCTGCCCCGACCTGACCCCGGCCCTCGCTGCCCTGCGCCGCGCCCGGGCGTCCAGGCCTAGGCTGCGCAGCCCCTGGACAGCGCCCGAGGTCCCCGCCCGCCCCGCCCCTCGGCCCCCGACCTGGCCCCGCGAGGACCGGACCCCAGACCCCGACGCCGCGAGCCCCGCCAGCGGGTCTCGGCTCCGCCCAGCCGGGGGCCGGCCCTGAAACGAGGACTCGAGCCTGTGCGCCCCGGGCGAGAGCGGCTCGCAGACTCGCCGGGACCCCACGGGCGGCCCTCACCCCACACCCCTCGGCGCCTCTCCCGGTTCCGGAGCCGGACGCGGCCCCTCCCCCCGCGGCTCTCACCAGGCCCGGCCTGGGCCGCGGGGCGGGATCGGTCTCCGGGGGCGCACGGGTACGAGGAGGGCGCGGGCGCGAGCTGCTGCCGCTACCAGTGGTCCCCGAGCCACCGCCGCCGCCACCGCCTTATCGCTGCACCGCCCCCGCCGGCCCCCGCCCCGCGCCCGCCCATTGGCTCCGCCGCGCCCGGAGCCGCCTTCGGGGCCCCGGCGCCGCCGCCGACCCCCCTCCGCGCTTTGTCTTCCCCTCGCCGCCGTCCCCGCCTTTGTCTGTCCCCCGCCCCGGCTCCGCGCTCCCGGCTCCGCAGCGCCCCGCGGGCCTCGCGCTCGCAGGCCTCGGGTACCGGCCGCGCCGTCTGCCCATCCCGACGGCGGCCCGGCGTGGGGAAGCAACGGTGGCAGGGACAGGATGGAAGGGCCGCGCTCCGCATCCTACTGGGAGGGGACGAGTTCAGGCTGCGGCGGCTGCGGTCGCGGGACACTGGGCGCTCCCGGCCTGGCTCCGGGATAACCGGGCGGGGCCTGGGCCATTCACTGCCTCGGTTTCCCCCGGTTGGCCTCGCGCGTAGGCGCCGGCGCCCCCATCCCCGCCCAGAGCTGTGGGGCCGCAGAGACCCAGCCGGGGCGACCCCGGAGCCTGGCCCGGGGTCCCTCGGGCGGCCGAGTCCTCCCGCCGCCAGGGGCCGCCCCCGCCCCTTTGCGGCCCACGAGGCTGGCGGCGGCGTCCGGGCACGCGGTCTCCAGGCCCGGCCGCGAGGCTGCGGGGAGGAGCCTGCACGAGGGCCCGGCAGCCCCGGCAGCCCCCCCAGCCCTCGGCGCCTCTGCAACCCTGCGACGGGCTGGGGAGGCCGGTATGCGTGGTTCCCGGAGCACCCGTCCCCCGAGGCTCCACGTACTCAAGCGTTTCTGGGGCGGAATTCTGTGGGCAGCAACGGGGGCCCCCTCTCCAACAAGCGCACCTCATTTCTCACGTGGGAGCCGCGGCCCAGAGAGCTGAGGTGACAGAGCTTGGGCCGCAGAGCTGCTCCCTCCCTGCAGCCGCACAGCAGGCCGGAGGCACAGCCGGCGAGAGACGGCCACTCGCTTTGGAGCGGCGGCGAGGCCGGCGCCTTCCCGGGCACCAGGGACTGCGTGGCTTGGCCGGAAATCAGGCTAGAAGCAGCTCCGGGAAGCACAGCCCTTAGCCCAGCGCCTTCCCACACTGTGGCAGGAATAGCACTGGCGGCCCACGCGCTTGTCAGGGAACAGAACAGCTCTCGCCCGACGCCTGGCAGGGGAGCAGGGAGGCTGCAGCTTCCCCAGCGACCAGCTGTTTCCCAGGCTGGCGGACTCCACGGACCGGCTCCGCGTCTCCTCTCCAGCCTTCTGTTCTCTCTAGAGGAAGATCTGCGTTTTGTCTGCACTGTGGGCCGACTCTCTAGTGGGGAGCGTCAGACCCTCTAAAGTGGCTGCCTCTCGGGAAAGCTTCCACACCTGTCATCAGATTCTCCAAAGGGGCTGTTTGATGCAAGAAACGGGAAGCCCCGGGGGTACTAGGAGCAGGGCTTGCTGCCATTGGGCATGGTGAGGCCCCGGCACCCTGCCCAGGACGGGCCTGTGGGCTGAGCTGCAGATGGGCATTGAGGATGCCCCAACAGCAAGGTGCAGAAGGCATCCAGAAGCAAAGGAAACTGATGACCAGCGTCAAAAACAAACAAAAAAAGGGAACTTGGCTCGGCGGTGGCTCACGCCTGTAGTCCCAGCACTTTGGGAGGCAGAGACAGGTGGATCACGAGGTCAGAAGTCCAAGACCAGCCTGGCCAACATGGTGAAATCCCGTCTCTACTAAAAATACAAAAATTATCCAGGCGTGGTGGTGTGTGCCTGTAATCCTAGCTACTCGGGAGGCTGAGGCAGAAGAATCGCTTGAACCCGGGAGGTGGAGCCTACAGTGAGTCAACATGAAGCCAGTGCACGCCAGCCTGGGCGACAGACTCTGTGTTTGTGTGTGTGTGGGGGGGGGAGGGCGGGGCGAGGCGAAGGGAACTTGAGGTTTAAAGCAGGGGGAGGAGGGCCGGAAATGCTCCCCGCCGCCCCCGACACTCACTCGCCCCAGGCCCCATCCTAGCCCAGGGTCAGTGTCATTCCCTTCACCTTAGCCTCTCACTGCCCAAAGAGGCTTACTTTTCTTCTTTAAACTGCTGTTAAAATTTGGGAGGAAACGGAAAGCAAGGGCACCTGATGGTTCAGTGCAGCTTCAGGTTAGAGGGGCATTTGAGGTGCCTGAGCTGGGGGAGGGCCTTCCCCCTGAGGGACTGGGAGAAGGGTAAGCCATGTGCCCTGGAAGCACTGCAGGGAGCCTCAGATTTGCACCCCCTGGCTCACACTCGCTGGCGCCAGCCAGCATGGCAGGGATGGGCGGGGCTGGTTCTTAGGTTTCCTGCTCTTTGGGTGCTAGCACCCAGGGTAAGGAGACACCCATGTCCGGTTGCAAGACAAACCCTTCTACCTCCTTTCCTGCCAAAGGCCACCAGCATCCTCTGCCTCAATCTCAATCTTTGGAACTTTTTAGCTCCAAAGTGGTTTGATGACCACAGGCTAAAATTCATAGTCTTAAAATTTTAGATAGTTAAGAGACAGATCTGTTACAGGTTTTCAAATAAACTGGTCTATCTAGTGTAAGAGGTCACTGCTGAGCTTCAGTGAGCACCCATGGGCCTGCTCTTGGATGGTGGGACAGCTCTCACCTGGGGCAGCACGGCCATCCCTGCAAGCACACACACCAGGAAGCAGCCTGTAGCCCCTGAGCTGACGCAGACACAATGCCATTCTCCAGCAGCGTCTCTGAAAATTTTAATTTGTTCTGACAACGAAACTAACACAGCATAAGGACTTAAGCCCTCAAGCTAGGCAAGACACTGATGGCCCTTGGAGAAAGCACCAGGGCAGCTGGCAGGAGGCGCTAAGATGGATTCTTGGTGGGAAAGGAATGAGGCACACACATAAACCGTGGGAAAGACTTAGGTGTCAGGGCCCAAGCCAGAAGAGGGATAAGGATGGACTGTTCCAGCCTTAGTCTGTGCTTAAAAAGACAGAAATGCCCTTCTCTGGAATTATGAGGGAGAGGTCTGAGGGAAGGGAGGCAGGCAGCTTACTACTTGCCCTTTCACTGACCTATAGCATCTGAGGCATCTGAGAGCAAAGTTAAATAGAATGAGGCTGGTCGCAAGCACTGGGAAGAGGTGGCGGTCCTCGGGTTTAAGGAGCCAAACCCTGGGCTTGGAATTCAGCTCCCAGGGCCAGAGCAGCATCTCTCTTCTGCGGAGGAGGTCACCTGAGCTCACAGGACTGGGAATGTCGGCTTTGGACCCTCCTGATCCCTGGTTGTTGAGATTCCCTTGTGTCTCAAAAGCCTTGGAGCAGTGAAGTGTCTCTCCAGGATTTTCTTTCCCAATCAGTCAGCAGTCAACTTTCCTGGAAGAATGTCCTTTCTACCCAATCTGCCCAGGAGGGCGGGAATGTGGCCGGCCCTCAGGAAGGGCCTCTGGGTGGCCTCTGCATCCCTGGCTGGAGAATGCGCACAGTTTGCAGAGGCTCAGAACTCCCAATCGTCCACCTCCAGCTCTTCCAGGTTTGTTACCAGGCCAAAGATTCCACTGTGGTCCTGAGACTGGCTGCCCTCAAAATTGGTGATGGGGGTGACAGGACGAAGCAATTCGGGCAAAGCCTCTGAGGCACGTCGCTTGATCTGGGGGAGAAGAGAGAGGTGGGTGACAGATCCTGTTGCTCTGGGTCCCAGGACACCATGGGGCAAGGAACCATGGCCTGGTGGCAGACGGGCTGTCGGAGCCAACTCCATGAGAGGAAGGAGCAGTGTCTTTCAGGGGCTTCGGAAGCGGGGTAGTTTCTCTCATTCAAAGGGAGGGGAGAGAAAGCTAAAGGGATTGTGAGTTGTTAGAACCAGAACTAGAACCAGAACCAGAACGAAGGGGCTACGATACCTGCTTGAAGAAAGAGTGGTTCAGGAGGGTGCTGGCACTGGGCCTGGAGGGAAAGGGGAGGAGAGACCGCAGCATCACTGCCGTGTCCCCAGCTTCCCGAAATCCTGCCACTTATGCCTCAGCCTCGGGTCCCCTCTCCCTCTCCCTCAGCTCATGGGAAGCAGTGGCCAGAGCTCCCCAGGCTGGCCTCTGACACACCCAGGAGCTGATCCCTCCTGTGTGTAGCTCCAGATTCCCCTGCAGAACCTTTGGGAGGTAAGTCCCTTCACACCCTGGCCTTACCCTCCTGAGCACCCTCTGCTCTCCCGAAGCCCAGGCCCAGGCCAGCAGGGATACCTGGCATCCGGGTTGCGCTGAAGGCACTGCTCCACAAAGTGGTGGAAGTGGGGGGAGAAGGTTCGGTGGTAGGGGTGGGAGGGCGAGTCACCGTTGGAGGGCCGGGGGGTGCTGGTGGTCAGGCTGTCACTCAGGCCAGAGTTGGCCACTGAGCGCGAAGGGCTCATGGTCAGCTCCTCAGCGGGGATGGTGCTGGTATCCAACAGGCAGGGCACTGTGCCGTTCAGTTTCTCTAGCAGCATCTGGGGAGGACAGAACCAGGACCTGGGCTGTAGCGGGTGGGGGGGGGGGGTGGTCCCTGGAAGGCCTGAGAGTCTCTTCACAAATACACTGTTCCCAATATGCAAATGTGATCATTTGAAGAGTGGAAAAGGTGGAAGTGGAGTAAGTCCAATTTTCCCAAAGAAACGCTGGTCACTGGCGTGGCAGCTCCGCCCTAGCCAGGCCAACGTGAAAGGAGAGGGGTTGCACAAAAGTACCCGCTTTCGCCATGGCTGGAAAGCAGGGCTCACAGTTTCCGCTCTCCCTTTCCAAGGCATCAAATTCCTTTTACCGTAGAGTCTTCACCCTAGAGGGAAGGAGCAGTCAGATGAACCTGCTTTGAAGCCCAGCCGTCTGCCATGCTCAGGTGGATCCGATGAGGTCTGAGAGGCAGTCCCTGCAGTGCCACAGCCTGGGCTGTCGCTGCAGCAGGCCACACGGGAGCAAGATGCCCAAGGGGAGGCCAGGCTGGGTGGCTGTTCCAAAGTACCCCAACTCAACACATATAAAACCAGCCCCACCTGGGACTGCTGTCCTCGTGGAAGTCCTCATGACCGCATAAGCTGTCCAAGCCAGAAACCTGGAAATTGCTCTAGAGCTGCACTAACGTGATAGCCACTAGCCACTTGTGGCTATTTCGATTTAAATGAGGTTTAAAATTCAGTCCCACAGTCTCACTGGTCACCTTCTAAATGCTCGACAGCCACACAGTCTCATGGCTCCCACGCTAGACAGTGCAGCCACAGAAGCCCTCCTTCGCTGCAGCAAATTCTAGTGGATGGTGCTGCTTCTAGGCCTGGACTTCTTGTTCCTCCTCAGTCACCTTTTCTTTCCTGAGCATCCTCTGTCACTGAATTATTTTACTGAGATCTCCTAGATTCCTCACATAGACTTCCATACCCACCTAACTGAGCTACTGGATCTAATCCATCTGCCGGGGTGGTCTTTGTAAATGAGCCATCTTATGCTGTCACTCCTGTGCTTAGAATCCTCAGCACTGCTCCACAGGCTTTAGGACAGGAACCAGTGCTCTAAAGTGGCATCAAAGCCCTTCACAATGTACCCTTGCTTCCTTCTGTGCCTGTCACCTGGCAGTCCCCAAGAAGCACTGCACCTTGGCCATTTATACCATTTACACCTCCTTGCTGTTCTCCAGATCTGTTTTTTCTAGACTCTGGGTCTCTGCACATGCTGCTGTCTGCCGAGAAGAGTGTCCTAGTTCCTCCTCCACACAGGTGACTGCTGTCTGCCTTCCAACTCAAGGCTGCCTCCTCCCAGGACTTCCCTGGGCCCCTGCTCTGGGGGGCTGCACTCTGGCCACCCTCCAGCTGCCCCTACCACCGGGCAAGCAGCCTGTGGGTTCCGGAAGTGGCTTAATTAGAGCCTGCATCCTGCCCCTCCCAGTTCCAGACCACACTCCAAGTAGCTGGGACCCAGGTAATCCTTGCCCAAATGACCCCAAATCCATTTTCTGGATTTAATGAGGCTTGCATAAGCCTCTTCCCTGGGTCTGTTTTCCCAAGGGTAGACTGTGCCACTGACTGTGCACCCTTGGATCCTAGGGGTGGCCAAAGGACAGGCATCTGGAGGGTCATGAACAGAAGCTGAACTTACAGAATGGGGGTTCCAAAGGTGTCAGCTGGAATGCGGTTAAGAACTGTGGGAATTCTAAATTAGAAACTGACCTTCCAGGTATATTTATCCAAGTAGGAGGACAGAACATATTTTATGCATTTATAAAAACTAGTTAGCTTAATGTATATGTTTTAAATAGACATGTAGCGTGTGGGCCTCCATTTGCACCCCTGCTCCCGGGCTCCCCTCCCCAAGCTGGCCTCCCTTACCACCAGGTTTGCCACAGGAAGTAAACAAAGAGTGAGGTCACTATCCCCCACTGGGTGGGACTTCTTGAAGGAAAAGACAGGGTCTTTCATCTTAGTATTCCTAGTCTGTGTCCTGAGTGTGAGAGCTACTCAACGAACATCTGTGGAAGGCAAGCAGGCAAGAAGGAAACCGATGGGCGGCAGGCTTACCTGGGTGGCAGGCATATCCTTAAAGGGGACATGGCCGTTGGCCAGTTCACAGGCTGTGATTCCCACACTGTAGATGTCAGACTTGGCATCATAACCCTGGAGATTCTAAGCCAGAAAAAAAAGGCCACAGATTACCCCATTTGGTCTTTGTTCTTAGAAAAAGGGTAGAACTAAAGAGAGGAAAAGGATGGCTGTCCCCACATCAGGACCTGCTGCTAATGACTCTCCTTGCCTGTGCTACTGAAGACTAACTGGTATTTTACCACCTGTAACTGGCGATGCTCTGTAAGGAGCAGGAAGTGCCAGCCCCATGCCCCTGCTTAGCACAGGGATCCAGAGAGCAGCAAACATTTCCAAAATGCTCACTCTTCTCATAGGGTGCCAAGGGTCCCTAAAGGGAGCTGAAATTTCATCCAATAGAGGTTAGGACCCCCTGGGAGGAACCACATCCATCTGCAGTGGACAGGCGCTGCCCACGCTGAGGGCTCCCTCCCTCCAGGAACCCCTTTACCCCACTGGGAGGTTGAGAGCCCCCGACTCCAGGCAATGCCTGAAGGCTCCCTTGGGAATCATGAGTTGGGTAGGGGAGCTCCTCTGGGCCCACACACAGACCTGCTGGAGGACCTCGGGGCTGAGCCACGGCAGAACCTTGACACTGTACTTGGGAAAATCGTGGACCACTCGCTGCCGCTGCCCATGGCTTATCATGCTGAGGTTGCTGCGCAAACCAGACAGGTAGACCTTCCCATCCACAGAGATCAGGATGTGGCTGGCTTTGACACTCCTGGGGAAGCGGGGAGGGTGTCATGTCGAGAGCAGGAGCCCCTCCTGCTACAAATTTTTGGTCTTCACACACTCCACCTGGCCAGCTCTCTCCTGTGTGCGTGTGTTATACACGTATATGTGTATTTTACATATACATAACCATGTTTTTGTTTTCATTGAGATAAGAGTCTCACTCTGTCACCCGGCTAGAGTGCAGTGGCTCAATCTAGGCTCACTGCAACCTCTGCCTCCTGGGTTCAAGCAATTCCTGTGCCTCAGCCAACCAAGTAGCTGGGATTACAGGTGTGCACCACCACACCCAGCTAATTTTTTTTTTTCTTTTTTTTTTGAGACGGAGTCTTGCTCTGTCGCACAGACTGGAGTGTAGTGGCGCCATCTCGGCTCACTGCAAGCTCCGCCTCCCGGGTTCACACCATTCTCCTGCCTCAGCCTCCCGAGTAGCTGGGACTACAGGCACCCGCCACCACGCCCGGCTAATTTTTTTTTTTTTGTATTTTTAGTGGAGACAGGGTTTCACTGTGTTAGCCAGGATGGTCTCGATCTCCCGACCTCGTGATCCACCCGTCTCAGCCTCCCAAAGTGCTAGGATTACCAGTGTGAACCACTGCGCTGGGCCCGCCCAACTAATTTTTATATTTTTAGTAGAGATGGGGTTTTGCCATGTTGGCCATGCCAGTCTTGAACTCCTGGCTTTAAATGATCCGCCTGCTTTGGCCTCCCAAAGTGCTGGGATTACAGGTGTGAATCACCGTGACCGGCCTATAACCAGGTTTTTTGTTCTTGTTGTTGTTGTTGTTGAGACAGAGTCTCACTCTGTCGCCCAGGCTGGAGTGCAGTGGCGCAATCTCAGTTCACTGCAACCTCTGCCTCCCAGGTTCAAGCAATTCTCCTGCCTCAGTCTCCTGAGCAGCTGGGACTACAGGCTCATGCCACCACATCCAGCCAGTTTTTGTATTTTTAGTAGAGACAGGGTTTCACCATGTTAGCCAGGCTGGTCTTGAACTCCTGACCTCAAGAGATCCACCCCTTGGCCTCCCAAAGTGCTGCCACTGCATCCAGCTATAACTATGTTTTAATGAAAAACTTCAAATCTACATAAAATAGCATGACTCCATTTACATATCACCAGATTAAAAGCTTATTTAGCTCTGTCATCCAGGCTGGAGTGCAATGGCACGATCTCAGCTCACTGCAGCCTCCACCTCCCAGGTTCAAGTGATTATCTTGCCTCAGCCTCCTGAGTAGCTGGGATTACAGGCACCTGCCACCATGCCCGGCTAATTTTTGTATGTTTAGTAGAGACAGGGTTTTGCGATGTTGGCCAGGCTGGTCTCGAACTCCTGACCTCAGGTGATCCACCCACCTTGGCCTCCCAGAGTGCTGGGACTGTTCAGTGCTCTTGTATGCTCTAGAACACCTCTTGCCCTACCTCCTACGAATGCTTTTAATCTGTACTTCTTATCTGTAGGACTCTTGTAAAGTGTACCTAGGGGTACTGTGTTCCGCATCCCATTCTTCCTTTTTCACTCAGGGCTGTAGTTTCCAGACACATCTGTATTGCTAGCTGTGTACCTTTCATCTTTTCTTCTAATTGTCACCTTGGTTCTGGGAAGAGATCTAACACTTTTACTCATCCATCCTTCTGGGGACAGACACTCACACTACCCCTAACCAACACACGTGTGAATGGTGACATCCAAACATGTCCCCTGATGGGTCTGCACGAGGGTTTCTTTAGGGTGTACATCCAGAAGTGGCATTGATGGTTCTGGTTCTGTGACCCTGACTGGCAGCACCGGGCATCTTCCACCACCTGGACAGGAGGCTCCCCGTCCTTGCCACACTGGGACTCGTCCAGCCTCCCAACCGCTGCCAGTCTCATGTGTATAAGGTGACATCTTGTTTTTCATTTGCTTTTCTCTGATTGCGAGATTTGAGTGGCTCTTCCTATGATGGGTTTGTCTTGGGGTTTCCTCTTTTGTAAACTTCATATCTTTGGCCCATTTTTCTTGCTTTGCTGTCCATTTCTTGTTGATTTGCAAGATTTCCCTGTTACTAATCTCCTGTGGTGACAAAGCTAATATCATCTGCTCTGTCACTTGTTTCTTAACCTTTTTCATGGTATCTTGTATTGGATAGAAATCTTCTTGATCTAATCAAATTCATCAATCTTTTGTCTTATGTTTTGTGCTTCTAAAATGTTGAGAAATTATTACATGCCTCAGGTCACAAAAACATTTTCTCACATTTCCTTCTATTTAAGTCTACAGTTTCACATTTTACATAGAAGCCTTTAATCCAGCTGCAGTCCTTCTCTGTATGAGGAGTTATGTAGGGGTCCAGTTTTACCATTTTCCCTACTATGAGCTGATTTCCTGACACTATCTACTAAGCTATCTGTCTTCGCCCTGGTCTCTCAGCATAAGACTGACTCTGGGGCACAGAAAGAAGGAGGCAGAGAGTGGAGTACAAAGGTCCACATCAGATGTTCCTCTCACACAACACTCAAGACCAAGCTGCTCAGCAAAGAGAAAGTCAGTGGCTTCAGCACTAACAGGCTAAGTGACCATCTCCCAAGTCAGTGGCAAGGTCAGAATCCAGATCCTTCTCTCTTTTTTTTTTTTTTTTTTTCAGACAAGAGTCTCACTCTGCCACCCAGGCTGGAGTGCAGTGGTGTGATCTCCAGTCACTGCAACCTCCGCCTCCCAGGTTCAAGCGATTCTCCTGCCTCAGCTTGTAGTCCCAGCTACTGGGACTACAAGCATGTGCCACCACACCCGGCTAATTTTTGTATTTTTAGTAGAGACAGGGTTTCACTATGTTGGCCAGGCTGGTCTCAAACTCCTGACCTTGTGATCCACCTGCCTTGGCCTCCCAAGCGCTGTGATTACAGGCGTGAGCCATCGCGCTGGGCCCTGTTTCTTTTCAGAGCAAAGAGATCTTCAGCAAGAATCCAGATCCTTGATTTTAAACTCTGGCTTCATTAACTTCAGTCAAACTTCACTTTACCTGAAGGCTCAGGGGCATAGCTACCCACTGTAATCATGGGAAAGGCCGCCTAAGAACGCACCTGTGTACATATCCCATGTGGTGGATGTAGTCGAGGGCCTTCAGCACCCCCTGCAGGATGTAAGCAATCGCCAGCTCATTCATGCCATCCATGAAGTGTGTACAGATGAGATCTTTTGCAGAACCTGCAGAAAAGGATTGCATGGAGGCAGTGAAAGGTAATGGAGGAGGAAAACACAGGCAATCTGACAACAGAGTCCCAATAACCCCTTTCTACCAAGAACCCTTTCCCACTCACCGTATGCCATGAATGATGTGACAACCCACAGCTCATTGTCTGCAATAAAAGTGGCTCGATATGGCACGATATTGGGATGGTTGAAGAGTTTGGAGACATGCAGCTCGCCCTGGAAGCAATGATGAAGCTGAAGTCAGAACCAAATGGCACTGAAGGATGCCGCTCAACACAAAGATGGCAGCATGGACAATAGGGGGACCTGGCACTTTCTGGGTGTTCTCAGAGTCATGGGAACAGCCTAAGCAGGTGCCTGCCAACATAGGAAAAACAAGGCCCTGCTGCCTCTGCAGGGACCCAGCACTGCTTTGCCTCTGCCAGATAGGGAAACTGCCAACAACAAAGGGTGCCAGCACACCGACTCAGAGATGATGAAGGCAAACTGTTGACTGAAGACTTCTGAAGTTATAAGCTTATCTCAATTTCAAGGGCCAACGTATAGAATTCCTCTTTAAGATAAGAAAACAAAAAATATTTTGTTGTTGTTATTTGTAGAGACAAGGTCTCACTGTGTTGCCCAGGCTGGTCTCAAACTCCTGGGCTCAAGCAGTCCTTCTGCCTCAGCCTCCCAAAGTGCTAGGATTATAGGCGTGAGCCACCAAGCCACTGCACCTGGCCAAAAATGTTTTCTTTTTTATTTTTTTGAGACAGGGTCTTGCTCTGTCACCCAGGCTGGAGTGCAGTGGTGTGATCCCGTCTCACTGCAGCCTGAACTTCCCAGGCTCAAGTCATCCTCCCACCTCAGCCTCGCTGGTAGCTGCGACCACAGGTGGACGTCAACATACCTAGCTAATTTTTTATATTTTTTTGTAGAGACAGGGTTTTGCCATGTTGCCTAGGCCTGCTTTGGCCTCCCAAAGTGCTGGGATTGCAGGCGTGAGCCACTGTGCCCAGCCCAAAACTATGTTTCTATTATAAAAGAAAACATGGCCGGGCATGGTGGCTCACGCCTGTAATCCCAGCACTTTGGGAGGCGAGGCAGGCAGATCACTTGAGCCCAAGAGTTGGAGACCAGCCTGGGCAACATGGCGAAACCCCATCTATATGAAACATACAAAAAATTAGTTGAGCATGGTGGTGCATGCCTTTAGTCCCAGCTACTCGGGAAGCTTAAGTGGTAGAATCACCTGTGCCTGAGCAGTTGAGGCTGTGGTGAGCTGTGATTGCACCACCGCACTCCAGCCTGAGCAACAGAGCCAGACCTTGTCTCAAATAAAGAAAAAAAAAAGAAAAAGAAAACACAGTTGATGGAGGAGAAGGCCAGCTGAGACTGGCTTCTGCTCCATCCTCAGACCCACCAAACTACTATGAACAGATGAACAGGTCCTAGAGCACCATCAGGTAACCACCAATTCAGAAAAAGTTGTAAATGAAGGAGGGGAGGGGCTGCAACTAACTCTACTGAAGGAAAACTGCCCCAGGCCCTGACTCTAAGCTGGCATCAGGAAAGGAGAGTCTAACTCCCAAGCACTTACTAGACTCACAGTCTCTCTCCGTTTTGTTTTGTTTTATTTTTTGAGCCAGGGACTCAGTCTGTCACCCAGGCTGGAGTTTGGTAGTGCAATCTCAAACTCCCGGGCTCAAGCAATCTCCCTGCCTTGCCCTCCCAAAGTGTTGGGATTACAGGCATGAGCTACCATGCCTGCCCCCTCTCTCAGTTTAACGAGAGAGTGGCTACTTGCTTCTCGAATAGAAAGGAATGTCAGGACTGGGCATAGTGGCTCACACCTGTAATCCTAGCATTTTGGGAGACTGAGGTGAGTTGATTGCTCGAGCTCAGGAGTTTGAGACCAGCCTGGGCAAGATGGTGAAACTCTGTCTCTACAAAAAATACAAAAATTAGTCAGGTGTGGTGTGCCTATAGTCCCAGCTACTTGGGGGGCTGAGGCAGGAGAATCATTTGAGCCCAGGAGGTTAAGGCTGCAGTAAGCCGTGGTCCTGCCACTGTACTCCAGCCAGGGCAATAAAATGAGACCCTGTCTCGAAAAAAAAGAGGCCAGATGCGGTGGCTCACATTTGTAATCACAGCACTTTGGGAGACCAAGGCAGGCAGATCACCTGAAGTCAGGAGTTTGAGACCAGCCTGGCCAACATGAAGAAACCCCGTCTTTTCTAAAAATACAAAAGTTAGCCGGGCATGGTGGTGTGCGCCTATAGTCCCAGCTACTCGGGAGGCTAAGGCAGGAGAATCGCTTGAACCTGGGAGGTGGGGGTTGCAGTGAGCCGAGATCGTGCCACTGCACTCCAGCCTGGGTGACAGAGTGAGAATCCGTCTCAAAAAAAAAAAAAAAGAAAAGAAAAAGAAAGGAACATCAGGCAAACAGGAGGCTGAGAGCCAGAAGATGGCCACTGGTGGCAGGGCAGGCACCTTGTGTCTGGAACAAGATGGCCTGGGTTTGAATCCTGCCTCTGCCATGAGCAAGTTACTTAGCTTCTTTCTAAATAATAAATAAATGAATAAAAAAGCCAGAAGGGAGTGTTTGGAGAAGAAAAGGGAAATATAAATTAGGCTGAGCAGCATTTCAGCCCAATCCTTAGTGCCAAATGGCCAGGATTCTCCACTGAAAGCTTCCATAACTTCCGAACGTTTAGTCTCCCTTCATTTCTTTGTAATTCCTTGTAATTCCTATCAGAGCCAAGAGCCCACCCTCCCTCCATGTGACACACTCATGGTTTATTACCTGCAAGAATGTTACCATCTCATTGGAACAAGCTTCTAGGTTAATCCTCCGTACAGTCACGTACTCTCCTGTTGGTTTGTACCTTGCTAGATTCACAGTCATCAGGTCCTCAAATCCTTTGCCTAAAAGAAAAAGGGAATGCCATACGCAAGGACAAGAACAACAAAAGGTTTTAAGAAAATTTTCCTTTAAAAAAGGGACTTGATTTCAAAAGAAACTTAATGTTAAATTTTTCACTACTGTTACTTTTTTTTTTTTCCTTTTCCCAGCAGAATTTAACTGTTATGTTCATGGCTCACATTTCTTGATTTTTCTCTCATCAGTTCCTTCTCAGCCAACCTTTCTGACTCACTATGGCCAGGACACCGGAAACATGGCAGCCACAAAGGAAAGATGGCAAAAGAGCTTCTTTCCTGGAAGTTTGATCTCTTCCCATACTTGGCATAAAAAAACAGAGAAGACCCACAGAAGCAAGTCTGTGCCCATGAATCCTCCTAACTAGTGGATGGCCTCTGCTGTACACACATCTGGGGCTGCTGAGAAAGCTGCAGCAGCCCCTGGAGCAGAAAGCAGGAGAGTAAGGACGGCCCCTGCACATACCTATCACAGTGAGCAGCTCGTAACACCCTCCCTCTGGCAGAAAGCTACTCATGACCTCCTGTTTAGAGAAGGATGCTATTGACTCTGAGCTCGCATCATTGGTCTAAAAAAGAAAAAGAAAAATAGGTTAGTAGAGAAAACTGGGGGTGGGATGGGAGTGGGGTGAAGGTGGTAATTCAGACCCACGAGGAGACTGGCATCTAAACACACACACAAATCCCGACTCAGTGCCAGCACTATTTGAAGAGAAACAAAACACTACATTCAGGGTAGTAATCAGCACTAATATCAGAGCAAGTGTTAGGGTTGTCTACAAATGAGGAGACAAGGACCTGTTCCCATCAAATGTTAATCTGCTTGTCCTTTCCAACAATCAATGCATTTGCTAAAAGCTATGAAATTCTCACTTGGAGAAGGGATGTCTAGAGAATGAAAGCATGTTTGGAAAAGAGAAGCAGGTGGAGAGGTAGGGGTTCTCATGAATTTCCTGATGCATTAGGATCCTATTTTTAAGGTCCTCACCACAAGATCCCAAAAGGTCAAACGCTGAATCTTGCTCTAGGGAAAATGTGGCCAGGAGTAGCCCCCTCTTTAGCAAACCAAGAGCCCGGGCCAGTCATTGCCTGACATTTCCAAGTGAAGTGGGAGAACCCTGATGCCCTGAGCTGCAGGCAAGGCACAGAGCTGTCAGGTCTCAGGCATCGTCCAGGCAGCTGACATGGCCTGCTCCCTCGTTCCTGCCCACGTGTGCTGTGAGTGAAGCTGGAGTCCAGCCACTTAGGATGTGTCACAACTCTGGCCTCTAAGGTCCTAGAGGAAGGTGTCCAGCCATGTCTGAGTTTGTGCAAAACACACGGCAGACCAACAGCTCTTCTTTCAGCTTAATGGACTGTTTCCTTCTTCCACACCTAAATTTATGTGTATGATTTAGGGACTGTGACTGCTTTTCTTTTAGATTCTCTTTCTTTAGATGCACATCTAACTGAAATGGAGAAACCTGGGCCAGCTCATGTTTCATGTGCTGCACTCATAAACCTGACCTCCAGGCAGAAAAAGTCCTTTGTGAAAGTATGAGAGGCTCCTGACCCAGCACTACCCAGAAGAGCACGAGCTGAGAGTGTTCTGAAAAGGCGGTGCTTGAACAACTCTTTGGGAAGCGGCTCTGCAGAGGAAACCATAAAGATGACGGTGCTCTATACCTGTAAGATGACCAGAGTATACTTTCCAGAGCACTTCCAAATTGCACATGATTCCTCCATAGCTCAGTCAAGTAGCCGGGACAGATCTTATCTCCACTTTTCACTAACAAAAACGAGGGCCAAGGAGATTATGTGACTTGCCAAAAATCAAAACGTGAGTACATGGCACAGGACCCAGGCCCAAACCAGTGAGATTAATCTACCACCCTGTTGGCTGACGTTTCACGTGTATCTGGTTTGTTTGTTGTTTTGTTGCTGTTGTTTTTAAGATATGGGTTATCTCTTTGTCGCTCAGGCTAAAGTGCAGTGGTGAGTTCCTGGCTCACCGTGGCCTCGAACTCCTGGGCTCAATTGATCCTCCTGCCTCAGCCTCCCAAGTAGCTGAGATTATTGGCAGGAGCTGAGATTATTGGCTGTATGTGGTTTCAAAACAGTTGATGCTGCTGATGGGGAAAGAAACCCTCAAGTGGGCTCTGTCTCCCTCACCACTTACCCTGGCAATAAGAGGAACCTAGTCAAGCAAAATTAAGCCCTGTCACCAAATTCCATTTCTAATTTAATCAATTTTTAAATTTCTAAGATTTGGCCATATTGTTGTATTTCACTGTAGTTCGCCCATTTTCACTGCTGTATCATATATTCAGCACATGAATATATCTCAGTTTATCCAATTCCAACTTTGATGGCTCATTTGGGTTGTTTTTCAGTTCTGCTATTATGGACTGTGCTACTATAAACATGTTTGAATATGTATCCTGACTAAAGCTTGTAATTAGGAGTGGCTGGAATTGCTAGTGACAGAGCATATGAACAATCAACTGTTTGAGACAATGCCAAATTATTTTCCAAAATGGTTATACCAATTTACACTCCCACCAGCAACGTACGTGGTTTTTTTTTTTTTTTTTTTTAGACGGAGTCTCACTCTGTCACCAGGCTGGAGTGCAGTGGCACGATCTTGGCTCAATGCAAGCTCCGCCTCCTGGGTCCAAGCAATTCTCCTGCCTCAGCCTCCCAGGTAGCTGGGACTATAGGTGTGAGCCACCATGCCTGGCTAAGTTTTGTATTTTTTTGTAGAGATGGGGTTTTGCCATGTTGCCCAGCTGGTCTTGAACTCCTGACCTCAAGTGACCCACCCAGCTTGGCCTCCCAAAGTGCTAACATTACAGGCATGAGCCACTGTGCCCGGCCACATGTGTTCTTATTAATTTATCTTTTCCCCAACACTTGGTATTTTCAGATTTCTTAATTTTTGCCAGTCTCATGGATTTGATTTACATTTCCCTGATTACTAATGAAGATGAGGATCTTTTCATATATTTATCAGTCATGTGAGCGTTCTCCAAGGTGAAAATGCCTCTTCCTGTCTCTTGACCATTTTCCTGTTGTTTCAGTGCAGGATTTCCCCAAAGTAGGCCCCACGGAACTCTGATTCTGCCAGTTGGATGGAAAAAGTTTCCATGTCCAGTGAAGTTAGGAAATGCAGCACACTCTCTCATGGAGGATCACAAGGTGTACGTCCATATTAAAGGCACTGAGAAATTCTGTAGTAAGAAAACTTACTGTGTTTAACCCAGCATTTCCCAAAGAGATCTGTCTAGGGAACCTTTTGTGCCTAACATCTGTTAAATTTTGGGAAAGATAATTGGGAAAGGCTGTTTTAAATAAAACATATGCTACAATGCAAAGAGCATAGGCTTATGGGCCACATAGAGGCAGAATTTGAACTCAGGTCTATTACTGGTTCTGTGACCCTGGGCAAGTCACTCTGATCTCTTGGGATCTCCATTATATCAGCAGCTGAATAATTTCCATCTCATAGTGTTGTATCTATTAGATGAGATAAAATATGTTAAGAGCTTAGTGCTACCTGGTGTATAAAAGACATTCAATACATGTGAATCCTATTCTCCTCCTCCTTCTATTGCTCTCTACTTTTTGGTGACTCTCCTGTTGAACAAATAAAATGGAAAAGAGAAAATGGAGGAAACAGAATCCTAAGCAGAGCTTGATCAGTAAAGTTGATTTGATACTGGTTTTTATACTTATCTGTGTTTTCTAATGCTCTCAAAATAAATTCTAGGATCATTAAATTTTATTTTATTTTATTTATTTATTTTTGAGACGGAGTCTCACTTTGTCACCCAGGCTGGAGTGCAATGGCGTGATCTCAGCTCACTATAGCCTCTGCCTTTTGGGTTTAAACGATTCTCCTGCCTCAGCCTTATAAGTAGCTGGGACTACAGGTGCGAACCACCATGCCCGGCTAAGTTTATTTATTTATTTATTTATTTTAGACAGACTCTCACTCTGTTGCCCAGGCTGGAGTGCAGTAGTGCGATCTCAGCTTACTGCAACCTCTGCCTCCTGGGTTCAAGTGATTCTCCTGCCTCAGCCTCCCAAGTAGCTGGGATTACAGATGCCTGCCACCACCCCTAATTTCTGTATTTTTAGTAGAGACAGGGTTTCACCATGTTGGCCAGATTGGTCTCGAACTCCTGACTTCAAGTGATCTACCCGCCTCAGCCTCTCAAAGTGCTGGGATTACAGGTGTGAGCCACCATGCCCAGCTAATTTTTGTATTTTTAGTAGAGACAGGGTTTCACCATGTTGGCCAGACTGGCCTTGAACTCCTGGACCTCAAGTGATCCTCCCACCTTGGCCTCTCAAAGTGCTGGGATTATAGGCGTGAGCCACCATGCCTGGCCTAGGATCACTAAATTTTTAAAAATTATTATTATTATTATTTGAGATAGGCTCTCAATATGTCACCCAGGCTGGAGTGCAGTGGCAAGATGATGGCTCACTGCAACCTCAATCTCCCAGGCTCAAGCAGTCCTCTCAAGTGGCTAAGACTACAGGCATGTGCCACCACGCCTAGCTAATTTTTGTATTTTTTGTAGAGATGAGGTCTCCCTATGTTGCTCAGGCTGGTCTCAAACTCCTGGGCTCAAGCGATTCTCTTGCCTCGGCCTCCCAAAGTACTGGGATTACAGGCTTGAGCCACTGCACCCTGCTGACTCTAGCTTTTTGAAACGATCTCATCTTCAGAATCATCTTAAGATGTTAAGATACTGGTTACCACATGCCAGGTACCTCACCAAGGTGAGAGAGATACACAACCAGGAGGCAAAAATGGAGCAGCAATTTGAGCAAAAAGCCTCAAGCAAGAGTTCTGAAATGACAACTCTCCATCGGTTTAGAATTCACAACGCTCATTTGGTCTTGAAGTGTCTCATTTTCTCAACCTTATATACGCCTAACTCCTGCACATATTCTTGCTCTGCAGATTCTGTTTTCTTAAGTATTAATCTATTCCTTAATAAAATCAATGTTAACAGTTAATAGAAAGCTCAGTGGGTTGCTTTCAGACCCAAACTCCCCACCCCAGCCTATGAGTATACAAATGATTTGGCCCTTGCCTACCTCTGTGATCTCATTCCACACCACGCTCGCCTGACTTGAACAATATTCCCACATAAACAAGTGTGTTCCAGTCTCAGGAAACTTGCACTAACTGTCCCTTTGGAACCCTCCTAGCCTCCTCCTTCCCTTGACCCTGCTATTTTTCTCATGGCTACCTCCTCAACATCACTGATGTCTCAACTTAAATGTCCTTTTCAGAGAGACTGCCCAGCCAAAGTAAACTAGGCTCCTGGTCACGTTATCAGACAGCCTTGCTTTCCTTTCTTCACAGAAGTTACCATTGCAGCTTATTTCTCTAAAATCTTCCACTAAAGTTTCTTCCATTAAAATGCAAGCACCAGAAAGGCAGGGACCTTGTCTGTCATGTTCACTGATGTATTCCCCCAGTGCCTGGAACACCGCTGGCAAATGCTTAAAAAATGAAAATGATTTAAGCAAAGTTTGAACTGAGGCTTTCTGCCCATGATCTTTTCATTCCCACGGGCTAAAGAAGAGAATAGGTCAATGCAGCCAGTTCCTTTGGTAACGGGTTCAGCATGATGACCTATGCTGGAAATGCCAGCCTCATAATGACACAGTCGTTAGATTCCTGTGTTACTCAGAACACTCTATAGACCAGAATCTGATTCCTGCATGTGAGAAAGTACTGCATTTTTCAGTAGGTAACAATATGGCCTCAATGAGAGGCAACTACTTTGTATCTGAAGGTCTTCGTGCATCTGCTCTCTAAGCAAACTCCTTAAAATTTCTCTCACTTGAAAAAGAGACTATGAAAGACAGCTGAGTCCTGAGATTCAAATATTCATTTTATGTACTTTAAATAACTCCCTTTGGAGAAACCACAGATAGATACTACTTTTTTTTTTTTTTTGAGACAGAGTCTCGCTCTATCGCCCAGGCTGGAGTGCAATGGCGCGATCTCGGCTCACTGCAACCTCCACCTCCCAGGTTCAAGTGATTCTCCTGCCCCAGCCTCCTGGGTAGCTGGGATTACAGGTGCGTGCTACCATGCCCGGCTAATTTTTGCATTTTTAGTAGAGATGGGGTTTCATTGTGTTGGCCAGGCTGGTTTCAAACTCCTGACCTCAGGTGATGCGCGCACCTCGGCCTCCCAAAGTGCTGGGGTTACAGGCGTGAGCCATGGCGCCCGGCAGATAGATACTTCATTACCTATGTCCCTCTTCCTTGTCAGGCGTGCATATAAGCTTATAAGACATATTGTCTACTAGGCTATACACTAAGACACATTCTTGCTAAGCCTAGGTAGGGAATGATTCATTAAACTATCAATGTGCTTAGTTAGTAACTTGACAATATTTATTTCTACTCTCCAGTATTACAGAAAACTACCAAAACTAACCCAAAAGTATTAGTTTTAGAAAATAAAATTCTTTTTCTTTTTTTTTTTTGAGACAGGGTCTCACTCTGTCACCCAGGCTGGAGTACAGTGGCATGATCATAGTTCACTACAGCCTCGAACTCCAGGGCTCAAGCGGATCCTCCCACCTCAGCCTCCCAGGTATATGCCACCATGCCAAGCTAATTTTTTTTTTTTTTAATTAGGGACAGAGTCTCACTCTGTCTCCCAAGCTGGAGTGCAATGGCGCTATCCTAGCTCACTGCAGCCTTGAACTCCTGGGCTTAAGGGATTTTTCTGCCTCATCTTCCTGGGTAGCTAGGACTACCAGTGTGCGCTACCATGCCTGGCTAGTTTTTTTGTTTTTAGAGATGGGGTCTCACTATGTTGCCCAGGCTGGCTTCAAATTCCTGGCCTCAAGTCATCCTCCTGCCTCAGCCTCCCAAAGTGCTGGGTTTACAGGTGTGAGCCACCACACCTGGCCTTTAGAAAATAAAGTTCTGGGGGCTGGGCGAGGTGGCTCACACCTGTAATCCCAGCACTTTGGAAGGCCGAGGCAGGCGGATCACAAGGTCAGGAGATTGAGACCATCCTGGCCAACACAGTGAAACCCTGTCTCTACTAAAACTACAAAAAATTAGCTGGGCATGGCAGCGGGCACCTGCAGTCCCAGCTACTCGGGAGGCTGAGGCAGGAGAATGCCGTGAACCCGGGGAGGCAGAGCTTGCAGTGAGCTGAGATCGCGCCACTGCACTCCAGCCTGGGCGACAGAGCGAGACTGTTTAAAAAAAAAAAAAAAAAAAGTAAAAAAAGAAAATAAAGTTCTTGGCCAGGCATGGTGGCTCACGCCTGTAATCCCAGCACTTTGGGAGGCTGAGACAGGTGGATCATCTGAGGTCAGGAGTTCGAGTCCAGCCTGACCAACATGGTGAAACCCTGTCTCTACTGAATACAAAAAATTAGCTGGGTGTGGTGGCACATGTCTGTAATCCCAGCTACTTGGGAGGCTGAGGAAGGAGAATCGCTTGAACCCAGGTGGCAGACGTTGCAGTGAGCTGAGATTGCACCATTGCACTCCAGCCTGGGCAACAAAAGTGAAGCTCCGGCTGGGCGTGGTGGCTCACGCCTGTAATCCCAGCACTTTGGAAGGCCGAGGCAGGCGGATCACAAGGTCAAGAGAACGAGACCATCCTGGACAACATGGTGAAACTCCGTCTCTATTAAAAGTATAAAAATTAGCTGGGCGTGGTGGCGGGTGCCTGTAGTCCCAGCTACTCGGGAGGCTGAGGCAGGAGAATCGCTTGAACCCGAGAGGTGGAGGTTGCAGTGAGCCGAGATCATGCCATTGCACTCCAGCCTGGGTGACAGAGTGAGACACCGTCTCAAGAAAAAATAAAATAAAAAAAAATAAAGTGAAGCTCCATCTCAAAAAAAAAAAAAAAAGTTCTTGACTGGGCACGGTGGCTCACGCCTGTAATACCAGGACTTTGGGAGGCTGAGTAGGGTAGATCACTTGAGGTCAGGGGTTCGAGACCAGCCAACATAGTGAAACCCTGTCTCTACTAAAAATATAAAAATTAGCTGGGTGTGATGGCACAGGCCTGTAATCCCAGCTACTCGGGAGGTTGAGGCAGGAGAATTGCTTGAACCCAGGAGGCAGAGGTTGCAGTAAGCCGAGATCGCACCACTGCACTCCAGCCTGGGCAACAGAGTGAGATTCGGTCTCAAAAAAAAAAAAAAGAAAGAAAGAAAATAAAGTTCTTTATGAAACTGGCAATATGAGCTCACAGGCAATCTGGAATTGCATAAAATGAACTAGTCCAGTGATAGCAACTGCTCTGTCCCCAGCTTACTAGGAATGATTCTAAAATGGAGGCCTTCTACTTTGTGGATATTGTATAGGTCCGAACTCAAAGAGAGACCAAACTTCATTTAGGAAAACAAACAAACAAACAAGGAAACAGGCAATATTTTGAAAGGAAGAAGTCTAGATCATCTGACATTGCCACAAGAAACGCAGGTTAGTTCATCACACTGTTTCAGTTTTAGAACAGGTCTAAACTCAGATAAAAAGAATGAACTATTTAGCCCATTCTCTTTAAATGCAGCATGGCATAGTTTAATTAGTGCAATGTAATAATCTCCAATTGCTCATAGAAAGGAACTAATTCTGTCAAAGTGTTTTCTTAGTTTCCCCCACCATGAAATGCATTTTATTCATTTTGAAGCATCTGAAAAATAAATAAGCAGCTGATATCCAGAAATGACCATAAAATAACTGTGTTTAAAGAGTTTAAAACAAAATACAGTAAAGCACACAAAGACAATATTCACAAAATGCTACCAAATAAACACATTCAACTTCCCACAGGTTTCACACAGGATAACTTTTGATATAACATCAGCAGCTGTAAAAATATAAAAATCCTATGTAATTGGCATCGTATTCTAGAAAAATAGCTAACTGAGCCTATAGGGAACGTTTTTGGTCTTCAGATTGGAAAGCATTTGGATCTGATAGAGAGGTGCTCCTGATTAGCAGATGACATAAGCACAGCCAAAGCTTTACTCAGAAATTCCCAGTCAACATCACTGTCCTTCACTCAACCTTAGGGCTGCTGCAGAAGCTGCAAATGTCTGCAATCTGAACAGAGTCAGAAGTCTAGGTAGGAAAGGTTCTTATCCTCTCTCCTTATAAGACACTGATTCATATATTCCAAAATAGCTTGGTACACTGTGCACATCTGGTGCTATTTATTTAAGTAAAATAAACTAGAAGAGAAGGAAACAGGGTAAGAATCTTGCAGCTTTCACCAATGAAAAAAGTAAATGTTCTGTTTTATACTTTTTAATTTTGCTTTTGTTTTTTAAGGTAAGAGATTTGAGGTCCTGTCTTATTATCTAGGCAGAGATCTGTATTATCTCTGTGGACTAAAATCTATTATTAATAAACTAAGGACGGAAAATTTAATAACATTAGTCACTAAACAATAACCGTATTTCTGACTGTTGAAACTTACTTTTTTGGGGGAAGGGGTGGCAGTCGATTGGCAGGGCTGGGGAGAGGAGGAGACCTTAATCCCCAGAAGAGACAAAAACTACCTGAGACTTTTTTCAGTTTTCAAACTACACATCCAAATTTTTCCAGGGTGAAACCTGAATCTCCACAAGTACAAAAATCACACTACAAATAAAGCTCAGTGACAGATAAGCAGAAACATAAAATGATAAGCCAACAAAACACACAAACTTCCACAAGAAGTCATCTCCATGCAACAGCCATAGTGCTAGGGCCTAGGAAGCCACTTACTTTTCTCCGAGTGTCACCCGGAGGCTGCTCTGGGGTAGAGAAATTGATTGTTGGCATTTTGTGTTTTAGCAGAAGACACACCCACATTCAGAACAGCAATTATTGTACTTAGGACTACATTTATTAATAGAAACCACTTAAAAGTCATTACAGCAAAAAGTGCCTGCGGGGCTACATATAAACACACACAGATCCACAGTAAAAATGCTGCAGAGAGATAGGGCTTTAAACATGGATCTATGGTTCTTCAAAAGGTGGCAAGGCTACTACTCTATGGGTATTCTTTACTGGATAGAACTCAACTCTTACATTTCTGGTCATACATTTACTTGGCATCAACACACAATGTTATTATGAATAGGCCAGTTCCTTATATTTTGTGAATAAACAATTGATTATATAGTTACAGAGATGGTTGGCCATTTCCCAGTGAGTGTGGGAACTAGAAAACATGTTTTTTCAAAAAAGGGCAAAAAGTTTTAAAATAGCAACACGTGTATGAAGGACCATTACCCAACCTGATTCTCTAAAGTCAGATATATTTGATTCTAAATGTAAATAAAGCAAAGGCATTTTGGCGCTCTGCTTGTCCTAGTGAAAATGAACAAAACAAAGGACAACTGAAATAACTTTCTGTTCTTAAGCCAAATTCTGTATGTGCTTTTGACCTTCTCTATTCTGTAAAAGTGATAAAAATCACCAAACTGAAGATTTTTAACTGTAAAATATTGGGGTGATTATACATTTCTAATTATCTTAAATTATACAATTCTAAATACCTTAAACTACAAAATCAGAAAAGTCTAGTTACCAAGGAAAATGCTTTCTTCTTTTTAATTTTTTTTTTAATTTTTTATTTTTTGGAGGCAGAGTCTTGCTTTATCCCCTAGGCTGGAGTGCAGTGGTGTGATCCTGGCTCACTGCAACCTCCGCCTCCCGGGTTCAAGCGATTCTCCTGCCTCAGCCTCCCAAGTAGCTGGGATTACAGGTGCCTGCCACCACGCCTGGCTAATTTTTATGTTTTTAGTAGAGATGGGGTTTTGCCATGTTGGCCAGGCTGGTCTCCAACTCCTGACCTCAGGTGATCTGCCTGCCTCAGTCTTCCAAAATGCTGGGATTACAGGTGTGAGCCACTGCGCCTGGCCTACCTTTTTTTTTTTTTGAGACGGAGTCTCCCTCTGTCGCCCAGGCTGGAGTGCAGTGGCACGATCTTGGCAATTCTCCTGCCTCAGCCTCCTGAGTAGCTGGGATTACAGGCGTGCGCCACCATGCTGACTATCTTTTTTTTGTCTTTTTAGCAGAGATGGGGTTTTCACCATATTGCCAGGCTGGTCTTGAACTCCCGACCTTGTGATCTGCCCACCTCGGCCTCCCAAAGTGCTGGGATTCCATGCATGAGCCACCGTGCCCAGCCTCATTGTTTACTTTGAAACCATTTTATTCCCATTAATGATGGGAAGAAAATGAGAATAGGAACAGAATGTGGTATTTTTGTTCCACTATCCTTTCCTTTACTGTGCATCTAACTAATTCTTTCCAACTAAAATATAAAGAACTCATCATTATTCTAAACTCCCATTTATCTAAAACATAATACTTTGACAAAGTTCACAGATATCACTAGTCCAGAAATTCTTTGAGATGTGTTAGGGAAAATAATAGGTACCACCTAGTAACTAACAAGTTTGAGTTTTCAATTACTTAAACCTATCCCTGACCTTGTGATCCGCCCGCCTGGGCCTCCCAAAGTGAAACCCTGTCTCTACTAAAAATACAAAAAAAATTTAGCCGGGCATGGTGGTGTGATCCTGTAATCCCAGCTACTCAGGAGGGCTGAGGCAGGAGAATCTCTTGAACCCGGGAGGCGGAGTTTGCAGTGAGCCGAGATCGTGCCACTGCACTCCAGCTTGAGCGACAGAGCGAGACTCTGTCTCAAAACAAAACAACAACAAAATAAAACAAGACCAAAAAAACCTATCTGGGCGTATTTTGGATCAGCTAACCAATGTACTCAATCTGATAATCTGTTTTTTAAATTTCCTTCTTATTTTATTTTTTGAGACGGAGTCTCAAAAACTCAGCCTTGCTCTGTCGCCCAGGCTGGAGTGCAATGGCGTGATCTTGGCTCACTGCAACCTCCACCTCGCGAGTTCAAGCCATTCTCCTGCTTCAGTCTCCCTAGCAGCTGGGACCACAGGTGTGCATCACCATGCCCGGCTAATTTTTGTATTTTTAGTAGAGATGTGGTTTCACCACGTTGGCCAGCCTGGTCTTGAACTCCTGACCTCAGGTGATCCGCCTGCCTCGGCCTCCCAAAGTGCTGGGATTACAGGCGTGAGCCACCGTGCCCGGCCGATAATCTGTTTCTTTCTTTCCTTTTTTTTTTCTTTGAGACGGAGTCTAGCTCTGTTTCCCAGGCTGGAGTGCAGTGGCGCGATCTCCGCTCATTGCAAGCTCCGCCTCCTGGGTTCACGCCATTCTCCTGTCTCAGCCTCTGGAGTAGCTGGGATTACAGGCACCCACCACCACGCCCGGCTAATTTTTTTGTATTTTTAGTAGAGACGGAGTTTCACCATGTTAGCCAAGATGGTCTCGATCTCCTGATCTCGTAATCTGCCCACCTCGGCCTCCCAATGTGCTGGGATTACAGGCGTGAGCCACCATACCCGGCCGGTAATCTGTTTCTTAAACTATAGGATCCTAAAAGAGTATCTTAGAATTCAGACACAAAGAATGGGGCTCTACTATTATTTTTATTGAAAATAATTTTTGTTGCCCTAAATTAAGATGACAGTTCCCAAAAAGGCTCACTTTGAAAATGGCCAAAGGGTAATGCCTAGGCCTGTCAAAGTTTACTTCTGAAATCAACAGTCAGGTTTTACAATAGGAAGTTCATATTTTTGTTCTGAAAGATTTTTCCTTAGTTCTCTTAAATCTCATAATTTCTACCATGAAAAAATGAGTCAACTAGATTCATCAATAAAACCAGAACTTTCATATCATTGCTTCCTTTGTCTTGACAATTATTTTTTAAATCAAGGCTACAGACTTTTAAATAGTTTTCTTCCTTTAAAAATATGTATTTCACCTGGACAAAAGAAAACATATATGCTTTTAAGTAAATACTGGCTTTCTAACAATCAAGACAGGCCAAGGAAAATTGCCATGTTAGTCTTCAAATCTTTGGGAAACCATAAATTCAAAAAGGAACCAAAGAAATCCAACAACTGTAGGTTACACTTGCCCTTAGAATTGCCAATTGCTATAGATTGATTTAGTCAACAAAAAAGTAGTGATTTTTATATCCTGAAGTGATGGCTAAATGCCATACTGTACTTACCTCCAAATAGTTCCAAATCTCTTAAGCCCTCAACAATGAACTTTTCCGAGACCCACCGCTAAAGAGGAAAACCCCAAAGAGAATTAGTATTTCTTCCAAGCCGCAACAAATTAGCTATCAGCCTTTAGACAGACAAACAAAATCCCAACTATGAAAACAGAATCATGCAGTACAGTTAGGAATCATTTCTATGGAAAAGTTTTTAACAGAATCTTGAACTAAAAACAAGATTCCTTTCTCCACTCCTCTTTGCCTATTTGATGAATAATTCTTAAATTTGACAGATGAGAAATAGATAGTACTGGCTGTAATAATGAAGACTGTTTTTGCCTTCCCTATATTGGTTCCATCTTACTCGTTCTACATTACAGATGCCTTGGATCACTGATGTCAATTTGAAAACTATTACTGGAATTCATAACACAGAAAACAGAGATGAAACAGTAGTTATTCACAAGACCCTGTTAGTTTGTAAAATGGCACACAACAAGTTGCATATTCTTTATCCACTAGGGGTTCTAAAGACATGGCTGCTTACATTTTCTGCCAAGTTCACAAGGGCCAAACTAGTAAGACCAAACTAGCAGGATCAATCTATGGCTCACTTTACTGGCCTATTTCAAACGAGTATTAGATTTCTGTCATTCTGATCAGTGGTTTCGTTTCACCTGAATTAGGCTACGTTGAAGCAGACAAGGAGCTCATATTTAAAAGCAATGGAATCAAGATTGTATTTCCCTTAAGGACTGGTGTTACACTTTGGCTTGGGGGCATTCTTTCCACTGGGCAGAGTTCAGGCTATGGAGAGATTCCTTTTTTCCTCTTAATTAACAGTGAAGTTTACTCTTTCTAATATAAATTGTTCTTATATGCATAAACATTAGAAAAAAGATTAAGTAACATTCAGAAATAAGTTGCATGATACAGACTGTGAATTGGAACTATAGCATCTTCTGCCCTTACCTATAACTATTTTTTCCAAATCAAAAAAGAAGTAATATCCTAAATTGAAAACTTCATAAAAATTATATGCACTGCATCAAAAAACATAAATTATGCTTTAATATGTAAAGAAAGTGGTATACTCATAATATCTCATAGCACTTATACACTGTTACAAAATTCTAAAATAATTACAACTGCATTTAGAAATTAGGTACTTGATAATAAAGAAAATAAGAAACTCATGAAATAATGGGAATTTGTAAAGAAGCTAAATCTAGTATTGTTTTTGAAATCATTTTATCTGACGAAGTTTTGAAGTATAATAAAATCTTTCATGTTCAAAATGTCTTCAATTAAAACTAATGATATTACTTAGAAAAAAGTGTCCTAGTAATTACAACTTGATTTTGAAAACTCACAACCTCACGGGGGGTCATAAGCAGTTAAACGTCTACACTTAAAAGTATCATCGACTCATTTAATGTTGTATGACTGATATTCATGAAATAAGCCACTTTCTTCTTATTTCTTCTCTATCAGACAAGCTGGTGGTAAATTTTGTGTCTCTGGTCAGCCTCTGTCTGCAAACTCTTCTCAGGAGTGGAGGCTGCACTACCTGCCTTACTTCCTACATCCCTCACTTCCGTATCATTCCGACCCTCACGTAGAAAACCACCTACAACATCTGCCAAAATACACTGCTTTTCAGAAAACAAAAATAGTAAAGCCAGAAGAATAGAAAAACACTCACCCTGATTCGCTCTGGTTTACTTACAAGAAATGACATGAGTTCCTACTGTGTAGGCCTACTTCAGTTTCAAAAACTTAAACCTAAAAGGAAAATAGAAACAGGTTGAGTTAGCAAAAATCTCCTTATAGAGAAATATCTTCTGATTAACAAAAACTTATTACAGGTCTACCATTCAAAGCACTGGACTTCACCTATAAATTGCTAGATTTGTTTAGAGAAACTTTAAGTGATGATAAATCTGAATATACTTTGGCCAAGTACATTATAAAATTCTGTAATTTCTGGCCAGATGTGGTGGTTCACGTCTGTAATCCCAGCACTTTGGGAGGCCGAGGCGGGCGGATCACCTGAGGTCAGGAGTTCGAGACCAGCCTGGCCAACATGGTGAAACCCCATCTCTATAAAAAAAAAAAAAAAAAAAAAAAAAGCCAGGCAAGGTGGCAGATGGCTGTAATCCCACCTACTTAAGAATCGTTTGAACCCAGGAGATGGAGATTGCAGTGAGCCAAGATCACGCCATTGCATTCCAGCCTGGGTGACAGAGTGAGACTGTCTCAAAAAAAAAAAAAATTTTAATTAATTAATTTCTGTAGAAAGAGAAATTTGTCATTATATGGTTTTAAATTAATTCCTAAATTTCTCTTGACTTAATCCCCCACTAACCTTTTCCCAGAAGCAATTACCTTCAGTTATTTTCCATGGTTATCCTGCTTTTTATTTATTTACTTCTTATAGAGACAGGGTCTCTCTATGTGGCCCAGGCTGGTCTGGAACTCCTGGACTCAAGCGATCCTCCCATCTTGGCCTCCCAAAGTGTGGGGGTTACCACGTGAGCCACCATGCACAGTGTTATCCTGCTTTTTAATAATTATTCTTAAACAATGTTTATATGGGTATGACTTAATTTTAGACTTTTAAAATTTTCTTTACTGCTCCTTGCAGAGCAGGGCTAACTCATAGACAATGTACCCAGAGTCAGCCAGTTTTAACTTCCTACTATGGTAGATGAAGATGAAGCTTCTTATAGCATCATCTTCCACTGTATCTCCTGCTCTCATTCTACCAACATAGCTCTGGCATAATTTGGTTAAATCAATAGTCCACATTTATATTATTATGACTATGCAAATATGGTTCAGAGCTGAGGCAAATAGAAATAACTATGTCTCAGCCAGGCCTGGTGGCTCAAGCCTGTAATCCCAGCACTTTGGGAGGCTGAGGTGGGTGGATCACTTGAGGTCAGGAGTTCGAGACTAGCCTGACCAACATGGTAAAACCCTGTCTCTACTAAAAATACACAAAAAAATTAGCCAGGCATGGTGACAGGCACCTATAGTCCCAGCTACTCAGGAGGCTGAGAAAGAAGAATTGCTTGAACCCAGGAGGCAGAGGTTGCAGTGAGCCAAGGTCGCGCCACTGCACTCCAGCCTGGGTGACAGAGCTAGACTCCATCTCAAAACAAACCAAAAAAAACAACAAAAAAAAAACCATGTCTCTTTTCCTTTTCCTTTTTTTTTTTTTGAGATGGAGTTTCACTCTTGTTGCCCAGGCTGAAGTGCAGTTGCACGATCTTGACTCACTGCAACCTCCGCCTCCCAGGTTCAAGTGATTCTCCTGCCCCAGCCTCCAGAGTAGCTGGGATAACAGGTGCCTGCCACCATGCCTGGCTAATTTTTGTATTTAGTAGAGATGGCGTTTCACCATGTTGGCCAGGCTAGTCTCGAACTCCTGACTTCAGATGATCCACCCGCCTCGGCCTCCCAAAGTGCTGGGATTATAGGCATGAGCCACTGTGCCCAGACAATGTCTCTCTTTCCTTATACACCTATTTTTTCCTAGAGTTAATAACTGCCTCATTTGTTCACTTGCTTGGTTTCCCATATAGCTATTATTAACTTTTTACAAACACGCCAACATCTCTGCTATTTGCCTTATCAATGTATTTTTCCATACCCTCAAACCCATCAATTAGAATTTTCTCCTGGAAGTTGCCTTCATAGGGCCCTCCGGTCTCCTGCTACAATCTGGACTAACTGCTTTTTAGGCCAGTTGCACTTAGTTGACTTTTTTTTTTTTTTTTGAGGCGGGGTCTGGCTCTGTCATCCAGTCTGGAGTGCAGTGATGTGATCTCTGCTCACTGCAACCTCTGCCTCCAGGGCTCCAACCATCCTCCCACCTCAGCCTCCTGAGTAGCTGGAACTACAGGTACATGCCATCATGCCTAATTTTTGTATTTTTTGTAGAGACGGGCTTTGCATTGTTGCCCAGGCTGGAGTGTGGTGGCGCGATCCTGGCTCACTGCAACCTCTGCCTCCCAGGTTCAAGTGATTCTCTGGCTTCAGCCTCCCGAGTTACTGGGACTATAGGTACGCGCACCACTACACCTGGCTAATTTTTTTGTATTTTTAGTAGAGACAGGGTTTCACTATGTTGGCCAGGCTGGTCTCGAACCCTTGATCTCAGGTGATCCACCCACCTTAGGCTCCCAAAGTGTTGGGATTACAGGTGCGAGCCACTGCGCCTGGTCTCAAGCTCTTGAGCTCAAGCAATTGTCTGCCTCAGCCTCCCAAAGTGCTAGGATTACAGGTGTGAGCCACTGCGCCTGGCCCTACCCTGATATTCTTTTTTTTTGAGATGGAGTCTCGCTCTGTTGCCAGGCTGGAGTGCAGCGGTGATCTTGGCTCACTGCAACCTCCGACTCCCAGGTTCCAGCGATTCTCCTGCCTCAGCCTCCTGAGTAGCTGGGACTACAGGCGTGCGCCACCACACCCTGCTAAGTTTTGTATTTTTAATAGAGACGGGGTTCCACCATGTTGGCCAGGATGGTCTCGATCTCCTGACCTCGTGATCTGCCCGCCTCGGGCCTTCCAAAGTGCTGGGATTACAGGCGTGACTCACTGCACCTGGCCCTGATATTCTTTCCTTTTTTTTTTTTTTTTTTTTTTTCTGAGACGGAGTCTTGCCATGTCACCAGGCTGGAGTGCAGTGGCGTGATCTCAGCTCACTGCAACCTCCGCCTCCTGGGTTCAAGTGATTCCCCTGCCTCAGCCACCCCAGTAGCTGGGATTACAGGCATGCGCTACCACACCCAGCTAATTTTTTGTATTTTTTTAGTAGAGGCGGGGTTTCACCATGTTGGCCAAGATGATCTCGATCTCCTGACCTCGTGATCCGTCCGCCTTGGCCTCCCAAAGTGCTGGGATTACAGGCATGAGCCACCGCGCCTGGCCGGCCCTGATATTCTTATAGAAGCTCCTTTTCCAACCCCAGCTGAGAATCACTCATTTATCTTGTCACAAAATTTTAAAAATATAGATTTGAAAAAACATGATTAGAATGCATATTTAATAGTATTAAACACAAAGCATCATGCAAAAGAAATTTAAGAGGAAAAAAGGTCCATATCCTCATGTAGTCTACAATAGAAAGAGAAAATTAGTGTAAAGAGGCAGATAGATGTTTTTATCTGCAAAAAAAGTTTCTATGGTCTGGAAAAATTTTGGAATTTAAAAATAAAATCAAATTTTCTTTCTTTCTTTTGTTTTTTATGAGACAGGGTTTCATTCTATTGCCCAGGTTAGAGTGCAGTGGCACAATCTCGGTTCACAGCAACCTCTGCTTCCCAGGTTCACGCCATTCTCCTGCCTCAGCCTCCTGAGTAGCTGGGACTACAGGCGCCCGCCACCACACCCGGCTAATTTTTTTTTTGTATTTTTAGTAGAGACAGGGTTTCACCATGTTAGCCAGGATGGTCTCGATCTCCTGACCTTGTGATCCACCCGCCTCGGCCTCCCAAAGTGCCGGGATTACAGGCGTGAGCCACCGCGCCTGGCCTAATTTTTTGTATTTTTAGTAGAGACGGGGTTTTGCCATGTTGCCCAGGCTAGTCTCAAACTCCTGAGCTAAGGCAGTCCACCCGCCTCGGCCTCCCAAAGTGCTAGGATTACAGGTGTCAGCTACCGCACCTGGCCAATAGTGGCATATTAAAAACCATTCTTTTTTTGGAGACAGGGTCTTGCTCTGTCACCTAGGCTGGAAAGCAGTGGTGTAACCACGGCTCACTGCAACCTCAACCTCCTGGGCTCAAGCAATCCTCCTACCTCAGCCTTCTGAATAGCTGGGACCACAGGTGTGAGAAGCTGCCTGGCTAGTTAAAAAAAAAAAAAAAATTGCTTGTGTAGGCCGGGCGTGGTGGTTCATGTCTGTAGTCCCAGCACTTTGGGAGGCTGAGGCAGATGGATTTCTGGAGCTCAGGAGTTCAAGACCAGTGTGGGCAACATGGCGAAAGCCCATCTCTACAAAAATATAAAAATTAGCCAGGCATGGTGGCATGTGCCTGTAGTCCCAACTACTTGGGAGGGTGAGGTGGGAGGATACCTTGAACCTAGGAGGCAGAGGTTGAAGTGAGCCACGATCGCACCACTGCACTCCAGCCTAGGTAACAGACTATGTTGTCCAGGCTGGTCTTGAACTCCTGGGCTCAAGTGATTCTCCTACCTTGGCCTCCCAAAGTGGTGAGACTAACAGTATGAGCCACCACACCCAGCCTAAAAACCATTTTCTTTTTGGGGAAGGACAGAGTCTCGTGCTGTTGCCCAGGCTGCAATGCAATGGTGTGGTCTCGGCTCACTGCAACCTCCACCTCCCAGGTTCATGCGATTCTCCTGCCTCGGCCTCCCAAGTAGCTGGGATTACAGGCACCCGCCACCACACCCAGCTAGTTTTTTTGTATTTTTAGTAGAGACAGGGTTTTACCATGTTGGCCAGGCTAATCTTAAACTCCTGACCTCAGGTGATCCGCCCACCTCGGCCTTCCAACTAAAAACCATTTCCTAAGAAGATTTTGGGCCTGCCAATGGGCACAAGCTAGACACACTTTTGCAAAGAGATAGGATACCCTTCTGTTCAGGTATGAATCTTTATCAGACTCCTCAATGTTCACTACTAAATGTTTAAGACATATGGGTCATATATAACTGACAATAAAACAGCAGTAATCCTGGTATTTGTCAGAATACAATCTTTTTTTTTTATTTCCTTTTAAAAATTGTATTCAGTTCTCTTGCTTTTTCTTCTTCCTTTTATCTTTGCTTTTCTATTCTTGTTTATCTTATTTTTCATCTCAAGTGGAACTGGCTCAAAGAATACAATCTTCAACCCACTCCCATTCCCATATCTCTCAAAAGACCAATTTAAAGAAATAGTATTTACAGACTGGGATTCTGCAGAAGAAGGGTTAATATAGCAGGCCTAACTTCTTATCCTTTAAAAAGTCTGCTTACGTGGTTAGCCACTGGCTGGCATTGGGGAACTTGGATTTTGAGAGATTTCCCATTTTCCTAAAAATGACAAGAGTGGCTTATTATGCCTAAACTATTTGTACAAACAGTATGGTTTATGCTGAACACCTGCTTTCCTTCTGGGAGTCCAGTTTTGATACATGCCAGGCACAGGCTGCCTACATGACCATCCTGGGTATGGAGTTTCTAATGAGCTTTCCTGGTTGATAACATTTCACACATGCTACCACAACTTCTTGCTTTGAGTCCTGTGTCACTCTACTGGGGAGGATCCTTGGAAGTTTGCTCCTGGTTTCCCCCAGACTTCACCCCATGTGCTGTTTCCCTTTGCTGGTTTTTCTTTGTATTCTTCTGTTGAAATAAATCCTAGCCATGAATGTGACTATATGCTGAGTGCTGTGAGTCCTCCTAGTGAATTACTGAACCTGAGGGTGTTCTTGGGAACCTCCAATACAGGGATACCTGAAGGAAATTATTTTAAATGTTCTAAATCTATTCCTGGATTAAGGCTGGCCAATGGATGGCTACAGGCCTAGGTCTTACTCTATTTGCCTCCAATAAAATTATTTTTACTGAACTGTACTTGAATAGCCTTTATTTTATATCAAAAGCTCTAAGAAACTTGTCACTGTTTTCAATAAGAATGTTCTAAAAATGCTTTTATTACTGTGTTCACTAAATGAGAAGAGGCAGAGGAAATGTCATTCTGGATTAAGAATCAGGGATAGGTTGGGCACGGTGGCTCATACCTGTAATCCCAGCACTTAGCAAGGCTGAGGCAGGCGGATCACTAGAGGTCAGGGGTTAGAGGCCAGCCTGGCCAACATGGTGAAAACCCCATCTCTATAAAAAATACAAAAATTAGCCGGGCATGGTGGCACTGGCCTGTAATTGCAGCTACTTGGGAGGCTGAGAATCGCTTGAACTCGGGAGGCAGAGGTTGCAGTGAGCCGAGATTGCGCCACTGCACTCCAGCCTGGATGACAGAGTGAGACCCTGTCTCAAAAAAAAAGAAAAAAGAATCAGGGATACTTTTGCTTTTTCTGAATTTTTGCCAAACTAACTTCAACCTTGACCAAATTAATCTTTCCCTAACAGCATTTACCACATGTGTATTTCAGTCCTATGTAAGAAAATGGTAAAGACACACAAAGAACTTGGAAATGTTTCAAAGATAGTAAAGATTAATTTAGAAAAATAGAAGCTATTAGGAAAGGTTAACATCTAGAAAAGAGCAAATTTGGCTGGGCACGGTGGCTCACACCTGTAATCCCAACATTTTGGGAGGCCAAGGCAGGTGGATCACCTGAGGTCAGGAGTTCAAGACCAGCCTGACCAACAGGGAGAAACCCCGTCTCTAATAAAAAATATAAAAATTAGGCATGGTGGCGGGCACCTGTAAGCTCAGCTATTTGTGAAGCTGAGACAGGAGAATCGTTTGAACCCAGGAGGGAGAGGTTGCAGTGGGCCGAGATCGTGCCATTGCACACGCCAGCTTGGGTGACAGAGCGAGACTCTGTCTCAAAAAAAAGAGTGAGCTAATTTCACCCATAATGTTACTATACAAATCGTAAGAATAATCAATAAGGTTAAAACATGGCTAAAGGCTCATTAAGAGTAACCTGAAGTCAGAGATTTATACTTAAGGGTGACAATATGGCGTAGTAAAAAAAGCACATACTCTGAAATAAGACGAGCATGGTATGAATTGCGTTCTTGCATCTGTGTTAACTTGATCAGCATACTTTGGCTTGCCGAATCTCAACGTTAATAACTCTAAAATGAGGTTAATGACATCCGTCTGACACCTGAGACAAATATCTTTCTCCCTCTGATAGTGATGCTTATAATAATGGCTTATGTTTCTAGGAGAGACCTTAAAATTAACTTTTTCAGAGAATTAGAAAGATTAGATTTCAGGTTTCTGATTTAAGATTTTAGAATCTCACCTCTCTCCCAAGGTCCCAATTAAGGCAAAGGAATACAAATAATAACCATATATCTGAGGACAGAATGAGAGGAGCTATTAGATGAAATTTCAATAAATTTCTAGGAGTTGAAAAGTGGACATAAGGGTGCTGTCTCAGGAAATGGAGAGAAAGCTGCAGGCTAGAATGTGAATGGAGAGTATAGTAGAGGAGACGGCAGATATGCCCAGCAGACAATCCTAAGGGGTTCTGAAACAAAACTGCGCAATAAGGAATGAGGGAAGGAGAAGTGGGGCTGAAAACAAGCCCCTGGCGTAACTGCCCACTCATGTCCATGAGTCTTAAATCCACAGAGCTCCCAGTCAGCAGCTTTTCTATTCCTCTTTTTTTTTTGAGACGGAGTCTGGCTCTGTCGCCCAGGCCAGGCTGGAGTGCAATGGTGCGATCTTGGCGCACTGCAACCTCTGCCTCTTGGGTTCAAGGGATTCTCCTGCCTCAGCCTCCGGAGTAGCTGGGATTACTGGCATGTGCCACTACGCCCGGCTGATTTTTGTATTTTTAGTAGAGACGGGGCTTAACCATGTTGGCCAGGCTGGTCTCAAACACCTTAGGTGATCCACCCGCCTCAGCCTCCCAAAGTGCTGGGATTACAGGCATGAGCCACTGCACCCAGCCCCATACACGGTTTTTAATGAAATTATTTTAATGTACTCCAAATAATATTCCAGTAAAATGAGGCTAAAATTTAAAAAGGAAGCTATGAGATATAAAAAGTGGTGTGTCCAGCCGGGCGCGGTGGCTCACTCCTGTAATCCCAGAGCTTTGGGAGGCTGAAGCGGGTGGATCATCTGAGGTCAGGAGTTTGAGACCAGCCTGCCCAACATTGCAAAACACTGTCTCTACTAAAAATACAATAATTAGCCAGGCATGTTGGCAGGTGCCTGTAATGCCAGCTACTCGGGAGGCTAAGGCAGGAGAATTGCTTGAACTTGGGAGGCAGAGGTTGCAGTGAGCCAAGATCACGCCATTGCACTCCAGCCTGGGTGACAGAGTGAGGCTCTGCCCCAAGAAAAAAAAAATAATAATAAAGTGGTGTGTCCACTGAAGAGATATCTCAAGATGATAGCTACGAAGCTGATCAAGAAAGGAATCAGTCAAAACTAGAACATGAAGTTGGCAGGTTGAAGAAAATATAATAATATCATGAAATATACAGATTATAAAGGATGAAAAATATCACGGACAGGGTGGAAAGTGGCCTATTTCTTCCCCCCACGCCCCCCCCACCAAAAAAAAATCAAGCAGAAAGGCAACCAAAAATTCCAACAGAAATTAAAACTATATTTTAAAAGTCAAAGTCCGAATTTGAAACAAACTTAAATGTGTTACAATTTTTAGATAGCATGGCTGGGCACAGTGGTCCACGCCTATAATCCCAGCACTTTGGGAGGCTGAGGAGGGCAGATCACCTGAGGTCAGGAGTTCAAGACCAGTCTAGTCAACATGGTGAAACCCTGTCTCTACTAAAAATACAAAAAGTAGCTGGGCATGGTGGCACATGCTTGTAGTCCCAGCTACTGGGGAGGCTGAGGCAGGAGAATCGCTTGAACCTGGGAGGCGGAGGTTGCAGTGAGTCAAGATCATGCCACTGCACTCCAGCCTGGGTGACAGAGCAACACTCTATCTCAAAAAAAAAAAAAAAAAAAAAAAAAAAAATTGAGATAGTTCAGCAAGGAATGAGAAAGAAAATCCACTTGACCTTGAATGAGAAGGAAGTTAGGACAGTGGACCGCAGTGCAGAATAACACTTGGCTGTTTTGTGAATAATACTTACAATACTGTTAAGTGCTCATCATCAGCTTATAAATTTTAAGTCTATAGACAAAGCATGATAAACTTAATTACAGTTATAGAACACAATGTAAATGCCTTCAAATTTGATAATATGAAAGTAAAGTTTCACCTGACAGAAGATGGGAAATGGAACAGGGAAGAGATAGAGGAATGACTGGGGAAGCTAATACCCCTATCTTCCTAAGAAGGTAAAGTTAATACTGAAAGTTGATAGGATAACAAATAGAAAGTTATGTACAATATTTAAGGTTACAAAGGTAACCAACAAGTGTAAAAATAGAGGGATTCAACTATCAAAAGTTTGGAGGTGCTGGTTGGGTACAGTGGCTCATGCCTGTGTTCCCAGCACTTTGGGAAACAGAGGTGGGTGGATCACTTGAGCCCAGGAGTTTGAAACCCCAACTCTATAAAAAATAAAAAAACTGGCCAGGTGTGGTGGCATGTGCCTGTGGTCCCAGCTACTCAGGAGGCTGAGACGGGAGGATCACTTGAGCTCCAGAGGTGGAGGCTGCAGTGAGCTGAGATTGAGCCACTGCACTCCAGCTTGGGCAACACAGAGGGACCCCGTCGAAAAGAAAAGAAAAGAGAAGAGAAAAGAAAAACGAAAATAAACGAAAAGAAACGAAAAGAAAAAAGAAAAGAAGGGGCTGGGCACGGTGGCTCACGCTTATAATCCCAGCACCTTGGGAGGCCGAGGCGGGCAGATCACAAGGTCAGGAGTTCGAGACCAGCCTGGCCAATATAGTGAAACGCCGTCTCTACTAAAAATACAAAAATTAGCCGGGCATGGTGGCGGGCACCTGTACTCCCAGCTACTTGGGAGGCTGAGGTAGGAGAATTGCTTGAAACCGGGAGGCGGAGGTTGTAGTGAGCCGAGAGTACACCACTGCACTCCAGCCTGGGCGACAGAGCGAGACTCCGACTCAAAAAAAAAAAAAAAAAGAGAAAAGAAAAAGAAAATGAAAAAAAGAAAAAGTTGGGAGGCAGTGAGGAGGGGGTGGTGTGAGATTCAGCATGACCTTTACTCTCTTGGAAAAATAAGGAGAAGCTTCACTAGTCATTTCTCTGTCTCTCCTGTCAGTGGAAAGTCTAAACATGTTGTTTAGAATTACAGAAGTCCATCATTAAAGGACTAAAACAAAAAATGATTAAATTAATTGAGGCCAGGCCCAGTGGCTCTGCCTGTAATTCCAGCACTTTGGGAGGCCAAGGCAGGCAGATCTCCTGAGCTCCGCAGTTCCACACTGCCCCAGGCAATATGGTGAAACCCCATCTCTCCTAAAATACAAAAAATTAGCAGGGTGTGATGGCATGCACCTGTAGTCTCAGCTACTCGGGAGACTGAGGCAGGAGGTTGCAGTGAGCTGTGATTGTGCTACTGCACTCCAGCTTGGGCTGCAGAGTGACACTCCATCTCAAAATAATAATAATAATAATAATAATAATGGGGAACAGGCCGGGTGCGGTGGCTCACGCCTGTAATCCCAGCACTTTGGGAGGCAGAGGCGGGCAGATCACGAGGTCAGGAGATCGAGACCATCCTGGCTAACATGATGAAACCTCATCTCTACTAAAATTACAAAAAAAATTAGCCGGGTATGGTGGCGGGCGCCTGTAGTCCCAGCTACTTGGGAGGCTGAGGCAGGAGAATGGCGTGAACCTGGGAGGCGAAGCAAGACCGTGCCACTGCACTCCAGCCTGGGCAACAGAGCGAGACTCCATCTCAAAAAAAAAAAAAAAAAAAAAAAAGGGAAATAGACACAGGGATGGAGAGAGATAGAGATGAGACTGGTATTTTTCTTTATAGCCCCCTATACAATTATTTTAATAACTGCACACAGGTATTTTCTTTGATAAAATCTTACTAATAAATTTCATCTGAGCTGGTTTAGAGTAGCTCTACCTAGTGATTAGCAGTAAATGGTATACAAATTATGAAGGACTTTTCTATTTTCAGATTGAATCATGTACAGATGAACTTGCCCAGGCTGGTCTCAAACTCCTGAACTCAAGCAATCCTCCTGCATCAGCCTCCCAAAGTGCTAGGATTACACCATGCCCGGTTATCTGTATGACATTAACATCATCACTCTGCTCCCTTCAAATTTCCTTAAAATGCAAATGTAAATGTCCTTAAAATGTAAATTCTAATGGAAGGGGAGGGCAGATGGATATCATTCGAAAGATATATCCACACTTATCAAAAATTAAGAAATACATATGTATGTGTATATTATATATTATGCATATATGTATATATTATATATGTACATAGTGTATTAATATGTATACATATATAATTTTATGTGTATATATTATGTATACATATTGATACATTATATATTTATGTATATATGTACATATATACATATAATGTACATAATTATATGTATATACATATAATGTACATAATTATATGTATATACATATAATGTACATAATTATATGGCCCGGGACGGCTGCTCCGACGAAGGCCCGGGCCTGGGGAGATGGAATCGGTGGCAGAGCGAGGAGTGACTGGCTCCGGCAGTGCACCAGGCACCCCGCCAGGCAGGTACCTGTTCCTGGTTTCAAACTCCGGAGCTCAAGCAATCCTACTGCCTCAGTCTCTCAAAGTGCTGGGATTACAGAGGTGGGCCACGGTACCCAGCCTATCAGAAACATTTAACACTATATATATATATATATATATACATACATACATATATATATACACATACATATATATATATACACACACACACACACACACACACACACACACACACAACAAAGCAATATTACTAGTGGACAGACATAGAAATAGCTTTATTGGCCGGGCGCGGTGGCTCACGCCTGTAATCCCAGCACTTTGGGAGGTCGAGGCTGGTGGATCACCTGAGGTCAGGACCTCAGAGATCGGCCTGACCAACATGGTGAAACCCCGTCTCTACTGAAAATACAAAAATTAACCAGGTGTGGTGGGGGGTGCCTGTAATGCCAGCTACTCGGAAGGCTGAGGCAGGATAACTGCTTGTACCAAGGAGGCCGAGGTTGCAGTGAGCGGAGATCGCGCCATTGCATTCCAGCCTGGGGGACGAGGGCGAAACTCCATCTCAAAAAAATTAAAATAAAAATAAAGAGAGAAAATAATAAACCCAGCAAACATTTATGGCAAACTTCCTACGTGTCAGGCACTGTGCTAAATGCTTCATGAGCAGCTCACAAGTATTATCATCTCTGTTTTACGGATCAGGAAATTCAGGTGTGCAGGGAGGTTAAATGCCCAAAGTCACACAGATAAGTGGTAGGGGACTAATTAAATCTGTTCCAAAGCCTGCGCTCTAAAAACCAGAGTAAACTTCCTCCATTTCTGGGGCCACAACTATAAACACTGCATTCCAGCCAAAACACCTCTAAGAAATCTGATTAAAAAGTAGGGGACAGATTTGACCAGTTCAGCACTGTAACTAAAGGCTGAATTCACAGGCTTTTGGCAGGTGATCAAATTTGGTTTCTTCCTTAACTCTCAGGGACAAGAAACAGTCCTGGGTGTCTTCAGGAAGGTATGAGTGTCAATGAAGAATTGTCTTAACGTCGCATATACGTATTGGAACATGCTTCTACTTGAACAGATATTACAATAAGAAAAGGGCAAATTCCAACGGCTCTTTCTCCGGGAAAGTCAAGTTAAAGTATGTTAGGATACAGGAGAAGGCTGGGCAGAGAGGTTAGTTCCCTATTTCCTGAGAACTATGAACAATTTTACCTACCCACTGCCCCTCCCTCGAGCTCTCTTCCTTATCCCCAACCCCCATCTCCGGCGCCCAAATCCCCTGCAGGCACCCAAAAAACATTTCTGGAAAACAAAAAGACAATGAGCTCTTCGTTTAGGCCGATTCTGGGAGTCATCTGGATCTTGTGTCCTTACGAGGACTTGACCCGCTGCCTGTCAGCCCAAAGTGCGCGGCGGCTGGGGACAGCGGGGAGCCCAGGACCGGGGTCGGCCGCCACTCTGCCTGAACAGGACAAACCGGCACCCAGCCCTAGGTTCCCCACCTGGAAGTCCTAGGGGGTGGGGAGGAAGGGGAAAGCAGGAGCCCGCCTCTCTCGCCCGGCAACTCCGCTTCAGCGTCTCCCCGCCAGGCCCAAGCCTATTCTGCTCTCGGGCTGCGGCGCCTCATTGCGGGAGTCGAGGACGCGGGTTAAAAAGGGGGCCCGTGGAGGGTGAGGTGAGCCCAGGATGGCCGCTCCGACGAAGGCCCGGGCCTGGGGAGATGGAATCGGTGGCAGAGCCAGGAGGGACTGGCCCCGGCAGCGTACCAGGCACCCCGCCAGGCAGGTACCTGTTCCTGGAGTTAGCAAGCAGCCCCGACCGTCTTGGCTCCGCCTCCTCAGTTTTACTGCCGCGCCGCCGCCAGACCGGTTGCTGGGAGGGGAGTACGCAACGTGCCATGCGCAGTGGGGCGACCGGGAGGACTGATAGAGCGCTCCGCCCCACCCCGCCCTGCGGGGAAGTCCCGCCCTTTCCGAGTGGCCGCGGCTGCGGCAGGCCCTAGCAGCCGCCGCCGCGCCGAGAGCGGTTCTCAGTTCCCGTTGTCTTTCCCGCCGCGCAGCGCTTCCGCCTACAGCCTCCGCCCCCGCAGCAGGAGGGGGAAGCAGGTGGCTTCAACAATGAAGGACCAGAGAAAGGCAAACTTGGCTGTTCCTGAGAATTGTGTTTTTCTCATTTCATGTGGTAGGACTTCTAATGGAAAACCCGCCTCGCACTTTTCTTGGACGACATCTCAAATGCCCCTCACTTTGGCCTCTCGGGCACCAGACAACAAGCTGCAAAGGGGAAGCCCATCCTTTCTTTGCTCCCCACTATTTGTAAAACAAGGAAAATAGCTCAACTAATGAAAACGATCTTGTCCCCTCAGTATCTTTTTTTTTCCCCCGAAGCCTTCCTCATCCACAGCTGAAGCCGTTTGTGGAAACCTATCAGGTTTGTCCAAGCCAGGTTATGCAGAGCTTGAGAAATGAGGAAGCGATGAACTAAGCCTCACTCCTGTGAGACTAGGTTTTTCAGTGACTTATCCCCCGCGTGCGCAGGAGGGGGTATCCAAAACGCGGATATATACCATCAGGTAATGAACACTCGCTCTTGCCAGCTCTGAGCTTTGACACAGATTTAGACCGTCCTAACTTCCAAGACTGGGGGAGGAGTTTAGCTACATCCAAGTAGGGACTTATAGAAATATGCCCCTGGAAGGCCGGGCGCGGTGGCTCACGCCTGTAATCCCAGCACTTTGGGAGGCCGACGCGGGTGGTTCACTAGGTCAGGAGATCGAGACCATCCTGGTTAATACGGCGAAACCCCGTCTCTACTAAAAGTACAAAAAAATTAGCCGGGCGTGGTGACAGGCGCCCGTAATCCCAGCTACTATGGAGGCTGAGGCAGCAGAATGGCCTGAACCCGGGAGGCGGAGCTTGCAGTGTGCAGAGATCGCGTCACTGCACTTCCAGCCTGGGCGACAGAGCGAGACTCCGTCTCAAAAAAAAAAAAAAAAAAAAAGAAAAAAAGAAATATGCCCCTGAAACTGTGGGACCTGTATGCACATGAGTTCTCATTTGATCTTACATACATCACTTTGATTTTTTTTTTTTTTTTTTTTGAGATGGAGTCTTGCTCTGTTGCCCAGGCTGGAATGCAGTGACGTGATCTGGGCTCACTGCAACCTCTGCCTCCTGGGCTCAAGCAATTCTCCTGACTCAGCCTCCCAAGTCGCTGGGACTACAGGCGCACGCCACAACGCCTGGCTGATTTTTGTATTTTTAGTAGAGACGAGGTTTCACCATATTGGTCAGGCTGGTCTTAAAATCCTGACCTCAGGTGATCCACCAGCCTCGGCCTCCCAAAGTGCTGGGATTACAGGTGTGAGCCATCTGTGCTGGGCCACATCATTTTGATTTTATCGAGTGCTTTGACATTGCTAAGGGCTACCCTCACATGCTCTCATTCTCAAAATAAGATGCCACTCTCAGGAGCAAACTTGGTAAACTCACAAAGCAACAGAGTATAAACAGAGAAGTAAAATTTCTAGCAGTGTTCTACTGAAGGGTCTTTCACATGTGGTCTTTTGGAACCGAGTATTAGAGAGACTGTCTGAAAAGATGCTAAACTTCTTGCAGCCATTACAAATGGGTAGAGAAAACATATTGTCTCAGAACTGTTCTGTTTTAGCAGTCTGTAACAGAAGACACTCCTATGGGTATAACTCTTTTTTTTTTTTTTTTTTTGAGACGGAAGTCTTGCTCTATTGCCCAGGCTGGAGTGCAGTGGTGCAATCTTGGTTCACTGCAACCTCTGCCTCCTGGGTTCAAGCGATTCTCCTGCCTCAGCCTCCTGAGTAGCTAGGATTACAGGTTTGTGCCACCGCACCCGGTTAATTTTTGTATTTTTAGTAGAGACGGGGATTTGCCATATTGGCCAGGCTGGTCTTGAACTCCTGACCTCATGTGATCTGCCTGCCTCGGCCTCCCAAAGTGCTGGGATTACAGGCATGAGCCACCGCGCCCGGCCTCTTGTCTCTCTTACATCGTTTCACATCATTCAAAATGAGAGGAGGCAGGAATGGTAAGGAATGAGAACCTGGGATGATAAAGCACAGTGTTTCACCTCTTCCTGCCAAATCCACTGGATTCTTGTACAACACAATTCTAAACAATTCCTACTGAATTGCCAATTCCTACTGAATGGGTGGAATAAGAAATCAATGTTTTTCTTTGGTCTAAATTCCATCTAAAGAAAGGAGTTAGGGCCAGGCGCACTGGCTCACGCCTGTAATCCCAACACTTTGGGAGGCCGAGGTGGGTGGATCACGAGGTCAGGAGATCGAGACCATCCTGGCTAACACAGTGAAATCCCATCTCTACTAAAAATATAAAAAATTAGCAGGGCGTGGTAGCACACATCTGTAGTCCCAGCTACTCTGGAGGCTGAGGTAGGAGAATTGCTTGAACTTGGGAGATGGAGGTTGCAGTGAGCCGAAATTGCACCACTGCACTCCAGCCTGGGCAACACAGTGAGACTCCATCTCAAAAACAAAAAAAAGAGGAGTTTCACATCTGGTCTTTACAGGAAAAGGTTTGCTACTACTAAGGAAACAGAATCATAAGCTACTCCCCTCTTCCTCAAAAAATACCCTATCAATTTTTGCAGATAAAGAACTCTGAAAGGATCTGCTTGGTTTCCATTGGGAGAAAGAAAAGCAAAAGAGAGTAAAGCAAGAATGCATCACTTGGAGACCAGTCCTAGATGATGCCTTATACTTGCAAAGTGCTTAAACAGTTTACAAAACAATCTCACATATATATTTTCTCTTAGTGTTCAACTACCTGTGAAGCAGGCAGGGCAAATAATTACTATCCTCACTTCACATTAGGTTAATAACTTGCCGAAAGTCAAAGGATTAGTAATTAGTTCTGCTGGCACTAAAAGCCAGGTCTTTGTCTTACAGTCCAGTGCTTATTTTGGCATTGCTAAACATCCAGGCAATGCAAATGAGATTGGAGACTTAGTGGTTTTCCAGTTTGTGACACTAAACAACATCCTCCTCTCTTTGTCCTCGCATTCACAGGAGAGTTAATGGAGTCTTAAGAGGTGGAATGCAGGGAGGAGCCCATAAATAACATATGGGGCTCTAAAAATATAAAATGTTTTTAAAATGATTGAATGGTAATAACAAAAGGAATATTCAGATGAACTCTTTTGAAGGAAAAGCATTTCAGTGCTGACTTTTATCGAACAGAAAGAATTTTCCTCTGAGCTTATACTCTTGTAGGATAACTCCACAAAGTCAAGGCGGCACTCTGAGATTTTGTCAATCACTTTAATAGATGTCCATAGGTAGTTCATATGAATGCTTAAGTTACAAAATTAGCTGCCATGGTCCAAATGTATGGGACTTTAGGAAAGCTTTTCTTACTCAAAAGATAACTAAGACTATCAACTTTGATTTCTAAAATGTAATTTAAAGGTTTGTAAAACAAGGCCACTACTATAATTATATAATATTAAAGTAATTAAGTTTTATGTTAGTTATTTTAATAACAACTTCATGAACTGTTAAAAATATTACATTTGCATCTCTCAGTTTACATATTTCTGTATTAACTTGGAGAAAAACCCATGTGAAAAGTTTCCATGCAGTTACAAAGGCAGCAGCACATGCTGTTTTCACAGCAACTTGTTATTGCCTCAGAACAGGCCTGCACTAAAGCATCAACAAAAAATACCCACCACCCCACTCCCACCAGAAAACCCAACCCTTACCCATCCCCGGCAAAAATTACCTGGTACAAGCAATGACCTAAAAATGCTTTCTTGGTAAGAAGCATTTATAAAATGCAGAGATCTGAACAAGCTAAGTGCTCGTGCAGATACATGGGCCTCTCCTCCAAGAGTTGGTTCCGCAAGAGGTGGAAAGAACTCTCAATAGTTTAGGAAAGCTCATTTTCAAAAGTATACTTACACATATTCATGGCCATTTCTTTGAAAGAACATACCCAGCCTCAACTGTGGAAAAGATAAAAGCAGAGGGAGAAGCAACGGCACACAGCCATAATATAGAGAACAGAGCTTCTCCATGAACATCCACCAGGCTGCAGCAACCAAGAAGGAAAAAACATTTGTGATTTCACACAGACCAATGATCTTACCTAGGTGAAGCATTAATTTTTCATGCATTTGTTACTCAAGAAAATAAACATACAACCACTTAAAATACAGCATTCACGTTGTCACTGGTTCGTGGTATCAGGTAAGGAAAAAATGATGCTCCTGTCCCTAGAATTTTCCATGTACATGTCAGTATCCTAATGCCTACAGACTTCCTATTAATTTTGTTATCAGCATCTCCCACCTAAAAACATATACTACATTATGTTCTGGGTCCCTGAAATTTCATTACTACATACAGTGTTCTAATTTTTACTTTTTCTCAAGTTTAATGTAGACATACAAGAAAACATCAAGCAATGTTTATTGTGCAATTCCAATCATTATTTGCAGAATCTTGGTTTAGAGTCAGTCTTTATAGCCATTTCAACTGCTTGGTTTAAACAAAAAGCAACAATCTGGTTATCTACCTATAAATTTCACGGTATTTCTTTAAACACTGAAGTACTAAAAGCACTGATGATTTGTATTATAATTTTTAAAATATTTAAAACCTACACAGATTTCATAGATCATTCCTTTTATAAAATAATCAAAATAATTTGATTATCTGGAAAAAAAAATTCTTGAAACAGAGCCCTTTCCAGGTATCTTCAATCTCTGTAAAACCCCAAACCCCAAACAGAGTAGATGATGAAATAAGGATTTCTCAGTTGCCCAAGACTGTCTGAAATTTAAGGTTGAGAAATGGACTGGCGTTTTTCATGTTTCCTGTGAATTCAGAGCTTACAGGTGGCATCAGAACTCAAATCTCTGGGATGGCTTTACATGGCTTTCACTTTGATTTGTTTCATTTTCATTTGCTTCTTTTCCAACTTCTTTTGCTCACGCCTCAATGCAGCCTCCTAGAGAAAGAAGGGGTAATAAATAGAGAAAGGGAGTGGGGACGAGAGAATTCAAATTAAGCTTGAAACATATGTTAAAAAAAAATCCAAATTAGAATACTGCCTATAGTATTATTCAAAAACTTAGGCTTGCACCATAACATTCTAGAAGATAGTTATAAAAATAATTGCCAATATCTACATTAGTGAATAAAAATTAAATCAACTTCAAATGAAGCAAAGGTAAACTAAAATCTCAGTTTTGAAAGAAACTACTATAATTAACCAGCCTTTGTTATTCTGGTTTGATTTTTTTCTGTACCCAGGGAACACTTAGCCTGATGTTCACCATACCATTCATGATGGCATTATATCATAAATGTATAACTGCCAGAAGATACATTCTACTTCAGTTCAATAAATTTTAAGAATCTTGTTCCATCAGGTTATTCATTGCAAATTTCTTATTAGCACAGACACCATACCTGCACATAATACTTAAATTCATAATGCTCTATTTGAGACATCATATTTATCAAATGTGATAAAAATTATCAAATTTATCATATTTTTATTTAGGAATTAGGAAGTTACATAGAAGAGTAAGAAGGTTCAGGTTATTATTACGTGGACTGATAGAAGCCTTAGAGGTCAAGTCAAAGTATGACTTCACTGTTGGCCACTAGTGGTCACACCTGATTAAAAGTTTATTTCAGCTACAATCTCAAACTTCTTATTTTTAGGGTACTGGGGTAAAAATGTGCTCAGAAATATACTCAACTGGTACAGGATGGAGAAAATAGGGAAGAAAAGAAGAAGTGCAAAGCATATATAGTTCTTCATAGTGCAACAAATTAGGTTTCAAAGGGTGATTTGTAAATTCCTGGTTTGGGAACTATTGACTGTCTTAGGTTTTTTCTTTATTTTTTTTTGAGATAGGGTCTTGCTGTGTCACCCAGGCTGGAGTGCAGTGGCACAATCTCGGGTCATTGTAGCCTCTGCCTTCCGGGTTCAAGCCATTCTCCTGCCTTAGCCTCCCGAGTAGCTGGGATTACAGGCATGTGCCACCACACCCAGCTGATTTTTGTATTTTTAGCAGAGACGGGGTTTCACCATGTTGGCCAGGCTGGTCTCAAACTCCTGACCTCAGGCAATTCACCGACTATGGCCTCCCAACGTGCTGGGATTACAGGCGTGAGCCAATGTGCCTGGCCAGGTTTTTTTTTTTGTTTGTGTTTGTTTTTGAGACAGAATTCTTGCTCTGTTGCCTGGGATGACTCTCCTGCCTCAGCCCCCGGAGTAGGTGGGATTACAGGTGTGTGCCATCATGCCCAGCTAATTTTTGTATTCTTAGTAGAGATGGGGTTTCACCATATTGGCCAGGCTGGTGTTGAACTCCTGACCTCAAGTGATCTACCTGCCTCGGCCTCCCAAAGTGTTAGGATTATAGGCATGAGCCACCGCGCCCGGCCTATCTTAGGTTTCTTTTCAATTTTTTTTTGAGGTGGAGTTTCGCTCTTGTTCCCCAGGCTGGAGTGCAATGGCGCAATCCCGACTCACTGCAACCTCTGCCTCCCAGGTTCGATCCCAATGTCCTCTTCCCATTGTCCCAACCCCTACCTTCACCACATTCACTCTTTTCCCAGCACTATCTATCCCTATCTCCCATATTACATATTACACACATGTGTAAAACTAATGATACACAGAATACAATATCATGTATAAGAAATATTGGCCGGGCGCAGTGGCTGAGGCTGGTGGGCCACTTGAGAGGTCAGGAGTTCGAGACCAGCCTGGCTAATGTGGTGAAACCTCGCCTACACTTTGGGAGGCTGAGGTGGGTGGATTACTTGAGAGATCAGGAGTTCAAGATCAGCCTGGCCAATGTGGTGAAACCTCATCTCTACTAAAAATACAAAAATTAGCCAGGTGTGGTGGCGGGCACCTGTAATCCCAGCTACTTGGGAGGCTGAGGCACGAGAATCACTTGAACCTGGGAGGCGGAGGTTGCAGTGAGCCAAGATTGTGCCACTGCATTCCAGCCTGGGCGACAGAGTGAGTTTGTCTCAAAGAAAAAAAAAAAAAAAAGATAAATATATTTATGCTAGCACATTTAAGAGATATTTATGTTAAGTCAATACACATGAAAAATGTTCAACTTCAAATAATAATTCAAAAAATAGCTGGGCGTAGTGGCTCACGCCTGTAATCCCAGCACTTTGAGAGGCCGAGGTGGGTGGATCACCTGAGATCAGGAGTTCGAGACCAGCCTGACCAACATGGTGAAACCCCATTTCTACTAAAAAATACAAAAATTAGCCGGGCATGGAGGCAGGCACCTGTAATCCCAGCTGAGGCAGGAGAATCGCTTGAACCCAGGAGGCAGAGGTTGCAGTAAGCTGAGATCATGCCATTGCACTCTGCCTGGGCAACACAGCAAGACTATGTCTCAAACAAAACAAAACAAAACAAAACAAGTGGGATACCATTTCCCCACTACCAGAATAAGGAAAAAAAAAAAAAAAAAAGACCTGGCACGGTGGCTCACGCCTGTAATCCCAGCACTTTGGGAGGCTGAAGCAGGCGGATCACGAGGTCAAGAGATTGAAACTATCCTGAACATGGTGAAACCCCATCTCTACTAAAAATACAAAAATTAGCTGAGCATGGTGGCATGTGCCTGTAGTCCCAGCTACTAGGGAGGCTGAGGCAGAAGAATCGCTTGAACCCGGGAGGTGGAGGCTGCAGCGAGCTGAGATCGCGCCACTGCACTCCAGCCTGGTGAAAGAGCGAGACTCTGTCTCAAAAAAAAAAAAAAATTAATAACTAGTTTTTGAAAAGATGTGAGTGAAGAGGAGCTCTCTGGCTGGGCACAGTGGCTCACACCTGTATTCCCAGCATATTGGGAGGCCGAAGCGGGAGGATGGCTTGAGCCCAGGAGTTCGAAGCTGCAGCGAGCTACGATTTTGCCACTGTACTCTAGCCTGGGCAACAGAGTGAGACCCTGTCTCAAAAATAAAAATAAAAATAAATTAAAAGAAAAAAAGGAGCTTTCATATCATATACTGGTAGAGGGGGTTGGGTGGGTTGTTCTATTGAGTTCACCAGATCTTTTTACAAGGTGCCCAGACCAGATACTATAAAGTGGTAGTTCAAAAAAATTAAATGATTTACATCGACAAGAAGCTTACAATCTGACTCAGGTTAAGTTTCAGGCCCCCTCTTCCTTTAACTCATTATAGTTTCAAACCTTAGAAAGAAATGTAGAACTTCCTTTTATAGAAAAATGAAAGGCATTACCTATTAATGATTCCTCTGTAGATTCTTCACATGTACATAAAAAGCCATATTTATTTATAAAGAAGACTGCATAAACACAGAGCTACATTTTCAGGGGAAAAATACCTATCACTAAACCAAGTCAAATAAAACAAAAAAATGATAAAAGGGGTAAGATGATGATGACAGGCCTGCAGTATCCTGGGCAGTTCACTCAACAGCATTAATGACACTGCTGTCAAATGCAGGCCCGCACAGCAGCTCACATTTTCTTGGACACGTGACCCCTTTGCTCCTAAGAATATTCTTCAATTATCTCAAGATTATTCTTACTAAAATTCACATCTTTCAGAACTTTGTCCTCTCCCTTTTTTTTTTTTGAGACAGGGTCTCCCTCTGTCACCCAGGCTGGAGTGCAGTGGCTCGATCCCTGCTCACTGCAACCTCTGCCTCTCAGGTTCAAGCAATTCTCCTGCCTCAGCCTCCTGAGTAGCTGGGATTACAGGCACGCGCCACCACGCCCAGCTGATTTTTTTGTTTGTTTTTAGTAGAGACGGGGTTTCAGCATGTTGGTCAGGCTGGTCTCGAACTCCTGACCTTGTGATCCTCCCGCCTCAGCCTCCCAAAGTGCTGGGATTACAGGCGTGAGCCACCACGCCCGGCCTGTCCTCTCCCTCTTTTTTTTTTGGCTGCCCAGGCTAGAGTGCAGTGGTGTGATCATAGCTCACTGCAGCCTCAATCTCCCAGGTTCAAGTAATCCTTCCACTTCAGTCTCCCAAGTAGTTGGGACTACAGGTATGCACCACTATGCACAGCTAATTTTTTTTTTTTTTTACTAGTAGAGACAAGGTCTCATGATGTTGCCCAGGCTTGTTTTGAACTCCTGGGCTCAAGCAATCTGCTTGCCTTAGCCTCCCAAAGTGCTGGGATTACAAGCGTGAGCCACTGCACCTGGCCTTTGTTCTCTTTCTTGACCAGCATTTACAAGGTCTAAAATTTAGAGCTGAGTGGCGCACACCTGTAGTCCCAGCTACTTGGGAGGCTGAGGCAGGAGAATGGCTTGAACCCGGGAGGCGGAGACTGCACTGAGCCAATATTGCGCCATTGCACTCCAGCCTGGGTGACAGAGTGAGACTCCATCTCAAAAAAAAAAAAAAAAAAAAAAAAAAAAAAAAAAAAAAATTTAGAGCTGGACTATGGCATCTTATTTCAGAAACACATCAGATCATACCGAGCTTTCAAATATAACATACTATACCCAAAAAGCTTTTGAGTTTGAGATTCTAGTTAGGTAAAAAACAGAAAACAAAAATACAAACAAAAATATTGGAAATCTCTAATTCTATAATCAGATTTTAAATTTTACATAGCAAGTTTATTTAGATAATAGGGCGCATGTGCTGCCTTCTATTAAAATTTCTAACTTCTTTCTACCAAAGTGTTTGGCTCGAAAACTGATAATGGAATTTTCAAAATGAAATTGTGCTGGGGGAACAGGATAATACTGATAATTTTTCACGTTCACAGACTCAGTGTGGCACGGCTTGAACAGGAAGGATTATTTATTCTTCTTTATAGTGTTATCAATTGATACAATGTCCCAAATGTTGAGAAAATGCTAAACTTTTAGCCTACAAAGATTACCTTAACAACCAACAGAACACAAGCAGTCATCCTTACAAATCGTAGTTTTACCCCAGTGATAAGTTTGTCTAACCTCCAGCCTGCGCTGTTTCTCAGGATCTTCCTCATTCATGATTCGCTCCTTCTCTGCTCTTTTTTTCTCCTCCCGCCGAGACTGTGCTGCTTCCTGTCTTTGCACATGTGTCAGTTTCAAGAAGTTCTCTTCTACTCGGGCACGGTTCTTATCTGCTTTTTGTTTGCCCTTCCCCAAGAAACAAAGTATTTCATAAGAAATCCATTTCTAGTCAACAGCAACAAAATCCCGTTTAGCATTCTTTCATAAAACTACTCCCATTTGGCACTTCTAAATCAACTAGCAAAAATTCAGTCACTGAAATCATTGATAGCTGCCCTCCCCCTTGAGAAGAAACAAAAAAAGGTGCCAATTTATATAATACAGGCATTGGGTCTTACTTCTCTGTTGAGTCGGAACTTTTTGGCTTTATCAATAGAATAAATCACCATGTTCATCAGGGGTAGCAGTGCCTCCATATCCTTTGGGTAAGTGTTACCTGAGCCAGGCACTGGAAAACAAAGCCATTTTTCCTACTGAGTTAATGGTAGCATTAATATTTCCAGGTCACCCAACTCTTTTTTTTTTTTAATCTTAAGAGACTCATTTCTCTAAGTTTGTTAGGCAGTTAAAATGCAGCAGAAAATATAAATTAAAATATATAATAGGTAATTTCTTCTTGAAGAAATCTGGAAATCAGTAAGCAAGCACAGGCTTATAGTTTTGACGTAGTTTTAAAGCTATCATTTAGGAGGAAACAATACTCTCCTTAAGGTCATCTCAGAGAAGACTAAGAACCCAGAAAGGACCCAGAATACTTACCATTAAATGTAAACAACAGTGTCCTCTTAGTGTCAGGTAGCTTTAAAGGCTGACCTTCCCTGTCATAAAAGAAAAGGCAATTAAGAAGGAATACAAGAAAGATGTTTTCCATGTACACAAGTCACCCAATACACTTAGATGAACAGATACCTGCACATAATCAGCACAGTATTTGGCTTGGCATACCCAAGTCAAATATAATGAAGGAGCTTTACAGGTCATCTGGTCCACTCGTCTATCTGATGGATGCATTCTCAAGTGATCTTTATCCTATATTTGAACACCTCCAGTGATGTTCCCTCCAGGCAAGGGTATATTCCATCTCACCTGGGGAGCCAGAAATGAGCCTATATTTAAGTATGAGGCCCATATTTTAGATACATTTTTGCTTATTTTGATGCATTTTTATGTTTTATTTCCAACTCCTATTCTATCTTCCTATAACAAGGCATCTTATTATCTTATTTTTGAGTTAGGCTCAGAGTAAATTTAGGGATAATCTACTACAGCATATATAATTTAGTTCTGTCATTGAAGATTCCTTTGTAATCTCTGCCTATATGAATCCTTTGACTATCAATTGCCCTCCATCTCATATTTAAAAGGCATGATGAATGCTACAATGTGAAACACTGTCCTCAGTGCCACTGAGTTGAGCAAGACAAGGATGATGCAGCACTATCTAGAGGCATAAGGACCTGAGTAATCTTAGTATACAACTAAAATCCAGATTGGCTTGAATTGTGCTCAACTCCACAGCCTATCAGAGGGTAGTCTTTAACTAAAAATTTAGTCAGAACCAGTTTCAAACCGAGCATAAAGGTAAATAAATATGCTCTCCTGAGACAGGCTGTGAATTCAAAGAACAAATCCAAGTCCTGAATATGTACTCCTGAACAGTATTACTATAAAGCTAGAAACCCTATGGACATTGTGGGCTTCTATGCTAGGAAAGGATACAATCACTTAACTATTCAAAGAGGGAAGCCAGAAAAGGCCATAAATTACAAAACACACAGATTTGTAATCAGACATAAGTCAAACATCACACACAAATTATTATCATAAAAAAAAAGAACCTATGGACTGGGGCATGGTGGCTCACGCTTATAATTCCAGCACTTTGGGAGGCCAAGGCAGGTGGATCACGAGGTCAGGAGTTCGAGACCAGCCTGACCAACATGGTGAAACCCCATCTCTACTAAAAATACAAAAATTAGCCGAGCGTGGTGGTGCACGCCTGTAATCCCAGCTACTCAGGAGGCTGAGACAGGAGAATTGCTTGAACCCGGGAGGCGGAGGTTGCAGTGAACCAAGATTGTGCCACCGCACTCCAGCCTAGGCAACAGAGTGAGACAGCGTCTCAAACAAACAAAAAACAAAACAAAACAAAAAAACCCACTGCATTTTATTAGTACCAGCCATTCTGTAAGATTCCCAACCATCTCACTGAGTCAGTGGCACAAACATGCAGGGACACATACAAACTGGGATAGGGGAGGCTCATTTCTCTCCCATAGGTTTACAATGACCTCTTATGATGCATGCAGTCAAAGCAAAGGAAAATGTGGAGGCCTGTCACCAACTTCCTTCACACATTTGGTAAGGGATATTGCAGAAGCACCTTACAGGTGTTTCAACACAGAAAGCTAGTGAGGAAAATTAATTTCAACAATTTTATCTTATACGTACTCTTGCATAATTTTTGGACCAGAGAACTGGTCTGAAAAATGAACAGATTCAATCTTGTCAGCATAGTGTGTAAGAAAGTGAACCATCTGAAAAAAAGAAAATAATATTTTTTAAAAGCAAGGTTTAATGCATTTCCCTTTTTTTCCTAAAGATATTCACTCTTTGAGATGGTGCAACGGCTCACACCAGTAATCCCCGCACTTTGGGAGGCAGGTGGATTACTTGAGGCAAGGAGTTTGAGAATTTGAGATCAGCCTGGCCAACACAGTGAAACACCGTCTCTACTAAAAATACAAAAAAATTAGCCGGGCATGGTGGCATGTGCCTGTAACCCCAGCTATCCAAGAGGCTGAGGCACGAGAAGCGTTTGAACCCGGGAGGTGGAGGTTGCCGTGAGCAGAGACCACGCCACTGTACTCCGGTCTGGGCGACAGAGCAACACTCTGTCTCAAAAAAAAGAAAAAAAAAAAAAAAGAAATTCACCTTTCAATCCTTACTTTTATACAATGTCCTTCATTAAGACCAAAGCGTGTTCATTGCTTTTTATTTATTTTTTGTGACAAGGTGTTGCTCTCTTACCCAGGCTAGAGTGCAGTGGCACAATCATAGCTTACCATAGCCTTAATCTCCTGGGCTCAAGTGATCTTCCTGCCTCAGCCTCCTGAGTAGCTGGGACTAAAGGAACACACAACCACACCTGGCTAATTTTTTTATTGTAGAGACAGGGTCTCACTATGTTGCCCAGGCTAGTCCTGAATCCCTGGACTCAAGTGATTCTCCTGCCTCCGCCACCCAAAGTGTTGAGATTACAAGTGTGAACCACAGCGCGCGGACAAGGCTAAAGCTTTTTAAAAATTAAATTTCAATAAGATAGGGAATCTCTTTAGAATTAAAGTAGTACTCCAGGCTGGGTGCAGTGGCTCATGCCTGTAATCCAAGCGCTTTGGGAGGCCAAGGTGGGTGGATCACTTGAGGCCAGGAATTCCAGACCAGCCTGGCCAACACAGCGAAACCCCATCTCTACTAAGAAAAAAAAAAAAAAAAAAAAAGTAGTACTCCTTTTTAGTCATACCAATGATTAAGATTCTTTTCGAGCAGCTAAAAATATTTCTCAAAATAATGGTCGAAACAAGAATGAAAGCATAAAGATAACACCTAAAATAATTTCAGGGGATCCTTTATAAACATGTCACCTTGAACTTACATTTATAACCATCTCTGAGTTATCCTGTATTCTTATGATACTAAGATCTGTTACCATTACACAACCAATAGAAAGAAATGGCTCTCTCAGCCAGGCACAATGGTGGGCTCTTGCTGAGGCAGGAGGAACACTTGAGCCCAGAAGTTTTTGATGCTGCAGTGAGATCTATCACACACATGAATAGCCACTGCACTCCAGCCTGGGCAACATCTCAAGACCCCATCTTTTTAAAAACAAAGGAGGAGGGCTCTCTACACATCCCTCTTCTCCCACACAAACTGGAGCTCAAAAAAAAAAAAAAAAAAGACTAAATGACATGACGAAAAAGATTAGAAGCTATATTCCTTTTTCAAAAAAAAACCTGAAAGTCATTAGCAATCCCAGGAACAATTTGCTCTTGATTTAGAGAACTTCTTGACTAATCAAATTGTCCTTTTGACAAGCTAATTTATTGCTTAAAGAAGGTATTTTAATATTTGTGTGGGAAAGGAATGTAAAACTAATACATTGCCATAAAATGATGAACTTGTACAATGAGACTTTTAGGGAGAGTGTCCTGTAAATGCCAAGGCCTGGCAAATGTATGTCTTCTGTCGCATTTACCTTTGTATCCATCATTCCGTCTGTGACTTCTCCCATCTCTGACAGGATGGCCAAAGAGTCCGGCAGTCCATACTTTGCTCCAGACTTAGGTTTATCACTACAAAACTCACTCTAGAGGAAGAAGTAATTGAAAGTAAGATATGACCTTTTATTATGCAATGAAGCTGAATATGTGTGTGCTAAGGAGACACAGTTCTACGTATATTTGAGTTGGAGCAACCTGACATACCAAATCCTGCATCTCTTTCTGTAGTCGCACCAAGGCTTTCCGTGTGCCAACAGCAAATACGTAGGTATCCATGTCTTCATCATTCATGGTTACTTTTATTTGCTTTTAAAAAAATGTAAAAAACAACAAAATTCACCTGTTAGGTTCTGTGATAGGCAGATTTCTAAATGACCCTTAAGATTCCCTCCCCGCTGGTGCATATACTCTCCCTTTAAGTGATTGGGATTTGCAAATATGATGGAATATTACCCCCATAATCAGGCTGTTTTATGGCAGAAGGTCCCTAATCAGCTGACTGTGAATTAACCAAAAGGGACATTATCTTGGGTGTATCCAACTTAATCAAGCAAGTCCTTAAAAGGGACTATAGCCCTACTTGAAGAAGAAAGTCAAAATATGAAAGGGCTTATGGGAAGGTTGGCGGTAGGGCACATATGGTAAAGACCTAAGGGTGGCCTTTAGGAACTGAGTGGTTCCCAGTTGACAGCTAGCAAGAAAATAGGGACTACAGTAGTTCGTGCCTTTAAGCCTAGCTACCTGGGAGGCTGAGGCATGACTGCTTGATGTCAGGAGTTTGAGACCAGACCCGATCTCTAAAAAAGAAAGAAAAGGCCAGGCATGGTGGCTCACACCTGTAATCCTAGCACTTTAGGAGGCAAAAGGAGGAAGACTGCTTGAGCCCAGGAGTTCAAGACCAGCCTAGGCAACATAATGGGACCCCATCTGTACAAAAAAAAAAAAAAAGAAAGAAAAATTAGCCAGGCATTGTGATGCATGCCTGTAGTCCCAGCTACTCAAGAGGCTGAGGCAGGAGGATCGATTGAGCCCCAGAAGCTGGAGGCTGTAGTAAGTGATGATCGTGCACTCCATGCTAGGTGACAGAGCAAGACCCTGTCTCAAAAAAAATTAAAAAAAAAAAAAAAGGAAAAGAAAACAGGAACCTACACCCACAAGGAACTGAATTCTGCCAACAACCCAAATGACATTAAGAGGACCCTAAGCTTCAGAGAACTCTAACCTGAATGACATCTTGATTTCAGCCTGTTAAAACCCTAGAGGACCCACTCAATACATGCTGCACTTCTGACCTGCAGAAACGGTAACATAATAAATGAGGGTTGTTTTAAGCTGCTACACTTGGGTAATTTGCTATGTAGTAATAGAACACGAATACACTCAATACTTCACACAGGAGCACTCAAGTCCAAAAATAAAAAATAAACAAAACCTAAATGGAATAATGTGGAATAAACTGAAATATATTTGGTTTTTATCCCAGGTTTCAGGCACAGAGCTCCTAAAGCCCTTTGAATTTCCTGAATAACAAGAGTATCTTTTGTTACTTATACTGAGCCCCTTTTAATCACACCTGAGTTTATTCTAATGGGGTGACTTAACATAGACCCTAGTTAGCCTCAGGATGGTGCCGATAACCAGAAAAACCAAGTGCTTAGAGGGTAGAGACCTTCAGCCTTGCCCTTACCTCCGTGAAAGAGAGGGAGGACGAAATTGAGTTCTACAAAAACTCTTGAACAAGATTTAGAGAGCTTCCAAGCTGGTGAACACATCAACCTGCTGGGAGGGTGGTGTGCTCAGGGAGGGCATGAAAGCTCCGAACGACTCCCAACCCTGTTTCTTCCTGTGTCTTTCTTTCATTTGGCTACTCCTGAGTTTTATCCCTTATAATAAACCAGTAAATATAAGTGTCTTTTCAAGTTCTATGAGCCATTCTAACAAATTATTGGTTGAGTGGGGAGGTCATAGGAACCCGATTAATAGTTAGTTGGTCAGAAGTCCAGATGGTAGTATGGGTAACCTGGGACATTCGACTGCATCTGAAGTGGGGCAGTCTTGTGGGGCTGAGCCCTTTAATCTGTAGGATTTGAAGCTAACTCCAGGTAGATAGTGTCAGAACTGAATTGAGGCTGGGCACAGTGGCTCATGCCTGTAATCCCAGCACTTTGGGAGGCCCAGGTGAGAGGATCACTTAAGGACAGGGCAACATGAACTGCCTGGGCAACATAGCAAATCTCGGTCTCTAGAAAAAAAAAAAATTTAAATTTACAAAATTAAAAAGAATTATTATTATTATTGAATTCAATTGTGGGATACCCAGTTGGTATACAGAGAATCTGAGAATTGGCTGTTTGTATTGGAAAACAGTCCAGACAAGTAAACAGTTACTAGTACTCTGGGCCAGAAAGATAAAAAATTATAAGCCTAAAAGAGTCTGATATGATATATTTGTTATATTAATTACATCTTTAAATGCTTGGGTGAAATAATTTTTAGTATATGGAAGAAGGAAAATGTTAATATAGGAAAAGAACTGGTAAGATGGCAGCTGTAAAAGAAAACGTTTTCTGCTCTTCCATCATTGATGGGAAATTACACAAAGCAAACCTTAAACAGAATTCCAAAAAAAGGGGCAAATAAAATATAAAGAGCCACATATTTGTTGAAGCAATTTCTCTTAGCAGGAGGAGAGAGAGAGAGAGGGAATGAGAACTGAAAATGATTAAAACACTTTTAAAGAATAATTTTTACAAAAAGATGGCTGAGGATACAGCAAACTTTCCTCCTAATAAGATGGCAGTTTGTGGGAGAAAGGATGACAGAAATATTAACTGATAGGGTTCTAAATTTTAGTGGACTAAGTCATCATGGCCATGTTAGAAAAACTGAAATAAAAATACAGGTTTACAAGTAAAAATGAGATCTTTAAAATATAACAGTGGGGCTGGGTGCAGTGACTCTTGCCTGTAATCCCAGCACTTTGGGAGGCTGAGGCGGGTGGATCACCTGAGGTCAGAAGTTCGAGACCAGCCTGACCAACATGGTGAAACCCCGTCTCTACTAAAAATACAAAAATTAGCTGGGCATGGTGGCAGGCGCCTGTAATCTCAACTGCTTGGGAGGCTGAGGCAGGAAAATCGCTTGAACCCTGGAGGCGGAGGTTGCAGTGAGCCAAGGTCAAGCCATTGCACTCCAGCCTGGGTGATAGAGTGAGATTCTGTCTCCCAAAAAAAAAAAAAAAAAAATATATATATATATATATTTATATATATATATATATATATATATATATATATATATATATATATATATAAAACAATGATTTTCAATCCAATAACATTTGAAAGTACCCAATTTACATCACTAACAAAGCACTTACTAACCAAATACTATTTCACACTTTCACATATATACATATCTATCTCTTGTTCTATTATAGAAAAGAAAAAAACTGTCTTCTATATTTTTGTTTCTTGTAGCAGTGGGAGCCAGCATAATTATTTATTGAAAGAATGAAGAGGCCGGGTGCAGTGGCTCATGCCTGTAATCCCAGCACTCTGGGAGGCCAACACGGGCGGATCACGAGGTCAGGAGATCGAGACCATCCTGGCCAACATGGTGAAACCCCATCTCTACTAAAATACAAAAAATTGGCTGGGAGTGGTGGCGGACGCCTGTAGTCCCAGCTACTCGGGAGGCTGAGGCAGGAGAATTACTTGAATCCAGGAGGCAGAGATTGCAGTGAGCCGAGATTGCACCACTGCACTCCAGCCTGGCAACAGAGCAAGACTCCGTCTCAAAAAAAAAAAAAAAAAAAGAAACAATGAAGAAGGAATGTGGTATTTGTGACAAAGGACACAATTTGCAGATAAACATATTGATTTAATAAAGGAAAGAAGATACACCAAACATAAGGTCCTCAGATCATGACTGGAGCTTATTCGGCCAGAAACGTATTATTTGAAGCAAAACATATTTGAGAAGAAACCCAGCTATCTGCCAAAGATAAAAACATATACAAGGAGCCAAGTTACCCATGAGGGCCATTACCTTTCACAATTGCTTTGCCCTCTATTGTCAAGGCTAACTCCATTGATCTATGTGGTGACAGAGTATCACCTCTTTCCTACCAAAAGGCCCATGAAGGCCCCCTGACAGTTGCACAGAGTGGAAGATGATGCTCTGTCCAAGGAGAAAAAGGGTCCATTTTTTGTCAAGGGACATAAATTGCCAGAAACTCCAAACACAATCCAGGCAGAAATGGAAAAAGCTCTAGGAAATAATTCAGTCTGGGGAAAGCGTGATGGCTCACGTCTATAATCCCAGCACTTTGGGAGGCCAGAGTGGATGGATCACTTGAGGTCAGGAGTTCGAGACTGGCCTGGCCAACATGGTGAAACCCTGACTCTACTAAAAATACAAAAATTGGCCAGGCGTGGTGGTGGGCATCTGTAATCTCAGCTACTTGGGAGGCTGAGGCAGGAGAATTGCTTGAATACGGGAGGCAGAGGTTGCAGTGAGCCAAGATCATGCCATTGCACTCCAGCCTGAGCAACAGAGTGAGACTCCATCAAAAAAAAAAAAAAAAAGAAAGAAAGAAAACAAATAATTCAGTCTGTACACAGAAAACCAGCGGGAAGAATACATACCACTTGATCACTCACTGGCCTCATCATCCGGGCCAGGACATTCAGTAAGTCTTGTCTCTTGAGGAACTGAAAAAAATGAGAGAAGTAAGTAAATCCAACTGCAACTCCTACTTAGTATAAAAAAAAGGCCTTGAAGGAGAATCAAATGCTTCATCAAATATACTTTACGACACATTTGCCAGTTAGTATAAATATCACTTTTAGACCTCATTTTAAGTCAAACATGAAGGGATAAGATGCTGAATTGGGGGGCTGGGAATCACAACTGGACAAAATTAAGGGAAGATATATATCGTACAAGAAGTTTCCTACTTACCCTCAGCTGGATAAGCATGCCCTCACAGCACACTCGACCAGAACACCACAGGTTATAGATGTGCTCATTCTCCTGGTTCAACTTTCCTGTGCTTGTGGCTTCTTTGTTAGTTCCATCATCCCCTAGGGGTAAAACCACTTAATGTGACTCAACAGAAAATGTCAAGGCCGGGCCGGGGGTGGTGGCTCACGCCTATAATCCCAGCACTTTGGGAGGCTGAGGTGGGTGGATCACGAGGTCAGGAGTTCGAGACCAGCCTGGCCAGCATGGTGAAACCCTGTCCCTACTAAAAAAAAAAAAAAAAAAAATTATAAAAAATTAGCCGGGCATGGTGGCGCGTACCTGTAGTCCCAGCTACTCAGGAGGCTGAGGCAGGAGAATAGCTTGAACCCGGCAGGCGGAGGTTGCAGTGAGCTGAAATCGCACCATTGTACTCCAGCCTGGATGACAGAGCAAGACTCTGTCTCAAAAAAAAAAAAAGGAAACAAGGCCGAATACCTCACGTTCCTCTACCCTGACCACAAAATGATCACAGCTTCAGAGTAGCAATACTTTGCTGTCTTATAGAACTGTTTGGACAGGGACTGAAATAGATTAGCACTGTTCGTTTTACTTTTAAAACTATTGTCTGTATTAGAAGAAATATGGATTCTAAGCACATGCTTGTCAGTTTAACGATGATCAGCTTAGAGTATAAGTCTCTCAGAGTACATACAAAATGGGAAAAAAATCAGTTGAAATATCTCTGCCAAAAGTTAAAAACTCCTATGGAGTGAATAAAAAATACCATTAATACAAACTACTCAACAATTTCTCACTATGTCTCCTATGAATTAACTTTAACCAAGCTTTCTTTTCCAATGCAAAATGATAACTGGGTCTTACTAATGGTATTAAGAGTTGTATTTTAACTCTAGAAAAAAGCTCAAATTCCAATACTTTCTCTCTTCATTTAATTCATTAAGTATACAAAAGAAATTGCTCAACCTCACAAGGGAAAACGGACTGATACACCAAATGAAAACAAGCAAGGGGAAGTAGAAGGAGCCAAAGCTGCTCATTTATTTTTTTTCGAATTTCCTGGTCAAAACATACTCTGAAATACTATGGTATAGTGGAGACGGGGTGGACTTTGCAAACAGGTAGATAAGTTCTGATATCTTGGTTGCAATTTAACAGCTTAGATAAGTTTTAACATTTCTGCCCTTCAGTTTCCTCCTTAGGAAAACAGCAACTATAGCCAATTGACAGTGTTGTTACAAAAAGTAAATAAGAAACACTGTATGCAAAGTATCTAGCATAATATATAAACACTACTGTGTTGCAGAGCAGGTGGATACATGCTTACTATTAAAGAGAAATAAGGTGCTAAATGCCAAATAGGTGAATGTGAGGTTAGTCCACCTCATTCCCTACATTGCACAACTACAGAGGTTCCTTGAAGTCCTTCAATGTATATTTCAGCAGTGGATCCAAAACTCAAGTGTCAGATTCTAAGGGAATTTTGAGGGACTTTCAATTTCTAAAAGATGAATTGAGAGCATTTATCAAGCTACCTAAAATGTCAAACTTTCTTGGTTTCCGTCAGAATTTTATCAACTTGTTTTGAAAACATCGATTACATTATACTAATCAGAAGCTGTTTAGCAATTTTACTGCTGACTCATGAAAGATGAGAAAATTATTAAATACAATATATTCTTATTTTTAGAAACAGGGTCTCATTCTGTCACCCAGGCTGGAGTGCAGGAGCATGATTCTGTACCACTGCAGCCTCAAACTCCTGAGCTCAATTCTCCCACCTCATCCTCCCAAGTAGTTGGGACCACAGAAGCACACCACTGTGACTGGCCAATTTTTATTTTATTTTATTTGTAGAGACAAGGTCTCACTATGTTGCCCAGACTGGTCTTAAACTCCTGGCCCCAAATAATCCTCCCACCTTGGCCTCCCAAATCACTGGAATTACACGTGTGAGCCACCGCACCGGGCCAAAAAACAGGATCCTCAAGGCTGGATGCAGTAGCTCACGTCTGTAATCCCAGCAATTTGGGAGGCCAAGGCAGCCAGATTGCTTGAGCCCAGGAGTTCGAGACCAGCCTGCACAATATGATGAAACTCTGTCTCTACAAAAAAAATACAAAAATTAGCTGGGTGTGGTAGCATGTGCCTGTAGTCCTGTCTACTCAGAAGGCTAAGATGGAAGGATCTCTTGAACCTGGGAGGTCGAGGCTGCAGTGAACTGTAATCATACCACTGCACACAAGCCTGGGTAACAGCGTGAGACCTTGCCTCAAAAAAATAAAAATAAAAAGGCCGGGTGCAGTGGCTCATGCCTGTAATCCCTGCAATCTGGGAGGCCGAGGTGGGTGGACCATGAGGTCAAGAGATTGAGACCATCCTGGCCAACATGGTGAAACCCCGACTCTACTAAAAATACAAAAATGAGCAGGGCATGGTGGTGCACGCCTGTAGTCCCAGCTACTTGGGAGGCTGAGGCAGAAGAATCGCTTGAACCCAGGAGGTGGAGGTTGCAGTGAGCCGAGATCGCGCCACTGCACTCCAGCCTGGTGACAGAGTGAGACTCCATCTCAAAAATAGTAATAATAATAATAAAATTAAATTAAATTAAAAAAAAAAAGAGCAGGGGGAATCCTTGAGAGAAAAAACAATGCACCCTCTTTGGTATTCCATGAAAGCAGTTAGATGCTTATACTGAGGGGAATACATCATCCTTACCAGATTGTTTTCAAGCAAGAAGCTGGGCTGACATTGGCCTCACTTACCCACTAAAGTAAAGTTGCTCTCCAAAAGCTCCCTATGAGTGTTAAACCAGGCCTGTGCAAGGCGACTGTTTTTATTCTTCCCAATGATGTAATTCATGATATAAGCAAGCAGACCAGTCACCATCAAAATTTCTAGATAATAACTCTCCCAGCTGTTCTGGAGGTGTGCAGGAACCTAAAAAAGCAAAATCATTCCATTAAATGTTGGCTGAGACTGAAGAATGAAATCTACCTCATGGCAGGAAGAATGAGAAAATCCATAAACAGAAGGGATACTTCAGATATCTGTCATTGAATAAGGTTATACTTTGAAAAATAGGTCCATTTTACTTTTCTAGGCTAGCTTGATAAAAGATTCTTTAAGGAAATATAAGGACAATCAAATGGGATGAAAAGCTGGAAAGCCCTTTGTTTTACACTTGGTCCTTAACCCCCAAATAAATTCAATGTACTGTACATCACCAAGGAATAAATTTTACTTATTCCCTGATAAGTAGTAAAACTAGAAGTGCTACAATGATGAATAGGGGTTGCTTCTGTAGGTGTTGATTTTTTTTTTTTTGAGACGGAGAGGTGTTGATTTTTATCAGAAAAATTGATGTCAAGCTCCTTCTCAGCTCCCACTATTGCATTAACACCAGCTATACATCATTAATTTTATTTCTGGGATTGATGACAAGACATTTTGTTGTTTAGTTGGGAATTCAGAATCCTGGATACCTACATCAACAATCGTTATTGGGTCTTTATTTTTGCTAGAAGAAGTATCTGGTTTGTCTTCATAACCTTCAAATTCTTCATCATCATATGGTTCACTCTCAGTATCTCCCTCCTACAAAAATGAGGCATCATCCGTTTTCCTCTACAAATGTCACCAGCAGCTGTGTCTCATTTTGTTGGCAACATTTGTTGGGGAAAACAAGAACGTGTAAGCAGCAAGCACAGAAAACAGATGTTACATGTTTTTAACAAAACGATTGGGTACAAATTTCAGCTTAAAATGAGAAAGTTCTGAAGACCTAATGTGCAGCAAGGTGACTACAGTTAATAATAATGTATTGTAGACTTGAAATCTGCTAAGAGAATATATTGTAAGTATTCTCACCACACACACACACACACACACACACACACACACACGGAGGCAACTATGTTAATTAGCTTGATTGTGGTAAGCACTTCATATTGTATGTAGAGGTATACCAAAACACTATGTTGTGCACCTTAAATATATACAATTTTTGTCAGTTACACCTCAATAAAGCTGGGGAGCACCCAAAACACCAAAATGATGAGTCCCCATGCTTTTGATGACAAAGTTTTTTCTTTTCTTTTTTTTTTTGGAGACAAGGTCTTGCTCTATCACCCAGGCTGAAGTGCAGTGGCTCAATCTCAGCTCACTGCAACCTCCACCTCCCAGGTTCAAGCGATTCTCTTGGCTCAGCCTCCCAAGTAGCTGACATGACAGGCACGCACCACCACGCCCAGCTAATTTTGTATTTTTAGTAGAGACAGGGTTTCACCATGTTGGCCAGGCTGGTCTCAAACTCCTGACCTTGGGTGATCTGCCTGCCTTGGCCTCCCAAAGTGCTGGGATTACAGGCATGAGCCACCGTGCCCAGCCAATTGCAAAGTTCTAAATAATACAATTCTCACCCACAAACAGTATCTATTCTCTAACCCCTCTTCCAGTCAGGGTTTCAATAGAAGAACACAATTCATTCTGTTAATGTAAAAGGTGGAAACTTACCACAGAACATTTAGAAGAGCTCTACCTAGTGAATGAAAATGAAGACTCCAGACAGTAAAGGTCTCTTGAGCCTGAGGATTAATTTTAATGTTTGGGAAAGGTGCTAGTTACAAATTTTTCCAATAAATTAATAAAAAGAGCCTCACCTGGGTATCTGCATCTTCAAAATCTCCTTCTTGGTTTTCATCCTGCCCTTCCAACTCCACAGTGGTCTCATCTTCATCATCTTCAGTGATTATGACCCGTTGAGGAGATTCAGTAACAGAGTCTTCCATGACATCCTCAAATTCAGCGAAGTCATTATCATCATACTCTACTATGTCCTCCTCATCCTCAAAATCATCAAACTTGGCTTCAGAGACACTCCCAAACACCAGAAGGACAACACAGAAAGTGTGGAAGGCTTTCATTGCACCTTGAGAAAAAAAGCTTAAAAAAAAAGAGAACCCCAAAATGGATTGCCATTCTATACATACTGATCAGATTTTATAAACAGTAAAAATCTATAAACCTCTCCTGCTTTTCTCTTATTTGGTACTATTAGATTCAGACCACATTATATAAAGAACAATGAAGTAAGGTCAAGAGGCTTGGGTTCTAGTCTGGATCCTGGCACTACATATCTGTAAAATCTTCAACAAGTCATCAAGTCATTTATTTAATTTCTTTTTTTTTGAGACGGAGTTTTGCTCTTGTCGCCCAGGTTGGAGCACAATGGTGTGATCTTGGCTCACTGCAACCTCTGCCTCCTGGGTTCAAGCGATTCTCCTGCCTCAGCCTCCCGAGTAGCTGGGATTACAGGCATGTGCCACCACGCCTGGCTAATTTTTGTATTTTTAGTAGAGATGGGGTTTCACCATGTTGGCCAGGCTAGTTGTGAACTCCTGACCTCAGGGTGATCCATCTGTCTCGGCCTCCCAAAGTGCTGGGATTACAGGTGTGAGCCACTGTGCCCAGCCCAAGTCATTTAATTTCTTTAGGTTGGGTTTTCTAAAACTCTGTCCATTTACATAGAGTATTCAATAAGCATTTTTTGAGGGCCTATTAAAAAGCTTTCTATAGAAAATGAGAAGGAGGTAAAAATGAAGGAATAAGATGTAGCTATTTATCTGTTAGTGGTAACAAGAATAATCCATGAATAAAAAAGCCATTCACCCTTAGATTGATTTGTGTTCATGCATGAACATAATTATCATAAGAGCAAACACTTAAATCACTATGTGCTAGACACTGTTCCAAAGACTTTACAAAAAGCAACTAATTTAATCCTCATAACAACCCTCTAAGGAAAGCTGCAACATTAACATCCCCATTTCACTAATAAGGAAAATGGGGCAGAGAGATGCTAAGTAGTACAACTACCAAGTGACAAAGAGCTGTGATTTAATCCCAGAGTTTTGCCTCCAGAGTCCATGCTATGAACCACTTCTCAGGCTGCATCTCAAATGTGGTAGGTGGCTGTGCTTTCATATTACTTGCTTAGAAGCAGTAATTTTTTGCTAACCAATTGTTCTTAGTGTGTATGATGGAATTCAATGTATCATCATTTTATAGCTTTTTGAAGAACATTAAGTTTTCTAATACGTGAAAAAAGCTTCTGCATTAACAAATATAATGATATCATATCTGTGACAAAATATGTGCCAAATTATATGAAAACATGGACAACAATGTAACCATTTTCCCAAATAGGTAAGGCTTTACAAAAAAAAAAGTGGGGAGACCATTTGAGCTGAAATTTGAAAAGTATATTTCAACCATCAAACCCATTTAGGCTGTATTTCCAGTCCTGTCCCTCATCTAAACACCAGCCCTATGTCATAACTCACTGTAACCTTGAAGACATATCTGTTTTGACGCCCTACAAACTTTTCGTGTATCTAGTAAGATAGTAAATATTCTAGGCTTCATGGGGTACATACTGGTCTCTGCTGCATATTGTTCTTTTTTTAAAAAAAACTTTAAAACAATATAAAGACCATTCTTACTTCACAGGCCTCCCCTCAGGCTGACCCAATCCCTGCCTATAGTCATCTCAAAATCATCAGGTATCTGAATTTCTCTATTCGTATATTAATATCAATCACATTTTTCCAGTCTTGCTTGTTGAAAAGAACAAGATATCTAATGTTTTGCCTTCTTTTTCCTTTGAAATCTATCAGCCATCAAATCCTGGTGTTTCCTTCTTTGATTCCTATAGCCACTACAAGTTACCCCCACCTGCTGAAGAGCCACCATATTATTTTAAATGGTATCGTCTTAATGCTCTCCCCACTCCCTACTTTTCCTCCCTAAAAACTACCAGCATCTGTCTAAAACAGAACTTTTGTTACATATAAGGATTCAATAATCATCAAAGGCTAACCAATTATTGCAAAGTAATATAAAAACTCCTTTGGCATTCACTGCTTTTCACAATGATCCTACTGTAATTAAATGTACCTTCACTAAGCATATCGCCACAGTAGGTACTATGCCAAGATAAAGCACAATTCCTGAACTGAACATAAATTTGCACAGGAATTCAGCTTCAAGGACATGTGCTACAATATTATTTATGATGGTGAAATTTGGTTAAACTCTTTGGTTAAACTATGGATGTATCAAAAACCAAAGCTACTGTTGTCCATTAAAAATTGTTACATAGGGTGGTGGCTCTCCCCTGTAATCCCAGCACTGTGGGAGACTGGGGTGAGTGAACTGCTCGAGCCCAAGAGTTGGAGACCAGCCTTGGCAACATGGCGAAAACCCACCTCTACAAACAAAATAGAAAAATTAGCTGGGTTTGGTGGCATGTGCCTGTAGTCCCAGCTACTCAGGGCACTGAGGTGAGAAAATTGCTTGAGCTCACGAGGCCGGCCGAGGCTGCAGTGAACTGTGATCATGCTAATGCATTCCAGCCTGGGTGACAGTGAAACGTGCCTCAAAACAAAACACAAATAACAAAAGAAAAACCCCCAAGTAATTAAAAAAAAATTGTTACACAGCCTGGGCAACACAGTGAGACTTCCCCTCTACAAAAAAGCTTTTAAAAATTAGCCAAGTCTCACGCTCATTCCTGTAATCCCAGCAGTTTGGGAGGCCAAGGTAGGCAGATCACTTGAGGTCAGGAGTTTGAGACCAGCCTGGCCAACATGGTAAAATCCTGTCTCTACTAAAAATATTTAAAAAATTAGCCAGCGTGTGGCGTGACTTGTAATCCCAGCTACTTGGGAGGCTGAGGTATGAGAATCACTTGAACCTGGGAGGCAGAGGTTGCTGTGAGCTGAGATTGTACCACTGCACTCTAGCCCGGGTGACACAGGGAGACTCTGTCTCAAAAAAAAAAAAAAAAAATTAGCCAAGTCTGGTGGTGTGCACCTGTAGTCCAGCTATTCTGGTGGCTGAGGTGGGAGAATCACCTGAGCCCAGGAGGTTGAGGCTTCAGTGAGCCATGACTGCGCCACTGCACTACAGCCTGGGCAACAGAGCAAGGCTGTCTAAAAGAAAAAAAAAAAACAAAATGTTACAAATGAAGTCGAAACCCAGATCATTTTAGAAGCAAATGCACATAAAGAAAAAGGTTTGGCTGTGTGCGATGGCTCACACCTGTAATCCCAGCACTTTGGGAGGCTGAGGTGGGCAGATCACCTGAGGTCAGGAGTTTGAGGCCAGCCTGACCAACATGGTGAAACCTCGTCTCTGCTAAAAATACAAAAATTAGCCGGGCATGGTGACAGGCGCCTGTAATCCCAGCTACTTGGGAGGCTGAGGCAGGAGGATCGCTTGAATCAGGAGGTGGAGGTTGCAGTGAGCCGAGACAGCGCCATTGCAGTCCAGCCTGGGCAACAAGAGTGAAACTCCATCTCAAAAAAAAAAAAAAAGAAAAGAAAAGAAAAGAAAAAGAAAACAAAAAAGTTTAACAGGGATGTCAAATTTTTTGGTTTCCCTGAGGCACAACGGAAGAAGAATAATTGTCTTGGGCCACACATAAAATACACTAACACTAATGATAGCCAATAAGCTAAAAAATATCTCATAATGTTTTAAGAAAGTTTACGAATTTGTGTTAGGCCACATTCAAAGCTGTCCTGGGTCACATGCGGCCTGCAGGCCATGGGTTGGACAAGCTTGGTTTAGAAAAACATACATTTACATACAAATATTAGTTAGCTTGTATGGTAGAATTCTGGATATTTTGTCTTTATTTTTCTTTCTTTTTTTTTTTTTTTTTGAGGCAGAGTCTCACTCTGTAGCCCAGGTTGGAGTGTAGTGGCGTGATCTCGGGTCACTGCAACCTCTGCCTCCTGGGTTCAAGCGATTCTTCTGTCTCAGCCTCCTGAGTAGCTGGGTTATAGGCACTCACCATCATGCCTGGCTAATTTTTTTTGTAGTTTAAGTACAGATGGGGTTTCACCATGTTGGCCAGGTTGGTCTCGAACTCCTGACCTCAGGTGATCCACCTGCCTCGGCCTCCCAAAGTGCTGGGATTACAGGCATTTACAGGCATGAGCCACCGTGCCCGGACTAATTTTTTTTTTTCTGTAGTGTACTTTTGTCACTAGAGAAGAGGCATTGCAGACTGCGGAACAGGTTTGGCATGGAGGCCTGAAATAGCATATTTTAGGAGCCTGGTATGATAGGACATTGGGTTTGTAGACTCAAGTGGGAGAAAGGAGGCTGGAAAGGCCCTCAGGGGCCAGGTCATGATGAAATCATTACTGGCAACTGCAGGGAAGTGATAAGGATGGAAGCCATAATGCAAGCAATTGAGTATTAACGGAAGTGAGAGTATGGCAAAGGGAAATATGTACTACTCTTTCAAGGTGCTCTGAGATGGAGAATATTCTAAATCTCATTTATAGCACTGAAACTTCTTAAAGAAATCAGTTTAATATCGAAGGTTATTGTCGAATGCCTTGCAATCCATGGATGCTCAAGAAATTAAATGCTCTTAAAGGCTGGGCGCAGTGGCTCACACCTGTAATCCCAGCACTTTGGGAGGCCAATACGGGCAGATCAGCGGAGGTCAGGAGTTCGAGAACAGCCTGGTCAACATGGTGAAATCCCGTCTCGACTAAAAATACCAAAAAATTAGCCAGGCATGGTGGCACACACCTGTAATCCCAGCTACTTGGGAGGCTGAGGCAGGAAAATTGCTTAAACTTGGGAGGCGGAGATTGCAGTGAGCCAAGATCATGCCACTGCACTCCAGCCTGGGTGACAGAGCGAGACTGTGTCAAAAAAAAAAAAAAGAAAGAAAGAAAGAAAGGAAGGAAGGAAGGAAGGAAGGAAGGAAGGAAGAAAGAAAGAAAGAAATTAAATGTTCTTAGAATTAAAGTTCATAAAATTTGAAAGGTACAAATGATTTTGAGAAATGCCATAAAGGATAGGCCAACGGTACAGTAGGCCCTACCCATGGGTTCCACATCTGTGGATTCAACCAACCACAGATGGAACAGATTTGGAGGCAAGAACAGTTAAAAAAAAATACAATTAAATTAGGTATTATAAGTAATCTAGAGATAATTATATAGTGTATATACATATACATATATAAGTATATGGTAGGAGGTGCATAGGTTATACGTAAATACTACACCATTTTATATAAGGGACTTGAGTATCCATGGATTTTGGTATTCTCAAGGGGTCCTGGAACCAATCCCCCATACATATCAAGGGAGAACTAAACATTCTTTTTATACTAGTTGATCCTTCAGGTTAGTATCAAGGGACAATCTATGGGAAAGCATGCCACTTTGTCAATGCCAGCCTCAAAGAGGTATGGGATGTGTCTCTAAACATCCCTAGCTTCCTTTAACCATCTTTAGTTACTAATGAGTGTTTTTAAACTCTGGAATGTATATTTTCCACTTCCACTAGGCCTAAGGGTCTTCAGTCCTCTAAATTACTACCTGTTAAAGTTTCTCTTCTAGTTTTTCTAGGCTTTCCCTCTAGTTCTCATGTTGTGATATTTGGTCAAAAGTGGAAGAAATATAGAAAACAGCACATACTTTGGTGAAATTAGACTTGGTTTAAAATGTCAGCTCTAGGCCAGGCGTGGTGGTCCACGTCTGTAATCTCAGCACTTTGGGAGGCCGAGGTGGGTGGATCATTTGAGGTCAGGAGTTCGAGACCAGCTTGGCCAAAATAGTGAAACCCCACCTCTACTAAAAATACAAAAATTAGCCGGGCGTGGTGGCAGGCACCTGTAATCCCAGCTACTCGGGACGCTGAGGCAGGAGAATCGCTTGAACCCGAGAGATGGAGGTTGTAGTGAGCCAAGATTGCGCCACTGCACTCCAGCCTGGGCAACAGGGTGAGACTCTGTCTCAAAAAAATAGATAAATAATAAAATAAAATGTCAGCTCTACCATTTACCAGCAATATGACCTTAGCCTAATTACTTAAAATTCCCTGTTCTCCACATACAAAAAAGGGATACCATTTGCTACTTGCCTCTTAGGGCTGCAGTGGGTATTACGGGAGATATGTACCAAGGGTTTTTTTTTTTTTTTTTTTTTGAGACGGAGTCTGACTCTGTCACCCAGGCTGGAGTGCAGTGGCACGATCTCGGCTCACTGCAAGCTCCGCCTCCCGGGTTCACGCCATTCTTCTGCCTCAGCCTCCCAAGTAGCTGGGACTACAGGCGCTCGCCACCACGCAGGGCTAATTTTTTGTATTTTTAGTAGAGACGGGGTTTCACTGTGTTAGCCAGGATGGTCTCGATCTCCTGACCTCGTGATCCACCCGTCTCGGCCTCCCAAAGTGCTGGGATTACAGACGTGGGCCACCGCGCCCAGCCTCCTTTTCAAATCCTACTCTTAAAACTTTTTTTTCATATAGAAGCAACTAAAAGTTAACACCGGAACAGTCAACTCGATTAACAGCCTGCCAAAAGATCCGATCATTTCAAATTGAATTTCCAATTAGAATATTCACACCATAGAAACACTTCTGAGATAACTCAGCACTATAATGGAGATCCTTCAAGGTTATTTAGGTTACAATCATCCAAGCCATTTTTACCTTGGTTTTCCCTCTTAGAAGTCTCCGCTGCACCTGTCAGTTCTCAAATGCACAAGTCCTTGCCAGACCACCCAGCCTCTATGACTCCTGAAGCAAGCAACACAGGACCAAGGAAAATTCACACAAGCGCTAACAAGTCTGGTTTGATTATTTTCTGCAAGCTCATCCAATAGTTCCTCAGCGACTGAGTCTAGACTTGAGGAAAGAGGACTGAGTGAGGCCATCATTCCTTGTTGTCATTTTAGATTAGGTCTTCCTGACAACGGCCAAAACGAGTATTCTGGAAATCATGCAGACTTTCCTCTGTCTCTTTATATGTGTTGGATACAAACACGTTTCATTTTAGAAACCTCCAGAAGAGACTGGCCACAGAGGTTTTTGCTTCTATTAAACCCCTTTGCCTAGTTTCTCCCCACCCAAGAGAATCAATACATCCTAATGTCATCCTCCGGCACACACTGTACATTTCCTCTAACTCTGCCCTTTTGGCTATCATTTGCTCACAGCTCCGTGGGAAAGTTCCCCCAAACCATTACAATTATCTCAACCGGACCGGGCTACAGGCCAAGCAACTCGGAGTCACCGCTCGGCCTGGCCCGGCCACGCCGACGAGCGCGTCCTGGCCCGCTCCTTACCTGTGGCCGAAGCCGAAACCCGGCCCAGCGCCCTGCGTCCGACACCCCTGCCCGGCCTGCCTCTCGGCCTGGCCGCCGCCTCCGCGATCGCAGCGGTTTTACTGCCCCGGATGCCTCTAGGACGCAGCCAGAACCGTAGCTCAGTCACGCCGCGCCTCTCTTCACGTAGCCTCCGCCGTCCGTTACGTAGAATGCGAGCGGCTCGTCAGCGCCTGCGCGCAGCCTGCGGGGCGGGACGCAACCCCGGGGAAAGCGCGAGACCTCCCTCTCTCCCGCCCGGCTGAGGCGAGGTGGGGCTTTTGGGAAAATTACATAATCCCCGCCCCTGGGCCGGAACTGCCCTCGCCTATCCCAATCCTCCTACCTAGGATTCCGTCAAGTTGACGTCACACGGAACCGGTGCTCCGGAAGCTAAAGGTGGCCATGCTGTGTGGGACCACGTGGCCAGAGGCAAGAGTGTCGCTCTAGTAGTATATGCAACAGTTTAAACTATAGGCATGTTCATGTAAATATGGTTTCTGTCCAACCCGTTTTCTCTTGGGATTTTTGGCTAGCCCCTTGACGCCACTTTTTCTTCATTCGCAGACCCACTTTCTAGATGGGTCATGAACACTGTCCACCCAACTGCAGTTTCCCGTCAGAGTATCTGAGGAGCCTGTGAGGCGTTCTGGAGCTTTAAGGTCAGGCGCCTTCCGGGAGCCGTAGCCCCGGCCCCGCCCTTCTGCCCGCGCGTTCCTCACTGCGCATGTCGCGTTTTTGTTCCCCTCCCCCCTTCAGCAACGGGCCGTGAGGCGGTGGCGGTGGTGGCGGTGGCGGCGGCGGTGGTGGTGGTGGCGGCGGCGGCGGCGAAGGGGGCGGAGAGGAAGGAGCGCGGCGGGACCGGGCCGGGACAGCGCGTACTTTGGGCTCCGGGATTCGCTCCGCGCCCGCGGTTGTAGCAGCTGCCGCTGCAGCCATAGCAGCAGGTTTGTGCGTGGGGTTTCTGGACGCAAGGCCGCCAGTCCTTGGGGGCACTGGAGGCAACTGCTGGGCCTAGCGAGGGCGGAGGAACCGCGGCCTCGCTTAACAAAGAGTCGGCAGAGCCTCGGGGCACCGGCGGCCGGGGTGCCGGGAAGGGGTGGGAGTGGGGGCTGAGGCCTCTAGGGTTCCTTCCTAGCCGCGTCGCCCTCCCACAGCTCCCGCTTCCCTCACAAGTCTTACCGAGGCCCAGTTGGCGGCTTTCCGGAGGCGGCGCCCCCTCGCCTAGGAAAAGGATTTGCAGGGTGCCCGGCTCCAGGGCAGGAATAGCGCGGGGAGAATTCTGACCCAAGGAGGCAGCGCTTGGGAGATGCAGGCCTCCGAATTTGGGGTCCTGAGAGGCAAAAGCTGCCAAATGAGAGGAGTGAAAAGATATAGGCGATGATCTTTGTGCAGCGTTGAGTAGGTCGATTATTAGCATCACTGTAGTCACACAAACTTTTTTGCGGCCTACTTGAGAGCGTATCTGATGTGAATAAATAATTTACATGGAATTGCAAACATATGCATCAAAAACAGGAGAAGCTGTCGAGAGTTTTGGGGAATTACATTCTCATCACTGAGAATTTCCCTCTTGCCCCCACTCCTATAGGCAGTTATCCAATTTCTTGTGGCTTCCCTGTGTTTTCTTTTTGTCAATGATGTTTCTATGTCTGTCCTCTCTCGTATACACACCCAGGACTTCCTCAAGCGCAGGGACTATGTCTTAAGGCGCTTTGCAGAGCCAAGCTCATTTCTGGCACATAAGAGGTGAGCAATGAGTGTTTCGTACAAAAATTAATGTTTATATTTTGACAGCTGGGAAAAGAAAATATATCTTCCTGTACCTGGAAGAAGCATTGTGTAGCCTAATGTGCAATTCGTTCATTCAAGGGGTATTTTTATTGGTGCCTATTCTCTAGCGCCGTTCTAGGTGATAGGGATAGGTGTTAGACCCCTGCCTTTGGGGAACTTAACTTTCTAGTAGCGGGAGGAGAGGCAAACAGATACATATATTATACTGAATGTTAGAAGATGATCAGTATCTTAGGGAAAAGAAAGCTGGAAAGGGGGTTGGGGAGGTGGTGGTGTTGGAATTTGCAATAAAGTGGTCAGGGAAGTCCATACAGACAAGCTGATATTTAAGCGGACTAGAAGGTGGAGTGAGAGCCTACGTTTATCTGGGGAAAGGAACGTTCCAAGCTAGAGAATAACAAACATAAAAGCCTTGAGGAGGACAAAGCTGGCCCGTTAAGAGTGTGAAGACCAACGCGTTTGGAGCACTGTGAGCTGAGGGAGTATTAGGAGATAAGGTCAGGGAAGAATTGGGGGAAGGGAGTGAGCGGAACAACCAAAGCCTTTTAGGCTGTTACTTAGGAAGGATCTGAGGGTTTCGATCAGAGGAATGATAATATCTGATTTATATTGTAACAATTTAATATAAGAGAGGAGTGCAGTTATTTAAATTTGTTTTGTTACATTGATAGTCATATAATCAGCTCTTAGTTGCTTTAAGCTGACAGGAGAAGGGATGCTTCTAAAATAACCATAACCTAGCATTTACTTGTATTTGGTTTAGAAGAATGTGATTACGTTCTTGAGTTTTTATTTAGATTCTCATCAAAGAACTGACCTGTATATAGTGTGTGAGGTACTCTCAAAGTATATGTAGAGTAGATGCTAATCACTGTCACTAGAACTCTTCCTTCCACCTCCAAAAATACAAGTGATAAAGTAATGTGGCTTATATAATCAGTTGTTTTTAGTCCACTATATTTAAAGTCATTTAGATCATATCTTATTTTCCGCCATTGCCGAAAACACAAACTAGCTAAATTGTCTTCCTTTATAAGTGTGTTCCACATTTATTCTCACTTCCTAGCCTTTGCTAGTTCAGTCTTTCTCCCTGGAATGTCTTCGTCTGCACGTCTCTACCCAGCTTTCATCTTTCTGTGCCTAGCCTGGCTTCTGACTCTGTTATGACACTTGCCCTTGCTTGTTAGCTCATGGTGATCTCTGACATCTTCAGTGTTCTTGTGGCGCTTATGTATGAAATACCTGAGTTGAAAGAAGTCTGATAGTCTCAATTTACCGATGAAGAAATTGGTTCTTCAGAAATAATGTAATAATGAAAAACACGATGGTAGCTGACATATTGAACAAGTACATTTTTGTGTATGAACTTAATTTTTCACGCCAACTCTTGAGATAGGTGATAGTCTCATCTTTTTTTTTTTTTTTTGAGATGGTGTCTGGCTGTGTTGCCCAGGCTGGTCTTGAACTCCTGAGCTCAAGTAATCCGCCTGCCTCAGCCTCCCAGAGTGCTGGGATTACAGGCGTGAGCCACCACACACAGCCTCTTACCATTTTTTATAGATGAGGAAACTGAACCCAGAGAAGCTAAATAACTTCCCTGAGGTTCATATCAAGTTAGTAGCAAAGATAGTTTACACATAGCCTGTGCTACTTTACTATTCTGTTAAGATTTCCTAGGAAACCACCGTGTTTTATTTATTTTTTAGAGACTGTCTTGCTGTGTTGCCCAGGTTGGAGTGCAGTGGTCCAGTCAGCTCATTGTAACCTGGAACTCCTGGGTTCAAGCAATCCTCTTGCCTCAGCCTCCTGAGCAGCTAGGACTACAGGCGTGTGCCACCATGCCTGGCTAATTTTTTAAATTTTTTTGTAAAGACAGGGTTTTATTGTGTTGCCCAGGCTGGTCTCAAACTCGTGGCCTTAAGTGATCCTCCCACCTTGGCCTCCCAAAGGGCGAGGATTACAGGTGTGAGCCACCTTGCCCAGCCAGCCATAGGATTTAGTGCCTAGAACCATACCAAATAGGACTTGATGCCATCTTGACTGTTTCTCTTCAGCCTAGTTGTAGATCTCCTTTAGTCTTTTACATATTGAATAAATGAGTATCTAATATTGAAAACATGCTATAAGAGAAAAGTGAATAAGCCTGTTTCTTCAGCCATGAATCCTATAATACGGAGTTGGACTGGAAAGGGAGTTTGAGGAAGGAGATGCCATTTCTTTTTCTTTCTTTTTTTTTTTTTTTGAGACGGAGTCTCACTCTGTCGCCCAGGCTGGAGTGCAGTGGCGCGATCTTGGCTCACTGCAAGCTCCGTCTCCCGGGTTCAAGTGATTCTCCTGCCTCAGCCTCCGGAGTAGCTGGGACTACAGGTGCCCACCACCACGCCTGGCTAATTTTTTTGTATCTTTAATAGAGATGGGGTTTCAGCATGTTAGCCAGGATTGTCTCGATCTCCTGACTTCGTGATCCACCCGTCTCGGCCTCCCAAAGTGCTGAGATTACAGGCGTGAGCCACCGTGCCCAGCCAGGAGATGCCATTTCTTTGGGGATATCATATTCATGTCTTTAGGAGTTGGTATTTGAGATATGCTTTGAAGGATAGGACTTTGGTAGGTACTCACAGTTTATAGGAAAGAGATTTGATGTGAAGGGGATCCAGTTAGAGGGAAGAGGATTCACTAGAGTGCTTGTTTTCCTGGAAAACTGAGTACGTGTGGAGAGACCCTGGGAAATATGAATGGTAAAGTAGTTTGATGCCACAATGGAGGGTCTCATTCCAGCATGATTAACTGTGGAGAGCTATGGAATTGAGGAGAGTGACATAATCAGAAATGTGTGTTCTGGAAGAACCTGGAAAGGGTTTTCGATAAGCATCTGAATACTGACCTCCCTTCTGTGAGACTTTTTCTGGTTCCACGGTATTAACACACACTATGCTACTCTACCAAAGGAGGTAAAACTTGCTTTTCTCTTTTCACTGTGTGTCTCACTATTACTTCATCATTTTATGCTTTACTAAACAGAATCACTTCTCATAGACTATGGAAGATTTGCTGGTTTTAGATGAAGCATCTGGATGTACATCCACATTACTTTTCCAATAAAACAGACATTCTTGGGACAGTAGTCAGGGGAGGATTACCTGTCAAATGTCATTCATCTCAGAGAGGCCTTGCCTGACTTAAGTCTGCAATAGCTTGCCTCTTACCCTCTTGCTTGCTTTTCATAGCACTTTTGCTACCTGGAATTACATGATTTAGTTTTTCTTTCTCCTGGGCCAGACTGTGAACTCTGAGTATGGCTGCATCTGATTCCATTACTGTATCCTTAGCACCTTAGAGCAGTTACTGGCACAAAATAGGCACTCAGTATATTTTGACTTAGTGATCACTCTAGTAGTGCTGTGAGAGCTTGATAATAAAGTTTTTTTTTTTTTTAAGACAGCATCTCGCTCTGTTATCCAGGCTGGAGTGCAGTGGCACGATCTCGGCTCACTGCAGCCTCCGTGTCCTGGGTTCAAGAGATTCTCCTGCCTCAGCCTCCTAAGTAGCTGGAACTATGGGTGCGCGCCATCACGCCTGGCTAATTTTTGTATTTTTAGTAGAGATGGGGTTTCACCATGTTGGCCAGGATGGTCTTGATCTCCTGACCTTGTGATCCGTCCACCTCGGCCTCCCAATAATCAGAAATTTTTTTTTAGGAAATAATTGCAATAGTGGAGGTGGAGATGGAAAGGCGGGTATACGTGAGGGATGTCCCTCATAGTACTGGGCACATAACAAAATCATCAGTGGTTATTGGTCAGTATAAAACAATGGATGTTATTACTAAGAACCACTTAGGGTTGTTCTTTTTTAAACAAATACTCATTAAACTTTGTTTATGGCTCTATTCAGCTAATTCTTTTCAAATTAGGTATTTCAAAAGGGTTCTTTTTTAAATTTTTATTTTTTGGCACCCCAGCAGGAAATGAAGAAATCTTTTTTAAGAGAAAAAATACAAAAATGCAGTTGAATTTCCCCAAGTGTGTTTTTTTTGTTTGTTTTGGTTTTGTTTTTTTGAGACGCAGTCTCACTCTGTCACCCAGGCTGGAGTGCATTGGCATGATCTCGGCCCACTGCAACCTCCGACTCCTGGGTTCAGGCCATCCTCCCACCTCAACCTCCCGAGTAGCTGGGGCTACAGGTGCACACCACCACACCTGGGTAATTTTTGTATTTTTTGTAGAAATCAGGTCTTTCATTGTTGTCCAGGCTGACCTCTAACTCCTGAGCTCGAGCCATCCTCCTGCCTTGGCTTCCCAAAGTGCTGGGACTGCAGTTGTGAGCCACTGTGCCCACCTCATTTTGTTTTCTTCTTTTGGTACTATCACCACAATCTAGCCACAGGACACTTTTCATCTTGTAAAACTGAAATTCTGTACCCATTAAACAATAACACCCTATTCTCCCCTCCTCGCAGCCCCTGGCAACCACTCTTCTACTCTGTGTCTCTGAGTTTGACTATTCTAGGTATCTCTTTTTTTTTTCTTTTTGTTTTCTTTGTAGAGATGGGGTCTCGCTGTGTTGCCCAGGCTGGTCTCAAACTCCTGGCCTCAAGCCATCCTCCTGCTTCCCAGAGTACTGGGAATATAGGCGTAAGCCACTGCATCTGCCTCTTTTATTTTTTTAGTAACCAAATAGAAATTTGGGTGGCTATCTTTTGCTTCTTCTGTCAGCTATACTCCCACAAATCTCTGTGATTGTCAAGGTTCAGTAACCATATACACTACATGGTTTAATAGTAGGAAAAACTGCCGGGCACGGTGGCTCACGCCTGTAATCCCAGCACTTTGGGAGGCCAAGGCAGGCAGATCACCGGCGGTCGGGAGTTTGAGACCAGCCTGACCAACATGGAGAAACCCCATCTCTCCTAAAAATACAAAATTAGCCAGGCGTGGTGGCACATGCCTGTAATTCCAGCTACTTGGGAGGCTGAGGCAGGAGAATCACTTCAACCTGGGAGGCGGAGGTTGTGGTGAGCTGAGATTGCGCCATTGCACTCCAGCCTGGGCAACAAGAGCGAAACTGTCTCAAAAAAACAAAAAAAAAAAAAAGTAGGAAAAACTGTTGTCAAGAGACTTAAGTAATGATCCATTGAGGATGATCTGGCTTAGATTTAATCAGGAAGGGTGGTTAGCTAGATAACAAGGTTTGTAGTAATAAAATAGAGTTTTCATAAATACTGGGATGAATTTTGGAGAGCCTGAATACATTACATTTATTCATACAGCAAAATTTTTTGAGTACTATGCAGACACCAAGGATATAGTGCTGGACAAATTGAGTCAAGTCTATGCCCTCATAGAGCTAACATTCTACTCAGGGTATATAGAAAGCACAGTTCCTTGGCCTTCCTAGAGTCAGTAATTGAGGGACAATGAGCTGTGTGTTCTAGATGAGCTAGGGAAAGGATCGCTTTTCCAACTTGCTAAGTCTTGAGAGCCAGTAAGCAACCCTCACCTGCCCAAGGTCTCACTGCCTGCCTGTTTGTGGCAGGAGTTGATTTGCTGCTTTTGTAATATGAACCTTTTGATTATTTAATAGGGCTGATTCATAGTCATGTTTGTTCTTTTCACTCCTTCCCTCTAGCTTTGGGGGAAGAGTGAGTTACTCCTGTTGTTAAAAGTTTTGATTGTGTCTGGTCTTCTCTGGAAATCCTATGACTTTTTTCTGTCATTTTGCATCTTCAGTTTTTCAGACTTTACTGGTTTTTCCCCTTTAGCATATAAACATGCCTATGTTTCTTTAAAAAATAAAATTTCTGTAGGTAATGCTTCACTTTCTCCTTCCTATCATTGATAAACAGCCTACAAAGTACTCTTGACTCCTCTTGACCTAGTCTTCATCTTCTACTACTTACTTGCCAGGTACTCCTCAACCCTGTCCCTACTGCTCCATTGAAACTGCTTTCACTGATGACTCCTGGTTGCCTATACAACAGAAGAATTTTAGTTCTTTTTGTTTTGTTTTTTTGAGACAGAGTCTCGCACTCTCGCCCAGGCTGGAGTGTAGTAGCCGGATCTTGGCTCACCGCAAGCTCTACCTCCCAGGTTCATGCCTTTCTCCTGCCTCAGCCTCCTGAGTAGCCGGAACTACAGGTGCCCGCCACCACGTCCGGCTAATTTTTTGTATTTTTAGTAGAGATGGGGTTTCACCGTGTTAGCCAGGATGGTCTTGATCTCCTGACCTTGTGATCCGCCTGCCTTGGCCTCCCAAAGTGCTGGGATTACAGGCGTGAGCCACCGTGCCTGGCACATTTTAGTTCTTAACTTACCTAACTTCTCTTTAGTTTTCTGCCTATAGAGCTTCTTTCTCCTCACCCGTGTTCCTCCTTGTCTCCCCTTCCTTCTTTCCCCCTCTTCTTTCTTTCCCTTCCCCAATCCCTGTTCCATCTGAAGTTTCCATGTAAGCTTCTCTTTTTCTGCCCATTCCTAAATAGTGATATATGTTAAGAATTGTCTTACTGGGCCGGATGTGGTGGCTCACGCCTGTAATCCTAGCACTTTGGGAGGCCGAGGCAGGTGGATCACGAGGCCAGGAGATCGAGACCATCCTGGCTAACATGGTGAAACCCCGTCTCTACTAAAAATACAAAAAATTAGCCGGGCCTGGTGGCAGGTGCCTGTAGTCCCAGCTACTGGGGAGGCTGAGGCAGGAGAATGGTGTGAACCCGGGAGGCAGAGCTTGCAGTGAGCCGAGATTGTGCCACTGCACTCCAGCCTGGGCGACAGAGTGAGACTCCGTCTCAAAAAATAAAAATAAAAAAAGAATTGTCTTACCAGCTGGGCGCAGTGGATCACGAGGTCAGGAGTTTGAGACCAGCCTGGCCAACATGGTGAAACCTGTCTCTACTAAAAATACAAAAATTAGCTGGGCACGGTGGTGCGTGCTTGTAATCCCAGCTACTCGGGAGGCTGAGGCAGGAGAATTGCTTGAACTCAGGAGGCGGAGGTTGCAGTGAGCCAAGATCATGCCATTGCCCTCCAGCTCTGGGCGACAGAGCAAGACTCCGTCTTGGGGAGAAAAGAAAGAATTGTCTTACTTCTTTTCTCACTCTGCATGGTCTCTCTGCTAGCTTATTTACATCAGTAACCTCAAATGCAAATGGCTTACATCAAATCTATAGCTCACTCCGGACCCCTCTCTGCAGTTACTGCCCCTGCTTGGCATCTCTACTCAGCTCTCTCATAGATACTGAACTCACCTTTTGCCTAATTTTGCAAACCTGGCTCTTTTAGGTTTCCATCTCCATTAGTGGCTCCACAGTTCACCCAGTCTTTAAAGCCAGAAACTTCTGAAGTTATTCTAGACTCTTCTTCCTTAGCTTCCACACCAATTACTGGTCACACAATCCTAATTGATCTTTCCTCAGATATCTAAATAAATAACTCAGATCCATCCCCCGTTTCTCCTTTCCCACAGGTGCTTTCTTAGTTCAGAATTTTGTCGCTTTATACCTGCGTTGCTGCAACAGCCTTCTACTTTCCTTGCCTCTACCATGAGTATCTCTCATTCTGTCTTTCAAAAACACTGATCTGAAAATTTCCCTTCTGTGTAAAATTAACGATTCTTTGTAGCTGGCAGAATACAGTTTTGTATGGTACGTCGTTAGCATAGCCTTCTAAGCTGTTCATCTTGGCCCTACCTGTCTTTCTGAACATGTGTCCTGCAAATTTCCCAAATGTGCTACTGAACTCTAGCTGCACTGAACTATTTCTTGTTCTCTGTGGTAACACTTAACAGATCCTTCCATCTGAAATGCCCTTCTTTAATGCCTCTTTGATCTAATGCCTCTTGAGGTTTCAAAATTTAACATGTCATCTCTCAGAACACTTCTATGCCTTTGCTCCCACTCATGGACCACCAGTGAATGCACTCTGTATAGTACGTCTGTTAGAACGCATCATGTTGTTTTCAGCTGCCTCAGACTGCACTGTCTACTCCTTGAGAACAGGGACTGTATCTTTCATGTATGAATGCCTAGCACATCATATACCACCTGACCTTCTCAGCAAGCTTTCAGTAAACCATTGAAAGTTTTCCTGCTAGGAGATTGTGTGATTCTTAAAATCCACCTGAACGTAAATGTCTTTCCACTATCCTTTCTTTGCCTTCTCATCCTTATGGCTTATTAGCTCCTTGTTATACATTGTATACACTAGGAAAAATGAGATTAAAATTGAGCCCATCCTTTTTGTTGCTTGGGAACACCTCTTGTAAAGATAGCTTATAGATTAGTTTAAAAACGTCAGATGCTGAAATTTTCTTGCTTGTAAAGATTCTTACTAAATTTCATCACACTGGAATTACGTTGATTCCTTGATTGAAGGAATCCCCTTATGGGATTCCGAAAGACAGCAGGAGATGAAGTTCAGGTAAATTAGTACTTACTAAATACATACCTTAGTCATTCTCACTGTTAGAGAAGGAAGTCCAAAATGAGTAAAGACAGTTTCTATCTGGAGTTAAGGGTCTAAGTAGAGATTGATGTAGTGTAATTCAAGTTTAATACTAAGCAGCCTGGGTGCCGTGGCTCACACCTGTAATCCCAGCACTTCGGGAGGCCAAGGTGGTTGGATTGATTGAGGTCGGGAGTACAAGACCAGCCTGCCTAACATAACGAAACCCCATCTCTACTAAAAATACAAAAAATTAGCTGAGCCTGGTGGCACACGCCTGTAATCCCAGCTACTCGGGAGGCTGAGACAGGATAATCACTTGAACCATGGAGGCAGAGGTTGCAGTGAGCTAAGATTGTACCACTGCACTCCAGCCTGGGAGGCAGAGTGAAACTCTGTCTCCCAAAAAAACAAACAGACAAACAAAAACCTTAAAACTAAGCAAACAACTAAGTGCTGTGTATAATAGCAGTTGAACAAAACCTATGAAGTATATATAGACAAGGGGTATAGAACAGTGCATGTTTCTGATCTCTTCGACAATGTTACTATAATAAACAGTTTTTGGAATTTTTTTCCACCCTGGCTTCAAAGCTAGTGGAAATTAAAATTAAAGTAAACATTTTAATTTTTCTTACTAATGGTAAACAAAATAAAAATCAAATAGCTGCTGTTAACATTTTGATAAACAGCCTGTCAGCTGTCTCTGTATATATAACTCATGGTTTTTACATAAATTAAATCATACTACCCACCTTGTTTTATGCCCTTATTTTACTCAATGTGTAATGGATACTTTTTCATAAATGTAAGTAGTAGTTAAAATTTTTAGGCCAGGCAAGGTGGTGTGAGTCATGTCTGTTAATTCCAGCACTTTGGGAGACTGAGGTGGGAGGACTGGTTGAGGCCAGGATTTCGAGACCAGCCTAGGCAACATAGTGAGACCACAAAAAATTAAAATAAAAACCCAGGCATGGTGGCTCATGTTTGTAGTTCCAGCTACTCAGGAGGCTGAGGTGGGAGGATCACTTGAGCCCAGGAGTTCATGGCTGCAGTGAGCTGCAATCAGACCACTGTAATGCAGCCTGGGTGACAGCAAGAACTTGTCTTAAAAAAAGATTTTTTTTTTTAACTCAGAATGCATTTTCCTTTGAGCAGTTGCATTTTAAAACTTGTTCCTAAGGAAATAATTGAAGGTATGCACAAAGATGTAGCTATAATGATGTGTTTTGCAACATTGTGTTACCAGTATTATACTGTCAAGTAGTGAAGAAATAGATATCTATTGACATTAAACAATATCACAGTATATCATTAGGTGAAGAAATCACTAAGACAATATGTACAGTATGGTTTCAATTTTTAATTTGTGTGTATATACACATATGCATACAAGTAGCAAAAAATAGAACAAAACTACATATCTGGGAGAGGAAATTTCAGGTAGTTTTAAATTTTGTTCTTTTTTGCTTTCTGCTTTTCTGTAAAACTTAGGTAAGTTGTATCATTAAAAAGGGTTTTGGGGGGCCAGGTGCAGGGGCTCATGCCTGTAATCCCAGCACTTTGGGAGGCTGAGGTGGGTGGATCACTTGAGGCCAGGAGTTCCAGACCAGCCCATCTCTACTAAAAATACAAAATATTAGCTGGATGTGGTGGTGCACACTTGTAATCCCAGCTACCCAGGAGGCTGAGGCATGAGAATCACTTGAACCCAGGCGACAGAGGTTGCAGCAAGCCGAGATTGGGCCACTGCACTCCAGCCTGGGTGACAGATCAAGGCTCTGTCTCAAAAAACAAAAAACAAAAAAATTTTTTTTGGGCCAGGTGCAGTGGCTCATGCCTGTAATCCCAGCACTTAGGGAGGCAGATGTGAGAGGGGGGGGTCTCTTGAGGCTAGAAGTTTGAGACCAGCCTGGACAACATCACAAGACCCTGTTCCTTAAAAAAAAAAAAAAAAGAAAGAAAAGGTTTTTGGAGCCAAGACTAATGTAAGGTATTGTTTGTAAATTGATTTTATGAATGCACAAGAAATTTCTTTGTAACTCTTAACCACAGGCTAACTGAATACTTCAGGCAACATGTCAGTGAATCATAGTTTCTTCCTGGATAGTGTTTCTATTGGGCAGTTGTTCAATAAATACATGGTTCATAGTACCTTTCCTGCAGACATGAATACATAGATACTGTCTACAAACAACTGATCTTTTAAGTTTTGATTCTTTGATTCTTCCAGATGTCATTACCAGAGGATAACCTCTAGTTTTCGGAGAGTCTTGGCTGATAGCAGCTCAGTCTTTCATATAAGGATGAAGATATTTAGTCTTTTCATATCTCCAGTGGCCTTGCACATATCAGATTCCCCAAAATATTTCTTTTTATGAGTATTTTTGTCAGCTTAATAAGATGTTAATTAGCAGGCAAATCCTTTTGGAGGGGATGATATTAAATACTGCATTCTGGTTTATACTGAGATCCCAATAAAATTAAAACAATTTCTTCAGTGTTTTAGAAAATATAATCATTTGTTGAGGCTAGCATGGTGTGTATCTGAAATACAATGTCAACTTTTGTGGGTTTTGTTTTTGTTTTTTTAAGAGACAGGATTTCACTATGTTGCCCAGGCTGGAATACAGTGGCTATTCACAGGCAGGATCATAGCACACTGTAACCTTGAACTCCTGGGCTCAAGCAGTTTACCTGCCTCAGCCTCCTGAATAGCTGGGCTGGAAATGAATCTCTTAATGAGATGGATTTTCTTTTCTTGTCTTTTCTTTTTTAATGTAAAAAGAGACAATCTCTGTCACCCAGGCTTGAGTGCAGTGGCGTGATCATAGCTCAGTGTAATCTGGAACTCCTGGGTTCAAGTAGTCTTCCTGCCTAAGCCTCCCAAGTAGTTGGCATTACTGGCCTGGGCCACTCTCCTGACTACAGTGTTATAGTTTTAATTGAGAAGCTAAAATTTAAAATAAAATTTTAGGTGGAGGTTGGAAGAGACATACAACTCAGTGGGGCTATATACTTCTTTTTTGTTTTTGAGACGGAGTCTCGCTGTGTCGCCCAGGCTGGAGTGCAGTGGCACGATCTCAGCTCACTGCAACCTCCGCCTCTCAGATTCAAGTGATTCTTATGCCTCAGCCTCCCAAGTAGCTGGGACCACAGGCATGTGCCACCACGCCCGGCCAATTTTTGTATTTTTAGTAGAGAAGGGTTTTCACCATATTGGCCAGGCTGGTCTTGAACTCCTGACCTCATGGTCCACCTGCCTTGGCCTCCCAAAGTGCTGGGATTACAGGCGTGACCCACCGCGCCCGGCCCTTGGGGCTATACACTTTTTTAAGTTTAATTTATATTTGTGTATCTTATTCCTAACAGGTCAGTCATTGGCACCATGAACTGGAATAAAGGTGGTCCTGGCACTAAGCGAGGATTTGGCTTTGGAGGTTTTGCCATCAGTGCTGGGAAAAAGGAGGAACCCAAACTCCCACAGCAGTCCCACAGTGCCTTTGGGGCAACCAGCTCTTCTTCTGGATTTGGAAAGTCAGCTCCACCACAGCTTCCTTCTTTCTACAAAATTGGATCTAAGCGGGCCAACTTTGATGAAGAAAATGCGTAAGTGGTAATTCCTGGTAGTGTAGCAAAGTTTGGACTTTGATATATTCATTCTATCAGCAGAAATTGAGGCAAAGAAACTTTGTTTCTCAAATAATAATGAATTCTTAAATTATGTGTCTCGCTGAATTCCATTGTTCCTAATAAGTTAAATTATCAGGTTTACTCATTTGTAAGGAATGTAATACCTGTGGTGTTACTTATACCTTTACTCATTCAGTGTTACGTCCTACTGGGCTGTTGCTCACTGTGGGATTAGAAGCCATTGAAACAGGCTGGGCGTGGTAGCTGGGCGTGGTGGCTCACACCTGTAATCCCAGCACTCTGGGAGGCCGAGACGGATGGATCATCTGACGTCAGGAGTTTGAGAACAGCCTGGCCAATATGGTGAAACCCTGTCTACTAAAAATACAAAACATTAGCCAGGCGTGGTGGTGCACGCCTATAATCCCAACTACTCAGGAGGAGGCTGAGGCAGGAGAATCGCTTGAACCCGGGAGGCACAGGTTGCAGTGAGCCAAGATGGTGCCATTGCACTCCAACCTGGGCGACAGAGCAAGACTCCCATCTCAGAAAAAAACCAAAAAGCCATTGAAACATAAATATGGCTGAAGAGTTTTATATAATTCATGTGGTTTTTTTTTTTTTTTTTGGAGGCAGAGTTTTGCTCGTCACCCAGGCTGGAGTATAATGGTGCAATCTCGGTTCACCGCAACTTCAACCTCTCGAGTTCAAGTGATTCTCCAGCCTCACCCTCCTGTGTAGGTGGGATTACAGGCATGCACCACCATGCTGGGCTAATTTTTGTATTATTAGTAGAGATGGGGTTTCACCATGTTGGCCAGGCTGGTCTCAAACTCCTGACCTCAGGTGAACTGCCCGCCTTGGCCTCCCAAAGTGCTGGGATTACATGCATGAGCTACTGCACCTGGCCTGGTGGTCTTTACTGCAGTCTTTTACTGACACCATATAAATTGTTTAGTAAACACAGGCCGTTGTCAGAACTGATGGAAATACAAGTTTGCTTCAACATCTGAGTCTTTTTTTTTTTTTTTTTTGAGATGGAGTCTCTCTCACCCAGGCTGGAATGCAGTAGCGCGATCTTGGCTCACTGCAACCTCCGCCTCCCAGGTTCAAGTGATTCTCCTGCCTCAGCCTCCCAAGTAACTAGGACTACAGGCACGTGCCACCATGCCCAGCTAATTTTTTGTATTTTTAGTACAGACGGGGTTTCACCGTGTTAGCCACAATGGTCTCAATCTCCTGACCTCATGATCCGCCCGCCTCAGCCTCCCAAACTGCTAGGATTATACAGGCGTGAGCCACTGGGCCCGGGCTACATCTAAGTCTTCAAAACTAGTATGTTGGAACGTCTGATAGTGGTAGAAAAATCTACTCACATTTTTCCCATAGTTCTCATAATTGGTAAATGCTTTTTACCAATTACCGTTTTTAACTTGCTGATATAATAATGTGGTTAGAAAAGGCTGGGATTTAAGGGGTTGAGTTCTAATTTCTATACAAAATATCTCTCTTTGCTGAATCTGAAGAAATCTCTTGTTGCTATTATTTCCAAGCTGATTGTGACACTGCTTCACTGCTTGAGGTTTTTTTTGTTTTGTTTTGTTTTTGTTGTTGTTTTGAGATAGGGTCTCACTCTGTCACCCAGGCTGGAGTGGAGTGGTGCGATCAAGGCTCACTGCAGTCTCGACCTCCCAGGCTAAAGCAGTTAAGCAGTTCTCCCACCTCAGCCTCCTGAGTAGCTAGGACCATAGGCACATGCCACCATACCCTGCTAATTTTTTATTCTTTTTTTTTTCTTTTTTGAGATGGAGTCTCACTGTCTCACCCAGGCTAGAGTGCAGTGGCGTGATCTAGGCTCACAGCAACCTCCACTTCCTGGGTTCAAGTGATTCTCACGCCTCAGCCTCCCATGTAGCTGGGATTACAGGTGCCTGCCACCACACCCAGCTGATTTTTGTATTTTTAGTAGAAACGCGGTTTCACCAGGTTGGCCAGGCTGGCCTCGAACTCCTGACCTCAGGTGATCCACCCGCCTCAGCCTCCCAAAATGCTGGAATTAAAGGCCTGAGCCACCATGCCTGGCCAATTTTTTATTCTTTTGTAGAGACAGGGTCTTGCTTTGTTGCCCGGGCTGGTCTGAAACTCCTGGGCTCAAGTGATCCTCCCGCCTTGGCCTCCCAAAGTGCTGGGATTATAGGCGTGAGCTACTGCACCCAGCAGATGTTAATTGGAAAAAAAAGCTTCTAAAAGACTTTTTTGTTTTTGTTTTTGTTTTTGTTTTTTTTTTTTTTTTTTTGAGACAGAGTTTCGCTCTTGTTGCCCAGGCTGGAGTGCAGTGGCGTGATCTAGGCTCACAGCAACCTCTGCCTCCTGGGTTCAAGCAATTCTCCTGTCTCAGCCTCCTTAGTAGCTGGGATTACAGACATGTGCCACCACGCCTGGCTAATTTTGTATTTTTAGTAGAGACAGGGATTCTCCGTGTTGGCCAGGCTGGTTTCAAACTCGTAACCTCAGGTGATCTGCCTGCCTCGGCCTCCCAAAGTGCTGGGATTACAAGCATGAGCCACTGCACCTGGCCAAAATATTTTGAAAGTACACAGTAATATTTTAGAAAGCTGACATGTTATTTAGGAGTCAAATATACAAGTAGTGTTTAAGTTTTAGCAAAGTCAGAGATCATTATTCTAAACAGCAGTTAACCAGTTCAGGCTACTTTTTCATTAGTTAAATAGAACACACTATATACAGGAGGCAGAGGTGGAAAGACTGCTTGAGCCCAGGAGTCTGAGCTGCAGATAGCTATGTTTGCATCACTGCACATCAGCCTGTATGTCAGAGTGAGACTCTGTCTCTAAAAAAACAAACAAAAAACTAAAAACCTACTATATGAATGAATATGCATGAGTAAATATGTGTATATATGTATGCTATATATTGCATATATATTGCATCGTATAGTATATAGCGTGAGTATGCTATTGCTACATTAGTATACATAACAGTTACTATATAAAGGAGTTGGCATAAGCATATAGACTATATATTTTAGGCCAGGCACAATCGCTCACGTCTGTAATCCCAGCACTTTGGGAGGCCGAGGTGGGTGTATCACTTGAGGTCAGAAGTTTGAGACCAGCCTGGACAACATGGTGAAACCCCGTCTCTACTAAAAATACAAAAATTGGTCTGGGCATGGTGGCTCAAACCTGTAATCCCAGCACTTTGGAAGGCCGAGGCGGGCGGATCGCCTGAAGTCAGGAGTTAGAGACCAGCCTGGACAACGTGGCAAAACCCCATCTCTACTAAAAATACAAAAATTAGCTGGGTGTGGTGGCGGCGCATATAATCCCAGCTACTTGGGAGGCTGAGGCAGGAGAATCACTGGAACCTGGGAGGCAGAGGCTGCACTGAGTTGAGATCGTGCCACTGCACTCCAGCCTGGGCGACAGAGCAAGACTCCATCTCAAAAACAAAAAGACCACAAAAATTAACTGGGTGCAGTGGCGTGCACCTGTAATGCCAGCTATTTGGGAGACTGAGGCAGGAGAATTGCTTGAACCTGGGTGGTGGAGGTTGCAGTGAGCACAGAGATCACGCCGCTGCACTGCAGCCTGGGCGACAGGGCGAGGCTGTCTCAAAAACAAAAAAGCATATATACTATATAGTTTAGCCTATATTATTGTTACATATAGTCAGTGTTACATTAGTGTGTATATATATGTATGCATGTGTGTATATAGCATAACAGTTAAAGCTTTTAAAATAATTCCTAGGAAGACTTGAAATGCTTTAACTTTTTAAACTGCAGTTATTTATTTAAATTAATATTTGGTTATATTACTATTTGAGTTTGAGATTAAAGTCTAAACAGTGGTTTAGTTTATAAAGAGCTGTATTGACATCCTTTTCTGAAATGTTTGTTAAAGAGAAAGTGATACCTTATCCAGCCTTTGAAGATGTCCTTTCTGAATACTTAAGTAGTATCTTAAATTATTTTGGATTGAGCATTTATTTTCTTGCTTTTTTCCTCGTTTTTTGAGAGAGTCTTGCTCTGTCACCCAGGCTGGAGTGCAGTGGCACAATCTCAGTTCACTGCAACCTCCACCTCCTGGGTTCAAGCAGTTCTCTTGCCTCAGCCTCCCGAGTAGCTGGGATTACGGGCATGTGCAACCATGCCTGGCTAATTTTGTATTTTTAGTAGACACAGGGTTTCACCATGTTGGCTGGGCTGGTCTCAAACTCTTGACATCAAGTGATGCACCTGTCTCGGCCTCCCAAAGTGCTGGGATTAGAGGTGTGAGCCACCACGCCTGGCCTGAACATTTATTTTCAATTCCGGAAGTTTTCTGTTGGTCCCCAGAAAATAGCCCAGAATTTCTGAGGTTTTTGGTCTTAAAAGAATATCTCAAGTTTTTATTAAGGGTTATAAAGAATAAACTGGATTTCTAATGTTTCAGTAAGTTTCCTTTTGGCTGTGCACAGTGGCTCTCGCCTGTAATCTCAGTACTTTGGAGGCTGAGGAGGGCAGATCACGTAAGGTAAGGAGTTCGAGACCAGCCTGGCCAACATGGTGAAACCCCTGTCTCTACTAAAAATACAAAAATTAGCCAGGCATGGTGGCAGGTGCCTGTGATCCCAGCTACTAGGGAGGGCAAGGCAGGAGAATAGCTTGAACCCAGAAGGCGGGGGTTGCAGGGAGCCCAGATTGTGCCACTGCACTCCAGCCTGGGCGATGAGGAAAACCCCGTCTCAAAAAAAAAAAAAAGTTTTCTTTTTTCCCATAGCACAGCTCTTTAATATTTGTCATATTTATCTAACAATGGTCAGTAAGTTTGTACTGAAAACTCTTCCCTTTTAACAGAACTGGGAGCATGATTTGACTATACACTATTGAAATGGAGAATCTCTTGTGATTACTTTTTTGTAATATTGAAATTTTGCATGTATTAAGTAGTACTTAATAATTAGGTCATTAGCCAAAGCCTTGGAGGTCTCTAATTTGATCTGCATTACATCTCCTAATAATAAGATATACCATAATAAAAATGTTGTTAAATGAAAGATTTACTGACCCCAAAGTAAGCATTCACTTTACCAGTTTGCTTTCTAATTCTCAGCTATTTTGAAGATGAGGAAGAAGATTCTAGCAACGTTGATTTACCTTACATTCCTGCTGAAAACTCACCAACTCGCCAGCAATTCCATTCCAAGCCAGTAGATTCTGACAGCGATGATGATCCCTTGGAGGCATTCATGGCTGAAGTGGAGGCAAGTATCAACATGTTTCATTAAAATATTTAGCAGTTAGAAATAGATCAAGTTAACTTAGTACTTCAAATCTTATTCAAAATTTGTTTTCTAGTCTTATTATTTTTTTTTTTTTGAGAATTTTGCTCCAGTAGTCTATAGTTGCATATATCTACTTCCACTTGCCCTGTAGTACTTTTGCAATGATTGGTGGCTAGAAATTTGAACTGTAACCCATGAACATGGTAGCTCTAGACGTATATGTGTGTATGTATTTTATTTTAATAATCTTAGCATATTCTTAAATGGAATTAATATTCAATCTAGCATTTGTTAAGTACATATTTATGTAAGGTAATTAAACTTAAGGAACTTGCCAAAATTATAAATTCTGTATTCTGTAGTTTTAAATGTTATTTCTTCATCAACATTCATGACCTCCCTGTAGAAATTTAACCTCATGACCACCTCCTTGAAACTCTTCTCACTAGGCTTTTGTGATTTTGTGTTATTTTCCTTTTTCATCTTTCTGTTTTCTGTTTGTTTTTGTTTTCTTGCTATTTTTATTGTGGAAAAATTTAAACACATACAAAGATAGAATAATAAAATGAACCTTCATGTACCTTTAACCAACTTTATTAGTTAACAACTTTTGGCCACTCTTGTTTTATCCAATCTCTCCCACCTCTGATTCTTTCTTTTCCTTTCTCTTTTTTTTTTTCTTTCTTTCTTTTATTTTTTTGAGACAAAGTCTTGCTCTGATGTGGGCTGGCTAGAGTGTAGTAGTATGATCATGGCTCACTGCAGCCTCAAACTCCTGGGCTCAAATGATCCTCCTGCCTCAGCCTCCTGAATAGCTGAGATTGCAGGTGTGCACCACCATACCCAGCTAATTTTTAAAGTTTTTATAGAGGTGAGGTCTTGCTTTGTTAACCAGGCTGGTTTTGAACTTCTAGCCTCAAGTGATCCTCTAGCCTCAGCCTCCCAAAGCGCTTGGACCACAGGCATAAGCCACTGTGCCCAATCCAATTCTGTTTTGGATTATTTTAAAATCTCAGACATATAATTTTATCCATCAGTATTTCTCTGAGAACACTCTTACAAATTACAACCACCATGTTATTGTCGCACCCAAAAAACAAATCATTAAATATCCATCTGTTATTTGTGATCCTTCTTGCCATCTTCCTCCAATTTTTCACATACAGAGGTCCTTTTACAGCTCTCTATATTGATTATTATATAGCAGATCATTAAGAATGTTCATTATTTAATTTAATCCTCAAAATAATGGTGGGAAATAGGCAGAAAAATTTATATATATATATATATATATATAATTTTTTAACTGATAACAAAACCGAGACCCAAGATAATTCAAATCACTTGCCCCAAATCATATTGGTACTTAATGTGGCAGACCTGGAACTCAAATCTAATTTCGCTTGCTTAGTAGTCCTGAAGGTCTAGCTGTTTCCCATACATCATGCTGCCTTTCCTCTTCTCATTGGCCAAAATCTGTCAATCTTTATAATAGCCCTTGCATTTGTTCTTTCCTTTCTGTTGCCATTGTAGCCATCCTACTTTACACTCTCGTAAATTCTCTCCCTGCTTTAGGCTCTCTGCTGTCTTATTAGGTAGTATACAGCTACAGGTTAATTAGACCAAAATATGTTTCTTTTCATGTTATTCTCCATACTTAAAAACTGTCACTTTAGATGGCTGGACATGGTGGCTCATACCTATAATCCCAGCATTTCGGGAGGCTGAGGCAGGAGGATCCCTCGAGTCTAGGAGTTCAAGATCAGCCTAGGCAGCATAGCGAGTCCCTGTCTCTACAAAAAATAAAATTTAGCCAGGCGTGGTGGCATGCTGCTGTAGTTCCAGCTACTTGAGAGGCTGAGGTTGTAGTGAGCCATGATCATGCCACTACTCAGCCTGGATGACAAAGTGAGACCCTTTCTCAACAAAATGAAACCAAAAACTATCACTTTAGACTATGTGCCGTAGCTCACACCTATAACCCCCAGTATTTTGCAGGGCCAAGGTGGGAGAATTGCTTGAGGTTGGGCAGCATAGTGAGACCCTGTCTATAAAAAAAAAAAAAAATTTGGCCGGGCACAGTGGCTCACGGCTCACATTTGTAATCCCAGCACTTTGGGAGGCCGAGGTGGGCTGATCAACAGTTTGAGACCAGCCTGGCCAACATGGTGAAACTCCATCTCTACTAAAAATACAAAAAAAATTAGCCAGGCATGGTGGTGCATGCCTGTAATTCCTGCTACTCGGGAGGCTGAGGCAGGAGAATCGCTTGAACCTGGGAGGCAGAGGTTATAGTGAACCGAGATGGCGCCATTGCACTCCAGCCTGGGCAATAGAGTGAGACTCCATCTTAAAAAAAAAAAAAAAAAGAAAAATTGTCACTTAATTAGTTATGAAATAAAATCCTTTCGGATTCCTTAGTTACTTGTCTTCAGCCAGAATACACCTCTCCTCCAAGGAAGTAGGGAAAGAAATAATCCAAGATTAATGTGTTTTTGTTTGGCCTAGACATTGCTTTTTTAAAATGTGAGCCAACATTTTTAGTATCAGGGGATCTTGTCTAATAGTTCAGACTGTTGAAAAAAGGAAGATCTGGCAATATACTAAGTCTGTGTTTTTGTGTGGCAGAAAGAGGCTATTGCTGAGCAAATGGCTGCCTACATTAGACAAGGCATGCTTTTCCTTGCTCACCATAGTTACATCAATCCCTGTTTTCTTCTTAACCTTGAGGCCACTGTTTATAGCACCATTTGTCATTTCTCTTGCACTGTAATTTTTTTCTTTTGAGACAGGATCTCTCGCCCAAGCCAGAGTGCAGTGGCACCATTACAGTCACTGTAACCTCAAATTCCTAGGCTCAAGTGATCCTCCTGCCTCAGCCTCCCAAGTAGCTGGAACTACAGGTGCACGGCACCACACCACCACACTTGGCTAATTTTTAGAAAATATTTTTTCCCAGGCCGGTCTCAAACTCGTAGCCTCAGGCAGTCTCTCCACCTTGGCCTCTCAGAGTGCTGGAATTGCAGGTGTGGGTCTGTGCCCAGCCTCTGTATTGTAATTTTTCTTAGGGTGGAGAATTATTTTTCTGAACTTAGTTCTCTATCAGATATCAGAAAACAAAAGACTCAGGGTGATGTAAGAAAAATTAGAGTACATTTCTGTAGAAGAATATGCCTACTTATTTCCAGTTTGGTCTTTGAATTTGCCATCTTTGATTTATAACAACTTAAGTTACTTACTGAAGAATATACACCTAATAGGTGGCAGAGCCAAAATTCACCTCCAAACCCCATATTCCTTATGCAGTATCATTCTGTATCTGAGTTCTTATAGTGTTGTGTATTTCTGCCACTTACAAACTATACAGGATACTTACCAAACACCCAGACTATTCAGGGTATACGTGTGTCTTGCAGCATAGTAGGTATTTAGTTAATATGTTAAGTGATTTACCCTAGGAGTAAAGGCAATAAATGAATTGTCATCTTTGAGATGTCTTGTATGCGTTGTTTTCTTCATCTTCTTGAGATACGAACATTTCCTAATGGGCTATGTTTCCTAGAGAATCTGGTCTCGTTATTTCTTGAGGGATCCCTAGTGATGAATTAAAAGAAAAATTAGCTCTGATTTTCTGGGTTTAAATGTAGATTTATGGTAGTACAAACTGGCATAGCCCTTTCTGAGTGACAGTATCCGAGAATAGGCTAAATTCTTTTGCTTGGCCTTTTTTCTTTTTGGAGGGAGGAATGGAGCTTCACCCTTGTTGCCCAGGCTGGAATGCAATGGCTCAGTCTCAGCTCACCACAACCTCTGCCTCCCGGGTCCCGGGTTCAAGCGATTCTCCTGCCTCAGCTTCCCGAGTAGCTGAGATTACAGGCATGTGCCACCATGCTTGGCTAATTTTGTATTTTTAGTAGAGACAGGGTTTCTCCATATTGGTCAGGCTGCCCTCGAACTCCTGACCTCAGGTGATCTGCCCGCCTTGGCCTCCCAAGGTGCTGGGATTACGGGCGTGAGCCACCGCACCCGGCCCAGATGTCAAATTTTATAGAAAGTATAAACTTTTCTAGTGCTTGAACTAGATGAAGATTTATTTTTAGCCAGTGTTCTGAAAAAGGATTTATGTAGGCTTAAACAATATGTTCTACCACTTTTGGTGACCTGTTTCTTATGTTACATTGCTTATGTCATCTTCAGTTTATAGTCTTAAATATATCTTATAGCTGGTTCAGTCCTCCGAAAAGTAGGTTGTTTGTATGCATTGCTTCTCTTTAAAACAATTTCTCTTCATCAGGAACATTTGGTTTGATAGAACACCCGATCATGCCACAGTATATATAGTGGCATTTTTAAAAATCTGAGATTGCCAGAAAAACTCACGGTGCTTTATAGTGAGAAAAAGTTGTGCAGAATGTGTATAAAGCCTTGGGAAAAATCATTTAACTCTTCTGACCTTGATTTTCAAATGTATAATGCAAATGATTAATTTTGATCAGTGATCATCAATTTGCAGTATATAAAAATTGCCTAGGCCGGGCGCGGTGGATCACCTGAGGTCACGAGCTCGAGACCAGCCTGACCAACATGGAGAAACCCCGTCTCTACTAAAAATACAAAATTAGCTGGATGTGGTGGCTCATACCTGTAATCCCAGCTTACTCAGGAGGCTGAGGCAGGAGAATCGCTTGAACCTGGGAGGAGGAGGTTGTGGTGAGCCAAGATGGTGCCATTGCACTCCAGCCTGGGCAACGAGAGCGAAACTCCATCTCAAAAAAAAAAAAAAAAAAGAATTGCCTATGAAAAATGTAAAAACTACACACATTTAACTCACTCCAGCCCCAAGGATTCTGATTTAGTAGATGTAGAACAGAATTTTCAGCCTTGAGACTACTGTCATTTGGCGCTGGATAATTATTTGTTGTGGGGCTTTCCTGTGTATTGTAGAATGTTTAGTAGCCATCCTCCGCCTCTAGAAACCAGTACTATCAGCTGTACCACCCCCAAAATTAAAAATGTCTCCAGACATTGCCAGATGTTGCCTAGGGGCAAAATTGTCCCAGATTGAGAGCAACCTTTCCAGAGTCAGATGTATGTGGTCTTAAGCTATACTTTGAGGAAGGCCTATCTGCCTGAATTGAAAGCACTTTATATCTGTAATTTTATCATTAACTTAAAGCAACTTAAGGTTATGTATTTGTGAAGCAAGCATTTTTGTTCATTTTTCCATGTGTGGCACATTATTACAGATAAAATTGTGCAGTCCATATACAGCCAATTTATACAGCATTTAGTTATTTCTCTTTGAAAAATAATTGTCAAAATGCAATTTGATGGCATCAAAATGCACTTGTCAAATACATAGCTAAAGCTATTATGGCACTTGTTCCAATCTAAAAATTGTTTCTTTCAGTGTTTTTAGTTGATGTCATTCTATACAGCCTTTTGTTTCATTAGGATCAGGCAGCTAGAGACATGAAGAGGCTTGAAGAAAAGGACAAGGAAAGAAAAAACGTAAAGTAAGTTGTTTTCTTCTCCCTCACAAAGGTTACGTGAAAACTGCTGAAGTATTGCAAAGTCTATTCCCCCAAAGTTTATAGAGAAAAAATATTGACGTACACTTGTGTACTTTACTTGAAGTTATTCCTGTATCTTGAATACTTTAAGAATAGAGATGGCAACAGTCTTTGCATTTGCAATAATTAAAAAGCATTCAGTTTGGTAGAATAGTATTTGGTCTTTGACTATAAATAGTTGTTTAGTAAACACAAGGAATGAATTATAGTAGAGTTTAGGGGAGCATAATTATTAAAGTTTAGGCTCATTGTTCTGAGTTTGTCGCATAATTAATATAAAATAGGTTTATGCCTATATGGTTGATTATGAGAAGTAATGGCAACTGTATCATGAAAACTATGTATAGTTGAACCTTTGAACAACACAGGTTTGAACTGCGTGAGTCCACTCATGGGGATTTTTTTCAACCAACACAGGTGGAAAAATAATATTCACAGTATAAAAACCTGTGTATAAGGAGGGCTGTAATAATACCTAATTTTATTTAGCTCCAGAGTGACATTGTGCTGTAGCAGCCATAGTCAGAACTTGAAGTACTTTATTTTCTGGGAAAGAGAAGTCTCTTTGCCTTGATGAATAAACTCCTAAGGCTTTTTCTGCCAGTCATGATTGGACTTTTTTCTCCCTGTGCTTGGCAGTCAGTGCTTCAGTCCTTTACCAGGGTTTCTGTTCCATATGGAGATTTAGCTGTGGTTTTGGTATTCACTGTATGTCATATCCCCTTCCACCTGCCCTGCACTGGTGGTGTTGCTTGCCGGTTGCCTTAGGAATAGCAAGCGCTCTAGGTTAGGCAGAAAGTCTGATTAGAAACAGATGGTTGTGGGAACTAAGCAACCATATTTTCTCTATAGCTCCTGAGACATACAGCAAGTGGTGATGGTCCCCTTCTCCATGTGAACTGTTTAAGCGTTTTATTCCCAAACTCATAAAGGAGTTAATGTAGTTTTCACTCTGTCCCCATCCCTAAGGTAACTGCTTTTGGCTGAAAACCATTTACCCTAGAGCTAGAAACTTTGGGGACAATAAGAAGGTTGTGACCTTTCTAGTATATGCCAAATACAAGATTTTTTTTTTCTTTTTAGTATGAAATACTTTTCACAACCGCATTGTTTGTTGTATGGATTCACAAAACTAGGACCATTTGGTATCTGTCTTCAGAAAGTTTTTACGTCTGATATCCTTGTTGGTAACCGCTGTTTCTAGGGGTATCATATCATCCCATTTAAAAGAAATGCAAACTGCAGATTATAGAGTGCAGCTACACATATATATAATGGGGTGGATAGTTTATAGTGTGCTCATTGCTGCTTTGTTATTATTAGTGTTGAGAGTTCCTGTGCTGTGTGGAATTCAACACTAATCTGCTGTAAGTATGGAGCTGGGTATGTGGAACATTTGCAGGGAAGTTTGTTTCTCCGCTTGTTTTTCCAGGGGTATTCGAGATGACATTGAAGAGGAAGATGACCAAGTGAGTTCCTATGCAGTATTTCTATCTTTTATTTTTATCCACAAAGTCTATACTGGGGACAAGCTAGAGCTTGCCTTCACTCAAAATGGCCATTCCTGACATTCAGCAGGGAATGTCATTTGATTTGCTCCTTTTGTACCTGTGTGACCAATTGGTAATACATAGATTCACATGGCTTTCCCCCATATTGAAGATGGAATTTTTGATCAACTGTGACATCCAAAGCAAATACGAGCTTTATTCAGCTTGCTTCTTTTTAAATCCAAAATTAATGTTTATTCTGATAAATCAAGTGGTAGAGTAGTGTGGGATCTATTGATGGCCTCTGGTAACATCTAACCTCTGTCTCTTAGTAAGTGTCCTGTTTGTGGTTCTTGTATTTCAAGCTGGAACATTAATTACTGTCCATTAGTCTCTTTTCCCCCATTGTTCAGTTGTGGAGTGATGAGAATCAGAGTGAGTGGTAGCCGTTTCCAGGTTTGTGACCTTTCTAATTAGCGTTAACTTCCAAACTTGGATTGTTAAAGCCACAGCATGTGTTCTATGGCTCTGGGCAGGGTTGATAGACACCCCACTCCAGGAAGGCTGTGGAACAGACAGATTTGTAAGTCTTCTATTAAACAAGTTGCAACATTTAATAGTACTAACTGTTTAATTCATTTCTTCTGATTGTTCTTCTGAATATTGCTATTATTAAAGGAATCATTGCTAGTAAGGATCTTGCCTTACTTGGTAGGTATGTTAACTGTGCAATTATCTGGTACACTATGTGCGCTAATTACAGGAGCAGAAACATTCTCAATTGTACTTGGGTGTGATTATGTTCTTGTGCTTTCCTGCAGGAAGCTTATTTTCGATACATGGCAGAAAACCCAACTGCTGGTGTGGTTCAGGAGGAAGAGGAAGACAATCTAGAATATGATAGTGACGGAAATCCAATTGCACCTACCAAAAAAATCATTGATCCTCTTCCCCCCATTGATCATTCAGAGGTATGGTGTTTCTTGCTGAATTTTACTCTTGTTTCAAGCTGATGCTTTACTTCAGCTTTAACATTTAGATTTTCTCAGTAGTGGAATACTCTTACATCATGAGCGTATGCATCTTGTCATCTCTACTAAGTGGTTGAGCCACAAATTCCATGAGGCTTTATAGCCTGTTTTGTTCAAAAGTATAACCAAATCACTTACATTTGACTTTAGAATTAAAACATTTTTTTCAAGTAATTGTACTTGTTTTCCAGAACCAATATTTCTTTCTTTTCTTTCTTTCTCTTTCTTTCTTTTCTTTCCTTCCTTCCTTTCTTTCTTTTCTTTCCTTCCTTCCTTTCTTTCTTTTTCTTTTCTTCTTTCTTTCTCCCTTTCTCTTTCCTTTTTTTCCTCTCTTTCTTCTTTCTTTCTTCTCTTCTCTTTCTTCTCTTTTATTTTCTTTCTTCTTTTTCTCTCTCTCTCTGTCTCTCTGTCACCCAGGCTGGAGTGCAGTGGCACAGTCTTGGCTCTCTGCAACGCTGACTCCTGGGTTCAAGCAATTCTGCCTGCCTCAGCCTCCTGGGTAACTGGGATTACAGGTGCCCACTACCATGCCTGGCTAATTTTTTTTAAATATTTTTGGTAGAGATGGGGTTTTGCCATGTTGGCCAGGCTGGTCTTGAGCTCCTGACCTCAGGTGATCCCCCTGCCTCGGCCTCCCAAAGCGCTGGGATTACAGGCGTGAGCCACCGCACCCAGCCTTGACATCTTTCTTTCAAACTGGGAACGTTTTGGCCTGTGTTTACTGTTTTTGTTGTTGTTGCTATATTGCCCAGACTGGCCCCAAATCCCCTGGCTCAAGTGATCCTTTCACTTCAGCCTCCTGAGTAGCTGGGACTACAGGTGCACACCACTGTACCTGGCATGCCTTTATTTTTTTGTTTATTTTTTTTCCAGACGAAGTCTTGCTCTATTGCCCAGGCTGGAGTGCAGTGGCGCAATCTTGGCTTACTGCAGCCTCTGCTTCCCAGGTTCATTTTTAGTAGAGATGGGATTTTACCACGTTGGCCAGGCTGGTCTCGAACTCCTGACCCCAAGTGATCCACCCACCTTGGTCTCCCAAAGTGCTGGGATTACAGATGTGAGCCACTGCATCCGGTCACATTTGTTTTTTTAATTGCTATAAATTTTTACTGTTGGTCCTAGATCTGGGGCAGATGAGAGGCTGTTTCTTCACAGTGGAGCCAGTAATTACAGGATCCTTAAGGAATGAGGACATCGGTATACCCACTTGAAAAAATATCAGTGTTTCATCCAGGTTAAATATCAGCCGAGATCTCACATACACTAATGATTCTAGATCTGGAGCAGTGGTTCTCAGTGTGGACCAAGAACCCCTTTCAGGGAGCCTACAGAGTCCAAACACTTTTCATTATACCAAGATTGTTTTCCTTTGTTACTGCATCAACATTTACATTGTTGGTGTAAAAGCAGTGATAAGTAAAACTGCTGATGCCTTAGCATGAATCAAGCCAGTGGCACCAAACTGTTCTAGTAGGCGTATTCTCTGTTCTCAGACCATTGCAGTTAAAAAGAAAAAAAAAGGCCAGTTTCACTCAAGAATGCCCTGAACAGTAAAAATTATTAAAGTCGTGACCCTTGAGCTACATGTCTTTTTATTCTGTGTGATAAAATGGGAAGTACGCATAAAGCATTTCTGTTGCATACCAAAATATGATAGCCATTTCAAGGAAAAGCACTTATGTGTTTGAGTTGTAAGGTGAACTAGCTACTTTTTTTCATAGAACACCACTTTCACTGGACAAAATCAATGACATTTCAAGGAAAACAATTGAAAGTGTTTATTACCCATGATAGACATTCAAGCTTTCGGCCAGACGCAATGGCTCACGCCTGTAATTTCAACACTTTGGGAGGCTGAGGCGGGTAGATCGCTTGAGCTCAGGAATTTGAGATAAGCCTGGGCAACTTGGTGAAACTCCATCTAAATTTTGTTTTTTAATAACAAAATTCAGGCTGGGTATGGTGGCTCATGCCTGTAATCCCAGCACTTTGGGAGGCCGAGGCGGGTGGATCACCTGAGGTCAGCAGTTTGAGACCAGCCTGACCAACATGGAGAAACCCCATCTCTACTAAAAATACAGAATTAGCCAGGCATGGTGGTGCATGCCTGTAATCCCAGCTACTCGGGAGAGTGAGGCAGGAGAGTCACTCAAATCCAGGAGGCGGAGGTTGCAGTGAGCCGAGATCATGCCATTGCACTCCAGCCTGGGCAATAAGAACAACACTCCATCTCAAAAAAAAAAAAAAATTCAAGCTTTCAAGCAAAAATTAGAATTTGGAAAACTTACATCTACCACAGTAGGCTTGACAGCTTTTCAGTACTTAAAGACCATTGTGACAAAATTGATGGTGATATTAGTAACTGATTTTTAATATAATGAAATGTGTTAACATTTGGATGATCTGTATATAACCTCAGTGAACCAATATTTTCCAAATGATCAATGTATGACATTACAAAGTCAAGCATGAATAAAAGCTCAACTCAAAATACATGATAAATAAATGGATTATAATGTAACAGAGTGTGAAAACTTCAGTAATATGGTTTCAGATTACACAATGAAAATAACTTTTAGGAAATGACCACTTGTCAAGTTTTAGTGTAAAATAAAAAGTATCTGAAAAGGGCTGGGTGCGGTGGCTCATGCCTGTAATTCCAGCACTTTGGGAGGCCAAGGTGGGCAGATCACTTGAGGGCAGGAGTTTGAGACCAGCCTGGCCAACATGGTGAAACCCCCGTCTTTGGGATTGGTGGCAGGCATCAGTAATCCCAGTTACTCAGGAGGCTGAGGCAGGGGAATCACTTAAACCTTGGAGGAGGAGGTTGCAGTGAGCTGAGGTTGTGCCACTGCACTCCAGCCTGGGAGACAGAGCAAGACTCCATCTCAAAAAAAAAAAAAAAAAAAGGTATCTGAAAAGGCTACTAAAATACTGTCCTCTCTTTTTCAACTACGTATTTTTCCTTTGCTTTTTTTTCTTTTTTTGAGATGGAGTCCTGCTCTGTCGCCCAGGCTGGAGTGCAGTGACGCAACCTTGGCTCACTGCAACCTCCTCCTCCTCCCGGGTTCAAGAGATTCTCCTGCCTCAGCCTCCCGAGTAGCTGGGACTACAGGTGTGTGCCACTACGCCCGGCTAATTTTTGTATTTTTGGTAGAGACGGGCTTTCACCATGTTGGCCAGGCTGGTCTTGAACTCCTGACCTCAAGTGATCCATCGGCCTCAGCCTCCCAAAGTGCTGGGATTACGGGTATGAGCCACTGCTCCAGGCCTGGAGGCAAGAATTTCTTATAGGCTTAAATAAAACCAACCTATTGCAATAATTTGAATATAGTAGGAGCTATTTAAGTCGACATTAATAAAGAGATTTGTGAAAATACAATAGTGTCACTCTTCTTCCAATTTTTTTTATGTATCCAGAACTATGATTTTTTTTTTTAACTACCTATAGAATGCTTATATTTTTCTTAAAAAATAAGTTTAAGAACCAGGCATGGTGGTGCATGCTTGGAGTCCCAGCTACTGGAGAGGCTGAGGCAGGAGAATCACTTGAGCCCAGGAGTTTGAGTCTAGCCTGGGCAACATAGCAAGACCCTGTCTCTGAAAAAAAAAATAGTTTATAAAAAATAATTTAGCCAAATTGATAGGTGGTGATGTGCTTATGTTTTGTATACCTACTACACTAAGCTATGAAAAGAATAATAGAAGTGACTACTACTTTCTGGAATTGGAAATTCTTGGCCATACATTTTTTAAAAGTTATAAACAACTCCATGTTTTTAAACAGAATAGAACTCCCTCTAAAAGCAGAGCTATCTCCAAAATAAATATTAGGAGTGTTTTTAAATGCTTAGAGCTAGGTTAAACAGCTTTATTCAAAACATATTTAAATGTTATATGGTGAAATATCTTCTCTGTCCTCTGAGGTCTTTGGCATTATAGAGAGATTCCTTAGTCTGCTTCAATGTTGTTCAAATTCGAGGTTTCCTTAAGAGTCTCTTTAGGAAGTAGGTTGGTGTTAGGCTAGGCACAGTGGCTCATGCCTGTAATCCCAGCTACTTGGGAGGCTGAGGTGGCGTGAGAATTGTTTGAACCGGGGAGGTGGAGGCTGCAGTGAGCCAGGATCGCACCACTGCACTACAGCCTGGGTGACAGAGCGAAACTGTCTCAACCAATAAAAGAAGTAGGTTGGTGTTTATATTGAAAATAGGAACAGAAAACAAACTAGCTATACTTTTTAGGATCTAAGCTGAGAATAAATTAATTTTTTTGCTTTCTCTAGCTGGAATGGCTTTACTTGTGTAAAATTTGGAAAAGATTATTTTGCAATAAAATCAAACTTACAGAATTGACTCTTGAATTCTAGACTAACTTTGAATAATTGGACCTGCAGATTGACTATCCACCATTTGAAAAAAACTTTTACAATGAGCATGAAGAGATAACCAACCTCACTCCACAGCAGTTAATAGATCTCCGGCATAAGCTCAATCTTCGGGTAAGCATCATTAAGCTCAATATTCTTAATATTAATGTTAATTAGTCCAGATTTAGTATTATTGGTTATCTAAACTAATAACCTTGAATTTCTTTTCTAATGGTCTCTGAACTGTCTTTGCCAGAGTAATTATTATATCCCTTCTGTTCATGTCTCTTAATTTGATTGTTTTAGTCTTCTAGATGCTGTTTTAGGATAGGATCATTTTCTTGTTTCATATTTCAGTCAGTTTTATATGTTCTGTGCTGGATGGGCTAGTGATGAAGGGTGGGAGTCCCCATCTAAAGGAAGAGGAAACAAAAGGAATAGATGTTAACAGATGATATCTTAGAATATTTTGAAATGAAGATAAACTTGTCTGTCAAATTACATATAGTATGCTTTATTTTAAAAATTAGAATAAACTAATACCTTTTAAAAATATGCATGTACTAATTTCAGAATGGTTTAAACTGCCTACCAGAAAGTTTTGGGCTGCACATTGGCTACATTGGTTTAAGGTGCTGATAGATGGTAAATGAAACACACAGAAAAAATATGCTATGCTATCTACTCTAATATAGACAACTTTCTCGCCTGTGTGCACCTTATCAGTTGCTACACGATGTTTAAACTCCTGTTTTCCAGGAGGGGTGTGTATTTGTGTGTGTACACTTGTCTGTTTTCCAAGAGGTTACTCATCTCCCCAGTGACCCAAGAAAAATTTTAAGTAAAACCCCTGAAATCCTGATTGGAAATATCAACATCACCAGAGAAGCATTGAAAGGTTACCACTTTGGGGGACAAAATGGAGATTATAAGCCCCATTCTTCACCTAGGTGCAGTTTGAACAGGGCTTGACAGTGGCTGGACCATCACTAAGTGAGACTTTAATTCATCAAGCATAACTGAAAATGGAGGCAGTAGATTATATCTTGGTAGCCAGCATGTGTAGACTTGTCTTATTTGGAGCCCACTTGGAATTTTCATTTCAAGAGTAAGATACATTAATTTTTTTCTACCATCTGGTTAATACTTAATGCAAAATGGCAAAAGAACAGTTATGGCTTCCCAATTCATTGAACAATTTTTTTTCCGTTTTATTTGTTATGAGAAAATTAATTTTGAGTTAAGAAATTTTTAATCATTTAAAATTGTATGACAATTATCTTGGGAATATTTATCATGGAGTTTTTAATATGAGGTTTATATTTGTTACCATTTGAGGTTTTTCCTTTTCATTGTATGATTTTGGCTTACAGACTTGTATTTTTACTTCATACTCCAGCTAAAATGCTAGATCCAGGTAAGTATTGTTGAACTTCAAATGCTGTTAATGTTGAAGTACAAGTCATTCTGGGGAGTTGTCTCTATCTCTAGGTCTCTGGTGCTGCACCTCCTAGACCAGGAAGTAGCTTTGCTCATTTTGGGTTTGACGAACAACTTATGCACCAGATTCGGAAATCTGAATACACACAGCCCACTCCAATACAGTGCCAGGTAAGTAAAACATAATGAAAGAAAAATAAAGTAGGGTAGTCTTTCATGACTATATTAATTTAAAAACAAATCACAGCAGTAAAACAGTGTTTAGTGTAGAACCTTGTTGATAAGGATAGAGGTATTTATCACTCTTAAGAAGTCACTAAATGGCTGACAAATATTCTTTTGTATCTGATACGTATGTTGAAAATATGATATGAAGAAAATAATTTATTAGGCCTAAACCTAACCAAAAAGGTTCGTATATAGACAAATTTAGCACTGTCAATGACTAGAATTCCTTCGTTCGTCACTTGAAAATTCTCATTCATTACTGAAAGTTTTAGCTTCTTTTTCCCATTTATATATGGGATTTATTTATTCTTATGCAGAACATTCTCATTTTCTGTATATGAATGAGATAGTCTGTACCTTCTTAAGGGGGGAAAATTTTTAAAATTTTAGCAACCCTTCATTATAAATTGCAATTTTTCTGTTTTGTTTTTGTTTTTGTTTTTTTTGGGGACAGAGTCTCACTCTGTTGTCCAAGCTGGAGTGCAGTGGCGCGATCTTGGCTCACTGCAATCTCTGCCTCCCAGGTTCAAGCAATTCTCCTGCCTCGGCCTCCCAAGTAGGTGGGATTACAGGCGCACGCCAGCACACCTGGCTAATTTTTTGTATTTTAGTTGAGATAGGGTTTCACCGTGTTGCCCAGGCTGGTCTCGAGCTCCTGAGCTCAGGGAACCTGCCCACCTCGGCCTCCCAAAGTGCTGGGATTACAGGCGTGAGCCACTGCCCGGCCTTGATTTTTCATTTCTGTATTTTAAACAAAATGGAGTTGTTTCTGTTCTGTAAGTGGTGGCTGATATCCACGTAATGAGAATGATGTCATTTCCTATAAATCAAGAAGTTAATGAGAATGTTGGATATTGATATTTCTATTTCACAACCAGTATGCATAGCACCAGGTATGTTTTGTTCCATTGCAAATAAAAATGTTAGTAGTCATTTATCATTCCCCAGGATTTGCTTCAGTACATCTTTAGAATTGAAATTTTAGAGTGGTTATATTTTACTTTTTCTCCAGGGTGTGCCTGTGGCATTAAGTGGTAGAGACATGATTGGTATTGCCAAAACAGGTAGTGGGAAAACTGCAGCCTTCATTTGGCCCATGTTGATTCATATAATGGACCAGAAGGAGTTGGAACCAGGTGATGGACCAATTGCAGTGATTGTGTGTCCTACCAGGGAGCTTTGCCAGCAGGTATGTGCTTTCTATAGAATGCCTCCTTCCATATGTGGACTAGCAAGGGACCAGCCAGTCAAGTGAGGTAGAATGACCAGGAAACTTTTTTTTTTAATTGTGATAAGATACACACAAAATTGATTATCTTAACCATTTTTAATGTACAGTTCAGTGGCATTAAGTATATTCACAGTGTTGTGCTACCAGGAAACTTTTGGAAAGTATTATGTGTTAAATATTTTCTATATAACCAAATACATATTTTCCCCTAAAAACTACTGTTTTTATTTATTTTTATTTATTTGCTTTTTTTGAGACAGAGTCTCACTCTTTTGCCCAGGCTGGAGTGCAGTGGTGTGATCTCAGCTCACTGCAACCTCCACCTCCCAGTTTCAAGCAATTCTCCTGCCTCAGCCGAGAGGCTGGGATCACGGGCACACGCCACCACACCTGGCTAATTTTTTTATTTTTAGTAGAGACGGGGTTTCACCATGTTGGCCAGGCTGGTCTCAAACTCCTGACCTCAAGTGATCTGCTTGCCTTGGCCTCCCACAGTGCTGGGATTACAGGTGTGAGCCACTGTGCCCGGCCAGAACTACTTTTTTTAAGAGGAAAAGCCTATTGTGATATGGGGATTGTTTGTATTATAAGCTGACAGTTTTTCTGTAGGATGAGTTCATTTTATCTTGGTAGAAAAGCAGTGACAGGATCAGGAAGAGAAGGGGGTAAAATGAATAAAAGATTTTAGATAATCTGTTGAGATGCAATAATGGTATTCCATTCATTTATACCTTTATGAATAAAATCGTGGTTTTAAAGTATGTTCTAGGTTTCGATTTTTTATGACATCACATTCTGTTTTTCAGAACTTCGTTTGGGTTGTGACAGGTATTTGTTAGTGTCACAGTTTGTTAATATATTATTCACAACTTTGTAGATCCATGCAGAATGTAAGCGGTTTGGAAAAGCATATAATCTTCGATCAGTGGCCGTATATGGAGGAGGGAGTATGTGGGAGCAGGCCAAGGCCCTTCAGGAGGGGGCAGAGATTGTTGTGTGTACCCCAGTAAGTATGCCTTGTGTTTAAATGGCTTCTCAGCCTCCCTCGGTATGGAAAACATGATTAGTTTTGCAGAGAATTTCCCCTAAAGTGTGGTAAAAGCAGGGTTGAAAATATACTGATGAACGGCAGGCTGTGGTTTTAATTTTGATTGGTGGCTAAATTAGCAGTTCAGTGAGAGTCTCTGTGACATATAGGCTAGTAGCTACAAATTCCCCTCTATGTCAAATAGTTTTTCTTATACTCTCCCACAAAATGATTGCCAAGTTCATCAAGAATCAGAAAGATACATATGGTCAGAATAGCCTAGAAGAGTGTAGTTTAAACATTGAAACCTGTCATTATGCTTTAAATCAGGTCACTTTAGAATGCCTCAAAAACTGCTTCTGGCCACTTTCCCACAGAATTTAAATCACAGTGTAAATGAAGATGCCGATTGAGTTTTCAAAATTTCTGTTCCTTTGAGCTAAGTAGTGCATAAGGTATGTGGCTGTTGGACCAGTATCTATTACAGTCTGAGACTAGAGAATTAGCACTTTTGCCAGGAGTGCAACTGCTTAGAAAGTCCCTGTGAATGCCTTTAATTATACTTACTGTTCATTTTGTTGATCTTATAGGGTCGACTGATAGATCATGTGAAAAAGAAAGCTACCAATCTTCAAAGAGTCTCTTACCTTGTGTTTGATGAAGCAGATCGAATGTTTGACATGGGATTTGGTATGCCTTGAATACCAGTTTCTTCTGTCCCCATCCTCATGATACTAGTTTTTTTTCCATGTCTTTCTAGACTGTTTTTTCAGCATGAGAGAAGCTAAAAATACTCCTGGATGGGGTTAGACTATAGAAATATAGCTAAGATGAACATTTTTAGGAGTTTTCTCTGGAAAAGTATGTTAGGTTTTATTGGGTTGAGGAAATTTCAAAGTGCCTTTGTATATAAGGGGAATATTTTCTCTGTCTTCATTTTTATCCATATGCCTTTGATCATAGAGGTTAAGGTCTGTGTTCTTGGGTAGATGAATGTCAGATCATTCGAGGCCCTTTGCTTTCCTATCCTCGTAGCTGTCTTTACTGATTGGAACACTGCTAGACCTAGCCCAGTTGGATGGAGGGAAAATTTTTCACTTTTATGCTGAATGATATGTTTAGGAGCTTCTTTTTTCTTGAGACAGAGTTTTGCTTTTGTTGCCCAGGCTGCAGTGCAGCGGTGCGATCTCACTGCAACTTCCTCCTTCCAGTTTCAAGCGATTCTTCTGCCTCAGCCTCCTGAGTAGTTGGGGTGATAGGCACCTACCCCACAGCCTGGCTATTTTTTTTTTTTTTTTTTTTTGGTATTTTTAGTAGAGATAGCTGTGTTGACCAGGCTGCGAACTCCTGACCTCAAGTGATCCGCCTGCTTCGGCCTCCGAAAGTGCTAGGATTACAGGCATGAGCCACTGTGCCTGGCCTGGGGTTTCTAATTTTCTTAATTCTTACAACTTCTTATGAAGACTTTTACTAATATGGCTTTTTCCAGGCTTCCCAAACTGTATTTCAGGTTATAATAATTTTATTGTTCTGTTTCTTGCAGAGTACCAAGTTCGATCCATAGCAAGTCATGTTCGTCCTGACAGGCAGAGTATGTATGAAGCACCTTTGTTAAACCAAATTTGTACTAAAAAGGGCACTTATTTATTTTATAAGCACTCAGAGTTATGGAAGTAAAAATGATCTTGTGTCTGTTGGTGAGAACCATAATAAGGGAGGTAATGAGTTTATCTGAGCTGGACAGGATCTTAGCACTAGATATAACTTGTTCCTTTTTATAGATGATAAAACCAAGGATCAGAAATTAAATAAACTGCCCTAAATTATACAGTTTTATCAGTGGGTAGAAGCAGTGTACAGTACAGATCTGCTGATTTGAAATCAAGAGTCTTTTTCTGAACCATACTGACAACTTGTCTTAACTAAAAATGTAATAAAAATAGAATAAGAGCAAATCTTTCCCTAGTGAATCAGTTTCTAAACTAAATTTAAAGTTCAGGTGAGCTTATGTAAAAAAACTGAATAATCCTGAATGCCAAAGAAGCTTAATGGGTATGCATAAAGATATCATATTGTTTCTCTAACAGAATTTATCTTACCTTTTAGCTCTCTTATTTAGTGCAACTTTTCGGAAGAAGATTGAAAAGTTGGCCAGAGACATCCTGATCGACCCTATTCGAGTGGTGCAGGGAGATATTGGAGAGGTAACCCTAAGCAGGGCTGGATGGGACCTTAATGGGTTTATTTCTCATATTATGGAACACAGAATTAATTTCTCACTATTGAGATAAAAAAAAAAGATGTTATGTTTATAGATGCAACATGCTTGAGATTGGGTATTTTGCAAGTTGTGGGGATAGACGTAACAAGACTGGCAAAATGTTGGGAATCATTGAAGCTAGGTGATGGGTATGAGTTGATTTTGTTCATTTTGTGTTTTTTTTGTTTTATTGAATGTCTCAAAACTTACAATTGTTTTAAAAAGGCTTCAAAGAGACAAAAAGATGTGCCTGGAAGCATCAGCGTATTAGGTTGGAACTGACGTTTTAATTATTGTGGTAGGGGCCTACGCAGGAGGGAAAGGGTGACCTGGAAGGCCTGGAAAAAATCAGGTTTCATTTCTTACCTGTACATATGCGCTATGTGAAAAATTACTCTGAATTGGGACTTGGAATTCAGTTATGGCTGCTTAGAGAATCCTTCAGTTGCTTGCCATGGTTATTGTTAAGGAAAGCTCTACAAAGTAGTGGGGCATACAAATTAGGTATGTACACCAGGTGGAGAGCAAGGTGATTGGAAAGGAGAGGTGAGTTTTGAGCTGCACTTGACTTGCTGAAGGCCCAAGGAGAACTGGGATTGTTCAAGGTCTTCTCGATGCAGGTAGAAATATAATGCCTAGTCCTTGTTCAGGTGCCCTGTGGCTCCAATGTCACAATCATCTGTTTCATTTCTTCCTTCTCAGGCAAATGAAGATGTGACACAGATTGTGGAGATTCTCCATTCTGGACCTAGTAAATGGAACTGGCTTACCCGGCGTCTGGTAGAATTTACCTCTTCAGGGAGTGTCCTCCTCTTTGTTACTAAAAAAGCCAATGCTGAAGAGCTAGCGAATAACCTTAAACAGGAGGGTCATAATCTTGGGCTGCTCCATGGGGATATGGATCAGAGTGAGAGAAACAAGGTCATTTCAGACTTTAAGAAAAAGGACATCCCAGTCCTGGTGGCCACAGATGTTGCAGGTAGAGTATGAATTTTTCAACAACATTAAGTTCCTAGGCTATAAGGGTACTCTGTCTTACTACATAAGACCTATAATATCTGAGCAGGCTGATGGAAAGACTGTTGGCCTGGCTGGCCATCCCCTCCCAAACCCCCAAGGAAGCAGCAGTTCAGCACAGGGATCACAGTCTGGAGCTCTAGATACCACTTTTCACTTAGTATTTCTCTCTAATCAAAGAATCCCTGCAGCTAGAAGTCACTCTGGGAAAAAAGGCAGTGAATGCCCTTATTGTATGTCTGAATATAGTAGATACCTTACCCTTACATTGATCTACTATACACAGCTTAGTTGGGCAACTTAACTCAGGATGAGAACAGTTTTTGGAATATAATTTCTGGATTTGTTCTGTCAAGTTTTAATAACTACCCTTAAACACTGATATTTTTTCCTAGAAAGGAGAGAACTTCTCAGCTTCATGACACATTTTAAATATATATTCCCAGTGCAAGAGAAGAGGGCATGGCAGATTACTGATGCAAAAGATAAAAGTCCCAGTCGGGCACGGTGGCTCACACCTGTAATCCCAGCATTTTGGGAGGTGGAGGCGGGCGGATCACCTGAGGTCAGGAGATCGAGACCATCCTGGCCAACATAGTGAAACCCCGTCTCTACTAAAAATACAAAAATTAGCTGGGTGTGGTGGCGCGTGCCTATAATCCCAGCTACTTGGAAAGCTGAGGCAGGAGAATTGCTTGAACCAGGGAGTCGGAGGTTGCAGTGAGCCGAGATCATGGCACTGCACTCCCGTCTGGCAACAGAGCAAGACTCCGTCTCTAAAAAATAAAAGTCCCTTACACTAGAAGGCCTAACATCATAGAATCTGTGGTGGTGACTTAACATGCCTGTATCTCAGCTCACCAAACCCATGCGCTTTGCCTAGATAAAGGAAATGTGGCTTATTAGCACTAGCATTTCTGGTTACTTTGATCTTCTGACTACAGATGAAGAATAAAAGAATTTGGTTGCTTTTTATTTCAGCCCGTGGTCTGGACATTCCTTCAATTAAGACTGTCATTAACTATGATGTGGCACGAGACATTGATACCCACACGCATAGGATTGGCCGCACAGGAAGAGCGGGTGAGAAAGGTGTGGCCTATACCCTACTCACTCCCAAGGACAGCAATTTTGCTGGTGACCTGGTCCGGAACTTGGAAGGAGCCAATCAACACGTTTCTAAGGAACTCCTAGATCTGGCAATGCAGGTGAGGGGCTGGGCACACTTTCAATTGCTCCTGGTTATAAGACCAAGACATTTTAGCAGTCCTGGAACAGATAACATAAAAACTTGACAAGAAAGTTGGGTGGCTAGGAGGATGTGGGGCTTATGAGGTACAGATAGGAATTGTGAGATACTAAAATTCATCTAGTCTTATCTGGTCTTCTTCTTTCAACAGCATCTGTTTTGAAAAGCTATTCCTTTGTGCTAAAATCTGTCGCTGTAATTTCTACCCCATAGCACACTTAGGAGTAAATTTAATCTCAAAGATGGTTACTATTCTCCTTACTGCTCTTCCCCCACAAAATTTTTCTTCTGGGAGGCTAAAAATGTGTGATGCCTTTAAAACAATATGTGTATAGTATAGTGCCCCCCCACCTTTTTTTTTTGAGACAGAATCTCACTCTATCGCCCAGGCTGCAGTGCAATGGCACGATCTCGGCTCACTGCAACCTCTGCCTCCTGGGTTCAAGCAATTCTCCTGCCTTAGCCTCCCAAGCAGTTGTGATTACAGGCGCCCACCACCACGCCTGGCCAATTTTTGTAATTTTAGTAGAGATGGGGTTTTGCCATGTTGGTCGGGCTGGTCTCGAACTCCTGACCTCAGGTGATCCGCCCGCCTCGGCCTCAACCTCCCAAAGTGCTAGGATTACAGGCGTGAGCCACCGTGCCCAGCCTGTATGGTGCCTCTTAACTGTTCCTTGCAGAGATCTCAGACCTCTGACCACACTGATTGCCCTCTTCCAGGTGTGCTCCAATCTAAAGCTAAGTGAGGCATTCTAACAAATCAAACCTGGAGTCATCTGAATCCATGCTGTCCCCAAATTACAAATGGGTTCGGAACACTTTCTGAGAGCAGAAACTGTTAAGAGTTTGTCAAATGCCTAGGCCAGCTCACACAACTGGTACAACCCAGCTGCAATGTGGCAGTGCCCAAGTTTCTGGTCCTAGGAGTAAAGGACCTGCACTGCAGGAGAGAAGAGAATAATGTTTCCTCCCCTGCTCCTGAGCACAGAGAGCTAGTCCTAAATAAACTTTTAAAACAGGACACATTTTGACTTTGGCATTTTCTTCCATTTCTTTTTGTACCTCAGGCTTTCTGTGCTCAGGACTTTGTCCAAGCCTGCTGCCCTACCTCTCAAGCACTTTATTTTGCTGGTAATATGTGATTGTCAGATAAAACTTTAACCTTCCCAGAGACATTTGCTTTTTTTTTTTTTTTTTTTTTTTCTTTTTTCTGAGATGGAGTCACACTCTATCACCCAGGCTGGAGTGCAGTGGCGCAGTCTCAGCTCACTGCAACCTCTGCGTCTCCGGTTCAAACAGTTCTCCTGCCTCAGCCTCCCAAGCAGCTGGGATTAGAGGCATGTGCCACCATGCCTGGCTAATTTTTGTATTTTTAGTAGGGACGGGGTTTCACCATGTTGGTCAGGCTGGTCTTGACTCCTGGCCTCAAGTGATCCGCCCACCTCGGCCTCCAGAGTGCTGGGATTCATAGGCGTGAGCCACCGCCCTGCATTCTTAAGAGAATGTGAGTAAATATGTTGAGTGGCAATGGTCAAGTTCAATGAAAACTTTTACGCTCTGCGGGTAAATAAAATTTTCAGTTGTGTGGCTACCATCCTTTCTGGGAGTCTGTCCCTATAGTCAGTTCTGATAAGCCTCACTTCACATAGCATTTTTCCTTTGCTTCTGAACATACCAGTTGTTTAAGTTCCAAATGTTTACGTCCAATAATACATGGTTTGAGAAATAAAATATAAGCTCATTTTCCTCAAGGAAGTTAGAAGTAGCCAAAGTTACTCCTCTGGGTTTGAAGCTTACCTGAACAACTTCCCTTCCAGGAGAGCCTTGAGGGAGGGAGCACTGTAGGAAGCCTTAGATAAGGATCTCAGCCACTTTTCAAATTTGGTGGATTATGCTACCAAAGAGAAACCAATCTGTGGTTCCTGTGAAAATTCCTCCCTTAGCGTAGTGCTGGCTGAAAATTAAGCAAAAGTTCCCCCTTCCCACTTAATTTCCTCTTTGTCCTCGTTCTCTTCTTCTGTTCTTTTCTCCCTCCCTTGACTTAACCTTGAATTTTGTTCAATGCAGAATGCCTGGTTTCGGAAATCTCGATTCAAAGGAGGGAAAGGAAAAAAGCTGAACATTGGTGGAGGAGGCCTAGGCTACAGGGAGCGGCCTGGCCTGGGCTCTGAGAACATGGTGAGTCTAGACTACTACAGTAGTGCCTTTATAGTTGGTCTCATGTCCTGAAAGTCATTAGGAATATTCTCATCTACCCAGGAAAGCCTCAGTGAGTTTAAAGCCCTGTCTAGAAGGGAATTTGTATTTAATCTGATTTGAGTCAATGCAGTGCTCATTCTTATGGTAACTTTCTATTGAAGAAGCATCTTTGTGTACTTGGTTGACTAGGCTTGCTCAGGAAATTATTCTAGATTAGCAGTGATCTCACACTGTGGTCCCTGGACCAGCAGCACATGCAAACTCATCCCCAACCCCAGACCTTGTGAATCAGAAACTCTGGAGTTGGGGCCCAGCAGTCTGGTTTTATAAGCCCTTCAACACTGGCCTAAAGCCTGCTGCTAGGTAAATGTTGCCAAAGGGTCACTGTAAAGTCTAGCCATATCTTGTCATTAAACTCAGGAACGGATCAGGAATTTCCAAGTCGGGAGCTAGTTTTTCTCACAAACCAGGTAACAAATGTACCCTTTTGGTGGCCTTTCTTAACTGCCTGTTTTCTGTCACCTTGATTCCAAGCCAGGGAAGAAAGCTGCCAGTATACTTTTCTGGAGCATTAAACTTGGCATCTTTGTAATTACATACTCTGTTCCCACATTATAATAATAATGATGATGATGCATAATAATAGGTAATATTTATTGAGCACTTTATATGTGCCAGGACCATTCCAAGCAATCAGATGTTTTGGCTCAGTTAATCTTCAAAATAACTGAATGGAAGTTAGTACAGATAACAATGCTGAGGCACCTAAGGTTACAGTGACAAGTGTTCAAGCCGAAATTCAGACCCTTCATGGTCTTGATTCAGGGCCTGAGCAGTCACACAATATGCTATTCAGGGCCTTTTCATCTTTAACGTAATTTTTACTTAATTAATTGGAAGTGTTTATGTAAATACATGATCAACTTTGGGCATAATCTGATTGCATTTCTGTTTAATAGGGTTAATTTCCAGAAATAGAATTTCTGGGTTGAGGGCATAAGCATTTTTAAATGATTGTCACTGTGTCTTTTCTCACAAAGCAGTAGCAGCTTTCTAAAAGTATCCAGTTCCTTTGTAGCTCCCACTTCAAGGGTTTTCATAATGAGGCCTAGTCTATAGCAGTGAGCTTTCCTGCTTATTTTTTCATTCTCATAGATGTGTTTATTTTTTTAGGATCGAGGAAATAACAATGTAATGAGCAATTATGAGGCCTACAAGCCTTCCACAGGAGCTATGGGAGATCGACTAACGGCAATGAAAGCAGCTTTCCAGGTCTGAAATAAGCATTTCATTAAAAGCACTTTCAGCAGTAACTCTTGGGCAGTGACAGAGGGGCTTAGTTTTCCTGGTTGTAGCTGGGCGCCTAGGCTTGATGCTAGATTTAGGGTCTTCACGCTGCTTGGATTTTGAATATAAACCTAACAGTAGCTTAGTTGGAAATGCAAGTTGATCTAGAGAACCCCTTGTGCTGGTCTACTTTGAGTCACACTTGGGGCCTGGGATTGTTGTCCTGCAGCAGGGTGTGTGTTCCCTCCCTTCCCAACAGCCTGAAGTGTTGCCCACCTCCCAGGCACCCACCTCCAACTCACTTCTGAAGCAAAATTTACTGATAGTCACACTAAGGTGAATCGATAGAATGAGTTCAAGGCAGGTTTTGCTGTCAAACTTAAATTGCAGTATGAAAATTTTTTTTAAGTTTTCAGAACTTTTTGGTTTTGAATGCAGATAAATGTGCTAAATACATAGATGCTTTATTCTAGCCAATCAGGCTATAAAAGTACATTTCAGAACACTGGGGGTCCATCTCTCCACAGAGATCCACAAGTTTTCCTTTATAGCACAAGAACAAAAGGGACCATACTGTGGGGCCATCAGGACACTAAACTCACAGTGCCAGGATAGCACAGAGTTTCTGTAAACCTCATCATTTGCCAAGTTGTATATTCAAGTTTCTTGAACTTGCTATCTTACCTACTCCTGATGTCTCTTTCTCTTTCAGTCACAGTACAAGAGTCACTTTGTTGCAGCCAGTTTAAGTAATCAGAAGGCTGGAAGTTCTGCTGCTGGGGCAAGTGGGTGGACTAGTGCAGGGAGCTTGAATTCTGTTCCAACTAACTCAGCACAACAGGGCCATAACAGTCCTGACAGCCCCGTCACCAGTGCCGCCAAGGGCATCCCAGGCTTTGGCAATACTGGCAACATCAGTGGTGCCCCTGTGACCTACCCGTCTGCCGGAGCCCAAGGAGTCAACAACACAGCTTCAGGGAATAACAGCCGAGAAGGGACTGGGGGCAGCAACGGGAAAAGAGAGAGATATACTGAGAACCGGGGCAGCAGCCGTCACAGTCACGGAGAGACTGGCAATCGGCATAGCGATAGTCCACGTCACGGAGATGGTGGTCGCCATGGAGATGGATACCGCCATCCAGAAAGCAGCAGCCGTCATACTGATGGCCATCGGCACGGGGAGAACAGACATGGAGGAAGCGCAGGCCGGCATGGGGAGAACCGGGGTGCAAATGATGGTCGGAATGGGGAAAGCAGGAAAGAAGCTTTTAATCGTGAGAGCAAGATGGAGCCCAAGATGGAACCCAAAGTGGACAGCAGCAAGATGGACAAGGTGGACAGCAAGACAGATAAGACAGCTGACGGCTTTGCTGTCCCAGAGCCGCCTAAACGCAAGAAAAGTCGATGGGACAGTTAGAGGGGATGTGCTAAAGCGTGAAATCAGTTGTCCTTAATTTTTAGAAAGATTTTGGTAACTAGGTGTCTCAGGGCTGGGTTGGGGTCCAAAGTGTAAGGACCCCCTGCCCTTAGTGGAGAGCTGGAGCTTGGAGACATTACCCCTTCATCAGAAGGAATTTTCGGATGTTTTCTTGGGAAGCTGTTTTGGTCCTTGGAAGCAGTGAGAGCTGGGAAGCTTCTTTTGGCTCTAGGTGAGTTGTCATGTGGGTAAGTTGAGGTTATCTTGGGATAAAGGGTCTTCTAGGGCACAAAACTCACTCTAGGTTTATATTGTATGTAGCTTATATTTTTTACTAAGGTGTCACCTTATAAGCATCTATAAATTGACTTCTTTTTCTTAGTTGTATGGCCAGGCAGTCCCCATTTTAGGAGTTGGCTTCTGCAAATTCAATCCATTGAGCTAACTGTTGGGGAGCAATTTGGTAGTTGTAGACATTTGCAGGGAAGGGAGATGTCTGATTCTAAATGGGAGTTGATGCTCAGGTCCCCAGCCAGGTTTGCATCCAGCCCTGAGACATGTAGGAAACACCTTTCAGACCCAGGCTCTGAAGATTCCCAGAAGCCACAAGGATTGAAGGGAAAAGGTGATCCTGGTAACTGTTCCAGGATTGCTCCAGGTTTGAGATGGTATTGCTAAATTTAAAATTAAACAAGAAACCCAACAACAGCTTTTAAAGTGTCTTCTATCTCATTGTATTTTTTTTAACTTGCCCCAATGATAGAAAAGTCTTTTGCTGAAATGATTTTGATGATTTTTGTTTATCGTTTATAAAAAGGAAAAGAAATATACAAACTTTGACTTTTGTGACTTTGTGAAGGTTTCTTTAAGATGTGCATTCCTTTCTGCTTGCTCTCTAGTAAATGTTTTACTACCGGGACCTGTGGATCGTTTGTCATTTCTGTCTATGAATTGGTACATATTAAGAATAGTGCCGCACACAGTGTAGGGACAGATAGGGAAGTGCTTATTAAAACTGTCAGAAAAGACAACTCTTCCATTATCCTGGTTTTATTCAGGAATAGGATGGGGGTGGGGAGGGCTTAAGTGGCCCACACGTCCAGGTGTAGACTGACTACATTGAGTATCGCTCCAACACCGAACTTCCCTTTAACGGTTTAAAAAAAGGGTCATGAGTGTCAACACAGTTCAGCAGTGTTTTCATGGGAGACCTTCAGGCAGGCAGGAGGACATCCTCCTCTCTGCTCAGGACCACCACGGGAGTTCTAGGCACTCCACCTCACTGTTCTTCAGACAGCTGTGATGTGAGCAGGGGCTAGGCCGGTAATCAAGGGGGCCAGACTGAGCCATGCCACACCCTTCCTCCTAGTCCCCATGCTCTCCTGGGAGCCTGGCAGCTCTGCTTACTTCCGTTTGTGTTTTTTCTTTTGTTCCTTACGTTGCTGTGCTCTTTGGTCCTTCTTCATCCTTGAGTCCACCACCTTGAAATGACCTCTGACTCCAGCTGGCCGGCGCACTTTGCGGCCCACACCTTTTTTGGCTACAACGTAGGTGACATGGCGTTTCTCCTTGCCAAGCCCAGCCTTCTTGTAGAGACTACAGGGGGGAAGAGAAGAGGTTAGAGGCTTGCTTTCTGCTGCACTTTTAGCCCTGTGTACCTTTGTGGTGTCCTCCCATTACCTTCGCAGCTGTGCCACTTTCTCTCGTTCTGAGATGTCCACTGTGTTCACCACGGCTTCTGCCTTCTTCCTGGTCTGCTCCAGCCTCTTCAGCATCTGCAAAGGAACCTGTCAGGTGACCTCTTCCCCATCCCCCCACCCCCACCCCACCCAATCTCTGGAGGCCCCATCACTTACCCTCCTTTTCTTTCTAGCCTTAGCCTCAGCCACCTTCTTGATGGGACGTGCATTGATTTCCCGCCAGCGTTTCCGGTAATGCTCCACCTCCTTCTTACCAACAGGCAACTGTCGTATCCGGTGCTGCTTTTCCTCTTGCACAAACCACTCCGGAAGCTCCCCCTCATCCTCATTAAATGTGTACCTGAGTGGAAAGGACATCTGTCTAATATCCAACATTCCAGGCTTTCTAAAGAAATTACCAGACTGGGCACGGTGGCTCACGCCTGTAATCCCTGCACTTTGGGAGGCTGAGGTGGGCAGATCACCTGAGGTCAGGAGTTTGACCAGCCTGGCCAACATGGTGAAACCCCATCTCTACTAAAAATACAAAAATTAGCTGGGCGTGGTGGTTGGCACCTGTAATCCCAGCTACTCAGAAGGCTGACTCAAGCGATTCAAGGAGAATCAGGCTGCAGTGAGCCAAGATCGTGCCATTGCACTCCAGCCTGGGCAACAGAGCGAGACTCCATCTCAAAAACAAAAAATTACCCATTTACCCACCAGACCCTGGGTCACTCTTGATGAGTTTATGGCCCCTTTACCGGTTGAAGGAGTTATCTATGAGGTCTCTCTTGGCCTTTTTGGAAGAGGCAATAACAGCACCTAGAGCAAGGCCTTCGGGGTCCAGTATCCGATGTTTCGCTAGAGAGGGAAGGAGAAAGGTCAAAGCTCAATTCCCAATACTGAGACTTCCAGTGGTCTTTTCTCATTCCACTGCATACAGAGCTCTCACCTGGGTCCTCAATAGGCACTATCTCAAACCCGTCATCATCTGACTTAGGCCCACGGCTTCGCTTCTTACCACGGAGGGGTTCCCAGCTGTGAAGAGGGGAGGACTCTGAGTGATTCCACCACTCTGTACTACTCAGACCGCACTCCCACGGAATTTGCAAAAATCCTGCCATGCAGGCTGTACCCCAGACCAGTTAAATCAGGATCGTCAGTACAGTATTTTTAACCCTCCCCATGTGCAGCCAAGATTAAGAACCCCCAATTTAGAGAAATGGTTCAAGCCACCGCTTCCTTTCCATCCCTTCTCTCAGCTGCAACTACTCACCTCTCTTCTTCCTCACTGCTAGTACTGCTATCACTGTCTGAGATGCCATCCTTTTCTTCCCCTTCAAGGCCAGTGGCAGCTTCTGTCCCCGAAGAAGCCTCTGTTCCCTTAGGGGCTTCATCTTGGTACAGGGGAGACATTATCTCAGTCTTCAAACAGGAAGGGGGTGTCTGTGGCAGCTGCTGCTTCTGCTGCTGCTGCCGTCCCTTCCGCCGGTTCTCAAATAACAGCTGGGCCTGACTGATCTCCAGGGCCTCATCGGCATCGTCCTCGATCCCAGCAAAGCTGCCCTGTGATAGGAGAACATCAGCTGCCCTTCTCCCAAGGAAGACTCATCTCCCCGCAGTCTTGCCCCCGGCCTCTCCTTACCTTTGAGAACCACAGGTTGGCTTGTTCTTCCTGCAGTACTGCCTTTTCCTCCAGTGGTACCAGCAGTGGATTCTCCTCCTCCTCCTCCTCTTTATCATCTTGCACTTCAGTAAGTCGCATACTGTAGACCCAAAGGAAAGTAGGGGGCTCAGAGACCCAGATTGCCTGGAGCCCTTGCTGCCCTACTCAGGCTCTGGTAGTACCCACCCTAACACTTCCTCAGAGTGGCAGCATTCCCTTTGGTGCACACGTGCCCCTTACCGCTTTTGGTCCCTTAGACCCTGATGTCCCCTGACTCCTGCCAGCTCCTCTGGATCCAGGTCACTATCCAGAGATGTGTCATCACCGTCGTCCTCAACATCTGACACATAGATATCATCCCTTGGCAGATCGGACAGAAATGTGTCTGCTGCACTCATATCCCCTTGTGTTACTTCCTCTAATAACTGAAGTGTAACAGAAACAAAGGTAAACTATTTAAAAGGAAATATACTGTTTTTTTTTCTGTGTCCCTCACCTCAGTCTATGCTCAGCAACACTAGAAAGAACACTGGCAAATCCATTATCCTTTCACAGATGGGAAAGCTCAGATCCAGGGTAGTGAATGGCCTGTTTACAACATCCCGTTCTAGGCTGGGTTACTGATCTATCCCACTCAGCTGTCTTGTCTCAGTGGTATCACAAATAGGTCTTAAGGAAGGTACCTACAGCCCACATAGCACCAAATCTTAACATATTCTACAACACTGGTTTTCCTTTAAAAATTATTCTCAGACAGCATCTCAATCATCTCCTGAGAATACCGTCTACACAGTTTGTTTCCACTGAATAAAAGGGGCCCAGCCAACATACATCCAACAAAACTGTTCCACTTAAACCAATTGTCAGAACCTTTTATTTTCCTCATGGTAAAGATACTAGGCTGGGTATGGTGGCTCACACCTGTAATCTCAGCATTTTGGGAGGCTGAGGCAGGAGGATTGCTTGATGCCAGGAGTTTGAGGCTGCAGTGAGTCATGATGGCACCACTGAACTCCAGCCTGGGTGACAAAACAAGATCTTGTCTCAAAGGAAAAACTCCAACTACTATTTCTTGAGTGTTTATCACATATGAGGGATTACACCTATCTTTTTTTATTCCTCACCAAAAACTCTAGTAGGTAGGTTCTATTATTGTTTTACAGATGAGGAAACTGAGGCAGCAAGGATAAGTGGTAGTCAGCTCAGTCACTTCACAAAGCTCCAGGTGGTAGAGCTGGGAAGGAAACCTGAGCCTGTGTCTGCTCTAGGGCCACCATGCTCTACTGCCCTCCTGTACAACAAAGATGACCTGATTATGACACTCCCACACATAAGCCACAAAAGTTCATTTTGTTTGTGACCCTGATTTTGTCAGGAAAAACATGTTCTTCAGTATTCAGTGGAAGTACCCTAATGCGAGTGCTCACTTGGTCTCAATGAACTAAAGAATGCTGCTCCCCTCTGAGGGAGATCCTCTATTCATCTGTGCTTGAAACTCAAGTAACCTGGCAGCATCTACTATAACCTAAGTTCTTTTCTGATGTTCTAGTTCTTCAAGAATAAATCTATCAGCCGGGCGCGGTGGCTCACGCCTGTAATCCCAGCACTTTGGGAGGCCGAGGTGGGCAGATCACGAGGTCAGGAGGTCGAGACCATCCTGGCTAACACGGTGAAACCCCGTCTCTACTAAAAATACAAAAAATTAGCCAGGCGTGGTGGTAGGCGCCTGTTGTCCCAGCTACTCGGGAGGCTGAGGCAGGAGAATGGTGTGAACCTGGAAGGTGGAGCTTGCAGTGGGCCGAGATCGTGCCACTGCACTCCAGCCTGGGCAACAGAGCAAGACTCCGTCTCAAAAAAAAAAAAAATAAATCTATCACACTCATCTATCTACCTAACTCATCCTTTTTGGTTTATGTTTCTTTGTGGCCTTATACTCACCAAGGCACCCTGTGGTGAAGACAGCAACCACAGCCTATCGTTCGGCAACCTAAAAAGACATTCAACACCCCCCACCTCCAAACACCCAAACAGATCCTTCTGTCTCCTAAACCTGCACCCCCAATGCCGCCTCACCTGGTGACCCCGGATGGTGCTCAAGGAGAACATGCCAGTCTCCCCCTCGTCTGCAATGGAAACCCCAGGCAGATCCATCTTCAGCTCCACACGCTCCCGCTGCTTTCTCTGCTCACGCAACAGCTTCTTTTTCTTCCTGAGGGGGTGGATTGAGGGAGTAAAACCGGCCCAGCTCCAAAGTTTCTATCCATGCCTTGCATTTTCTTCTCCCATCTTCACACAGTCCCTGCGTTGGGGAACTCCAAGCTCTACCCCAGCTCCTTTCACCTCTTCAATTCCGCCACCTCCTGGGCCTTCATTTCTGCCAAGGTCTGGTTCAGTTGTTCCTCCTCCTCCTCTTCCTCCTCCTCCTTAGAGGGCTGCTTTGTGGTTCCAGCTGTTGAGTCCTCCTCATCACCTTCATCTTCCTCTCCAGAGCTGAGGCTGGCAAAACAGTCCCAAGAGTTGGGTTATTTTCCCAGACTTTTCCCCTGGACACCCAGTCCACACCTGCCTCGCTGCGTTCTCTCCTCACCTGATGTCCAGTGCCTTTGCTTGTTCTTTCAGCTTCTTGGCCACATATCGCCGAAGTTTTGTTCTCCAGTTTAGTAGCGACCTGCCCCAGAGATACTATTACTGATCTTGCCATCTCCCTCTTTGTCCCCGCCCCCTTCTGTTTTAGGCTCACTACCCACCTTTCGGGCTTCGGCTACATAAATCAAAAGGCTCAGGCCCCCATCCCAAACCTTTAGCACAGCAATATCCTCTTCCCAGAGGTCCAACATCATGGCCTTTCCCTGCCTCCAGGGCTCCTGGCCCCCGTGCCTACCCCACTCCATACCTGAGCTCCTTGCGCCCCAACACTCTGATGTCCTGACAGCACACCCGTATGTCCTCAGTGGTAGCTGGATGCTGTGCCAACTCTTCATCATCTACCATGATCTGTTTGGGAGGATGGAAAGGTGTCAGGGGAGATCCTCAGGCCATGTTTCTGGGGCTACCTCATGTCCCTCAAGGCTGGAGACTCACTTCGCTGGCCTTGGAGAGGAAGTCAACAGGGTTGGCAGCTCGGAGGAAGTCAGTGACTGAGGTACGGTGATAGAGAGTGAGGTCACCCTCAGCATAGCCTTCAGCCTTAGGAAGGAAAAGAGAGAAGCTTGGTCAGGCCCTTCTAAGGTACCTGTAGGACCCACCAGGCCCAACCTCCCTAGAGTTCCAGGACCCAAGAGTGACCCCATTCCCCAAAACACACCTTTGGCTTCTTCTTAGTAACCAATTCAGTAACGGTCTTAGCCTGAACTTCAACCTCCTTAAAGGCAAATTTGGGGTCAAAGAATTTACTGTCAACCTTGTCAGGGGCCAGGAATCCTAAAAATGACAGGATATATTAAAAAGTGTGCTTTGGGAGTTGGGAGCCTGGATCAAGAGAAAGGAAATGATGCCCACCTTGGCAGACTACAAAGATCTCTGCAGATTCATGGCGAGAGGCTTGGGGCTTGGTGGCCTGGACACGGCGGAACAGCTGCTGAAAGATCCATAGCAGAGGCTGATAGTCACGAGAACGGAAAACCTTTGTGATGAAGCTGCCACCACGGGCCAAAAAGTCACAAGCCAAACGTAGAGCCATCAGTGTCAAATGGGCTGTAGGATAGAGACAATTAGTTGACGCACTCTGCAGCCCAGGAGGGCATGCGCCCACCTCCACCATCACCTGATCTCCAAGCACCACACTCCCTGTACCTTGTGAGTAAGCATCATGGACCCAGCTAGCCCCAACGTTGGGGGCCCCATCATTGAGCACAACATCAACCTTCCAGGTCTTCAGCTCCTTCCTCAGGGCCTAAAGAGAAGAAAAGGAACTATGGAAACAGAAACACTGGAATGGCCCTGGTTCAGCCATTTGTCCATCTAGTCATTTGCTGAGTGCCCATCATGGGCCAAATGCAGTACCAGGCACAGGAGATACAATAGTAAACAAAAACAGTATGTCTCTACCTTCATGGAGATTACAGTCTGACACTGAATTCACAGGAGAAGACTTCACTAAAGATCTCTGCCCTTCTCCCAATTCCAAACACCTTTATCCCTGACTCTAAATAAAGCCTGGAGTGGACACTACGAATGCCATAGGTCTTGTCGTACAGATGTCAGGCAAGAACGTGCTCAAAGCACGGTAAAAAGGAAAAACTTGCCTTTAGAGGATTTCAGGGATGTAGATGTTTCCGTATAAAGGGGGAAGGAAGAGAGAGACTCCTATTACCTGCCTACAACGTTCTGTTGTGATGTCCTGCTGGAGAGTCACCACATTGGGGAGAGGCTTGATTGGAACCAGGTCCACTCCTGGAAGAAATCAGGTCAGAGTATTCTAAAAGGTTGCTTCAAGCAGGGAGGAGAGAAATACAGGACAAAATACCTTATACACCCACCCCTTAAAACACCAAGGAGAGCTGTCCGTTACTCACCCACAATAAGGCTGGATACAGGCATAAACTTGGCAGCTACCTGCAGCCTATAAAAGGAACAGAAATTTAAAAACCTAGAGCCATCCTTTTCCCCCTCTTGGCAACTGATCTCTCATCCCTGGTGTTACGTGTACTGGCCAAAGCATATCATAGGCACGTATTCCAAGCCCTTTCTCTGCAATCAAGAAAGGAAACGGCCCCCAAGAGGACCGGGATTCGGGTTCCCCTCCCGCAGTGAAACTGGAAGCCATCCCAGCTCAGAACCCAGAAAGCGGCCACCAGGAGCAACCTGTGGCGAGTGTTACGAACCATCCCCCTGGCGCAGCACACAGGTCCAGCAAGGCTCGGGCTTTCTGCAGGAACTGAAAGCGGCGATTGAGCTGGATCAGCTTGAAAGCAGATCGGGAACGGTAACCTGGACAAAACAACCAAGTGCGCAAACTGCTTCACTAGTAGGATTTCTCCGGCCTCGCAACCGACCACCCCTTCTGCAGGAGAGGTACATAATGGTCGCAAAGAGCAGGCGAACCGGGCAGAGATCGCTCGCTCGCTCGCAGACTGAGCGAATCCGGACTCACCCGTCTCCTTCGCCAAGTGATAAAACTTGTCTCGTCGGCTCTTGCCAACTTTGCCCTTCTTGCCCATGGTGGAAAGGGGGAGTATCCCTCAATCTGGGGAGAAAGTAGAAGTTGGGAACGTCTCTTTCCGGAGCACCAGATTCCACTTCCAGTTTCCCACTTCCAGTTTCCCACTTCCCGCAGCAATTCCACCCCGCGCCCCTCTCCGCACACTACCTAGACCCAGAGCCGCTTTCTCCACACTTGGAACCGCACAAGTATGCAGCTAACTACTTCCGCTTCCGCTTGCGTCCCCTGCGTCCCTGGCTCGAGGTTTTCCGCCATTTTGAGTGTGGCCCTAGATTGTTCTCAATACTCTGTCCTTGGGTTTTGTAAGTTGAAAGTTGAGACTAGGAAGGCATATCACAAGAACTATAAACAGAGTTTCAATGAGGCAACACTGAGGAGGAGTTCTACTCCTTCCTCATCCCCTTCCAAAGCCCCTGAACTCGAGTAGCCGCCCCTCCCATCATGGTTCCCTTAGTGTGGTCTCGCCGCACACCCCGCCCATTGACCCGGAATTCTTCTCTGCCTGGTCTTCAGGTCCCAATCCTCCGCTTCCGCGCTTGCGCGCCAAGACGGCTCGGATGCCGGCGGTCTCTGCTGAAGAGAGAAGATGGCGCTTGACGGACCAGAGCAGGTATGGCGGGTGCAGTGGCGGCCCGGCAGGTTACGGGGCTGGGTGCGGAGCGAGCGTGATCTGAGTGGAGAGCGGGCCGGGGCAGGAGCGTCGGGTGGGTCGGAGGTGCCTGGACCAGTCCATGCTGGACGCTGCCTGCGACCGGATCTGCTGTGTCAGCGCCGCCCTCGGTGAGTCAGGGCAAGGCTGGGAGAGGAAGACGCGGTAGAAGCGGAGTGAGTGAGGGAAGCGATGGGCGCGGGAATGGCCGGCCCACGGGTCGCAGGAGACGGGACGCCAGTCCTTTGGCTCCGTTCCGCTGGCTCCTTCGTCAGTACTGACACCTCGGGCTTGTAGAGCACTTCACGCAGTGCAAAGCGCCCCCCGTCTATATCATATCGCCTCTCGGTCCTCCTAAAAGTCGTATGAGGTAGGCGGCGTTCCCATTCTTTTATTTTAGTCCTGGGAAAATGGAGGGTTCCAAGGGAGGGAGGGATTAGAACCCAGATCCTGAGCCTCCGAAGTCCAAACTTTTTCTACTACGCAAAGCTACCTGGTGTCAAGCCTTATTCAAAGTGCCCTGCAAGTGGCTTTACCCCCTCGGATGTTTAACCTGTCGTTTAAGACTCACTCTGTGTCTTCAGATGGAGCTGGAGGAGGGGAAGGCAGGCAGCGGACTCCGCCAATATTATCTGTCCAAGATTGAAGAACTCCAGGTGAGGACGGACTCCAGAGGGAGCTAGGAAGGGTGATGATGGGGGATGGAAACGGACTTCCACAAATCCATCTAATTCCTTTGGGAGTGCAGTGGAAGAAGCTGCTGCTTCTCCTTTCTTGTTTGTTTCTTAGCTAGTAGGGTGTATGTATCAGAAGTAAGCAATCTCTTGTTCTCCTCCAGTCCCATCTCTTTGAGGGTCTTAGTGTTCACAGTTTGTTACACATCTTCGAGTCAAATCTTAATAGTAAAGGTACCTCTAGCCAAAGGTCAACCCTTTTGGAAGAAGCCCGAATGAAAAGGATTCTTATAAAAGGGAAACATAAGCTCAGGAGTTGAAATTTATCACCAAGAGGTTGGGTGAGGGTGAAGTGAGAATGTGAGGAAGGGCATCATTGAGGGATCTGGACAATGCTAATTCCATAGAGACTGAATGAAAGAAATTGGGCAACCCAGAGCCCTAGCCTAAAGCGCTAAACCATAGAAAAAGGACCGTTTATGTTGTTAATCAAATGTTTGTGTTACCAGTAAGGCTTCCAGCAGTAAGGTATGGCTTCCAGTAGTAAGCCTTACAGACAACATAAACAGTAGTCTGTTAGTGTTACGTTATACTGTTACGGTAGGCTGTTAGTAGTTTAACTTTGGACAGGTCCATGGATTTTCAATTTCACCCTAACCCCCTGCGTTGTTCAAGTGTCAACTGTAATATAAATTGGATGGGGGAAAGCCACAAAAGACAATTCTGAATTCCAAGTGCATTTGCAGGTATTATGTTTAGTTTACCATTTTTGAATGCTTTTTCATGTGTTTTTATTCGTTCACCTTAGTAGTCTTGAAGCAGGGTAGCTGATGCTATACCCATGTGCCGTTTGGTAACAGATCTAGATTTTTAAAAATAGATTGTCTTACCTTTACTTTGCTTTTGATTGACAGCGGCTGGGCTAGAACTCAGGTTTCTCACCTAACAATCTTTCCACCAGGTGTTGTTGCCTTCCTGCAAGAAATTTGGTGTTACATGAGCCAGCTGTAACTTTTCTCCATTAGATTCTGTTACTCCTGGACCAGTATTGGACAAGCAGCCTTCTTTGATGGCTGCTGTAAGGTCCAGAGGGACTCTTGAAGGACAGGGCAGGGTCATTAGGATCATACTGGAGAATCTGAAACAACATGCAGGTGCCCTGTGCCCTTCCCTCAGCTCATTCAGACCTGTGAGGTCTTGGCCAAGATCCTACCTCCTCCTGTCTCCTGCCCTTGAATAATGGAATTTGTCTCTTGTCTGCCACAGCTGATTGTGAATGATAAGAGCCAAAACCTCCGGAGGCTGCAGGCACAGAGGAACGAACTAAATGCTAAAGGTGAGTGGAGAAAGATGGGAAGCCGCATGTGGGCAGTTTGTCTGAGGTCTGTCCTTATCTCCCTGCACTGTGTCTTCACAGCAGTGCTTACTGTTTTCTCCCTGTCATCATCTAGTAGTTTCACATGCATCTCTTTTTCCTGAGCCCTATTGTAGCCTCCTTAAATACATGAATTTTGACCTTTGGCCTTCCTTTAATAAGAGTGATGCTTAGCTCATGCACGTAGAATTGGGTCCTGGAGACTCCAAAGGAGTAGCTAGGTGACCACTGTGTCTGTTTGCCATCTAGTTCGCCTATTGCGGGAGGAGCTACAGCTGCTGCAGGAGCAGGGCTCCTATGTGGGGGAAGTAGTCCGGGCCATGGATAAGAAGAAAGTGTTGGTCAAGGTAAAAGCAGCATGACCCCAGGGACCAGCTCGGTCTCCACTGCATTCCCACCCCTTTGTGTGTAGCCTCGGGAGACAGGGTTCTGTGTTCTGTCAAGGTATTGTGGGATTCTCATAGGTCTTCCTGGGTAGGATTAGTGATTTGGTGGCTGTCAAGGAAGGTCATGAGCCCTTGTTTCTTTAGGTACATCCTGAAGGTAAATTTGTTGTAGACGTGGACAAAAACATTGACATCAATGATGTGAGTGTAGCAGGTGAGGTGGTGGTGGTGGTGGGGTCAGCTCTTACTGTACCACTTCTGAAACTCGCCCCCTTCACCCAGGTGACACCCAATTGCCGGGTGGCTCTAAGGAATGACAGCTACACTCTGCACAAGATCCTGCCCAACAAGGTAGACCCATTAGTGTCACTGATGATGGTGGAGAAAGTACCAGATTCAACTTATGAGATGATTGGTGGACTGGACAAACAGATCAAGGAGATCAAAGAAGTGATCGAGCTGCCTGTTAAGCATCCTGAGCTCTTCGAAGCACTGGGCATTGCTCAGCCCAAGGTGAGGAGCAGGGCTTCTCTGAGAGGGCCAAGCTGTACTTACTCCTCCTGCCCCAGCCAGCCCTACTGCAGGGGTTGGGGAGGCACCGGGATAGGCTGCATCTTGCTTGGGCTGGCCCTCCCCCTGAAAAGAGTGGCTGGGGAAGTGTTCCTAGGGCGGTGAGGTGGTTTGGATAGAAGGGACCTTGATGTTCCTTTTTTTTTTTTGTATCCCTAACATCTAGCAAGGGACCCAGCACTCGGTAAATGTTCACTGAATGAAATGAGGGGTGTAGCTTTCTGCCCTGAGTCCTGCTGTTCCCCTGTAGGGAGTGCTGCTGTATGGACCTCCAGGCACTGGGAAGACACTGTTGGCCCGGGCTGTGGCTCATCATACGGACTGTACCTTTATTCGTGTCTCTGGCTCTGAACTGGTACAGAAATTCATAGGGGAAGGTAACCATGGCTAGCAATGTGAGAAGCAAGAGGTAGGGGTAGGGGGTTAGAGAGCTAATAAGCTAATAAGCTCCCTAACACCAGCTCGGCCTCCACACAGGGGCAAGAATGGTGAGGGAGCTGTTTGTCATGGCACGGGAACATGCTCCATCTATCATCTTCATGGACGAAATCGACTCCATCGGCTCCTCGCGGCTGGAGGGGGGTTCTGGAGGGGACAGTGAAGTGCAGCGCACGATGCTGGAGTTGCTCAACCAGCTCGACGGCTTTGAGGCCACCAAGAACATCAAGGTAAGGTGGTAGCATCCTTGGGATGGGCCCAGGGAAGGCCTGGGTGCCACGCAGGCTGAGGAAGAGGTTTAGCTGATCCCCACTTGCTTTCTCTGCTCAGGTTATCATGGCTACTAATAGGATTGATATCCTGGACTCGGCACTGCTTCGCCCAGGGCGCATTGACAGAAAAATTGAATTCCCACCCCCCAATGAGGAGGTTTGTGATGGACACTGTGCAAAGTGGCTCTGGCTGTGGGGGTGGGGTGTGGGGCTCAGGCTTTTCCTTGCCATCTCCAGGCCCGGCTGGACATTTTGAAGATTCATTCTCGGAAGATGAACCTGACCCGGGGGATCAACCTGAGAAAAATTGCTGAGCTCATGCCAGGAGCATCAGGGGCTGAAGTGAAGGTAATTGGAGTACCCACTGAAAACAGGGCAGAGGCAGGAAGCTCTGGGCTCAAGGGCCACAGATGAGGGGCACAGCAGTGGGGCCTCAATTTCCTTTTCCTGTTCAGGGCGTGTGCACAGAAGCTGGCATGTATGCCCTGCGAGAACGGCGAGTCCATGTCACTCAGGAGGACTTTGAGATGGCAGTAGCCAAGGTATAGGCCTCCATCTTTGTGCCTTTGCCAGTGGTGGCTCTGGGGCAGTGGGCTAGGGCATGTGTGTGTTCGTAACTTAATGTTCATTCTCTCTCCCACCCCTAGGTCATGCAGAAGGACAGTGAGAAAAACATGTCCATCAAGAAATTATGGAAGTGAGTGGACAGCCTTTGTGTGTATCTCTCCAATAAAGCTCTGTGGGCCAAGTCCTCTAGGACTCCAGTCTGTTAATGAGGGCTGTGCTGTTCAAGGACCAGGTCCAGGCACCACCAATAGACAAAAGGATTTATTTGGAAATTTCCAAACCTGCCAGATGTGGCACTCGCCAAGCCCTAGGCCCACCCTCCTCACCAAGCTCCAAAGGGCAACACCAGTCCTCCCAGCCTCCCCATTCACCTTACCCTGGCCTCCACATGCACATACCCCATACCTCAGGCCATGCTAGAGAACTGGAGTGTCCCCTCCCCGGCCCAAGCCGCTGGAGAGGCAGCCCTCTGGCATCCCAGGAGATGATGGCGGCCAGAGCCGCTTGCATAGATTGAGGAAAGAAAAGAAGGAGGCACCTAACAGGCTCCCTGAAAACCCCCAACTTACCCCTGTACAAAAAAAGTGGCTCCCACATAGAAAACTTGCTCCCAAAATAGTGCAAATACCCAAAGGAAAGGAAAAAACCAGCAGCAAGGCTGGGCTTGTAGGAATGGCAAAGAACTTTGGTTTAGAAAGGCTAGGAAGAGTCTGGGCTGCACCTCCTCTTCCTAGCCCAGCTCCCCAGAGCCAGCTCTGACCCTCGCCCCAGGGGGAGTCTGTAAACATGCAAACCCAGCAGCCTTTGGTTCGGAAATGTCTTACAATGTCAAAGCACAGCCTCCAGCAGTCCTACTTGGGCCTGCCTGCAGGGGGGCAGAGGAGGCATCTGCTGAACCCAATTAAAGCCAATGCAAAAAGTATAAGGCTTTGGGGACCAAGCAACAAGGAATCCTATCACTACATTTATAAGACTAAAGCTGGAGAGTAGAGGGTGACAGCAGACACTCCTCACCCCAGCCTACGTGTCTGCGGCCCCAGCAAGGACCCAGAGGGTGGTCTCCCTCCAGGCTCCAGGGCTGGGAAGAAAGATCCCTGAGCAGTTAGGTCAGGCGAATTCCCAGCACCTGTTCCAGTTCCTGCCTTCGCTGCTGCACCTGGAGAAGGGAGAAACCAAGTGGCTCAGGCCTTTGCTACTCACGGCCAAAGGAGGGAAAACAGGGCAGAGCCTCACCTTGGCAAAGATGTGCCTGCCTACTGCTTCCTGGGCCCAGGGCTGGTGGTAGAAAGCAGCTCGTCTCTCCTCCTCAGGATTTCCAATCACATCAGTGATGATCTGCAAAGAGCCAGGAGGAAAGCCATAGCATAATCCCCACCCCTGGGCTAATCCACCCTGGGAACTGCTGTGGGTAAAAATCACCCAGAGCTTTACATAGGAGTCCCCTCGGGAAAGAGGACTACACCTTGAGGTCTCGGCGCTGGGAACGGAGCCATTCCTGGATGAAGTCCTGGGGGTCGGTGCTAAAACTGAGCATGAAATCTCTCTGGGTCTTCAGCTGGTTGATGGACTCAATGGTCTCATGGATCTGGAGAGGGTACCTGTGTCAGACTGTGCCCCCAAAGCTTACATGCAAGCAACTGAGCCAGAGTTCCCATCCCGTCCTCCAGGTGCTACATGTATGGAAATGCTGGACAGAGCCAGCCCACCCCAATCCTGGGCCCCAGAGGAAGCTGTGGAGCCAGAGGGCCCACCTTGACATCAAGGGAGGCGATCTCCTGCTGATTGGTGGTAGAGGCCAGAAAATTGCTCATTTGGGCCTTCAGTGGGTCGTCCACCTCCACATCGATGTCGTAACAGGCTGTCTTCTTCTGGTCGTTAGGGTCGACACTGCAGGCAGCACATGGGGAGGGAAGGCACATAGCTGACTTCATCCTGCCCACCTGGGCCAAATCTGGGGCCCATTCTCTGCACACACTCAGGGAAAAAGAAACCTGATGCTTTCTTTGGCTTTAGTTCAAGCCAAGGGTGAATCTGCTCTTAGAAGAGCCTTCCTGTCCCCCTCCTTGCATTTACCTAATGACATGGTTGATGACAATGGGGTCTGGATGCTGCAGCAACCCTGCCAGCTTCATGGGAATCTCGGAGAAACGGAGTCGGCCACAACTGAAGATCTGGAGGAAATACGAAAGGCTCAGCGTTGGCTTGTGGGCACAGTGGAGTGGACCATTCCAGGACCAGTGAGGGCAGCAGTCTGCAGGCTGTGGCCAAGGAGTAGCCCAGCAGGCAAGGCAAAGCAAGGGCTGAGAAAACGGGGGCTGGCATCTGGCTAACCTGGCGGAAGTAACGGTTGCAGTTGATGTACTCCCGCTCGTGCCCATCCTGCAGCTGGTTGTGCTTGATGTAAAGCCACAGGGCCTGCATGATGGCGGCCCTCGTCTGCGTGTGCACTCCCAGCAGCCTTGCCAATCGGGGGTCCAATTTGTACTGGGGAGGCTGGAGTTGGATGGAGGGGAGTCAGAACGGGTTCTTATAGTAGAACAGTGGGAAAATAGGGCAGGGACAGGAAGGGTTTCTAGGAACCAGCTCCCCTCCTGAGGGGTCCCTGTGGGCCCAGAAATGACCCCAGGGTCTCTGTCACCTGATGATCCAGCATGAGCAGGAGGGTGCACTTGACGTTGAGGTCTCCAGGCCGTTTTACTTGGAAGCCATCTGTCTCCTGGGTGGTGGGCATCCGGTGCCACTGGCAGGGAGGGAAGCATGGCTTATCACCAAGGGGGTGGGCGTGAACACAGGGCCTCCCAAGGGCCCTGAGGCCATTTCCCTGCCAAACCTGCACATCAGCCTGCTTTTGCCCCAGGCCCACTCTCACCTCCACCAGGTGATTGTCAGGCCCGTACAGCTCCTTGTCCAGCTCAATGACGAGGCTCTTAAAGAATGAAGAAAACTTCCTCTTCTGTTTGCTAGGCTGGGGATGGAAAGGGGTGTGAGATGGTGCTGCTGAGCTCTCAAATCTCAAGCTATGCTAAATCCCAAGAAAGAGAAGCCCCATTTCAGCCCTGGAGCTCCGGATACTGAAGATTCCTGGGCCCTGAAGGATGGAAGCAGGACTCTGGGCAGACTGGAGGCAGGGAAATGGTGCCCTCTTGCAGCCCACGAGGGACTTCCTCGAGACACTCGACTGCCATCTGCAGGAACACTGTAATAACCACACAAATCAACCTCCAACGGGCTTGGAGCAGCGCCCCCCTCCCTATGGCAGGACTTCTCTGGGAGCGCCCAAGTGTCTGGCCCAGTCTTTTTTTTTCTGAGACACAATCTCACTCTGTCACCCAGGCTGAAGTGCAGTGGTGTGATCATAACTCACTGAAGCTCGACCTCCTGGGCTCAAGCCATCCTCCTGCATCAGCCTTATGAGTAGCTGGGACTACAGGTGCATGCCACCGCACCCAGCTAATTTTTAAATTTTTTGTAGAGATGGGGTCTGGCTCTGCTGCTCAGGCTAGTATCAAACTCCTTGGTCTCAGTCTTAAACCCACACAGGCCTCCTTCCCTCCAGAACCTCCCTCCCCAACTCACATCATCCAGCAGTTTTCCTTCCACTCGGAGTTCCCAGGAAGCCACCTTGTCCCCTGCTGGGGTTCCCCCAGGGGTCCCTGCAGTTCCTGCACTATCGCCTTCCGCCTTGCTGGGACTGAACGTATTGGAAATGTAGATCCGAAGCTTTCGCTTTTGCTAAAGAGAGAAAGGCAATCACAACTGGAGGTGGACCAAGATGCTGGGACACAGTGCTACCGCATCTTCTCATATGAACCATTCAACAATCAGTACTGAGCACCATGAGCCAGCCAGGCACCTTGTCAGGTACTGGGAATCAGAAGTAGTAAGTCCCAGTCCCAGCCTTTTTTTTTTTTAGACATGGTCTCACTCTGTCACCCAGGCTGGAGTGCAGTGGCGCGATCTCAGCTCACTTGCAACCTCTGACTCCCAGGTTCAAGCGATTCTCTTGCCTCAGTCTCCCATGTAGCTGGGACTACAGGTGCGCACCACCATGCCCAGCTAATTTTTTGTGTTTTTGTAAAGATGGTATTTCAACATGTTGGCCATGCTGGTCTCAAACTCCTGACCTCAGGTGATCTGCCCACTTCGGCCTCCTAAAGTGCTGAGATTACAGGTGTGAGCCACCGCACCTGGCCGGAACTCACCATTTTATGGGGAAAGAGATGCATCACCAACAATGCCAGCACAGTGGGACTGGTGCTACGGCATGATGGAGTAACACGCAGCCAGTCTCTGGCTCACATCTTACATGAAACCCAAACACCCATCACGGCTCCAAAATATCCTAGTCCCCTGGAAAGGCTTCACCACTCGGGACTGTTCTACATTATTATTAAGAAAAGCTTCTCGGCTGGGTGCAGTGGCTCACGCCTGTAATCTCAGCACTTTGGGAGGCCGAGGCAGTCAGGAGTTCGAGACCAGCCTGGGTAACATGGCGATACTAAAAATACAAAAATTAGCCGGGCGTGGTGACAGGCATCTGTAATCCTAGTTACTCGGGAGGCTGAGGCAAGAAGAATTACTTGAACCTGGGATGCGAAGGTTGCAGTGAGCCGAGATCGCAACACTGCACTCCAGCTTAGGTGAAAGAGCGAGACTCCATCTCAGAAAAAAAAAAAAAAAAAAAAAAGAAAATTTCTCTATGGATGGGGAAGGGGAAGGAGAAAGGAACTACCTTTATCCCCTAGTCTAGTGGTTTTCAAACTTTTGACCACCACCCATAAGATTTACATTTTCAATTATGACCCAAGGTCTGCATATCTATTTATCAGAAACAAAAATGTCATGAAAGAATCCATTTACTACTATGGTAAGTACTACTGTGAAGTATTTTAAGATTTTCTACTGTCATATATTCATTTAAAACATACTGGCCCCAACACATTCAACTGAGTTCGTACTCTACTAGTGGGCTGCATCCTGCATGTGAAAAACCCGGCTCTAGCCCAACTTGCTTGGCCCCTGGAAAACAAGGGGGTGGAAGGCAAGGAAACCTGGGAAGGCTAGAGGTGGTCAGGGCCACACATACTGTCAGAGGCTTTTTGATGGCCTCCTGGATCTCCATCCGCTTGCGAGCAATGGTCTGGTCCAGCTTCCGCTCAAAAGCCAAGAGATCCATGTACGCCTGAGACTCTGGAACAAGCTCCCGGATCTGAAGGAAGGTAGCAGAAGCTCATCAGCTTGCTTCAGCCAAAGCCTGGCTCTTTCCTCCCTTCCTGCTGCAGCCCAGCTTTGAGAGAGATGGACACCCACCCCAAGGTGGCCACTGGGCAGGCCTCCCAGGTGTCCTCTTAACACTTACTCGCTGAGGTAGAACCTTATCTGCCATCTTCCTCCTCTTTAACCTGGGGAGGACAGAAACCCACTTAAGAGGTCAATGGTCCAAAAAAGGACACTCACTCCCATAACGCCCCTCCAGTCTCCAGGACCCTCTCCCCCAGGAGAGCCTGGAGTCATCCTCAGTCACCAAAGCTCTTAAGATAGAAGGAAACCCTCTGCTACCACCAGAGCTGAGTTAGGCAGAGTGAGAGAAGCAGGATGCTCTTACCCCCGGCGCTGGGCAGGCATGGGAGGCTGCGCCTGGGGCACAAGCAGGCGTTTTCGGAATGGATCCATCATGGTGGGTGGCATGCCAGGTCGAAGCGGAGCTGCTGCACCAAATGGGGAGCCAGCAGGGGGTCCCACCTGCAAGCCAGCCATGGGCATCCGGTTCCCTGGTGACATGCCAGGTCGCTGGGGGAAGTGAGCCAACGGGGGTGCATAGGTCAGGGGCAAGGCCCTCCGGGACCCATAGCCCATGCCCTCCATCCCTCTCGTCAGCCAGGTAGGGCCTGAGCAGCACACCAGAGCCCTGCTGGAGCCCCAGGAACAAAGGGGAGTGGGCGCCTGAGCACAGAGTGTAAACCACACCTGCCCTGCCCCCTGCAACCGCCCTGGCAGCCATGCCAGCGAATGAGGCCTGCCAGAACCTGGGCTGGGAGGAGGGTCCTGCCTGCAGAGGGAAGGGCCTTGGGGAGCTTTTCAGGGCCCATTGCTACCTTCCAGCCCCAGCATGCTGTGCCCTATTCCCTGGGCAAGCTGGTCCCTATTCTCTCAGACAGTCCTGCCAAGCCCTGCCCTCCTTCTCTTTCTCCCATCATGAAGAAGAAGCATGGCTGAGAGGCACAGGGGCAGTGTCACTGCCAGGCAGAGGAGTGTACTATAGTATGAGTAGGCCAATGGCGCAGAGCCCCAATCCCCATCCTCTGTGGCCGAGGGAGAAAGGGGTCTGGTAGGCAGCAGCACCCCAGGTGAGCAGGGCTGCAACAGGATGGCTTGGAACGTGTACCAGCTGGTGGGGGTGGCCTCGGGCAGGGTACAGGGACCCTGTACCCTGTAGTCTGGTATCACATAGCCCCCACCCACAGCCCAGAACTGGACCCTCCTCTTACCTCCCTACTGCCCAACTACTACCCCTATGACAGAAGACCCCAGAAGGGAAGCTATGGCTCCTGGGTGGCCTGTGGGAAAGAGAGCAGCTAGCACCTGGACTCTGCCAGTGGTCCAGGCACCACCTGGCAGCCAGGACTGGCTCTGGCTCCGTGTAGCCCTGGCAATCCCAAGCTGGAGAAGGGGGCTAAGATTATCCTGGGAGGCAAGGATAGAGGCCCAGGCTGAGCAGCAGGAAAGTGGGAGACAGAAATAGCTTCTTTAGATGCCTGCAGAAGGATTTCCCACCTGAGGCCTTGCTCCCTGACATTTCTGTGGAGCCCATCTGGGAGTCACCTCCACCCCCACCCGCCTCCCCATGGCTGCTGCCTGCAAGGCCTGTTTGGCAGCTCTGCCTTGCACACACTGTCCCTGGCAGCTTCACAGGGCTGGCCCCAGGGCCCAGATTATGCAACGAGCACAACCAGCCAACCAAGCCCGGCAGGGTGGAGACTTGTACCAAATCAAAGGACCCTCCCCCACCCCAGCATCATGGAGATGAGATTCTTCCCCAACCTCTTCATCCCGCACTAAACCCATGTTCCCAACACAGAGGGTCAGATTCTTGACCAGATGCGGAGATGGAAAGAAACATGACCCACAGACGTGAGGATGGGGAGAGGAGGAGCAGGGTGGGACGGAAGTGTTTGGGAGAATAAAAAGTTCAAAGTGGGGGGCTCTGGGGCTTTGGGAGTCCTGCCAAAGTCTCTCTGCATCAGGAAGAGATTAATCAGAGCTGTTGAAAGGCAAAAGACAGCCTCTTTCTCTGCCTTAAAGATTGTTCTTTCTCTGGCCTGAGATTATAGAAAAAAACTAAGTGTGGCTACAGCTGTAAGCCCAGGCCCAGACATCCCAGACTAGTTTTTCCTAGTGCCTGAGACAAAGACAGGGAAGAACTGAAGCAGTGGGTCCTGCAGAGGTGAGCGAGGGCCCTGTGGTCCCCAGGAAGCTCCCTGCTGCAGTGTTCACAAAACCTGCAGCACCACCCATCCCTCCTGGGCAGGTGCTCCGGTAACAGGAAGTCCCAAGACAAGGCCTCATAGGCAGGGTCTGGAATAGGCTCCACCCAGACATCTGCTCCAGGTTTCCTGGGCCCAGAGCCCCTGGCTCACTCAGGGCCCCAGGGGAAGGCTGCTTATAGTTCAAGTCCCAGCTGAGCCTTGCCAAGCTCCATAGGGCTTATAGGCGCTAGCAACTCCTCCCACTTCAAAAAACAAAACAAAACAAAACAAACAAAAAAAAACAACTCAGGAGTTAAAGAAAAAAAAAAAAGCAGTCCAGCACTCTGAGCCTCCCTAACTCCCTGCCTGCAGCAGGACCAGGTAGGCCTGGATCAATCCCCTGAACCCCAGATGAGGAATCCAGGGCTCCGGTGAGCGTGCTTTGCCCTGCCCCAAATGTGGCCCTGATGCTCCTGGAACCTGGGCCTGAGGGCCTCAGTTGGGGAACATACCACCCACTCTCCCATGAGTAAAAAGGATTTTGAGGCCGGGTGCAGTGGCTCACGCCTATAATCCCAGCACTTTGGGAGGCCGAGGCGGGTGGATCACAAGGTCAGGAGTTCGAGACCATCCTGGCCAAGATGGTGAAACCTCGTCTCTACTAAAAATACAAAAAAATTAGCCGGGCGTGGTGGTGGGCGCCTGTAATCCCAGCTACTCAGGAGGCTTGAGGCAGAGGATTGTTTGAACCTGGGAGGCGGAGGTTGCAGTGAGCTGAGATCATGTCACTGCACTCCAGCCTGGGCGACAGAGTGAGACTCCGTATCAGAAAAAAAAAAATTTTTTTTTTGAACTTTTTGAACTCTCTGGAGTGAACCCAGCAATCTGAGGTTTTTGTTATTTTGTTGCCCAGGCTGGAGTGCAGTGGCAGGATCATAGCTCAATGCAGCCTTGAACTCCTGGACTCAAGCAATCCTCCTGCCACAGCATCCTGAGTAGCTGGGACCATAAGCGCACACCACCATGCTTGGCTAAATTTTTTTTTTTTTTTTTAAGAGATGATGGTCTCACTATGTTGCTTAGGCTGGTCTTGAACTCCTGGTCTCAAGTAATCCTTCTGTCTGGGCCTCCCAAAGTGCTAGGATTACAGGTGTGAGCCCACCATATCCTGCCCTGGAGGTTTTTTTCTTTTCTTTTTCTTTTTTTAGGTTCCTCTGTTAACTGTGATCCACAGCTAGAACCACCCTCTGGAGGAAGGGAGGTCATCACTTCCCTTCTTTCAACTATTTGCTCAGCTTGGGCCTCAAATTCTCACTTTTCAAGTGCATCTCATGAGCCCTAACAGACAGGAACCCCTTTGTTTCCCAGATCTCAAGTCCCTTCTCCTGGCAGTCATACAACTGGACTTGGAAAGAAGGCAAATAGGATCCTCTTCAAACTCAGCCAAAGTTAGCTGGCTGGGTTCTCCTTCCCATCTACCTCTCCTGCCAGGAGGAGGAAAGCTAGTGGGATGGGAAACCCAGACTCAGGGCCATCTCCTACTTCCGCACAGCTAGCAGCCCAGGCCTAACCAGCCAGCCAGCTTGGCCTTGCCACAGGCCCAAGGCCACCCCCCACCAAAACATGTGGAATCCATCCTCTCAGGGGCTGTCCCAAGGGCACATTTCCTATGGCTTGCATGCCAAGGAAACTGGAGCGGCTTGTCTGTTCCAGGTCCTTCCAAGGCCAAAGGCCCACAGATGGTGCCCAGGCCAGGTCTCAGTGGGCAGGCCCAAGGGCTACAATGAATGATGCAGGGAGCCCTCAGCAACACCCTGGGCCCATGAATCCCCAACGGGGACAGCAAGGTGGGAGAGATGAGCCCCAGCTGGAATCCCTGGGACCAGGTCTGTCTCTGCCCATACCCAGACTCTCTTTTCTCTTGAGAAAGGAGGAAGAATGAGGAGTAAGAAGGAAAAAAAAATCCAGTCACTGTCCCTAGTTAAGCCATCTCCTTAGAAGTGAGGGCCCAGTGGGGCAGGTAGGCTGTGTATACTCCACGAGGATCCCTAAGGACCTCTGCCTGGAGACATGAGTCGAAAACAGAGGAAGCCCACAGCAAACCCGTAGATGAGCAAGAAGCCAGTGTCAAATGCTTGGGCACATGGCTTCGGACGTGGTGGAGTTAGAACCTGAAGGCCAAATAAAAATGCAGAGAGGGTGACAAGGCAGATGGGCACAGTTTCCAAGCCCTCTGGGGCAACCTGAACAGCAGACTAGAGCACTGGCAGGGTCAGGCTGAGGTCCTCACACACTGAGCAGAAGTCGCTGCTTTGCAAGGGCTTTTGAAGCTGCAATCTGAGCAGCTCTCAAAACCCCAAAGGGGTCAGGACAGCACTCTTTGAAGCAACTCTCGCAGACTCCTCCGGCCCCAGACCAGCAGGGCTCCACTCTGCACGTCCAGACTAATCAACTCCCGGACACGATGACAGGAGGCAGAAAGCCCAGAAGAGAGCCGGCCTGTGACTGGGCTGGGCCTCCCCTCAGGCCAGGCCACCACCGTCTCTGGTCTAAGCTGGAGTCCTCCCAGCGAAGGCGCCTGGCCCTGCCTCAGGAGTAAAGTCCGCCCGTGCACAAGCTGGAATCCCCTGGCCCTAGCCTCAGCGTCCCGTGCCCGTGGGAAGCCAGGCTCCTTCCTCCTTATTAGCAGCCGGGAGCCATCTCAGACACGCTAGAGCTCCGCCAGTTCCCAATCAGAAAAAACAGGGCAGACTTGGACTGGGACCAAGGCCGATGCAGGGTAACCCCGGTTTCTCAGCGAGGGCCCTTTCCCAAACTTTCTCATCACTTTCCAGCCCTCCTACCCTAGACTTCTCAACCCACCCGCCACAATTCACTGGCTCCCCAAACTCCTCCATCTCCCAGTCACTCGGAATCCCTGTGCCGCGGAAGCCCCCAGGCCTCCCAGCTGCTTCCAGCCCTCCGCTGCAGAACCTGCTTCCCCTTCCCACTTCTCCACCGCGACCCGCCGCAGCCCGAGGGTCCCGGCCCGCCCTCCACCGTCTCCCGGAGTTCCTCATGCATTCCCCAGGGCCCTCACTCGAGGCCCCTTCAGCCGCCGGCCCGGGCGCCCTCGCAGCGCCTCTCGCCCCCGTCCGCTCGCGTCCTCCTTGCTCACCTGGTACTGCGCCGCGGGGCCCGCGGGGCCCATGGGGCGGAAGGCGGCGGCCCCGGGGCCCCCCACGCCTCCTGCCGGACCCGGTCCCCGGAGCGCCGGTCCGGGCAGCATGCCGGGTCCCGCGGGGGGAGGCGGCGCTCCCAGGGCCGCAGCCACGGCGCCGCCGCCAGGGCTTAGCGGGGGCAGCGGGAACCCGCCCGCGCCTCGGCCCGACATCGCTCCGTCCCGTCCCGCGGTGCCGCGATCCGGACTCCGGGCTCCGCGTCGAGTCCACTCCGTGCTCTGTGCTCCGCGATCCGGGACTTGGCGATCTTAATTCCGGGTTCCGGGATTTGTCGATCCGGGCTCCGGGATTTCCTAATCCAAGTTCGCGAGTTCCTCACAGACCCGGTTCGGGACAGATTCCGCTCCTGCCCGGGAGATTCCGGATCCAGGATCTGCTGCGGGCCCGCCTTCCGTCCCCGGCCTCCGGAGGTTTGGCCGCCCGAGTCGAGTTACCCAGAGGCGGCTACGAACTCCCTGCCCCGCCCAACCCAGCCCAGCACTAGGCCCCGCCTCTACCTGGTGCCCAATGCTCGAGTGCCTCCTCGAATCCTGCCCCTCGCGAGACCCGCCCCCAGCGGGCACCGCCCCTAACTGCCGACCTCAGAGCCCCACCCCCCCACCTTTGGCCCAGCCTTTCGTCGGAGGGGCGGGAGCGGAAGCTGCGCGCGGAAGCGCCGAGTGAGGCGCGGGGTCAGAGGTCTAAGGTCACTTAGGGGCTTCACAGTGAATGAGCCGTTGCTACTACTCTCTCCCGGTATAGCACCCTCACCGAATTCCGCGGCCACACTCCCCGAAAATAGTTTTGTCAAGTCTCCTTTCTGCATCTTCGGCGTTAAAGACTCAACTCAGAGTCGGTAGCTGTGGCTCACGCCTGTAATCCCAGCGCTTTGGGAGGCTGAGGCGGGCGGATCCCCTGAGGTCAGAAGTTCGAGACCAGCCTGGCCAACATGGTGAAAACCCCGTCTCTACTAAAAATACAAAAATTAGCCGAGTGTGGTGACGGGCGCCTGTAATCCAAGCTACTCGGCAGGCTGAGGCAGGAGAATCGCTTGAACCTTGGAGGCAGAGGTTGCAATGAGCCGAGATCGCCCCACTGCACTCCAGCCTGGGCGGCAAGAGTGAAACTCATCAAAAAAAAAAAAAAAAAAAAAAAAGACTCAGCTGCTCTGTGGGGCAGAACAGCAGCCAACTCAACTTCCTGTAAAAGCTCATGCTGGTAGCTCGGAACTGCCAAGGGACCTAGGAGGCTCCAGACTTGACCCAGCTGGTGAACGGTCGACTTGGCCAAGGCTGAGTTCTACCGCACATTTTTAACGTGGCTCCGCCTCACTTTAAGGAAGCCTGGTACTTTACTCCCCAGAAAATGCTTCTAGTCAAAAGAAATTTGGCTTATGAGAAACCTCCCCGCAGTTTAAAAAAAGAGGTCTTTCTCCAGTATTTATAGCACTTAATTTTCAAAAATGCAGTATCTTTTCAGGTACACTGTGCTGTATCAAAGTATTCAAAAATGCGTCAGCTGTGCCAGGGAGCCTACCCTCTGATGGTCTGGATCTCCTCGCCGTGATATGGACCAGTGCTGCTTAAACTTTAATGAGCACATAAAAAACACTCGAGGCTCTTATTAAAAATGCAGATTGTGGCAGGGCCCAGGACTCTGCATTTGTAACAAGCTGCCAGCGATGCTGTTGCTTCTCAGACCACACTGTCAAGAAGCCGGGATCTAGACTTTTTTTTTTTTTTAGTTTTTTTACTATAATTGCTTTATTTTTCCAGCCCCAACCAAGTAATACTTCCTTCCTTGCATCATAGCACCCCAGATCTTTTTTACAGTATAGTTCTCCAGTGCTTTTTAGAAATTAGTTCTCCTCATGCCTCTAGTGATAAACACCGCTGCTGCTGTTTTCTTACCTCCTGAACTTAGAGATCCCACTCTATTGCCCCAAGAGTCGATAACCTGTCAGTCTGGGGACTGGCCACTGGAATTGTTAAAGTCACTGAATCATGGCCCCTCCCATCCCTGTAAAGTGGGTTAAGAGTTCATGATAAGGCAGCTAATATCCATTTCAATCCTTTTAAGCTTCTAGAACAACAGTAATTCTCAAAGTGATAGGGGCAGTGGAGAATCAGAGTCCTCTGGGAAGCTACTCCAAAATACCTCCGCCAGCCACCCCTCCAATCCAATGGCTCTCAGTATTGTATTTGAAAAATAAGCTTCCTAGGTAATTCTGATGCGACCCAGTGGGTCGCATCAGAAAACACAAGATTTTTTCTACCCTAGAAAAGGGGCAAGCTAATAAGTGCATTTAAAAGCAGATCAGCTGGGTGGAGTGGCTCACACCTGTAATCCCAGCACTTTGGGAGGCCAAGGTGAGTGGATCACTTGAAGTCAGGAGTTCGAGACCAGTCTGGCCAAGATGGTGAAACCATGTCTCTACTAAAAATATAAAAATTAGCTGGGCGTGGTGGTGCACACCTGTAATCCCAGCTACTCAGGAGGCTGAGGCACGAGAATTGCTTGAACCCAAGAGGCAGTGGTTGCAGTGAGCAGAGATCGTGCCACTGCACTCCAGCCTGGGTGACAGAGTAAGACACTGTCTCAATAATAATAAAGCAGATCAAACGGTTAAATATAACTCAGTTCCTGTCAATCCCTTGTTTAAAACCCTCCCCAGCTCCCCATTGCTCTTAGATTGAATGTCACACTCCCTCCTGTGACATTTAAGGCTCTGCAGGACCTGGTCCCTGCTTACCTCCTTGGGTTCATTTTAAATCACTGCCTTTGGCTCTCCAAGCATTGGCCCAGATGGTCTCCTTGCAGTTTTTCAAACTACCCATCCCCTTCCCATCTCAGAGCCTCTCTGTTCTCTCACACCCTACTTCCCACCAAGTGATTATCACAGTACATCATTACTTAAGTGTGTGCTGATTTACTGTCTGATGTGGCTCACCCACTAAAATATAAACTCTACGAAGGCAGGATCTTTTTCTCTCTCAATTTATCTTTTTATTTTAAAATTTGTATTTTTTTAAGACAGTGATTTGCTAGGTTGCCCAGGCTGGCCTCAAACCCCTGGGCTCAAGTGATAGTTCCTGAATAGCTGAGTAGGTATACACCACACCTGGCTATTTTTTTAAATTGAAGTGAGATTTACGTAATAAAATTAACTGTTTGAAATTGCACAATTCAGTGGTATATATTACATTCACAATGTTGTGCAACACCTCCTCTACCTAGGTCCAAAATTTTGGGGTCCAAAATAATGACCCCAAAAGAAAACTCCATCCTCATTAGAAGTTGCTCCTCATTTCTTCCTCTTCCCAACTTCTGGCACCCACCAATCTGGGTTCTGTCTCTAGATTTATCTATTCTGGATACTTCATATAAATGGAATCATAATAGGTGGGTGTTGGGCATGGCTTCCTTCACTTAGCATAATGTTTTTGAGGTTCATCCATTTTGTAGCATGTATCAGTACTTCCTTTCTTCTTATGGCTGAATAATATTCCATTGTATGTATATAACACAATGTGTTCATCTGTTTGTCTTTGTATTTATTTGTTTATGACAGCATCTCGCTGTGTTGCCCAGGCTGATTTCAAACTCCTTAGCTCAAGTGATCCTCCTGCCTTGGCCTCCCAGAGTGCTAGGATTATAGGCATGAACCACCATGCCTGGCCCTATCCATTTATCTGTTGATGCGCAGTAGGGCTACTTCTACTTCTTGGCTATTCCAAGTAGTGCTGCTATGAATATATATTTGTATTTGAGTACCTGTTTTCAGTTATTTGGGGTATATACTGTGTCTCCCTTGATCCCTGTTGTAACTTAACAAATATGTATGAACAGACAATGTTTGAGTGTAGTGGGAGGGAATGATAAACAATAATATAATATCAGTTAATATCAGATATATCAGATAATATAAACAATGAGTTAACTGTGTTATGATAAAATATCCTTAAGGTGTTAGGGAGCAAATAGAGATATCTGAGGCATGGTAGAGATAAAAGGAAGATTTCCTACACAGTAGGCAGAGAATAGGTAACATTTACTGAGCATTTTCTACGTGAATTAGCTCATTTAATCATCACAACACATAGGAGGTAGATACCATATATGAGGTACACACTATTTTTACCTCTTTTTTTTTTTTTAAAGAGTTGGGGTCTCACTCTGTTGCCCAGGCTAGAGTGCAGTGGCATGATCATAGCTTGACTAATGGGGCCTCAAACTCCTGGGCTCAAGCAATCCTCCAACCTCTAAAAACTCCCGAGTACCTGGGACTACAGACACCAGCCTCTATGCCTGGCTCTATCTCTGTTTGAGAAATCAAAGCATGGAGATCCAGTCACTTGCCCACCCTCACTGTGATGGTGCTAGGATTCATCAAACCTGTTTCTGATCTGGCTCTAGAATCCAGTCTAGGGACTAACCATTACTTACCACCGATTTTTGGTAGCTGTGTGTCTGGTCTGTTATTACTTGCAAAGAAACTGTTAAAACTGAAAAGTGAGGCTGGGCAGGTGACTCATCCAGCACTTTGGGAGCTGAGGTGGGAGGATTGCTTGAGGGGTTCAAGACCAGACCAGGCAACATGGTGAGACCCTGTCTCTACAAGAAAATGAAAAAATTTGCAGAGTGTGATGGTGGGTGCCTGTGGTCCCAGCTACTTGGGAGGCTGAGGCAGGAGGATCACTTAAGCCCAGGAGTTTGAGGCTGCAGTGAGCTCTGATCATGCCACTGCACTCCAGCTAGGGCTACAGAGTGAGATGTTGTGTCTGGAAAACACAAAAACAAAAAACTGAAATGCAAGTGTCATAGACACTCAGAGAAAAAGAAGTTGATTGATAGGCCCTGATTAATCGAAGTTTCCTGGAACACTTTGAAGTGGAGGCAATATTCCCCTGCCTTTGTTCCCTCAGCTTGGAATGTCTGTTTCTCTTCCTCCCTTGATACTTATTCTGCTCAGTGCCCACTTTTCATGGACTTCATTCAACAACTTTTATTGAGCCCTTGTATGGTCCCAGGCTTACAGTTTAGAGGAGGGACTTTCCTATAACCTTGAGGCCCTGTTAACATCTACAGATACTCAAAGAGACTAAATGGAACTAAAAAGTATTTAACAAACTATTTAATAATAAAGTATTTAATACAACCAGAGCCAATGGGACAATTCCCAGCACAGACTCTGGGAATTTTGGCTCCTTGCCCAGCTGCATGAAAGTAGCACCCACCAAGTAGCTTGGAGAAAGGCCCTTGGAGCAAGGTGGCCCAGTGCTTGCCCTAGAGCAGGCCAGCAAAGGAACATTCCTCAGTATGGATGTCCTTCAGGGGGTTGGAATTTCATGAGAAGCAATGTGGATAGTCTGGTCATGGTGGGAAATGTTTACCAAGATGGCAGCACTGGCGGAGCTGTATCAGAGCCTGTCCCAGCTGGAGCACCCCGGCAGCTAAGTGTCCATCTCCCACATGGATGCAGAGTAGGGAGAGGAAGGGACAGTCAGGGCAGCAGAAGGACTGGATGCCAAGATAATGTAGCAGGTGCTGTACGCAGCATTTGAGAAGCATTTATTGAGCAACTTCTATGTGCCAGTCCCTGACATATGCTGGTAAAGAAGATAAATGCATAAACAGGTCATTTCCCCACATGACAACTGCTAAGATAAAAGTATTCACAAGGTACCATGGGGAAACAAGGAGGCCTTTAATGAGGGAAAGGGATTAATGAAGACTTCTTGGAGGAGGTAACAGGTGAGTTAAGCAAAGAAGACACAGTAAGAGTCAAAGGCATGAAGCTGTACAGGATGAGGAGAATCAGAGTGAGAGTTGCCAGATCACTGAATGTAAGGGAGAGCTCCTCTTCTGTGAGCACATTGTGGTCACAGTTCTCAACACACATACTGTCACAGCACAGTCTAGCGGTAAAATGCCTGAAGAGTACAGACTTGCAGTGAGCAGAGATCGCGCCACTGCACTCCAGCAGTGCAGATATCAGCATATAAGAAGTGGGCTTTGGGCCGGGCGCAGTGGCTCATGCCTGTAATCCCAAGACGGATCACCTGAGGTCAGGAGTTTGAGACCAGCCTGACCAACGTGGTGAAACCACGTCTCTACTAAAATTACAAAAATTAGTTGGACGTGGTGGCGCATGCCTGTAGTCCCAGCTACTCGGGAGGCTGAGGCAGGAGAATCGCTTGAACCCAGGAGGCAGAGGTTGCAGTGGGCTGAGATCGTGCCACTGCAGGCCAGCCTGGCGACAGAGCGAGACTCTGTTTCAAAACAAAAAAACAAGACTTTTTGCAAATTATCCATTGTCAAAACTCCGCCAAATACATCTCCCAGCCCGCCAGGGAGCAGCCAGCAGAGGCCGCAAGCTCGGCCAAGCGAGCCGGGATGTCCAAGGCGGGAACGTGGCTTCGCGCGCAACTCTCTGAGACGCGGGCCGGCTCACGTGTCCGGGCCGCACCACGAAAACAACAGCCACAGGGGAGAACAACCTCTTGTTTTCCTCATACAGCCGAGCTTTGCTGCAAACGATCCCTTTCCTTTTGTTTCCACATTGCGTTATTCAGAAGTGGTTATGCGGCGCCAAACACGCGCTTTCTGCCCCACAGGTTTCAGCCTTCCCCACCCTCATCTTCCCCGCGCTCCCCTCCCGTCGTTGTAGCTTCCTGCTCGCCCCTCTCATCTCAGCCAACCCTGCTGAGCTTTCGCGTGGGCGTCACGAGTTTCTAGGCAGATCAGGAAAACCGCTCTCCGGCCGCACCCTCGCGCGCCCCCGCCTGGCGGTGTAGAACAAACGGTCTGAGCGCTTGGCGGGCGACTGAGAGCGGAGCGGGCGAGGCCGAGGAGCGGAGGCTGAAGCCGTGAGGAGCGGCCCGGCGAGGGCGAGGGGCGTGCGAGCGGGCGGCCGCGGCTCGGTGAGGATTTCGGTCGTGTTTTCCTTGGCCGTCGCCGGAAGCCCGGAGAAGCCGGGTGGAACTGCCTTTTGAACGCGTTCTCACGTGTGTTAGGGATCGTCCTCCTGGAAGAGCCTTGATGGCCACGCGGTGTCCTCGCCCCTCTCTCCGCTGGACCCGAGGCCCCTTGCCAGCAAGAGCTGGCCTGGTGTCCGGTATCCACGTGGGGGGCAGTGGCCCTCACACAAGGATTGGTACCCATCTATCTAGTGCGTTGGTTCGTGCATTCACTTGTTCCTTTGTGGTCGTTGAACGCCTGTAACGTTCCAGGTGCTTGGGATCCATGAGTGAATAAAACCAAGGGCCCTGCCTTCCTTGGGACTTACAGTCCAGGGGAGACAGAGCCGCTGATTTCAGGTCTCATCAGTAAGTGACAGGGTGTTAGAGGGCGATAGTGCTGCGGAAGGGAAAGCGGTAGGCATGCGGGGGGTGCTGCGGTGAGGGGCGTGGGCAGGGAGGGCTGGGAAGCCCGAGGTCAGCGCAGGCCACATTACAAAGAGACTGAACTGGATAGAGGAGTGTTTGGGGAGAAGGAAGATAATTCCAGGCTGATGGACGAGAGAGTGCAGAGGCCCAGTGTGACTTGTATTTATAAGGAACAGCGGCCGGGCATGGTGGTTCACGCCTGTAATCCCAGCATTTTGGGAGGTCAAGGTGGGCGGATCACTTGAGGTCAGGGGTTCGAGACCAGCCTGGCCAACACGGTGAAACCCTATCTCTACCAAAACTACAAAAATTAGCCAGGCAAGGTGGTGCGTGCCTGTAATTCCAGCTACTTGGGAGGCTGAGGCAGGAGAATCGCTTGAATCCGGGAGGCGGAGGTTGCAGTGAGCGGAGATGGGGCCATTGCACTCCAGTCTGGGCAACAAGAGCAAACTCCGTCTCAAAAAAAAAAAAAAAAAAAGGAAAGAAAGAAGAGAAAAGATAGAAAACAGCAAGAAACCCTTGAATATGAAAATATGAATGGAAGGCAAGAAAGAAAGAAGGAGGGAGGGAAGGGAGGGAGGGAGGGAAGGAAGGAAGGAGGCAGGGAGGGAAGGGAGAGGGAGAGAGGGAGGGAGGAAGGAAGGAAGGGAGGAGGGAGGGAGGGAGGAAGGAAGGGCAGCAAGAAACCACTGACTATGAATGGAAGGCGAGAATCCCAGACTTGGACGCGAAGTTTAGTTCACACGCGCGGCCAAAGCAATCCAACAGCATGCGTCCCCACCCTCCTCTCACTGCCTACCCCTCTCCTGCAAAAGACCTCCCAGTGACTGGAGTGCAGGCCAAGACTTTCAGACAGTTTAAACCATTTTTTTTTTTTGAGACAGAGTTTCGCTCTGGAATGCAGTGGCGCAGTCTTGGCTCACTGCAACCTCTGCCTCCCAGGTTCAAGCAATTCTCCTGCCTCAGCCTCCTGAGTAGCTGGAATTACAGGCGCCCACCACCACGTCCAGCTAATTTTTGTATTTTTAGTAGAGACAGTGTTTCACCATGTTGGCCAGGCTGGTCTTGAATTCCTGACCTCAGGTAATCTGCCTGCCTCGGCCTCCCAAAGTCCTGGGATTACAGGCATGAGCCACCGCTCCCAGCCTCAGTTTAAATTTCTAATTTGGGATATAATCCACAGAATAAGCAAAAGGAATTCCAAAATAAATTAAAAATAATTTCTCCTTGGGGTTACTGCTTTCTTTCTCCTTAGCAAGATAAATACAAAATTTTGTGTTTCAGAACCTGATCATAATGTGCTATGTGAAAACAAGGATGAAAGATTGGAGCTATGGGGATAGTGGGGTGAGGGCAGGGCATGAAACAACAAAGAACAAAGTATGTGTCTGTATATGGGTATGAAAACAAAAACAACTCGCCCAGGACTGTTTTTTCTTAAGACTCTTTACAGGCATAGAGATAATACTAGTAGCAACTACAAAGAAAAACCGATTAGCTTGGCTTATAGTAATGAGCAATGGGAATTTTTTTTTTTTCGTTTTTTTGCTAAGACTGTAAAAGCAGAACATAGTCTCTGAGATAAACTGACAGCAGTGCAGCCGGGCATGGTGGCTCACGCCTGTAATCCCAGCACTTTGGGAGGCCGAGGTGGGTGGATCATGAGGTCAGGAGATCAAGACAATCCTGGCTAACACAGGGAAACCTCATCTCTCTAAAAATACAAACAAAATTAGCTGGGCGGGGTGGCACATGCCTGTAGTCCCAGCTCCTCAGGAGGCTGAGGCAGAATCGCTTGAACCAGGGAGGTGGAGGTTGCAGTGAGCAGAGATTGCACCACTGCACTCCAGCCTGGGCGACAGAGCAAGACTCTGTCGCAAAAAAAAAAAAAAATTGACAGCAGTGCTAGGCTATGTAGCAGAAGGTAACATCAGGTCAGGTGCAGTGGCTCACACCTGTAATCCCAGCATTTTGGAATGCCTAGATGGGAGGACTGCTTGAACCCAGGAGTCTGAGGCTGCGGTGAGCTATGATCACACCACTGCACTCTAGCCTGGATAACTGAGTGAGACCCCATCTCAGGAAAAAAAAAAAAAAAAAAAGAGGCCGGGCGCGGTGGCTCACACCTGTAATCCCAGCACTTTGGGAGGCCGAGGCAGGCCGTTCACAAGGTCAGGAGATCAAGACCATCCTGGCGAACATCGTGAAACCCCATTCTACTAAAAATACAAAAAATTAGCCGGGTGTGGTGGTGGGCACCTGTAGTCCCAGCTACTTGGGAGGCTGAGGCAGGAGAATGGCGTGAACCCGGGAGGCGGAGCTTGCAGTGAGCGGAGATTGCGCCATTGCACTCCAGCCTGGGCGACAGAGTGAGACTTCGTCTCAAAAAAAAAAAAAAAAAAACCATCAACAACAACAAAAAAAGAACGTAACATCAGCAAGCTACAGAGAAGAGTAAAGCAGGAGTTCTTGGATTAATCTCTAAGAGGAATTGTTTGTGACACTGTGGCCCCATTAAAGCACAAATAATCTGGATTCATGTTATAGATTTAAACATCATAAGACCTACACATTGGAGAGTGTAACTGCTGGATTAGTTCTAACTGGTTCTACTCCGCTAATAATGGGGTATCAAGTTATTTTACCGGCACAGAGCCAAGAAGTTGCAAGTCATTACAGTCAGAACATGTGCAGAAAGGGAGACTTTAACCTCAAATAACCCGGGAACTAAAGTCTTGCCCCTCAACAGAACCAAAAGATTGGGACATGGCTGGAATATGAGCACAGGAACACTTTCAAAAGCAACGGGTCCAAGCCCAGGAACGTCCAGTGATAAGACCCTTTACCATATCTTACCATAAGTGGTACTGTTTGAAGTCCTTCGGATCAAAACCTGTCCTGCCAGCACTTCCACCTATGCCCGTGTCCTCCCTCACACTTAAAATTTGTTCCAGACTCCAGATTGAAGAGACATATTTGAGCCTGTCTTCTTGCTCAGCCACCTTGCAATAAAAAGTCTGGTGCTTCAGTGTTTGGCTTTACATTGCACGTGGACAGACCGACCTGGTTTGGTTCGGTAACAAAGAGGAGAGCTTGCTTTATTTATTTATTTATTTATTTATGACAAGGTCTTCCTCTGTTGCCCAGGCTGGGAGTACAGAGGTGTGGTCATGGCTCACTGCAGCCTCAAACTCTTTGGCTCAAGTGATCCTCCCACCTCAGCCTCACAGGTAGCTAGCACTACAGGTGAGCATAACCACACCTGGCTAATTCTTTAATTTTTTTGTAGAGACAGGGGTCTTGCTATGTTGCCTAGGTTGCTCTCAAACCAGTGGGCTCAAGCAATTCTCCCACTTTGGTGTCCCAAAATGCTGGGATTATAGGCATGAGTCACCGCACCCAGCTTAATTTTTCTTATATGGCTTAAAAGCCAGTTCTAAATTACTTTCAGGCTGGGCATGGTGGCTTATGCCTGTAATCCCAGAACCTTGGGAGGCTTAGGTGTAAGGATCACTGGAGGCCAGTAGTTCAAGATTAGCCTGGACAACATAGTGAGACCCCTGTCTCTACAAAAACATTAATAAAAAAATTATCTGGGTGTGGTGGTGTGTGCTTGTAGTCCCTGCGACTCAAGAGACTGAGGTGGGAGGATTGCTTGAGCCCAGGAATTTGAGGCTGCAGCAAGCTGTGATCATACCACTGCACTTCAGCCTGGGCAACAAAGCAAGACCCTGTCTCAATATATAAATAAATAATTTCAAAAAAGGTTTTGAATAATTGTGTCATCCTGGAAAAAGATGATAGCCTTCCAAAGTGGTTATTTTGAAGGGTAACCTTCACTTGGGAGTATAAATTTTCATATGCCTGTTATCCCTGTATTAAAAAAAAAAACTCTTTCAGACCAGCATAGAAGTGGAGTTAGACCTGTTCCAAACCCACTGTATGAAAATTAAATACAAAATTGGAGGGTAGTCCTTCATTTATGGAATACCCAGAATATCATAGGCTCTGTGCTAGGTGCTGGAGACACAAGATAAGTACACTAGAGCCTCTTACCCTCAAGGAATTTCTAGTATAGTGATGATTACATCACTGAAATAATTCACCAAAGTGAACTAATATATGCAACTTCAGAAATCTTGTTTGGCATAAAGTGAGGTAGAGATCATGTATAACAAGTAAGGGACTGTGAAGTGGGATAAGGCTAGTCAAGAAGCCTTTCTTAGAAGAAATTAGCTTGAATGAGTTTTTGTTTTGTTTTATTTTTTTGAGATGGAGTCTCACTCTGTCACCCAGGCTGGAGTGCAGTCGCATGATCTCGGCTCACTGCAACCTCCGCCTCCTGAGTTCAAGTGATTCTCCCGCCTCAGCCTCCCGAGTAGCTGGGATTATAGGCACCCACCACCACGCCCGACTAATTTTGTATTTTTTTAGTAGAGACGGGGTTTCACCATGTTGGCCAGGCTGGCCTGAAACTCCTACCTCAGGTGATCCACCCGCCTCAGCCTCCCAAAGTGCTGGGATTACAAGTATGAGCCACCGTGCCCAGTCTAAACTCAGTTTTTCATGTTTCCATGCCAGCACCCTTCTATTGACTCAGTCTAATAGATGGAGGCAAACTAGTAAAAAGGTAAGTAGAATACAACTTATACAGGAATCTTGATAATATCGCCTCATCCTTTTTCATATTTTCCCCCATGTTTTTGCTATGCACATAAGCTAAACTGAAATAAATAGATATAAGACATTCTTTTAGTACACCTTCACTGCTGATGTTTTTGCTGTAATTTTTCTAGACTAGTGAGGTTTCAGAAAAAGGGACTGAGTTTTAATATCAAATAAGCAATTTTCCTTATATATATATTTTTGGTCACTTTCTCCAGCATTGCTGTCTTTTTCTCTCCAGCCTTTGGCCCTTCTTATCAGGATGAAAACGCTTCTGTTTGGTGTCTGGACCCTGCTGGCCTTGATCCTTTGCCCAGGTGAGGCTATTCGGGAAAGCTTTTTAAACCAGTATGTGTCAGGACACAGGTAGCTGGTCAGTGAGGAAGGGGGTGGGGAGTCCTGAGTGGGGTGACACTTCAGTGTTCATTCATCTGGACCCGGGGGAAAGATTCCTGTCTCTTGGATCACTAGGACACAGAATCGTTACGGTCTCTGGCTTGTATTTGGGATAACACTAGTTAATAGACTATCAGAGAGGACTCTCCCTAGGAAACATGCCTTCTCCGCTTGGTTCCCTTCTGCCCCAGGACTGCCCTGTGTTTCTCCTCTTGAGAATGTTTTTACTTCTTTGTTGCCACCGTTTGTGTCATGATGAACTATAATAGGCTCTTGGTAGGACAGGACCCATACATAGCTCAGGTACAGAAAGTGAGTTCTCCTGATGACGGGAAAGGAACAGGGGCCTTAGCAGGTAACATTGCTACAAGAGCTGTGTATTCCCAGAGGGGACTGGTATTGGGAGGTGAAGTAGATGGTAGATATGGACTAGCTAAAGAGGACCTGTAGAGAAGCCTTCAGGACTTCCTGAAGTCTCCGTGCCCTTTACCTACATCAGGCATCTAAAATCCATCCGAGGCCAGGCGTGGTGGCTTGGCCAGGCACAGTGGCTCATGCCTATAATCCCAGCACTTTGGGAGGCTGAGGCAGGCGGATCACCCAAAGTCACGAGTTCGAGACCAGCCTGACCAACATGGTGAAACCCCGTCTCTACTAAAATTAGCCGGGCGTGGTGGCATGCACCTGTAATCCCAGCTACTTGGGAGGCTGAGGCAGGAGAATCACTTGAACATGGGAGGCGGAGGTTGCAGTGAGCCGAGATCGTGCCATTGCACTCCAGCCTGGGCAAAAAGAGTGAAACTCTGTCTCAAAAATAAAATAAAATAAAGTAAAATAAAATAAAAATCCATCTGACATCTCCCATTGCATCAGAGAAGATTTCCAGAACAGACGAAATTTGTAAGCATCCAAAACATCCATTCCCTTAGCGCCAAATCAAAATGGAATGGTCTCACTCTGAGAAGAGGCATAAAGAAGAGGCATGGAAAATGAGTGACCCTGGGAGTTACCTGCAGGCCAATGGATCTGAGAATTTGGTGTGCATAAGGGTCCCCGGGAGGCTTGTTTTATTCCTTAGCATATTTTCAGGTCCCACCTTCACAGGTTTGAAACCATGCGCTCTGAGGTGGAGTTGGAGTCTGCAGTTTACAAGCATTTAGGATGATTCTGGCAAAGGGAATCCTTAGCCATAATTTGAGAGAGACACTGCTTTCAGGGATAAGTAATGAAGTTCGAATCCTGTGAGGGTCCACAGCAGCCTATTATGGGGAGCTTTCAAGAATTCTGAAAGTTTAGGAAGATATTGGTTTCCTGGGCATAATTTTTTTTAGCAACTCCATAATTTCCATGGTGATACTAATAGAGAATTCAAGTTCTCAAGAAAGATGATAGGTGGAGGGAATAGTGGTGAAATCAGAGCTAACTTGTTAACTACAGTTTTTTTTTGTTTGTTTGTTTGAGACGGAGTTTCACTCTTGTTGCCCAGGATGGAGTGCAATGGCACAATCTCAACTCACTGCAACCTCTGCCTCCTGGGTTCAAGTGATTCTCTGCCTCAGCCTCCTGAGTAGCTGGGATTACAGGCACGCATCACCATGCCTGGCTAATTTTGTATTTTTAGTAGAGACGGGGTTTCTCCATATTGGTCAGGCTGGTCTCTAACTTCCAACCTCGGGTGATCCGCCCACCTTGGCCTCCCAAAGTGGGGAGGATTACAGGCGTGAACCACCCCGCCCGGCCAATTACAGGTCTTTTGTCCTGTCTGGTTGTCTGAACCTTTTTTTTCAGGGCAGGTTTCCTGTTCTCTAACCTGGAACTAGATAGAATAGGTTCTGTATTTATTTGGGTCTCGTGGTCCTCACCAGAGTCATTGGCATATGTGGTTCATTTTTTTTTTTTTTTTTTTTTGAGATGGAGTCCTGCTCTGTTGCCAGGCTGGAGTGCAGTGGCACAATCCCGGCTCACTGCAACCTCTGCCTCCTGGGTTCAAGCGATTCTCCTGCCTCAGCCTCCCGAGTAGCTGGGATTACAGGCGTGCGCCACTACACCCAGCTTATTTTAGTACTTTTAATAGAGACGGGGTTTCATCATGTTGGCCAGGATGGTCTTGATCTCTTGACCTTGTGATCCGCCCGCCTCGGCCTCCCAAAGTGCTGGGATTACAGGCGTGAGCCACCGCGCCTGGCCGATGTGGTTCATATTTCAGGGGTCCCGGAAGAGTTGTTTGAGGTTTCTATTTGGCCAAGTCAGGCCCTGGTGGAGTTTGGACAGTCCCTAGTGGTCAACTGCAGCACTACTTGCCCAGACCCAGGACCCAGTGGAATTGAGACCTTCTTAAAGAAAACTCAGGTGGGCAAAGGGCCTCAGTGGAAAGAGTTTCTTCTGGAGGATGTCACAGAGAATTCCATCCTGCAGTGCTTCTTCTCTTGTGCAGGGATTCAAAAGGACACAAGCCTTGGCATCACTGTGTATTGTGAGTAGGGCTGAGGGCTGGGGGCAGGGGGATGGAAAGGAGGAATGGGGAAACATGAACATGTCTTATTTAGGGAAGGATGGGACAAATGTTTCTAATTAGGGGAGATAATTAAGGCCCTTAATAAAGATTTCTGGCATACTGTAGGGATTCTAGATCCAATCACCTTTTTCATTTATTTTTTTTTTTTTGAGATGGAATCTTGCTCTATTGCTCAGGCTAGAGTGCAGTGGTGTGATCTCAGCTAACTGCAGCCTCCACCTGGGTTCAAGCAATTCTCCTGCCTCAGCCTCCCCAGTAGCTGGGACTACAGGCAGCCACCACCATGCCTGGCTAATTTTTGTATTTTTTTTAGTAGAGACAGGGGTTTCACCATGTTGGCCAGGCTGGTCTTGAACTCCTGACCTGAAGTGATCTATCTGCCTCAGCCTCCCAAAGTGCTGGGATTACAGGTGTGAGCCACCTCAAGTCCAGCAAGTAGAAGTGAGCCGGGCCCACTTCTACTTCCCTTTGATGTAGGCTTTCTTCTGAGTTTTAAATTAGGAGCAGACCATAGAGAGCATCCAGATTATCTGTGCTTGAAAATATCTTCAATACAGGAAACATATGCTAATAATGTTTATGGTTAAATTACCAAAAAGTATAAGATTAGCCTGGCCACAGTGGTTCATGCTTTAATCCCAGCACTTTGGGAGGCCAAGGCAGGAGGATCACTTGAGGCCAGGAGTTTCAGACCAGCTTGAGAAACACAGTGAGACCTCTGTTTCTACAAAAGAAGTTTTTAAAATTAGCCAGGCATAGTGGCGTGCACCTGTGGTCCCAGCTACTTGGGAGGCTAAGGTGGGAGGATCCCCGGAGCCTAGAAGTTCAAGCCTGCAGTGATCTATGATCACACCACTGCACTCCAGCCTGGGCAACAGAGTGGGATCCTGTCTCTTAAAAAAAAAAAGTATGAAATTAATGCTGAATTGTTTGCTACAAGCTCTTGGAATAAACAGAGATTGGAGAGAGAAGGGTTTTTGTGAGCTGGGGCAGCCTGAGAAGGCTCCATGGTAGAGGAGGCTCCTGCACTGCCCTCCCCCAGGATAGTTAGGGTTTGAATTGAAGGGGACAGGTGAGGAAGGCCTTTCAGGTGGGCAAATAACATGGACAAAGATATGGCACGAAAGCAAATGTGGTCTCTATGGGGTCAGAACTTGGTTAGCTATAGTTTGGTTTGTTTGTTTGTTTGTTTTGAGATGGAGTCTTGCTCTGTTGCCCAGGCTGGAGTGCAGTAGCACAATCTTGGCTCACTGCAACCTCTGCCTCCCGGGTTCAAGCAATTCTCTGCCTCAGCCTCCCGAGCAGCTGGGATTACAGGCACCTGCCACCGCACCTGGCTAATTTTTGTATTTTTAGTAGAGACTGGGTTTCACCATCTTGGCCTGGCTGGTCTGGAACTCCTGACCTCAAGTGATCCGCTTGCCTTGGCCTCCCAAAGTACTGGGATTACAGGCGTGAGCCACTGCACCTGGCCTGCTACAGTATAGATTTTATGTGATGCTAAGGAGCCCCCGGAAGCTGCTCTTGCCTCTGAAGCCCCTCTGGTAAGAGATCAATGCTTTCCAGAATGGCAGCAACAGTCAAAGCAAGGGACTCTCCCTCAGCAGTCACTCTTCTTTGCTATGGCCATAGCCACTTTTGATGCGAAGAAGAAGAGCCAGAAGACTAACTCACCCCATCTAGGGCAGGGATGGCAGAAAGCTGACATTGCTGATCAGATGGTTTAAGGGTGGCAGTCACCTTCTGTGATTTGTATCACCTCATCTTTCTGTCCTATGCTGTTTCTTTCTGGAGAGGTGGGTGGCATGCTCATCAAGTCCTGCCTTTTTGTCTTAAAGAGCCACCAGAGCAAGTGATCCTGGAGCTGCAGCCTGCCTGGGTGGCTGTGGACGAAGCCTTCACAGTGAAGTGTCATGTACCCAGTGTAGCACCCTTGGAGAGTCTCACCCTTGCCCTTCTCCAGGGTAACCAAGAACTGCATAGAAAGAACTTTACGAGCTTGGCTGTGGCCTCCCAAAGAGCTGAAGTCATCATCAGTGTCAGAGCCCAAAAGGAGAATGACAGATGCAATTCTTCCTGCCATGCAGAACTGGACTTGAGTTTGCAAGGTGGGAGGCTCTTTCAAGGCAGCTCACCCATCAGAATAGTCCGGATCTTTGGTGAGTCAGAACTCAAGTGCAGGAGGAATCCTGGGGCTCATCTTGCCTTGGCCTTTGGGACTAAGTTCTCACGGGGTTTAGGGTGAGGATGTGAGAGTAACTGAGCTCCACCTTTGCTTGAGCTTTAAACTCACCCTGCGGAAGAGAGACATTTTAGCCCCACTCCCTTCCTACCTTGAAGGGTCCTGCATGATGTGTGATTTATCATGGCTTTTCTCCTTTCTCTTCTTGTCCTCATTTTTTTGGCAGAATTCTCTCAGAGTCCCCACATCTGGGTCTCTTCCCTTTTGGAGGCTGGGATGGCGGAGACTGTGAGCTGCGAGGTGGCTAGGGTGTTTCCAGCCAAAGAAGTTATGTTCCACATGTTCCTGGAAGACCAAGAGCTGAGCTCCTTCCTTTCCTGGGAGGGGGACACAGCATGGGCCAATGCTACCATTCGGACCATGGAGGCTGGTGATCAGGAACTGTCTTGCTTTGCATCTCTGGGTGCAATGGAACAGAAGACAAGAAAGCTAGTGCATAGCTACAATAAGTGGCCTGGCTCTTCCTTTTTCATACGGGTTCTCTGCTGCTGAAAACACAGAGTAACGGGTTGGTGATTCGGCTGTAGACATCCCTGCTGCCCTTTGCTGGGTATGCTCTCAAGTGAACATGAGTCTTCATCTTTCTCTGGTAAATGCAGGCAGATTGGGGACATGGGCTACAGTAGTTCTTTCCAGCCTTCATCCCCAGTTTCCTTAGGCTATCCTGCTTACAGAGTGATTGTGGATGCCCTGAACTACTTCTTAGAAACACTTATTTGAGGTGAGGAGGAAAGCTGTAAGATGAAAAGACATCTTGCAGTCCTTGCAGCGAAGCATAGCTAAATGTGTGCATGCATAAGAGAAGCTCTTGAATCCCCAAACCACCTCATTCTTTCTTCAGCTTTTACAGAAGAAGCAATGGTATCCAAAATCTTTCCCCTGTTGTCTGCCTTCCCAAGGGCTTTTACCAGCAGCAAGAGTGCAGAAGTGTCTGCTAGTTTTGAGAAATGTGTCTGGTTCTCCTTTTCCTTTCCTTATAGGCTTCCCTCCACCAATCCTGGAGCTAAAAGAATCATACCCATTGGCAGGGACCGACATTAATGTGACCTGCTCAGGGCATGTATTAACATCACCCAGCCCTACTCTTCGGCTTCAGGGAGCCCCAGACCTCCCTGCTGGGGAGCCTGCCTGGCTTCTACTTACTGCCAGGGAGGAAGATGATGGCTGAAATTTCTCCTGCGAGGCCTCTTTGGTGGTGCAGGGTCAGCGGTTGATGAAAACCACTGTGATCCAGCTCCATATCCTATGTGAGTGGAGGCCTGATCTTTCTTGTCAAAATAAGGATTATTATTTTCCCATTTCTAGAGAGCTTCTTGGCCAGCAGTGCTTCATTATTACAGTTGCCACATTTTTCTCATTAAAAAAAAAAATCAAAGGAGAAAATAAAAGGAAAGCTTTCCAAGCTTACCTTACTCCCGGGAAAGCAAGTGGGGAACCAGATGAGGGGAAATTGGGAACATAAAGGAAAGGAGTTAAAGTGATCAGGCAATATTAATTAAGGGTCGATGGCCGAGGAGAACAAAGGAAGTGATAGTGGGAGTTTATGCTGAAAAGGGAAATTTCCAAAAATTCCATATACACATTTCTATTTTGAAGAGTAGAGAAAATAGGCCAGGTGCGGTGGCTTACGCCTGTAATCCCAGCACTTTGGGAGGCTGAGGCGGGTGGATGGCTAGCGGTCAGGAGTTCAAGAGCAGCCTGACCAACATGATGAAACCCTGTCTCTACTAAAAATACAAATATTAGCCAGGCATGATCGTGGGTGCCTGTAATTCCAGCTACTCAGGAGGCTGAGGCAGGAGAATTGCTTGAAACCTGGGAGGCGGAGGTGGCAGTGAGCTGAGATCACGCCACTGCATTCTAGCCTGGATGACAAAGCGAGACTTCGTCTCAAAAAAAAAAAAAAAAAAAAAAGAAAAGAAAAAATCCTCATCTCTGAGTTCACCACTACCTAGCTCCTTACCCACTGAGAAGCAAAGATGGGAAGCAGGGGCCCCAGGGCCACCATGGACAGAGCAGGGTTATCATGTAGTCTGAATCCGTAAAAACACCCTAGGTTTTGGCGGGGCCTGGTGACTCACGCCTGTAATCCCAACACTTTGGAAGGTCAAGGCGGGCGGATCATGAGGTCAAGAGATCGAGACCATCCTGGCCAACATGGTGAAACACCATCTCTACTACAGATACAAAAATTAGCTGGGCATGGGGGCACATGCCTGTAGTCCCAGCTACTCTGGAAACTGAGGCAGGAGAATCGCTTGAACCTGGGAGGTGGAGGTTACAGTGAGCTGAGATCGCGCCACTGTACATACTCCAGCTTGGCGACAGAGCAAGACTCCATCTCAAAACAAACAAACGAACAAAAAAAACACCCTAGGTTTCATCTGGGACTCCCTACCGATAGAGAAGGTGGGAAAGAAGAGTTGGCTCAAAGCAGGGAGCTGCTAGTGCTCCCTTGGGAAGGAAAGCTGTTGGGTGGAGGGGACAGCATTTGGGTGAGGGGAGGAGAGGGAGCAGGGGGTGAAGGTAGGGAGGGAGTGTGGTGCACTGAACTCAGCTCTTTGGGAAACTGTTTTTGCAGGCAAGCCACAGTTAGAGGAATCCAGTTGCCCTGGCAAACAGACCTGGCTGGAAGGGATGGAACACACGCTCGCCTGCGTCCCAAAGGGAAACCCAGCTCCAGCCTTGGTGTGTACCTGGAATGGGGTGGTCTTTGACCTTGAAGTGCCACAGAAGGCAACCTAGAACCACACTGGAACCTACCGCTACACAGCCACTAACCAGCTGGGCTCTGTCAGCAAAGACATTGCTGTCATTGTTCAAGGTAACCTTTGCTGCCCTGCTGCCAGGCCCAGGATGGAAACCCCTCAGGAGTTTGGGATTCTTATCTAAGCATGAAAATAAGAAAGATTCTACTAGGTTGGGAAGAATGAGACTCAGAAGTGGGCCTGGTGGGCTGGGGTGGGTGATCCTTGTACTCTCAGACTTTCCTAACTCTATCTTCTGTGCTTGGGCAGGACTGGATGAAGGAATAAGCTCTACCCTCTTTGTCATTATTACCGTTGCCCTTGGAGTGGGTGTCATCACCATAGCACTGTATTTGAGCTATCGGCCCTGCAAAGTGGACAGGAGGAAATTGCTCTATAGGCAGAAAGAGGAGGACAAAGAGGAGGAAAGCCAGTTTGCTGTTCAGGAAGAGAAAAGTACAACTCATATAATTGACAACTGTTTGATTGAATGAGACTTCTGCTACTGTGGTTTCCCAGGGAGGGAAGAAGGGATAGAGGAGAAAGGAAGAAACACAATGGCAGGCTGCATTCCCCTTTGTGTACGTCTGTCCTGTAAAACGGTGTTTCAGGCCCCCATGCCCCATGTCCTGTGTGTCCAATATGTCCACAAGCTCACCATTCTCTCTCTCTCTCTCTTTTCTTTTCTTTTTCTTTTTCTTTTTTTTTTTTTTTGAGATGGAGTCTTGCTGTTGTCGCCTAGGCTGGAGTGCAATGATGCGATCCTGGCTCACTGCAACTGCAGCCTCCCGGGTTCAGGTGATTCTCCTGCCTCAGCCTCCCTGGCAGCTGGGATTACAGGTGCACACCACCATGCCTGTCTAATTTTTGTACTTTTCGTAGAGATGGGGTTTCACCATGTTGGCTGGGCTGGTCTCAAACTCCTGACCTCAAGTGATCCGGCCACCTTGGCCTCCCAAAGTGCTGGGATTACAGGTGTGAGCCACCGCGCCCAGCCACCTTTCTCTTTAGAGCTCACTCTAGTCATTAAGAATCTCAGTCTCAATGTTTGATTTGTAAGAAGGCCTCTTGCTCCTTGCCAGGTGCTTCATCAGTCCACTCTTAGATACAAAAAAAAGATCCTGCTGTTTCTTTATGGTTTCCACTGCCCTTTTCTCTTAAATATCATACTAAAGTCAGGCACATCTTAGAAATGCAACTCATATTTCATGGTTTTCTGATTACTAACTGGGAACTAAATTTGTAGTCCAGGGACAGGACTTTGAAGGGAGTAAGTATCAAATATGGGGCTAGGAATCAGAGCTCTGTTCCCATCTCCACTTTCCCTTGCTCCCCTGACCTGGGCTTCTGGAGGGCCAGCTCCCAGAGCTGAGCTTGTTGACATCATTAAGGATCAGTGGCAAGCTTCAACTCAGTAACCATCTGTTGTGGGTCTTGGGGGAGTATACAGATGGTAAGAAATTCCACTTTGGGCCAGACAAGCATCCTATCTAGCCCAGTGTTCTGTCTCTGAAGTAGAAGGTAGAGTTCTTCCATGAAATTGGCCTCATAGGTTAAGAGCTCCAAACATCTCTGAATTCCTTTTCATAGAGTGATCAACTGTGAGTTCGCATTTGTCAGTTTTTTTTTTGTACCCATGTGGGTGTCTAGGTTAGAGTTGCAATGTTTACTCTCCCTTTTCATCAATAAGGACATATTTTCTTCTGTCTGTAAGCAATTTCCTTGAAGCTTCAAGAAGAATCCTCTTGTGAAAATGTTCATATGATTTTATGATTCTGCTTCCTTCCCTGTCCTTGGGAAAGAGTATATTCACCCTCAGAGAAGGCGTGAGGAATCACCAAACCAGATCTTTTCTCCCAAATCAGTCAAGAAATGTTCACTGGAATGTTGCTATGGTAAAAATAAAAGTGGTTTTATGATGTCCAAATGCAGTTCCCTTCCCTTCTGTGTCATTGCTGAAACCTCTTATTTATTTATTTATTTATTTATTTATTTATTTTAAGACAGAGTCTTGCTCTGTCGCCCAGGCTGGAGTGCCGTGGCACGATCTCGGCTCACTGCAAGCTCCGCCTCCTGGGTTCACACCATTCTCCTGTCTCAGCCTCCCAAGTAGCTGGGACTACAGGCACATGCCACCATGCCGGGCTAATTTTTTGTATTTTTAGCAGAGACAGGGTTTCACTGTGTTAGCCAGGATGGTCTTGATCTCCTGACTTGATTCGCCCACCTGGGCCTCCCAAAGTGGCTGGATTACAGGCGTGAGCCACTGTGCCTGGCCGCTGAAAGCTCTTATTATGTCAAATGGTTGCATTTTATAACTTTTTCTTTTTTTTTTTTTAGATGGAGTCTCACTCTGTTGCCCAGGCTGGAGTGCAGTGGCGCGATTTCGGCTCACTTCAACCTCCACCTCCCAGTTTCAAGCAATTCTCTGCCTCAGCCTCCCGAGTAGCTGGGATTACAGGCACCCACCGCCATGACCAGCTAATTTTTTGTATTTTTAGTAGAGACAGGGTTTCACCATCTTGACTAGGCTAGTCTTGAAGTCCTGACCTCGCGATCCACCCACCTTGGCCTCCTAAAGTGCTGGTATTACTGGCGTGAGCCACCGCTCTTGGCTGCATTTTATAACTTTAAGTACAATTTCTAAGGAAAAAATACCGTGTTGATAGCATAAACAACCAGCTCAGGGCAGGGGGTGCATTAGCTCAGGGCAGCAGCCTATTTGACCTGCTTTCAAAACTGAAATTCAGGCCGGGGGCAGTGGCTCACGCCTGTAATCCCAGCACTTTGGGAGGCTGAGGCGGGTGAATCACTTGAGCCCCGGAGTTTGCGAATAGCCTGGGCAACATGGCAAAACCCCATTTCTACAAAAAATACAAAACTAGGCCAGGTATACTGGCACGTGCCTGTAGTCCCAGCTACTTGAGAGTCTGAGGTGGGAGGATCACTTGAGCACAGGAGATGGAGGGTTGCAGCAAGTTGAGATCATGCACTGCACTCCAGCCTGGGCGACAGAGCCAGACCCTGTCTCAAAAACAAAACAAAGGAAACAAAAACAAAAACTAAAGTTCAGACTTCCAGATAGAGAGAGGTCCATAGCCTTCCAAATTGCAGATACTAGCTAGAAAAAACCATGGTATCAGACAGCAGAGGGAAAATGTTTTTCCATTCTTCCCAGACCTCCCCTAAGTCTGGTGTTATAGATTAAGTATAAAAATAACCCTTTGGAAGGCCAGGCACGGTGGCTCATGCCTGTAATCCCAGCACTTTCGGAGGCCAAGGGGGGCGGATCACAAGGTTAGGAGATCGAGACCAGCCTGGCTAACACGGTGAAACCCCGTCTCTACTAAAAATACAAAAAAATTAGCTGGGCATGGTGGTGGACACCTGTAGTCCCAGCTACTCGGGAGGCTGAGTCAGGAGAATGGCGTGAACCCGGGAGGCAGAGCTTGCAGTGAGCCGAGATCGCTCTGCTGCACTCCAGCCTGGGGACAGAGCAAGAGTCCGTCTCCAAAAAAAGAAAAAAGAAAAAAAATAATAAGCTTTTCGTTTCACCACATACAAGGCAGTGGGGATACAGTGGTGAACAAAACATTGTCCCTGGCTTCCACAAATTTATTAGGAAAGCAAGACAAACAAGTATGTAATGAACAAAAAAGTTCATTACATTTGAGCATGAACTCCTATGACTGGGAAAACAGATTGTTAAGAGAAAGCATAACTCGGATCAAGGAAGGCTTCCTGGAGGGACACGAAATATCTTGACTTTGTAAAATAGCATCATCCCGGAACATGACCTTTTCAACCTCAATGTTTCCACTAGGTGGAGCTACTGCTCTCTCATCATGTGAGTCTAATATAAATCATCCACCTTCCCTGAATTGAGCATTTGGGGAAGTAAGTTAAGAAGCAGGTTTAAGAGACAGGAGTATAGAGCTGCCCCATGCAGGGATCCACAGACATTTCGGTGTCAGGATCAGCCACATCAAGGCTATAGTTATCTTGTATCTGCAAACCCTGCCTCATGGCCTCAGTGCCTTGAAGCACAGCGAATCCAAAAAGGAAGGGAAAAATGAGCCAGGCATGCCGGTGTGCACCTGTAATCCCAGCTACTGGGGAGGCTGAGGCAGGAGAATCGCTTGAACCTGGGAGGCAGAGTTGCAGTGAGCCGAGATCGTGCCATTGCACTCCAGCCTGGGCAACAGAGTGACACCCCATCTTGAAGAAAACAAAAACAAAAGCAAACAAACAAAAAACAAGACAAAACCAAAAAAAGAGGGAAGAAGGGGGCCACTTGGACTTTCTAGTTCCAGCAGGGAGATCCTGGAGGCTCAACCGGCTGCTGCCTTTGCTTCTCACTGCCACAGGGTGTCAGTGTGGACAGATGGTCCCACACAGTACCCTCAAACCAAGCGGGTCTGCAGATCTGGGTTCCTACCTGCTGTGGATCTCTGAGGGAGGATGATCTGCTTCTTCGGGGCCTGGTCCAGCAGCGGGTGTCCTCTTGCTGGGGTTTCCAGGGTTCCAGTTCTTAGAGCTCAGTAGTTTGGATGAGCCGTCCCGCAAAGCTCTTCAGAGTAGGCTGGGCTGTTTCCCTTGTAGACTTGGAACCTCTGTTCGCTTTCCTTCCCGAAGGATCCACACAACCAGTGGTCAGGCAGGCAGCCCCTTCTCATTGATTCTTTTTTTTCTTTTCTTTTTATTTTTTTTGGAGACAGAGTCTCGCTCTGTCTCCCAGGCTGGAGTGCAGTGGCGCAATCTCGGCTCACTGCAACTTCTGCTTCCCGGCTTCAAGCAATTTTCCCTTCTCAACCTCTAGAGTAGCTGGGATTACAGGTGTCTGCCACCACACCCGGCTAATTTTTGTGTTATTAGTAGAGACAGGGTTTCATCATGTTGGCCAGGCTGGTCTCAAACTCCTGACCTCAGGTGATCTGCCCACCTTGGCCTCCCAATGTGCTGGGAGTACAGGCGTGAGTCACCACGCCTGGCTTCATTGATTCTGAAAGCAGGAAGGGTCTCATATCTCTTTTCCAGTATGATAGAGCTTCTAAGGGTAGCTGCCTCATTGTCTATAGGAGGAGGCCCCACCCCTAAATGATTTTGATCATATTCTTTCTGAACATTAAAGCAACCAGCTCACGCTTAAATTGCAGGTATCTTGATTATCTCCAGAGGAAGAGTGGCCTTTAATACTCCAAAATTTTATCCTCTTTCTTATTATTTTTGAGAGAGAATCTTGCTCAGCCACCCAGCTGGAGTGCAGTGGCATGATGGGCTCAGCGCAACTCTGCCTCCCGGGCTCAAGCGATTCTCGTGCCTCAGTAGCTGGGAATACAGGTGTGCACCACCACACCTGGCTAATTTTTGTATTTTTAGTAGAGACGGGGTGCCATCATTTTGGCCAGGCTTGTCTTGAACTCCTGATCTCCTCCCGCCTCGGCCTCCCAAAGTGCTGAGATTACTGGCTTGAGCCACTGTGCCTGGCAGTTTATCCTCTCAAGGATGGTCAGGGTGACATTCTGGCGTCTTTGTCTTTAGACCTGAGAAAGAGTAAGTTACATCTTTAGTGGGACTTCTTACCATAGGATTAATAATAGTATTTACCTTAGAAGATTATACTTAGAAAGAAATGACATAATACTTGCAATAAACTAGCATGTTGCTGGAGACATGTGTTTACATTTGTTGGTTTTTGTGATTACACTGATAATTCTGGTGGTAATTAAGCACATCATTATAATCACAGTAAACTCAAAGCAAGAATCAGAAATCCATGGTAACCTTGAGCACCATCAAAAGTCATATACACCGTGTGCAGCTTTCTGATTTTTCTACTCTTTTTCTTGCTCCTTCCCCTACTTTCCCCCCAGTTTGGTCCCCTAAGATTTAGGACTACTAATAGGGTGACCAGTCCTGTGAGCTGAGTTTGCATTGAGCTGAGGGATTCCTGGAAGGAATGTGGGACTTCCAGTGTTGACATTGAGAAAGTCTCCTGCAAACCAGGACGAGTTGGTGACCCTAATCCCAGCGGTGCTCATTGTGTGCCTCAGCACTCCAGGGCCTTCTGAATTAAAGAAGCATCCAGGCAAAGTGTCAGCTTGTCTTGGCCTAGAAGCCCAGACCCTATAATTCAGAAGAAAAGGGAAGGGGTCAGTTCTGCTCTCAACTGTGTATAAAGGGACAAAACCCACCATGTGTATTTGGACAATGCTCATGGAAGAAATTCAGAAGTGGTCATTTTAGGTTAGGGTAAATTCAAAAAAAATGACAGAGTCAGTAAAACATTATGCCAGGGGTCAAGGATGACTGGAGCTCTGCCTGCTGAACTCTTCCTTGTGTGAGTCTTGCTAATCTTATCTTCAGGAAGAGTTTTCATTAGAAAATACCAATAAGAGCCAGGCCTGGTGGCTCCCGCCTGTAATCCTATCACTTTGGGAGGCCAAGAAGGGTGGATCACCTGAGGCCAGGAGTTTGAGACCAGCCTGGCCAACATGGCGAAACCCTGTCTTTACCAAAAATACAAACATCTGCCCTGTGTGGTGGTGCACGCTTATAATCCCAGCTACTCAGGAGGCTGAGGCATGAGAATCACTTGAACCCGGGAGGAGGCGGAGGTTGCAGTGAGCCAAGATCCCACCACTGCACTCCAGCCTCTGTCTCAAAAACAAAAACAAAAATAAAGTATTAACAATTTTTAGTTGTGAGAAGATATAAACGTTTCCATCTTAACCATTTTACGTGTACAGTTCAGTCATGTCAAGTACATTGACATCGTCATGCAACCCTCACCACCATCCATCTCCAGAACCCTTTTCATCTTGCACAGCTGAAACCCTGTGCTCATTAAATAGCTCCCTATTCCATCCCTCCCCACAGCCACTGGCAGCCACCATCCTACTTTTTGTCTCTATGAATTTGACTGCTCTGAGTACCTCATCTGACTGGAATCAGAGAGTATTTGTCTTTTTGTGACTGGCTCATGATAAACACTTTTTAGATGACTGGTTGGAATTAGGAGCAGGTGGCACCACAACTGGCCCAGGCCTCTCATCTCCTTTTTCTCCTTTCTCCCTATTCCACCAGTACAACAGCTGTGAACACATGGGTCTCATCTTTGCGGTCCCTAACACAGTGGTTCTCAACCTTGTTTACATGTTAGAATCACCTGGGAAAGTTTTCAAACTACTCTTGCCTGGACCACATTCCAGTCTAATTATATCAGAATCTCAGGGAGTGAGGGCTCACGTATGCATCGTTTAGAAAACATCCTAGGCATCTCAAATTTGCAGCAGAAATTGCCGTCCACACCAAGTTGATGAGCTGAAATGTAGACTAACAGTGGGTAAATCAGAGTTTAAAGTAGATGGTCTTTAAGGTCTTTTTATGTTCTAAAATGTGCAAAGTCAGCTAGTATCTAATTCTCAACCAGCAGTGGTTGAGTGGATTCTCCTACACCCGAGGGGAGCTGGGTGGACAGTCTCTGGCATGTGGCTCCCCCTGCAGTTCAGTTATATGTTATGACCACCCCACTTTAGAACCCTCTTAGCCACCCAAGTAGGCGCTGGACATTGTCATTCCACTGTCACGTGCATTCAACAAATACTTATTAAGATGGCTCACAATTCCTTTTAAAACACGCAAGCTGAGAGATAATTATAATTGTGCTCATTCCATCGACTTCTAAAGACTGAGATTTCTAAATAATTTTAAGGCCAAATGAAGGACATTGCAGGAATATTGATTCCAGCTTTGTGCAAGAAATAGTTTTTTGCAATGAGAGTGGTTTAATAGAATGAGGAGCCTTGTGAAAGTGATTCCTTTGGTTCTAGTGCTACACACTCATAATTGGAATACTGACTGTAATGGACGCCGTAGGATAAGATTCCCAAAGTAGAAGAAACTAGACTGACTTATGAGGCCCTTCTAACTCCAAAATGCCATAATTTTAAAGCCCGATAGTAGAAGAATGATGTAAGATGAAGAAATGTCTTCTGAGCTGAGAAATGCAGCAGCTCTAGAGTTCTGATTATTTCAACTTTCAACCACTTCCCAAGGACTGAGTTATTAACTGTAAAATAGCCAAAAATGAACACAAGTGGTTCTCGTTATCAAGAAAATTCATGATAGCACATAAGAATCAGAACTTCTAAAGAAGATTAATTAGGGGGTTGATTATTTGCATTGCAAAACAATTCCTGACTTCATGAAATCATTTTTGGATACTAGAGTTCCTGTGAGCATCTTAGCATCGATTTATAGGTCACCAGTCACTTAGCCAAGGTGCTTGGGAGAGTAAACTCTTAACTAACCACCGCTCTTTAGTGCTTATTTGGAAATAATAAACATCTCAGATGTTTACTATTTCCTAATTGTCATTAGGAAAACAATATAATTTCACTACAGGTATTTAGACACTCCATCAGAAAACACAAAACATCCAAAAATTCAATGCAGAAATAACTACAATTTCTTGAGTACTATAATATGTCAAAAATACCATTGCATTTATCCTCACATAATCCTTGTAAAGCAATATATTATTATCTCAGCTTGGTCAAGTAATTTATTCAGCAGCACTAAATTGCATACAGCCCAAATCTTTCTGATTCTTTCCCTTACACCAAGTTACCCCAATCAACATCTCTTAGAATAAAATTGCTCACAGACAGCTTGGAGACCATGTGTGTTTGGGTTAATTTTTGCCCTTAAAAGATTTTCAATATGTGTTGCCAGTGTTTAAATGTTAGAATTCCTGTAAAAGTCTGGATGTCCTGGCTGTCTCAAAGAATCAGAAGGTCTGGAAGCCGTGTCCCTTCAGTCCTGATGGTGACAGGCTGGGTGGGTCCCACCTCAGCAGGGGCTTGAGTTCTGCAGATTGTGCTGGTTCCCACCCCTCTGTGTTGCATCCCCTGAAGGGAAGCGAGTGTCATCTGGGATTTATCCCCTCCCATCCAGCCCTCATTGCTTACGTTGTTATCTACCTGGCACCTGTTGGCACTGCATTTACAACCCCAAATAAAATCACTCTTCCACTTCCCTTGCCCTAATTCAGATTCCAAATGCTCTGGTTCTGTATGTCTCAAACTCATTTTTGCATTGTTCTCATTTCCCGAGAGTAGTTGGGCTTAAGGAATATTCATCCTAAAATTCTTCTGAACACAAGTAATTCTATGCCATTGTTTCCTCACCTGTTGGGGAGTTTTTGCCTCTGCACTTAATAGCCCATCTTGTTTTCATTTCTTCCCGCTCCTGGAGGGCTAGGTTTGGTGTTGCTGGTGATGGTGGGGGAGGAAGAAATGCCTTCAAGTCATCTCTGGGATGACCAATGAGCTGTGACCAGCAAGCTGGGACCACTGAGCTGGTGGAATGGCCTTAGTGAGTAATAGCGGTGATGTGTCAGCCTTTTTCTGGCCCAGGAACAGCCAAGCCTCTTATATTTCAGCGGCCTAGTTCCCAATAGACCTTGAAGGCCCTCCAGGTCTTCTTTCCACCTACCCCTTGCTCCATACCACCACCTTCCACCCCATAATATTATAGAATGACACCTAGTCAGATGAAATGATACAACTTAATTTTATTAGGACAAGGCTGATGGGCACTGGAGTGGCACCTTCCAGGGCCAGGAGAGGCACTGGGGAGGGGTCGGTCACAGGATGCCACGCGGGCACCTAGAAGCCACAGCTACCCTCTACAGAGCGGCACTGCACCATGCGCAGGAATGTCTCGACCTTGTCCATGTCCTTCCTGAAGCAGTAGAGCAGCCCGTAGTTCTTGAGCAGTGCGTCATGGTTGTGTGAGTTTGTGTCAAACTTGCTGTAGGTCTGCTTGAGGATCTGCCCAGTCCGGCGGCTGCCGTCTTCCAGCCTCTGCAAAGTGAAGGAAGAGAAGGAGAGGCCAAGCGCTTGGGCACTGTTCCCTCCCTCTCTCATTCATCCATTTTCCTCCCTCCCCTTCAGGGTGTAGAGAAGGGCCTGGAGGATTCACCAGGCGAAATGAAGAATAAGGTGAGTTCTCTTGGGTCAGCGCCTGACTGCTACAAAGAGGGCAGCAGTGTTTCTCTCCCCCAGCCCTCTAAGCCAGTGGGGTTCCAGGATTGGCGACCCCTGGCGCCACCCTCACCCCCATCAGCGTTTGGATGCCTTCCTCTAGGTCCTTTAGGAGGTGATAGTCATCGCTGTCCGAGGTGTCATACACCAGGTTGTTGGCGAACATACTCCTGAGGAACCGCACGGGCTCCAGCCACGACTCGATGAGCAGCAGGGAGATGCGGAGCAGCTCTAGATTCTGCAGGGGAAGGACCGGCAGTGGCTGTGCTGCCCGGGAGCCCTGACCACAGGTCTCCCCCATCCCCGCCTAGGGGAGACGGCATCCACTCACGGATTTCTGTTGCGTTTCCTCCATGTTGGAGGGTGTCGGAATAGAGTCTGAGAAGCAGAAGGAGGTCTGGGAGTCATGCAGGAATGAATACTTCTGGTCCTTTGGGATATAGGTTTCTTCCTAGGAGAAGGACCCCCCACCAAGAAGGACTGCTGGTTTCTATGCTGGAGACCAGCTCCCATTGTTGCTTTTCTGGGAACCTGGCTCAGCCTATGCTCATCTGCCTGCATTTTCGCTTCAGAAAACAACCCTGAGCTCCTTAGTCTCCTCCCATTACTTCCCCAGTGGGGGAAAGTCACCCCTTCTTGCCACCCCTGACCCGCACCCATTCCCCAAGAACTTACAAACTCCTGGTAGGTGTCAATGGCCAGCTGGTGCGCGCGATGGGCTTGGAGCATAGCGTGGTCAAAAAGCCTGGATAACGGAACGGTTTGGACGGCACCAGCCTCTTGAAGCCAGGGCAGGCAGAGCAGGGCAAAAGCCAGGAGCAGGGACGTCCGGGAGCCTGGGGAGAAACCGGAGGGCAATGGAGGGAGCCGGAGAGGAAGAGGCCAGCGCTCTCCCTGCTCCAGGAGCTGTTTGTTTTTTTCTCTCTCTCCATCCCTCCAGAGACCAGGAACATTCAGAGATTGGCCAAATATCTGGCCTTAGATGGCGATACTCACATTCATAAGCCCCAAACCTGAGGGTTAGTGCCCCCGTCCCATCTACAGGGCGCTGCCTCTCCCCTCAGGACACGTTGTGCCCAAAGGGATTTTAGGGGCGCTTACCTGCAGCCATTGCCGCTAGGTGAGCTGTCCACAGGACCCTGAGTGGTTCGGGGAGTTGGGCCTTGGGATCCTAGAGCCGGTCTCTTGTGGGCCCTTTTTATACCCTGGCCAGTTCTCTCTCCCTGCTTGACCCCACCTGTTTCTGTGTACATTTATGCATGGGGCCACTGACGGGCTTGTGCTAATGGATAATTTGGAAGCTCCTCCCACACATGCTGGGATCATGCCCCCTGGCTTGTCGTCTTTCCCTTCTCACCATCACCAGTGTTGTAAGGATTGTGCACAGAGTGTCAGCCACAGACTCCACCCAACTTGTCCTCTCTTTAAGGGTCAGGTGGGTGCCCTCTGGCCGCAGGCCATGTTGGTCAACCTGAATGCGGGGAAGGCTGTCAGGATAGCCAGTCCTTGAGACCCCTACCGACCCCATTCCACTCTCTATCCTATTCCTTTCCTCCTCCCCGCGTGTTTAACTTCCACCCACCAGACAGAATGTGTGTGTTGGGAAAAGGGGCCAAGCACAGCCAATAGATTGTGGGGGTTCTGAGCACCATTGAGTCCTGAATTCCACTTTTGCTGATGACTCCTGGGCCCACCTGAGTCAGCTGGATGCAGTGCTAACACTGACCACTAGAGAGAACCAACCCCACACATTGCTCTCCCCTTTCCCTGAACCTTGGGGCGGAGGCGGTGGGGCTCCCCCAGGTCACTGGGGACGAAGAACCCAGACTCAAGGTATTGCCTCAGCTCCTTGGACCTGCAGCAGAGACACAAACCAAGAAACAGAAATCCCGGGAACAGACACGGACCACAAGCGCTTCCTCCCACAGCCCTGAAACCATCAGAGAATCTCAAGGTTGGAAGAGCTCTTGAAGATTTGAGTCTCAGGGGAACATCACACTCTGGGGACTGTTGTGGGGTGGGGGGAGGGGGGAGGGATAGCTTTAGGAGATATACCTAATGCTAAATGACAAGTTAATGGGTGCAGCACACCAGCATGGCACAGGTATACACATGTAACTAACCTGCACATTGTGCACATGTACCCTAAAACTTAAAGTAAAAGAATAATAATAATTAAAAAAAAAGAAAAAAAAGATTTGAGTCTCTTCCCAGCTTTGGAACTCAGAACACATCACGCCGAAAGATGCCCTATCCAGCCATGGAAGCCCGTCCTCTTTTGTCTCTTCCTCCTTTCCAGACCTGTGTAGAGCTTATCCAGTTGTCAAAGGCCTGCCTGTGCATTCTCACGTCTGATCTGCCACTTGTCTTGTGTAGGAGGTATGAGTATCATCCCATTTCACAGATCAGGAGACTGAGGCTCAGAGAGACTGATTACATGAGCTACCTCAGCCAGGGCAGCAGATCTCCACAACCTTGCTCTTCCCACATTGCATCATTTAAAGTCCTTTCTCCAGGCCGGGCACGGTGGCTCATGCCTGTAATCCCAGCACTTTGGAAGACTGAGGTGGGTGGATCACTTGAGGTCAGTTCAAGGCCAGACTAGCCAACATGGCAAAACTCCATCTCTTAAAAGTACAAAAGTAGCTGTGTGTGGTGGCAGAAGCCTGCAATCCCAGTTACTCCGGAGGGTGAGGAGGTAGAATCGCTTGAACCCAGGACGCAGAGGTTGCCGTGAGCCAAGATTGGGCCATGGCACTCCAGCCTGGGCGCCAGAGTGAGACTCCATTTCAACAACCACAACAACGACGACAACAACAACAACAACAACAAAAGTCCTTTCTCCAGAGCAGGTGGTGTGGTGCTACTCAGTTATTTAGTTATTTTAGTTTCTTTTCTTTCCTTCTTTCTTTTTCTTTCTTTCTTTCTTTCTTTTCTTTCTTGCTTTCCTTTTTCTTTCTCTTTCTTTCTTTCTTTTTCTTTCTTTCTTTCTTTCCTTCCTTCCTTTCTTCCTTCCTTCCTTCTTTCCTTCCTTCCTTCTTTCTTTCTTTTTCTTTCTTTCTTTCTTTCTTTCTTTCTTTCTTTCTTTCTTTCTTTCTTTCTTTCTTTCCTTCCTTCCTTTCTTCCTTCCTTCCTTCTTTCCTTCCTTCCTTCTTTCTTTCTTTCTTGTTTTTGATGGAGTCTCATTCTGTCTCCCAGGCTGGAGTGCAGTGGCATGATCTTGCCTCACTGCAACCTCCACCTCCTGGGTTCCAGTGATTCTCCCGCCTCAGCCTCCCAAGTAGCTGGGATTACAGGTGCCCACCACTATGCCGGGCTAAGTTTTGTACTTTTTTAGTAGAGACGGGGTTTCACTATGTTGGCCAGGCTGGTCTCGAACTCTTGACTTTAGGTGATCCACCCTCCCTGGCCTCCCAAAGTACTGAGATTAATGGCGTGAGTCACCGCCCCCAACCCAGTTATTTCAGCTTCTAAATCTCTCTGAGTGCAGGGATCCTGTCCCCAACACAAGGGGCCCTTTGCCTGATTTTGTCTTTCCATAAGGGGCAGATTGTTCTTTCTCAATTCCCAGGTGAGAATGGCCCAGTGGCATGGGGTGCCTTGTGGAAACCTCGTAGCAGGACAAGGTGAAGGCAGAGAAGGCCAGGACTGAGCCTCCTGTCTCCTGGTGCCCAGGGTTGGGGCTATTTCCATACCACCTGGAGGTCACAAGCATCAGATGCCCCCAGAGATGAGAGCAGGAAAGAACACCCTCTGTAGTGGTGAAATCTTCTCCCACCCTGAGTTTAAGAGCATGTAGCACTTGATGCTGTAGAAACACAAGCAAGCAAACAGGCAAATGCTTCTAGAAGTGGTTGGCTGTGGTGTTGGCAACCAACATTGAAAACCCACACCCCTGTGGCCTAGGATGTGAATGCTGGGGCCCTGCCATCTCCCCACTTTCAGAGCGGAAGACAGAGCTCCTTTTTTTGCCATCATTCCTGAAGCATTACCGGACCAGCACCCCAGACTCATCACCTGCTGGGAGGGCACTGTGCTGTGGGCTGTTCTCCAGGGAAGCCTGTGTGAGGATCCAAGAGGGGTGTCATCAATGATACCAGCTCTGAGAAATATGGGGTCAAGGGAGGGTGGTGTCACCACTTTCCCCTGCTCCTCCCAGCACCAGCAAAGAGGAGGAGCCAGGTGGGAATGGAAGTGGGTCCCTGAGCTCCAAGTAGAAGAGGGTCCCTGCCTCCCTCACCATCCTTCTTCCAATGTCAGCTGGGACAGGGAGCCCCCATGACAGGACCTTTTAGCCAGTTCTGGGGACTTAGATGTGGATTTTTGGCCATTCGTAAGGGAAGCCTCCCTTAGGAATGAGGGGGGCAGGGGCTCTAGCTGGGGACTACTGCATAACTCCACAGGTGGGCACAGGGGTGCCGAGGTTACTGCCAGGAACATGTGGGACCAGCCAGGGAAGGGGAGTGTCTCCTCTCACCTCTCCACTTCTGTTGACCCCAGAGTTATAGTGACTCAGAGGACGTTAGGGACCCCTGGGGAAACACCTTTATAAGGGGTTACCATGGCAACCATGGACCAGAGGGAAGAACTGAGGCCCACAGGTGTGGGTAGAAGTTGGTGATCCTTTTCTCTAGTCTAGATCTTCCCTTGAGCAATGGAGACCATGTCTATCATTCATTGCTAGTAAAAAATCAACTTTGAATTAGACTTGGGATTCTCCTGACAGTACTGGGAAGTTGCCCACTGTTGGGGCATCACTTGAGGCCAGATCCCTCGCTGCTGCAGGCTGAAAGACTACCCAACAAGAGCCTCCACATGGCCAGTGGGGAGAGGCTGGGCTTTGTACCTCTAGCATCAGCCTCAAAAGGCTCTGGATAGGTCGGGTGCGTTGGCTCACACCTGTAATCCCACCACTTTGGGAGGCCAAGGTGGGTGGATCATTAGGTCAGGAGTTTAAGACCAACCTGGTCAAGATGGTGAAATCCCGTCTCTACTAAAAATACAAAAATTAGCTGCGCGTGGTGGCAGGCGCATGTAATCCGAGCTACTCAGGTGGCTGTGGCAGGGAATTGCTTGAACCCGGGAGGTGGAGGTTGTAGCGAGCCGAGATCATGCCACTGCACTCCAGCCTGGGTGACAGAGTAAGACTCTGTATCAAGAGAAAAAAAAAAGCTGATGATAATCTCACAATCATCTTGCTTCTTTTAAGGAACCTCCCTTTATAATTTAGGATCCATGAATTTATCTGTGTGTTTGGAAGCCCTTCCTATGTCCAACCTCGACTAACTCTAGGGTTCTGTGTGCCTGCTGTGGAAAGTCACAGATCTGCTGTTGATCCTAAAGTGGTGTCTTTCAGGCTTCAAGATCTCCTGTTAGGTTCAAGACTGTGGGGTTGAGGACGATCACATTTTTCGAAGCCATTCTCACCGGTCTCAGGAATCGCCTCCGAGGGACTGGTGGGTGCTCCTTCCACTCTCACTTTGGTGATTTGAGGCGCACACTTCTCACCTGCAGCTCTGTTCTTTCTTCCTTGAGATCAGAGGCTGGTTATTGTACTGGGACATACTCTACCTCCTTTTGGCTTCTAATGTCCTTTCTATGAGTTTGCTACTGAGTCAATTACTCGGCTCATTGGATTGAGGTCTTCAGAGAATATTATATGGGGATTCCCAAGGGCTCTCCTAGGGGAGGTGAGGAAGATGATCAATACTTCTGTGTGTCCACCATGTGCTTGGCACTCTACTGACCATAGGGATGTGAGTGAGGATACTGAGGCCCAAAGAGATAAGATGGTTTGCCTGGAGCTCTCCCAGTTCCTAAGTAATGGCTTCCAAGGCCCCTGGGCTTTCCTTCCATGCCAAGCTCTTTAGAAACCTCATCTAGTAAAGATGGTGGCACTAATAGGCATGGACAGAACTTGCCTCAGTGCAAAGCTAGCAGGACAGGGGTCAAGTCCCTGCACAGAGGATGTTCAATGAAGATGGGGGGAATTGAACACAAGGAACTTCAGCCACAGAATGAGGTGTCCATAGGCATTAAGAAAAGTGGTAGAAAAGAGGCACCCAACGTAGCTCGGGTTAGTGAACCGAGGCACTTCATGCTGCATATTTGTATTGCACATTTCAGTGTACATCGTGTTTCGCTTCCTGTATGTCGTTGGACCCTTCAGTTTGCCACATGATATGTCCAGGGGGTTCAGGCACGGAGGAAGGGCCTCGGAAGGTCTGGGGAGGCAAGGGGCAGGCACCGCTGTGTATTGATGGGGGGATTGTTTGCACTGGTTGATGATCTCTGAACAACCAAGAAGTACACAAGGATCTACCTAACCTGACGTGCTAAGTAATTTCACTTTGGGGATTATTCTCCAGGGAGACAATCCATTGATAGAGAAGTGAAAAGCATCGAGATGTGTCTAGTAGTTGTAGGAAGTCTGGGGTGCTTTCCTGATGGGGTGCCCTCAGCTGGAAATAGCCTCTCCTTCCTTTGACCTGTCCTGTGGCTATTTGCAGACATTTTTATTCCCCTTACCAGACTGTAAGCTCTTTGAGGCTGGATTTCTTTCTTTCTTTTTTTTTGAGACCGAGTCTTGCTCTGTCACCCAGGCTGGAGTGCAGTGGCGCGATCTCGGCTCACTGCAAGCTCTGCCCCCTGGGGTTCATGACATTCTCCTGCCTCAGCCTCCCGAGTAGCTGGGAGTACAGGCACCCGCCACCTTGCCCAGCTAATTTTTTTGTATTTTTAGAGGTGGGGTTTCACTGTGTTAGCCAGGATGGTCTCGAACTCCTGACCTCGTGATCCACCTGCCTCGACCTCCCAAAGTGCTGGGATTACAGGCGTGAGCCACCGCGCCCTGCCTGAGGCTGGAATTCTGCCTTTCGTCTATTCATTCATTCACTCATTCTTCTATTCGTGCATTCACCAATTCCACAAGTAGTTGTTGCCTATAACATGTGCCAGAGATTGTACCAGGCAGATGGGCATATCTAGATAAACAAAAGACATGATCCTTTCTCTTCTGGAGCTAACAATCTACTGGGGGCCGAGAAAACAGCAAAAAAGTAAATATATAACGGTAAAATAGAAATTTCGAATTGGAAACATTCCCATGAAGTAAAAAGCTAAGATACGGAGGGAGAGAATAAGCCAGAAGGTGATGGGATGAGGCAGCTGACACAGCCCCAGGCCCAGGAATTCAACAAGCATCTACTGAGTGGACCCAATGCATGAGAGGACAGTGCCAAGCAAACAACTCAAATGTCCAACTGGCTGGGCATGGCCAGGTAGCCCATGCTGTGTCTGGACGTCCTTCTGCTGGTATAATTATTTTAAAATCACAGGACAGGGAAGGGCCCAGTGGCTCATACCTGTAATCCCAGCAATTTGGGAGGCCGAGGCGGGCGGATTACCTGAGGTCAGGAGATGGAGACCAGACTGGCCAATATGGTGAAACCCCGTCTCTACCAAAAATACAAAAATTAGCTGAGCCTGGTCGTGCATGCCTGGAATCCCAACTATTCGGGAGACTGAGGCAGGAGAATCGCTTGAACCCAGGAGGCGGAGATTGCAGCGAGCCAAGATCGTGCCACTGCACTCCAGCCTGGTTCCCAATAGACCCTGAAGGCCCTACAGGTTGTCTTCCCAACCTGCCCCTTGCTCCATACCACCCGCCTCCACCCCATAATATTATACAAGGACACCTAGTCAAACAAAATGATGCAACTTAATTTTATTAGGACAAGGCTGGTGGGCACTGGAGTAGCACCTTCCACGACCAGGAGAGGCACTGGGGAGGGGTCACAGGGATGCCACCCGGGCAGCTAGAAGCCACAGCTGCCCTCCACAGAGCGGCACTGCACGATGCGCAGGAATGTCTCGACCTTGTCCATGTCCTTCCTGAAGCAGTAGAGCAGCCCGTAGTTCTTGAGCAGTGCGTCATCGTTGTGCGATTTTGTGTCAAACTTGCTGTAGGACTGATTGAAGATCTGCCCAGTCCGGGGGCTGCCATCTTCCAGCCTCTGCAAAGTGAAGGAAGAGAAGGAGAGGCCAAGCGCTTGGGCACTGTTCCCTCCCTCTCTCATTCATCCATTTTCCTCCCTCCCCTCCAGGTTGTAGAGAAAGGCCTGGAGGATTCACGAGGGGAAATGAAGAATACGGTGAGTTCTCTTGGGTCAGCGCCTGACTGCTAAAAAGAGGGCAGCAGTGTTTCTCTCCCCAGTCCCTGGAAGCCAGTGGGGCCCCAGGATTGGGGATCCCTGGTGCCACCCTCACCCACATCAGCGTTTGGATGCCTTCCTCTAGGTCCTTCAGGTGGCGATAGACGTTGCTGTCCGAGGCGCCATACACCAGGCTGTTGGCGAAGACGCTCCTGAGGAGCTGCACGGGCTCCAGCCATGACTGGATGAGCAGCAGGGAGATGCGGAGCAGCTCTAGGTTCTGCAGGGGAAGGACCGGCAGTGGCTGTGCTGCCCGGGGGCTCTGACCACAGGTCTACCCCATCCCCACCTGGGGAGAAGGCATCCACTCACAGATTTCTGCTGCGTTTTCACCCTGTTGGAAGGTGTTGGAATAGACTCTGAGAAGCAGAGGGAGGTCTGGGGGTTCTGCAGGAATGAATACTTCTGCTCCTTCAGGATATAGGCTTCTTCCTAGGAGAAGGACCGCCCACCAAGGTCTATGCTGGAGACCAGCTCCCATTGTTACTTTTCTGGGAACCTCACTCAGCGTATGCTCATCTGCCTGCATTTTCACTTCAGAAAACAACCCTGAGCTCCTTAGTCTCCTCCCATTACTTCCCAGCGGGGGAAAGTCACCCCTTCCTGCCACCTCTGAAGCGCACCCATTACCCAAGAGCTTACAAACTCCTGATAGGTGTCATATGCCAGCTGGTACAGGCGACGGGCGCGGAGCATAGCGTTGTCAAAAAGCCTGGATAAGGGAATGGTTGGGAAGGCACTGCCCTCTTGAAGCCAGGACAGGCAGAGCAGGCCAAAAGCCAGGAGCAGGGACGTCCGGGAGCCTGGGGAGAAACCGGAGGGCAACAGAGGGAGCTGGAGAGCAAGAGGCCAGCGCTCTCCCTGTTCCAGGAGCTGGGTTTTTTTTTTTCTCTCTCTCTCTCTGCCTCCCTCCAGGGACCAGGAACATTCAGAGATTGGCCAAATACTGGGCTTAGATGGCGATACTAACATTCATAAGCCCCAAACCTGAGGGTTAGTGCCCCCGTCCCATCTACAGGACGCCGCCTCTCCCCTCAGGACACATTGTGCCCAAAGGGATTTTAGGGGCGCTTACCTGCAGCCATTGCCGCTAGGTGAGCTGTCCACAGGACCCTGAGTGGTTCGGGGAGTTGGGCCTTGGGATCCTTGAGCTGGTCTCTTGTGGGCCCTTTTTATACCTGGCCCCTTCTCTCTCGCTGCTTCTCCTCACCTGTTTCTCTGCATGTTTAGGCCTGGGGCCACTGACGGGCTTGTGCTAATGGATAATTTAGAAGCTCCTCCCACACATGCTGGGATCATGCCCCCTGACTTGTCATCTTTCCCTTCCCACCATCACCAGCGTTGTGAGGGTTGTGCACAGAATGTCAGCAGAGATACCACCCAACTTGTCCTCTCTTTAAGGGTCACGTGGGTGCCCTCTGGCAGCAGGCCATGGTGGCCAACCTGAACGCGGAGAAGGATGTCAGGATAGCCAGTCCTTGAGACCCCTACCGACCCCATCCCACTCTCTATCCTATTCCTTTCCTCCTCCCCGCATGTTTCCCCTCCACCCACCAGACAGAATGTGTGTGTTGGGAAAAGGGGCCAAAGCACAGCCAATAGATTGCGGGGGTTCTGGGCATGATTCAGTGCTGAATTCCACTTTTGCTGACTCCTGGGCTCGCCTGAGACAGGCCCGCCTGGATGCAGTGCTAATACTGACCACTAGAGGGAACAAACTCCACACTTTGCTCTCCCCTTTACCTGAGCCTTGGGGCGGGGGCGGGGGCGGGGCGTGGGGATGGGGGTGGGGGTGGGGGTGGGTGTGGGTGTGGGAGGGGTGGGGGGGGGGCTCCCCCAGGTCCCTGGGGACGAATAACCCAGACTCAAGGTATTGCCCCAGCTCCTTGGACCTGTAGCAGAGATACAAACCAAGAAACAGAAATCCCGGGAACAGACACGGACCACAAGCGCTTCCTCCCATAGTCCTGAAACCAACAGAGAATCTCAAAGTTGGAAGAGCTCTTGAAGATTTGAGTCTCTTCCCCAGCTTTAAAACTCAGAACACATCACGCCAAAAGACGCCCTATCCAGCCATGGAAGCCCCTCCTCTTTTGTCTCCTCCTCCTTTCCAGACCTGTGTAGAGCTTATCCAGTTGCCAAGGGCCTGCCTGTGCATTCTCACGTCTGAACTGCCACTTGTCTTGTGTAGGAGCTATGACTATCATCCCATTTCACAGATCAGGAGACTGAGGCTCAGAGAGACTGATTACATGAGCTACCTCAGCCAGGGCAGCAGATCTTCACAACCTTGCTCTTCCCACATTGCGTCATTTAAAGTCCTTTCTCCAGGCCGGGCACGGTGGCTCATGCCTATAATCCCAGCACTTTGGGAGGCTGAGGTGGGTGGATCACTTAAGGTCAGGAGTGCAAGACCAGGCTAACCCACATGGCAAAACTCCATCTCTCCTAAAAATACAAAAATTAGCTGGGCATGGTGGCACGAGCCCGTAATCCCAGCTACTTGGGAGGCTGAGGCAGGAGAATCGCTTGAACCCAGGAGGCAGAGGTTGCTGTGAGCCAAGATTGCGCCACTGCACTCCAGCCTGGATGACAGAGCGAGTCTACATCTCAAAAAAAAAAAAAAAAAAAATCCTTTCTCCATAGCACGTAGTGTGGTGCTACTCAGTTATTTAGTTATTTTAGCTTCATTTCCTTTTTTTTTTTTTTTGAGATGGAGTCTCATTCTGTCACCCAGGCTGGAGTTCAGTGGCATGATGTTGCTTCACAGCAACCTCCACCTTTGGGTTCCGGTGATTCTCCCGCCTCAGCCTCCCAAGTAGCTGGGATTACAGGCGTCCACCACTATGCCGGGCTAAGATTTGCACTTTTTTAGTAGAGACGGGGGTTTCACTATGTTGGCCAGGCTGGTCTCGAACTCTTGACTTTAGGTGATCCACCCTCCCTGGCCTCCCAAAGTACTGAGATTACTTGCGTGAGCCACTGCTCCCAACCCAGTTATTTCAGCTTCTATATCCCTCTGAGTGCAGGGATCCTGCCCCCAACACAAGGGGCCCTTTGCCTCATTTTGTCTTTCCATAAGGGGCAGATTGTTCTTTCTCAATTCTCAGGTGAGAATGGCCCAGTGGCATGGGGTGCCTTGTGGAAACCTCAGAGCAGGACAAGGTGAAGGCAGAGAAGGCCAGGACTGAGCCTCCTGTCTCCTGGTGCCCAGGGTTGGGGCTACTTCAATATAATCTGGAGGTCACAAGCATCAGATACCCCCAGAGATGAGAGCAGGAAAGAGCACCCTCTCTAGTGGTGAAATCTTCCCCCCTGAGTTTAAGAGCATCTAGCACTTGACTCTGTAGAAACACAAGCAAGCAAACAAGCAAATGCTTCCAGAAGTGGTTGGCTGTGGTGTTGGCAACCAACATTGAAAACCCACACCCCTGTGGCCTAGGATGTGAATGCTGGGGCCCTGCCATCTCCCCACTTTCAGAGCAGAAAACAGAGCTCCATTTTCTGCCATCATTCCTGAAACATTATCGGACCAGCACCCCAGACTCATCACCTGCTGGGAGGGCACTGTGCTGTGGGCTGTTCTCCAGGCCCGCCTGTGTGAGGATCCAAGAGGGGTGTCATCAATGATACCAGCTCTGAGAAATATGTGGCCAAGGGAGGGTGGAGTCACCACTTTCCCCTGCTCCTTCCAGCACCAGCAAAGAGGAGGAGCTAGGTGGGAATGGAAGAGGGTCCCTGAGCTCCATGTAGCTTTCTGCCTCCCCCACCATCCTTCCTCCAATGTCAGCTGGGACAGGGAGCCCCCATGACAGGTCCTTTTAGCCAGTTCTGGGGACTTCGATGTGGATTTTCGGCCATGGAAGAAGTCTCCAGCCTCCCTTAGGAATGAGGGTGGCAGGGGCCCTAGTTGGGGACCACTGCATAACTCCGCAGGTGGGCACAGGGGTGGCAAGGCTCCCCAGGCAGGTTACTGACAGCAACACGTGGGACCAGCCGGGGCAGGGGAGTGTCTCCTCTCACCTCTCCACTTCTGTTGACCCCAGAATTATGGTGACTCAGAGGACTCTAGGGACCCCTGGGGAAACACCTTTATAAGGGATTACCATGGTAACCATGGACCAGAGGGAAGAACTGAGGCCCACAGGTGTGGGTAGAAGTCAATGATCATTTTCTCTAGTCTAGATCTTCCCAGAGCCTTGAGCAATGGAGACCACATCCATCATTCATTGCTAGTAAAAAATCATCTTTGAATTAGACTTGGGATTCCCCTGACAGTACTGGGAGGTCGCCCACTGTTGGGGCATCACTTGAGGCCAGATCCCTGGCTCCTGCAGGCTGAGAGAGTACCCAACAAGAGCCTCCACATGGCCAATGGGGAGAGGCTGCGCTTTGCACCTCTGGCGTCAGCTTCAAAAGGCTCAGGATAGGCCGGCGTGGTGGCTCATGCCTGTAATCCCAACACTTTGGGAGGCTGAGACATGTGGATCACCTGAAGTCAGGAGTTTGAGACCAGCGTGGCCAACATGGTGAAACTGATCTCTACTAAAAATAGAAAAATTAGCCGGGTGTGGTGGCATGCGCTTGTAATCCTAGTTACTGGAGCGGCTGAGGCACAAGAATTGCTTGAACCTGGGAGGCAGAGGTTGTCATGAGCCGAGATCGCGCCACTGCACTCCACCCTGGGCGAAGGAGTGAGACTGACTTTGTCTCCAAAACAAACAAACAACCAAAAAAAACCAAAAAGAAAAGTAGAAAAATCCTCATCTCTGAGTTCACTGTTACCTAGCTCCTTACCCACCGAGAAACAAACATGGGAAGCAGGGGCCCCAGGGCCACCATGGACAGAGCAGGGTTATCATTTAGTCCAAATCCATAAGAACACCCTAGGTTTCATCTGGGACTCCCTGCCCATACGGAAAGTGGGAAAGAAGAGTTGGCTCAAAGCAGGGAGCTGCTAGTGCTCCCTTGGGAAGGAAAGCTGTTGGGTGGAGGGGACAGCATTTGGGTGAGGGGAGGAGAGGGAGCAGGGGGTGAAGTAGGGAGGGAGTGTGGTGCACTGAACTCAGCTCCTTGGGATACTGTTTCTGCAGACCAACCACGGTTAGAGGAATCCAGTTGCTCTGCCAAACAGACCTGGCTGGAAGGGATGGAACACACGCTCACCTGCGTCCCAAAGGGAAACCCAGCTCCAGCCTTGGTGTGTACCTGGAATGGGGTGGTCTTTGACCTTGAAGTGCCACAGAAGGCAACCCAGAACCACACTGGAACCTACCGCTGCACAGCCACTAACCAGCTGGGCTCTGTCAGCAAAGACATTGCTGTCATTGTTCAAGGTAACCTTTGCTGCCCTGCTGCCAGGCCCAGGATGGAAACCCCTCAGGGGTTTGGGATTCTTATCTAAGCATGAAAATAAGAAAGATTCTACTAGGTTGGGAAGAATGAGACTCAGAAGTGGGCCTGGTGGGCTGGGGTGGGTGATCCTTGTACTCTCAGACTTTCCTAACTCTATCTTCTGTGCTTGGGCAGGACTGGATGAAGGAATAAGCTCTACCCTCTTTGTCATTATTACCGTTGCCCTTGGAGTGGGTGTCATCACCATAGCACTGTATTTGAGCTATCGGCCCTGCAAAGTGGACAGGAGGAAATTGCTCTATAGGCAGAAAGAGGAGGACAAAGAGGAGGAAAGCCAGTTTGCTGTTCAGGAAGAGAAAAGTACAACTCATATAATTGACAACTGTTTGATTGAATGAGACTTCTGCTACTGTGGTTTCCCAGGGAGGGAAGAAGGGATAGAGGAGAAAGGAAGAAACACAATGGCAGGCTGCATTCCCCTTTGTGTACGTCTGTCCTGTAAAACGGTGTTTCAGGCCCCCATGCCCCATGTCCTGTGTGTCCAATATGTCCACAAGCTCACCATTCTCTCTCTCTCTCTCTTTTCTTTTCTTTTTCTTTTTCTTTTTTTTTTTTTTTGAGATGGAGTCTTGCTGTTGTCGCCTAGGCTGGAGTGCAATGATGCGATCCTGGCTCACTGCAACTGCAGCCTCCCGGGTTCAGGTGATTCTCTTGCCTCAGCCTCCCTGGCAGCTGGGATTACAGGTGCACACCACCATGCCTGTCTAATTTTTGTACTTTTCGTAGAGATGGGGTTTCACCATGTTGGCTGGGCTGGTCTCAAACTCCTGACCTCAAGTGATCCGGCCACCTTGGCCTCCCAAAGTGCTGGGATTACAGGTGTGAGCCACCGCGCCCAGCCACCTTTCTCTTTAGAGCTCACTCTATTCATTAGGAATCTCAGTCTCAATGTTTGATTTGTAAGAAGGCCTCTTGCTCCTTGCCAGGTGCATCATCAGTCCACTCTTAGATCCAAAAAAAAAAAAAGAAAAGATCTTGCCGTTTCTTCATGGTTCTCACTGCCCTTTTCTCTTAAACATCATACTAAAGTCAGGCATATCTTAGAAATACAACTCATATTTCATGGTTTTCTGATTACTAACTGGGAACTAAATCTGTAGTCCAAGGACAGGACTTTGAAGGGAGTAAGTATCAAATATGGGGCCAGGAATCAGAGCTCTGTTCCTATCTCCACTTTCCCTTGCTCCCCTGACCTGGGCTTCTGGAGGGCCAGCTCCCAGAGCTGAGCTTGTTGACATCATTAAGGATCAGTGGCAAGCTTCAACTCAGTAACCATCTGTTGCGGGTCTTGGGGGAGTATACAGATGGTAAGAAATTCCACTTTGGGCCAGACGGGCATCCTATCTAGCTCAGTATTCTGTCTCTGAAGGAGAAGGTAGAGTTCTTCCATGAAATTGGCCTCATAGGTTAAGAGCTCCAAACATCTCTGAATTCCTTTTCATAGAGTGATCAACTGTGAGTTCGCATTTGCCAGTTTTCTTTTTTTTACCCATATGGGCATCTAGGTTAAAGTTCCAATCTTTACTCTCCCTTTTCATCAATAAGTGCATATTTTCTTCTGTCTGTAAACAATTTCCTTGAAGCTTCAAGAGGAATCTTCTTGTGAAAATGTTCATATGATTTTATGTTTCAGCTTCTTTCCCTGTCCTTGAGAAAGAGTATATTCACCCTCGGAGAAGGCGTGAGGAATCACAGAACCAGATGTTTTCTCCCAAATCAGTCAAGAAATGTTCACTGGAATGTTGCTATGGTAAAAATAAAAGTGGTTTTATGATGTCCAAATGCAGTTCCCTTCCCTTCTGTGTCATTGCTAAAAGCTCTTATGTCAAATGGCTGCATTTTATAACTTTTTTTTTTAGATGGAGTCTCGCTCTTTGCCTAGGCTGGAGTGCAGTGGTGTGATTTCGGTCCACTTCAAACTCCACCCCCGGGTTGAAGCAATTCTCTGCCTCAGCCTCTATAGATTAAGAGTAGCTGGGATTACAGGCGCCCACCACCATGACCAGCTAATTTTTTGTATTTTTAGTAGAGACAGGGTTTCACCACCTTGGCCAGGCTGATCTTGAAGTCCCGACCTCGTGATCTACCCACCTCGGCCTTCTAAAGTGCTGGGATTACAGGCCTGAGCCATCACTCCCGGCTGCATTTTATAACTTTAAGTACAATTTCTAAGGAAAAAATACCGTGTTGATAGCATAAACAACCAGCCCAGGGCCGGGGGTGCATTAACTGAGGGCAGCAGCCTATTTGACCTGCTTTCAAAACTGAAATTCAGGCTGGTGTGGTGGCTCACGCCTGTAATCCCAGCACTTTGGGAGGCTGAGGCAGGTGAATCACTTGAGCCCTGGAGTTTGCGAATAGCCTGGGCAACATGGCAAAACCCCATTTCTACAAAAAACACAAAACTTAGCCAGGTATAGTGGCACATGCATGTAGTCCCAGCTACTTGAGAGTCTGAGGTGGGAGGATCACTTGAGCACGGGAGGTGGAGGGTTGCAGCGAGTTGAGATCATGCACTGCACTCCAGCCTGGGCAACGGAGCCAGGCCCTGTCTCAAAAGCAAAATAAAGGAACAAAAATGAAAGCTAAAGGTCAGACTTCCAGATAGAGAGAGGTCCATAGCCTTCCAAATTGCAGATACCAGCTAGAAAAAACCATGGCATCAGACAGCAGAGGGAAAACGTTTTCCCATTCTTCCCAGACCTCCCCTGAGTCTGGTGCTATAGATTAAGTGTAAAAGTAACCCTTTGGTTTCACCACATACAAGGCAGTGGGGATACAGTGGTGAACAAAACATTGTTCCTGGCTTCCAAAAATATATTAGGAAAGCTAGACAAACAAGTAGGAGATTACATTTGTGCATGAACTCCTATGACTGGGAAAACAGATTGTTAAGAGAAAGCATAACTCGGATCAAGGAAGGCTTCCCGGAGGGACACGAAATATCTTGACTTTGTAAAATAGCATCATCCCCGAACATGAACTTTTCAACCTCAATGTTTCCACTAGGTGGAGCTACTGCTCCTTCATCATGTGAGTCTAATATAAATCATCCACCTTCCCTGAATTGAGCATTTGGGGAAGTAAGTTAAGAAGCAGGTTTAAGAGACAGGAGTATACAGCCACACCATGCAGGGATCCACAGCCATTTTGGTGTCAGGATCAGTCGCATCAGGGCTGTAGTTACCCTGTATCTGCAAACCCTGCCTCATGGCCTCAGTGCCTTGAAGCACAGCGAATCCAAAAAGGAAGGGAAAAATGAGCCAGGCATGGTGGTGTGCACCTGTAATCCCAGCTACTGGGGAGGCTGAGGCAGAAGAATCGCTTGAACCCGGGATACTGAGGTTGCAGTGAGCCAAGATTGCACCATTGCACTCCAGCCTGGGCAACAGAGTGACACCCCATCTTGAAGAAAACAAAAACAAAAGCAAACAAACAAAAAACAAAACAAACAAAACAAAAAAAAGAGGGAAGAAGGGGGCCACTTGGACTTTCTAGTTCCAGCAGGGAGATCCTGGAGGCTTAGCCGGCTGCTGCCTTTGCTTCTCACTGCCACAGGGTGTCAGTGTTGACAGATGGTCCCACACAGTACCCTCAAACCAAGCGGGTCTGCAGATCCGGGTTCCCAGCTGCTGTGGATCTCTGAGGGAGGATGATCTGCTTCTTCGGGGCCTGGTCCAGCTGCGGGTGTCCTCTTGCTGGGGTTTCCAGGGTTCCAGTTCTTAGAGCTCAGTAGTTTGGATGAGCCGTCCCGCAAAGCTCTTCAGAGTAGGCTGGGCTGTTTCCCTTGTAGACTTGGAACCTCTGTTCGCTTTCCTTCCCGAAGGATCCACACAACCAGTGGTCAGGCAGGCAGCCCCTTCTCATTGATTCTTTTTTTTCTTTTCTTTTTTTTTTTTTTTGGAGACAGAGTCTCGCTCTGTCTCCCAGGCTGGAGTGCAGTGGCACAATCTCGGCTCACTGCAACTTCTGCTTCCCAGCTTCAAGCAATTTTCCTGCCTCAGCCTCTGGAGTAGCTGGGATTCCAGATGTGCGCCACCACACCCGGCTAATTTTTGTGTTATTAGTAGAAACAGGATTTCATCATGTTGGCTAGGCTGGTCTCAAACTCCTGACCTCAGGTGATCTGCCCAGCTTGGCCTCTCAAAATGCTGGGAGTACAGGCGTGAGCCACCACACCCGGCTTCATTGATTCTTAAAGTAGGAAGGGTCTCATATCTCTTTTCCAGTATAATAGAGCTTCTAAGGGTAGCTGCCTCATTGTCTATAAGAGGAGGCCCCACCCTCTAAATGGTTTTGATCATATTCTTTCTGAACATTAAAGCAACCAGCTTATGCTTAAATTGCAGCTACCTTGATTATCTCCAGAGGAAGAGTGGCCTTTAATACTCCAAAAGTTTACCCTCTTTCTTACTATTTTTGAGAGAGAATCTTGCTCAGCCATCCAGCTGGAGGGCAGTGGCATGATGGGCTCAGTGCAACTCTGCCTCCTGGGCTCAAGTGATTCTCGCGCCTCAGTAGCTGGGAATACAGGTGTGCACCATCACACCTGGTAATTTTTGTATTTTTAGTAAGAGACGGGGTGCCACCATGTTGGCCAGGCTTGTCTCGAACTTGTGACGTCCTCCCGCCTCAGCCCTCCAAAGTGCTGAGATAACTGGCGTGAGCCACCGTGCCTGGCCGTTTATCCTCTCAAGGATGGTCAGGGTGACATTCTGGTGTCTTTCTCTCTAGACCTGAGAAAGCATAAGTTACATCGTTAGTGGGACTTCTTACCATAGGATTAATAATAGTATTTACCTTAGAGAATTATAATTAGAAAGAAATGACACAATACATGTAATAAACTAGCATGGTGCTGGAGATATGTGTTCACATTAGTTGTTTTTTATTATTACACTGATAATTCTAGTGGTAATTAAGCACATCTTTATAATCACAGTAAACTCAAAGCAAGAATCAGAAATCCATGATAACCATGAGGGCCATCAAAGGTCATATACACCGAGCACAGCTTTCCGGTTTTTCTAGTCTTTTTCTTGCTCCTTCCCCTACTTTCCCCACAGTTTGGTACCCTAAGATTTAGGACTACTAATAGGGTGACCAGTCCTGTTAGCTGAGTGTTCATTCAGCTGAGGGATCCCTGGAAGGAACGTGGGACTTTCAGTGTTGACATTGAGAAAGTCTCCTGCAAACTAGGACGAGTTGGTAACCCTAATCCCAGCGGTGCTCATTGTGTGCCACAGCACTTCAGGGCCTTCTGAATTAAAGAAGCAGCCAGGCAAAATGTCAGCTTGTCTTGGCCTAGAAGCCCAGACCCTGTAATTCAGAAGAAAAGGGAAGGGGTCAGTTCTGCTCTCAACTGTGTATAAAGGGACAAAACCCACCATGTGTATTTCGACAATGCTCATGGAAGAAATTCAGAATTGGTCACTTTAGGTTAGGGTAAATTCAAAAAAAATGACAGAGTCAGTAAAACATTATGCCAGGGGTCAAGGATGACTGGAGCTCTGCCTGCTGAACTCTTCCCTGTGCGAGTCTCACTAATCTTATCTTCAGGAAGAGTTTTCGATAGAAAATACCATTAAGGGCCAGGCCTGGTGGCTCCTGCCTATGATCCTATCACTTTGGGAGGCCAAGGTGGGTGGATCACCTGAGGCCAGGAGTTTGAGACCAGCCTGGCCAACATGGCGAAACCCTGTCTTTACCAAAAATACAAAAATCTGCCCTGTGTGGTGGTGCACACTTATAATCCCAGCTACTCAGGAGGCTGAGGCATGAGAATCACTTGAACCTGGGAGGAGGCGGAGGTTGCAGTGAGCCAAGATCCCACCACTGCACTCCAGCCTCTGTCTCAAAAACAAAAACAAAAACAAAACAAAAAGAAACTATTAACAATTTTTAGTTGTGAGAAGATATAAACGTTTCCATCTTAACCATTTTGCCTGTGCAGTTCAGTCATGTCAAGTACATTGACATCGTCATGCAACCCTCACCACCAACCATCTCCAGAACCCTTTTCATCTTGCACAGCTGAAACCCTGTGCTCATTAAATAGCTCCCTATTCCATCCCTCCCCACAGCCACTGGCAGCCACCATCCTACTTTTTGTCTCTATGAATTTGACTGCTCTGAGTACCTCATCTGACTGGAATCGGAGAGTATTTGTCTTTTTGTGACTGGCTCACGATAAACACTTTTAGATGACTGGTTGGAATTAGGAGCAGGTGGCACCACAACTGCCATCTCCTTTTTCTCCTTTTTCTCATCTCCTTTTTCTCTGTTTTCCCTGTTCCACCAGTACAACAGCTGTGAACACATGGGTCTCATCTTTGCGGTCCCTAACACGGTGGTTCTCAACCTTGTTTACATGTTAGAATCACCTGGGAAAGTTTTCAAATTACTCTTGCCTGGACCACATTCCAGTCTAATTATATCAGAATCTCAGGGAGTGAGGGCTCACGAATGCATCGTTTAGAAAACACCCTAGGCATCTCAAATTTGCAGCGGAAATTGCTGTCCACACCAAGTTGATGAGCTGAAATGTAGACTAACAGTGGGTAAATCAAAGAGTTTAAAGTAGATGGTCTTTAAGGTCTTTTTATATTTTAAAATGTGCAAAGTTGGTAGTATCTTTCTAATTCTCAACCAGCAGTGGTTGAGTGGAGTTTCCTATACCCGAGGGGAGCTGGGTGGACAGTCTCTGGAGTGTGGCTCCCCCTGCAGTTCAGTTACATGTTATGACCACCCCACTTTAGAACCCTCTTAGCCACCCAAGTAGGCGCTGGACATTGTCATTCCACTGTCACGTGCATTCAACAAATACTTATTAAGATGGCTCACATTTCCTTTTAAAACACGCAAGCCGAGAGATAATTATAATTGTGCTCATTCCATCAACTTCTAAAGACTGAGATTTCTAAATAATTTTAAGGCCAAATGAAGGACATTGCAGGAATATTGATTCCAGCTTCGTGCAAGAAATAGTTTTTTGCAATGAGAGTGGTTTAATAGAATGAGGAGCCTTGTGAAAGTGATTCCCTTGGTTCTAGTGCTACACACTCGTAAATGGAATACTGACTGTAATGGATGTTGTAGGATAAGATTCCCAAAGTAGAAGAAACTAGGCTGACTTATGAGGCCCTTCTAACTCCAAAATGCCATAATTTTAAAGCCCGATAGTAGAAGAACAATGCAAGATGCAGGAATGGCTTCTGAGCTGAGAAATGCAGCAGCTCCAGAATTCTGTTTAGTTCAACTTTCAACCACTTCCCAAGGACTGAGTTATTAATGGTAAAATAGCCAAAAATGAATACAAGTGGGTCTCATTATCAAGAAAATTCATTATAGCATTTAAGAATCGAACTTCTAAAGAAGATTAATTGGGGGGTTGATTATTTGCATTGCAAAACAATTCCTGACTTTATGAAATCATTTTTGGATACTAGAGTTCCTGTGAGCATCTTAGCATCGATTTATAGGTCACCAGTCACTTAGCCAAGGTGCTTGGGAGAGCAAACTCTTAACTAACCACCGCTCTTTAGTGCTTATTTGGAAATAATAAACATCTGAGATGTTTATTATTTCCTAATTGTCATTAGGAAAACAATATAATTTCACTACAGGTATTTAGACACTCCATCAGAAAACACAAAACATCCAAAAATTCAATGCAGAAATAGCTAGAATTTCTTGAGTACTATAATATATCAAAAATACCATTGCATTTAGTCCTCACATAATCCTTGTAAAGCAATATATTATTATCTCAGCTTGGTCAAGTAATTTATTCGGGGGCACTAAATTACATACAGCCCAAATCTTTCTGATTCTTTCCCTTACACCAAGTTACCCCAATCAACATCTCTTAGAACAAAATTGCTCACAGACAGCTTGGAGACCATGTGTGTTTCGGTTAATTTTTGCCCTTAAAAGATTTTCAATATGTGTTGCCAGTGTTTAAATGTTAGAATTCCTGTAAAAGTCTGGATGTCCTGGCTGTCTCAAAAGGTCAGAAGGTCTGGAAGCCGTGTCCCTGCAGTCCTGATGGTGACAGGCTGGGTGGGTCCCACCTCAGCAGGGGCCTGAGTTCTGCAGATTGTGCTGGTTCCCACCCCTCTGTGTTGCATCCCCCGAAGGGAAGTGAGTGTCATCTGGGATTTATCCCCTCCCATCCAGCCCTCATTGCTTACATTGTTATCTACCTGGAACCTGTTGGCACTGCATTTACAACCCCAAATAAAATCTCTCTTCCACTTCCCTTGCCCTAATTCAGATTCCAAATGCTCTGGTTCTGTATGTCTCAAACTCATTTTTGCATTGTTCTCATTTCCCGAGAGTAGTTGGGCTTAAGGAATACTCATCTTAAAATTCTTCCGAACACAAGTAATTCTATGCCATTGTTTCCTCACCTGTTGGGGAGTTTTTGCCTCTGCACTTAATAGCCCATCTTGTTTTCATTTCTTTCCGCTCCTGGGGGGCTAGGTTTGGTGTTGCTGGTGATGGTGGGGGAGGAAGAAATGCCTTCAAGTCATCTCTGAGATGACCAATGGGCTGTGACCAGCAAGCTGGGACCACTGAGCTGGTGGAATGGCCTTAGTGAGTAATAGACAGCAGTGATGTGTCAGCTTTTTTCTGGCCCAGGAACAGCCAAACCTCTTATATTTCAGTGGCCTAGTTCCCAATAGACCTTGAAGGCCCTCCAGGTCTTCTTTCCACCTACCCCTTGCTCCATACCACCACCTTCCACCCCATAATATTATAGAATGACACCTAGTCAGATGAAATGATACAACTTAATTTTATTAGGACAAGGCTGGTGGGCACTGGAGTGGCACCTTCAGGGCCAGGAGAGGCACTGGGGAGGGGTCACAGGATGCTACTCGGGCACCTAGAAGCCACAGCTGCCCTCCACAGAGCGGCACTGCACCATGCGCAGGAATGTCTCGACCTTGTCCATGTCCTTCCTGAAGCAGTAGAGCAGCCCGTAGTTCTTGAGCAGTGCGTCATGGTTGTGCGAGTTTGTGTCAAACTTGCTGTAGGTCTGCTTGAGGATCTGCCCAGTCCGGCGGCTGCCGTCTTCCAGCCTCTGCAAAGTGAAGGAAGAGAAGGAGAGGCCAAGCGCTTGGGCACTGTTCCCTCCCTCTCTCATTTATCCATTTTCCTCCCTCCCCTTCAGGGTGTAGAGAAAGGCCTGGAGGATTCACCAGGCGAAATGAAGAATAAGGTGAGTTCTCTTGGGTCAGCGCCTTACTGCTAAAAAGAGGGCAGCAGTATTTCTCTCCCCCAGCCCTCGAAGCCAGTGGGGTTCCAGGATTGGTGACCCCTGGCGCCACCCTCACCCCCATCAGCGTTTGGATGCCTTCCTCTAGGTCCTTTAGGAGGTGATAGTCATCGCTGTCCGAGGTGTCATACACCAGGTTGTTGGCGAACATACTCCTGAGGAACCGCACGGGCTCCAGCCACGACTCGATGAGCAGCAGGGAGATGCGGAGCAGCTCTAGATTCTGCAGGGGAAGGACCGGCAGTGGCTGTGCTGCCCGGGAGCCCTGACCACAGGTCTCCCCCATCCCCGCCTAGGGGAGACGGCATCCACTCACGGATTTCTGTTGCGTTTCCTCCATGTTGGAGGGTGTCGGAATAGAGTCTGAGAAGCAGAAGGAGGTCTGGGAGTCATGCAGGAATGAATACTTCTGGTCCTTTGGGATATAGGTTTCTTCCTAGGAGAAGGACCCCCCACCAAGAAGGACTGCTGGTTTCTATGCTGGAGACCAGCTCCCATTGTTGCTTTTCTGGGAACCTGGCTCAGCCTATGCTCATCTGCCTGCATTTTCGCTTCAGAAAACAACCCTGAGCTCCTTAGTCTCCTCCCATTACTTCCCCAGTGGGGGAAAGTCACCCCTTCTTGCCACCCCTGACCCGCACCCATTCCCCAAGAACTTACAAACTCCTGGTAGGTGTCAATGGCCAGCTGGTGCGCGCGATGGGCTTGGAGCATAGCGTGGTCAAAAAGCCTGGATAAGGGAACGGTTTGGACGGCACCAGCCTCTTGAAGCCAGGGCAGGCAGAGCAGGGCAAAAGCCAGGAGCAGGGACGTCCGGGAGCCTGGGGAGAAACCGGAGGGCAATGGAGGGAGCCGGAGAGGAAGAGGCCAGCGCTCTCCCTGCTCCAGGAGCTGTTTGTTTTTTTTCTCTCTCTCCATCCCTCCAGAGACCAGGAACATTCAGAGATTGGCCAAATATCTGGCCTTAGATGGCGATACTCACATTCATAAGCCCCAAACCTGAGGGTTAGTGCCCCCGTCCCATCTACAGGGCGCTGCCTCTCCCCTCAGGACACGTTGTGCCCAAAGGGATTTTAGGGGCGCTTACCTGGAGCCATTGCCACTAGGTGAGCTGTCCACAGGACCCTGAGTGGTTCGGGGAGTTGGGCCTTGGGATCCTAGAGCCGGTCTCTTGTGGGCCCTTTTTATACCCTGGCCAGTTCTCTCTCCCTGCTTGACCCCACCTGTTTCTGTGTACATTTATGCATGGGGCCACTGACGGGCTTGTGCTAGTGGATAATTTAGAAGCTCCTCCCACACATGCTGGGATCATGCCCCCTGGCTTGTCGTCTTTCCCTTCTCACCATCACCAGTGTTGTAAGGATTGTGCACAGAGTGTCAGCCACAGACTCCACCCAACTTGTCCTCTCTTTAAGGGTCAGGTGGGTGCCCTCTGGCTGCAGGCCATGTTGGTCAACCTGAACGCGGGGAAGGCTGTCAGGATAGCCAGTCCTTGAGACCCCTACCGACCCCATTCCACTCTCTATCCTATTCCTTTCCTCCTCCCCGCGTGTTTAACTTCCACCCACCAGACAGAATGTGTGTGTTGGGAAAAGGGGCCAAGCACAGCCAATAGATTGTGGGGGTTCTGAGCACCATTGAGTCCTGAATTCCACTTTTGCTGATGACTCCTGGGCCCACCTGAGTCAGCTGGATGCAGTGCTAACACTGACCACTAGAGAGAACCAACCCCACACATTGCTCTCCCCTTTCCCTGAACCTTGGGGCGGAGGCGGTGGGGCTCCCCCAGGTCCCTGGGGATGAATAACCCAGACTCAAGGTATTGCCCCAGCTCCTTGGACCTGAAGCAGAGATACAAACCAAGAAACAGAAATCCCGGGAACAGACACGGACCACAAGCGCTTCCTCCCATAGTCCTGAAACCAACAGAGAATCTCAAAGTTGGAAGAGCTCTTGAAGATTTGAGTCTCTTCCCCAGCTTTAAAACTCAGAACACATCACGCCGAAAGAGGCCCTATCCAGCCATGGAAGCCCGTCCTCTTTTGTCTCTTCCTCCTTTCCAGACCTGTGTAGAGCTTATCCAGTTGTCAAAGGCCTGCCTGTGCATTCTCACGTCTGACCTGCAACTTGTCTTGTGTAGGAGGTATGAGTATCATCCCATTTCACAGATCAGGAGACTGAGGCTCAGAGAGACTGATTGCATGAGCTACCTCAGCCAGGGCAGCAGATCTCCACAACCTGGCTCTTCCCACATTGCGTCATTTAAAGTCCTTTCTCCAGGCCGGGCATGGTGGCTCATGCCTGTAATCCCAGCACTTTGGAAGACTGAGGTGGGTGGATCACTTGAGGTCAGGAGTTCAAGGCCAGACTAGCCAACATGGCAAAACTCCATCTCTTAAAAATACAAAAGTAGCTGTGTGTGGTGGCAGAAGCCTGCAATCCCAGTTACTCCGGAGGGTGAGGAGGTAGAATCGCTTGAACCCAGGACTCAGAGGTTGCCGTGAGCCAAGATTGGGCCATGGCACTCCAGCCTGGGCGCCAGAGTGAGACTCCATTTCAACAACCACAACAACGACAACAACAACAACAACAACAACAAAAGTCCTTTCTCCAGAGCAGGTGGTGTGGTGCTACTCAGTTATTTAGTTATTTTAGTTTCCTTTCTTTCTTTCCTTCTTTCTTTCTTTCTTTCTTTCTTTCTTTCTTTCTTTCTTTCTTTCTTTCTTTCTTTCTCTCTCTCTCTCTCTCTCTCTCTCTCTCTTTCTTTCTTTCTTTCTTTCTTTCTCTCTTTGTCTTTCTTTCTTTCTTGTTTTTGATGGAGTCTCATTCTGTCTCTGAGGCTGGAGTGCAGTGGCATGATGTTGCCTCACAGCAACCTCCACCTCCTGGGTTCCAGTGATTCTCCCGCCTCAGCCTCCCTAGTAGCTGGGATTACAGGCGCCCGCCACTATGCCGGGCTAAGTTTTGTACTTTTTAAATAGAGACGGGGTTTCACTATGTTGGCCAGGCTGGTCTCGAGCTCTTGACTTTAGGTGATCCACCCTCCCTGGCCTCCCAAAGTACTGAGATTACTGGCATGAGCCACCGCTCCCAACCCAGTTATTTCAGCTTCTATATCCCTCTGAGTGCAGGGATCCTGCCCCCAACACAAGGGGCCCTTTGCCTGATTTTGTCTTTCCATAAGGGGCAGATTGTTCTTTCTCAATTCTCAGGTGAGAATGGCCCAGTGGCATGGGGTGCCTTGTGGAAACCTCACAGCAGGAAAAGGTGAAGGCAGAGAAGGCCAGGACTGAGCCTCCTGTCTCCTGGTGCCCAGAGTTGGGGCTATTTCAATATAATCTGGAGGTCACAAGCATCAGATGCCCCCAGAGATGGCAGCAGGAAAGAGCACCCTCTCTAGTGGTGAAATCTTCCCCCCGAGTTTAAGAGCATCTAGCACTTGACTCTGTAGAAACACAAGCAAACAAACAGGCAAACGCTTCCAGAAGTGGTTGGCAGTGGTGTTGGCAACCAACATTGAACACCCACACCCCTGTGGCCTAGGATGTGAATGCTGGGGCCCTGCCATCTCCCCACTTTCAGAGCAGAAAACAGAGCTCCTTTTTCTGCCGTCATTCCTGAAGCATTACTGGACTAGCACCCCAGACTCATCATCTGCTGGGAGGGCACTGTGCTGTGAGCTGTTCTCCAGGCAGGCCTGTAGGAGGATCCAAGAGGGGTGTCATCGATGATACCAGCTCTGAGAAATATGGGGTCAAGGGAGGGTGGAGTCACCACTTTCCCCTGCTCCTTCCAGCACCAGCAAAGAGGAGGAGCCAGGTGGGAATGGAAGAGGGTCCCTGAGCTCCAAGTAGAAGAGGGTCCCTGCCTCCCCCACCATCCTTCCTCCAATGTCAGCTGGGACAGGGAGCCCCCATGACAGGGTCTTTTAGCCAGTGCTGGGGACTTAGATGTGGATTTTTGGCCATGGAAGAAGTCTGCAGCCTCCCTTAGGAAAGAGGGTGGCAGGGGCCCTAGTTGGGGACCACTACATAACTCCGCAGGTGGGCACACGGGTGGCGAGGCTCCCCATGCAGGTTACTGCCAGGAACATGTGGGACCTGCCAGGGCAGGGGAGTGTCTCCTCTCACCTCTCCATTTCTGTTGACCGCAGAATTATGGTGACTCAGAGGACTCTAGGAACCCCTGGGGAAACACCTTTGTAAGGGGTTACCATGCCAACCATGGACCAGAGGGAAGAACTGAGGCCCACAGGTGTGGGTAGAAGTCAATGATCATTTTCTCTAGTCTAGATCTTCCCAGAGCCTTGAGCAATGGAGACCATGTCTATCATTCATTGCTGGTAAAAAATCAACTTTGAATTAGACTTGGGATTCCCCTGACAGTACTGGGAAGTCGCTCACTGTTGGGGCATCACTTGAGGCCAGATCCCTGGCTGCTGCAGGCTGAGAGACTACCCAACAAGAGCCTCTATGTGGCCAGTGGGGAGAGGCTGCGCTTTGCACCTCTGGCGTCAGCTTCAAAAGGCTCAGGATAGGCCGGCGTGGTGGCTCATGCCTGTAATCCCAACACTTTGGGAGGCTGAGACATGTGGATCACCTGAAGTCAGGAGTTTGAGACCAGCGTGGCCAACATGGTGAAACTGATCTCTACTAAAAATAGAAAAATTAGCGGGGGTGGTGGCATTTGCCGATAATCCTAGTTACTGGAGCGGCTGAGGCACGAGAATTGCTTGAACCCGGGAGGCAGAGGTTGTCATGAGCCGAGATCACACTACTGCACTCCAGCCAGGGCGAAGAAGTGAGACTGACTTTGTCTCAAAAACAAGCAAACAAACAAAGAAAGAAACAAACAAAACAACGAAAAAACCAAAAAGAAAAGTAGAAAAATCCTCATCTCTGAGTTCACTGTTACCTAGCTCCTTACCCACCGAGAAACAAACATGGGAAGCAGGGGCCCCAGGGCCACCATGGACAGAGCAGCATTATATTTTAGTCCAAATCCATAAGAACACCCTAGGTTTCATCTGGGACTCCCTGCCCATACGGAAAGTGGGAAAGAAGAGTTGGCTCAAAGCAGGGAGCTGCTAGTGCTCCCTTGGGAAGGAAAGCTGTTGGGTGAAGGGGACAGCATTTGGGTGAGGGGAGGAGAGGGAGCAGGGGGTGAAGGTAGGGAGGGAGTGTGGTGCACTGAACTCAGCTCTTTGGGAAACTGTTTTTGCAGACAAGCCATGGTTAGAGGAATCCAGTTGCTCTGCCAAACAGACCTGGCTGGAAGGGATGGAACACACGCTCGCCTGCGTCCCAAAGGGAAACCCAGCTCCAGCCTTGGTGTGTACCTGGAATGGGGTGGTCTTTGACCTTGAAGTGCCACAGAAGGCAACCTAGAACCACACTGGAACCTACTGCTGCACAGCCACTAACCAGCTGGGCTCTGTCAGCAAAGACATTGCTGTCATTGTTCAAGGTAACCTTTGCTGCCCTGCTGCCAGGCCCAGGATGGAAACCCCTCAGGGGTTTGGGATTCTTATCCAAGCATGAAAATAAGAAAGATTCTACTAGGTTGGGAAGAATGAGACTCAGAAGTGGGCCTGGTGGGCTGGGGTGGGTGATCTTTGTACTCTCAGACTTTCCTAACTCTATCTTCTGTGCTTGGGCAGGACTGGATGAAGGAATCAGCTCTACCCTCTTTGTCATTATTACCGTTGCCCTTGGAGTGGGTGTCATCACCATAGCACTGTATTTGAGCTATCGGCCCTGCAAAGTAGACAGGAAGAAATTGCTCTACAGGCAGAAAGAGGAGGACAAAGAGGAGGAAAGCCAGTTTGCTGTTCAGGAAGAGAAAAGTGCAACTCATATAATTGACAGCTATTTGATTGAATGAGAGTTCTGCTACTGTGGTTTCCCAGGGATGGGAGAAGGGATAGAGGAGAAAGGAAGAAACACAATGGCAGGCTGCATTCCTATTTGTGTACATCTGTCCTGTAAAACGGTGTTTCAGGCCCCCATGCCCCATGTCCTGTGTGTCCAATATGTCCACAATCTCACCATTCTCTCTCTCTCTCTTTTTTTTTTTGAGATGGAGTCTCACTGTTGTCGCCTAGGCTGGAGTGCAATGATGCGATCTCGGCTCACTGCAACTTCAGCCTCCTGGGTTCAGGTGATTCTCCTGCCTCAGCCTCCCCAGTAGCTGAGATTACAGGTGCATACCACCATGCCTGTCTAATTTTTGTATTTTTCGTAGAGATGGGGTTTCACCATGTTGGCTAGGCTGTTCTCAAACTCCTGACCTCAAGTGATCCGCCCACCTTGGCCCCCCAAAATGCTGGGATTACAGGTGTGAGCCACTGCACCCAGCCACCTTTCTCTTTAGAGCTCACCCTAGTCATTAGGAATCTCAGTCTCAATGTTTGATTTGTAAGAAGGCCTCTTGCTCCTTGCCAGGTGCTTCATCAGTCCACTCTTAGATCCAAAAAAAAAAAGAAAAGATCTTGCCGTTTCTTCATGGTTCTCACTGCCCTTTTCTCTTAAACATCATACTACAGTCAGGCATATCTTAGAAATACAACTCATATTTCATGGGTTTTTGATTACTAACTGGGAGCTAAATTTGTAGTCCATGGACAGGACTTTGAAGGGAGTAAGTATCAAATATGGGGCCAGGAATCAGAGCTCTGTTCCCATCTCCACTTTCCCTTGCTCCCCTGACCTGGGCTTCTGGAGTGCCAGCTCCCAGAGCTGAGCTTGTTGACATCATTAAGGATCAGTGGCAAGCTGCAACTCAGTAACCATCTGTTGTGGGTCTTGGGGGAGTATACAGATGGTAAGAAATTCCACTTCGGGCCAGACAAGCATCGTATCTAGCCCAGTGTTCTGTCTCTGAAGTAGAAGGTAGAGTTCTTCCATGAAATTGGCCTCTTAGGTTAAGAGCTCCAAACATCTCTGAATTCCTTTTCATAGAGTGATCAACTGTGAGTTCGCATTTGCCAGTTTTCTTTTTTTTACCCATATAGGTGTCTAGGTTAGAGTTGCAATGTTTACTCTCTGTTTTCATCAAGAAGTGCATATTTTTTTCTGACTGTAAACAATTTCCTTGAAGCTTCAAGAGGAATCCTCTTGTGAAAATGTTCATATGATTTTATGGTTCAGCCTCCTTCCCTGTCCTTCGGAAAGAGTATATTCACCCTCGGAGAAGGCGTGAGGAATCACAAAACCAGATCTTTTCTCCCAAGTCAGTCAAGAAATGTTCACTGGAATGTTGCTATGGTAAAAATAAAAGTGGTTTTATGATGTCCAAATGCAGTTCCCTTCCCTTCTGTGTCATTGCTGAAAGCTCTTGTTATGTCAAATGGTTGCATTTTATCACTTTTTTTTTTTTTCAGATGCAGTCTCGCTCTATTGCCCAGGCTGGAGTGCAATGGCGTGATTTTGGCTCACTTCCACCTCTACCTCCTGGGTTCAAGGATTTCTCTGCCTCAGCCTCCCAAGTAGCTGGGATTACAGGTGCCCATCACCATGCCCAGCTAATTTTTTGTATTTTTAGTAGAGACAGGGTTTCACCATCTTGGCCAGGCTGGTCTTGAAGTCCTGATCTCGTGATCCACCCACTTCGGCCTTCTAAAGTGCTGGGATTACAGGTATGAGCCACCGCTCCCGGCTGCATTTTATAACTTTAAGTACAATTTCTAAGGAAAAAATACCGTGTTGATAGCATAAACAACCAGCCCGGGGCAGGGGGTGCATTAGCTCAGGGTGGCAGCCTATGTAAACTGCTTTCAAAACTGAAATTCAGGCCGGGGCGGTGGCTCAGCGTGTAATCCCAGCACTTTGGGAGGCTGAGGCGGGCGAATCACTTGAGCCCCAGAGTTTGCGAATAGCCTGGGCAACATGGCAAACCCCATTTCTACAAAAAACACAAAACTTAGCCAGGTATAGTGGCACGTGCCTGTAGTCCCAGCTACTTGAGAGTCTGAGGTGGGAGGATCACTTGGGCGCGGGAGGTGGAGGGTTGCAGCGAGTTGAGATCATGCACTGCACTCCAGCCTGGGTGACATAGCCAGACCCTGTCTCAAAAGCAAAACAAAGGAAACACAAGCAAAAAGAAAAGCTAAAGTTCAGACTTCCAGATAGAGAGAGGTCCATAGCTTTCCAAATTGCAGATACCAGCTAGAAAAAACCATGGCATCAGACAGCAGAGGGAAAACGTTTTCCCATTCTTCCCAGACCTCCCCTGAGTCTGGTGCTATAGATTAAGTGTAAAAGTAACCCTTTGGTTTCACCACATACAAGGCAGTGGGGATACAGTGGTGAACAAAACATTGTTCCTGGCTTCCACAAATTTATTAGGAAAGCAAGACAAACAAGTAGGAGATTACATTTGTGCATGAACTCCTATGACTGGGAAAACAGATTGTTAAGAGAAAGCATAACTCGAATCAAGGAAGGCTTCCTGGAGGGACACGAAATATCTTGACTTTATAAAATAGCATCATCCCCGAACATGACCTTTTCAACCTCAATGTTTCCACTAGGTGGAGCTACTGCTCCTTCATCATGTGAGTCTAATATAAATCATCCACCTTCCCTGAATTGAGCATTTGGGGAAGTAAGTTAAGAAGCAGGTTTAAGAGACAGGAGTATACAGCCACACCATGCAGGGATCCACAGCCATTTTGGTGTCAGGATCAGTCGCATCAGGGCTGTAGATATCCTGTATCTGCAAACCCTGCCTCATGGCCTCAGTGCCTTGAAGCACAGCGAATCCAACAAGGAAGGGGAAAATGAGCCAGGCATGGTGGTGTGCACCTGTAATCCCAGCTACTGGGGAGGCTGAGGCAGGAGAATCGCTTGACTGTGGGAGGCAGAAGTTGCAGTGATCCGAGATCGTGCCATTGCATTCCAGCCTGGGCAACAAAGCGAGACCCCATCTTGAACAAAACAAAAACAAAAGCAAACAAAACCAAAAAGGGAGGAAGAAGGGGGCCACTTGGACTTTCTAGTTCCAGCAGGGCGAGCCTGGAGGCTCAGCCGGCTGCTGCCTTTGCTTCTCACTGCTACAGGGTGTCAGTGTTGACAGATGGTCCCACACAGTACCCTCAAACCAAGCGGGTCTGCAGATCTGGGTTCCCACCTGCTGTAGATCTCTGAGGGAGGATGATCTGCTTCTTCGGGGCCTGGTCCAGCTCTGCAGGTGTCCTCTTGCTGGGGTTTCCAGCTTTCCAGTTCTTAGAGCTCAGTAGTTTGGATGAGCCGTCCCGCAAAGCTCTTCAGAGTAGGCTGGGCTTTTTCCCTTGTAGACTTGGAACCTCTGTTCACTTTCCTTCCCGAAGGATCCACACAACCAGAGATCAGGCAGGCCTTTCTCATTGATTCTTTTTTTTTTTTTGGAGACGGAGTCTCGCTCTGTCTCCCAGGCTGGAATGCAGTGGCACGACCTCGGCTCACTGCAACTTCTGCCTCCTGGCTTCAAGCAATTTTCCTACCTCAGCCTCTGGAGTAGCTGGGATTACAGGTGTGCACCACCACACCTGGCTAATTTTTGTGTTATTAGTAGAAACAGGATTTCGTCATGTTGGCCAGGCTGGTCTCAAACTCCTGACCTCAGGTGATCTGCCCACCTCGGCCTCCCAAAGTGCTGGGATTACAGGAGTGAGTCACCACGCCCGGCTTCATTGATTCTTAAAGCAAGAAGGATCTCATATCTCTTTTCCAGTATAATAGAGCTTCTAAGGGTAGTTGCCTTCATTGTCTATAGGAGGAGGCCCCACCCTCTAAATGGTTTTGATCATATTCTTTCTGAACATTAAAGCAACCAGCTCATACTTAAATTGCAGCTACCTTGATTATCTCCAGAGGAAGAGTGGCCTTTAATACTCCAAAATTTTATCTTCTTTCTTATTATTTTTGAGAGAGAATCTTCCTCAGCCACCCAGCTGGAGTGCAGTGGCTTGATGGGCCCAGCCCAACACTGCCTCCCGGGCTCAAGCGATTCTCATGCCTTCGTAGCTGGGAATACAGGTGTGCACCACCACACCTGGCTAATTTTTGTATTTTTTAGTAAGAGACGGGGTGCCACCATGTTGGCCAGGCTTATCTCGAACTTGTGACCTCCTCCCGCCTCAGCCCTCCAAAGTGCTGAGATTACTGGCGTGAGCCACAGTGCCTGGCCATTTATGCTCTCAAGGATGGTCAGGGTGACATTCTGGTGTCTTTCTCTCTAGACCTGAGAAAGCATAAGTTACATCGTTAGTGGGACTTCTTACCATAGGATTAATAATAGTATTTACCTTAGAGAATTATAGTTAGAAAGAAATGACATAATACTTGTAATAAACTAGCATGGTGCTGGAGACATGTGTTCACATTTGTTGGTTTTTATTATTACACTGATAATTCTAGTGGTAATTAAGCACATCATTATAATCACAGTAAACTCAAAGCAAGAATCAGAAATCCATGATAACCATGAGGGCCATCAAAGGTCATATACACTGTGCACAGCTTTCCGGTTTTTCTAGTCTTTTTCTTGCTCCTTCCCCTACTTTCCCCCCAGTTTGGTGCCCTAAGATTTAGGACTACTAATAGGGTGACCAGTCCTGTGAGCTGAGTTTGCATTGAGCTGAGGGATTCCTGGAAGGAACGTGGGACTTTCAGTGTTGACATTGAGAAAGTCTCCTGCAAACCAGGACGAGTTGGTGACCCTAATCCCAGAGGTACTCATTGTGTGCCTCAGCACTCCAGGGCCTTCTGAATTAAAGAAGCATCCAGGCAAAGTGTCAGCTTGTCTTGGCTGAGAAGCCCAGACCCTACAATTCAGAAGAAAAAGGAAGGGGTCAGTTCTGCTCTCAACTGTGTATAAAGGGACAAAACCAACCATGTGTATTTCAACAATGCTCATGGAAGATATTCAGAAGTGGTCATTTTAGGTTAGGGTAAATTCAAAAAAATGACAGAGTCAGTAAAACATTATGCCAGGGGTCAAGGATGACTGGAGCTCTGCCTGCTGAACTCTTCCCTGTGCGAGTCTCGATAATCTTATCTTCAGGAAGAGTTTTCATTAGAAAATACCATTAAGGGCCAGGCCTGGTGGCTCCCGCCTGTAATCCTATCACTTTGGGAGGCCAAGGAGGGTGGATCACCTGAGGCCAGGAGTTTGAGACCAGCCTGGCCAACATGGCGAAACCCTGTCTTTACCAAAAATACAAAAATCTGCCCTGTGTGGTGGTGCACACTTATAATCCCAGCTACTCAGGAGGCTGAGGCATGAGAATCACTTGAACCCGGGAGGAGGCGGAGGTTGCAGTGAGCCAAGATCCCACCACTGCACTCCAGCCTCTGTCTCAAAAACAAAAACAAAAACAAAAGAAACTATTAACAATTTTTAGTTGTGAGAAGATATAAACATTTCCATCTTAACCATTTTACGTGTACAGTTCGGTCACGTCAAGTACATTGACATCGTCATGCAACCCTCACCACCAACCATCTCCAGAACCCTTTTCATCTTGCACAGCTGAAACCCTGTGCTCGTTAAATGGCTCCCTATTCCATCCCTCCCCACAGCCACTGGCAGCCACCATCCTACTTTTTGTCTCTACGAATTTGACTGCTCTGAGTACCTCATCTAACTGGAATCAGAGAGTATTTGTCTTTCTGTGACTGGCTCACGATAAACACTTTTTAGATGACTGGTTGGAATTAGGAGCAGGTGGCACCACAACTGGCCCAGGCCTCTCGTCTCCTTTTTCTCCGTTTTCCCTGTTCCACCAATACAACAGCTGTGAACACATGGGTCTCATCTTTGCGGTCCCTAACACAGTGGTTCTCAACCTTGTTTACATGATAGAATCACCTGGGAAAGTTTTCAAACTACTCTTGCCTGGACCACATTCCAGGCTAATTATATCAGAATCTCAGGGAGTGAGGGCTCACGAATGCATCGTTTAGAAAACACCCTAGGCATCTCAAATTTGCAGCGGAAATTGCCGTCCACACCAAGTTGATGAGCTGAAAGGTAGACTAACAGTAGGTAAATCAAAGAGTTTAAAGCAGATGGTCTTTAAGGTCTTTTTATATTCTAAAATGTGCAAAGTCAGGTAGTATCTTTCTAATTCTCAACCAGCAGTGGTTGAGTGGATTCTCCTATACCCGAGGGGAGCTGGGTGGACAGTCTCTGGCGTGTGGCTCCCCCTGCAGTTCAGTTATATGTTATGACCACCCCACTTTAGAACCCTCTTAGCCACCCAAGTAGGCGCTGGACATTGTCATTCCACTGTCACGTGCATTCAACAAATACTTATTAAGATGGCTCACATTTCCTTTTAAAACACGCAAGCCGAGAGATAATTATAATTGTGCTCATTCCATCGACTTCTAAAGACTGAGATTTCTAAATAATTTTAAGGCCAAATGAAGGACATTGCAGGAATATTGATTCCAGCTTTGTGCAAGAAATAGTTTTCTGCAATGAGAGTGGTTTATTAGAATGAAGAGCCTTGTGAAAGGGATTCCCTTGGTTCTAGTGCTACACACTTGTAATTGGAATACTGACTGTAATGGACGCTGTAGGATAAGATTCCCAAAGTAGAAGAAACTAGACTGACTTATGAGGCCCTTCTAACTCCAAAATGCCGTAATTTTAAATTCCAATAGTAGAAGAACAACGTAAGATGCAGGAATGTCTTCTGAGCTGAGAAATGCAGCAGCTCTAGAGTTCTGATTAGTTCAGCTTTGAACCACTTCCCAAGGACTGAGTTATTAACTGCAAAATAGCCAAAAATGAACACAAGTGGGTCTCGTTATCAAAAAAATTCATTATGGCACATAAGAATCAGAACTTCTAAAGAAGATTAATTAGGGGGTTGATTATTTGCATTGTAAAATAATTCCTGACTTCATGAAATCATTTTTGGATACTAGAGTTCCTGTGAGCATCTTAGTATAGATTTAGGTCACCAGTCACTTAGCCAAGGTGCTTGGGAGAGTAAACTCTTAACTAACCACCGCTCTTTAGTGCTTATTTGGAAATAATAAACATCTCAGATGTTTATTATTATTATAAAACATCCAAAAATTCAATGCAGAAATAACTACAATTTCTTCAGTACTATAATATGTCAAAAATACCATTGCATTTAATCCTCACATAATCCTTGTAAAGCAATATATTATTATCTCAGCTTGGTCAAGTAATTTATTCAGCGACACTAAATTGCATACAGCCCAAATCTTTCTGATTCTTTCCCTTACACCAAATTACCCCAATCAACATCTCTTAGAACAAAATTGCTCACAGACAGCTTGGAGACCATGTGTGTTTGGGTTAATTTTTGCCCTTAAAAGATTTTCAGTATGTGTTGCCATTATTTAAATATTAGATTTCCCGTAACAGTCTGGATGTCCTGGCTGTCTCAAAGAATCAGAAGGTCTGGAAGCCGTGTCCCTGCAGTCCTGATGGTGACAGGCGGGCTGGGTCCCACCTCAGCAGGGGCTTGAGTTCTGCAGATTGTGCTGGTTCCCACCCTTCTGTGTTGCATCCCCTGAAGGGAAGCGAGTGTCATCTGGGATTTATCCCCTGCCATCCAGCCCTCATTGCTTACGTTGTTATCTACCTGGCACCTGTTGGCACTGCATTTACAACCCGCAAATAAAATCTCTCTTCCACTTCCCTTGCCCTAATTCAGATTCCAAATGCTCTGGTTCCATATGTCTCAAACTCATTTTTGCATTGTTCTCATTTCCCGAGAGTAGTTGGGCTTAAGGAATATTCATCTTAAAATTCTTCCGAACACAAGTAATTCTATGCCATTGTTTCCTCACCTGTTGGGGAGTTTTTGCCTCTGCACTTAATAGCCCATCTTGTTTTCATTTCTTCCCGCTCCTGGGGGGCTAGGTTTGGTGTTGCTGGTGATGGTGGGGGAGGAAGAAATGCCTTCAAGTCATCTCTGGGATGACCAATGAGCTATGACCAGCAAGCTGGGACCACTGAGCTGGTGGAATGGCCTTAGTGAGTAATAGACAGCAGTGATATGTCAGCCTTTTTCTGGCCCAGGAACAGCCAAACCTCTTATATTTCAGTGGCCTAGTTCCCAATAGACCCTGAAGGCCCTCCAGGTCGTCTTCCCACCTACCCCTTGCTCCATACCACCACCTTCCACCCCATAATATTATAGAAGGACACCTAGTCAGATGAAACAATACAACTTAATTTTATTAAGACAAGGCTGGTGGGCACTGGAGTGGCACCTTCAGGGCCAGGAGAGGCACTGGGGAGGGGTCACAGGATGCCACGCGGGCCCCTAGAAGCCACAGCTGCCCTCCACAGAGCGGCACTGCACCATGCGCAGGAATGTCTCGACCTTGTCCATGTCCTTCCTGAAGCAGTGGAGCAGCCCGTAGTTCTTGAGCAGTGCGTCATGGTTGTGCGAGTTTGTGTCAAACTTGCTGTAGGTCTGCTTGAGGGTCTGCCCAGTCAGGTGGCTGCCGTCTTCCAGCCTCTGCAAAGTGAAGCAAGAGAAGGAGAGACCAAGCGCTTGGGCACTGTTCCCTCCCTCTCTCATTTATCCATTTTCCTCCTTCCCCTTCAGGGTGTAGAGAAAGGCCTGGAGGATTCACGAGGGGAAATGAAGAATAAGGTGAGTTCTCTTGGGTCAGCGCCTGACTGCTGAAAAGAGGGCAGCAGTGTTTCTCTCCCCCAGCCCTCGAAGCCAGTGGGCTTCCAGGATTGGGGACCCCTGGTGCCACCCTCACCCCCATCAGCATTTGGATGCCTTCCTCTAGGTCCTTTAGGAGGTGATAGTCATCGCTGTCCGAGGTGTCATACACCAGGTTGTTGGTGAAGGTACTCCTGAGGAACCGCACGGGCTCCAGCCGCGACTCGATGAGCAGCAGGGAGATGTGGAGCAGCTCTAAGTTCTGCAGGGGAAGGACCGGCAGTGGCTGTGCTGCCCGGGGGCTCTGACCACAGGTCTCCCCCATCCCCGCCTAGGGGAGACAGCATCCACTCACGGATTTCTGCTGCGTTTCCTCCATGTTGGAGGATGTCGGAATAGAGTCTGAGAAGCAGAAGGAGGTCTGGGAGTCATGCAGGAATGAATACTTCTGTTCCTTTGTGATATAGGCTTCTTCCTAGGGGAAGGACCCCCCACCAAGAAGGACCACTGCTTTCTATGCTGGAGACCAGCTCCCACTGTTACTCTTCTGGGAACCTGGCTCAGCCTATGCTCATCTGCCTGCATTTTCGCTTCAGAAAACAACCCTGAGCTCCTTAGTCTCCTCCCATTACTTCCCCAGTGGGGGAAAGTCACCCCTTCTTGCCACCCCTGACCCGCACCCATTCCCCAAGAGCTTATAAACTCCTGGTAGGTGTCAATGGCCAGCTGGTGTGCGCGATGGGCTTGGAGCATAGCCTCTTTAAAAAGCCTGGATAAGGGAACGGTTTGGACGGCACCAGCCTCTTGAAGCCAGGGCAGGCAGAGCAGGGCAAAAGCCAGGAGCAGGGACGTCCGGGAGCCTGGGGAGAAACCGGAGGGCAAGAAGGGAGCCGCAGAGCAAGAGGCCAGCACTCTCCCTGTTCCAGGAGCTGTTTTCTTTTTCTCTCTCTCCATCCCTCCAGGGACCAGGAACATTCAGAGATTGGCCAAATATCTGGCCTTAGATGGCGATATTCACATTCAGAAGCCCCAAACCTGAGGTTAGTGCCCCCGTCCCATCTGCAGGGCGCCGCCTCTCCCCTCAGGACACGTTGTGCCCAAAGGGATTTTAGGGGCGCTTACCTGCAGCCATTGCCGCTAGGTGAGCTGTCCACAGGACCCTGAGTGGTGCGGGGAGTCGGGCCTTGGGATGCTGGAGCTGGTCTCTTGTGGGCCCTTTTTATACCCTGGCCCCTTCTCTCTCGCTGTTGCCCCCACCTGTTTCTGTGCACATTTATGCATGGGGCCACTGACGGGCTTGTGCTAATGGATAATTTGGAAGCTCCTCCCACACATGCTGGCATCATGTCCCCTGGCTTGTCATCTTTCCCTTCCCACCGTCACCAGCGTTGTGAGGGTTGTGCACAGAGTGTCAACCACAGACACCACCCAACTTGTCCTCTCTTTAAGGTTCAGGTGGGTGCCCTCTGGCAGCAGGCCATGGTGGCCAACCTGAATGCGGAGAAGGATGTCAGGATAGCCAGTCCTTGAGACCCCTATCGACCACATCCCACTCTCTATCCTATTCCTTTCCTCCTCCCCGCATGTTTAACCTCCACCCACCAGACAGAATGTGTGTGTTGGGAAAAGGGGCCAAGCACAGCCAATAGATTGTGGGGGTTGTGAGCATGATTCAGTCCTGAATTCCACTTCTGCTGACGACTCCTGGGCCCACCTGAGTCAGCTGGATGCAGTGCTAACACTGACCACTAGAGGGAACCAACCCCACACTTTGATCTCCCCTTTCCCTGAGCCTTGGGGCGGGGCGGAGGGAGGGGGTTGGGTGGGGGGCTCCCCCAGGTCACTGGGGACGAAGAACTCAGACTCTCAAGGTATTGCCCCAGCTCCCTGGACCTGCAGCAGAGACACAAACCAAGAAACCGAAATCCCGGGAACAGACACGGACCACAAGCGCTTCCTCCCATAGCCCTGAAACCATCAGAGAATCTCAAAGTTGGAAGAGCTCTTGAAGATTTGAATCTCTTCCCCAGCTTTGGAACTCAAAACACATCACGCCGAAAGATGCCCTATCCATCCATGGAAGCCCGTCCTCTTTTTTCTCCTCCTCCTTTCCACACCTGTATAGAGCCTATCCAGTTGCGAAGGGCCTGCCTGTGCATTCTCACGTCTGACCTGCCACTTGTCTTGTGTAGGAGGTATGATTATCATCCCATTTCACATATCAGGAGACTGAGGCTCAGAGAGACTGATTGCATGAGCTACCTCAGCCAGGGCAGCAGATCTCCACAGCCTTGCTCTTCCCACTTTGTGTCATTTAAAGTCCTTTCTCCAGGCCGGGCACGGTGGCTCATGCCTGTAATCCCAGCACTTTGGGAGGCTGAGGTGGGTGGATCACTTGAGGTCAGGAGTTCAAGGCCAGACTAGCCAACATGGCAAAACACCAACTCTCTAGAAATACAAAAGTAGCTGTGTGTGGTGGCGCAAGCCTGTAATCCCAGTTACTCCGGAGGGTGAGGTGGTAGAATCACTTGAATCCAGGAGGCAGAGGTTGCTGTGAGCCAAGATCGCGCCACTGCACTCCAGCCTGGGCGACAGAGTGTGACTCCATTTCAACAACCACAACAACAAGAAAAAAGTCCTTTCTCCAGAACAGGTAGTGTGGTGTTACTCAGTTATTTAGTTATTTTAGTTTCTTTCTTTCTTTCTTTCTTTCTTTCTTTCTTTCTTTCTTTCTTTCTTTCTTTCTTTCTTTCTTTCTTTCTTTCTCTTTCTTTCTTTTTCTTTTTCTTTCCTTCCTCCTTTCCTTTTCTTTCTTTCTTTCTTTCTCTTTCTTTCTTTCTTTCTTTCCTTCCTCTTTGTCTCTCTCTCTCTCTTTCTTTCTTTTTTTTCAGTTGGAGTCTCATTCTGTCACCCAGGCTGGAGTGCAGTGGCATGATGTTGCCTCACAGCAACCTCCACCTCCTGGGTTCAAGTGATTCTCCTGCCTCACCCTGTTTAGTAGCTGGGATTACAGTCGCCCGCCACCACGCCAGGCTAAATTTTGTACTTTTTTAGTAGAGACGGGGTTTCACTATGTTGGCCAGGCTGGTCTCGAACTCTTGACTTTAGGGGATCCACCCTCCCTGGCCTCTCTAAGTACTTAGATTACTGGCGTGAGTCACCGCCCCCAACCCAGTTATTTCAGCTTCTAAATCCCTCTGAGTGCAGGGATCCTGCCCCCAACACAGGGGCCCTTTGCCTCATTTTGTCTTTCCATAAGGGGCAGATTGTTCTTTCTCAATTCCCAGGTGAGAATGGCCCAGTGGCATGGGGTGCCTTGTGGAAACCTCACAGCAGGACAAGGCTGAGGCGGAGAAGGCCAGGACTGAGCCTCCTGTCTCCTGGTGCCCAGGGTTGGGGCTATTTCCATACCATCTGGAAGTCACAAGCATCAGATGCCCCCAGGGATAAGAGCAGGAAAGACCACCCTCTCCAGTGGTGAAATCTTCCCCCACCCTGAGTTTAAGAGCATGTAGCACTTGACACTGTAGAAACACAAGCAAGCAAACAAGCAAATGCTTCTAGAAGTGATTGGCTGTGGTGTTGGCAACCAACATTGAACACCCACACCCCTGTGGCCTAGGATGTGAATGCTGGGGCCCTGCCATCTCCCTACTTTCAGAGGGGAAGACAGAGCTCCTTTTTCTGCCGTCACTCCTGAAGCATTACCGGACCAGCACCCCAGACTCATCACCTGCTGGGAGGGCACTGTGCTGTGAGCTGTTCTCCAGGCAGGCCTGTGTGAGGATCCAAGAGGGGTGTCATCGATGATACCAGCTCCGAAAAATATGGGGCCAAGGGAGGGTGGAGTCACCACTTTCCCCTGCTCCTTCCAGCACCAGCAAAGAGGAGGAGCCAGGTGCGAATGGAAGAGGGTCCCTGAGCTCCAAGTAGAAGAAGGTCCCTGCCTCCCCCACCATCCTTCCTCCAATGTCAGCTGGGACAGGGAGCCCCCATGACAGGGCCTTTTAGCCAGTGCTGGGGACTTAGATGTGGATTTTCGGCCATGGAAGAAGTCTCCAGCCTCCTTTAGGAATGAGGGTGGCAGGGGCCCTAGTTGGGGACCACTGCATAACTCCGCAGGTGGGCACAGGGGTGGCGAGGCTCCCCAGACAGGTTACTGCCAGGAACACGTGGGACCAGCCAGGGCAGGGGAGTGTCTCCTCTCACCTCTCCACTTCTGTTGACCCCAGAATTATGGTGACTCAGAGGACTCTAGGGACCCCTGGGGAAACACCTTTATAAGGGGTTACCATGGCAGCCATGGACCAGAGGGAAGAACTGAGGCCCTCAGGTGTGGGTAGAAGTCGATGATCGTTTTCTCTAGTCTAGATCTTCCCAGAGCCTTGAGCAATGGAGACCATGTCTATCATTCATTGCTGGTAAAAAATCAACTTTGCATTAGACTTGGGATTCTCCTAACAGTACTGGGAAGTTGCCCACTGTTGGGGCATCACTTGGGTCCAGATCCTTGGCTCCTGCAGGCTGAGAGACTACTCAGGGAGAGCCTCCACATGGCCAGTGGGGAGAGGCTGGGCTTCGCGCCTCTGGCGTCAGCTTCAAAAGGCTCAGAATAGGCCGGGCGCAGTGGCTCATGCCTGTAATCCCACCACTTTGGGAGGCCAGGGTGGGTGGATCATGAGGTCAGGAGTTCAAGACCAACCTGGTCAAGATGGTGAAATCCCGTCTCTACTAGAAATAGAAAAATTAGCTGCGCATGGTGGTAGGTGCCTGTAATCCCAGCTACTCAGGTGGCTGTGGCAGGGAATTGCTTGAACCCGGGAGGTGGAGGTTGTAGCGAGCTGAGATCATGCCACTGCACTCCTGCCTGGGCAACAGAGCGAGACTCTGTATCAAGAAAAACAAAAAAAAACTCTACGTAATCTCACAATCATCTTGGTTCTTTTAAAGAACCTGCCTTTATAATTTAGGATCCATGAATTTCTCTGTGTGTTTGGAAGCCCTTCCTATGTCCAACCTCGACTAACTCTAGGGTTCTGTGTGCCTGCTGTGGAAAGTCACAGATCTGCTGTTGATCCTAAAGTGGTGTCTTTCAGGCTTCAAGATCTCCTGTTAGGTTCAAGACTGTGGGGTTGAGGACGATCACATTTTTCGAAGCCATTCTCACCGGTCTTAGGGATCGCCTCCAAGGGACTGGTGGGTGCTCCTTCCACTCTCACTTTGGTGATTTGAGGCGCACACTTCTCACCTGCAGCTCTGTTCTTTCTTCCTTGAGATCAGAGGCTGGTTATTGTACTGGGACATACTCTACCTCCTTTTGGCTTCTAATGTCCTTTCCATGAGTTTGCTACCGAGTCAATTACTTGGCTCATTGGATTGAGGTCTTCAGAGAATATTATATGGGGATTCCCAAGGGCTCTCCTAGGGGAGGTGAGGAAGATGATCAATACTTCTGCGTGTCCACCATGTGCTTGGCACTCTACTGACCATAGGGATGTGAGTGAGGATACTGAGGCTCAAAGAGATGAGGTGGCTTGCCTGGAGCTCTCCCAGTTTCTAAGTGATGGCTTCCAAGGCCCCCGGGCTTTCCTTCCATGCCAAGCTCTTTAGAAGTCTCATCTAGTAAAGGTGGTGGCACTACTAGGCATGGACAGAACTTGCCTCAGTGCAAAGCTAGCAGGACAGGGGTGAGGTCCCTACACAGGATGTTCAATGAAGATGGGGGGAATTGAACACAAGGAACTTCAGCCACAGAATGAGGTGTCCATAGGCATTAAGGAAAGTGGTAGAAAAGAAGCACCCAGCGTAGCTCGGGTTAGTGAACCGAGGCACTTCATGCTGCATATTTGTATTGCACGTTTCAGTGTACATCGTGTTTCACTTCCTATATCTCGTTGGACACTTCAGTTTGCCATATGATATGTCCAGGGGGTTCAGGCACGGAGGAAGGGCCTCGGAAGACCTCGGGGGGAGAGGGGCAGGCACTGCTGTGTATTGATGGGGGGATTGTTTGCACTGGTTGATGATCTCTGAACAACCAAGAAGTACACAAGGATCTACCTAACTGGACGTGCTAAGTAATTTCACTTTGGGGATTATTCTCCAGGGAGACGATCCATTGATAGAGAAGTGAAAAGCATCGAGATGTGTCTAGTAGTTGTAGGAAGTCTGGGGTGCTTTCCTGATGGGGTGCCCTCAGCTGGAAATAGCCCCTCCTTCCTTTGACCTGTCCTGTGGCTATTTGCAGACATTTTATTCCTCTTACCAGACTGTAAGCTCTTTGAGGCTGGATTTCTGCCTTTTGTCTATTCATTCATTCACTCATTCTTCTATTCATGCATTCACCAATTCCACAAGTAGTTGTTGCCTGTAACATGTGCCAGAGATTGTACCAGGCAGATGGGCATATCTAGATAAGCAAAAGACATGATCCTTTCTCTTCTGGAGCTAACAATCTACTGGGGGCAGAGATAATAGCAAACAAGTAAATATATAATGGTTAAATAGAAATTTCGAATTTGGAACATTCTCATGAGGAAAACAGCTAAGATATGGAGGGAGAGAAGAAGCCAGAAGGTGACGGGACGAGGCAGCTGGCACAGCCCTAGGCCCAGGAATTCAACAGGCATCTACTGAGTGGACCCAACGCATGAGAGGACAGTGCCAAGCAAGCAACTCAAATGTCCCACCGGTTGGGCATGGCCAGGTAGCCTATGCTGTGTCTGGACGTCCTCCTGCTGGTATAGTTATTTTAAAATCAGAAGGACAGGGAAGGGAGCAGTGGTTCACGCCTGTAATCCCAGCAATTTGGGAGGCCAAGGTGGGTAGATCACCTGAGATTAGGAGTTGGAGACCAGCCTGGCCAATATGGTGAAACCCCGTCTCTACCAAAAAAACAAAAATTAGCTGAGCCTGGTCATGCATGCCTGGAATCCCAACAACTCGGGAGGCTGAGGCAGGAGAATCGCTTGAACCCAGGAGGCGGAGATTGCAGTGAGCCAAGATTGTGCCACTGCACTCCAGCTTGGTTCCCAATAGACCCCGCAGGCCCTACAGGTTGTCTTCCCAACTTGCCCCTTGCTCCATACCACCCCCCTCCACCCCATAATATTATAGAAGGACACCTAGTCAGACAAAATGATGCAACTTAATTTTATTAGGACAAGGCTGGTGGGCACTGGAGTGGCAACTTCCAGGGCCAGGAGAGGCACTGGGGAGGGGTCACAGGGATGCCACCCGGGCAGCTAGAAGCCACAGCTGCCCTCCACAGAGCGGCACTGCACGATGCGCAGGAATGTCTCGACCTTGTCCATGTCCTTCCTGAAGCAGTAGAGCAGCCCGTAGTTCTTGAGTAGTGCGTCATCGTTGTGTGAGTTTGTGTCGAACTTGCTGTAGGTCTGCTTGAAGATCTGCCCAGTCCGGGGGCTGCCATCTTCCAGCCTCTGCAAAGTGAAGGAAGAGAAGGAGAGGCCAAGCGCTTGGGTACTGTTCCCTCCCTTTCTCATTCATTCATTTTCCTCCCTCCCCTTCAGGGTGTAGAGAAAGGCCTGGAGGATTCACGAGGGGAAATGAAGAATAAGGTGAGTTCTCTTGGGTCAGGGCCTGACTGCTAAAAAGAGGGCAGCAGTGTTTCTCTAACACAGCTCTCAAAGTCAGTGGGGCTCCAGGATTGGGGACCCCTGGCGCCACCCTCACCCCCATCAGCGTTTGGATGCCTTCCTCTAGGTCCTTTAGGAGGTCATAGACGTTGCTGTCAGAGGCGCCGTACACCAGGCTGTTGGCGAAGACACTCCTGAGGAACTGCACGGGCTCCAGCCACGACTGGATGAGCAGCAGGGAGATGCGGAGCAGCTCTAGGTTCTGCAGGGGAAGGACGGGCATTGGCTGTGCTGCCCGGGGGCTCTGACTACAGGTCTCCCCCATCCCCGCCTGGGGAGAAGGCATCCACTCACGGATTTCTGTTGTGTTTCCTCCCTGTTGGAGGGTGTCGGAATAGACTCTGAGAAACAGAGGGAGGTCTGGGGGTTCTGCAGGAATGAATACTTCTGTTCCTTTGGGATATAGGCTTCTTCCTAGGAGAAGGACCGCCCACCAAGGTCTACGCTGGAGACCAGCTCCCATTGTTACTTTTCTGGGAACCTCACTCAGCGTGTGCTCATCTGCCTGCATTTTCGCTTCGGGAAAAACCCTGAGCTCCTTAGTCTCCTCCTCTTATTTCCCAGCGGGGGAAAGTCACCCCTTCCTGCCACCCCTGATGCGCACCCATTCCCCAAGAGCTTACAAACTCCTGGTAGGTGTCAAAGGCCAGCTGGTGCAGACGATGGGCGCGGAGCATAGCGTTGTCAAAAAGCCTGGATAAGGGAATGGTTGGGAAGGCACTGCCCTCTTGAAGCCAGGGCAGGCAGAGCAGGCCAAAAGCCAGGAGCAGGGACGTCCGGGAGCCTGGGGAGAAACCAGAGGGCAACAGAGGGAGCCGGAGAGCAAGAGGCCAGCACTCTCCCTGCTCCAGGAGCTGTTTGTTTTTCTCTCTCCATCCCTCCAGGGACCAGGAGCTTTCTGAGATTGGCCAAATACTGGGCTTACATGGCGATACTCACATTCAGAAGCCCCAAACCTGAGGGTTAGTGCCCCCGTCCCATCTACAGGTCGCTGCCTCTCCCCTCAGGACACATTGTGCCCAAAGGGATTTTAGGGGCGCTTACCTGTAGCCATTGCAGCTAGGTGAGCTGTCCACAGGACCCTGAGTGGTTCGGGGAGTTGGGCCTTGGGATCCTTGAGCTGGTCTCTTGTGGGCCCTTTTTATACCCTGGCCCCTTCTCTCCCACTGTTGACCCCACCTGTTTCTGTGTACATTTATGCATGGGGCCACTGACGGGCTTGTGCTAATGGATAATTTAGAAGCTCCTCCCACACATGCTGGGATCATGCCCCCTGGCTTGTCATCTTTCCCTTCCCACCGTCACCAGTGTTGTGAGGGTTGTGCACAGAGTGTCAGCCAGAGATACCACCCAACTTGTCCTCTCTTTAAGGGTCACGTGGGTGCCCTCTGGCCGCAGGCCATGGTGGCCAACCTGCACGCGGCGAAGGATGTCAGGATAGCCAGTCCTTGAGACCCCCTACCGACCACATCCCATTCTCTATCCTATCCCTTTCCTCCTCCCCGCATGTTTAACCTCCACCCACCAGACAGAATGTGTGTGTTGGGAAAAGGGGCCAAGCACAGCCAATAGATTGTGGGGGTTGTGAGCACGATTCAGTCCTGAATTCCACTTCTGCTGAGGACTCCTGGGTCAGCCTGAGTCAGCTGGATGCAGTTCCAACACTGACCACTAGAGAGAACCAACCCCACACTTTGCTCTCCCCTTTCCCTGAGCATTGCTGGGGCTCCCCCAGGTCCCTGGGGACGAAGAACCCAGACTCAAGGTATTGCCCCAGCTCCTTGGACTTGCAGCAGAGACACAAACCAAGAAACAGAAATCCCGGGAGCAGACACGGACCACAAGCTCTTCCTCCCATAGCCCTGAAACCATCAGAGAATCTCAAAGTTAGAAGAGCTCTTGAAGATTTGAGTCTCTTCCTCAGCTTTGGAACTCAGAACACATCACGCCGAAAGATGCTCTATCAGGCTGGGCGCGGTGGCTCATGCCTGTAATCCCAGCACTTTGGGAGGCCGAGGCGGGCGGATCACGAGGTCAGTAGATCAAGACCATCTTGGCTAACCAGGTGAAATCCACTCTGTACTAAAAATGCAAAAAAGTTAGCTGGGCGTAGTGGCGGGCGCCTGTATTCCCAGCTACTCGGGAGGCTGAGGCAGGAGAATGGCGTGAATCCGGGAGGCAGAGCTTGCAGTGAGCGGAGATCGTGCTGCTGCACTCCAACCTTGGCAACAGAGCAAGACTCCACCTCAAAAAAAAAAAAAAAAAAAAAAAGAAAAAGAAAAAGAAAGATGCCCTGTCCAGCCATGGAAGCCCCTCCTCTTTTTTCTCCTCCTCCTTTTCAGATCTGTATAGAGCTTTTCCAGTTGCCGAGGGCCTGCCTGTGCATTCTCACATCTGACCTGCCACTTGTCTTGTGAAGGAGGTATTATTTTCTTCCGATTTCACAGATCAAGAGACTGTGGCTCAGAGAGACTGATTGCATGAGCTACCTCAGCCAGGGCAGCAGATCTCCACAACCTTGCTCTTCCTACATTGCGTCATTTAAAGTCCTTTCTCCAGGCCGGACACAGTGGCTCACGCTTGTAATCCCCAAACTTTGGGTGGCTTTGAGGTGGGTGGATCACTTGAGGTCAGGAGTTCAAGGCCAGACTAGCCAACATGGCAAAACTCCATCTCTACTAAAAGTACAAAAATTAGCTGGGCGTGGTGGCATGAGCCTGTAATCCCAACTACTCGGGAGGCTGAGGCGGGAGAATCACTTGAACCCAGGAGGCAGAGGTTGCCGTGAGCCAAGATTGCGCCACTGCACTCCAGCCTGTGCAGCAGAGCAGAACTCCATCTCAAAAAACAAAAAATAATAATATTAAATTTTTTTTTCTCCAGAGCAGGTAGTGTGATGCTACTGAGTTATTTAGTTATTTTAGCTTCTTCCATGTTCCTCCAATCTCAACTGGGGCAGGGAGCCCCCATGACAGGGCCTTTTTGCTAGTGCCGGGGACTTAGATGTGGATTTTCGGCCATGGAAGAAGTCTCCAGCCTCCCTTAGGAATGAGGGTGGCAGGGGCCCTAGTTGGGGACCACTGCATAACTCTGCAGGTGGACACAGGGGTGGCGAGGCTCCCCAGACAGGTTACTGCCATGAACACGTGGGACCAGCCAGGGCAGGGGAGTGTCTCCTCTTACCTCTCCATTTCTGTTGACCCAGAATTATGGTGACTCAGAGGACTCTAGGGACCCCTGGGGAAACACCTTTACAAGGGGTTACTGTGGTAACCATGGACCAGAGGGAAGAACTGAGGCCCACAGGTGTGGGTAGAAGTCGGTGATCGTTTTCTCTAGTCTAGATCTTCCCAGAGCCTTGAGCAATGGAGACCATGTCTATCATTCATTGCTAGTAAAAAATCAACTTTGAATTAGACTTGGGATTCTCCTAACAGTACTGGGAAGTCGCCCACTGTTGGGGCATCACTTGAGGCCAGATCCCTGGTTGCTGCAGGCTGGAGCCTCTCCCCACATGGCCAGTGGGGAGAGGCTGGGCTTCTCACCTCTGGTGTCAGCCTCAAAAGGCTCAGGAAAAGTTGGGCACACGCCTGTAATCCCACCACTTAGGGAGGCCAAGGTGGGTGGATCATGAGATCAGGAGTTCAAGACCAGCCTGGCCAAGATGGTGAAATCCCGTCTCTGCTAAAAATACAAAAATTAGCCAGGTGTGGTGGCAGGCGCCTGTAATCCCAGCTATTCAGGAGGCCGAGGCAGGGAATTGCTTGAACCCGCGAGGTGGAGGTTGCAGTTAGCCAAGATCACGCCACTGCACTCCAGCCTGGGCGACAGAGCGAGACTCTGCATCCAAAAAAAAAAAAAAAAAAAAGCTCAGGATAAATCTCAGAATCATCTTGGTTCTTTTAAAGAACCTCCCTTTATAATTTAGGATCCATGAATTTCTCTGTGTGTTTGGAAGCCCTTCCTATGTCCAACCTCGACTAACTCTAGGGTTCTGTGTGCCTGCTGTGGAAAGTCACAGATCTGCTGTTGATCCTAAAGTGGTGTCTTTCAGGCTTCAAGATCTCCTGTTAGGTTCAAGACTGTGGGGTTGAGGACGATCACATTTTTCGAAGCCATTCTCACCGGTCTTAGGGATCGCCTCCAAGGGACTGGTGGGTGCTCCTTCCACTCTCACTTTGGTGATTTGAGGCGCACACTTCTCACCTGCAGCTCTGTTCTTTCTTCCTTGAGATCAGAGGCTGGTTATTGTACTGGGACATACTCTACCTCCTTTTGGCTTCTAATGTCCTTTCCATGAGTTTGCTACCGAGTCAATTACTTGGCTCATTGGATTGAGGTCTTCAGAGAATATTATATGGGGATTCCCAAGGGCTCTCCTAGGGGAGGTGAGGAAGATGATCAATACTTCTGCGTGTCCACTATGTGCTTGGCACTCTACTGACCATGGGGATGTGAGTGAGGATACTGAGGCCCAAAGAGATAAGGTGGCTTGCCTGGAGCTCTCCCAGTTCCTAAGTGATGGCTTCTAAGGCCCCCCAGGCTTTCCTTCCATGCCAAGCTCTTTAGAAACCTCATCTAGTAAAGATGGTGGCACTACTAGGCATGGACAAAACTTGCCTCAGTGCAAAGCTAGCAGGACAGGGGTCAAGTCCCTGCACAGAGGATGTTCAATGAAGATGGGGGGAATTGAACACAAGGAACTTCAGCCACAGAATGAGGTGTCCATAGGCATTAAGGAAAGTGGTAGAAAAGAAGCACCCAGCATAGCTCGGGTTAGTGAACCGAGGCACTTCATGCTGCATATTTGTATTGCACGTTTCAGTGTACATCGTGTTTCACTTCCTGTATCTCGTTGGACCCTTCAGTTTGCCACATGATATGTCCAGGGGGTTCAGGCACGGAGGAAGGGCCTCGGAAGGCTTGGGGAGGAGAGGGGCAGACACTGCTGTGTATTGATGGGGGGATTGTTTGCACTGGTTGATGATCTCTGAACAACCAAGAAGTACACAAGGATCTACCTAACTTGACGTGCTAAGTAATTTCACATTGGGGATTATTCTCCAGGGAGACGATCCATTGATAGAGAAGTGAAAAGCATCGAGATGTGTCTAGTAGTTGTAGGAAGTCTGGGGTGCTTTCCTGATGGGGTGCCCTCAGCTGGAAATAGCCTCTCCTTCCTTTGACCTGTCCTGTGGCTATTTGCAGACATTTTATTCCTCTTACCAGACTGTAAGCTCTTTGAGGCTGGATTTCTTTTTTTTTTTTTTTTGAGACCGAGTCTTGCTCTGTCGCCCAGGCTGGAGTGCAGTGGCGCGATCTTGGCTCACTGCAAGCTCCGCCCCCCTGGGTTCATGCCATTCTCCTGCCTCAGGCTCCCTAGTAGCTCGGACTACAGGAGCCTACCGCCATGCCCGGCTAATGTTTTGTATTTTTAGTAGAGACGGGGTTTCACTGTGTTAGCCAGGTTGGTCTCCATCTCTTGATCTTGTGATCCACCCGCCTCGGCCTCCCAAAGTGCTGGGATTACAGGTGTGAGCCACCCACGCCCGGCCTGAGGCTGGATTTCTGCCTTTCGTCTATTCATTCATTCACTCATTCTTCTATTCATGCATTCACCGATTCTACAAGTAGTTGTTGCCTATAACATGGGCCAGAGACTGTACCAGGCCGATGGACATATCTAGATAAACCAAAGACATGATCCTTTCTCTTCTGGAGCTAACAATCTACTGGGGGGGCAGAGAAAACATTTTACCATTACGTAATGTATATATATAAAATGGTAAAAAAAATTACATAATGTGTATATATATATAAAATTGTAATATATATATACATATATTATTTTTTTTGATGGAGTTTTGCTCTTGTTACCCAGGCTGGAGTGCAATGGCACAATCTCAGCTCACTGAAACCTCCACTTCCTGGGTTTAAGCGATTCTCCTGCCTCAGCCTCCCGAGTAGCTGGGATTACAGGCATGTGCCACCATGCCCGATTAATTTTGTATTTTTAGTAGAGATGGGGTTTCACCATGGTCATCAGGCTGGCCTCGAACTCCTGACCTCAGGTGATCCACCCGCCTTGGCCTACCAAAATGCTGGGATTACAGGCATGAGCCACCGCGCCCGGCCAGGTATATATATATATGTTGGTAATATAATGGTATAATAGAAATTTCTAATTGGGGACATTCCCATGAAGAAATTGCTAAGATATGGAGGGAGAGAATAAGCCAGGAGGTGAAGGGACGAGGCAGCTGCCACAGCCCCAGGCCCAGGAATTCAATAAGCATCTACTGAGTGGACCCAACGCATGAGAGGACAGTGCCAAGCAAAGAACTCAAATGTCCAACCAGCTGGGCATGGCCAGGTAGCCCATGCTGTGTCTGGACGTCCTCCTGCTGGTATAATTATTTTAAAATGACAAGGACAGGGAAGGGCGCAGTGGCTTACATCTGTGATCCCAGCAATTTGGGAGGCCGAGGCGGGCGGATCACCTGAGGTCAGGAGTTGGAGACCAGCCTGGCCAATATGGTGAAACCCCGTCTCTACTAAAAATACAAAAATTAGCGGAGCCTGGTAGTGGGCGCTTGTAATCCCAGCTACTTGAGAGGCTGAGGCAGGAGAATCGCTTGAACCCAGGAGGTGGAGGGTGCAGTGAGCCAAGATCGTGCCATTGCACTCTAGCCTGGGCAACAAGAACAAAACTCTGTCTCAAAAAAAAAATAATAATAAATAAAATAACAAGGACAGGAACTTGATTGTCAAATGCAAAAGGTGACAAGGCAGAGTGCCCAAGTTCCCAGGAATGTTCTATACGGACTCATTAACTTACACGAAGTTCTGCCTTCCCCTCCTGCCACATGGGGAAAGTGGTATTAGGTCTGGAGGGGGGATGCCTTTTTTAAAAAATTGAAAATTATATTAGGATCAGTCTAAGTGTGTTTTAACAAACTACACTCTGATTTAAGTCAGGAGATAATGCTCATTAATTTTTGTCCTCTGCAGTCACCTGTTTCCAAGTAAAGTCTTTTGGGTGGGAGAGGCAGGTGTCCCAAGTGGAAGATTTGTGGTTGTTTGCAGCTGAGTCAATGGCAGGACCAGAAGATGACATACAAGGAGCAGCTTGTAGACCTGAGACACACTCAGGAATGTCACAGATGTGGGCTCTGAACCCACTTCTTGAGGTGATCCAAAGAGAGCAGACAGAGATCCCAAATACCATGTTCCGAGATGGCTTTTGTTGTTGTTATTGTTGAGACAGAGTCTCACTCTGTCGCCTAGTCTGGAATGCAGTGGCATGATCTCGGATCTCAGCTCACTGCAACCTCCCCTTCCTAGGTTCAAGTGATTCTCCTGCTTCAGCCTCCCCAGTAGCTGGGATTACAGGCATGTGCCACCATGCCTAGCTAATTTCATTTCATTTGAGACGGAGTTTTGCTCTTGTTGCCCAGGCTGGAGTGCAATGGCGTGATCTCAGCTCACCGCAACCTCCACCAGGTTCAAAAGATTCTCTTGCCTCAGCCTCCCAAGTAGCTAGGATTACAGGCATGCGCCACCATGCTTGGCTAATTTTGTACTTTTAGTACAGATGGGGTTTCTCCATGTTGGTCAGGCTGGTCTGGAACTCCCAACCTCAGATGATCTGCCCGCCTCAGCCTCCCAAAGTGCTGGGATTACAGGTGTGAGCCACCGCACTGGGCCTAAATTTTTTATTTTTAGTAGAGATGGGGTTTCACCACGTTGGCCAGGCTGGTCTTGAACTCCTGACATCATGTGATCCACCTGCCTCAGCCTCCCAAGGTGCTAGGATTACAGGCATGAACCACCGCACCCGGCCCTGAGATGGCTTTAGAGGCCCCTCAGAGAAACCTCAGCCAGACCAGACACCTACTAAGGGACCCAAATAGCCACCGTTTTTTGCGTTTTGTTTTGTTTTTCTCTCGTTTCCAATTCTGCTGGAAAAACACCCAAAACCTTGGGTCAGATCACCCCAACCCTAGCAGCACCTGCAGCAAGAGGGGAGGAAGTCAAGCTAGAATGGAGGAGGAACAAGCCTGTGCTTCAACCAGGGTCCCTGGGGAGCTGGCTGGATTCCCCCAGTGGGCAGTGAGGCATGTGCCCACCAGGGGCCTCAGAGCTGTGTTCTGGGGAGGGGGCAGGCAGAGGGGGCAGCTGTAGAGCTGGGGTCCTGGAGGGATGGCACAGTGGCTTCCTCTCGAGGGTGCTCAGAGGCCTCCTACTAGGCCTTGGCAAGAAGGGGTGGGGCCTTTGGGGCCTCAAACCTCGTGAATCATAGGAAAAGCAAATCCCCCTTCAAAACACAAACGTTTGAAGATAGCCAAAGTTGTCCCTGGATTCCCTCCTCCTTCGGTTCAGGGTCTTATTGCTGCAATGCCCTTCAAGAGGGGCGGCCGTGATGTAGTGGGGAGAAGGCTGGACTTGGAGCCAGAAGGTCTAGGTGTGATTTTGGCCAGTTATGGTAATTTCCCTGGGCCTTGATTTCCTTGTTTGTAAAAATCAGGTAGTGCAACCTTCTTCCAGGGACATCAGGCAGAGTGTAAATGAAGATGGAGGTGTTCAATCCAGTTTTCTTGCATTTAAGAGGTGCTCAATACGTATTTGTTGGGCCCAATAAAAGCTTTTGGTTCATATTCTCTGTTCTGATTGTGGTGGTGGTGATACAAATCTATACATTTGCTAAAATTCTGTACACCCAAAGGACACAAACTCAATTTTTTTTTTTTTTTGAGATGGAGTTTTGCCCAGTCACCTGGGCTGGAGTGCAGTGACACAATTTCTGCTCACTGCAACTTCTGCCTCCCAAGTTCGAGCAATTCTCCTGCCTCAGCCTCCCAAATAGCTGGGATTACAGGCACCAACCACCATGCCTGGCTAATATTTTTATATTTTTGGTAGGGACGGGGTTTCACTATGTTGGCCAGGCTCGTCTCGAACTCCTGACCTCAGGTGATCCACCCGCCTCGGCCTCCCAAGTGCTGGGATTACAGGCATGAGCCAATGCGCCTGGCCCTCAATTTTATTGTGATAATTTTTTACAAAACAATGTCCAGTCCAAATTCTTTCCCTCGGATGGGGTTTAGGATTCCCATTTCGCAGATGAAGCAACCTGAGATGTTTCTTGTCCCCACCATCAGTACCCAGCTATATTACCATTGCCTATGGCAGTTCTGGGGAGACAGACATGATGTCCCCCAGAGTGTAAGCCCTTAAAACAGAAAAACAGACCGGGGAGGGCTCCTACATTATAACCCATGAAGTCAAGCCCTTTGGGGGTGTCTGGTGGAGGGGCCAAGGTCTATGCTCAAATGATTCTCTGTTAACAAGAACTTCGGGCTGGGCGCGGTGGCTCATGCCTGTAATCCCAGCACTTTGGGAGGCCAAGGCGGATGGATCACTTGAGGTCAGGAGTTTGAGACCAGCCTGGCCAACGTGGTGAAACCCCATCTCTACTAAAAATACAAAAATTAGCCAAGCATGGTGGTGTACGCCTGTAATCCCAGATACTTTGGAGGCTGAGGCAGGAGAATTGCTTGAACTCAGGAGACGGAGGTTGCAGTGAGCGGAGATGGTGCCACTGCACTCCAGCCTGGGCAACAGAGTGAGACTCTGTCTGCAAATAAATAAATAAGTAAATAAATAGATAAATAAAACAAGAACTTCAAAGTCTCAGGGAAACTGAGTTGTTCAGAGGTGTTAAAAAGTCTTTAGGTAAAGCCAAGGCCTCCCCCAACCCAGGGCAGCCTCAAGCAGGTGGAGACCCTGCTTGGGGGAGAAGTGAAGCCTCCTCCCACCATCTACCCGGCTGCCTAGGTCCCTGGTGGAGGTAGGAGGACGGAATTAGTGCCACTATGCAAAGCAGCAGGAAAGGAAGGGCTCCGGCTCAGTAGAGGCTGATGCCAAAACAACCTGGTTCCCTCCAGCAGCCCAGAGACTGGGGAAAACACAGGGGCCGCCTGGCTTGGCCCAGCCTGGCCCAGGGTGGTGGAGAGATTTACCTGAAACTGCAGGCGTGGGGGCCTTACCCACCTGCCCCACCTGGAATTCCAGAGGGAATCTGGTGAAAATTGGCACTGTTCTCACTAGTTCCCCTGTGCTGGTCTTGATTCCCCAGTTAAACTGGCAGCTCCCACAGCATAGGTGCTCCCTTGCTGGAATTCAGAGCAGGAATAGCAGAGGGGCCTCGAAGGATTCCCTCCAGGGTCAACAGGAAGTGGAGCACAGCCTGGCTTGGGAGGGAGGCTTTGCACGTGCAGGTTGATTGCACTTGGTCTCCCAGCTGGCAGCTGTTCCCAGTACCTCCCACAGCTGGTGAGCTGGAGGGCCCTAGGGACCATTGTTTGAGGACCCTGGGGCCATAGGGGACCTCCGATATGAGGCTGGGAAAGTCTGAAGGGGTCCCCTGGCTAAGAACCCCAAAGCTTCACCATACAAAGCTCCACTCTTCAGGATCTCACTCTTGATGGCTTTGCATCAAGCTTTCCTAGGCTTCCTGGGAGGTGGGGGTGGGAGTGTTGTAGAGGCAGGGAAACCCCTACCCTCAGGGAGCTTCCAGTTTGCCTGGAGAACCAAGGCCAGTGTGAGTAGCACAAGGCAGTAGCTAAGTCGCCGCTGCATAGGCTGGTCTGAGCAGGGCTTGGGCGAGGACCCAGGTGCTTTGGGAGGGCTTCCTGTAGGTGGAGGCAGAGTGGGACTCAATTGCCGCTTTTCGGCTGAATGAAGTGCAAGATGAGGGTGTCCCTGCTGAGGGGAAGGACAGGCCCAGTCACTGGCCAGCTGCTCTGGGTCCAGCTAGGGCCTGGCATGCAGCCCCGTTCCAGGGAGAAGAAACGGGGATGCGACCACAGGCTCCAACTGGGTCTTCGGAGAGGAGGGGTGGCTGTTACCTTTCCCACACCCTCGAGGGCTCACAGATGCCACATTCAAACAACAGAAGTGCCCACATAGATGTTCCTATCCACCCCAAACCCATAAGATGCCACGAGCCTGTGTGTGGTTTCTCAGGACACACCGTTTATTCCACGGGGGAAGGCACTGGAGGCCAGGGCCTCCCTGGGGTGGGAGTGGTTGCGGGAGAGGAATGATGTTCCTGTGGCTCTTCTGGGGCCCAGTTGGGTCCATGGCCCTTCCCAAGCTCTGCTGGGAGGCCCTCGGCTCCGAGTCCATTTGCGGGCTCTGGACCAGTCTCTGCCTCCCCCATCCCATGTGTGGGGACGGATCACCTCATAGCACCCCCAGAAGGCTGGGTCCCGTCCATCCCCAGAGAACTCCCTCCAAGTTGCTGCCCTGTTGTCCTTCTACTCCAGGCCCTTTGGCAAGAGCTGGGGACCAGGGGCTGGAGACAAATGGCAGCTCTGGTGGGCCAGCTTCAGAGGCCAGCTGGGGGGTCCAGGAAAGGGGTTGGGCCATGAGCCAGGCAGCTCCGAAGCAGTCACTGAGGCCAGGGAGCCTGCACCCAGGTCATGGGGCGACCTGGCTCTCACTCCTGGCCTGGGTGCTCACCTACAGACCACTTCACTTCCCCTGTCCGCAGCGTCACTATGTCCTCATAGGTGGCTGTCTGGTCAATGTCCAGGCCCTGGAGACATTAAGTGGAACTCAGGCCGGGACCACACCCCAACCACACCAGCAGATAGTGGCCACTGACCCCGAGGACTCAGAGCTGCTGGGCCTGCCCCTCTCCTTACCTCGTAGGTGTGATCTTCCTCCATGCCAGCCTTGCTGTCATCCTGGGGGCGGAGAGGGATGGAGATCAGAGTGTTAGTGTCCCCCAGCCCCATCCCCTGCTGGGCCAGGCTGGGGAGGGCCAGGGAGAGGGGTGAGGGGTCAGGAGTGAGGTGCATTCTGCAAGAACAGCTGAATGAAGGAAGGAAGGAAGGAATGATTGAATTGGTGAGCCAGTGGGGACAGGCTGGACCAAGAAGGCCACAACGAGAGCTGGGGAGATGGAGACCCTGCATATGCCTGGCCTATGCGGTGGCCTCCTCTGCGGTCCCCCAAGGCTTCCCCCGTCCCCTGATCACCTTGTCCAGCAGCAGGAAGATAGGCACGATGATGAAGAGGATGATCAGCAGCGTCTGGATCATGATGATACCATCCTTCAGCGTGTTCCTCTGCTTCAGCTGTGCCAAGGTGCTGAATCCTGCGGGGACAGGGGTGGGGTTGTGAGCCTGGGCCACAGTCCACCTTTTAGGCCTACAAGGGCAGCTCCCTCAGGTCCCAGTGGCTCTCCTGAGTGCTCTAGGGCCATGACCATCACCACAAGAGGCAGGCCGGGCTAGGGTGGGGCGGACAGCTACAGGAGCGTCCCAGCCACCTGGCACACACCCATGACTCGCAGCTCTGTGCCGCAGCCCTGGTAGACCTCCGAGGTGTTGTTGCACTTCTGCTGACAGAAGTAGATGCCATTGTCCTCAAACCGGATGCCTTGGATGGTGAGGGTGGCGAGAGATTCGTTCTGGGACTCTTCCATGCGGCCCTTTTCCAGCTTCAGCTGCTGGGGATTCTCGTCCATCTCCTGCTTCCAGAGCCAGCTCACATTGCCGGAGGCGCTGTTCATGTAGCAGTGCATTTTCACCGTGAAGCCCCGTTTCCTGGCTATGAAACGTGGGCTCTGCCAGATCCGCGAACAAGCACTACCTGTGGGTGCCAAGGCCAGGCTCAGCATTCCGCTTGGCATCTTCCTGAGTGCCAGCCCCAGCAGCAGGCCCCTGCCCTGGCTGGCACAGACTCCCTGGGCTTAGTCCTTGCTTCTCAGGGTGTGGGACAGGCAGGAGGCTGAGGTTGGAGTTGGGAAGCAGAGCCACGTGAGAGGCTGAGCCACATGAGAAGCCACGGCCAAGCTCTCAGACTCCACCTCTTCCCGACTGCCCCACCTCCCCTTCGATTTTCCTTTGGAAGAGCCCTGGGACCTTGCCATTCCTTCCTATGCCCATTACAACAGCCTGACCCAGGCCACACCCCCAGGACCTGGAGGCCCACAGGCCTGGCCCCTCCTTTCACTGGGCTGCCCTGCACAGGCTTGAAATCCTCAGTCTCCCCCGTTCCTCCAGGGATAAAGGCCAAATTCCTAGTCTGTCAACTGAGACCTTCCTCAGTCGACCCCCTCCCTGCATGACTTCCCTCTATCATCCCCCTCTTCCCTCCTGCAGGGACTGGGTCCACTTCTTGTTCCAGAACCCTCTTTCCAGCTTCGACTGCCTTGTTCTTAGTGAGCACTGCCCGGGAATCCCTGAGCCCCTCACATAGTGACCCTGCACTGGAGGGCTCACCCGAGACTCAGCCAGATTCCCAGCTAGACAGGCCCGGGCCTGAGTCCTAGAGGAACCCCCAGGCTCCCTTGCTATGACCCAGAGTTTAGCCCAGCCCTTCAGTGGCCAAGGCTGGAGGGCATGTGTCTGATGAGGATGACAGTGGGCTGGGGGTGGGGCTCAGAGGAGATCCTAAGGAGGCCTGGGGATGGGAATCCTGGATGGGGAGATCAGGCAAGGGTGGGAAGGCGGACCGCCCCCAGGACAGGGACCATAGTCGGACACAGGACATAGTCGCACACAACTTGCCCTCAGAAGCGGCAGGCGAGGCTACTGACCTTTGGGATTCCGGTACCGGTCCTCCGATCTGGCTGCTGGTACTGGCTCAGCTGCTGGGTGGGAGGAAGTGGGCGGGGCCAGTCAGGGCCTCCTCTGGCCTGGGCTGCCCCACCCCTGCATGCCCTCTATGTTCCCGGAGCTACTTCCTCCTTCCATGACAGCAGCTTCAAGACCCCTCGGTCCTCCCTGCCCCCAGTACTTGGGAGACAGATATGGGGTGGGGGTACCGGAAGCCCTGCCCCCAGCCCCCTTTCTGCCTTTGACCCTCATGGTGGCTTTGAGCAGGCATCTGAATGAGACAGGAGGGACAGGGAAATCTCAGTATTTTGAGAGGCCAAGACAGGAGGATCGCTTGGGTCCAGGAGTTTGAGACCAGCCTGGGCAACATAGGGACACCCTGTCTCTCTTTTTTTTTTTTTTTTTAAAGAGAGACAGGAAGAAAGTCACAGCCCGGAGGATCTTTCACCTCCCAGAGGAGGGGACCACATTTGGATCTTGCATCTTCCAGGGTCCGGTTGGGACAGCCTCTCCCCTCCCGACCCCCAGGCACCGCCCTCAGCCTCTCTTCCTCCTGAGCCTAGTTCTTCCACGGTCCTGGTTGCTAACTCTGGTTTGCTCCTCATGCCCAGCTCAGCCTGATGCTCTCCAGGCAGGAGAGGAACTGGGGCCACAGGCTCCTGAGCCCATCACCACGTGCAGCTGACACCCACAGACCCAGGCCCCAGGGCCATGAGAGGGAGACAGGCGGTAAAGAGTGAGAGACAGAGGAGGAGGGTGGAGCAAGCAGGAGGCAGAGCCGCAGGGCCCAGACAGCTGGAGATGAGAGCAAACCCCACAGGCCTCGTCGTGGGTTCTGTACCTGAGAGCAGCAGCAGCAACGCCACCATCCAGTGGCTGGGCACAGGAGACAACGCCAGCCTGGCCATGGTCACCGCTCTGTCCCCGACCCCAAACCCGTGACAACGTCCGAGGCTCCTTGGAGGAAAACGTGTAACTGCACCGGCTGCAGCCTGTCCCCTCCCCGCCTCTTCCTCACCAGGCCCCTTCCTGCCATGCAAATTGGGACCCAGGGGAGGCACCAGCTCTCCGGGGACCCTGGGGGAGGGCAGGCTTTTGTCAGCTGGGCCGCTAAGGTTTGGCGGTCGCCCAGCTTGGGCAGCACAGCTGGGGTCCTCTGTGGATGCCTCTGGGGGGCCTCTCAGTCTTCTGGGGGAAGCCTGTGCTCCCCTCTGTCTGTGCTTACCCCACCGGTGGTCATCCCCTGGGCCAGCCAGCCTCCCCTCTGCCGTCTGCCAACTCCCCGAAGGGCCGAGCCCGGCAAGTCTCTATTCCTGGGCCGTGAGCGAAATAGGCACCTGTCCTATGAATGAACCTGAACTTAGCTCCTCTGTCCTGAACTATTCCTCACCCAGCGGGAAGAGGAGCACTGAAGAAGGACAGGGCAGCCACAGACCCAGGTCAGGCATCTGGAGGGGCCCAGAGCAGAGCCTCTTGGCTGGAGTGCAGGCAGCCATGTTGGAAGTTGACCCTGTGGAGGATGGGAGCCACAGAGGTTCTGGAGCAAGAGCAGGTCAAGTGTGGCAGCCACTGGGAGAAGATTCAGTCCAGGTCTTGGTGAGAGGCCTCCCTTCCTCATGCTGTGAAAGAGTATGTAGGGGCTGCCAAACAGGGTGGATGTAGGTGGAGACAGCTTTGCGAAAATCCACCACGCAGCCACTGGGGGCTTCTTCAGGGAGTTCTTAACTGTGGGACTCTGAGTGCGTTGAATTGTTGTCTGCAGGTCCAGGGGGTCTTGGGCAGGGAACAGGAGCTGGTGTGGGGGAGCCCTCAGGTCCTCCAGCTGTATCCTGCCTGTCCTCAGAGTGCTGGATGGAGCCACAGTGCTCAGGAACTGATATAAACTCACCTTTGCGCCCCTGCCCCTGGGTCCAATGCAGCCCCTTCAGAGATGCCCTTGTGCAGGGCACAACATGCACAAGTGTACACAGCATGCTTGCAGACCTCAGCCCTGCAGCTGAGCCCTCTGAATTTTATGTTTCCTGGCAGCTTCTTTTTTGTCTCTCATCCTCGACCCCCAGGAGAGGAAGAGATGCTAAATCGTCGGTGCCCTCTGTCCACCTCTCACTCTCCTCACAACCCTCCGTTTTCCAGTCTGTGCTGGGGCAGGTCTGTCTGGATTTAGGGAGAAGCAGAACCACCTCCCATGCCATGGTTGGAAGGCAGAGGGTCTGGGTGGTCCCTCTTTAGATCTTGGCCTAGGCCTCGGACCTGATAAGGTGGGGGCCACTCTCAAGGGGTGCAGGCCAGGACCTGAGCCACGGAAGTCAGGGGCAGGAGGGTTAAGGTTTCATCCGAGGAACAGCCCGTTCCGGGCAGCCCCAGATGTTCTTTCTTGTTTCCAGATGTTCCAAATGAAAAAACATTTCTCTGAAAAGCTGTCAGATGTTCAGTTCATGGAATAAACAGCTCAGAAATATAAACATCACCTGAGGTCAGCTTGAGGCCCATGGGCCCGCATGCTGGTGAGGGTGGCTGGAGAGAGACTGACCCGGGGGGAGTGGGGCAAAATCTGGGAGTCTCATGGTTTAGGAAATACTCTTCCTGAGCCCCTAACGACAGAGTCCTTCATTAACTTTGGGGCTAGTGTCTCCCCAAAGTTGGGGGGTATAACTGGGAAAGGCTTGGGGCACACGTGTTTGTGGGGGGTGTGTGTGTGTGTGTATGTGCATGCTCACACAGGTGTGTTGCCTGGACCCTGTGGTGTGGGGCCTACTCTGGAGCTGGTCCTAGGGCTCAGCGGACTGTAGGGGGCACGGAGGTTGGTGGGGGGCAGTTGGCACCCATCCTCAGGTGACAGGTGCGCTAAAATCTCAGAAATCACCACTAAAGAACTTATCCAGGTAACCAAAAAAACTACCTGTACCCCAGAAAATATTGAAATAAAAAATTTAAAAAAACAAGTGAGAAGCAGCTCCCACTCCAGGGAGGGAAGACACACACATCCCGTGGACAAGGATGCAGATGTGGCCTTTGGGCTTCATTCCCATTCATGCCGGGCAGGGATCTGTTTTCAGGAGGGGCGGAGGCAGCGGGGGCCCCACCGCCTGCAGGGTTATTTGTCACATTTTGAGCCGTGCTGTTCCCTCACTGGTGACAACAGCCCTGAGCCCCATTTTGGGCTCATGATGCCCTTTTCTTCCCAGAACAGGAGGCCTCACAAGCCTACCCCTGCCTCTGCCCTCGGCTGCCCGGGGCTTCACATTCTGACTTCTGACGACACCTCCCTTTCCAGGAAGGCAACATCAAAATAAGGAATGGGGGCCAGGGTCGGGCGAAGGGACAAGGGGCTCAGGGGGTGGGGAAGCAAGAAGGCAGCGACCCCCAGCCACCCTAGGATGCCGGGAGGGGGAAGAACCTCAGGGAAAGAAGAGCTCAGACCCCTGCCTCCTTCTCCAGCCCAGGTGTCCTGGATCTGCTGGGCTGCTGTGACTGGGAAAAGACCTGCTAAGAAGGACGTGGGTTTGAGTCCTGACCCAGCAGTGTAGCAGCCAGGAAACCTCCCCAGGTTACCAGTGGTTCTCTACTAAGGGTGGCTCTGCCCCAACGGAGGGAGCGTCTGCACATGCATCAGGGCAATCGCGCTGGTCTCAATGACCGGTGGGTGCCTGGGGCGGGAGGGGCATTGGCTGGCAAAGCAGAGTTCCCTGCCCCACATGCCAACAGCACCCATGAGGCAACACCCATTCTTAACCTCTCAGTGACCAAGGTTCCTCATTTTCGTAAAATAGAAATAAGCCCAATAGCGCGTTTTTTTGTTGTTGTTTTCTGGGGTTTTTCTGAGACAAGATCTTGCTCTGTTGTCCAGGCTGGAGTGCAGTGGTGCAATCTCCATTCACGGCAACCTCTGCCACCTGGACTCAAGTGATTCACCCACCTCAGCCTCCCGAGTAGCTGGGACTACAGGTCATGCTACTACACCTGGCTAATCTGTGTATTTCTTGTAGAGACAGGTTTTACTATGTTGCCCAGGCTGGTCTCAAACTCCTGAGCTCAAGCGATCCACCCGCCTCAGCCTCCCAAAGTGCTGGGATTACAGGCGTGAGCCACTGCGCCCGGCCCCAACAGTGCGTTGGTCGAAGGGCAGCTGTGCACATTGAAGGCCATCCTGCATCTGAGGTACTTGGTGAATGTGGTGGACGGCACGCCCTGAGGAGGGCGAGGAGTGCGAGGAGTGGCACGGATGCCTGGGGAGGTGGGTAGCTGTGACTGTTGTCCCAAGTTGTCTCTGTTTCTCACCCAATATGAGGCCTTTTTTCTTCCACCATTCAAGGCTCAAAGGATGTGTGGGCTTGAGCACCCTGCGCTCTGCAAATCTTCCTGTCCCTGATGCCAGAGAGGGCTCCAGGCGAGGTCTGGAGGAACTTAAAGTGAAAAGAATGTCTCCAGTGTCATTTCTAATAGAGCTTATTTGGATCTTCTCTCTTTTCTTGGTTAATCTTGCTAATGGTCTATCAATTTTATCTTTTCAAAGAACCAGCTTTTTTTTTTTTTTGAGATGGAGTCTTGCTCTGTTGCCCAGGCTGGAGTGCAGTGGCATGATCTCAGCTCACTGCAACCTCCGCCTCCTGGGTTCAAGTGATTCTCCTGCCTCAGCCTCCCAAGTAGCTGGGACTATAGGCGTGCAACACTGCACCCAGCTAATTTTTGTATTTTTAGTAGAGATGAGGTTTCACCATTTTGGCCAGGCTGGTCTCAAACTCCTGTCCTCGTGATCTGCCCGCCTCGGCTTCTCAAAGTGCTGGGATTACAGGCATGAGCCACTGTGCCCGGCCCAACTTTTTGTTTTAATTGATCTTTTGTGTTGTTTGTTTCAATTTCATTTGGTTCTGCTCTGATTTTTCTCATTTCTTCTCTTCTGCTGGGTTTGAGTTTAATTTGTTTTTGTTTCTCTGGTACCTTGAGGCATTTGTGGTCTTCCAGAGTTTTTGATGTAGGCATTTAATGCTATGAACTTTCCTCTTACTACCACTTTTGCTGTATCACAGAGGTTTTGAGAAGTTGTGTCATTATCATTCATTTCAAAGAATTTTTAAATTTCCATCTTGATTTTATTGTTAACCCCCAAATCACTCAAGAACAGATTAATTTCCATATATTTGTATAATTTTGAGGGTTCCTTTTGGAGTGGATTTCTAGTTTTATTCCACTGTGGTTGGAGAAGATACTTGATATAATTTTGATTTTCTAAAAGACACATGCACACGCATGCTTATAGCAGCACAATTCACAATTGCAAAGATATGGAACCAACCTGAGTGCCTACTAACCTATGAGTGGATAAAGAAAATGTGGTATATATACACCTCTTTATGGAATACTACTTAGCCATAAAAAGGAGTGAAATAGGCTGGGCATTGTGGCTCACACCTGTAATCCCAGTACTTTGGGAAGCTGAGGTGGGCGGATCACGAGGTCAGGAGATTGAGACCATCCTGGCTAACCAGGTGAAACCCTGTCTCTACTAAAAATACAAAAAATTAGCCGAGCGTGGTGGCAGGCGCCTGTAGTCCCAGCTACTTGGGAGGCTGAGGCAGGAGAATGGTGTGAACCCGAGAGACGGAGCTTGCAGTGAGCCGAGATCGCGCCACTGTACTCCAGCCTGGGCGACAGAGTGCGACTCCGTCTCAAAAAAAAAAAAAAAAAAAAGGAAGCGAAATAGCATCTTTTTGCAGCAACCTGGTTGGAGCTGTAGGCCATTATTCTAAGTAAAGTAACTCAGGAATGGAAAACCAGATAGCATATGTTCTCACTTGTAAGTGGGAGCTAAGCTATGAGGATGCAAAGGCACAAGAATGATATAATGGACTTTGGGAACTCAGTGGGGGAACGTTGAGGGAGGGGTGAGGGACAAAAGACTACATATTGGGTATAGTGTACACTGCTCAGGTGTCAGGTGCACTAAAATCTCAGAAATCACCACTAAAGAAATTATCCAGGTAACCAAAAAAAAAACTACCTGTACCCCCAAAACTATTGACATAAAAATTTTGAAAAAAAAAGTAAGAAGAAGCTCCCACTCCAGGGAGGGAAGACAGCACCCTGGGACCACTCAGACAACCCTGTAGAGATTCTCCACACCTCCCCTCGCACTCACGCACAGAGAGCTGCAAGGTGGAAGGTGCCGCAGAGACAATGGAACGACACTGGGGGGCAGCCTGAGGGCCACTCCCCATCCCCCACGCCAGTGCTACATCACCTCAGGACCCAGGAAGAGAGGGTGCAGAAATCCTGAAAAGAATTAAGTGCTTACTTGTCTGGAAGAATACAGCCCTGGGAGTCAGAAGTTGTTACAGAAAATAAAATTACAGGCTGGGCGCAGTGGCTCATGCCTGTAATCCCAGCAACTTGGAAGACCGAGGCAGGAGGATCACTTGAGGCCAGGAGGTTGAGACAAGCCTGGGCAACAGAGCAAGACCCCATCTCTATAAAAAACCATCCAGGTGTGGTGGCGTGTGCCTGTAGTCCCAGGCTCAGGTGGGAGGCTCAGGTGGGAGGATTGTTTGAGCCCTGGAGTTCGAAGCTGCAGTGAGCCATGATTGCACCATTGCACTCCAGTTTGGGTGACAGAGTGAGACCCTATCTCAAAAAAAAAAAAAAAAAAGAAAGAAAGAAAAAGAAAATTACATACAAGATTATATTTCACTCTCTGGGGGCTGTGGGCTAAACTTGCCGCATAAGAATATTCTTAGTCACGGGTCCACGTGACCCTGGGCTATCTGGGGTCAGAAGTCAGTCCTGGGGTCAGCGCCTCTGAGGAGAGGGAGAGGCTGTGCTGTGTACCCCACAGGCACCTTGAGGCCTCTGAGATGGGCAGAGAAGTGAAGGGGCCTCTGGGGAGGAGGAGCTGGGGACACAGAGTCCCAACAGGGATCACCTGGAAGAGAGGGAGTGTGGTGCTGCCTGTTGTGGGAGCCAGGTCTTGACCCCTGATCCTATCTGGTCTCTTGGATTCCAGCTAAGGGGCTTTTGTAAGGAGGCTGGAGAGAGCTGGACTGGGCCAGAGCGGGGAGCTGGGGCCTCCTTATCCTGCCTGGCCCCCTGAGAGGCTCCCGTGTCTTCCACGTTTGGCTCCAATCCCCACCGACCCTTTCTGCTTCTCACTGCCCTCAGCCCCCATCCGCATCCACATGCTGACATGCAGAAGGGAGAAGCCACATACCAGAGGCACCAAGGAGGGTTTATTGTAAGAACTGTACAAAGGAGCCCGCCTGCTGGCCTGGCGTGGGACCTGTTCCCCACTGGACCAGGCAGGAATGGGCATCCGTCTGCAGGGGAGGGGCCACAGGCAGGGAGAGGCCGGACCCGGCTCATCTACTCTTCCTCTGCAACCTGCACACAGTCCGAGGAGAATATCCAATCAAACAGATTTCTGAGGCTCCAGGGGCTGTGCCAGCCCAGGGCCCAGGAGGGCAAGGCAGAGGGGCAATGTGCCAGGAAGGGGAGACTGCCCCCATTAGACGAAACTTCTGAAGGAAGAGATGGAAGGAGTGGAGGCCTCCTTCCATAGAGGAGACATAGGCAGGAGGCAGGGAGCAGGGCTGAGGCCATGGGTGTGACAACGAGAAACAGGAAGGGGAGGAGAGGGGAGTGAGAGAGAGGGCTGTTCAGGCAGGACTGGGAGCAGGTGAGAGAGCATGGTGGACAATAAAGACAACTCTGGCCCATAGGCATGGCATGTAGATGTGCACACACACACACGTGTTCACACACTCAAGCACACATACATGTCTTGTTTTGAAGGTTTTGCTGCTTCCTGAATTTTAATCAAACTTTTCATGAGAAACAAGAAGAAAAAGAAGAGGCACTTAGGCCAACAGAATGCCCTGAGTACACACCTTACCACATGCGTTCACACGCATCCACACACTCACAGCACAGGTCCACTCTCCCAGGCACGGGAACACTCCCAGGGACAGGCCTGCACAGTATGACACACCAGCCGTACTCCATGGACCTTGAAACAGTCCAGGGCACACATATATACACATATATACAAAGATACCCAGACACGTGCATAATGCAGGCTCCAGTACACAGTGGTTCACACACACACATACAGTCACGCACTTGAACACACACACAGCTATACACACAGGCCTATAAAAGCATACAAGCAGACACACAGCCACAGGTACACACACAAGTGAATAAATCCAGCGACGCCTGAGCAGGTCTCTCACCCCTCCTCCTGAGCCAGCAGAGGCCTGGCCCTGCCATGCCCAGAACAGCGATGCAGCAGAAGTGCTTCTTCAGGCCACAGGAAGTTGGAAGGTTGAGCCTGAACCAGTTGGGCCTTCCCTGCTGCACGCCCCAGGGTCGAAATATCTAACCTGAGCTCAACTGTACATTCTTAGGATCACTTTGGGGAGAGAGGTGGGAAAGGTGAGAAAGAGACGGGCGTGGGGAGATGAGAAGGGAGATCTCTGAGGCTGGATGAGGCTCCTGGAGCCCTGGTGGTGCTCACGGAGGAGTGAGGCAGGGAGAGAGGGAAGGGGCGAGAATCTTCTTACTGAGCAGCAGGTCCCTGACTCCCGCTCAGGTCTGGATGCTCAGGCCATGTGCAGCGATCCAGCTGGCAGGACCCAGCCTGTCTCACTCCCCCGTGCTTCCTAGAAAAGGACAATTCATTCCCAAGTGGCATCCTTCCTTCTGCTCTTCCCCTAGGAGCCAGCCAGGGGAGCTACGGACCTGGACGTGGCCTAGGAAGAGGTTTCAGGAGTCACCATCCCAGCCCAAAGCAGCAGGATCCAGTGGCCAATCAGGTTTTGAGGCTTTGAGGAGCTATTTCTGAACCAGTCACATTTCCCTTTTCCAGGGAATTCCTGAGCTGGCCTGGTGGGTGAAGCTGCACCCCAGAGTCAAAGGGGGTGGGCTGGCAGTGCCCTGGGGTTAGGTGTCTGCACTCCCTGAGGTTAAGACATCTTTGTCTGGGCTGGGGCTGAGGGGTCTGAGCCACTTCCTGGGGAGAGGCCAGTGACCCTTAAGACTCTGGTGATGGGGGGCAACTGATCCCTCCACCGCAGGCCAGCTCCTCCTCAAGTGAGGGGCAGAGATTCGAATGTTCTGACCTCCCCCAGGCCAAAAGGAGGGGCGACAGGGCCCAGAGGAGGTCAGAGCAACTTGCAGGTTAAATCTTGGAGGCAGGGGCCTCAGACCCAGCATGGAGCCCCTGAGCGCAATTCCCATTTCCCATGGTCTGGGAACGCAGGCGCTCGGGCCTGGGTGTCAGCCCCAGTGTGGCCAAATCCTGTCCCCCATCAGGGAGCCAGGCACAGTCCCAGATTCAAAGCCCTCCTCCCTCACTCTGTGTGCAGGCACCACGGGGGAGCTCTGGGGACTATGCCGAGACTCAGTGGGCCACCCCGATGCTGCCTGCTAGACAAGAGACTCCTTGACACCTGGGCGCACAGTCTGCCCTGGGGGAGGGGCGGGAGGCCAGGCAGTGTCTGAGGGGCTGATGGGCATCAGCCCCATAGTGGGTCCGGCGTCCCCTGCCTCGCCCTTCTCCTCCGGGCTTGGCGAGCTGCTGTTCCCATTCTCGTGGCCATACATCTTGCTCATGGTGTTGGCAAGCAGCCCCTCCTTCTCAGGGGCGTCATCCCCGCTGCCGTCGTGGCTGTGGCGGTACATGTAGGATGCCTGCTTCATGGAGCGCTGTAGCAGGTGCCGGCGGTAGGCCCTCTGGATCTTGATGGCGCACACCTCCTCGTGCTTCCTCTTGAGGGTGGTGGTGATGGGCTCGTAGGACACCTTGGAGGGGTTGGCTGCCATGAACTTCTCCTCCATGGTCTGCTTGAGGGCGTCCATTTCCCCAGAGTCACCCAGGACCTCTTTGGTCAGGGCAAAGAGGATGTCCAGGCAGTGGATCTTGTCCCCTGGCACCATGGGCAAGTCCAGTGTGATGAGCTTGATCTTGTTGGGCTTGGCAATCCTCAGCGGTTCCTGCAGGGTGTCCACGAAGTCTGAGAGGCGGCTGTAGGCGATGAACTGGGTGGCGTCGGGGTCGAACTTCTCCCATGTCTCGTAGAACATCTCAAAGTCATCTTCACCAAGGGGCTCGCTGCTCTCCTCTGTGGCCACATTGAAGTTCTCCAGGATGATGGCGATGTACATGTTGACCACGATGAGGAAGGAGATGATGATATAGCTGCAGAAGAAGCAGATGCCGATGGAGGGGTTGCCGCAGTCACCCTTGACACTGGTGCCCGGGTTCTCCAGGTTGGGGTCACAGTCTGGGGGCCCGCTGTTGAGGATGGGGTTGAGGAGCCCGTCCCAGCCGGCCGACGTGGTGATCTCGAACAGGCAGATGATGCTGTTGCCGAAGGTCTCGAAGTTGAACATATCATCGATGCCCGACTCCTTCTTGACGTAGGCAAAGTTGGACATGCCGAAGATGGAGTAGATGAACATGACCAGGAAGAGGAGGAGGCCGATGTTGAAGAGGGCAGGCAGCGACATCATGAGGGCGAACAGCAGCGTCCGGATGCCCTTGGCCCCGCGGATCAGCCGCAGGACACGCCCAATCCGCGCCAGGCGGATCACACGGAACAGCGTGGGTGACACGAAGTACTTCTGGATCAGGTCAGAGAGGGCAAGGCCTGCGGGGAGAAGCTAGTGAGGACGCTGCCACTGGGGAGGGGGGCCGGCACAGGGTGTGGGGAGCATGCGGGGCTCAGGGGGCCCGGCCTGGTGTGCTCTGCTCAAGTCTCAGAGCACAGCCCAGATGACTGACAGGTGAGGCTGGGCTCTCCCACGGGTCTTGGGGCCAGGGGCTGCAGCTTTGTCTTGATGGAACTGGAGGTGGGATACCCTGAAGTGGGGGAGTGTAAGGCCCATTCCCAAGGCTGTTTGCAAATGCCACTGGTGTGTGTGTGTGTGTGTGTGTGTGTGTGTGTGTGTGAAAGAGACAGAGAGAGAGAGACAGAGAGAGAGGGAGACAGAACAGCTGCGTGACTCTGGGTCTCCACTTCACTTGTTTGTGCCTCAATTTCCTTACCTGTAAAATGGGAACAACAGTTCCTGATCATGACATTGTTATGAACAACAGGTGAGATAACACCTGTCAAGCGCACAGCACAGTTGATAATAAATGGCAGCTACTTTCTATCATAAGCACACGCATGACTGTGCACTTCTCAGTGCACACAGACATGGAACCATCTTTTACACTTTTCGCTCAGTATGTGGGCACCTGAGTGCACGTCTTCTGGTCAGTTGTGTGTCCTGAGGTGCATCCATGTGTGCGCGGGTGACGATCTGCCTGTGTGCACACCATGTGCCTTTGTGCATTGAGAGTGAATGGCAGGCACGCACAGGCATGTGTCTGGGTGAGCGTGTGAGGGTGCAGGGGCAGGTGTGTCCGTGTGAGGATGGGTCTTCCCGAGTGCCTCAGCTCAGTGCTGCCCTGCCGGTCCAGCCCGCCCCGCTCACCCACAATGGACAGGATGACGACCACGAAGTCAAAGATGTTCCAGCCAACGGTGAAGTAGTACTGGCGCAGGGCGAGCATCTTGAGCACGCACTCCCCTGTGAAGATGATGATGAAGATCATGTTGATGTTGTACAGGATGTCCACCTTGAGCTGGCTCTGGTTGTCTGTCTCCACCATCATGGTGACCATGTTGAGGCAGATGAGGATCATGATGGTGATGTCGAAGGCCTGCTTCGTCACGAGGTCATACACCATGCCCTGGATCTTGTTCTGCAGCATGGGTGGGAGTGGATGTGGAGGAGTTGGGGTGGCCAGGCCCAGACAGGACATGGACAGGCAGGAGGCACAGGATGGCACCACAGCATGACAGAGATGACAGAGATGACAGAGAGAGAGAGAGAGAGAGAGAGAAAGGAGGTGTTGGGGGTTGTGGTGGAGTCAGCCAGGGGAGGAGGGGTGACCCATCAGATCATGACAGGTCTGGGACCAGGTCATTTTATGGGGTTCATGGTCCTCCCTTCAAGATCCCCCAGATGCTCCTCCCCTTTCTTCCAAAGTCATTGCTCCTGGGTAGGGTGTCTGGACATCCTCCTCCTTCCACTTGTGGGAGCCCTTGCCCCAGGGGCCACTGGGGTCCCAGGTGGGAGGTAGGTGGGCACTGAGGAGCTTCGTGGGACCAAGTGAGGGTAAAGCACTCACTAGAGTTTCATGGACAGCCTCTGTGCATATGGTGTCTCTGTGGCACTACAAAGAGGCGTCCCTCCCTGCAGGTAGACCAAGTCCCCTGCCCCTGGGGTGGGCCTAACCTCACCCAGGGACACAGCCTGGTGGGTGGAAGGCAGGAAACCTTTTACCCCCATCAGTCCCCTAGGCAGGAGCCTGGCAGCACACACAGGACAGGGGGCCCAGAGGTCTGTACCTGGGGCCGGGGAATTGGCTTCTGAGGCTTCTTGGAGCCAAGCTTCTTCATGGCGTTATAGTATTTCTTCTGTTCCTCCGTCATAAAGATGTCTTTCCCCCCTAAGTATAGTGGGATAGGGCTTGTCAGGTTGAGGTGCAGTTCCCCTTCCTGCCTCCAGGACCACCCCCACCTCAGTGGGGCACCTCACCTTTAAGGCAGCCCCCGCCCCTGTTGATCAGCCTGGAGGAAGCGGGAGGGTCAGAGATGGAGGGACAAGGGGAGAATGCGGGACCGAGGAGAAGGGAGGGAAGGGGAGTGGGGATCAATGCTGTCTTGCAGCCTGTTTCTGGCTACTTTTCATCAACATCTCGCTGAGCCCTAGAGTAACCCACAAGGCAGGTTGTAGCAGCCTCGTCTTTTTTTTTGTTGTTGAGATGGAGTCTCGCTCTGTCACCAGGCTGGAGTGCAGTGGCGCGATCTTGGCCCACTGCAACCTCCATCTCCTGGGTTTAAGCGATTCTCCTGCCTCAGCCTCCTGAGTAGCTGGGATTACAGATGCCTGCCACCACGCCTGGCTAATTTCTTTTTTTAATTTTTTTTGTATTTTTAGTATAGACAGGGTTTTACCACGTTAGCCAGGGTGGTCTCGAACTCCTGACCTTGTGATCCGCCCGCCTCGGCCTCCCAAAGTGCTGGGATTACAAGCATGAGCCACCGTGCCTGGCCCAGCAGTCTCATTTTACAGATAAGGACACCGAGGTTCATGGAGGCCAAGCCACTTGTTCAAGGTGGCCTGGTGGGACTGGGACCCAAGCTAGCTGCCTGAACCAACAACCTGGTAGGTGCTCAGGCAGCGTTTGTGGGTTTGTGCAATGGAGAGTGGACAAAGGAGGCAGGAGGGAGGCCCAGCACCGGGAGGGCCCGAGGGGCTGGGCTGATACTCATCTTCTTCTTCTGCTGGTTGAAGTTGTCAATGATGACGCCAATGAAGAGGTTGAGGGTGAAGAAGGAGCCAAAGATGATGAAGATGACAAAGTAGAGGTACATGTAGAGGTTCACCTCGTACTGCGGCTGCTCCTCCTTCTGTGGGAGCCACAGGGTGGGACGGCGTGGGTTTGCACGCTGGCTTCTCCCTGCCCCCCACAGCCCTGAGGGCAGGACCCATCCACCCCCAGGGCTGCCAAGTCTCGGGGACAGAACGTGCTGCCAAGTCTCCCTCCTGTCTTGAGTCCTCTTCCCTGGCTCGCTCACCAGCCACATCTCAGCGACCCCGACTCACCTCCCGGGAGTCCACGGCTGCATACATGATGTCCATCCAACCCTTGAAGGTGGCCTGAGAGAGTGTGGTTGGGGAGTGAGCCGGGGGGCTGCTCCCTGCTTTCATCATCCATGAGTTTCCCTCCCCCACCCAACCTGGTCCTCCCCTGCCAGAGGCCGCCTGCCAGAGCCCCACTGGGCTAGCATCAAATAAAGACCAGAGAGGTCTAGACACTGCCTGGGGATCCCACAGCATTGGAAGCAGGGTGGGCGGTCCCCTAACCAGGAGTGACACTGGGGTTGGGTACAACGAGAGGACCGGGGTGGGGGGCACCTCCATCCAGGTTCCCGGCAGGGGTGGTGGGTCACACTCACCACCTGCAGGAGGGAGAGGTAGCCCAGACCCACGTTGTCGTAGTTGACCTTGACATTGAGCCAGCGGACCTGGCCTGTGTGCATGAGGCTCTCGCACTCAGACTTGTTGTTGACCTCGGAGATGTCGAACCTCTCAGAGGTGGTGGTGTTGATGCAGTAGTAGAACTTGCCGGCAAACAGGTTGACACCCATGATGCTGAAGATCAGCCAGAAGATGAGGCAGACAAGCAGCACATTCATGATGGAGGGGATGGCGCCTAGGAGGGCGTTCACCACCACCTGGGGGCCAGGGGGTCCATTGCCAGTGCCTCTCCCAGCCTCTGAGAGAGGGCTCCACATCTCTACGCCACCCAGGGGACCAGGCAGAGCTGGGCATTGTCAATTAGGGAGGGCTTCCTAGAGGAGGGCCGACCTGCTGGGCTGTGTGTGTGCAGGTTGGGGGTGGTAAGGGGGAGGGGGAGGGAGCTGCAGGCCTGGTGGTCAAGAGGGCTCTCTGCTTGACTGGAGCCATCAGCCCAGAGTAGGGGTGCTGGGTTTCTCTGGAAGCAGCCTGGTCACAGGTCACCAGGCAGGAGACAAACACTCTTTGCTCAGCCCCCATAGGAAACTCAGCTCACGTGACCCAGCCCCTGCTCATGGGTTTTCAGCCCCAGAGCCCCAGACACAGGCACAGAAAAGAGGGCACCAGGGTCTTTGAAGCAGCAGGAGCTCTGGGACAGAAGCCCCATCCCCACCAGCCCTAGTCACACAGCCCACCTGACCACTGCAGACTGGGCTGGATCTGACACCCCTCTCTTTTTAAGGAGGAGCCATTTCATGACCTCTAGAGTGGGTGGCACAAGCCTGGTGTGCCCAGGGGAGCTCTGTTCCTGGTTGGGGCACTGACCAGCTGCATGGCCACAGGCAGCTTGTTTCCCCTCAACGGGAGGGCTCCCTGGCTCTGGGGGGTCAGAGGGCCCAGCATTCGGCTGGCCTCTTGCAGGGACAGGAAGGGGCCGCTTGGGGGGGCTCGCCATGGCCTCTAGATTTGCAGAAATTTGTCCCGCTGGAGCAGGTCTTGCTCCCAGCAGATCTCTCTTCCTGGGGAAGTCCCATTTTTCTTGCCCCCCCCCCCACCCCGCCGCAACCCTGTGTTTACCTGCCACTTCCGCTCTCCAGGGCCTGAGTGGATCTTCCCCAAACTGACCCCAAGCTCAAGGGCATGGCCCCAACCGTGACGCCAAGCTCATCAGTGGGGGGTGAGGGGAAGGCTCAGAGCCAGGGTGCAGGCACCTTGTTTCAAAGCCCTGGGTGGCTCAGTCTGAGGCTGGGGAGGGCCACCCATAAACCCACTCATAAACCACCCATAAACACCACATAAACCTGCCTTCCTTCCTCCTCTTCCCTGGCCGTGGGGCCCTCCTGGGTGCTTCTGCAGTCTCTGCTCCCCTCAAGTAGTGGCAGAGGTAAGCTAAGGGCGGGCTGGATCGGGGGCTGAGAGTGGGAATGGGGCAGGCAGAAGATGGCCTGCGGGGAGGACAGCTAGGGGAGGTGGGGGCCAGACCTGGCCTCAGGCAGGGCCGTGGGTCCAAGCTCTCTGCTTCCCTCTGGTGGTGGTTGGAGTATAGACATGCACCCTCCACCCTGCAGTGAAGGTGGCCGGTCCCCCATCCCCAGCCCACCCCAGAGGCCCCTTCAGCACCCACCCTCATGCCCTCGAATCGGGACAGTGCCCTCAGGGGACGCAGGGCCCGCAGTGTCCGCAGGGATTTGATGGGTCCCAGCTCCGAGTAGCCCAGCCAGTTGGCCACCAAGCTGATGATGGAGACCTGCAGGGGAGGGGTGAGGGGATCAGTGCGTGCAAGGCCCCCAGCCTCCCCTCAAGCCCAGGCCACGGGGGTCTTCCTGGACTCACAGCTCCTGGTTGTCTCCCTTAGATCCCCTCCCTAGTGGGTGGTCCTGTCCGGTGGGAAGAGCAGCCCTGGGACCTGTCCCAGTACCTGTAGGAGCCTGGCACCACCTCAGTGATGTCATCAACCAACTGGGGATGACTGTGAGTAGGAGGGATGGTACCCGACTCCTTCGGGGAGGCCTGTGAGCCCATCTAAGAGGCTAAGAAAATCCTCCATTCCTGGCCGGGCATGGTGGCTCACACCTGTAATCCCAGCACTTTGGGAGGCCAAGGTAGGAGGATTGCTTGAGCCCAGGAGTTCAAGACCAGCCTGGGCAACATAGCAAGATCCCATCTTAAAAATAAATAAATAAAATGTATGAAGTAAGAAACTCCTCCACTCCTATTGGCAGGGATGGTAAGTAGCCCTCCTGCCTGCTGTCTTCCCCCAAGGCCTCCTTTCCCTGAGGAGAAGGGAAGGCCTCCCAGTCCCTAACCCCTCCCTGGGCAGCTCTGTCTGAGAAGGGCAGCACTGATTGAGGGTCTGACTCTGGGGGTGGCCTCGGGCAGGTCCTGCCCTTCAGGGCGTGGGCTTCCTGAGGTCCCCGCCACACTGACAGCCTCTGGATGTAGCTACGGGGCCAGCGTGGGGGGACTCACATCCACGATGAGGAAGTCGAGCCAGCACCAGGCGTTGGTGAAGTACACCTTAAAGCCGTAGGCCACCCATTTGAGCAGCATCTCCATGATGAAGATGTAGGTGAAGACCTTGTCGGCATATTCTAGGATGGTGCGAATGACTCGCCGCTGCTCAATGTAGATGTCCTCGAAGGCCTGGGGGCACCAGCACCACCAGGGTGGCTGGGGTCCAGCAGGCTGGGGTGGCAGCCAGGTCCCCTGCCCTGCTCTATGCTGCTGGTTCCCGGGGGTCTGCCGTGGGGGCCCAGCCCAAGGGACAGGCTGTCCGCATCTCCTGGACTCCCACCACCCATCATGGGGATGAGAGCGTTTCCCAGTGGGGAGAATCCCTCAGCCCCCCTTCTCCAAGCCCAACAACAGCAAATTGCCATCATCTGCTGGGCAGGTCCACAGTGACACATCTTCAGTCCTGCGCCCCCAGTTCCCAGGGGTCTCCTGCCTCCTTATCAGCAGAGAGTGCACAAAAGTCAGCACCCACGTAATAAGGGAGGCACCTCTGCCATGTTAGAAAGTCAGCACATCCTATAACCTATCCCGGAGGCACAGCGAGTTCCTTTAGGATTCTCAGGGTTTGGGACTGACCAGAGCATGGCCCTTCCTGTGTGTGGAGACAGGGAGCCCCAAGAGGACCTGCTGTGGGCCTGGCCCCTGCCCCTGACCCGTGCTCCCAGGCAGTGCCTACCAGAGCCCCACTGCTGAGCAGGATCATGAAGACAATGAAGGTCTCGAACCAGTTGTGCTCGACAATCTTGAAGCAGGCCCTGCGCAGAGTCCACCACTTCTTCCCACGGCCCTGGGAGATGTCCACGTAGAGGCAGGGCCAGCGCTGCACGCAGGCTGATGGGGTGAGGGGGGACAGGGACAGGCACCACATCATGGGCCTGGGGTTGCCTTGGGGTGCACAGTCAGCGCCCTCCCATGGCATCCCAGGATGCCCCTCTCCAGCTCCCAGACCCAGGGCCCCCACCTCCTCCCTCACCCAGCTCCATCTGGCTCACATGGGGGACTCAGGACCTCCCTTCACAGCTGGATCCAACATGCGTCAATGGCTGCTGGGGATGGGCATGCAGAGGAAAGGCCTCCTGGCCCCCAGCCCCAGTGCTGCCCCACCCCCCACCTCGCCCAGGCGGTCTCCATCCTGCACAGCCCAGCAAGCTCTATGGACAAGGACATTTCTCCAGTGCCATGTCCTGAAGGCCTTGCTCCCTGAAGATGGAGGGGAGGATCTCAGGAGCTGACACCCACACTCCTGCACGTTGGCTCCAAGCTAGGTCTGCACCAAGGGCTCTGCATGGATCTTGCACCACAGTTCTGGGCATGCACTGCCACCACCCCTAGACACGTGAGGCACGGGGATGGCCAGGCAGCCCCAGGTCCGTGTGCTTTTGGTCCTGGTGTAGCCTGCCCCTTGCAGGGGCTGCAGGCCTGGGGGAGACACCCAGATGAGGTGAGGGGTGCCCTCACCCTCAGTGAAGCACTCCTCAGGCTGCTCCCCCTCGGGGTTCTCCTCTGCCTGCTCCTCAGGGTCCTCCTCGGGGGGCTTGTAGTCAGCTGTGCTGCAGACGGACGAGTTCCCATCATAGAGAGGCTGCGGCGGCTTCTGCGGAGGCCACAGGGTCACATGACATCTGGGTCCCTGAGAGACCCCCTCATCCTCCTACCAGATGGGGCAGGATGGGAGACCAGAAGGGAAGGGAAGAAGAGAGGGAGGAGCAAACTCATCCATTCATTCATTCATCCAGCCCTGGATGGTCGAGGAACCACGGGGACGTAGGTGGCCCTGGTCATGCCCGCATGACACTTATATAAGGAGTGGGGCGGGGCTGATGCCTGGGAAGGGACGGTAAGGGCATGAGGACACATGCGAAGGCCTCAGATAAGGGAGGAGGCGGGGACCCCGGCCCGAGTGGGGGGTCTGGGAGGCATGGGGGGCCTGAAGGTAGCTCTGAGGGGGCAGGGGTATGAAAAGGGGTCAGGATGGAGCCAGGCTATCACAGCCCTCAGAACATGGGCGTGTGGTGCCCCTAGCGTCTGAGCCTTCCCACCCGCAGGGTCTGTTTGGCTGAGGAATCCAGAAAGGGTGGAAAATGTTCCCCAGCCAAAGCCTCCATCCAGTGCCAAGGGAACCTGATCAGTGTTGGGAGCGGGAGTGGGGGAGGCGGGTGCTCCAGCCGGGCCAGGCTTCCTCCCACCTCCTCCTGCTGGGCCAGGCCAGCTTCCCGGCCCCAGACTCCACCCGGCAGGGGACCCCTTCAAGGCTGAGGGTGAGGCCTCTGAAGAGAAGGAAGAAGAGGGCAACTTGGGGGGCAGCTCTGTATCCAGAGTGGTGACCAGAAAACCACCATGGCCGGGGTGGGGGTCCTTGTTTTCATTAGACTAAAAGGGAAACTGAGGCACAGAGTGTTAGGTCAGCCAGGGCATCCACTGAGTTGCTTGCCCCGATTGTGCACTCAACTCCCTAAATCTCCCTTGGAGTTGTGCTCGCCCTCCTTGAACAAGTCCCCAGGCCCCGGCCCCGGCCCCGGGGAGCCTGGGACTTTGGTGCTCTCCAGCTCCCCCGCCACCTGAGTGCCTCATACCGAGGTCTGTGCCACAGTTGCCTGGGTATTTATAGCTCACAGGCACTCGCTTCCTGGTAAGCCAGCATATTTGGGGGGAATAAGGAGTCAAAAGCTTTCAGGGCAAAGTTCATTAGGCTCAGGCTGATGGTGCAGGGGTGGGCAGGGGCCCTCGTCCTAGCTCCTGTATGAGTCCTTTCCCTGCCAGAGCTGGACAGTGGGGAAGGGGGCTCAAGACCCAGGCAGGGTCAGCCTCAGCCTCAGCCTCAGCTGCTGGGGGTTACCACCGCTGCGTTCCTGTCCCTTCCTCGACCTCGCAGTGGAGGGGTGGGGAGGGGCATCTGAGCCCAGCAGCACACCCCCTGCATGGCTGAGGGGTCAGGGCTCCTGCCTGAGGCTTCTGTCCTCCTTGTCCTCAACTCCCGTTGGCCCCTAGCTCCTCTCCTGAATCCCCTGCCTGGATCTGGCACTTTGGCCCACACTGGGAGGTTGGGAGCAGACCCAGGTGGGGTCTAAACAGAGATAGAGGATAAGTGTGAGGACTGGGCAAGGGGCCTCAAACCCAGAGGAGAATATGTAAGAGAGGCCTCTCAGGTCCTGGTCCTGGAGCTGCGGTGCCCAGGTAAAAGCAGCATGTCCAAGGGCACCACCTGCTGGTGAGAGGGGCCCAGGTGTTCTGGTCCGAGGGAATCAGGGTTTCTGGACAGACAGGGTTGATCATAATAACCACATCAATAACGATAGTGACTGCCACCACTCACAGGGCGCGGACTGCATGCTTTACATACAGCGTCTCACATAATGCTTGCAACAATGCCATAGGGCACCACCCCCATTTTACAGCTGGAGAAACTGAGGCTCAGAGAGGACTTAGGGCTTGCTCCAGGTCACAGGAGAATTTGAAGCCGGGTCTGTCTGAGCCCCAGCCCCGGCTCACCTTGCTATCCTCAGGCTCTGAGAAAGTGTCGGTTTCCTCCTCGGTGGGCATCTCCAGGTCGGACTCCTCGGAGGCGATGGGCACCTGTATGGTCAGGTAGGGGTTGTTGATGAAGTTAAGGTGGTCCAGCTCGAGGCTGGATGGGGGGCCGTCAGCCAGGCCCATGTGGTTCAGGATGTGATTGTCCTTCTTCAGGTCCTCCTCGGGCGGCTCCTTCTTCTCATCCTCGGGGGCAGTCTCCCCCGCCTCTCCAGCCTCCCCGGCCCCGTCAGCCTCCCCGAGGCTGAGCATGATGTCCTTGGGGCTCAGGATCTTGCCATGCAGCAGCCCCAGGAGGAAGGCCTTGGCAAAGCCGATGCCCAACTTGATGCGCCCGATGGCAATCTGCAGGTTGTTCATCTCGCCATCCTCATCCGAGGCTGCCAGACTGTCGGCGCTGAAGGAGCTCAGCAGCAGAGCCAGGAACAGGTTCAGGACCTGGGGCATGGGGTCAGGGGGAGCCTCACATCAGTCCCCGGGACCCAGAGGGTGCCACCTTCAGCCAGCACAGGGGTCCTCGGTCTACAGATCCAAACTACCACATGTTGGGCATTTAAAAGAACGCCACCTAAGAGGTGTTCACAACTGCTCATGGAGGTGATGGTTATTATCCCTTCTGCAGATGGGGAAACTGAGGCTTGGGCTTCTGAGAGGACTCTGCTACCCAGGGCAGAGGCAGGGTTTAGGGAGGCCTGCTGGGGGACAGGAACTCTCTCCATGACTGTCCTTTTTTTTCTTTTTTTTTTTTCGAGATGGAGGAGTCTCCCTCTGTTGCCTCCAGACTCCGGGCTGGAGTGCTGTGGCGCGATTTCGGCTCACGGCAACCTCCACCTCCCAAGTTCAAGTGCCACCATGCCCAGCTAATCTTTGTATTTTTTGTAGAGACGGGGTTTCAACATGTTGCCCAGGCTGGTCTCAAACTCCTGACCTCAAGTGATCCGCCTGCCTCGGCCTCCCAAAGTGCTGGGATTAGAGGCATCACCACGGTGCCTGGCCCATGACTGTCCTTTACCTCCACTTCTGGAGGATGCGGAACAAAGAACTGGGCTCAAGTCGCCGAGCTTCCAGGACTTACTGGGAACCTTTATCTTTTGTGCCTTCTTCTCCACCTCTGTTAAGTGGGACTTTATAGACCCCGCACTCCTGGAGTGCAGAAGCTTGGCCCCTGCTACTCTGGAAGGGACATCTGACCTACTATTTACCCTCTTTTCTCCTCTTGGGGTTTCCGACTCCATCTATTCTGGTTCTTGTCCCACATCCCTACGGAAAGACTTAGGAGGCTACTGCTGCTCCCCCCCAGCACCCCCACCCACTTTATTTTCCAGTGGATAGACATTTCCTGAGCCCCCGTCACTGCATGAATGGCCTCAGGGAGCTCACAGACCAGCAGAGACAGAGAGCAGATCAATCACATGCAATACTGTGGGTTTGGGTGGCAGCAGAGACTGGAGTGCACAGCTTTTGAAACCACATTGCAGGGCTCTGAACCCCAGTTTATTAGCTGTGTGCTCTGAGGCAATTTGCCTCACTGCCCTGTGCCTCAGTTTCCTCATCTGTAAAAAGGAGATTATCCAAGTGTTCCTCCCATTGTTGTGAGGATTAAAGGATCAATAAAAGCCCAGGCGCAGTGGCTCACACCTATAATCCCAGCACTTTGGGAGGCTGGGGCAGGCGGATCACGAGGTCAGGAGATCAAGACAATCCTGGCTAACATGGTGAAACCCCGTCTCTACTAAAAATACAAAAAGTTAGCTGGGCGTGGTGGCATGCGCCTGTAGTCCTAACTACTTGGGAGGCTGAGGCAGGAGAATCGCTTGAACCCGGGAGGTGGAGGTTGCAGTGAGTCGAGATCACGCCATTGCACTCCAGCCGGGGCGACAGAGCGAGACTCCATCTCAAAACAAAACAAAACAAAAAAACAAAAAACAAACAAAAAACCCATCAATACAAGTAGAGCACACAGTAGGCACTCAACGCATGTTGGCTGTTATTATGTTTGAAATAATAGAAAGCTATACAAGGTGCTCCAGCCTGGCCAACATGGTGAAACCATGTACTAAAAATACAAAAATTAGCTGGGCGTGGTGGTGCACCTATAATCCCAGCTACTTGGGAGGCTGAGGCAGGAGAATCACTTGAACCCGGGAGGCGGAGGTTGCAGTGAGCCCAGATTGCACCCACTGCACTCCAGCCTGGGTGACAGTGCGAGACCCTGCCTTGAAGAAAAAAAAAAAAAGAAAAAGAAAAAGAAAGAAAGAAAGAAAGTTATACAAGGTGTAGGAAGAGTGTGGTGAACTCTGAGGCCAGCTCAGCATTTTATAGATGAGTAAACTGAGTCCTAGAGAGGTGGCGTGGCCTGCTCTAGGACACAGAGCATAGCCAGGACTCGAACCAGGATTCTAGTCATTGTATAACTTTAGAAGGCATCTTTCACTTAGCCTACAAGGTGAATGGCAGCCCTGAAGGTCTTTAATGTGGTCACCCTTCCTTCTACCAGTCTGCCTGGCCCTGGGCAGTGGGAGGAAGGAGAATCCTGGCTGGGGTGAGGGTCCCAGCTCCCATCAGCCAGAAGCATAGCCAGGTTCTTCCTCGGAGCCCTGGGGGAGTGAGAGGGCATGGGGAATTGGGGAGCCTGCACTTGCAGATCCGCCACCCTTGGCCGTCTCCTCGGCGGGTCTCACTCCTGGCTCTCACCAGCCTCCTCCAAGGTCTTCTCGTCATTGTCTTCACTACATTCTGTTGATTATATTCTGTTAATCATGTTAAATACTCTCTTTAAAAACTATCTGAAAACGCTCTTTGAGAGAATGTGCTAGGGGAATTTCCATGGCTCCCTTCCTCCCCGCCATGTCCCCTAGAGGCTTTTCTGCCTTTGCCCCCCACCAAAACGCATTAGTCTTTCTTCTCCCTCTCTGGGGGGAGGCATCCAGTTGCCAGAAACACATCTGAGATGGGAATTAGCTGCTCTCTGGGTCAGCAGGGTTTGCACACGGCTCCTGCCCAAGACAGAAATAGCTGCCCCAGGCATGGGGGAAGGGAGGAGGGGAGGGGGCCGACATCAATTTCCCTGGGGGTTCTGTGCTTTGGGTTACCTAGTCACTTCCTCTTCTTCTTCACAGTTACCCGCAGGAAGTGACCAAGTGCCATAGGTGCAGGGGATGCGGGTCCTCACACTCTCTGGCAGGGTGCCCTGGTGGCCTCTGGCAGACACCTGCTTCTCTGAAGCCTGGGGAGGTGGTGGGAGGGGACAGTGCCCAAGGAGCTGACAGTGCCACCTCCCTGGGCCGTTCCACTCCCTCTGAGCAAACTGGGAGAGCCACAGAGCTGGGCTGGGAAAGGATGTCAGTGGTGTGTTCGTGTGTGCATGTCTGTGTGATAGGGGTGACAGGCACACAGAAGCAGGGCCTGTACTGGTTCCAGACTCTGCAGCCAGATTGCAGGGGCTCCCGTCCCACACACGGGACAGACTCACCTCCCTGAGCCCCTGTTTCCTCATCTATAAAACATGAACCAGCGCGCCCCTCACAGGTGGGCGTGAGGATGAGGTGAAATGAATACATGTGAAGCACCCAGAATGCTGGGTAAATGCTAAATAAATGTCAGCTGTCACCATGCTTCTGCTGATGCTGACGTTATCATTATTACGATACTGTTGTCATTGATGTTATCGTTACTGGAGTTACATGGACCCAGTTCCAGCACCAGCTCTGTTTCTCACTAGTTGTGTGGTTCTGGGCAGTGCCTCCTCGAGAGTGTGGAAATAACATTACCTGTCTCATGGGGTGGCTGAGAGAATTAGGGGCAATGCCAGTAACTCCCTTTGGCAGGGACTGACATACAGTAGGCCCCCCACTGCCAATACAGGAGCATCGCCCTGGTGGCGGGAACCTAAACCAGCACTGCCCTGCCGCACGCCTGCAACACCTGTACTCCCAGCCACGTGGCCAGGCACTTTGGTAAGCACTTGTAAGCGCATGCGTAACATAATCCTTGCAACCACCCAGTGAAAGAGTCATCCCCATTTTCATCCCCGTTTTCCAGATGGGAAAACTGAGGCCCAAAGGGTTAAATAACGGGCTCGAGGTTTCCCAGTCAGTGAGTGGCAAAGTGGGGATTTAAAACGTTTCTGAGTTTCCACACATAGAAACAGCAACTCCCTGAAGACTCAGTCACCCCCAAGTCCTTAGACTTACATCAACAAACTCCTACTCAGGGTCTGCTCTCCCCATCCCCAATCCTGCCCCAAAGTTGGGCCCGGGCACCTTCCCTCTCTCTCCCCACTCCCTAAGACCCTCCTTTCAGGGACAGGAGGCCTGGGTTCTCCTCTGTAGCTGCAGCATAGTCTTCTTCTGCAGCTGAGGTGACACCCCCTTCCCTCTCTTGGTGCTGCCCCCAGCCAGAGATCAGCAATATCTGAGAAGCTCTGTCGCTGCAGCTCAGGGATTCCATAGGCCTTTGGGGAACATGGGGACAGGCGTCTTCCCAGTCCCTGTTGCCCAGGGCAGCACCAGCCACTGCAGGGGGCAGCTGGGCACAGCACTGCAGGGCTCTGGCAGGAGTGACCTCCACTGCCACCCCAAGAAGGGGAGAAGTCAGGGTCACCTCCAGAGGCCCTAGCCGCAGAAATGCTGGCCAGCTGGACCATGGCCCTATACCCTGGCTCTCACCTCCTGGCCCCTTCCTCTGCACCAGCCCCTCATGCCAAGCCCTGAACCACAGTAAGCGGCAGAAGAGATGCAGTTTATGCCATCTCTGCATTTTCCCAATATCTGCACCTGTTTCTTTTTTGTTTTCTAGAGATGGGGTCTTGCTCTGCCCCCCCATGCTGGAGTGCAGTGGCAGGATCACAGCTCACTACAGCTTTGAAGTCCACGGCTCAAACCATCTTCCTGCCTCAGCCTCCCAAATAGCTGGGTTTGGTGTGTGCCACCATGCCTAGCTAATTTTTTTCATTTTTCCATTTTTTGTAGAGATAAGAGTGTCTTGCTATGTTGCCCAGGCTGGTCTTGAACTCCTGGCCTTGGCCTCCTAAAGTGCTGGGACTATGGGCATGAGCCACCACATCCAGCCTGATTCTCTTTTTCGGCGCCTGGACCATAGGCCCTGGAGCAGAGGAGGTCAAGAGGGTGGGAGAAGGCCAGGAGGCCCAGGTTCCCCCACAAAACTGTGCCTTTGTACACACTATGGCATCATCTTTGCAGTGACCTCATGAACTCCCTGTTGTTTTTCTTCTATGTGAGGGTTAGAGAACCCAGCTTGACTAGAGAGCAGCAGTTAGCTCAAGGTCACACAGATGATGGCAAAGGAGCTGGGACTGGAATGTGGGTCTGTCTGACTCATTATCATGTTGCTTTACTCAAAACACTAGGTTCCAACAGCGCTACTCATAGCATGGTCCCAGAACCACCATCAGCATCCACTGATCAGCATCACCTCGGAGCTTGTCAGAAATGCAGGTCCCCAGGCCTAGGCCCAGAGCTGCTGAATCAGACACTCTGGGGGTGGGGCCGGGGATCTATGTTTTAAGTAACTCCTAAGTGATTCTTACACAGGTTAAAATTTGAGAACTACGGGGTTAAACCACATAAAATTGCCATTTTGGAGAGGATGTGTTGGGGAGATAGAAAACAGTCAAATATCAGGTACATCTTGTACGCTTCCCGGGTGAGGGCAGGGGCCACCCAGCCAGCCTCACTCACCACAAGATTGCCGATGACCATGACCATGAGGAAGACGGTGAGGCACATGGCTTGGCCGGCCACCTCCATGCAGTCCCACATGGTCTCGATCCACTCCCCGCACAGGATGCGGAAGACGATGAGGAAGGAGTGGAAGAAATCATGCATGTGCCAGCGCGGCAGGTTGCAGTCCAAGGCAATCTTGCACACGCACTCCTTGTAGCTCTTGCCAAACAGCTGCATGCCCACCACGGCGAAGATGAACACGATGATAGCCAGCACCAGCGTCAGGTTACCCAGCGCCCCCACTGAATTGCCAATGATCTTGATGAGCATGTTCAGCGTTGGCCACGACTTGGCCAGCTTGAAGACCCGCAGCTGCCAAGCAGGGAGGGCAAGGGTGAATGAGGCCCAGGGACCACCACCCAAGGCAGCCCCAGCCTTAGGAGAAAGAACAGTGTCGAGTAGCTTGAATCTCCAGCCCCCCACACCATCTGAGTCCTCAGTGTGCCCTTCTGCTAAATGGGAACACTCATTCTACCACCTCAGGCCCTTCATGTGTTAAAAAGAAAACAAGTCCAGGCCAGGCGCGGTGGCTCACGCCTGTAATCCCAGCACTTTGGGAAGCCGAGGCGGGTGGATCACTTAAGCTCAGGAGCTGGAAACCAGCTTGGCTGACATGGTAAAATCCTGTCTCTACTAAAAATACAAAAAATTAGTCGGGCATGGTGGCGAGTGCCTGTAATCTCAGTTACTCAGGAGGCTTAGGAAGGAGAATCGCTTCAACCAGGGAGGTGGAGCTTGTAGTGAGCAGAGATTGCACCACTGCACTCCAGCCTGGGCTACAGAACAAAACTCCACTAAAAAAAAAAAAAAAAAGAAAAAGAAAAAGAAAAGAAAAGAGAAAAAATGTCATTCGTCATTATCTGTTAAAGATACAGACTATGGCTGGGAGCAGTTGGCTCACACCTGTAATCCCAGCACTTTGGGAGGCCGAAGAAGGTGCATCACTTGAGCCTAGGAGTTGGAGACCAGCCTGGGCAACATGGCGAAACCCTGACCTACAAAAATTACAAAAATTAGCTAGGCATGGTGGTCCCACCTATGCAGGAGGCTGAGGTGGGAGAATCACCTGAGTCTGGGGAGGTCAAGGCTGCAGTGAGCAGTGATCGTACCACTGCACTCCAGCCTGGGTGACAGAGAAACCCTGTCTAAAAAAAAAAATACAGACTAAAGTATTTACAAGTGAAATTATATGTTGGGATTTGCTTTCACAATAAAAATTGGGGGACAGATGCAACAGGAATTGTAGAATGTTGATAGTTGTTGAAGCTGGGTGATAGGTACGTGGAGGTTCATTATACTTTCTCTATACTTTTGTGCATGCATGAAAAGATCCCTTGATAAAGTTTGTTGTTGTTGTTTTTTTTGAGACAGAGTCTCAATCTGTTACCCAGGCTGGAGTGCAGTGGTGCGATCTCGGCTCACTGCAACCTCAGCCTTCCGGGTTCAAGTGATTCTCCTGCCTCAGCCTCCCAAGTAGCTGGGATTACAGGCGTGCGCCACCAAGCCCAGCTAATTTTTGTGTTTTTCGTAGAGACGGAGTTTCACCATGTTGGCCAGGCTGGTCTTGAACTCCTGACCTCAGGTGATCCACGCGCCTTGGCCTCCCAAAGTGTTGGGATTACAGGCGTGAGCCACCGCGTCCAGCTGATAAAGTTTTAAAAAGAATAATAGTGCTCCTTATGGGGTGGTGAAAAGACAGAAATTCAGAGGTCCCAATCCTACTCCTAATGAACTTCCAGAGCCCCGGCTTTCAGGTCTGCAGTATGGGGCTGGAGTTCCTGCTCCACTGCTGCTCAAGGTCATTAAGGAATCAAACCCAGTGTTGGCCTCTGTCACTTGGGTCCCCCCAGCAGCCCTATGAAAGAAGACAGGGCTCTCCTTTTCTCTGTTTTACAGGTAAGAAAGGTTCTGAGAGGTAACAGGTGTGCACAAGGCAGAGGAGGCCTCGTTTTCAGCCCTCTAGCTTCCTGGGGTTTCTCCTCCCATCCCTGTGCCCACCCTCCTTAGTCTCCTCACCCCACCCCCATCCCAGCCCCTGGCCCTGGGGCTTTTGTGTACCAGACGGAAGGAGCGTAGCACAGACAGTCCCTGTACGTTGGCCAGGCCTAGCTCTACCAGGCTGAGGGTGACGATGATGCTGTCGAAGATATTCCAACCCTGCTGGAAATACTCGTAGGGGTCCATGGCAATCAGCTTCAGAACCATCTCTGCTGTGAAGATGCCTGTGAAGACCTAGGGGGTGGCATGAGGCCCTGTCACAGAGCCTCGGGGAGCCCAGGGCCCTGGAAGTCTCCCACCCAACTCCCACCTCCTGGCAGAGGCTGCGGGGGCGGAGGGGAAGGGGTCCAGAGCCCTGAGAGGAGCAGGAGTGGCATGCATGGCCCGTGTGTGTATAAGTGAGTGATGGAGGCAAAGGCCAAGTCATAGGGCCTAGGTGGGTACAACTCTGAGACCCGTTCCCATTCATTTCTGGCCTTGTGACAGTGGGCAAGGCACTTCACTCCTTGGAGACCCAACCCTGTCATAATATTCAACATTTGCAGGGCGCTCTGTGGTTCACTTTGTGACTTCACTGGTATCCTGATCTCTACAATGTTGGGAGGGATTCTCACATGCATTCCACACATGAGCAGTTGAGGCTCAGCTAGCTGGGCAGCTAGCTGGCATCACAGCACCCACATGGGAACGAGCCACATCTCAAGCCCAGTTCTCAGGTGCTCAGTTCAGCATCCTGTCTGTATGCCTACAGCCTCTCCACAGGGACCACTCCCAGGATCTTGCAAATCTTGGCAGACTCAAAGGTTTAGGGCAGGGACCAAAAGGAGCAAAATCAGTGAGAAGAAGACCAGAGCTTCCCCTGCCAACCCTGGACATGGGATCTGAGGATTGCACAGTCCCTGAAAGCTCCCTGGGCACGGCCCCCCTCCTGCCAGGCACCAGCTGCCCTGGGTCCACAGCCTGCCTGGGCACATGCTGAGCCCCTCCCAGAGGCTGTCCCTGGCCACAGCAGGTGCCAAGGCAGCAGCATAGTGTGGGCAGGGGGTGGGCAAGCGGGCAGGCCCGGTCCATCACGCACATCCCAGCAGCTGTGCCACGAGTCCAGAGCACGCCCTTACCCTTCCAGCCCAGCCTGGCCATGGCTGCCTCGGCACCTCTATAGGACAGACGTGCCTGCCTCGAAGGCTGGGGAGCCCAGGGTTTGATTCTCGTGCCACCCACCCAGCCCTGGTTCTCTCCCAGACCCCAAATCTTACTCTCCCTGGCTTCCCCTAACCTTCAGGGTTGGGGAGCATCTCGCCCATTTGCCGTCCTGGAAAAATTGCAAAGGGAATTGGGAAGGGTGGGGCAGGGCTGGAGGAGGAGGCGGCTTTTCCCTTTGTCAGGCTCCTCTGGGGCCGGCAATGAGGTGATAATGCTCCTAATGGGCCTGGATAAGCGGGCGGATCAGTGGTGTCAACAATAGTGGAGCAGGAAAGGGCTGGAGAGAGGAGAAGCCTGGCCACGCTGGAGAAATAGGTGAGGGTTGGGGGAGTAACCCCTGCAGCCCACTGGTCCTGGGTAGCCAGGGCTATAGGTCACACTGCCAGATCCCTTGGCTCCTTTCAGGCCCATGACAACTTCTGGAAGTGGACAGACTTGTCAGCTAGCCCCTTCACCCCTATCTCCACACCCCCATTTCCTCACCCCTGCTTCCAGGGCATGGTCTGGATCCCAGATCCCCAAGAATCTGGACCTTAGGAAGCCCAGCGCCTCAACCCCATCTCCCTGCCCCTAAATGTCCTGAAACCCCAGTTCTGTGTGCCACAGATCACCCCAAGTACCCCCCCCCACATCAACTCATGCCTCCCATATGCTGGGAAAATAACCCCAGCTGTCCGCATGTGTCCCCCACCGTGCCCTATATTTACATACAGCCAGACAGCTCCACTGGGCCCTACCCCCTCCCATCCTGCCCATGAATGATCCCCTCCCCCGCCCCTCCCTACCAGGTTGCCCACAGTGAGCACGTTGTCAAAGTGCTCCGTCATGGGGTAATGTTCCATGGCCATGAAGAGGGTGTTGAGCACGATGCAGATGGTGATGCCCAGGTCCACGAACGGGTCCATGACGATCAGGTGGATGATGTTCTTGAACTTCAGCCACGGGGCGCAGCAGTTCCATATGAGCACTTTGTGGGCGCACTTGTACCACCATGGTGGGCACTTTTGGTGGGCCTCTTCCAGTTCTGGGAGAGGGGTGGTAGCAGGTATCTGGTGAGGATTATCCCCTCACGTGCCCCCGGCTCCAGCTAGAGCTTTTGTTCCACCTTCCAAGCCCCGCCCCTTAGCACTCCACATCTCAACCCTCTAGCAAGGCCTATTCCAAGTTCCACCGCCTCTTGCGTCACCCTTACTGTCACCTCCCCTGTAACCTCCGCCCCACATGGCTTCACCCCAAAGCCCCGCGCTCTGAGCGCGGCCGGCTCCAAGCTCCACCGCCTCAGTGAGCACCCTCCAGATCCCGCCCTCTAACCCCCGCCTACAGCCCCACCCCTGGAACCCCCGCGTCCTCAGCGCTCCGCCCTCTACTTCAAGTTCCACCACCACTCACCGCATCACCCTCCGGACACACCTCTCTAAACCCCGCCCACAACCCCGCCCCTCAAAGCCCCACCTCCTCAAAGCCCCACCCCCGGCTCCAAGCTCCTCCGCCTCACAGAGCGCATCCTCATGTCCGTCCCCTCTAAACCCCGCCCACATTCCCAACTCCTGAGGAAGCCCCGCCTCCTCCCGAAGCTCCGCCCCTTAGTGCAGTAACTCACAGGACCACCTCCTCAGCAAACTTTTCCCCAAGCCCCGCCTTTCAATGCCCTGCCTCAAGCCCCGCCCTCTTGACTCACCCCACAAAGCCCCACCCCTCAGGGAGCTGGACAGGACGCCCACCCCCTGCCAGAGGCCCAGGGCTGCGAGCCTGGCCTGTGAGATGCCCTAATCTGTCTGGGTCCGAGTTCCCAGGGAGAGGCGGGAGGCCACTGCAGGGGCTTGGGTTCCAGCCCCATGAGCTGCTGGCTAGTGCAACTCTGCACAGACAGATCCCTCGGGGATGCACTGTCGGTAATACCGGCCCCTCCAAAGTGTCCCCAGCCGGTCCATCCTTTCCCACCACAGTGGCCTTCAAGAAACATCCCCTGTTCTTGCCACCCCAAAGCCACGAGTGCTTTGTAAGGACCGTGGGACAAAGCTGTTCCTCCTCCTCCTGGCCTTGGTGGGCTGTTTGGCTGTGTGGAAATATGGGGCACGGTGGGGACACATTCGGAGTGTCCTTGGCCCAGGCACGATCTCACTTACTCATCACAGCAGGTAAATACAATCAGTGCCTCCCGGTAAATACAATCAGTGGCTCCCATTTCAAAGACAAAGAAAAGGGACTGGAGTGGGTGGCAGCCCCATGGAGACCCTGGATTCATGCCGGGGAGGGTGGCTGAACCTCCCTCCCACACCCAGTAATTAGCACACTGAGTGTCACTCAAAGCCTCCCCAGTCTGCACCTCCACCCCTACCCTGTGCTTCTGCAGGTGCCCAAACAGTGTCTGAGGCCCAAAACTTCTCACAGTGGTCCCAGGAACGGCAGGGTGGAGAGGCCTCCTCCCCCAGCATTCCCTGGGTACCCTCTGGCAGGGCATATGGGCACCTGGATACCTGTCATACAAGGTCAGGTGACATGGTGACCTCTAGAGATCTGCAAAGTCCTGCAGGGCCCCCAACTCCCTGGCACAAGGCAAGCCGACCTGGGGAGGGAACCACATCTCTGTGTGTCAGAATTCCTTTTCTCTATTGTCCCTTTTTCCTGTGCTTCCTCCTTCCCTCCTGCCTCCCTACTTCCCTCCCTCTCATCCATCCATCCATCCATCCATCCGTCCGTCCATCCATCTGTCCATCCATCTGTCGTGTCGTGTCTATTCACCCTCTCTCATCATGACATCCTTATTCTTCTGAGATTCAGCATGTGGCACAGGGATTGGGGAGTCTGTCACTCTGTTTGGGCAGAATTTGACTTTTGGCCTTTAACTTTTACCCAGAGAACACTTGAGGAGCAGGATGTCCAGTTTCCGGAACATTGGGCCTTCTGGTTAGTATTATTAGCCTGTGCTTCCCATTGGGCAGTCCCCAAGGCCCTCCCGGAAGCCCCCAGTTCCCATAGCAGCCTGGCCTTGCAGCTAGAACTGGGCCAGGTTAAGACAGGACTATATTTGTGACAGCCAGAAATGGCTGTGATAAATATAGTATAAATATAGCCATTTCTTCTATGCCAATATTAAGTTACTGTCCTGAAGCTGGTCCAGCCAGGCCCCACCCTGACCTCAGGGGCCTGAATGGGTAGAGGGGGCACAGGGCACTCACCTTCCATGGCATCCCTATCCTCCTGAATCCAGTCCAGCCAGGCTCCACCCCTACCTAAGTGGGCACGGGGGCACAAGGCACTCACCTTCCATGGCGTCGGAGATGCCGCTGTCTCCGCTGCTGCTCTGCCTCGGGGCTCCCTTCTCCCCTTGCGATGTGTCCAGGCTGCCATTGCAGTCTTTGCCATGGGCTGGGTCCCCATCTGCCTCCCCACCTTCCAGAGCTTGGGCGGCCTTGGCCTGTAGACCAGCAAGAGTGACTGGCAGGAAGTCCAGCTCTGAGCCAGAGGGATGGACTAATTGACCCTCAGAGCTTCTTCCAGAGTCCTTCAGGGTGGCAGCCCCTCTTCCTGGCCTGTGTCAAACTTAGTGCAGGTGGGGGAGGGACCAACCTCCATGGTGGTGGGGGTGACAGGGTAGGGACCAAAGTGACTAAAGACCCTCTGCCCTGAAGACCCTTGACTCTGATGCCCTGACTAACCCTCCACTTGTTGACAGAATGAGAAACTGGTCAGCCGCTCCCTGTGGCCTCATCAGGACCTGCCCTTCCCTCAGTATGGACCTATCCACTACCCAGAAAGCATCACAAAATCAGAAATATTTGAGCTGGAAGAATACTTCAGGTTTAGCTACTCCAGATTCCTTGTTATAGACAGGGAAACTGAGGCACAGAGCAGAGAAATGCTTTTTCTACTGCTTGGATCCCTCCATCCCCCTGCCACCAGCAAAGCTCCCAGCCCAGGGCCTTCTGCTCCTTCTGCCTCAAAACCCCTACCCCTGTACCCTCCCTCACCCTCGGCCCCCCAGGGAGAAGCCAGTGGCAGCCCCGGCTGAGGGCAGGTAGAACCCTGGGTCCTCTATCTCCTTTCCCTGAGTCCAGACCTTCTCCAGCTCCTCCTGGTGCTTTTTGAACTTCTCAAGCATCTGCTGAAACTCCTCCTCTTTCTCCTTATCCTCGGCCAGGGTGGCCTCATTCTGCTCGGCATATGCCATGGCCACCACGGCCAGGATCAGATTGATGAGGTAGAAAGAGCCCAGGAAGATGATGACCACGAAGAAGATCATGTAGGTCTTGCCAGCTGCTCGAAGGGTCTGGGAGTGGAGGGAGAGGGAGTGGAGGGGTCCCATGACGTCCACCTCCTTTGACCCAGTGCCCCTTTCCATACATCCATTGCCCGCATGGGTAAGCAGAGCCCCTCCCTCACAGAGCCTGGGGGACTGATGGCCGTCATTGGCATGCTGAGCCATGTTCTGGGGAACTTCAAAATATCTACTTGGGACTCAAACGTTTCTGGTCTCCTGGCTCAGAGGAGGACCGAAGCCAGGCATCCTGTTATCAGAGAGCCAGGATAGAAAATTGGTGAACATGGGTTTGGGGTCAGCTTGAATTCTAGCTTTGCCACAGTGCCTGGCACCTAGTAAGAACTCAACAAATAGTAGCTATTATTATTATTTAATCAATTTATTTATTTATTTTTAGACGTAGTCTCACTCTGTTGCCCAGGCTGGAGTGCAGCGGTGTGATCTCGGCTCACTGCAACCTCCACCTCCCAGGTTGAAGTGATTCTCCTTCCTCAGTCTCCTGAGTAGCTGGGATTACAGGTGTTTGCCACCAAACCTGGCTAATTTTTGTATTTTTTGTAGAGATGGGTTTCGCCATGCTGGCCAGGCTGGTCTCAAACTTCTGACCTCAAGTGATCTGCCTGCCTCGGCCTCCCATAGTGCTAGGATTATAGGCATGAGCCACTGCACCCAGCCAGTAGCTGTTATTATTTTTGTTATTGTTATCAACACCATCAATGTTAGAAACATCACATGGCATCAGAAGGCACTGTCACTCCAGGCTCAGCCTGCCTTCCCTGCAAACAGTAGAAGGCAAATAAAGTATGGGCAACATCGAATTTCTGTCTTTCTTTTTTTTCAGACGGAGTCTCGCTCTGTCGCCCAGGCTGGAGTGCAATGGCGTGGTCTCGGCTCACTGCCACCTCCGCCTCCCGGGTTCAAGCAATTCTCCCTCCTCAGCCTCCTGAGTAGCTGGGAATATAGGCCCGTGCCACCATACCCGGCTAATTTTTGTATTTTTAGTAGAGATGGGGTTTCACTATGTTGGCCAGGCTGGTCTCGAACTCCTGACCTCGTGATCCGCCCACCTCTGCCTCCCAAAGTGCTGGGATTTCAGGCGTGAGCCACCGCGCCCGGCAGGCAGCATTGGATTTCTAAGCTGCCCTACTGGCTATCATGAGGCCTAGGGGGTCCTGGGCTTGTGCCTATGCTAGGTCCAGACCTTGGCTCTGAAAGCAAAGGTGTGGAAAGAATTAAAGCTGTGGCTTGGCTCGGGGCAGGTGTCTAGTTTCAGAGAGCACAAGCTCCTATAAGGGCACTGCGGGAGTCCATGAGGAGATGGCCCAGTTCGGGGGTTGGCCATCCTGTGGTAGGCCCCATCAGGCCCTGAAGAGGCTGCAGGGATGGAGGGGGAGTGGCTGTAGGGTTGGGGGGCAGGGTGGGGGCAGCTGTACCAGCTGGAAGAGGTTCTCCCAATAGTCCTGTGTCATGAGGCGGAAGAGAGCCAAGAAGGCCCAGCTGAAGGTGTCATAGCTGGTGTAGCCATAGTTGGGGTTCCGCCCGGTCTTGATGCACTCATAACCCTCAGGGCAGTGCCTAGGAATAGGACAGGGGGCTGGGTTTAGGGTGGGAGGAGCACTCCAGCTGGGGGCAGATAGGGACCCCAAGGGAAAAATTCCGTCAGTTCTGCCTGTGTCCCCCAAACAGAAAAGTATTCCATCCATGCCCACAGGTTTCCCTGCACTCCCATGCCCCCCAGGTCCTCATCTCTAATCAGCTCCCACCTTCCAAGACCCCTGGGGTGCCTTTTCTGCATCCCTTAGCATCACTCACCCAGCATCACTGCTGTTCCCACAGAGCAGGGCATCGTTGGAGCCCTCCAGGAAGTAGAAGTTCCCTTTGGGAGTCAGAGGCCACAAAGGAGGCAAGTCACCCACATGGACACAGTGTGAGCACCTGCGCCCATTGCACACCTGTGGACAGGTCTGCGCGTACCACATAAACCAAACGGATGTTCCCTGGCTGCCTCTTCCCCGTCCTTTAAGGACAGCTCCAAGTTCCAAGGTCTCTGGGTAGGGACTCGGCAGGGAGCTCAGCTTGAGCCCTGTCAGCCCAGTGCCCAGTGTGGACGAAAAGTCATGACGCAGCAGTGGCACAGAGACGGAACGTGTACGTGTGTGCATGGGGTTATTGTGTACCTATGTAGGGCCCCTGAGTGAAGGGTGAGTGGGGGCTGGAATCCAGGTGCCAGGGTGAGAAGGGTTACCTTTTCCTAATTTGCAAGAAGGCGCTATGTAGACTAACAGTGGCTGTGTGAGAATGTGTGTGTTTCTGGCATGTGTGCCTGTGAAGATGCATATGTGAATAGGATGTGGGTGTGTGGGTGGGTGATGGTGACCCTGCCAGGATGTGAGCATGTGAAAATGTGGTGTGATGAAGGAGGACAGGGGGTGCACAGGTTAGGGAGTAGGAACTATAGACTCTTGCTTTGCATAGTGAGAGCTTTAGGATTTTTTTTTTTTTAGACTGAGTTTCACTCTTGTTGCCCAGGCTAGAGTGTAATGGCATGATCTCGGTTCACTGCAACCTCTGTCTGCCAGGTTCAAGCGATTCTCCTGCCTCAGCCTCTGGAGTAGCTGGGATTACAGGCATGCGTCACCACGCCCGGCTAATTTTTGTATTTTTGGTAGAGACGGGGTTTCACCACGTTGGTCAGGCTGGTCTGGAACTCCTGACCTCAGGTGATCTGCCTGCCTCGCCCTCCCAAAGTGCTGGGATTACAGGCGTGAGCCACCGTGCCTGGCACTTTAGGGTTTTTAAAACAGTTTGCCATTTGTTGCTGCAGTAACCCTTTGAGGAAGGTATTGTTATCTTGATTTTATAGGTGAGGATTCGGAGGGCTGGGGAGATCAAGTGACTAGTCAGAGGTGACACAGGCTGCCAAGTGCTAGCTTTAAGCTCAGGTCCTCGCCATACTATTTGTCTCATAAGAAGTGGAGACAGGGCGGGGAGCGGTGGCTCACGCCTGTAATCCCAGCACTTTAGGAGGCCGAGGTGGGAAGATCACATGAGGTCAGGAGTTCGAGACCAGCCTGGCCAACATGATGTAACCCTATCTTTACTAAAAATACAAAAATTAATTGGGCCTGGTGGCACATGCCTGTAATCCTAGCTACTCGGGAGGCTGAGGCAGGAGAATCGCTTGAAGCCGGGAGGCGGAGGTTGTAGTGAGCTGAGATGGCACCTTTGCACTCCAGCCTGGGTGACAAGAGTGAGACTCCATCTCAAAAAAAAAAAAAAAGAAAATGTGGAGTCAGAGGCTACCCTAGGGACTGGGACAGGATCCCCCTTGCCCGTCACCCTCCCCATTCTTACCTTCATCACTGATGTAGGCGTCCCAATCAAAGGTATCGTTGGTGGCCCAGCTTGCATGGCTGTTCCACGTGTCGTTGGCATACCATGAGTCATTGCCGTACCACATCTCATTGCCATACCATGTGTCATTGCCGTACCACGTGTCATTGCTGTACCACGTGGTGTTGGTGTCGTTGAACGGCGGGGGCCAGCGCACACACTTCTGCCTCAGGTTTCCCATGAAGAGCTGCAGTCCTACCAGCGCAAAGACGCTCAGGCAGAAGACAGTGAGGATCATCACATCCGACAGCTTTTTCACCGACTGGATCAGGGCCCCCACGATCGTCTTCAGCCCTGACCGCAGAGAGGGCAAGGATATTGGCAGGGGGCAGGGCAGGGTGATAACAGAGCCCCCGCGGCCCCCACCGCCAAGCTTTTTCCTACTCCATCTTCAAGGCTTGACTTACTGAGCACCACTACTTCCCCGAAGCCTTCTGAAATTAACTCCACCCTTCTCTGTTCACATCCTCAATCTGGAGCCCTCAAATGGCCACAGACGCTCAGCCACTAGGAGAATGAACTATAAAGACCTGATGGGCTGTTGCCTGACCTATAGAGCAAACAAAGGCATACAGCAGAGCTTAATACATGTCACTAAGTTAGCGCTGTCAAAGTGTGTTCAACAGAACGCTAATCTCCCATGCTGTGCCCTTAAAAAGGGGGCGTTGATAATGTTTGGGAAAAGCTGCGTTCTAGATTCTGCTCTTGGAGAGTCATTATGTAGTTGATCCTATCAAAGGCTTTGAAAAGTCCTGCAGAAATAAACAAAAACTTTATTTGTATTTATGTATTTATTTAGAGAGAGTCTCATTCTGTCACCCAGGCTGGAATGCAGTGGCGTGATCTTGGCTCACTGCAACCTCTGCCTCCTGGGTTCAAGTGATTCTCCTGCCTCAGCCTCCCAAGTAGCTGGGATTACAGGTGCATGCCACCACACCCAGCTCATTTTTTTGGTACTTTTAGTAGGGATGAGGTTTCGCTATGTTGGACAGGCTGGTCTCGAACTCCTGGCCTCAAGTAATCAGCCTGCCTCAGCCTCCCAAAATGCTGGGATTACAGGCATGAGCCACCTCACCTGGCCTATTAAACAAAAACTTTAATCCCACGTATCCTTAACATATTTGACCACAGAACCCTTTTCCTTAAAATGCCTAGTAGCACCCGAGGAACAGCAGAAGCTCTAGACTGAACTTGAAACATCATTATATTCTTTAGACAGACAAAGGCATAAACGATGCTGAAATAATCCCAGGGGCAGGTTCCCATCACCTGTGGAAGAGCCGTAACTTCTTCCTTGGGCCTAATCGTAGTGCCTCTTGCGTTAATATGACTTCATTTCCTTTTCTTATCCTGATATGGAAAACAAATGCTCGGCAGCCTCCTTATAAAAGCCCTCCTGCGCCCCGAGGATGCTGGCAGCTGGCACAGAGGAAAGGCAATGCCGTCTTGGCTCAGTGGCCAATGTACAGTGTGGAATTTGGGAAGTGCTTCCTCTCCTGGGTCTCACACCTTCCTCGGCTGCAGTCAGAGGGCTTTAGACTAGAAGATAGCTCAGGTACTTTCTTTCTTACTTTCTTTTCTTTTCTTTTCTTTTTTTTTTGAGATAGAGTCTCGCTCTGTCGCCCAGGCTGGAGTGCAGTGGTGTGATCTCGGCTCACTGCAACTTCTGCCTCCTCGATTCAAGTGATTCTCCTGCTCAGCCTCCCAGGTAGCTGGGATTACAGGCACATGCCACCACGCCCAGCTAATTTTTGTATTTTGAGTAGAGACGGGGTTTCACCACGTTGGCCAGGCTGGTCTCAGAGTCCTGACCCCAAGTGATTCACCTGTCTCGGCCTCCCAAAGTGCTGGGATTACAGGTATGGGCCACCACACCTGGCCTCAGGTACTTTCTCATATTAGGATTTAACAATTTTCCCTCTTCCCAGAGCCTGATCTCTATCCTTTTTCTTTCTCTCCTTTACTGGGAGAGAATCTCCAGTTTCTCCACATGCTCTTTTGCAGGTCTGAATGTTCGGATTCTATTGATTTCATGCTTGTTGATGCATTACTTTGGAATTGCTCTGACCTTATTGCTCAGCAGGTGCCTGGTGTGTTCCTAATTGAGCTCTCAGAGCTTGGACTTTTCCTCATGGAGCCTTTTTGTGTCTCTCTCTTCTCTGCTCTGTCTGCTTATTTTATTGAGCACACACGTGTATATCACAAACCATGGGCCAGGGGCTGTGAGGGCCTTACAGATATTAAGGCATTTAATCCTTACAACAATCCAAGGAGTGGTACTATGAGTCTCCATATGCCACAGATAAGGAAACTGAGACATGGACAGGGCGAGGCACTTGCCCAAAGTTAAAGTTAGGAAGTGGTAAAGGTGAGAATTGAACCCAGGCAGTCAGGCTCCAGAATCTGTGCTTTTTTCTTTTGAGACAGAGTCTTGTTCTTTTTCCCAGGCTGGAGTGCAGTGGCAAAATTACAGCTCATAGCAGGCTTGATCTCCTGGGCTCAAACTATCCTCCCGCCTTAGCCTCCCAAGTAGCTGGGACTATAGGAGAGCATAACCAGGCCCAGCTAATTTGTTTTCTTTTTTTTTTTTGAGATGGAATCTCACTGTGTTGCCTAGGCTGGAGTGCAGTGGCGTGATCTCGGCTGACTGCCACCTCTGTTTCCCAGGTTCAAGTGATTCTCCTGCCTCAGCCTCCTGAGTAGATGGGACTACAGGTGCACACCACCATGCCAGGCTAATTTTTGTATTTTTAGTAGAGACAGGGTTTTGTCTTGTTGGCCAGGCTGGTCTCAAACTCCTGACCTTAGTTGATCCACTTGCCTTGGCCTCCCAAAGTGCTGGGATTATAGGCGTGAGCCACCATGCCCAGCTGAGTCTGTGCTCTTAACCAACTTGCCATGCTGCCTCTCAAACGCCCATCCTTCCATGTAGGACCCCATCTGCCCTCTGGTCACGTGGGCCCCTGTATGTCCAGGCTTTGCTGTGAGTTCTACAAAAACACCAGCCTGGGAGTGTTGTGACACTGAGTCAGGTTCCAGGCCTGCACATGGTACGGGGGTCTCTCAGCTCAGGCAGAGGGTCCCTGCACCTCCCCAGTACCTGGGATGACCGTGATGGTTTTGAGGGCCCGCAGCACCCGGAAGGTCCTCAGGGCTGAGATGTTGCCCAAGTCCACAAACTCTGTCAGGTACCTGGGTAGGGGGTGGAGGGGGGTGGGGACTGTCAGAGCCTGGGGTGGGTGGTAGGACAGAAATCAGGGCTCCTCCAGGCCTGGGATGAGGATTCCCAAGAAATTGGGGGTACCACAGGGTCTGGGGGGCAGGGCAGACACCCCCAAAGCTCCTCTGGGAGCCCAAGGGTTGGGAAGGACAGTGCAGGAGCTCTGGGGGAGTGGGGATGGCAAAGATAGCCCGGCTCACCCAGCAGGTGAGGACCCATGGGTCTGTGGGTCAGGGCTGCCTCATGTGATTATCAGGAGTCCATCAGGAGAGTGCTGAGCCAGACCCTGAGAATGGCAGCTTCTAGAATTGTGCAGCTCCCCATCTGCACAACTGACCGATGTCCCCTGCAGCCCTCAGCCCAGGCAGCTTCCCTCTTTAAGGCCTGGCCCCCTCCCCTCACCCACCCCAGCCTCAGGATGTCCTGGGGCCCCTGCTCACGCCATCATGATGACACTGAAGTCCAGCCAGTTCCAGGGGTCCCGGAGGAATGTGAAGTCGTCGACACAGAAGCCTCGGGCCAGTATCTTGATGAGGGACTCAAAGGTGTAGATCCCTGTGAAGGTGTACCTGGGGGGGAGAGGGCCGGCCGGGACAGGCATGTCACCTGGGTAGGGGTCAGTGTGGCAACGACAGACCCCCAGAAGGGAGGGACACAGAAATGAAATATGCCACTCAGGTGGCTAAGGACACTAGCGAGTGATAGCATGGCCACCCCAGGGACTCAAGGTGTGGATGAGGGTCACAATGACAGTGTGTCTCCCTGAAAGACAAGAGCAGCACCACACAGAGGTGCAAACACCTGAGATGGGCTGTGTCCCAGGGCTGGGGAGCTCAGGGAGCAGGGAGACTTACTCCACATTCTTGGACCAGGGAGGCGGGTCACTCATGGTCATGAATACGCAGTTGGTCAAGATGGTGATCATGATGAACATGCTGAACAGCGTGGGGCAGGGTCAAGGAAAGTGAGGAAGCAGCTAGGATGGGAGGTGATAGAGGGTCTCCTGGGCCACAGCACCCCATCTCGCCCATCCCTAACCCCTCCCGCCTCTCCCATCTTGGGCAGGATATGCATGGATGAGCACCTTGATGGCCCCGCGCCTGACTACGCTGAAGGGGCTCAGCAGGTAGAGAGCAGGTGTGGCGGAGAAGCGGAAGATGGCCTTGCCCTTGTTGAGTACGATGAAGGTCTAAGGTGGGAGAGAGGCTGTGAGACCCAGGGACAGACAGACAGGCAGACAGATGGATGGATGGCAGACAGACAGAGGAAGCCTTCCCAGGCCCAGACCTTCTTATTGCTGTAGTAGGGATCCAGGTCCTCCAGGGGGATGCCGATGACCTCCGGCGGGGGGTCTCCGTAGATCATGGGTAGGTTCTTGCCAGCCTCCAAGTCACTTCGTGGCTTCCGTTCGGGCTCCTCAATCTCCATCTGCTTATTCCGCTGCAGCCGGGCCTCCTCCTCCACCGCCCGCTGTTCTATGGCTGCCAGTGACTCCCGGGTGAAGGGGCGCAAGCACTCAGGGCCCAGAGGCACCAGGGTGCACAGAGATGGTCTGGCCATCCTCGCATCCTGGGCTCAGAGACCAGAAGGGTGGTGGGTGGCCTGGGGAGCTGCAGTGCGCAGCCCCGGGGTGCTGGGCGGCCGCCCCTCCCTGGGCGGGCCGTCCACTCCTCACCTCCTGCTTGCCCAGTGGCCGAGCCGGGGAGGTGGGCGTGCAGACTCTATCAGGACTGGGAGATGTGCCTGCAAGGTGCTGCTGCTGCACAGGTGCTGGGCACAGAGCATCACCCCTGGCCCCCCCACCACACTTTCCCCAGAAGTGGCAGCGGCTGCCCTCAGGACCGACGGCAAACCAACCAGATTCTTTGTGGCCTTGGGACTTGGGGTCAACACCCCAGTGCCTTCGACTGCCTCCTGGGCCCAAGCTCCGGGAACTGTGTGGCTTCAGCCTAATGGGACAGAGAGAGAACCACAGCTGGCTGTGCTCAGGCGACCTCTGGATAGGCCAGGATGAGGGGCCTGGTTGGGGGGTTAGATCAAAGTGGGACTGGCACAGGGACTTCACCCTGAGGGCCGACGTGGATCCTGATATTGGCCACCTGGAGATGTAGGTGGAGACCATGAAGGTGGCAGCCAGGCTCTGTGCAAAAAGGTTGCTGTGATTGATTAGTGATGTCTGCCAGGGGCGCAAGGAGGAAGACCGTGGTGCCTCTGCCTGTGTTTGCCATCCCTGGCCTGGAGGGAAGGGAAAAGAAAGATGGGGGTGGGTGTGGATTCCTCTTTCCTGATCTTTGGGGTACTTGGTGTTGGGCTGGGAGAGGGAAGAAGAAAGGGCCCTGGGCCCGGCAGGGGTCTCCTAGCAGTTCCCTCCCACAGCCCTGGGGGCTCTAGCCCACTGGGCAGGCAGGGTGAACTGGGAGAGGAACATTGCATCTGGAGAGCTGCAGGTGCTAACGTGGAAGAGAAGACGTACAGGGAAGGTCACAGGGACAAGGAGATGGACAACTCCAATGGTGGGGGCAGGGCTAGAGCTCCTGGGGACTGCTTTTGGCTGGTGGTCCCAGCACAAGCTGGATTGGGGGAAGGGGCATCCACAAGGAGCCTTTGATGCCTGTGAGCATTGTGTGGTCTGGGCCCCACCTGGCCCCTCTCCCCTTCTGCCCAGCCCTCCAGAGCCTATTCCTGTGGAAGGGAAGGGGGATCACTTATTGCAAATGGCCCTGGGGGAATGACCACATCAGCAGGCAGTTGCAGTGAGACCCCTGCAGACCAGCTGCAGGCAGCCACTGCCAGACCCACATGGACAGACCTGGAGCCACCCCTGCACCACAGGGACCTGGACAGACCCCTAGAGACCCCCAAAGCCACACCTGAGGGTGGACCTCTCCCAGTGGGCCTTGACCCTTGCAGCAGCGCCCCTGCCCTGGTCAGCACGGGCGCTTCTCAGGCTTGCTCAACAGGTGGGGAGGGTGGCCAGGGAGAGGCCAGAGCCACTGGGCAGAGCTGGCCACGCCCTTGTGCCTGGCTCCCAGCTGCTCCTTACAGCACCCAGGGAGTCGTGTTTCCACGGGGATGACTCTGCTTATTCCTGCCAACCCTGCCCTCAGCTGCTCACTGGCCCCTGTCGTGAGCGTGGGCGTGCATGTGCACACACTTGCACACACAGGCACATGCACGCACACCCGGCCTGGAGCCACCCCACATGCAGACCTTCCCAGTTGCATCTCACAGCTCTGTCATATACCTTGCCACCTTCCTCCCCATCACCCACTCCACGTACACCCCCACATGCTGCTTGTCACTACACAGAAGGCGCCAACCAGCCAGATGGCCTTGAAGAGACCCCAGGGCTGCTGTGCACCCACCCAGTCTGCAGTCCCTGCTGTGATGATCCTCCTGTCCTGATACTGCTCACTCTTTTCATTACACGAGCCCAAGTAGGGCCACAAAAGCCCACAGACACATAGTCTGGCTCCCAACCCCAGCACTCGAGGAAATGACTCTCACCTGAGTCACCAGAGCTCCCCAGGGGACAGATCCAGTGTTTTCTTCCCCGCTGGCCCTCCTGAGCTTCCCACACCGCACACCGCCTTTCTTCTTGGGAGCAGGACATCACCTGTGCGTCCGGCCACTCTCCCCAGCTCTGCTCTGGGACCTGCCCCTTCCCTGCCCCTGGAAGATGCTTCTTCTCTGGGGCCTGCTCTGCAGCCTGTTTTCTTTGCACAGCGTACACCTCTCCCTTCAAAATGTTCACTTCCTCCTAATTTCCTCTTCTCCTACTCCTCCATTACCCCTGAGGTCTGGCTGTTTTGTAATGTGAGGGGAGGAATGTCCTCACTGGTTCCACTTGCTGAAGCTGGCTTTGGTTGGTGGCTGCCCGAAGCATCATGGTGGTAGATCTGGCCAGTTCCACACCCTACTGATGCTCCCTCTCCAGTGTCACTGCCCTCTCCACCCTCCACCCCTCACCTGTTCTGTTCAAATAACCTCCCCGCGTGGTGACATGCTCCTGTAGTCCCAGCTACGAAGGCAGGAGGATCCCTTAAGCTCAGGAGTTCGAGGCTGCAGTGAGCCATGATGGTGCCACTGTCCTCCAGCCTGGGTGACAGAGTGAGACCCTGTCTCAAAAACCAACCAAAGAAACACCTCCCACCAGGCTCTCCCCTAGACTGCCATAAATATTTGTAAAGTCACAAATTTCACCCCCTGCTTAAATCTTCAATGGCTTTCCACTGCTTAGGAGTACGTCCTAAGCCCTACCCAGGGCTCCCAAGGCCCTCCATGATCAGATCCCTGCCTCATTGCCTACCCTTCCCGCATCCTCTGGCCATGCTACCTCCATTTTCACAAATGGGCCAAGCTGTTTTCCACCCCCCTGCCCTAACCCCCATGCCTTTGCTTGTGGTTTGCTCTCCTCCCAGAGCACCCATCTTCTTTGTCTCCCTGGAGAGCTTCCATTCATCTTTCTAGACTCAACCCACACAAGAACCACCTCCTCCAGGAAGCCCTCCCTGGGTACCCTGGCTGGGTGGAACTCTCCCCTTGTTTGTGTCACCAGCTCAATAAAAGTTTATCAAATGAATAAGTGAGTGAATCACAGGGACACTCTACCTTAGCTCTTTTCTCCTTTAAGCATACCCTGAACCTAAATCATAACCAGAAACCATATCTCCTCTGAAATCACCACTTCAAACTCTTCCTTTGCCCCTGCCACCTTCTCAGCTCCTGGCTCAGGGGCCCGGTTGCTATAATCTTTGGGCACTTTCAGTTCTTTGACCCTGCACTTTCTCCCTTTCCACCTGCTTCTGACTTCATGTCCCTCCTCATCTAGGCTTACTTAGAAGATCATCATTCTGGTCCCTCCTCCACAGCTCCCAGGGAGAGATCCCAGAAGGAGGGATCTCTCTCCTTCTATCACACAGTCCTGGGGAACCCCTAACTGCATGTCCCCAGCTCTGGTTTTCCAAAGTCAGCCCCGAGCTGGAGAAATGTGGCTGGGGAAATGGTATGACTAGGCTGAGCTCACCGTAAATTCATGGTCACATATTCTGGGTTTGTCCTCAATCCTGCCAGCCCTGTAGTGTGGATTTTTCTGGTAGGCTCACTTTTCCACTTTTTGAAAACAACTATTTCATGCCTTCTCCTCTTTCCTCAGACCTCCGCGCTCCTCCCCATGAGCCTCCCAGCTGATGGTCTTCCCTGAGGAAGGAAGAACCACTACACACACACTGTCAAATCCACAGAACCATCTCCCCATCCCACCCCGTCTTCCTCTATCCTGTTAGAATAATAATAAGAAGCAAGGGTCAGGCTTTCCTGGGGCTCAGGACCCCAGCCCCTCTTGCTTCTCAAAGACCTCTCCAGGTGCCCTCTCTCTACTGCCCATCCACCTCTCCCCATCTGTGAACAGACTCTAGTGTCCCCCACTTTAAAAACAATGGCAGTGGTGACAAAACTATTCTCCTGGCCCCACACCTCCCTGCATCTATTGCCCTATTTTTCTTTCCTCTTCACAGTAAAACTTCTTGGAAAGTGTCTACACCAGCTGTCTTGACTTCCTTACCTTTCATTCTCTCTCCAATCCATTCCAACCTGGCTTCCGTTTCCCCTTCAACTGAAACTACTTTTGTCAAGTCACTAACACCCTCCCTGCTGCCAAGTCCAGTGAACACGCTTCTGTCCTCAGCTCCCAGAGCCTCTCAGAAGCATGCAGCCCAGTTGGCCACAGCCCCTTTCTGGAAGCACCTGATTCTCACAGCCTCCATGGAAGCTGCTTGCTGTTTCCCTTCCACATCCCTGGCTGCTCCGTATCACTTTCCTCTGCTTGTCCTGATTTCTGTCCCCAATCTCTAATGTTTTTCAGGGTTCGAGCTGGTTCAGGGTGGCATCATTCCTATGACCATAAATAATGTCATGGGGCCAGGCACGGTGGCTCACGCCTGTAATCCCAGTGCTTTGGAAGGCCAAAGTGGGAGGATCGTTTGAGCCTAGGAATTGGAGACCAGTCTGGGCAACATAGTGAGACCCTGTCTCCACAAAAAACAAAATAATTAGCTGGGTGCGGTGGTGTGTGCCTATAGTCCCAGCTATTCGGGAGGCTGAGGCAGGAGGATCACTTGAACCCACGGAAGTGGAGTCTGCAGTGAGCTGTGATTGCACTACTGCACTACAGCCTCGGCGATAGAGCAAGACCGTGTCTCTAAAAATCAATAAATACAATAAAATAATAAATTAATTATAAAATAATAAGTTCATGAATAAAATAATAGTAATGTCATGGGAATGTGATAAACGTTTCCCTTGACGTCCAGGCTGGTATATTCAACTGCCCCCAGACGGCTCCACCGGGATGGCTCACACCCTCCCAACTGCAATCAGACGTTTGCATCTTCCACTGTTCCACCCTTCAACCCAGGAAACGGCATCACTGCTATTGGCTGCTCAAATAAAAAATTAAGGTATCTCCCTGAATTCTCCTTTTTCTTCACCTTCCACACCAAGCCTGTCCAAAGTTCTATTAATATCATCTCCCACATACTCCTATATTTGACATTTTTCCATCTCCCTGGGTCCATACCACAATAGTCTCTTACAATAGCCTGTTTCCTGCTATCTGCTTTTGCACACACACCCTCCGAATCAGTCCCCTAAAATAGCTATTGATCTTTTAAAAACAAAAACTAGTCATGCTGTTTCTCCTTTTAAAATTCTCCAGGCTGGGCGCGGTGGCTCATGCCTGTAATCCCAGCACTTTGGGAGGCTGAGGCAGGTGGATCACCTGAGGTCAGGAGTTCAAGACCTACCTGACCAACATAGTGAAACCCCGTGTCTACTAAAAATACAAAAATTAGCCGGGCGTGGTGGCGGCACCTGTAATCCCACCTACTCAGGAGGCTAAGGCAGGAGAATCACTTGAACCTGGGAGGTGGAGGTTGCAGTGAGCCAAGATCACACCACGGCATTCCAGCCTGGGTGACAGAGTGAGACTCTGTCTCAAAAAAAAAAAACAAAAACAAAATAAAATATAATAAAATAAAATTCTCCAGTAATTTCTTGTTGCATGTAGAGTAAACCTAACCTTACCATAGTGGCCTCTCTGGCCTGGTGATCGAACCTTTCACCTTTGTCTCCTGATCTGCTCCCTCGTCTCTCTACTCCAGTCCCACTGGCCTCCTTCCAGCTCCTTGACCACTGCGCTGGCTCCTGCTCTTGGCCTCCACCCAGCTCCCGTTCCCCCCAGGTCCCTCTTTCCTCTCCCCTTTCACGTGGTTTTTCCTTCTCATCCCTCTGTGCTAAGCTCAAACGACCCCTCTTCCAAGGGGCCTTCCTTCTCCTTTACTCCCCGTCACAGGCCCCTGTATTTTCCTTGACATCATATATCATAATTTGTAATCACTGGCTTATTTGCCTTGTGTATTTTTCTGTCACCCTCGCTAGGCTGAAATGCCAAGAGAGCAGCGACTGTATCTGTCTTGGTTGCCCTGGCCAGTCCCAACACTGTGCACACAGTAGGCACTTAATAAGTGTCTGTTGAATGAAGGAGCGAATGGGGCCTTGGATACAGACCTTTCCAGGGACACAATGGATTCTGATATGTTTTGTTGATTCATTCATTCATCCACCCATTTATTCATTCTGTTTGTGGGCTGGAAGCTGAGCTGGGCATGAGTAGGACAGAAAGCTGCCACAGCTGACAGTCCTGGGGGAGGTGGACGTGGCACACGGTGTCCGAGACACAAGGAGAAGGTGAGGCCTGCCCTCAAGAGGGGAGTTGACTGTGTTTTGGGAGTTTGAGTGGATGAGGGTTACTTCCAAGTAGGGGAAGGAAAGGTGTGGCTTTTCAGTTGGGCCTCAAAGGATGAGTGAGTTAGGAACACAGGGAAATGGAGGGGAAGGACATCCCAGGGGACAAGAAGAGCCAGAGCAAAGACAGAGGCAGGACGCAGGGAACTCACTCATGTGTAGCACGGAAGCTGTTTAGGGGCTTGGGGGCAGGGAAGATGGCAGCTGGGCCAGGGCTTGCTGAAGGCCTGAGGGTCTGGACTTCAACCTGCAGCCTCGGAGAGCCCCTCACAGGGCAGGTGGGCTGGGGTGGTGCCATCACTGGCAGCATGTGTGGTCCGCTGGCCCACAATTTCCGTGTGTCTAGAATAGAGAGCATGAGCTGTGTTGTTTCAACAGGCAGCAGTGGAGGAATGGAAGGACGTCTGGGATGTACGAACTGTGACTTCCTGGCAGGGACAAAGCACCAACAAAGCTCCCAGAGATAAGGCAGGTGATGGGCTGGCCATCTCCATGTGGGTCCCTAGGCCACAGGCAGGAGTAATGGGGGCCAAGATGACGGCTCCCGCTCTCCTTCCACTTGCCTCCACCCCTGGGTTATCCCCTGAGATGTGGCAGCTGAGGGTCTGGGGGAGCTCCAAGCAACCTCCTCCCAGTGAATTTAAGAATGTTGGAGTCTGCTGGGCACGGTGGTTCACGTCCGTAATCCCAGTACTTTGGGAAAGCGAGGGAGGAGGACTGCTTGAATTCAGGAGTTCAAGACCAGCTTGGGCAACATAGCAAGACCCCGACCCTACTAAAAAATGAAACAAATTAGCCAGGGATGGTAGCACGTGCCCGTAGTCTCAGCTACTCGGGAGGTGGGGTGGGAGGATCACTTGAGCTGCAGTGAGATATGATTGTGTCACTGCATGCCAGGCTGGATGACAGAGTGAGACTCTGTCTCAAAAAAAAAAAAAAAAAAAAAGAATGTTGGAGTCACAAGGACTTGAGAGCAACATTTTGCAGATGGAGAAACTAAGGCCCAGAGGGGACCAGGACCCACCCAGAGCTCACATATTTATTCATTCAACAAACATTTTCTGAGCACCTGCTACAGTGTGCTGGGCTGTGGTCTGGGTGCCAGGGCAGACTGCAGCAGTGGCAAAGTCCCTGTCCTCACTGAGCTTGCATTCCAGAGGGAGGGGGCAGGCAGTAAATAGGGAAGCAAATAAGATAATTTTAGAGAGTGATAAATGAGAGGCTGAGCCAAGACTCAAACCCAGCTCCTCAGGAGCCAGGGCTGGAGTCCGTTTCACAAGCAAAAAGTCCCGTGGAACCTCCATTGAAATGGACGTTTGGGCGGAAGTGGTGGGCAAATTCAGGCTGTCCTGGGGGCCTGGAAGTGCTGAGCAGACAGGGATGGGGTGGGGGAGGAGGGGTTGGGAATCAGAGAGCCAGGCTGGGTCCAGCTGTCTGTGGGCAGGGAGCCGAGGCTGAGGACGCTGGAGGGCGAGGCAGCTCTTCTCTGGAGTGGGTCCAGCCCTGCATTGTCTTTCTCTGTGGTGCAGCCAGATCGGAACACCCAATTCCAGATATAGTCTGATCACAGAGGCCTTTTCTCCCTGGCCTGAACACCCTTTATGTTCATTCATTCCGGGATGGCATCACTTCTTCCGCAGCCCAAACAAAGGTGGGGTTTGCAGTCACTCCTAGGTCTTTTCCTCATGAGCTGTGATCTAATTAGGTCTTCCCCTTCTTAGGCACTGTGCAACTGATTTTTTTCTTTTAAACCCATGTGCACCTCACAAAATATTAGCATCTTGAATCCAACAATGTATGAAAAGAATTATACACCATGACCAAGTGGAATTTATCTCAGGTATGCCAGGCAGGTCCAACATTTGAAAATCAGACTGGAAACATTGTTTTATCCCTGTAATCCCAGCACTTTGGAAAGCTGAGGCGGGCAGATTGCTTGAGCACAGTTCAATAACAACCTGGACAACATGGTGAAACCTCAACTCTACAAAAAGTACAAAAGGTTAGCTGGGTGTACTTTTTGTACATCGTGGCGCCCACCTATAGTCGCAGCTAACCAGGAAGCTGAGGTGGGAGGATCACCTGAGCCCAGGAGGTCAAGGCTGCAGTGAGCCGTGATCACACCACTGCACTCCAGCCTGAGTGACAGAGTGAGACCTTGTCCCAAAAAAAAAAAAAAAATCAATTAATGTAATCCATCACATCAACAGGCTAAAGAAGATCACATAATTATATCAATAGATACAGCAAAAGCATTTGACAAAATGCAACTCCCATTCATGATGAAGTCTCAGCAAACTAGGAGTAGAGGGAAACTTCCTGAAGTTAACAGAGTGTTTACCAGGAAACCTACAGCTAACATTGCTTTGTTTTTCTTTTCTTTTCTTTTTTTTTTTTTTGAGACAGAGTTTCATTCTTGTTGCCCAGGCTGGAATGCAATGGAGCAATCTCGGCTGCAACCTCTGCCTCCTGGGTTCAAGAAATTCTCCTGCCTCAGCCTCCTAAGTATCTGGGATTACAGGCATGCACCATCATGCCTGGCTAATTTTGTATTTTTTTTTTTAGTAGAGACCGGGTTTCACCATGTTGGTCAGGCTGGTCTTGAACTCCTGACCTCAGGTGATCCACCCACCTCGGCCTCCCAAAGTGCTGGGATTACAGGCATGAGCCACCACGCCTGGCCTAACATTGCTCTTAATGGTGAGAAACTCAAAGCTTTCCCACTAAGATCATGAACAAGGCAAGGCTGTCCCCTCTCACCACAGCTTTCCAGCATTGGACAGGAAGTCCTAGCTAATGCAATAGGACAAGAAAAGGAAATAAAAGGTATTCTGACTGGGAAGGGAGAAATAAAACTATCTTTGTTCACAAATGATGTGATTGTCTAAGTATAAAATCAGAATAAACACGAAAATTTCTAGTACTAATCATGATAACAGCAGGGTTGCAGGATACAAGGTTAATATAAATCCAGGTGCAAGATTTTACATCTTCCTTTACTTAAGTTCCTTTTGCTCATTGCACCTCTTCACCTCCAGTCCTCTGAAGGTCAGCTGGATCTTGATTTTCCTTCAGTTCAAGGCCATCCCTCACAGCTAAGTGTCTCTGATCCTGTCCCAAATTATTGGCCAGGCAAATCTCAGGACAGATCTCCCTCCCTATCCCCATTATATCCTTCTAGAACCTTCCCTCATGGGACAACTACACTTTTGGCAAGAGTTCTTCAAACATCCAGAAATCCACCCAGCTGAAGTGCATCAGCCTGAAATCCCCCAAGTGGTCTCAGCCATGCCTCTGCCAGCCTGGAATATAAAAGCCACTGTAGGGGCCTGTCGTGGGGCAGAGGGAGGGCAGGAGGGATAGCATTAGGAGGTATACCTAATGTAAATAACGAGTTAATGGGTGCAGCACACCAACATGGTACATGTATACATATGTAACAAAACTGCATGTTGTGCACATGTACCCTAGAACTTAAAGTATAATAATAAAAAAAAGCCACTGTAAGGTACTAATATGGTTTGACTCTGTGTACCCACCCAAATCTCATCTTGTAGCTCCCATAATTCCCACATGTTAGGAGGGACCCAGTGGGAGATAATTGAATCATGGGGGTGGATCTTTTCTGTGCTGTTCTCATGATACTGAATAAGTCTCATGAAAATCTGATGGTTTTAAAAATGGAAAGTTTCCCTGCACAAGGTCTCTCTCTCTCCTTTCACCTGCTGCCATCCACGTAAGATGTGACTTGCTCCTCCTTGCCTTCCGCCATGACTGTGAGGCCTCTCCAGCCATGTGGAACTGTAAGTCCAATAAACCTCTTTCTTTTGTAAATTGCCCAGTCTGGGTATGTCTTTATCAACAGCATGAAAACTAATACAAGTACTCTTTTGGAAGATTGAGAATGAATGTAATCTGCCCCTCACTGCCTTCCCTGTTAACTCCAGGGCACATCCTTCCAGATGCAGAGGTGGCGGGTTGCTTGCTGGCCTTGCTCAGGCACCAGCCACCTCCCCTCTTGCCAACCAAGCATGCTCTTCATCTCTAGCAAAGCTGCTAGCCACCCACAAGGATCTAGCTGTTTTCTCTATGGATTGGGAGCAAAATGATCCAGTGCCATCTGTGGCCAGTGGAGACCCCACCCCCACCCCCAAGCTTCACCTGCAGTGGGGGCTCAGAATTGGAACTTCCTGGGAGTCTGAAACAGACCAGACTTCTTTTTCCTGGCCAAAGACAGCACCGGGCATCCGGGTGGCCCACTTCCCAAATTCCTGTGTTCCTGCTATGGCCCAGCTCCAGGAGTGAAAAATCCATCCCTATGTCCCCCGGGTTGTAAGTCTCAAGTCACAACATTTTCTCAGCTGGGGCAGGCTGTGGGTGGGGACGGGAAGGGGGTAGCTGTATTGTTTCTCTGCCAGCGCTTGGGGCCTGGAAAGGAGGAAGAGTGGCCTGTGCCTTGGCAGGCAGGGGCCTAGAGGAAGTCACCCCAGGTGGCCCTCCCCTCCTGGCCTGACACTCTGCAGAGGAAATCTGCTCTGAGAGACTTTGGAGGGAGGCCTGGAGCCAGGAGCCTCGGATGGAAACCTCCAGACACTCAGAGGCCCAGAGAGTTCCGGAAACCAATTGGGGTGATGTGGGGGTGGGCTCCTGCGTGAGGGGTGGGCTAAAGCTGATTGCATTTTCCATGGGGGCTCACTGGGTCAGAACAAGCCTCCCTGTTTTAAGCTCCTGATTCAACTGGCCTAATAACTTGTTCTACCCAAGGGATAAGAGTAACAGTGGTGGCCATGTTTATTTTGCACCTACTGTATGGTTGGTTTCCTATTCAGGATGCATGGGCAGGCCCTCCTTTCACTATCAGCCCCATTCCCTGACAATTTCCAAAGGCTCTCCAAGAACACTGGTTAGTTTTTTTGTTTTTGTTTGTTTGTTTCTTTCGAGACAATGTCTTACTTTGTCACCCAGGCTGGAGTGCAGTGGCACGAACGATCTCGGCTCATTGCAACCTCTGCCTCCCGGGTTCAAGCGATTCTCTCAGTCTCAGCCTCCCAAGTAGCTGGGATTACAGGTGCCCACAACCATGCGTGGCTAATTTTTGTTGGCCAGGCTGGTCTTGAACTCCTGGACTCAAGTGATCCACCTGCCTCGGCCTCTCAAAGTGCTGAGATTACAGGCATGAGCCACCGCACCCTGCCAACTGGTTAGTTTTTCCCCAACTTTCTTCCTCCTCTCCCAAACCTGACCCTTTTCCTCTACCCAGAGTGCTTCTAGCAGGCTCAGTTCTGATGAAATAAAAGCCCACAAACATGCTGGTTGGGTTTCAGGCACCGTGCCCACTTCCCACTAACTTCTCCCAGCTCATCTGTCGGCCCCAGAAGCCTTTTCTCCCCAGACACAAGGTTCCAGAGTGGGTTTCTCCTCCCAAGTCTGAGCCTTAAGTTAAAAGAATTTGTTGTAAGATGTGGAATTCTGAGCTTCAGTCAGCTTGGGAAAGATTTTCCATAGCGTGGGAGGGGCTGGTTTCTGGCCCCCAAATCTCCGTGCAGTCACCTGTAGTGCTGACGTGCACAGGCCCATGAGGTGGAGGCTTGAGAAATATTTCTAGATGAAAAGTTATCATGGACATGTTCATTTGGAGCTTATCACGTGCCAGGCACTGTCCCAGGGACTTCGCTTTCATCATCCTAGCTAACCAGCGGTGGAGCCAGGTCTTGAACGCAGCTCTCTCTCATGCCAAGCCCCTGCGCCTGCTACTACAGACTCGGCCTCCCTCCAGCCCCTTGGGGAACTCGGCTGGGCATAGTTGCCCTCCCTCAGCACGGGGCCCGCCCAGGTTGAGGTCCCACTCAGTTTGCTCCCTGGACTGGCCTGACTCTCAACCATCTATCCCCTTCGAAGGGCAGACCAGATCCTTGGGCCAAGCCCCTGAGAGGTGTGGGCTGGGGTCGGCATCTGGTAGGCCCTGGCAGGGTCGTGCTCAGGCCTCCTGGGGTTTTGTGCTGGGAGCTGTGTGTGGGAGGGGTCAGTGGGGGGAAGAGAACCACAGGTCAATTTGCACCAATTCACCCTCATATATCCCCTGACCCCCATATGGCCTACTTAGATGCATGCACATGCCCTCGCCAGTGTACACACACACACACGCGCGCACACACACACACACACACACACACACACTCATTGCCTCTATGAGTCATTTCCCAGCTGCTCAAAAGGGTGGGGAGGCTAATTTGTTCCACTCAGGCCCAGGGCTTCCTGCCCTCTGTTGGCTTGGATCTTTCTTTTACAATCTTTTCTAGAGATATGGTCTCACTATATTGCCCAGGATGGGCTCAAACTCCTGAGGTCAGTTGATCCTCCTGCCTCAGCCTCTCAAGTAGCTGGGACTGCAGGTGTGTACCACCATGCCTGGCATCAGATCTTTTTAAGGAGCCCCTGAGCATGATGGCCCCCCAAACTGGTGTGTGTACATCCTCTACACACACATCTAAGCCCACCTCCCCTGCCCTTAGACACATCGCCCCTGAACATAGAGCCACCTCCCTTCCCCTCCTTGCTCCTCAAAGCAGTGGGTCCACGGAGAGGCCACCAAGAGGCCTGCTCACACCTGTTCCTGGGCCTGGAGAACTCCAGGCAACCTGGCTCCCCATTCCCTCCATCTGTCCCCAGCCATCCAGGGAGGGTGGCCTTCGAGTCCTCCCGACTTGAGACAGGGGAGCTGGGGGCACAGTCACCAGCACTAGAGAAGAGGCTTTTCAGTAACAGCCTGAAACCTGGAGGAAGGAAAGGCTGACACCCAGCTCCCCTGCTCCCACGACCACGAGCACGCCCCCTTCAGGAGATGCGCCCTGCCGCTCGCTCTGGGAAAGTCCTCCACTGCAGAAAGTACTCCAGGGGTGTTTCCTCCCCAGCTACTCTTTGGAGAGCCTTCTCCAAAGCTAGACTGATCACGAACTTGCCAACCTCAAAAAAAGCTAAGTGTTGACAGCAGAGCTTACTGAAAGGTGGGCTGGAAGGACCTTGCTCTGCCGCTCTGGCGTCATGGCCATCATGGCCACATCTGCAAACCACAGGCCCTCATGGAAGGGGCTCTGCAGTCCACTTTATAGAAGGACCCTCACCCAGCTGGACATGGTGGCTCAAGCCTGTAATCCCAGCACTTTGGGAGGCTGAGGCAGGTGGATCACTGAAGGTCAGGAGTTAGAGACCAGCCTGGTCAACATGGTGAAACCTCATCTCTACTAAAAATACAAAAAAAAAAAAAAAAAAAATTAGCTGGGTGTGGTGGCGGACATCTGTAATCCCAGCTACTTGGGAGGCTGAGACAGGACAGTCACTTGAGCCTGCGAGGTGGAGGTTGCAGCGAGCCGAGGTTGCACCACTGCACTCCAGCCTGGGTGACAGAGTGAGACTCTATCTGAAAAAAAAAAAAAAAAAAAAAAAAAAAAAAAAGGTCCCTCACCCAAGGGAGACCAGATAGGGAAAAAAAGCCCATCCCTGACCCCCAGCTCCGAAGGGTGCCCAGAACTGAACAAAGCCATCCTTCTTGTAACTCTTTCTCTCTTCTTTTCCCTGGGATGAGACATTTTATGTCAGGGTCACAGACTGGCAATAGCCACAATAATACTGTTGAACACGTATGTAGAGCTGGTTACATGCCAAGCACTGTTCCAGGCACCTCACATGTCCACGAGCACATCAAATTCTCACCCTGATCCTGTTATCACCCCGATTTGACAGATGAGGACACTGAGGGACAGGGGAGATAAGTAACTCACCAGATGGTATTTACATAGTAAACTGGGATTGGAAGCCTGGCCCTCAGGGTTTGAAAGAAACTTGGGCTCTTAATCAGGAGGTGGACCATGACCTTCAAGCACCTATGGGGTAGGTGGGGGTGCCTGGTTTCACAATCCAGTTCAAAAACAGGATGGGGGCCAGCAACTATTGGAGTTTCACTCTTTCCTTTTACGCGAGGGCTCTTGGCAGAGGGCCCTGCCCGGGCACTGTGGCTTCCCCACCACCTCTACTGTCCCTGGGTTCCTTGAGCCCCCCTCTCTCCTCCAGCAGCCCCATCCCCCCAACAAGGGCTGTTGACTGAAAACTGCAGGGAATAAAAATAGCTGTTGCTGATGAGGCAGAATGGGGGCCAGAATGCATGAAAGGCTGGGGTGAGGGTGCTGCAGGGAACCTGGGATCCCCCAGCCCCAACGAGCACCTTCCAATGGAGCCACGGGGGACCTGGCCTGTCCCTGCCACAGCAGGGCTGGGGACCCCTGCCGAAGTCACCAGAACTGCTGGGAGCCCCACATCTGCCCCAGCCGTAGGGCTGCCCATGAGACCCACTGCCCTCTGCCCCGACCCTGCCTTGCACCAGTCAGCTTCCTCCCCAGGGAGCGGGGGCCTTGGCTTCTGTGGACAGAGCCCTGTCCACTCGTGAGCTGTGCGCCCCGGGGAAGTGACAGGAGTCAAGGGCCTGACTGTTTCTATAACCTGTTCCCTGGTCCTTGACACCCTCCTCCAGCGTCCCCTCCCTTCTCCCAAGCTGCTCTCTGAGGCCTCAGGGCCAGATTTTCCGTTTGAAGAGAGCCTTTCCACCCCTCCCTGAAGGTTCCAATCCTTCCTGCCTCTCTGGTTAAGCCTCCTCCAGGAGCCTTCTCAGAACCCCGCCCCTGCCCTGAAGATGCACTGTCCCCACCCCCACCACCATCAGATCTGTCCTCCTTTCTGATGGCCAGAGTTGCCCCCAAAAGGCAGACACCTTTTCAGAACCACCCCAACACTTGACAAGGAGTTCTATGTCTTCAGCATCAAACTCGGGGCTTCCCTGGGCCTGGCCTGGGGTCATGGCAGAGACCCTGGCGACGTAAGTCAGCAGAGCAGGTCTCGACCAACACTCAGGCCAGCCTGGAGCTGAGGAGAAGACCCCTGAGGCTGAGCTCGCACCCCATGCAGGTTTCCAACCAGAAATGATGAGCAGGGCCAGGCTGGGATGGGAGCCACCTAGGAAGGACCCTCCGTTGCCTTCCCCAAGCCCCCTAAAATCCCAGCACAATTCCTTGAGAGATGCCAGGGATGGAGAGGGGGAGGGCTGCTGAGGAGCCCGGGGGCAGGGCACATGTGGCCAGGGGGCTGGGCAGGCCCTTACCCAGCTCATCTTTGCTCGGTTGCCCTGCCTGACACAGGTTCCAAGGCCCTTGGGTCTATTTACGTGGTCCCGCACAGGTGATGTGGCTCCAAATGCTAGCACAGTGACCATAGCTGTCCATACCACTGCCACACAGAGTGAGGCCACTGGCCACAGGCAGGGGACTTGGGGATGGCCCAGAAGAATCCGGAGGGTCCTGGTAGAACCAGCCCTCCCTGCCTCCAAACTACATCCCCCCAACTCCACTCAGGCCACTCTGCCTTCTCCACCAGCCACGGCCCACCCCAGCAGGGAGGAAGGGAGGGGGCTGTGTTCTGTGCCAGCCCCGACCCCCGGACCCCACTCTCCGGCCCTGTGTCTCCTCCTAAGACCCCCCGCCCCCAGACCCCTTCTGGTCCCCCAGAGTACCCTTTTTGCTGTGGTCACATATTTTTCCCCTCAAGCTGGGCTTTCTGGCTCCCGTCCCCATGTCCCCCTCGCCTTCCCGGCAGGGCTCAGCGCTCTTGACTTCTCTAGGAAAAGAGCCCAGCCGTGCCGGGTGGGCTGGGGGAGGGGCAGGGACGTGGGCAAAGCCTGGGATGTGTCCTCTGCTGGCATCTCGCAGATTCCTGTTCTCAGCAGAGCAAAGGAGCCGCCAGCACCCCCCACCCCGGCCTCCTGCCGCACTCCTCCCCCCACAGCCCTGCCTCTGAGCCATGCAAACAGGCCAAGCAAAGTCACTGTTTCGGCTCCTTGCTCTCCTCTCCTGAAGAAACTGCAGCCCCGTTCTGTGTCCCTTGGGTCACCCATGCCCCTCCGGAGCCGAGCCTTAGCCCTTGGGCTGTTTGTGACCAGAACAAGGAACCTTGCTGAGGGCAAGGACAGCTCGCCAGGCCGGGGCAGAGGGAACCGATGACGGGACAGAGAGAGGCAAGTCTGGGGCTGGAGAGAGGGTCCAGGCACCAGAAGATTCGGCAGAGGCTGCGGGACAGAGCAGGGTCGGGCCGCAGAGTGGGCAGGCGGTCAGCAGTACCCAGAACAAAGTGGTGACTTCCTTGGAGCCAGGCTGGGGTTGGGGCCAGAGAGTCCTGCCCCTCGGGGTGGCCTGCCCCTCGGGGTACCCGGCCTGGGGCGGGTGTGGGGGTGCAGTACTCACTATTGGACGGGAGCAGAGCGGTTGCTGACAAGCCCAGAGCGCCGTGCCCACCTCAGGCTGGGGCTGGAACTCTGGGGGACTTGGCTGGGGGGCCGGGCCGGCGAGGACAGCTGCTGCCGCTGATGTCACAGGGTCATGAGTGAAACCTGAGGACTGGGCCAATCTTCAGGTGGGAGCCTCAGCCACAGTTCCCTCGCCGGGTGTACTCTGGGCTCAGCCTGCGACCACTTGGGCTCCAGCCTCACTGCTCCAGGAGTGACAGACTCCCGGGCACACGCACCCATTCACAAGGGCACACAAACACTCACTCACTGGGACACATGTATTAGCCCACATAGGTGGTTCTTCTCCCAACCTCGACAGTTTACACAGGCTCATCTCATACTCGAATCTCCACACTTATTCCCAGAAGCACTCCTGAGGTACGCGCTGGCTTACACTCACACAGTCGCTGGCTCACTCTCACAGTCACTCGAGTGCACACTCACGGACGCACCCACACAAAAGCTGTGCTCCCACAGGCTCAGTCATGTGCAAATCACCCTTCATACGTTCACGCAGATGCTTCCTCTGCTGTTACACCCGTTCACACACATGCCGCCAGCTCACACGCACAAACACACTCACACCCGCGCAGCAGGCTTGTGCACATACACATGGCTTCTAGTTGTGCCCACAGTCACATTGTGCCCTGAGCAACACAAATGCCATATTGCACAGACACAAGACTCTTACTGAGTGCCTGCCTGTGTGTACACACACCACAGCACAAGCACACACACTCACACCCACAACTACAGCCACAGCCACACCCACTCCTACAGCCACACACACCCACACCCACTCCACACACACACACACGCGCACACACAGCCATGCCCCTGTGTTTATGGATTTCATGCATGTGACATGCTCCCATTCATGTGGAGAAGTACCACTAGCATGGTCACTAGATGTGCGCCAAGCGTATGCCCATCTATACACCCACAGCCGTACCCTCACATCGCACACCAGACACACACAAGTGCATGCACACCCCCGCCCCCAGCTGTTTAGCTGGACCACACAGACATATCCAGGTCCCTTCTCCACCCCCACGCCCACCCCCCTGGCTGGACATCCGTCCCGGGCTGAGGGAGGGCTGTGCTGGGGGCCAGGTTGATGGACCCCACCTCCTCCCTCCACTCTGGGGCTCTGGTGACCCCTGGTGGAGCCGCTATGAAGTGCCCCCTGGCTGCCAGCTGGAGAAACCCCTGGGGAGTTCTGTCGCCCAACCGTTGTTCTCCCAAATCCGTCAGCCTTGGCAGTCCCGTGCCACCATCTTTCCTGGCAGCCCAGAGCTCCGGCAGCTGCCCTGGGCCCCGAGTGAGCTGAGCCCAGGTCAGAGCAGCCTTCGACAGAAGCATAGGGAGGCCTGGGGAGGCGCTGCCCACCCCCCGTCCCCACAGCAGCTCCGCCCAGACCCTGTGGACACAGCCTCAGTCCTTGCCGAGCCCCTCCTGGGGGCCAGGCCTGCCCGTGGTTCAAGAAGTTCCTGCCAGGCCCGATGCCCATCTCTGCCCAGCCCTCCTCTGTCTGTGGCCTGTGGTCCCCACGGAGTTGCCTCACACCCCCAGAGCTGTTTTCTAAACCTAGGTGTGACGCTGGTGTTCTCTATGCAGAGAATCCTGACTTGTGATGGTTCCATTTAGGATCTTTCTTTCTTTTTCTTTCTTTCTTTCTTTCTTTCTTTCTTTCTTTCTTTCTTTCTTTCTTTCTTTCTTTCTTCTTTCTTTCTTTCTTTCTTTTTCTTTCTTTCTTTCTTTCCTTCTTCCTTCCTTCCTTCCTTCCTTCCTTCCTTCCTTCCTTCCTTTCTTTCTTTCTTTCTCCTTCCTTCCTTCCTTTCTTTTTCTTTCTTTCTTCTTTTTTTTTATGGAGTTTCACTCTTTTTGCCCAGGCTGGAGTGCCTTGGTGCCATCTTGGCTCACTGCAACCTCTGCCTCCCAGGTTCAAGTGATTCTCCTGCCTCAGCCTCCCAAGTAGCTGGGATTACAGGTGCCCACCACCACACCCAGCTAATTTTGTATTTTTAGTAGAGATGGAGTTTCACCATGTTGGCCAGGCTGGTCTCAAACTTCTGACCTCAGGTGATCCGCCCACCTCGGCCTCCCAAAATGCTGGGATTACAGGCGTGAGCCACAGTGCCTGGACCATTTAGGATTTTTTCAACTTCATGATGGGTTTATTGGGACAGAGCCCATGGTAAGTGGAGGGGCACATGCACATGGTTCTTCCTCTGGTTCTGCTCACTGAAGAGACACGCCCAAACATGCTCGCACCCGCAGAGCGGGCTTGTGCACACACACACGGCTTCTATATGCGCCCAGAGGCACACTTGTGCCCCCAGCAACACAAACGCCATATTGCACAGACACAAGACTCTTACCAAGTGCCCATGTGTGTACACACACCACAGCACAAGCCCAGATACCGACAACTACAGCCACACACATACCCACTCCTACCCACTGGAGTTTCATCGCTGATGTAATCCAAGTGCCTGCCCAGCCCCACCTCTTCTTTGCAAGGGTCTGCTTCTTCTAGCGTTCGGAGGAAAAGAAAATGTTTTTTCCCATTTCCTTCTCATGCTGTCTTCCTGAAGCTGCTCCTCGGGGGCCCTCTCATTACCCTGAGCCCTGCTGTGGCTTCAGTTCACTTTGCTGCTGGTCACCATCTGGGACTGCTGGTCACCACCCCGATAATCACTGGGCCGCTGCTCCCTGTCTGTGGGCATGGGAGAAGAGGGGGTAGGAGCTGCTGTCATTCCCATTTATGGCTCTACTCCTTGGTTTCTGCCTCTCCACTGCCCAAAGCTCTACAGGGCAAGACCTTTTTTAAAGAGCAATTGGACTAATTGAAGGGGATTACCACATACGAGCGGGCAGGGCTGCTACATTCAGTTGCATGGGTTGCATACTACACAATTCTGGGCACCAAGCACATTTGAAGTCAGTGTAGATTAGTATAACTTAAGATGATAATGTTCTGAAAGATGGCAGCAAAACGCCTAGGGGAAGGGGCTAATTTTTCTAATTTGCACAAAGTGCCTTTGGACTAGGGATGGGAATGATTGGACAAAAAAAGCTGTATGTTAAATATGGCTTTTTCTCCACAACCTAAGGGGAACGAATGCTTCCCTCTCTTGACTCCTTCCTTTGGGAAGTGGCTTCCTCTCCTACTCCATCCAAGTATGTGATTCTGTGGAGTTGCTGCTTAAAGGATGACCCCCTCCCCTAACACACGGAAGGGCATGTTACCCACCTCTGGCCAATCCTTTGGGCCATAGTGGTTCATCCAAAACCTGGGGACAAGACTCAAGCTGAACCAATCCTAGTCCTTCCCTGGGAGTTATGTGTACTGAGATTAGAGGAAAGACAATCTCTTTCGTCTTGGGAGTTTCTAAATGTGTCTGAAGGAGCCATGGTGTCTCCTTCACACATGTGTGGAGGAAGCTTGTCTGTAGGAGGAGGAAACAGGAACATCAAACAGAGAAGCAGAGATGTAGGAGGGGAAGGAAGGAGGAAGGAAGGAAGGAAGGAAGGAAGGAAGCTGGCATCCAGGCTGGCAGGGGCAGAGTCAGGAGGGAGGAAGGAAGGAAGGGGAAGGAAGGTGGGGAACGAAGGAAAGAAGGAAGGAGGGAAGGAAGGAGGGAGGAAAGAAAGGAAAGAAGGAAAGAGGGAGGGAATGAGGGAGGAAGGTGGGAAGGAGGGAGGGAAGGAGGGAGGGGAGGGAAGGAGGGAAGGAAGGAGGGAGGGAAGGGGGAGGGAGGGAGGGTAAGGGAGGGAAGGAAGGAAAGAAGGGAGGAGGGAAGGAAGGAGGGAGGAGGGAAGGAAGGAGGGAGGGAGGGAAGAAAGGAAAGAAGGAAGGAGGGAGGGAGGGAAGGGAAGGAGGGAGGGAGGGAAGAAAGGAAAGAAGGAAGGAGGGAGGGAGGGAAGGGAAGGAGGGAGGGAGGGAGGGAAGGGAAGGTGGGAGGGAGGGAAGGGAAGGAGGGAGGGAAGGGAAGGTGGGAGGGAGGGAAGGGGAGGAGGGAGGGAGAGAAGGAGGGAAGGAAGGAGGGAGGGAGGGAAGGGAAGGAGGGAGGGAGGGAAGGAGGAAAGGAAGGAGGGAGGGAGGGAAGGAAGGAGGAGAGAGGGACCTGAAGACACTGAGTCTCTGAACCAGTTAAACTATAGACCAACTTCATTACTGTCCTGTCACATGAGCCAAAAAAGCCCACCCTTTTCTCTTAACCTAGTTTAAATTGAGTTTCAGTTACCCACAAACAAAATAATTCTGCAAAACAGAACCACATCTCAGAACCTGACACACAGGAATTGGCCTGGTCACACCCCACTCCACCCCAACCCCAGCCTGCTCAGTCAGCTTCCTCCATGAGTGGTTTGGTTGGGGTGATTTCCTGGGAGCTGCATCAGGATGCTCCCCCATGGGTGGTGGCACCCTGACTCCGGGGGCTGGGAGGGGAGGCTCTGGTACTCCACCCCACAGTGCAGTTCCAATGGAGTGGGACCTCAAAGCCAGGTCCCCATCACGGGGCATCCCACCTATGCAATGCGCTCACTTGTAAGTCCTCAGAGTACCTGCAGGTGTCTGTTGGACAAAAGCACACCCGAGTATCTCACCAGGATAACCATAATTTGCAGAAACAGTGCAGCTAGAGCCTCTAGGCAGAAAGTTGAGGTTTCTTCACTGTTGAATTTTCAAGATTCTCTCTCTCCTGCATATCCAGTCAATAACATAATTCTGCAGAGCAATACTTAGTTCCTTTCCTTCAACTTTGATATTGCAGCTCCTTCCAATTTGTGTATCTTTAGGAACTGCACCCAAGGAAAGGGCTGATTTGCTGGGGTCACTCTCTCAACAATGCTTCCTCAACTGTGCCAAAAATAGCTTTGAAATTTCCACTTGAATTCTTAGAAAGGGCCCTTTTCTCTCCATTTCCATCTGAGGAAAAGAGGAGGTAGCTTATTTTCACAGTTCCATGGTTTCTAATAATGGCACAATATTCTTTTGAGTGAACTGCCTTAATTCACTCAACCATCCCCCTATTATTAGACATTGGGTAATGTTCAATTTTTCCTTTTTCTTTTTTTTTCGAGACAGAGTCTCACTGTGTCGCCCAGTGCAATGGCACCATCTCAGCTCAGTGCAACCTCCACCTCCTGGGTTCAAGCAATTCTCCTGCCTTAGACTCCCGAGTAGCTGGGATTACAAGTGCCCGCCACCAAGCCTGGCTAATTTTTGTATTTTTAGTAGAGACAGGGTTTCATCATGTTGGCCAGGCTGGTCTCAAACTCCTGACCTCAAATGACCCACCTGCCACGGCCTCCCAGAGTGCTGCGATTACAGGCGTGAGCCACCATGTCCTGCCAAATGTTTAATTTTTAACCCTTTAAAAATAACACTATGATGAACATTTTTTAGTATAAATCTTCTCCTATGTTTAGCTTATTCCCAGAAATAGATTTACCAAGGCAATGGGGAGGACTTTTAGCACATATTGTCTTGGATCACTAAAAAAAAAAAAAAAAAAAAAATCTGAAAAACAAAATAATCCAAAGAGGCCAACAAGAGTTCCTATTGAGAAGAAAATAAAAAAGAAATAGGTGGAGTGTTCAGTGTCTCAAAGAAAATAATAGCAGGCAAGTCAAATAGCAGGAAAGTAAGTCATCTCCTATTCTGCTGCGCTGATGTGAGATCTTCTATGAGCAAAATAGCTCAGGCAGATAAGTGTGTGGCTTTCCTTTCTTCATGGCAAATGCTTCCGTTTCTTTTGACAAATACATCGAATGGAATACCATAAGTCAGATAGTTTTGATCTCAGCCTTGTTTTTCAAAACACAAGCGGTTAACATGCCCTTTTACCTCTGAGGGATTGGAATGATCACCTCCTCCTGACTGTTTTCTACGGCCACCTCTAGCCCACTGCAGGCTTCCTTAGAGGGACAAGTGTGGCAGCCTCTTTGCTGGGCCCCCTGCCTCCAGCCTTGCTTCAGTTGAATCTATTGACCATTGTACACCCAAACTCATTTTCTTCAATGTCTATTTCAGTATTTCACATCTCTGAATGCAGATGTATCATAGAGCTACTTAAGTCCCTTTTCCAGGAGTTTTCAGTAGCCTGGAGGCAGATGTGGAGCGAGTAGGAGGCTGATGTCTTCGTTGGGATCCCCCAAAAGCAGACCCTGACACAGGCTTGGGGAGCAGTCGTTTCTTTGGAAGGAGATCCAAATGAGCACTACGAGAGAGTGGAGAAGGGACAGGGAGAGGAGAAAAGGCAGTAAAGTGTGTGTTTCTGAGCAGGTCACTGTGGGCCACCTGGGCACAAGCCCACAGGCATCACTGAGAGGCTCTGTGGGAGACACCTCAGAGTTGTCGCACTGAGACCAGGAGGCTGCGAGTTTAGCTATCAACTCCCATCCATTATTGCTTGTGGGCTGCTCCTGTGCCACCTTCTGGCCTGTCTTACCTGTGGCCAGGTGTCCTCAGGTGGAGGGGCTGTAGGTGAGGGCAGGAACCCTCTGCAGAAGACTCTAGGGGAGGCTGCGGGTCGGCCAACTCTGACAGCTGCTCCACAGTTGGATCTGTGTGTGTGTGTGTATGTGTATTCACACACACACACATGTACATACACACATGTATATGCATATGAATTTTTTTTTTTTTTAGATGGAGTCTCTGTTGCCCAGGCTGAAGTGCAGTGGCATGATCTCGGCTCACTGCAACCTCCACCTCCCAGGTTCAAGCGATTCTCCTGCCTCAGCCTCCTGAGTGTCTGGGATTGCAGGCACCCGCCACCACTCCCGGCTAATTTTTGTATTTTTAGTAGAGACAGGGTTTCACCATGTTGGCCAGGCTGGTCCCGAACTCCTGACCTCAAGTGATCTGCCTGCCTTGGCCTCCCAAACTGCTGGGATTACAGGCGTGAGCCACCGTGCCTGGACTTATGCATATGATTTTTAAAACAAAAATAAGATCTTACTATGCTTACTGATATTTTTGACTCAACTGTCTTGGACAACTTTTCACATCAACAGAGATATTCTATTCCCACATTATCCATGGTTGAATAGTATTCTATTGGGAGGATGCATCCCCATCAGACATTTGTTTGTTCGTTTGTTTTAGAAACTGGGTCTCACCCTGTTTCCCAGGCTGGAGTGCAGTGACGTGATCGTAGCTCACAGCATCCTTGAATCCCTGGGCTTGAGCGATCCTCCTGCCTCAGCCTCCTGAGTAGCTGGCACTATAGGCACAAGCCACCGCACCTGACCCCCTATCAGACATTTGTTACTTCTAAATGTGGTTGACATAAACAAAGGTGGACAAGAACAATCTTCCTGAAACATGGCTGGCCACAGCACTTGGTATCTCCCTTTTGCTTGAAACCCACTGATAGCTCTCCATTACCCACAGGGCCAAGCCTAAATTCCAAACCTTGGCATTCCAAACCTTGGCCTGTCCCTGGACCTCTGCTCTCTGCCCAGCTCCTCTTCTACAGTCAGACAGTTTGACCCACCGGGTCATCTCAGGTCCTGTCCATTCATACACCTGGGTCTTGGCTTGGGCTCTGTCCCCAGCCTGATAGCGCCCGTCTTCCCCTGCTGCTTGGCCCCATCAAGGACTGACTTCCTTGGAACTCCATCCCTCAGCGGTCAAGTCCTCTCTTTTTCATTATCCCCGGGGCGTAGTCTTATCTTTCTGCTCTCTTTCCATGGATACATTTTCACTTCCCAACAATGCTGGGACAAGTGACCATACTGCTTATGCCTCCAGGGTTCAGATGGCACATTGCACACGCAGACACTTCCTTGGTCAAGGTTTGTTGATGATGAGCAAAATGGCTTGTTCTCTTTCTACCTGGAATGAGAATGGAGATGGAGAGAGGCATCTCTGTGTTCTACTCACTGGGGGGCTGTGACCCCAGTGCCTGGATCTCAGCTTGTTAATGGCTGTTGAAGCCATAAGACCCATGGGGACAGTAAAGTAATGCCCACAAGCCTGCTCCCCTAGAGACAGGTACTACGGAGCAAAGGAGGAGGTGGGAATGGTCTTTCTGGTTCTTACTCCAGGACTGGCAGGAAGGGGAGCTGACATGGAGAGTGGGGGAAGGGCTACTCGGGGTGCTAAGCCCAGCTTCCTGTCTGGATTTTCCTTGACTGCTGCCGGGGGCCTATCTTAGGATGGTCACAGCTGCAGAAATAGATCTCCCCCTTCACCTGTTCTTAAGCAAGGAAGACCTTGCTAACTTCCTGTCAAAAGAACGCGTGCTTTGGTAACTTTTCCAGTACGGGAGACAGTACTGGGGACGCGGGTGCTGAAGTCACCACGATTTTCCTCGTCTGAGGAGCAGTGGCTCACCTTGGCCAGGAAACAGGGCAAATAGCCGCAAGGAGAGAGGCGAGAAGCCGGCCACGTGTTTCCAGCCAGAGTCCTCAGCCTCTTCCGTGAATTCGGGCGGTGTTTCCTTCCTTGGTCTGCTCCAGAAACCACTCTTTCCTGGCAGGAAGCCCCTCTCTCTGTCAGAGTGACAGGGAACAGACCCTTTGTCCTCCTCACTCGTCTGCCCTAGCCCCCAGCCTGCTCCTGCAAAAGTCTCTGTTTCTCCTGAACTTTTCAGCTGAGTCAATCGGGCTCTGGGACCCCGAAACCAAGCCTCCCCAGTCACTCGCTTATTCACTCAACAAACACACCCCCCTTCCCCGCACTAACCCAGGCCCAGTTCTGGGAACCAGCAAGGGGAGGGGAGGGGAGCCCCGAGCAGCGCGGCGGGAGGTGGACATGCCGGGGAGGAGACTGGCCTCCTGGTGGCGGGGGAGGGCTCCTGGGGACCCCAAGTCCGCGGAGGAGGAGACAGGAGGGAGCAGGGAGATGGAAGACCCAGGAGCACGGGCGGGCTCCGCGCATGCGTGGGAAGAGACCTTGGCGTCCTCGGCGTCGCCAAGGCAACCGGCGCCAGCCATGGCCTCTGGGGCGGGCGGAAGCTGGGGTCGCTCCCCACCGCAGAGCGCAGTCCCGACGGTGAGGGCTGAGCCCGGGAGCAGATCCTGCCTTAGCTTGGGAGACGGCAGAGTGGGGAGCTGTCCCTGGAGGGGCCAGATCCTGGAGGGGTGGGGGACGAGGAGAGACAGCCCCAAACCGAGAGGAAGAGGCGTGGCAGGGAGCAGGGAGGCCGCGGGGCGGGGAGGAGAGAACCTGGCCCCTGCGGGGTTAGGGAGGCCACTGGCCGGGGGGGTTGGGGCTCGCGACGTGTCCCCATCCATTCCCCCCACCCCACCTGGCTGACTCCGCGCACACCCCCAGCCCTGGGTCACCTTCCTGCAGCCCCTCTCGTGGGCCGTCCCACCTGCGCCCCCGCAGCCAGGCCGCGTGAAGGAAGGTGAGACTCCCGGGTCCCCCCACCCCACCCCCACCATCACCACCACTCACCCTCTTCTGCCTCGCACATCCTCTGGGAGTCCCCGCAGCACAACCCGCCAACCCATTCTTCACCCCCGGGACAGGGGTGTCAGGGGGAGGGGGACTCGGAGGCCCGGCGTGGGCTTGCTGAACCCCGCTTCCTAGACCTGCTGGAACTGATGATGCTGCAGAACGCGCAGATGCACCAGCTGCTGCTGAGTCGCCTGGTGGCTGGAGCGCTGCAGCCCCGGCCTGCCTCGCCCTGCCCTCAGGTGCGTGTGGGTGGGCCGCCGGGGTCGCTCACCTGTGGGTCCAGGGATGCGGATCCACCTGGGGTTCCTGTTCAGGGGGGAAAAGAACTGGGAGACAGAGGAGCAGGAAGCCAGCCCGTCTCTCTGGCTGGGGCTGTTTGGCATCTGTCATGTTTCAGCCTCCATGAAAGGTTGGGGCGGGGAAGAGACCCCCCAAAGTCCAGACCACCGAGGTCTTGTTTTCAAGGAGGTTTCCCTGTAGTGCCTCCCCCACTGGACTTAAGGCTCCAGGAAGGTAGGCACCCTGGTAACCCTGCCCCATGCATCATGAGCGTCTGGCCTGGTGCCTGACACCGTGTAGGGGCTCAGCTGATATTTGTTGAACGAGTGAATGAATAAATGAATGGTTAGGGATACAAAGCCAGGTTGGCTGTGATGGCACATGGAGAGGTACAAAGCACAAGTGCACATAGGGTTGGGGGATGGGGACAGGCTCCTTGGAGGAGCAGAGGATCTTAGAACCAGCCCTTGAAAGCCAGGTAGGATTTTGACCCTTGGAGGAGGCGAAGGGTGTGTCCCCCATCCAGGCTGGCAGGGGCAGAGTCAGGAGACAGAATGGGGGAAACCGTGTGCGGCAGTGTGTGTGTGCAAGAGTGTGTGTGTGTATGTGTGTGCAAGTGGGTGTCTGTGTGCATGCGTGTGTGTGTGCAAGGCTGTGTACATGCATATGTGTGTGCAAGTGTGTGTTCACGTGCGTGTGCAAGGGTGTGCGTGCACGTGTGTGCGAGCGGGTTGTGAAGGCAAGTGTGTGCGTGCAAGCAAGTGTGTGCGTGCAAGCAAGTGTGTGCAAGTGGGGGTGTGTGCAAGCGTGTGTGTGCATGCATGTGCATATAGCTCTAAGGCTGAGCCTTACTCAGCCAATAGTGGGCATCCTGAGGTCAGGAGAAGCAGGGACTGGGTGGAGAGAGAATGTTGTTCAGCTCGGAGGAGGCGGAGAGGGGTTCAAGGAATCCAGACAGAAGGAGACCCTGAGGAGCTACTGCCACCCCTCACCCCTGGGTCCTCAGTGATGACACATAGGTGGGTCCAGGGGCCGGGGGTGAGGCCGGGGACAGCTCAGTGGACTCCTGGCCCCAGCTCTGGGGGTCACACCTGGAATCAACTGGGTGGCCAAGTTGCTCAACGTCCTTGAGCTACAGGAGTAAATGTCTCCACAATTTGTTGTCCGCATGTAGTAAACGCTCAATAAACACAACCCATTCTTTTTTTCTTTTCTTTTCTTTTTCTTTTTTTTGAGACGGAGTCTCTCTCTGTCACCTAGGCTGGAGTATAGTGATGCAATCTCGGCACACTGCAACTTCCACCTCCTGGGTTCAAACAACTCTCCTGCCCCAGCCTCCCGAGTAGCTGGGACCACAGGCGCCTGCCACCACACCCGGCTACTTTTTTGTGTTTTTAGTAGAGACGGGGTTTCACTATGTTAGCCAGGATGGTCTCGATCTCCTGACCTTGTGATCCGTCCGCCTCAGCCTCCCAAAGTGCCGGGATTACAGGCATGAGCCACCGCGCCCCGCCTACACAAGCCATTCTTTTTTTTTTTTTCCTTTTTTTTCTTTTGAGATGGAGTCTCGCTCTGCCGCCCAGGCTGGAGTGCAGTAGCTCGATCTCTGCTCACTGCAAGCTCCGCCTCCCGGGTTCACGCCATTCTCCTGCCTCAGCCTCCTGAGTAGCTGGGACTACAGGCGCCCACCACCATGCCCAGCTAATTTTTTTTTTTTTTTTTTTGGTATTTTTAGTAGAGACGGGGTTTCACCGTGTTAGCCAGGATGGTCTCAATCTCCTGACCTTGTGATCCGCCCGCCTCGGCCTCCCACAGTGCTGGGATTACAGGCGTGAGCCACCATGCCTGGCCACAAGCCATTCTTACAAAGCCTATCTGGAGGAAATAACTTAGGGGAATGGAGGAGTGGCGGTGGGGAGAGCCTGATGGTAGATTCTCATTTCCCCTCCCTGTTTTGCACAATCCCCAGGTCTACCTGGAGGTTCCACAGGAAGAGCCTGAGGAGGAGGAGGAGGAGATGGACGTGCGGGAGAAAGGGCCTTTGGTGTTTCACCACCACTACTTGCCCTATTTGATGCCCTCCCCGGGTGCCCTGCTGCCCTGGCCAGCCCCCTTCTTCCCCACCCCTGCTTGTCAGCCCTACTTGCAGGACGTGCCCAGGATTCAGCACTGTCCTGCCTCCAGGGAAAGGGAGGTGTAAGTGAGGCTGGGTGCTGCCAGGGTTCTGCTCTGGGCTGGAAGTTGCAGAAGAGCTGTGCAGGGGCTGGTGGTCGGTGGAGATAACTTGTGGGTGAAACTCCAGAGGCCACCCCTGGGCCTCTGATGGGGGTCTTTTTCTTTCCCCCATCTCAGGAGAGCTGTGCCCCCACCCCCACCCCCCAGTGCCACAGGGACTGTGGGTGCTGATGTACCCCCGGCTTCAGGTAGGGCTGGGGTGGTGGGCAGCGGGGCCCAGGCCTGGGAGTGAATCAGGAGGCCAGGAGGGCCCTGTGCCCTCTGGTGGGGTTTGGGGGTTTCCTAACATCACTGCTGCAGGCAACTGGCCTGTCCCCTTCCCTTTACCTCTTTGGGGTCCACTGAGACAGGAGGGAGTCAAGATGAGGTTCTTGTTTCCCCAGACTACTATGATGCCGAGAGCCTCCTATGAGGACAGACCCCGGCCCTGGGAACTGCACCAGCTTCCTGCTCTGGATACAGCCCCGGAGCCGCCTCCTGCACCTCTCTTGTCGACTCCCCGGTGCCCATGGCTGGCAGTCCTTCTCACTCCCTCAACCTCAGCCAGGCCCTCTTCTCCTGGGGAAATCAGTCCCTGCCCCACGCCAATGAGTTCCTGGACGGGCCGGATCTGTGCTGTTGTGTAAGAGCTCCCTAGAGCACCACCCAGGCCCTTGAAGCCACGTCAGCCCGCCTCTGCCCCACTGCTTCCTGCCTGGAGCAGGGGGAGGCCTGGGAACAGAGCCCCCACCCTCTCTCCCTCACCCCTCTCTCTGGGATGATGAGGTCTCCTTCCAGCCTAGTAATGGAGCAAGAGGGGAGGGGGGGATTCCTTCTGCTTTCCACAGCTTTGAAGGCCCCTTTGAGGTGGCTGGAGGGGCCCAGAGTGGTCGGGGAGAGACTTTGCTGGGCAGCGCCCCTGAGCAGAGTCAGTTCGCTGGGCCCCCCACCCCTCATCCCAGGAAGCAGCTCTGTTGGCAGAAAGGAGAGGTCAGAGCTTTGTCCTGCTGTGGCCAGGAGTGGCCTGAGGTCTCCTGGGGCCAGGTGGGAACAGTGTGTCCTCTGCCCCCTGGGCCAGGGTGTGTTTCCCCCACCCTCCCTCAGTAGCAATGAGCTACTCGGGCCAGATGGGGGCCTGTTGCATGGGCTGGGAGGCCCCTGTGAAGGAGAGGGTGGGGAGGGAGGCATCTAGGGAGAGGGGTCCCCCATGGTGGCTCCCCTCCCTGGCCATTGTTATCCCAGGAGGAGACACTGTGGGCACAGGGCTAAGTCCAGGTGTTTGTATTCGGGCTAGAAAAGGCAATGTCCCAAGTCTCTGCTGCCTGTCACAGTCCTTCAGCCAGGGCTGGACCTCAACCCTGAGGAGTCACACTGAGTTCCAGTGACCACCGTGGTGGTGGCCATGCCACTCATGGTTGCTATGGCCGGAAGGCCTGGGGCAGCCTCCTCCAAGCCGCTCGCACCCCGTAGGTGCCCATCCGCTGCTGGCGCAAGTGCTGGCCGAAGATGAAGCAGAGCAGGACAGATGTCACGAACAGGGACAGCAACACCGACACCACCGTGACTATGATGACCATCTGGCTGTCCGACACAGGCTCTGGGGAGGGAGGGGGCAAGGGTCTTAGACGTCCTGTGATCCCAGTTACCAGGGACCAAAAGGGAGTGGAAGTCCACCCCCAACCCAGACCCCCAGACCCCGCCGCCCGCTCATGCATCCAGCAGTCACCCCAGTTGCAGAGATGAGTGGTGAATGGTGTCTGCATTAAAATTATTATCTGGAAAAAAGGTGGCCCAGGGCTCAGGCTACCAGCTGGACTTCTGTGTGGCTGTGAGGGCAGATGTCCCCTTGTCAGCAGCCATGGGACCAGTGTGTAGCTGCTGGACACCGTGGCCTGGAGGGTGGCATGGTCCCAGCCAAGCCCCTTCTTGGGCAGAGCTGAGTGAACTTCATGCCAGGCTCCCTGTGTGCCGGCCGTCCAGGGTCACCAAGCAGCAGAGCTCTGGGGACCTCAGTGGGGGCAGTCAGGCCAAACTTCTCATTGTGGAGGGGAGCCAAGGCCAGGGAGAGCCGTCAAGGTCATGGGGCTTGATGGTGGCCGAGGAACTAGTTGACCTCTCCCGACCTCTGGAGCAGTTGAGGTCCAAGCTGGGGACTTGGAAAGAACTTCAGGGAAGAGGGAGAGTAAGAGGGAAGCCTCAGGATGAAGGGTGGGCTCCTGGGTGTTTGCTTCCCAAGTGGGACTCAAGATTTTTCTTCCCCCGAGGGGCTGAAAGTGACTTATCACTCCCAACTCCATCCACGGATCCCCCCTCACCATAGATCTCCAACATCTTCGGGGCTGAGTGTTTGTGAAAGATGTTGCCACCGCGAGACATCAAGTCCAGCACAGCCAGGCAGGAGAAGTTGCGGTGGCCATCCTCTCTGTCAGCCGTGCTGTTGAATGTGGCTGTGGCCTCCTGCGGAGCAGGGGCTGCCTTCCCGAAGGTCTCATAGTGCAGAGTCTCATTGCCACGGAACAGGAAGAGGGTGAGGCTGTCCAGGGGCTCCACGGTGGGCACCCTGCACTCAATGGTGAAGGACTTGCCCACAGCCACCAAAGTGGGTTGCAGTGTCAGGATGACCTGCCTTGGAGGCTCTGCAGGGGACAAAGGAGGGAGGTCTGGTCAGGATGGGGGTGCAGTCCCAGCAGCCTCCCCCTGGCCAGGGCCATCTCCTGTCACCATGGTGTTCCACGGTTGGGGAGGAGGTGGCCTGGCCGGCTCCAGTGCAGAGAGGAAGAGGGCAGCAGTTGAGGATGGAGGCTGGACTGTGTGGTAGTTTTACAGACATGATGGTTTCCGGTGACCAGGTGTCTACAAGGACAAGGTTCAGAAATTGTACAGCCAACTGGAAAGATATAAAAGTTTGGGTCTGTCTCCTCTCCTTCAGAAATGAAATATAAATTTCAAACATTAAACAGTTGGGTGATCACGTTGAGAGAGACTTAGATGGGCATTGCTCACTGGAACTGGGCACTGGAGGAACTGAGCTGTGAAGTTCATCACTTAGGAGGCAGAGGCCAGAGCCAGACCTGCCCAGGTTCTCCAGGGTCAGGGCCATGGCCACCACGATTCCTCACGTATTCAACCACCCGAGGGGGTGCCCTGGATTCTCTTTTGAATTAGAATACTTCACTTCCACTCACCCCACCTCCCACCCCGAGAAAATATGTTGGATTTAAGATGTTTTTCTGTTCATTGATCCACTGAAACTGGTGATGGAATGGACCCAGGTGATACCCTTAGCGCCAAGATGTCCTATCCCAGCCCATCTGGAAGGTTTTCATGGCTCATGTGCAGGTGGAGTGTGATGGCCACACATTTGCTGTGGGCCCTGAGGGGAAGATAAAAACCCTGGGCGACACTTCAACCTTCTTGCCATGAGATGGACAGGCTCAGCTCCCCTGATGGTGACCCCACTACTTGGCATGGGACATGGGGTGCTCTGGTGACTCAGCTATGTTGGGAAATGACTTCTGGATTTGGCTAAATGTTGGTTAGATTGTCCTCCCCTAAGCAAGACTCAAAATGTGGGTTGTCTGCGTCTTGAGATGCCAGCGGGCTCAAGGCATCCAACCAAGGGCTGGCCTGGTCCTGCCCCTTGTCACCCCAGGAGCTCAGGGAGGCAGGGCCCCACGATGACAGTGCCCAGGAGCAGGCACAGAGGGGCTCTGTGTGCATTCAGTAGACACAGCCTCTGTCCCAGGGGAGAGGAGGGCCCCGCAGCACAGCCACTCACGGTACACGCTGACGTTGGAATTCATTGACTCCTGCTTCCCGGAGCAGGTGAAGTGGCATTGGAGGACCGTGTCATGGGAGATGTTTGAGACCAAGTAATGTTTCCACTGAGCCTGTTCGTCCAGCAGAATCTTATCTAGAGAGGTCTCCAGACCACCCACTTCAGGCTGGTTACAGGTGGTGCTGCAGTTGACCTCGAGGGACCCTTTGGGCTCAACCGCCAGCTTCTTTGGCCTCACGTGTACCTCGAATACCTTCTCATCCGATCCTGGAAAACCAGAAACACTGGGCAGTCGTGTCATCCCCCCACCCCCTGCCCTCCAGTGGAGCTGTCCATTGAGGCAGTCTGGCTCCTGGGTCAGGGACTGAAGAGGAAAGGTCATTGGGGACCCCGCTGCTACTTTCCCCTTGTCAGGTGTCATGGCCCCGGCTAGACCAGGAGGCCACCCCCCAGCTGGCTCCCTGCCTCTGGCTGTCCTTCCTCCAGCCCCCTAGCTGACACCCTGCCTCTGGCTCTCCTTCCTCCAGCCCATCTGCCCATCAGCTCCAGATTAGTCTTCCTCAGGCTGTGCTCCAACTCCATGGAGTGGGATCCGACTCAGTCTTTAAGGTCAGCCCAAATGTCCCCTCCCCCATAAAGCCCTCCCACAGAGGGCCCTCTGTAGCCCTCCCTCCCTTCCTTTCTTGCACAAACACTTTTTGAACACCTGCTATGTCCAAAGCATCAGGCTCTGGGGATACAGCAGTGATCACAGTAGACCAAACACTGCCCTGGCGGAGCTCCAGTAAACAGTGACAGGCAGAGCACCCAGCGGTCAGATGGCAGGAAAGCGCCGAGAAAGGGAGCAGGGAGTGGGGGTGAGGCCACTTTAAATACTGTGCTCAATGAAGGCCTCACCCAGATGGTGACTCTGTGGGCAAAGGCATGCAGGGGCGTGGCACGCCCTGCAGATACTTGGGGGCAGTGATCCAGGGGAAGGGGGCCAGCAGTGCAAAGGCTGGGGCAGGAGGATTGTTGAGCCCAGGAGTTGGAGGCTGCAGTGAGCTATGATCACACCCTGCACTCCAGCCTGGGCAACAGAACAGGAACCTGCCTATAATAAAAATAAAAAATTTAAAAAGCTTCAGCAGGCTGGGCATGGTGGCTCATGCCTGTAATCCCAGCACTTTGGGAGACCAAGGCGGGTGGATCACTTGAGTCCAGGAGTTCGAGACCAGCCCCTGCCATCTCTACAAAAAATACAAAAATTAGCTGGGCATGGTGGCTCTCACCTGTGATCCCAGCTACTCAGGAGGCTGAGGTGGGAGGATCACCCGAGCCCAGGGAGGTGCAGTGAGCCATGATCATGCCACTGTACTCCAGCCTGGGTGATAGACCGAGACCCTGTCTTAAAACAAAACAAAAAAACCTAAGAACCTCAGCAACTTTTGGGACTTCTCTTCCACCTGAAGCCACAGGGAACAGGGCACCCCCACCCTCTCGGCTGGCATGTGCCAAATCAGGAACCCCAGGAAACTGGCTTACCTGGACAGCAGATCAGGGTGAAGAGGGCCACAGTCAGGGTCCTGTAACCGAAAGAGGACATCTCTGGCAGTCTCCACGGGCTCGCAGGGACCAGCCAAGGGCTGCCTGGAGGGAGATGGTGGGCGCAGGTCTGAGCTATGGCCCAGAATCCCTAGCCTTCTGCAAACTGATGACTGCATTTCCTCTCATTATCTGAGAGATCTTTGGGAAGCCACGTGCACCAGCTCGTTCTAGGACCCCAGGCCTCTAAGAATCCAGGCAGAGGAAGCTGGGAAGCTGCTGATAAGCAGGGCATAACCCAGTCCTCCCTGCTGACTCCCTGTGCAAGGGGCGGGGCAGGCAATGGGTGCACGCATGCGTGTATGAGACGTGTGCACAGGGGAGAGTCAGGCCTACAAGCCCCAGATCTGGGGAACCCCAAATCCCATGGGATGCATTGTTGGAGTCATGCCTGGGAGACAAGCATCCAAAGGCCAGGACCTGTCCAGGACTTGCAGTTACCATAGCAAAAGGGGACAGTGACTTGGGCTTTTCTAAGGAAGCCTGGAGGGCAATTTGAGCTTCTCCTGCTAAATGCCTGGTGCAATTCTGCATAAACCTTCACATCCCACTCAGTTTTCTTTTCTTTTTCTTTTTCTTTTTTTTTTTGAGATGGAGTCTCACTCTTGTCGCCCAGGCTGGAGTGCTGTGGCACAATTTTTGGTTCACTGCAACCTCTGCCTCCCAGATTCAAGCAATTCTCCTGCCTCAGCCTCCAGAGTAGCTGACATTACAGGATCGCGTCACCACACCCAGCTAATTTTGTATTTTTAATAGAGATGGGGTTTCACCATGTTGTCTAGGCTGGTCTTGAACTCCTGACCTCAGGTGATCTGCCTGCCTTGGCCTCCCAAAGTGCTGGGATTACAGGCCTGAGCCACCGCACCTGGCCCTCACTCAGTTTTCAACCTAGACTTGATCTTGACTCAGCTGATTCAGGGCCAACTTGAGGCCCAGAGCCTCAGGAAATGCATCCCATAATAGTCCCCAGCAACCCAGGCACAGACAGAGAATGGGGTCAGTCTGGCTGCAGCCACACCCCCAAACCATGGCCTTCATTTCCTGGCCTACCTGATGTCCTCCATCCTCTCTCTCCCTCCAGGAGGGAGCCTTGGGTTGGGAGGGTTGGAGCCTGAGGTGTTTCACTTTATTCCTAGGGAGGAATCCGCAGAAGCAGTGAGCAGGTAAGGGAGGGATTTCAATGGACGAGAGGACCTTCCTGGGGGATCGCCACACAGTCTCATCCCTCAGTTCTGCCTAAGATCCCTTTTGCAACCAGGCAGGGAAAGAGCAGGACTTCTTGCTTTCTCAGGGGAACCCCTGATGGGGCCTTTCCAAAGGGATGCCCCAGAATCCTCAGGACTTTGGCCAAGCTCCATTCCGGGTTGGGAGGGCAGGGTGAGGTCCTGCCCTTCCCTCACTGCTGAGGGCAAAGGCGGTTACTACTGTACACAACCATCAAGGGCTGCCATTGTCAGCCTGGACCCAGGGAAGTCCCTGGACGGGGTTGCTGGACTTGGGAATGATGCAGGGAGGAAGAGGCAGGGCCTGGGGCCAGCAGAGAAAAGGAGAACAGGGTGGAGTTTCACCCCCAGCCTGAAGGAATCTGATTTCATGTGGGGCCAGCAAAGTCCTGAGAGCAGGAAACACTCCTGAAACCCAAGCCAGGGGCTGGGACAGAAGGGTGGGGATGGGGACATTGCTGTAGTGGAGACTCTGTGTCCTCCACTGAGTCAGAATAATAATAACAATAACAACATCAATAATAATAATAGTAAACATTTACTTACTACAAGTCGGGCACTGTCACAAGCACTCTATAAATATTAACCAATTAATCCCCTAACTCTCTGAGGCAGGTACTGTTACTGTCTCCATCTCACAGATGGGAAAACTGAGGCACGTCAAGGTTAAATGACTTGTTCAAGATCACATACCTAGAAAAAATGAAGTCACCATGAATGATAGCCTGCCATGGTGACTGTTGAAGCCCGCCCGAGCAGGCGCAAGAAGAGGATTGTTAGGAGCCTGGTTCCCAGGAGACCCTCAAGAGGGAAAAGCAACATAGCAGAAGGCCAGAGGAAGGTTCTGGGGCCTGCCTCACTGTGAGGGACTGTGGGAAGGTGGGGTGATCCATGCCTGGAGTGCTCCAAACAGCTTCTGGAAGGGACAGTGCTTGGGAATCCCACCTGCATACACAGCAGGGCCAGCCTGATTCCCTCTTCAAGCAAGGCTTCTGCAGCCCAACGTCCTCCCCGAAAGCACAGGCCCCAGTTCCTACCCCCCATCTCCTCCTGTGATGTCTCCCATCCTTCCTGGGCAGGCCCTGCTTGGCTGGGACACACCGGGCATGTGACCATCTATTTGTTAGAAATAGTTACTGTATTCTAACCGTTGACACATCAACCTTCCTGCCTCCCCACTGGCCCATCAACAGTGAGGGCAGAAGCTGAATCTCATGTACTGCTACATCCACCCAGTGTAGGACACTGCCTGGCACACAGTAGGTGCTTCATCATTGTTGAATTGGTAGATGGATGGGTGCATGCATGGATTAGTGAATGAATGAGAGAGTTTGTCCTAAACAAGCCTGGGCGAAGGCTGTTTTTAGTTTTAGGTCCTAAGCATTTACTGTTTTTTTTTTTTTTGTCCAGCATCTTCCTCCTGCTACTGCTAAAGTCTCTGCTTCCCAAGTCCACAAGGCTGACCTTATAATGTAAACAAGGCCAATCATGGTACCTTACTCCTTGAGGATGGGCACTTTGAGTTAGGCCTGCACAAAGGTTTTCTTTTTTTGAGATGGAGTCTCGCTCTGTCACCCAGGCTGGAGTGCAGTGATGCAATCTCAGCTCACTGCAACGTCCGCCTCCTGGGTTCAAGTGATTCTCCTGCCTCAGCCTCCTGAGTAGCTAGGATTACAGGTGCCCACCACCTTGCATACAGAGAGTTACTGTGGGGCTTGCCCTACAAAATGTCCACGACAGGAAAAGAGCTTGCAGCACACTCAACATTAATCATTAGGTCAGCATGCTCTCGACCTGCTTCCTCATAGTTGCTCGGTGCCTATTGCCCCAGAATTATGCAGACTCTGTCATAGGATTAGAGTTCCCTTAACTGCTCTAAAGGTAACAGCTTGAACATTATAAAATGTTAAGTTTTCCCTTTGAGATATTCTTTCAGGTCCTGCATACCAGTGAAAGTACTCATGCAGGCTGGTCTGAAGGACCCCACTGATGCCAGCCAGTCTGCAGGACCCAATTGATGCCAGCTGGCCTGAAGGACCCCAAGAGGAGCTGACTCACAAAAGAATGCAGTTTCCATATTCCAGTGATTTTATCCCCTTACCTCGACCAGTCATTGACCCCAGTTTACCAGCCTCTTGCCCTCCACAATGTCCTCTAAAATCCCAGCCCAGAACTCTTTGGGGAGATGGATTTGACGGTCTCCCCGATCTCCTCATTTGGCACCCCGGGATCATTAAACTTTTTCTCTGCAGGAAACCCTGCTGTGTCAGTGTAATTGGCCTGTTGCTGCACAGCAGTGGGCCTACACACCTGTTGGTCCTGTAACACAGGAATAAGAGGAAACTGACCATGATGTAGAAGAGAGAAGAAACTCGGGGTCCTTCCTGGAAAATTGTTTTCACCATGAAATGTCTCCTGTTTTGCTCTCTGGATCCCTAAGTTTCTCAAGGAAGGGGGCTATAAAACTGGAGGAGTTAAGATAGTTCTGGAAAACGTGAGAGAATTTTTGAGGGGAGGGGAGATTAGAGTCTCAGTTTAGAAAGTGAACTCATCTCTCCCACAGAGCTTTGGAAGGATTATGCTCTGACAGGGTCCTAATCCAGTGACTTTCCTCTCTTGTTTGAAAGAAAAAAAAAAAAAACTATTAGAATTGTGTACCCAGCAAAACCATCTTTCAAGAACCAAAGTTAACAAAAACAGATAAACAAAAAGTTTATCCCCCAAAATACCTAAATGAGCATTTACAAATGTGCTTCAGTAAGAAGAAAAAATGATTACAGAACAGTTTGCTATGCAAAGAAGGGCAAGAAAATAAAATGGCAAATGAGTACACAACTCCAAACAAATATTGTTTACAATAATGGTAATATTAATCATTATAATGTTTATTTTGAGAAGTTTTAGAAGTTCAAAACTAAAATACTGGGTAAGAATATATAAGGAAGGATTGGAGTTAAAGCATTCTAAGGTTCTAACTTGGAATTTTTAGGAGGGAGGACACATTTTAAGTTATATAAGGAATGGGAGAAAATATTTGCAAGCCATACATGCAGTAAGGGGCTAATATCCAAAATATATAAGAAACTCAAACAACTCAATAGCAAGAAAAAAAAACACAATTTTAAAATGGGCACAGACCAGCCCAATGTCTCTTGGACTTTATTTAATGCCATATAATGTTGTCAGAATAAAGAGAAAGATGAAAAAAATAAACAAAAATGGGCAAAGGACCTGAGCAGACATTTCTCAAAAGAAGACATACAAATGGGCCAGGCGTGGTGGCTTACACCCATAATCCCAGCACTTTGGAAGGCCGAGGTGGGTGGATCATGAAGTCAGGAGATGGAGACCATCCTGGCTAACACGGTGAAACCCTGTCTCTACTAAAAACACAAAAAAGTAGCTGGGCGTAGTGGCACACGCCTGTAGTCTCAGCTCCTCGGGAGGCTGAGGCAGGAGAATTGCTTGAACCTGGGAGGCAGAGGTTGCGGTGAGCCGAGATCGCGCCACTGCACTTCAGCCTGGGTGACAGAGCGAGACTCCATCTCAAAAAAAGAGGACATACAAATGGCCAAGAGGTATATTAAGGAGTGCCCACCATCACTAATTATTAAGGAAATGCAAATTAAACCCACAATGAGATATCACTTCACACCTGTTAGAATGGCTATTTTCAAAAAGACAAGAGATAAGTGTTGATGACAGCTGGGCATGATGGCTCATGTCTGTAATCCTAATACTTTGGGAGGCTGAGGCAGGAGGATCCCTTGAACCCAGGAGTTTGAGATCAGCCTGGGCAACACAGGGAGACCCTGTCTCTAAAAAAACAATAATAATACTTTTTAAAAAGAGATACGTGTTGATGAGAATGTAGAGAAAAAGGAATGCTTACATGCAGTTAGGAAGAATGTGAATTAGTACAGCTGTTATGGAAAATAGAATGGAGGCTCCTCAAAAAATTAAAAGTAGAACTACAGAGGATCTAGCAATCCCACTACTGGGTATATATCCAAATGAAATGAAACCAGCATGTCAAAGAGATATCTGCACTCCCATGTTCATTGCAGCATTATTCACAATAGACAAGATATAGAATCAAACTAAGTGCCCAACAGTGGATGAATGGATAAAGAAAATCTGATACATATATACAGTGGAATACTATTCAGCCTTAAAAAGAAGGAAATCCTGTCATTTTTGACAACACGAACAAACCTGGAGGACAATATGTTAAGTGAAATAAGACAGGCATAGAAAGGCAAATACTGGCCAGGTATGGTGGCTCACACTTGTAATCCCAGCACTTTGGGAGGTTGAGGCAGGAGGATTGATTGAACCCAGGAGTTTGAAACCAGCCTGGACAACATAGTGAGACCCTGTGTCTATTATTTTAAAAATTTTAGGCTGGGCAAGGTGGCTCATGCCTGTAATCCCAGCACTTTGGGAGGCTGAGGCGGGTGGATCACTTGAGGTCAGGAGTTCGAGACCAGCCTGGACAACATGGTGGAACCCCATTTCTACTAAATATATATAAAAATTGGCCGGGCATAGTGGTGTGTATCTGTAATCCTAGCTACTCGGGTGGCTGAAGCAGGAGAATTGCTTGAACCCGGGAGGTGGAGGTTGCTGTGAGCTGAGATTGTGCCACTGCACTCCAGCTTGGGTAACACAGCAAAATTCTGTTTCAAAAGAAAAAAAAATTATTAAAATGTTTACACAACATTTAAAAAGGCAAAACTTGGGTTTGCTGCACACCAAGTACTGTTGAATCCACGTGAATGAAGGGATGTGGAACACTGTATTAGATGTTCTAAATAATCTAGAGGTAGTTTAAAGTATACAGGAGGATGTGTGTAGGTTATACGAAAATGCTATGCAATTTTATATTAGGGACTTGAGCATCCTCAAATTTTGGTATCTGTTGGGAGGGTTCTGAAACCAATCCCTCCATGTATACTGAATAGTGACTCTACAATTTTTGTCAAATATTAAAAGAACATGTAAAATTTCAAGGAAAACCAGTAGAGATAAAGTATATAAATTCTAAACCACTAGAGAGGCTTAAAATTGTATAAAAACAATCCAAACAATCCTTAGTTAAAAAAAATTAAGAAGAAAGCTGAGTGTGGTGGCTTATGCTGGTAATCCCAGCACTTTGGGAGGCTGGGGCGAGTGGATTACCTGAGGTCAGGAGTTCGAGACCAGCGTGGCCAACATGGTGAAACCACTCTCTACTAAAAATACAAAAATTAGCTGGACATGGTGGCGTGTGCCTGTGGTCTCAGCTACTCAGGAGGCTGAGGCATGAGAATTGCCTGAACATGGGAGGCAGAGCTTGCAGTGAGTTGAGATCGCACCACTGCACTCTAGCCTGGGCAACAGAGTCTCACTCTGTCTCAAGAAATAAAAAAATACAAAAACAAATACAAATACAAAAATTAGCCAGGTGTGGTGATGTGTGCCTGTAGTCTCAGCTACTTGGGAGGCTGAGGTGGGAGGATTGTTTGAACCCAGGAGGTGGAGGTTGCAGTGAGCCAAGATCGTGCCACTGCACTCCAGCCTGGGTGATAGGGTGAGTTCCTATCTCAAAAAAGAAAAAAAAAATACTAAAACACAAAGCTCAGCTCTATGTTGTTTGTTGTTTACAAGAGACATACTTCATGCATAAGGATATGGAATTGGTTGAAAGTCAAAGGATGAAAAAGATATACTAGGCAAACACCAAAAGAAAGCTTGGAAAGCTATATTTATATCAGACAAAAATGAATTTAAAGACAAAAACATTTATTAGGGATAGAGTGAGTACCTAGAATAAAGGGTCAATTCACCAGGAAGTTACAATAGTTCTAAACTTCTATATAGAAGTTTCTATATAGAACTATATACTTCTATATATACTCTTTATAGTTCTATATACTCCCATATAGAACTATAAAGAGGTAAAACCACCATCACAACAGGAAATTTTAACATATGTCTCTTACTTATGAGTAATGATGCGGACAGAAAAAAAAATCAGTGGTGTAAATGCTTGAACTGCATCTATAAAGTAGAGAATACAAATTCTTCAAGAAGATGAGTTTTAAAACGCTTATATATTTGACAGTTTAAAAACATAATCTAATGCATTGGTCAAAGAAGAAATCATAATGACACATTTATAAATTCCTAAAATTGAATGATAATGAAAATATCATGTTAAAATTTCTGCGAGGCGCAAAAGTTGTGCTTGGAGGGAAATCTATAGCCTAGAATGCTTGTATTAGAAAAGAACTCTGGGCCAGATGCAGTGGCTCATGCCTGTAATTCCAGCACTTTGGGAGGCCAAGGCAGGAGGATTGCCCCTGCCCAGGAATTTGAGACAGGCCTGGGCAACATGGTAAGATCACATCTGAAAGAAGGAAGGAAGGAAGGAAGGAAAGAAAGAAAGAAAGAAAGAAAGAAAGAAAGAAAGAAAGAAAGAAAGGAAGGAAGGAAGGAAGGAAGGAAGGAAGAGAAAGAGAAAGAAAGGAAGGAAGGAAGGAAGAGAGAGAGAGAGAAGGAGAGAGAGAGGGGAAGGAAGGAAGGAAGAAAGAAAGAAAGGAAGGAAGGAAGGGAGAGAGAGAGAAAGAAAGAAAGAGAGAGAGAAAGGAAGGAAGGAAGAAAGAAAGAGAGAGAGAAAGGAAGGAAGGAAGGAAGAAAGAAAGAAAGGGAGGGAGGGAGGGAGAGAGAGAGAAAGAAAGAAAGAGAGAGAGAGAAAGAAAGGAAGAAAGAGAGAAAGAAAGAAAGGAAGGAAGGAAGGAAGGAAGGAAGGAAGGAAGGAAGGAAGGAAGAAAGAAAGAAAGAAAGAAAGAAAGAAAGAAAGAAAGAAAGAAAAAGAAAGAAGGAAAATAAGTCTGATGGCCAGGCATGGTGACTCATGCCTATAATCCTAGCACTTTGGGAGGCCAAGGCGGAAGGATCACCTGAGCTCAGGGGTTTGAGACCAGCCTGGGCAACATAGTGCGATATTATCTCTCTATTAAAATAAAAAATATTACAAAAAAACCCTTCCCTACAAAACTCAATAGGATAGGCAAGTCTCCAGTGAAATCGATATATAAAGAAAAAGAAGGCATGCGTAAACATGATTAGGAATGTAAATGGAAACGTAAACATGAGAAGAAAGAAAACTATACAAATTTATAGAAACAGAAAGTGAAACAGTAGTTGCCAGGGGCTGTGGGAGAGGGGAAATGAGAGTCCTTTAAATGGATTTAGTTCTGGTTTTGCAAGATGGAAAAATTTCTGGAGATGGGTTGCAAAACAATGAGAACATACTTAGCATTAATTGCTGAAGTGTACACTTAAAAATGGTTAATTTGGTACATTTTATGTTATGTGTATTTTACCACAATGAAAAATAAAGAAGACTATAAAAAAGTTATGCTACAACATAGGAATTGAAGTAGATCAAGTCTTAGACAAATATAACTTACCAAACTTATTTAAGAAGAAATAAAAAGCCTAAATGGTTCTATAACTATTAAAGAAATTGAATCAGGGCCGGGCATAGTGGCTCACAGGTAATTCCAAGAAAGTGCTTACGGCTAATCCCAGCACTTTGGAAGGCTGAGGTGGGAAGATCCCTTAAGCCCAAGAGTTTGAGACCAGCATGGGCAACATGACAAAACCCCATCTCTACAAAAAATACAAAAACTAGCCAGGCGTGGTGGTGCACGCCTGTAGTCACAACTACTTGGGAGGTGGAGTTAGGGGGATGGCTTGAGCCTGGGAGGTTGAGGCTGCAGTAAACCGAGATTACGCCACTGTACTCTAGCCTAGGTAACAAAGTGAGACCATGTCTCCAAGAAAAAAATAAAAGAAAACAAAAAAACTTGAATCCGTAATTTAAAGATCTTCCCATGAAGAAAATACCAGGTCTAGATGGTTTTGCAGAAGTTCAAGTAAGGGTAACTCTTTAAAAAAAATTATTATTATTATTTTTTTTAGAAATGGAGTTTTGCTGTATTGCCCAGGCTAGTCTCAAACTCTTGGGCTCAAGAGATCTTCCTGCCTTAGTCTCTTGAGTAACTGGGACTATAGGCATACAGCACTGTGCCTGGTTAGTAATTCTAATTTTATAAAAACTCTCTCTGAGAATGGAAAAAATGAAAACATTAACTCTTTCCATGAGGCCAGTGTAACCTTAATATCTAAACAAGACAAGTACAGGAAGAGAAAGCAATATTAGAGGCCAGTTTCACTCATGACTATAAATGCAACAGTTATAAGAAAAATACTGGTAAATCAAATCCGGCAGTGTAAAAACCAAAAGGCATCACATTCTAGTTGGGTTTATCTCAGGTTTGCAAGGATGGTTTAACAACGAAGAAATGTCTATAAACATTATTTATTATGTTGGTAATAGTAGACTTTGGTGCTCTGTGTCATATCACTTCTGCCCTCTGCTGATTTCAGCTGTCCCTACAGTGGATGATTTTGTGCAAGCCTAGACTCCCTTTTAAGCTGCCAGTGCCCCTCCACCTACCCCCAAACTTATACTATGCTTCTTTTTGCTTTTCGTCTCAGGGTCTTCTTCAATGCTTTAGGAACAATTTACTTGCCAGCTAGTGATTCCCAGAAGTGTGGGAGAGTTAAGGTCCCTAGAATGCGATCCTTACCCAGTTGGGGAACAGGAGCCAGTGGATATACTTTCCAGCCTCCTTCTTGCCAGTGGGCAATTCTGAGAGACATCCTGTAGTTTTATCAGAGGTCTCAGCAGAATAAGCTTCCGTCGCCTACAGCTGCAACATCAGTCACCCTCCTTTAAATGGGCTTTTCCTTCCTTCCTGTCTGTTTTCCCTGCTCCTTCACCCCCTGCTTCCTGGAATCACCTCTCAAATAACCTATCTGAATCTAAGTCCTTGCTCCAGCCTCTGCTTTGGAACAAAGGATTCTGCTTTAGAGCAAAAGGAGACCAAACTAAAACTTACATTAACAGATTTAAAAAGAAAAAACATACGATAATATCAACAGATTAAAAAAATTGACAACATTCAACACCCTTTTATGATACAAGCTCTTAGCAAATTAGAAGCAAATGTCCTTAACCTGATAAAGAAAACTTACATAAAACTTCTATGTTGTTTTTAATGAGTAAATCTTAGGAGAATTTCCTTTAAAATCAGGAAGAGACAAAGATGCCTATGATTTCTGCCTCTGTTTAATATTGTACCAAAGGTCTTACACATTGCAGTAAAAGGAAAGGAAGGAAGGAAGGAAAGGCGATCAAAACCATCGGTATTTGTATATGGCGTGACTACCCAGGTAGAAAATCCAAAAGAATCATCAGGCAAGTGACTCAAAGTAATAAGAGATTTTAGCAAGGCAACTAGCTAAAAGATCAATATTCAAAAATTGGTTGTTCTTGTGTGTATCAGTAACATACAAAAACATAATTTAAAAAATACATCAATTATAACAGTCAAAAAAGTAGAGCAAGAAAACTAACAAAACCTAGAACTATAAGACCTATAGTAAGAAAATTATAATACTTTATTGAAAAATATTAAAGACAATCTAAATAAATGGAGAGATAACACATGTTCATGGATAGGAAATTCAATATTATAAAGATGTAAATTATTCTGTAACTGATCTATAGGGTCAGTGCAATTCCAATTAACCCCAGTAGGGTTTTTCATGGAAACTGAAAGCTGATTTTAAGGTTTATATGGAAGAACAAAAGAACCAAGACGCCCCTAAAGGAAATGAATAAGGTGAGGGATTTGCTCTGCTAGATATTAAGACTTTCTGTAAAATATGGTGTTAGCGTAGGTATAGGCAAATTAACTGATGAAACAGAATAAAGAGCCCAGAAATACACCTATGCTTGTTTGAAACTTTGATGCATGACAAAGATGACATAGAAGATCACTGGGTAAGAGAAGAGCCTGTTAAATGACACAGGATCAATTGATTAACCATATAGAGAAAAAAAGGGGAAAATGTATCCCTATCTCACACCAAATATAGAAATCAATTCCATTTAGATTAAGGATTTATATGTGAAAGAAACTCTTTATAAGAAAATGTAGGAGAGTATTTCCATATCCTTGGGGCAAGACCTCGAAATTGTCAATCATAAAATCAACAATTGGTATCTTTGACTAAGATACAAAGAAACAGGTCGGGTGCGGCTGTGACGCCAGCACTTTGGGAGGCCGAGGCGGGCTGATCACGCGGTCAGAAGATCGAGACCATCCTGGCCAACATGGTGAAACCCCATCGCTACTGAAAATACAAAAAAATTAGCCAGGCATGGTGGCGGGCACCTGTAGTCCCAGCTACTCGGGAGGCTGAGGCAGGAGAATGGCGTGAACCTAGGAGGCGGAGCTTGCAGTGAGCTGAGATCGCGACACTGCATTCCAGCCTGGGTGACAGAGTGAGACTCTATCTCAAAAAAAAAAAAAAAAAAAAAAAAGACACAAAGAAACATTTCAAAGAAAAGGAAACATGTCTAAACAAGTGAAAAGATTATTTAGCTCGAGTAGCCAGGGAAATTAAAATTAAAATTACAATGGGACCGATACTATTTTATATGTATTAGGTTGGCAAAAGTTAAGAAATATGACAAGACCAATTGTTGGAGAGGCCGTAGGTTAATAGGCACCCTTCTAACTGCTGATGAGAGTGTATATTGGTGCTCTCAGAGATAATTAGGCATTATCTTGTAAACGGAATATTCTTATACCCTGTAACTCACAGTTCCATTCTTAGATGTATGCCCTAGAAACGCTGTCACACTAAGAACCAGACATGTCTTTGTGTTTACTTCTCTTTTTTTTTTTTTTTTTTTTTTTTTTGAGACGGGGTCTCGTTGTGTCGCCCAGGCTGGAGTGCAGTGGCGCGATCTTGGCTTACTGCAACCTCCACCTCCCGGGTTCGAGCTATTCTCCTGCCTCAGTCTCCCGAATAGCTGAAACTACAGGCGTACGCCACCACACCCAGCTAATTTTTGTATTTTTAGTAGAGATGGGGTTTCATCTTGTTGGCCAGGACCGTCTCTATCTCTTGACCTCATGATCCTCCTGCCTTGGCCTCCCAAAGTGCTGGGATTACAGGCATGAGCCACTGCTCCCGGCCTTACTTCTCACTATCTGTGTGACCTTGAGCAAATCACTTAATCTTTCTGTGCCTCAATTTCCTCATCTGCAAAAAGGAATCAATAATAGTATCTTCCTCATAGGGTTTTTGTGCAGATTAAACAAATAAAATAAGTAAATATTTTAAAGCATTTAGAACAGTGCCTAGCACACAGTAACGCTATATAACTGTTTCATAAAATAAAAATAAATAGGCATAGCCAGGTGCAGCAGTTCAAGACTGTAGTCCCAACTAATCAGGAGGCTGAGGTGGGAAGATCACTGGATCCCAGGAGTTCGAGGTTGTAGTGTGCTATGATCATGCCTGTGAATAGCCACTGCACTCCAGCCTGGGAAATATAGTGTGACCCCATCTCAGTAAATAAATAAATAAATAAATAAATAGAGATGCATATGTAATAAAGCACTTAAAAATAAGAGAACAATAAACACAAAATTCCAGAGGGTGGCTACCTGTGGGTGGGAGGCAAGTAGCATAAAAGTGGACAAGTGGTGGCCAGGTGTGGTGGCTCACGCCTGTAATCCCAGCATTTTGGGAGGCCGAGGTGGGCGGATCATGAGGTCAAGAGATCGAGACTCTCCTGGCCAACATAGTGAAACCCTGTCGCTACCAAAAACACAAAAATTAGCTGGGCATGGTGGCATGCGCACCTGTAGTCCCAGCTACTTGGGAGGCTGAGACAAGAGAATCGCTTGAACCCAGCAGGCGAAGGTTGTGGTGAGCCAAGATTGTGCCACTGCACTCCAGCCTGGGCGACAAGAATGAAAACTCTGTCTCAAAAAAAAAAAAAAAAAAAAAAAGCAGATAAGTGGTGTTTGCAGTTTGGTGATACTCCATCCTTGTGCTGAGTGGCAGCTTCAGGTGTGTTTGGTATATTACTGTGCAGTATGATGTATATGTATGTTACATAAGCTTTTTATGCGTTACCTAGTAAATTTTACAAAAATAATAAAAGGGAAAAAGGGCCTTTCTACGTGCCTAGAAAGAAGAGGCTTCATGGGAATGTGAGCCATGGGTTAGGAAAGACCCCCTCGAACCGAGGCAGGTAGGAAGTGAGTGACTGAGATTCATTATGAACCCACCACGCCTGCCGGGGAGAACAGGGACTGTCCCTTCCCCTCTGCATCAGCTCAGATGGTCCAGATCACAGCCCACGTGGGCCCCTAAATAAGGAGGCAGCCCCACATTTCTACATCGGCCACCGAGATGGCAGAGCAGAGGAAGGAGAGAGGGGAGACAAATCAGGAAAGGAGCGCCAGGGCAAGTGCGTGAGCTCAGAGACCCAGCAGGGCAGGGCAGGAGCTTCACAGAGTGCAGAATGTCGAGCCACAGGAGCGCTGGGGATTCCCCAACCCCTGCACTTACCAGCGAGAAACTGAGACCCAGAGAGGGGAACGGACTAAAACTCAGACCTCGACACTGCCAAAATCCTTCCCATGCTGCCACGCTTCATTGGAGGGAAAGTGAGAAGCTCAACCTTACCCCTGTGGGCTCCAAGAAGGGTAGCTCTGGGATCCCGGGCAGGAAATTGGTGACAAGGTGACAAGGTGCGCGTGTCACAGCTGCCCAGTTCACGGCTTATTCAGTCTTCTCCCTCCCCCCACTCCCCACCAGAAGTGACGTGCTTCCTGTGCCCCGGTTCCCACCCTAAACTAGCCTCATTTAGCTCCACTCCCATTCCGCTTTTTTTTTTTTTAATTGTGGTAAAACGTACACAACAGAATTTACCATTTCAATTTTTTTTTTTTTTTTAGACTGAGTCTCAGTCACCCAGGCTGGAGTGCAGTGGTGTGATCTCGGCTCACTGCAACCTCTGCCTCCCGAGTTCACGTGATTCTTGTGCCTCAGCCCGCAGAGTAACCGGGACCACAGGCACCTGCCACCACGCCTGGCTAATTTTTGTATTTTTAGTAGAGACAGGGTTTCACCATGTTGGCCAGGCTGGTCTCGAACTCCTGACCTCAAGTGAACTGCCTTCCTCGGCCTCCTAAAGTGCTAGGATTACAGGCAAGAGCCACTGCGTCCAGCCAATTTTTTGTTGTGTTGTTTTTAAGACAGAGTCTTGCTTTTGTCACCTAGGCTGGAGTGCAGTGGCACAATCACAGTTCGTGGCAACCTCTGACCCCTGAGCTCAAGTGACCCTCCCTCCTCAACTTCCCAAGTGACTGGGACTACAAGTGTGCAGCCACCAGGCTTGGCTAATTTCTGTAGTTTTTGTAGAGACAGAGTGTTGCTTATGTTGCCCAGCCTGGTCTCAAACTCTTGAGCTCAAGCAATCCTCCCACCTCAGCCTCCCAAATGCTGGGAATGAGCCACCGTGCTAGGCCCATTTTAATTATGTTTAAGTGTACAGTTTGGGGCACTAAGTACATTCACATTGTTCTGCAACCATCACCACCATCCATCTCTGGAGCTCTCTCTTTCTCTTTTCTTTCTTTTTTTTTTTTTGAGATGGAGTTTCGCTCTGTTGCCCAGGCTGGAGTGCAGTGGTGTGATCTTGGCTCACTGTAACCTCTGCCTCCCAGGTTCAAACGATTCTCTTGCCTCAGTGTTTTTGTTGTTGTTGTTGTTGTTTGTTTGTTTGTTTGTTTTGTAGAGATGGAGCCTCACTCTGTCGCCCAGGCTGGAGTGCTGGAGTGCAGTGGTGTGATCTCGGCTCACTGCAACCTCCGCCTCCCGAGTTCAAGCAATTCTCCTGCCTCAGCCTCCTGAGTAGCTGGGACTACAGGTGCACGCCACCACGCCTGGTTAATTTCTTTTGTATTTTAGCAGAGATGGGGTTTCACCATGTTGCCTAGGCTGGTCTCAAACTCTTGAGCTCAGGCAATCCGCCCGCCTTGGCCTCCCAAAGTGTTGGGATTACAGGCATGAGCCACCGTGCCTGGCCTTGCCTCAGCCTCTTGAGTAGCTGGGATTACAGGCACGTGCCGACTGGCTAATTTTTGTATTTTTAGTAGAGATGGGGTTTCATCATGTCGGCCAGGCTGGTCTCGAACTCCTGACCTCAAATGATCCGCCCACCTCAGCCTCCCAAAGTGCTGGTATTACAGGCATGAACCACCACGCTTGGCCAGAACTGCCTTCCTTTTGAAGGCTGAGCAATATCCTATTGTGCGTGTGTGCCGCATTCTGTTCATGCATTCATATACTGATGGACACCTGTGTTGCTTCCACCTTTGGCTATTGTGAATAGTGCTGCTACAAACAGGGTTGTACAAATACCTGCTCAAGACTCTGCTTTCAGTTCTCTGGGGTATGTACCCAGAAGTGGAAATGCTGGATCATAATGGTAAAATATACACAACAAAATCTACCATCTTAACCTTTTTTCTTTTTTTTTTTTAGTGGTAATTCTGACTGGGCTTGGTGGCTCACACTTGTAAATCCGGCACTTTGGGAGGCTGAGGTGGGAGGATTGCTTGAGTCTAGGACTTCAAGACCAGCCTGGGTGACAAAGTGAGACCCCATCGCTACAAAAAAAAAAAAAAGTAATTTTGTTTAATTTTTGAAGATTTGCCATCCTGTTTTCCTTACTCCTCCCTTTGATGTGCAGTTTCTGTACTCACTGGGGCCTTCTGTGAATGAGGCAGTTCCAGGACAAGCTACCTTCTGGTCCCCCAAGTGAGGCAGGCGAAGATCACAGAGCTGAGGCTTCCTTGGCTGTGACACACCATTCCAAAAAAGCCTCTTATTAGTGACTAAGACCTATCACTTCATCAAATCTTATCAGACCTGCCACCTTGCCTAGCAATTTTACAACAATTACTCTAGAAGAGTGACTTTGTACAAACAAGCAGAAAGTATGAACACTGGGTGCAGAGGTGGGTGGCGGGCAGCCAGCTAGGCTCACCCACGAGCAGAGGATCTTGCTCCCACGGGCCAGCCTCACAGCACATTGAAACTTCTGGCTTAGCAAAGTCACAAATTAGACCATTCAGAGGCCAGGAGGACAGTCAAGGCCACACATTGCTCTGGCGCAATTTCTCTTGGTGCTTGTGTGCATCAATTTCTTCAGCTCAGTTCTTTTTGGAATCTCCTTGTCATACTGCTGGCAAAACAGAGCCAATATAAAATGACTATGGTGGGAAGGAGGCAGCAGGGCCCAGAGCTTTGAAGGGCCCACGTGACTTTAATGTTTTGGTGGCATCTGTCATAGACACAAATGGGGGTGGATGTCCCATTTGGGACAATTTCTCCAGGAGCCATGTTTGGACTCACCCTTTTTTAAAGATAACCCCTTCTTTTTCTACTTTAGACAAGTTTTTTGGGAAGCTTCCATCTTCCTACTCAGCTCCACCTTCCTGGTCAAATGATTGGTCCAAGGTTGGCATCATGGTACCTCACCTTCTGGCTCTTTCTTTTTTTTATCCTTTTTTTTTCCTTTCTTTTTGAGACAGAGTCTTGCTCTATCGCCCAGGCTGGAGGACAGTGATGGTGTGATCTCAGCTCACTGCAACCTCTGCCTCCCAGGTTCAAGGGATTCTCCTGCCTCAACCTCCTGAGTAGATGGGATTACAGGCATCTGCCACCATGTCCACCTAATTTTTGTATTTTTAGTAGAGACGGGGTTTCACCATATTGGCCAGGCTGGTCTTGAACTCTTGACCTCAAGTGATCTGCCTGCCTCGGCCTTCCAAAGTGCTGGGATTACAGGAGTGAGCCACTGTGCCTGGCCAGAACTGCCTTCCTTTTGAAGGCTGAGTAATATTTTATTGTGCGTGTGTGCTGCATTCTGTTCATCCATTCATATATTGAGGGACACCTGTGTTGCTTCCACCTTTGGCTATTGTGAATAGTGCTGCTATCAACAGGGTTGTACAAATACCTGATCGAGACTCTGCTTTCAATTCTCTGGGGCATGTACCCAGAAGTGGAAATGCTGGATCATACTGGTAAAATATACACAACAAAATTTACCATCTTAACCTTTTTTCTTTTTTTCAGTGGTAATTCTGGCTGAGGTGAGTGGCTCACACCTGTAAATCCAGCACTTTGGGAGGCTGAGATGGGAGAATTGCTTGAGCCTAGGACTTCAAGACCAGTCTGGGTGACAAAGTGAGACCCCGTTTCTACAAAAAAAAAAAATTAAAAAGGTAATTTTGTTTAATTTTTGAGGATTCACCATCTTGTTTTCCTTACTCCTCCCTTTGATGTGCAGTTTCTGTACTCAATGGGGTCTTCTGTGAATGAGGCAGTTCCAAGACAAGCTGCCTTCTGGTCCCCCAAGTGAGGCAGGCGAAGATCACAGAGCTGAGCCTTCGCTGGCTGTGACACGCCACTCCACAAAAGCCTCTTATTAGCGACTAAGAGCCATTACGTCATCAAATCTTATCAGACCTGCCACCTTGCCTAGCAATTTTACAACAATTACTCTAGAAGAATGACTTTGTACAAACAAGCAGAAAGTATGAACGCTGGCCATCTATGCAAGTTTTAACAATCCAGGTGCTAGATCCACCCAGAACTTGCAGATTACCCTGTGTACCCACTTCGTGAGCTGCACACACAGTCCTGCTGTTCTGTTGTGTAGCCAGAGTTGAGACCCCTTTACGTACTTCCTCAGGCAACATTTGGGCCAAATCCCACTCTGGAAACCTCCTCCCTCAACTTTGTGGCCTCTGAGCAGATCACTTTCCATTTCCATTTATTTCTTTTTCTTCTTTGCTTGGTTTCTGGCACATTCCTCTTTGAACTGCCAAGATCATGCTAGGTAAATGTTTATTGAATGTAAGCTAGCAGCTTGGTTTTAGGAGACACATATTTTATAGCAAGGGGTTTCAAACTTGAACGTGTGTCAGGATCACTGGGGGGCTTGCCGCAACAGCCCACCGGGCCCCATCCCTAGAGTTCCTGAGTAGTAGGTCTGGAGGGAGGCCTGAGAATTTTTTGCATTTCTAACAGGTTCCCAGGTAATGACGCTGCTGCTGGCATCAGTATCACCCGGGAACTTCTTAGAAATGAGGACCACACTGTTTCAGCGGAATACGAAAGTGTTCTCAATTCACATAGCGTCCAGCTAATCAAAACCACAAGTAGAAACTAGAGGTGTCACCAGCCTATAGACTGACTAACAGAGACTGTGAGCTCAGTCTGGCAGAGTGGAATTATAAGGCTGTGTGACCTTGAGCAAGTTGTGTAACCTCTCTGACCTTCAGTTTGCTTATCTGCAAAATGGGATAATAATAATAGCCAACGTTTGTGACATGCTTACTACATATGCCACACACTGTTCTAAGCACTCCACAGTAAGTATCATCACATTTCATCCTCATAACAAGCCTATGACTCGATACTGTTGTTATGCCTCTTACAGATGAAGAACGTGAGACATGGTACAGTAGATGGCGGGCAGTAGCTGGCACACAGCCAGCAAGAGGCTGAACCAAGATTCCAATCCAGGCAGTTGGGACCCAACGTCTGAGCTTTCATACTAGGGAGCCCCTCTCACCCCCTTCAGACCCCCCCTCAAGGGCTTCTGAGAGGAAAGTGTGATGATTTGTAAAACGCTGGCTGATAGCCTGGTACACGGAAGCACTCAACAAAGTTTGTGGTTATTGTGAGTTGGTGCCCGGACGTGCACCTATCTGTGTCCTTGTAGGCTGTGCCCAAGGACATCCCAGCACGTGTGTTGACTATTGCACAGATCCACAGAATATCAGACCCCAAAATCATGCCCGTTGGACAGGAGGGGGCTGTCCATATTATGTAATGTGTTAATTCTTGGGTCCTTGGATGGGACAAGGTTGTGAATATGCATCACTTAGAAAACTTATCAGCGAGCGAGGAATGGAGTTGTTTACAAAACCAAGCCCTTGACGTCTTCCTGGACCTCAACCTCATCTCATCAGCTCCCCCTACGGAGTGGGGCGGAGGCGGCGGAAACGCTGAACGCTCAGGGTCGACAGGAGCAGGGGCTGCACTGCCCGCCACCTAGTGGCCAAAGTGAGCAGGTCCCCTAAAAGACACGACGCCCCGCGATCTGCGGTAAATCACATTCCTTGCGATTCTGCAATCACAGGTAGATTTGGAATGGGCTAGGATCCCCTGAGAGACTGTTTATAAGGAGGGCGGTCTATGTAGATGCACTAATTTGAGGGAGGGAGAGCGTGGGAGGGTCTCTGCGGAGGAGAGATGCTTTCTCTCTGGAAACCCTGGACGTGAAGGCACCTGCCAGCTGCCATTTTTCTTGCTCTAAGCTTTTCTGCAAAGGAGGGAATAAAACTGAGATGCTTTACTAGGAACTCAGGTGGGAAAATAAACAGTTTCCTTAGGAAAGATGCCAGAGGCAGGGAGCAGAGGCAAAATCCAAGAGAGAGATGAGGTTGTTTTTTGTTTTTGTTTTTGTTCGTTTTAAATCAATTTGGGCCGGGCGCGGTGGCTCACGCCTGTAATCCCAGCACTTTGGGAGGCCGAGGCGGGCAGATCACAAGGTCAGGAGTCTGAGATCAGCTTGGCCAATATGGTGAAACCCCGTCTCTACTAAAACTACAAATATATATACATATCTATATGTACATACATATATATACACACACATATATATACATATACACACACATATATATACATATATATACACATATATATACACACACATATATATATACATATACACACACATATATATACATATATATACACACATATATATACACATATATATATACACATATATATACACACACACACATATATATATATATATTAGCCAGGCGTGGTGGCACGCACCTGTAGTCCCAGCTACTCGGGAGGCTGAGGCAGAAGAATCACTTGAACCCAGGAGGCGGAGGATGCAGTGAGCCGAGATCGCCCCGCTGCACTGCAGCCTGAGCCACAGAACGGGACTCCGTCTAAAAAAATAAATAAAAAACAAATATTTCCCCACTCTGCCACATCGAGAGGCCGGCATGGTTCACCCGTGGGAGGGGAGGAGCAGGTGTGCTAAGCAGTAGCTGTGGTTTTAAAATGTTTTTCTTTTCACCATCATCCTTCTTTATCCCTCAGTTTCTTCCCTCTGCAGCCCCGGAAGAAGGAGGTGGGCCGTTCTCGCATTGCTGTAAAGGAATACCTCAGACTGGGTAATTTATAAAGGAAGAGGATTCATTGGCTCACAGTTCTGCAGGCTGTACAGGAAGCGTAGCAGCATCTGCTTCTTGGAAGGCCTCAGGAAGCTCCCGATCATGGCAGAAGGCAAAGAGGGAGCAGATGCATCACACGGCGAAAGCAGGAGCAACAGGAGCAGGAGGTGCCACACACTTTTTTTTTTTTTTTTTTTTTGAGATGGAGTCTCGCTCTGTCGCCCAGACTGGATGAAGTGGCGCGATCTTGGCTCACTGTAACCTCTGCCGCCTGGGTTCAAGCGATTCTAGTGCCTCATCCTCCCGAGTAGCTGGGAGGCCTCCACAATCACCGATCACTGTGTCCAAGGGAGAAGGTGCTGGAGGAGCGTGTTCTGCTCCTCAAGACTGTGGCTCAGAAGCAACACATGTCTCTTCTACTCCCATTGGCCAGAATTAGTCACATGGCCCCAACCTAACTGCAGTGGTGGCTGAGAGTGTTGTCTTCCTGAGTACCCAGAAAGAGGAAAATGCAAAAAGATTTGGTGAAAATATAGCATTGTCTTTGCCATAACAAACATACTTCCTTTGTTGATTTTTTTAAATCAAAGGCAATAATTGGAGATAAATGTGTTATATCTCCTCTTGGAGAATATTTTGTTGTCATGTTAAAAGCCTCTGAAAAGTCTTGCTGTAAATATGGAACTTTTATTTAATCTGGCATTTCCCAGATTTGGTGATTGAGGCCTTTTAAATAATTTAATAGCTTTGGAATTAATATTTGGAGATATAAACTTTGGGAAATTGCCCTAAATGTGTCAACTGGTGAGTCCAAATCTGTGGGGGGAAAATGATGAGCAAAGAGATGAGTAATGTGTTCTACAAAAGTAGAGGACAGTCAGGTGCAGTGGCTCAGGCCTGTAATCTCAGCACTTTGGGAGGCTGAGGTGGGCAGATCACCTGTTAGGAGTTCAAGACCAGCCTGGCCAACATGGTGAAACCCTGTTTCTACTAAAAATATAAAAATTAGCCGGGGGTTGTGGCGGACACCTGTAATCCCAGCTTCTAGGGAGGCTGAGGCAGGGGAATCACTTGAACCTGGGAGGTGGAGGTTGCAGTGAGCAGAGATCACGCCACTGCACTCCAGCCTGGGCAACAGAGCAAGACTCTGTCTCAAAAAAAAAAAAAAAAAAAAAGTAAGGAATGAATTAGACCTGGGGCTGAGAGAGGGAGAGGATAACACTGGGGAAAATTTTCCTGAGATGGGAAAGGCCTGGGAAACAATGACAGGCTCAGAGCAGAGGGTGATTCAGCCCAGGCCACAAGCTTGAGGGCCCTGGAGCAGATGCAGCTATAAACCAGGAGAGTCGGTGCAGCCAATGTCAAGAGCTGGGAGGCTTGTTTGGTGCCGACTCGTAGCCCTGTGTAGCTAGAGGAATCTTAGGGCTCATTCAAACTGCCTTCTTCATGTTATAGACAAGAAGGGTAGGGGCTTAGAAAAATGTAGTTTTTTATTCTTAAAGTAATTCATATTCATGAAAGACAATCTGAACTAAGCACAAAGAAGATTAAAAAAAAAAACAACCACCATATTCTGGTCAGGTGCGATGGTTCATGCCTGTAATTCCAGCACTTTGGGAGGCTGACACAGGTAGATTGCTTGAGCCCAGAAGTTTGAGACCAGCCTGGTCAACAGAATGAGACCCCATCTCTAAAAAAGAATTTATAAATTAGCTGGGCATAGTGGCACTTGCCTGTAGTCCCAGCTACTCAGAAGGCTAAGGTGGGAGGATCACCTGAACCCAGGAGGTTGAGGCTGTAGTAAGCTGTGATCCCACCACTGCACTCCAGCCTAGGGGGGCAACAGAGCAAGACCTTGTCTCAAAAAATATATAAATATAAATAAAAACATATTCCACCTTGTAAAGGTTAAGTGTTTTATTCTGGAGGAGACAACTGCCACCAGGTGGCACTAAACCTAGCTGGCCTGGGCTGATGGGGAACCCCAGCTGTGCAGGCTCTCCAAGGCCACTCATTAACCTCAAAATAAGGCAGCTCCGCAAATCATATGGTTGTATTTCTGGACCCCACTTACTGGTTATGAAAATATTTTACCATTTATTTGATCGGTCTTTCTAATTGTGCTGTACAAATCTTCCACATCTTAAATTTTTGGGGGTCTATTTGATCAGTGAGAAAAATGGTTAAAATATCCATTGTTGACAATTTTTCCTTGTAGTTCAGTTTTTGCCTTATATATTTTGAAGCTATGTTGTTAGGTGTCTAAGGATTCGTGCCTTATATGTTCTATTCAGTTATTTTTTTTGATAAAAATGAAATATCTTTTTCTGTCCCATTCAATCCTTTTCTTTTTGAATTCTGTCTATAGCCAGCCATAGCACTCTGAACATGCCTGATCTTGTCTGAATTCTATAGAATCTGATTGGTATTGCTAAACCAGCATTTTGTTAATATTTGTTTGCTACATCTTTTTCTATGTATTTATTTAAAAAAAAAAAAAATTTTGAGACAGGGTCTCACTCTGTTGCCCAGGCTGGAGTGCAGTGGCACCATCATGGCTCACAGCAGCCTAGGCCTCCCCAGGCTCACGTAACCTCAACCTCAACCTCCCAAGCAGCTGGGACTACAGGTGCACACCACCACACCAGCTAATTTTTGTATTTTTTTGTAGAGACAAGGTCTCCCTGTGTTGCCCAGGCTGGTCTTGAACTCCTGGGCTCAAGCAAATCCACCCGCCTTGGCCTCCCAAAGTGCTGGGATTACAGGTGTGAACCATCGTGTCCGGCCCATGCTGTCTTAATTATAATATTATAGCATTTGGAAGGATAATGCCCTAATATTATTCTTTTTCAGAGCTCTCCTAGTCATTGGTTACTGTTCTTTATGCAATTCTACAAGAAACCTATTCAGATTTTTATTGAGGTCACATATGACATCTTTACAGTGTTGAACAGTGTTGAGCTTTTCCGTCTCTCTTTCTATGGTTTGTGTGTGTGTGTGTGTGTGTGTGTGTGTTTTCTTTTTTCTTTTTTTTTTTTTTGAGACAGGGTCTCACTCTGTCACCCAGGCTGGAGTGCAGTGGCCCGATCACGGCTTACTGCAGCCTCCACCTCTTGGCTTAAGCAATCCTCCCACCTCGGCCTCCAGAGTAGCTGGGACTACAGGCACACACCACCATGCCCAGCTAATTTTTGTATTTTTTTTTTTTGTAGAGATGGGAGTCTCACCATGTTGCCTAGGCTGATCTTGAACTCCTGGGCTCAAGCAATCCACCCACCTTGGCCTCCCAAAGTGCTGGGATTACAGGTGTGAGCCACTGCGCCCAGGTCCTATGTCTTTATTTTCAGCTTTCCCGTGTGCATTGATTGGGAATTGGTTTCACTTCATGTAGTAGAAACAAACTAATGCAGCTCCGTCAGTAAGATTTTTTTCTCACACAAGAAGTCTGAAGGCTGTGGTCCAGAAGAGGTGAACATCAAAGACGCATCAACCAACTGGGCTTCTTCTACCATTCTACCATTTGCTCCTCTGTATTTTTTTCTTTTCTTTTTTTTTTTTTTTTTTTTTTTTGAGACGGGGTCTTGCTCTGTTGTCAGGCTGGAGTGCAGTGGTGCGATCTCAGCTCATTGCAACCTCTGCCTCCTGGGTTCAAGAGATTCCCCTGCCTCAGCCTCCTGAGTAGCTGGGACTACAGGCATGCACCACCACGCCCGGCTAATTTTTTGTATTTTAGTAGAGATGGGGTTTCACCACGTTGTCCAGGATGGCCTTGATCTCCTGACCTCGTGATCTGACCGCCTTGGCCTCCCAAAATGCTGGGATTACAGGCATGAGCCACCGCGCCCAGCCTTTTTTTTTTTTTAGGCGGAGTCTCGCTCTGTTGCCCAGGCTGGAGTGCAGTGGAGCAATCTCAGCTCACTGCAACCTCCACCTCCTGGGCTCAAGCAATTCTCCTGCCTCAGCCTCCTGAGTAGCTGGGACTACAGGCACCTGCCACCATGCCCAGCTAACTTTTTGTATTTTTAGTAGAGATGGGGTTTCACCGTGTTAGCCAGGATGGCCTTGATCTCCTGACCTTGTGATCTGCCTGCCTCGGCCTCTGAAAGTGCTGGGATTACAGGTATGAGCCACAGTGCCCAGCCAATGCTCCTCTGTATTTAGGGCATAACTTAGACCTCCTGGTTGAGAGAGAGCTACTGTACCTCCATGTCGGTGACAGCATTCCAGACAGGAAAAGGTAACAAGGGTAAAGGACACAGAGACATGCAGATGGAACAGTCCTTTTTAGCAGAAAAATGAGAGCTTGCTATGAAGCTGCACCCAGCAGAATTCCACTTACATCTTAGTGCCTGGAACTGGGTTCCATGGACACCACCAGCTGCAAGAGAGTCTGGGGAGTTCAGCCTTTTAAAATGAGCACGTTGCTTCCCTAAAAAAAATAGGGTCTCCATTAGTAAGAGGGGAGGATGAATCTTGGGTGAATAACTGGCACTGTCTGCTTCACCACAGTATTTTGCTTTTGCTATTTCTTGTAAACAGCATATAAATGAGTTCTTTTTAAAAACCCAATATGAATTTATAAACCTTCAATAATAAAATAGTATGAGACCAGTGCGTGAATAGACAGGGATAATTAGAACAGAATATAAATTTCAGGAATAGGCCTAAATACACATCATAGTTTAATAATGTGATAGGGGTGACATCTCAAAATAAATGGGGGAAGTCATGGACTATTCAGTAAATTATGTAGAAAAAAATAAGGCTAGACCTATACTTCACACCATATACCAGGATAGATTCTAAAAGGTCCAAAAGCCAAAATGTAAAAAAAAAAAAAAAAAGAAAGAAAAGAAAAGAAACCTTAGAAATCTGTAAGAAAACCTGGAATAACTGTTTTATAACATAATCCATATTTCAAAGTGAGTGTGATACACCGCAAATGACCACAAATTCTTTGAAGCTCTTTTCCATCAAGAGATGGAGTCTATTTCTCTACTCCTTGAATCTGGCCTGGGCTTGTGACTTGTGTAGATCAACAAAGTCATCAGAAATGCCACTGACAAGTTCCAGAGCCTAGGCCTCCAAAGGCTCTGAGCCTTTGGCTGTGCTCTCTTGGAATGCTGTGGTCTGTGAAGAAGCCCAGGCAAGCCCACGGAAGGATGAGTGACCGCGTGGAGCAGAGACAAGTCACGACTCAGATAGATGAGCAAGGCCATCCTAGACCATCCACCTCCTGCTGAGCTGGCCCTGACTGAAAGAGCCACCCAACCACCTACAGAGTTGTAGGCAAACAAATGATTGCTATTTCAAGCTGTTTTGTTTGTTTGTTTGTTTGTTTGTTTTACTACATATTGGAGTAATTTATCACTTTGCAACAAAAGATAACTGTAACGTCACTTCTAAAAATTTATCCTGCAGATAGAATTGCAACATGTGCAAAATGACAGACATTAGGTCCAGACCATTCATTGCCCCATTGTCTGTAAAATCTTTTTGTGGGGCAGAAACGGGGATGACAGGGTCTCACTCTGTCACCCAGGCTGGAGTGCAGTGGCATGATCATGGCTCACCACAGCCTTGACCTCCCAAGCTCAGGTGATCCTCCCACCTCAGCCTCTAGAGTAGTTGGGACTATAGGCACCTGCCACCATGCTTGGCTAATTTTTTTTATTTTTTGTAAAGACAAGGTTTTGCCATGTTGCCCTGACTGGTCTCAAACTCCTAGGCTCAAGCGATTCACCTGCCTCAGCCTCCCAAAGTACTAGGATTACAGGCATGAACCACTGGACCTAGTATTGACCCATCGTTTGTAATATCTAAAGACTGAAAACAACCTAAACCTCTATCACTAAGGGATGGGTGAGTAAGTTATTATATATTCATACAAAGGGATACTAGACGATGTGAAAAAATATTAGCACCTATATGCTGATATGGAAGGATCTTCAAGAATATTGCTAAAGTATATAATAAAAAGATATATATGGCCAGGTGTGGTGGCACATGCCTGTAATCCCAGCACTTTGGGAGGCCAAGGTGGGAAGATCATGAGGTCAGGGGTTCGAGACCAACCTGACCAACATGGTGAAATCCCGTCTCTACTAAAACTACAAAAAATTAGCCGGGCATGGTGGCATGTGCCTGTAATCCAAGCTACTTAGGAGGCTGAGGCAGGAGAATCACTTGAACCCAGGAGGTGGAGGTTGCAGTGAGCTGAGATCGAGCCACTGCACTCCAGCCTGGGCAACAGACCGAGACTCCGTCTCCAAAAAAAAAAAAAAAAAAGTATATACAAGAATGTTCATAATCACCTTATTCATAATAGCTAAAACTGATAATTCAAATGTCCACCAACAGGTAAAGTATGGCGTATTCATACAATGAAATGCTACACAACAAAGAACAAATAACTAATATACCCAACAACAGGGATGATCTGAAACAATATTGAGTCAAAGAAGTCAGACACAAAGAGAACATATTGCATGCTTCCATTTCTATGAAGAGTAAGAGGAGATGGATCTAATCTATGGTGATGGAAGCCAGAGGGGTGGTTACCCCCTGGGGAATGGAGAGGTGTGTTTGGACTGAAAGGGGCAAAAGAGGACCTTCTGGGGAGGTGGAAATGCTCCATGTCTAGATCTGGGAGGTGGTTATACTGGTTTTTATAATGTATGTAAAAATCACCAAGTTGCACATTTAAGATCTATGCATTTTACTATATGTAAATTATATCTTAATTTTTCTTTCATTTTTTTTTTTGGAGACAGAGTCTGGCTTTGTTGCCCAGGCTGGAGTATAGTGGTGCAATCTCAATTTACCTAGGCTCAAGTGATCCTCCCGCCTCAGCCTTCTGAGTAGCTGGGACTACAGGTGTGTGTACCATGCCTGGCTAATTTCTGTTTTTTTTGTTTTTGTTTTTGTTTTTGGTAGAGGTGGGTTTTTTTCATGTTGTCCAGACTGGTCTTGAACTCCTGGGCTCAAGTTATCCTCCCGGCCCAGCCTCCTAATCTTTCATTTTTTTTTTTAAGAGACAGGGTTTCACTATGTTGCCCAGGCTGGCCTTGAACTTCTGGGCTCAAGTGAACCTCCTACCTCATCCTCTCAAGTACCTGGGACTACAGGTGTGTGCCACTGTACTCAGCTTTATAGCTTAACTTTTAAAAAGAAATATTGCTAAAGAGAAGAAAAAAAAGCAAGATTCAGACTAGTGTGCATAGTATGTGCATAAAAAAGTGGGAGAAAGAATATGAAGTCATGTTTGCTTAAACAACGACTGTAAGGATACCCTAGAATCCAAAGGAGACAGTCTACTTCGGTGGTGGATTTACCAGAAGGGGCCAGGGAGGGGAGAGGGAGGCATTTCACCTTTTATCGTTTTGGACTTCTTTTTTTTTTTTAATTTTATTATTATTATACTTTAAGTTTTAGGGTACATGTGCACAATGTACAGGTTAGTTACATATGTATACATGTGCCATGTTGGTGTGCTGCACCCATTAACTCATCATTTAGCATTAGTTATATCTCCTAATGCTATCCCTTCCCCCTCCCCCCACCCCACAACAGTCCCCGGTGTGTGTGATGCTCCCCTTCCTGTGTCCATGTGTTCTCATTGTTCAATTCCCACGTATGAGTGAGAACATGTGGTGTTTGGTTTTTTGTCCTTGCGATTGAGTCTCGCTCTGTTGCCCAGGCTGGAGTGCAGTGGTGCGATCTCGGCTCACTGCAAGCTCCGCCTCCTGGGTTCACACCATTCTCCTGCCTCAGCCTCCCGAGTAGCTGGGACTGCAGGCTCCCGCCACCACGCCTGGCTAATTTTTTGTATTTTTAGTAGAGACGGGTTTCACCATGTTGGCCAGGATGGTCTTGATCTCCTGACCTCATGATCTGCCAGCCTTGGCCTCCCAAAGTGCTGGGATTACAGGCATGAGCCACCATACCCGACCCCGTTTTGGACTTTTGAATCCTAAGCATAAGTTACTCATTCAAACAATTTTAGAGGTTTAAATTTAAAAAGAGTCCAGCCTGAGGACTGCTGCACTTCAGTAAGTGAGTTTATATGCCATTGACTTCTGTCATTTGAAATTTTCCCTTATCCTACTTCTGTACTTTTCTTGTTTACCAGGTTTTTACCTCTTTCACATAGTTAGTGGGTTGAATTTTGTTGTTCCATTCCTCACCTGGCCCCAGTAATTTGAAAGGTTCTGCCTGTCCTGCAGTCACCCCCCACTTAACTCGCCTACTTAAGCTCATTGTTTCACCATGTCTAGAGTTGACCATTATCTATAACCTCCCACCAAGCAGGTCAAGAGCCTTTGCAGACATCTGCCAAACATTGGCACCCCTCTCCCTAAATATGTGGGAATTTTAGACTCAAATTTGGGAGGGGGAGGTTTCAAAGAGAAATTAATGGAAATATTTAATTTTAAATAATTTTACTAGGTGTGGTGGCTCACGCCTCTAATCTCAGGGCTTCAGGAGACAAGGTGGGAGCATCACTCGAGCCCAGGAGTTTTAGACCTTTTCTCTACAAACAATAAAAATAAAAAAAATTAGCCAGGGGGGTTGCATATGTCTGTAATCCCAACTACTTGGGAGGCTGAGGCAGGAGCATCACTTGAGCCCAGGAGTTTGAGGCTGCAGTGAGCTATGATTGGGCCACTGTACTCCAGCCTGGATGACATAGTGAGATCATCTCTAAAATAAACACACAAACTTCTATACTTACCATCGTGGGTCTTAGTATCCCACTACCTTCTCCTGAATTCCTTTTTGTTAGTATGTATCTGCCAGTAATTCCTTTGTTGTGGGTTTGTGGGTGGCAATCTTTTTAAATTCTTTTATACTGTATGTGAAAATGTCGGCCAGGGACAGTGGCTTACGTCGCTAATTCCAGCACTTTGGGAGTCCAAGGTGGGAGGATCACTTGTGCCCAGGAGTTTGAGACCAGCCTGGGCAACGTAAGTGAGACCCCTGTCTCTACAAAAAAAATTTTTTAAATTAGCCGGGCATGGTGGCACTCACCTATAGTCCCAGCTGCTCGGGAGGCTGAAGCAGGAGGATTGCTTAAGCCCAGGGTCTTGGAAAGAGTCCACTTCCTGACCTTTTCCAGTTCCATGGCCTTTTCTTCCATCAACATACATCCCTCCAACCCCTGACCCTGTCACCGTCTTCTCCCCCACTGTCACATCACCTCTCATGGCCCTGTCTCAGTCCCCAGCCCCATCGTTAGGGGACATCAGGCCCAGTACGGACATGGGACTGGAGCGCCAGGCCTCTCCTGGTCACTGTTGGTCAGTGACAGGCTCCCCCGGCCCGCCCTCACCCAATCACTTTCTCTTTAACACGGAAGCAGGCCTCCCAGTCATCCTCTGCGTCTTGGGTCAGCATTCCAGCTTCTGCTTATCCTCTAGAAACTTCACTGGGCCATAGTCCTGGTGGTGATTACTCTTTCCAGCTCTGTGTCACCTGGAAGCAAACTCCAGGAGCACCTCTGCGACTTCAACCAGTAGGGGAGCAGGGCTGGGAAGAGAAAGGGCAGTTTCAAGAGGCACAGGGATGAGAAGAAAGGGAAGAACACAACAGTCGCCACCTACAGGACTGACCGGCCAAACCTTGCTCAGAGGCCAAGTCTACTCAGTTACTGTCTGGCCAGTCCTACCCCTCAACCCCCACTGTGGGGGCTAAAGGTACTCCAGCTTGGAAGCTGATCCCACACGCTGACCTCGATTAACCCTAGTTCTGGGAATGCTTCTAAGATTTCTAATTTCACGTACTTACCCTTAGGTCAAAAAAGGTTGATGTAATTGCAAATGTACACTTACCCTAAATCCTGGTCCTTAGGCAAATCCTGAGTCTGGAAGGTAGCAGTGCAGGGATCCACCCTCTCATCTTATGGCTGCCTGAGACATGGCTTCTATCTCTATGTCCCTATTAAATGTTTCTGAGAAAACTGGGTTTGTCACCCTCTTTTTTCAGCCTCTCAGCTCCCTCAGCCTTCAAGGGTAGGTTTTCCAGGGCTGCCATGTTCTAATCAGCCCTGACCCTCGGCCCACAGCAACTGGCCTGGAGATAGGTGGGCTCATGATTTGATTTTTGGCCTTGGCACAGGGTCTGGTCAGTCTCTTGCTAAAGTGAAAGATGTTAAATGTTTTCAATAGCGAAGGAAACACTGGTCTGTGGAGAGAGGAATAAGGTCATCAGGGGACTTCCCCAAGGCACAGGACACTCCAGCACGGGTGCCTGGCCCACCATGGAAAGGCAGACAGGGGAGGTGACTGTCACGAGGATCTGGGAGTGACGCGTGGAAGTGACTACTGGAACAGATACTGAGGTAGTATGAATAAGGACACTCACTGACAGAATACAGATGTGTGCACACTGATCCGGCTATATTTTATGAAATGGATCAAACATCTGGAAAAGAACATTTTTGCAGTCCAGTATGGACTTGGCACGCAAAGCTGCAGACCCTGCCTCTGTGCCCCATCTTTGACAACTGTCCCCAGGCCCCAGAAGTACATCCAGGTCGTGCCTGCCCTCCTCCCAGGCCTGGACCATTTCAAGACTCAGTCCCAGCCCTGGTGAGAATCCAAGAGCTGTCTCTGCTGCCACATGAAGTGAGACAAGGCAGCCAACTGAGGCAGGAGAGTAGGGTCGGGAGGCAGGGAACCTAAGGCTGTTTCACGCCGACTTCCTAGAACTAAATCGAAAGGAAAACCCTAACTTTCCACGCCTAAGTAACAAAAGGACCAGAGGCTACTCCCTTTGATCTTTTCTGTCCACAACCAATCAGACTGATTGCAGACTGAGTCTTCATTTGCATAGAAGTATAACTTTGTAACTTCATCCTAGCCTCTGATTGGTTGCTTTTGGCAACCAATCAGATGTTTCGCACAGGGGTGTGACCTTTGTAACTTCACTTAAGCCTCTGGTTGGCTGCTGTCTGCAACCAACTGATTGCAGGCTACCACTTCATTTACCTGAGGTGAGCATGAGTGGCCAATGGGAATCTTCTAAGGGGATATTTGGACCCAAGAAGATTCTGTATCTGGGCCCTTGAGCTGCTGCCTGGGTCCGCTCCCACACTGTGGAGCCTACTTTTGTTTTCAATAAATCCCTTTCGTTCTTTTGTTGCTTCATTCTTTCTGTGCTTTTCTGGGCGTTTTGTCTAATTATTTGTTCAAAACGCCAAGAACCTGGGCAACTTGCAGTCACAACCCTCTACCGGTGACACAACAACACCTCACCGCCCTTCATTCACCCTTGGAGTTGGCTGTGTCCAAGACTGCATCTCAGAGGAGGTGTGTGTCCAGAGGCCTCAGGGTCGCTCCTGGTGCCCTGCGAGGCGTGAGGCGAGTAGGATGGGATGGTGGCAGGTGGAGCTTGCGGAGGGCAGGAGCTAGCCTGGATGCAGCCCCCGCTAAGCTGTCCTGGGGCAGGTGGGCCCTTGGGGTCCTCCCTTGTAAGCTGCCCCCGGCCTGGCACTGCAAGAGCAAGTGGAGCCTCACCTGATTTCTCCATAGAGAGGGTGCAGGGGAAGGAGCAGGTGTGTTGGGAGGATTGCAAAGTCCAAGCAGACGTCAGCTGAGCTCATTCCACACGCCGCTGTCCCACTCTTTGGGGGCACTCCCAGCCCTTGTTGGTCTCAATGGCATTTCTCCCCTCCTGGGTTTCCTGGTCTGGTATCCTACCTACTGTACACATGCCCCAAACTCTGCTTTGAAGCCCAATTCTCACCACGTGGCATGACTGTCCCAGCTGGCCACCTTCCTGGAATTCAGCCCAAATCAGTACTTTTGGGAACTTCCTGCAAGGTTTCAAAGAAGCTTTTCTGACACACAGCCACCATGGAGGGTGTTCCAGTCCCCGGACCCTGCTGTGGACATGAGGACACCCATCCCCCACCAGCCGAGCCAGCTGCAAAGGCCTCATAATCCAGCCCCGGCCACCCAGAAGGACAGTGAGCACAGCCTATCTGAGAATGGTATTTGAATCTTTAAGAAAATGAGACTGACTCCAAAATCTAAAACTACCTTTATTGTGGTTGGCTCGACATAAGATGCCGCCATCAGCAGAATTATAAAACTGTACAGGAGGCACAAAAATAGGCTGTTTAACTTAGATAATGACCCTCATGTCTTCAAGCTTTAAAAATGCACATAAAAGTTGTACAATCTGGCAGTTTATAAAATATAAAGCTAAAAAGAGGATTTTGGGTTCCACAAAGAAGACTGTATCACACAATTAACACGTACTAATTAAACAATTAACCATCCACACAGAAGACATAATGGCACAGAATTCTTAAAAATCACCTAAAAATTAACATTTTACCCCGACCAAATTAATCACCCTTTAATAATAAGACTACTGTAAAGCATCCATCCCATGGAAGGATACAGTATCACTTTTCCAGTTTTAAAATGGTCAAGGGTGTTGTCCAAAACAAATCTGATGTGCTTTAAGCAAGTACAATTGTAACTGGATACATTTCAGAGTAAAAATTAAATAAATATAAATAGGTTAAATAAATAGGTCATTGCAAAAAGAACACTACACAAGGTTTACATCTGAGAATGCAGAGTAGGTGACTGGTAATGCTTTCTAGGTAAGTGGGGACTCCCCATCACAGCTTTAGGGACACTGAAAAGGAATACTGTATCCACCAAACACACACACAGTACACAGGGGAGGTGGGGGGGCTTTGGCCAAAGTGTTGGTTAAGGCTGCTCCAGTGGGAGGCTCACTGCAGTCACGTTCTTTGTGGCTTTCCAACGTCTACAGAAAGAATTTAAGCGCCGGTACAAAAAATCAGAACCAGAGTTACTCACGGGAAATCACTGTTTCATAAAGAAGGAGGGGAGTAGACCATTGGGTTTAAAAGATGATGTCCAACCTGGGAGGGTGGAATTTCGGCTCACCTGGAGAGGATGCCTGATGACTTCCTGCCAGGAGAAGCCAAAGCCAGGACATAGTCAACCAAAATAACTCCAGGTTGGTGAGGGAAGGGACAAGGAAAAGAAACACTGGGAAATTCAAAGAAAGGCAATCTCAGACACTAAAAGAGCAGAGAGAGAAAGCGACATGGGGGACTTAAAGAGGCTCCTTCCAGGGCGCTGGGCTTCTCTTCCAGCACAGAAGGCTGCAAAAGTGGAACTGGCCCCCAGTTCCCAGAGGATCACAAGGCCAAGGATCCAATGGGCACACCATGAGGACCCAAGGAAAGGACAGAGAAAGGAACGGCTCTGGGAAAGCCAAACCTGGCCAAAGTCCAACTTCCTGAAAAGAAAGCAGCCAAGAGGAGAAAGCCGTACAATCCAAAGGTCCCCCCATCTGCATGAACGGTTTGATCAGCAACCAATTAATCTCTCACTGCAGCAAGAAAAGAATTGCCAAAGATAACTGAATCGCATGCACACAAAACCTTACCAAAGGCTCAGGGTCAACTCTGATAAGGCCCTTTCTTCTAGAGTTGGTGGGAAGAAACTCTGCTGGATCTACTCACCTGCAGATCTTCCAGAACATCTATCTGTAACTGATCAGAGTGATGTCTCCTTGGAAGGGCCTCTGACCACCACTGCACTGAGAACACGGCGGGAGTGAGAACACCTGCGCACCCAGGATTTCACACTTAGCCACTAGATTGCTTCACAGCTAATCAGGGAAATGCCAGTGTTCCCCAGGTGAAAATGTTTTGGTGCCTAATGACTTGTGGAGCACTTCAAAAACTGAGATTAGGCCGGGTGCGGTGGCTCAAGCCTGTAATCCCAGCACTTTGGGAGGCTGAGGCAGGCGGATCACGAGGTTAGGAGATCGAGACCATCCTGCCTAACATGGGGAAACCCCGTCTCTACTAAAAAAAATATAAAAAATTAGCCGAGCGTGGTGGCACACACCTGTAATCCCAGCTACTCGGGAGGCTGAGGCAGGAGAATTGCTTGAACCAAGGAGGCGGAGGTTGCAGTGAGCTGAGGTCGTGCCACTGCACTCCAGCCTGGGTGACAGAGCGAGACTCTGTCTCAAAAAAACAAAAAACAAACGAAAAAACACTGAAATTAAAAAGACTCAAGAAGCAACAAGAGAAATTCTGGCACACGTGCCCAAGAGAGGTTTAGTAAGACAAGATTTAAATAAGTCATAGTGTCCTTTGGATTCCTAACAGATGTGACCAAGCTCCATCTTGAAGATAGCGTACAGTACTTCTAAAAAGCTCAACAGCCTTCCAGGATTGGAGAAGTCCCATAACCTGAACTACAGACCAAACAGCTAAGCCGCAACACGATATGTGATGGTGCAGAGCTGTTCTGGCCTGAAAAGAACTTTCCACTTGCTGAGCACAGTGGGAAACCAGAATTCTCGAGACTAGAACTGGATACACCAGATGATGCCCAAGGTGTTTTCATGACAAGTACCCACACGAGATCTCTTCAAACAAACCCCCCAGAGGATGGACGGGAACCAGGGCTCCTAAAGGCGACTAAGAGGAAAGACCAGAGGTGACCGGACCAGATCCCTGTGATTCTGGGACAGAAGAGATGTAAACCGCAAACACGCGCCCTTCCCCACACACTTTGGTTTCTTTGTGGCAGCAACACTTTTTTATTGTTCTCTCTCATCACAAGTTTTAGGAAAGCAGAAGTTTTGCCTGTCTTGTTCATCGCTGTATCTCCGGCACCCTATATCCTGCCTAGCTCAATACACTAAGTGCTCAAATAAAATACATTGAATAAATGATTTTGAGAAATCTGCGTGGTTAGAAACTAGTATGATAAGCAGAAAAGGCATCGGAAACAGTTGTCTCTAGGCAAGTGGGGCTAAAACAGGGAGATGACACAAAATTGGGTCACTAGAAATCACCTGGGTACTCCCAAAGAGAAAACCTGTGCTGAGAACGAGCTGGGCTGGGGGCACTCCCTGTGGCAGGCCTGTTAAATCACTCGTGGCACCTTCTCCACCTTCTGATCCTCTCTTGGGTTACTGCCAAAGCCCACAGGTAAAGCACCTTGCAGCCGTATGGGGAGCTCTGTCTCAGGCCACCTGGCATGCGGCATGGGAGCAGCAGGAAATGCGGTCTGGCCACGTTTCTGAACAACGCACAGCCTTGCTTAGAAGACGCCAAGGACACCGACCAAGGGCCAAGGTTCCAAGGCCTAAGTGAGGTAATCGATGAGATTTAAGGATGTAGGATCACGTTAATAGTAGGGAAAAAAGTCACTTTAGCTATGATGAAAGGAAGGGAACTGAATTCTACAAAGGCAGAATGAGAGCTTTTGATGAGTAACCATGATACAAATACACAAACAGAAAACATCTTACAACATGAAGAAACAGTGATTTCTCTGTGAGTAAAATTCAACAATCCCATTCTTAATACTGAATGGAATCTCTGAGTTCACCAGGCCTGAGCTGCAATGATCCCCCAACTGGCTGGAGAAAGTACATGGACAACATCTCCTTACACGGTAGGCTGATTGCATTTTAACCTCTAAGGCTCTCGGGAGAGAAAAGACAAAGTTTTGACTGAAACTAAAGCTAAAAATTATGTTAAGTTTAGAAAAAAAAATATGGTACAAACAATTTAGAGACTATTTCTTTGATACTGTTCAATACATTTACATAGTGTTGCTATAATGTTTTACTCTTCAGCATTAGAGAATGTTCTATACATGAACACTCTTGAGGGGATGGTGATTTTTGGTACCACAAAAAATAGAAGATGTATTCTATCTTGCATTTATTCTTCACAAGAAAGCTTCAAGTTTAGCTTACTTATGCTGACATAGCATTCTACAGTATAATCAAAATATAGTTATTAAAATTTGCCAAGAAAAACAAAAAAGCTGGCCCATGAAGCACACGGTGACCCTGGCCTTGGCCACCCACCCTGGCCCTGACTCACCACGAGCCTCTTGTTCCACCGGCCTTGGGGACGAAGGAGTTTGACTGCCTACTCGCTGGCCCAGGGCTTTCTCCTGGTGACCAGGAGGGTCCCATTCGGCGGCCTCCCTCTGGTCCTGAAGGCTGGCCCCTGTCTGGGTCTTCGCTGCTCTCCTTGAAGGCCAGGGAACTCTTTACCTCTTGCCCCAGGCGCTCCTGAGCACCACCCCGAGATGGCCCGGGACACACCCACCAAAGGCCACTGTTCTGGCCACTGGCACTGGGCCACGGCTGCCTCCAGAACAGAGCAGCCTCTTCATTTCTGAGACCTGCAGACACAACCCCACCTGCCAGCATGCATAGCTGACCAGTCCCTAATGCCACACCTCATGCTCATGGCTCCTGCTGCCTCTGCAGAAACACTAGTTAACAGTGACCTGGGCTACTCTGGGCACATCTGTGATCAATGAGAAATCTCACACTGCAGGACGACACCCTCTGAACTCCGTCCTCCCCCTCCTCAGCATCCCCCACCTCTCAATTCCGGTCTCCAGTGAAGGCTGTACTTGGTGCATCTCAGCCTAGCTGTCCCAGCACGCAAGCAAAATGTACGATTCCCTCCTCTCCCTTCCTGAAAGGCCTGTAGACTGACATTAAGCAGGAATTTAAAAAGTCTGAAGCAAGTTTATCCAGTAGATGGCTGGGGGTGCTACTCGCGCTGTCTCTGAGGCCCTCCTTTGCAGACATCATGACCGTAAGGCTTTTGGGGCCAGCATCTTCCCAGTTCCCTGTAGGTCACGAGGGGCCACTTCTCCCACTTCCTGGGGTCAGCACTGTCCTCTGTGGGCTGCAGAGCAGGCAGCTCAAGGCACTTGGTTTGGGAAGCCTGGTCTCCCTGCAAAGCCGGGAGGCATCAAGCTCTAATTGTGGTGACCAGGCCCTCAGTCACAGCTGGGGCCACCAGAACAGAGGGGCCGCCCTCGCTCAGAGGGCGTCTGGAGTCACTGGGGGCTGGGGCTCTGGGGGCTCGTGGAAGTAGTAGGGCTGGAAGAGTCTCTCGTGGCTGCACAGCTCCATGGCCCGGTAGGTGTGTGCGAGGAGGTGGGGGAAGCGAGATGTGAAGTAGCACACGAAGTCGTCGGGGAGGGACCCCAGCGTCTCCCGCACCTCTGCAGGCAGCTCCCGGTAGTGGTGCTTCTGCAAAGAGTTAGAAAGCTCGGGAGATTAGAAAGGGGTTAGAAAGCTCGGGAAATGTTGGCAAAACACCCTTTCATCATGCAAGGAAGAGACAGAATGTGAGTGTTGGTTTTTGGTAAAGAAAAAGAAAAAAGGCTTATGTATCCAAGAATCCAGCCCCGTCATCTCGCCTGCTACCCTCACTCAGGAGGAGGCCTTGAAGTGAGCAAGGCCCAGCCAGTCCAGGGGGTGCTCAGGCCTTCTGTGACAGTCAGGACCTGGAGACACTCCTGGCCACCTCAGGAGGAGTAAAGTCGCCTGAGATTGGAGTGTCCGTCCCAGTGGGGTCCCCGCATTTGAGGTATGTTTATACATGTTTACACACAGTGGCTGCATCAGACAGGGAGAGGGCCCCACAAAAGTCAGCGACCAGAGACCATGAGGGACATGGGCCGCAGAGCACTGCTTCCCGGAGCTTCACCTGCACCTACGTCCCTGAAGGGAAAATCAGCGTAAGAGAGGCAACAGCCTGCAGTTTGCCAAGTCCAGCTGAAGCCGCCTAGCTCCTGAGAGATGAGAATGCCAGTACAGATAAAAGATTTATAAAGAATGGATGAAAGGAGGAAGGTGTCCATGTCATGGCCACTGGGTCTCCTCCCCAGCATTTACAAACTGCTTACCTTATTTCTCATGGCTCGGAGGAGATCTCTGACAGAACCACCTTTATAGGTCCTGAATTTACGCAGGTCTAGAAAAACATTGAGGGAAGCAATGGGTAATCAAATTTAAAACTAATACATTTTAAAAGAAAACAATTCATGGGGTCCTGGGATTAGGGAGTTGGACTGAAAGGTGAGGTCACTCCACACCTAGGCATGGGAGCAGATCCTCCCATCCAACCCAAGGGTGGTATCCCCCTGAACCCCACCTGGTGATCACACCCAGGTCAGAAATGACCACCTAGAGCACGACACCATCACTCACCTGTCACTCTAGGGAACAAAAATGAAACACACATCAGTGTAACCAAACCACAGAGGACACACCCAAGAAAGTCTCAAACCTGACAGGTGGGATGTGGGGCCTGAACAGCCTGGAGCGGCCATTTCCACGTTTACTTTTTGGAAAGGCGGCAGCGACTTTTGCAACCTGCCCTCTCACACGCTGCAGCATGATCACCTGTCTGGAGGGGGACAGTGATGTTCTCCCGCCAGTCCATCTTCACCACGGCTCTCCCGCCTCTCTCTAACTGCTTCACGATCGGGCCATCCAGGGATTCCTTTTCTATTCTGTCGCTCACGTCCTGTGAGAGAAACAAGGGCAGCAGATGATGGTCAGTGCTGGAGATGCTGAGAGCTGTGCGACTGGGACTCAGTAACAGATCATCACTGACACATAAGCCTGCCCCAGAGCTGGGCAGCAGGCACCCTGCCCCCTCCCTCCCTCATCCATGACTTTCCCTGTGAGCTGCTCTGTTCCTCACGAAGCACAGGCCCACAGAGAGCTTCTCCCATGTCAGAGAGGTGTCACAGAGTACACCTGCATATAGACCACGAACGCATACCCTGAATTTCACATGTGCACACACACGCCATGTGTACGGAGCCGCAAGTGCAATCTATATCCAATGAACCAAAACCAAAAAGAAAAGGAAAGCTCAGATTTGATGTGCATCCCGTGCTTTGTCTACTCACTGAAACAGGGTATGCTCAAGCCCATAACTGGTGGAGGGTCGCCACTCTTCCCTCCACCAGTAGAAAAGACCTGTGAAGCTGGGCCTTCTTCTCAAAGAGGAAACTTGGTGGCAAGAGTATGGGCTCCAGAGGCTCCTGTTGGGATTCAAACCTTGCTCTGCATTTGACTTTGGTAATAAGGAGAGGGTCAGGAAGCACCCAAGTATGGCCTCTTGAAGTCCCACCAGTAAGACAGGTCGACAGCTGAGGACACAGGGAGTGGTGAGCCCTGTCTACATCAATGTTAAGTAGCCTTAGGAGACCCTTTTCTCAGAGCAGCCTTTTCTATGATGAAGATGAAGCCAGACTGGCTGAACTCCTAATTTACAATTGTCAGAGAGAAGCTGTGGAGAGGTTAGATTGTCAACTTGGGTACACTGGGAACACACGTGTCTGAGCTGCAAAGCTGTTACGGCTAAATGACCTGAGTGGAAGCCAGGTGTGTTCGAGAGACATATGACCTGGAGATACTAAGCATTTAAATCCTGTCCCTTGGTGGGTGAAGGTCCCTTTGTGTGGGTTTTATTCCTGTTCTATATTTTGCGATCAAAATGACCTGGTTAGTTTTCACAAGTCCCTGGAAGACATATGGACTTGAGAATTTTCACATTATGTCCATGGACACAGTGACCAATCCATATGCTACAACATGGAAGACAGCATTAAACTCTTCCCAACCCGATCCATCTGAATGGTTGGGCCAGGCAGCGTCCTCCCTAGGAGGCAGGGACACAGTAGTGAATGCAGCAGTCAAGCACTCCTGTCCTCGAGGAGCTTACATTCTGGGGGCTTCCCTCTGGCCAAGGCCCCAGTCAGACCCCAGGAGAGCATGATGGTCACTTCTCAGTACGGTGCCCACCAAGCTGCACTCTGCCTGGACCCAAGGGGAAAAGCACTGCCCCACAAGCCTGCTTTCAGAGCCACGTGCTGGGCAGGAGGCGTTCGGGTGAGTTATGTTCAATTCATACATGGAAGACTTTGAAAAACACATTACCTCTTCAAAAGTCACCTGACATTGTCACAAAGCTTTAAAACAGTCAAATCACCAAAGGAGTTCTAACTTTGCAGAACCTATTTTAAGCAAAAGGAGATCTGGGCCAAGACTGTGTAAAAGATGATAGAAACAAATACAATATAAGAAAGCACTGAAATTTATGACACTTGGGCTGGGCCTGGTGGCTCATGCCTGTAATCCCAGCACTTTGGGAGGCTGAGGCGGGCAGATCACCTGAGGTCCGGAGTTCAAGACCAGCCTGGCCAACATGGTGAAACCCCATCTCTACTAAAAATACAAAAAAACTTAGGCAGGCGTGGTGGTGCATATCTGTAATCCCAGCTACTCAGGAAGCTGAGGCAGGAGAATCACTTGAACCCGGGAGGCAGAGGTTGCAGTGAGCCAAGATTGCACCACTGTACTCCAGCCTGGGTAACGGAGTGAAACGCTGTCTCAAAAAAAATAAAAATAAATAAATAAGCTTATGACACTTGAATGAAATTATATGATGCCTGAGATTTACTTCGAAATAACCTGGGGTGGGGAGAGGGTGAAGGTTAATATTTATTGAACCTGAGGGATGAATAAAGGAGTGCTCATTATAGCATTTAAACATTTATGTATTATATATTTGGAAATTCCATAATATAAAGCTTAACCATTATGGCACATCCATATGATAGAATACTATGGTCATTGGAATTTTAGAACTTTAACATGAAAGAAACTTAAAATATCATGTACAGTTAAAAAAAGGGATTCTGAAACTGTATATACGGTTAGATCCCAATTATACTTTTATATATGAAGAAAACATTAAAACATCAGCCATGATTATCTTCCAGTTTTAGGGTAATGGGCAATTTATTTTATTCTTTGTCCTTTTCTGTATTTTCAAAATCTGAAAAACATTAAATGAAGACTCTGGATAAAGAGAACAGACGTCTCTACCTGGAAGAACTGGAGCTGCTTCTCTAGGCTCCAGAAGAACGGGTGTTTGAGCACATGCTTCGCTGAGGGGCGTTTCTGAGGATCCATCGCAATCATCTTCTCTATCAATTCACGTGCAATGACGTCTTCTATAAAGGAGGAAAATAAGCAACTCATGACTACCAGTCCAAAGCCACAGTGAAATACCAAAAACTTTAAAAAGCTGCACACCCTCTCATTTATGATTCTATTTACAGGAATTTATTCCAATAAAATAATTAGGAACAGACACAAAACCTCAGCCAAAGAGGTGAGTCCTCACTGCATGGTTTGTGAAGGAAGTGACTGTAAACATCCAGTATCAGAGGCCCAAGTGGATACACTACGGTGCCTCCCTACGCTGGGCCATGAGCTGTTAAAGTGCGGCTGTGACTAAATATGGATTGACGTGGAGAGAGATTCAAGGTGACGCTGAAAAACGTGCATGCTGCAAAACAGTATGCAGGATTTAACTGTATTTTTATAAAATATGCAATCACGTCTAGATAAATGACTGGAATAACGTATATGCAAAGGTATCAATAGCCATCATTCATCCCTGTATAATGGGAATATATGGGCCTTTATGCTAATCTGTGTTTTCTATAATAAGAAAAATTAAGCATAAACAAAACAATAATTTAGTTGTAATTTTTTCAAAAGGCAGCACTGGAGTGTCATGGGCCAATTACCACCCAGGAAAACCTGAAGTCTGGAAGAAAGACTTGTTGCACCCATACCAGGAGACCAGGAGGGTGAGGATAAAGCTTGTCTGTCCCCAGCCCAGCACAGACTGCACCTACTGACCACTCGCCATCCCAAGAGAGAAGACAATTTGTCTTCCCAAATGCCAGTGCAGGAAGGGACCTCTGATTATTCAACCCTCATGTCACCAGGTAGAAAAAGAAGGTCTCCAAAGGGGGCTTTGCCTAGGTCACACAAGTAGTTGGTGACCTGGAGGAACCTTGGAGCATCTCAGCTTTAGAAGGTGGCGCCCCAGAGATAACCCTACCAACCCTCTACCAGATTTGGCACAAGTCTGGAGGTCCTGAGGCCTGCGGGGTGAGCAGCTGGGGCACCACGGCCTCTGTGAGTGCAAAGGTGGCACCAGCCCAGCTCTGCAGGGCCACCTGAGGCAGCTGAGGAGCTGCTCCCAACCCCAACCCCTGGACCGCTCACCGTGCTTCTCTGGGTGCAAGCAGTCAAGGCTGCAGGCACCCAGGAGGATGTTGGCCTGCCGCTGCAGGGACTTGCCAAAAGGGTGGCTGCCCTCAGAGATTACGTAGTAAAAGACGCAGCCTGCAGAAAAGATGTCCACCGTGTAGGTCTGAAAAGAGACATGAGGCGTGAGAGGTCTGGGAGCAGAGTTTTCATCCTCACTCACAGTCAGGGAGGGAGGAGCATTGCTGCTGCTTCTGCCACCTAGAAGGTGTCCTGGGAGAATCAGCTGACATATGTGAGCTGCACAGAGCAGCGAGGGCTAACCTGCAGCACTGCATGGGTGTCAGAGGTCCCAGTGGAGAACCTGGGCTTGGAGCCACCTGGAAGCCCCTGGTTCCCTCTCATGTGAGATGAGGACACTGACAGCATGGGGCTGTTGTCAAAAGAGATGCATTAATATGCAAAAATGGTTGCTTACGACAGTGCTTGGCCCATCAAAAGCCCTCCTGGCTGTTATATATTCCTTACCCCCAACACGAAAGTGCTCACAGACAGGGTCTCTGTGTCGTTGCTTCCCTGCTGTACCCCCAGGGCCCAGAATGGTGCCTGCACACAGTAGGTATCAAAATTGCTAATAAGTGAATAAAACAGCTTATGATTCAAAAACAGCCCTAGAAAGAAACTATCTGACAAGTTACCAAGGAGGTCATGTTTGATGTTAATCCGAGAAAGCCTCTCACTTATCCCATGAAACCATTCTGTGTCTACAGAATAGCTTCCTTCGAGGGAAATGTACGTTTGTGTTTTTTAGCTCATGCTACCTGGGGTGTAATACCAAGGTGGTTCCTGAGCACAGCTTGGGTCCCTGTTAGTAGGCCCTGCCTCTGAGATTCTCCACCAGGTGAAGTGAGGGTCTAGTGTGAGGAAGCAGGGGCTCATCACCTCCCATGCTGGAGGAGACACACCTTGAACAACACAGCACTCTCATTCAGCCTCACAACAACCTTGTGAGGCGAGCAGAGCAAATGCTTTCATCCCCAGATGAGAACGTGGACAGAAAGGTTGCATGACAAGCTCAGGGTCACTGCTGGATGTGATAAACCAGGATGGGACTCAGGTCTTCCAATCTCCAAACCTACCATGCTTTATTCTACCTCACTGGATTTTCCCTTAGGAAGGTGCTGGATTCGGGACAGGAGGAACATGGCCACCACAGCTGGAGCTCGCCCCTGACTCCCAGAGCTCTCTGGGTCTTTCACGCCCCCCACACTCTCTGCAGCCTGCTGTCCCCAGCACAGACAACACTAAGGTGAAGAGGCATCTTTCCTACCTGCCTGGCCCCAATTATGTTCTTTCCCAAACTTATTATTGCCACTTGTCCTTGTAATTTGGATATTCCATAAGCTGTTAAACATGAGTGCCACGAAGTCTGAGGTAAGCTGAATCTTTAGAAAGACTCGATAAAGGAAAGGGAATGGTTACAAGAGCTGCTGCGGCATTTGGTGTGGTGGATTCAACCGTAAGGGACTGGGTCATGAAGCGTTAAAAACCAGGCTTCTGCTCTCAAATCGCTTAGGAAGTGTTTGAAGTGTCCAAGCCTCCATGCAGAAGTCACAGAAGTGGTACAGAAGTGTGCTTAATGCAAGGGGGAAAATGAGGACTCCAGTCAGTCAGACCCAAATCTGAAAAGACCTTAGCCTACAGCACAAGATTTCTATGACTTAAGGGCTAATATTACTTGCTTTAAGTTAAAATTAAGTGTTACGGCGTGCGTGCGTGTTTTTATGATTCTTCGCTGTAACTGACTTCTTTGATGATCTGACCAGCTGCTGGTCCCCAGTGAGCTGGATAAGAGGCAGCCATATCTAATCCACTCAAGATGACTGACCCACCCAGGTCTCCATCGGGGAGTGTCCAAGGTGAGCCTCGGCGACTTGTGCTAGAATAAGGTGCTCAAGTGTGAGTGCGCTCCCAGCAAATGGATGCAGAAGCCAGCTTGAAGGGGTTTCCAGGTTGGCCAAATTTGGAACAATTTGTGTATCAAAAGAAGTAAATAACAAAAAAAGGACTAAAATGGATTATAACATTAGTTTCAAAATCCTTGAGCCCATAGCGATTAAGAAAAAAAAAAAAGAGAGAGAGAAGAAAGTGAAAAGAAAGCTCTGCTTTACAGAAAAATGTCAGCTAACAATGTAGAAGAATTTCTACTCAACTGAGTACTTCAGGCAAGGGTGATCAACACATGCTAAACCACTGGGTGAGTGACTGTCAGTAAACAGGATATTCACATTGTGCTGAAGTATCACCCCAAATACTAACAAGAGAGGAGGAAATGAACCCTTATGGTAGAGAGATCAGCTGTAGCATCACTAAGAGGAGGTGATAATAATCTTACAGATACAATCTGCCATCACATGCTTTCTGATGTAGAGACCTGCCAAAAACATTCGTGCCAAAAACATTTAACTTGAACCTAATCAAGCCTCTCCACCTAACTTCTGGTTTCCAGGAAATACAAGGAATACAGAGAAATGTTCAACGCTGTCATGAGGAAAAAAGCAAACAAACCAGAATGGGGCATCCTATAACCCACTGCCTGGACTCTTCAAAATGGAACTTCAACATGGAACAAAATATAGGTGGAAAGATTTGTAAATTCCAAGAGACAGAATCAAATGTAACGCAAGACACCTGATTCCATCCTGGTATATAAAACCCAGTAGGTATCAAAACCCAGTAGGTAGCAAAATACCAACTCTATAAAAGACATTTGGGGACTAATTGGGGAAATTTGAATATGGATTGAATATGAGATGATGGATAGAAACAGTATTAACTGTTGAGGTGGGATAATGGTATTGTGGTTGGAAACACAATGTATTCCTTAGGAGACACGTGCTGAGGTCTTCAGGGATGAAGGGCCAGGATGCCTGCTACTTATATTCAAATGGTTCAGTAATAGGTAAAGATAAAGCAAATGTGGCAAAAGTATTAACAAATGTTGAATCTAGGTGGAGATACACAGGTATTCATGTTAACATTCTTTCAGCCAGATGCTGTGGCTCATGTCTGCAATCCCAGCACTTTGGGAGGCTAAGCCTGAGCCCAGGAGTTCAAGACCAGCCTGGGCAAAATAGCGAGATCGCACTTCTAAAAAATTTTTTTCTTTTAATTTTCTCTATGTCTAAAAATTATCAAAATAAGTTGAGAAAACAAAAACAAAATTTTAAAAATAATGAAAACTTGAAGTTTGCTCACGCTAAGCAAGCCCTGACTTCCCAGTTTACCAAAATTAAAAAGGGGTTAAAAAGTGATTGATTTAGCTGGGTGTGGTGGCAGGTACCTGTAATCCTAGCTACTCAGGAGGCTGAAGCAGGAGAATCGCTTGAACCTGGGAGGTGGAGATTGCAGTGAGCTGAGATCATGCCACTACACTCCAGCCTGGGTGACAGTAAGACTCTGTCACACAAAAAAAACAAAAAAACAGCCAACCAACCAAACAAAAAAAAAAAACAAGTGATTGGAAGAATAGGGAAAAAAAATAGATAATTGCCCACATTTGCCCCTTTAATCAGCTGAACATGAGATGACACAGAATGTTCACACAGAAGCTCTTGGTGAAAGGAATGCCATTCTCCAGCTACACGGGCACCAGCCCCCAAACCTGGAATTTAAAGGTTCTACTCCTGAAGATACAATGGGCTGGTTCTGTAGTTTTCAAAGGGCCATAGCCTATTACTCACAGGGTTCTCCTTACAGTCTTCGCTCAGCATCTCTGGAGCGATCCAGCCTTCTGTGCCAGGCACCCCAGATCGGCGGCTGAAACTGTGTCTGCCCACTGCCAGCTTCTTGCAGAGGCCAAAGTCGGAGATCATGGCCTTGATCTTGCCGTGTGCATTGGGCATGGATATGAGGATGTTGTGTGGCTTTAGGTCTCTGTGAACTAACAGAGAACTCCAGATTAGTCCAATGCTTACCAGGAGCAACCCCAGGCCTCCTCCAATGGGGAATGTGTCCTCGTCAGACTCCCAATATGCCTGCCGCCACCTCCAAATGTTCTGATTTTCAACTATGTCGGATTCCTCCTCAAATTCTTACACCACTCATCTTTGCTACTGGTGATATAGCCAAGAGCTTGAACAGAAGCAAGGCCCACCCGAGCTACTGGTTAGCCCCACCTGGGCCACTGATTCTCCCCACCCGGGCCGCTGGCCTGGTAAAGTGCAGCCTCTCACCGATGTTGAGGGAGTGGAGGTGGGCCAGGCCCGAGGTGGTCTGCTGCAGCAAGGTGATGGGCTCCAGGCCGAGATGCGCAAAGTCCTTCTGCTCCACATACTGCAAAAGACATGACAGCAAGGTCACGGCACACAGTCCTCAGGACTTGGCCCCTCGGCTCACTTTCTTTGATACCATTTTAAGAAAGAAATGGCAAGTTTTACTGACAACATTCTGTCTAAATCCATGTTTTCCAGCAAGGAGCAAACCTCCAAATCTACTAATTTACAATGAGAAAGATAAGAAGGCAAGAAACTCAAGTTCATTGCCTCATATAAGTAAACCTACAAAGGAATCCAAATGATACTGATATGGTTTCAAAGTGAGCCTGGAAAATGAGCAAAAGGAGCTTGCTGGATGATCTTAAAGCCTGGAGTTACCAACTGGCATCCTCCAAGCCCACACCAGCCATGACTGAAGAGGGAAAGAACAACTGTCCAGGTTTCCTGGAGGCAAAGAGGGAGAGACATGCCAACTGCAAGCAGACTGCCCAGGCATGCTGGGGGGACCACCCTGTTACAACCAGAGGGATAAAAATGCTCCACATTTTGACTGTGTATGTGGTTAAATGGGTATAGACATTTGTCAAAATTCATCAAGCTATTACATTTAAAATTAGTACAATTCACTGTAACTTTTTTTTAATTTGACGGGGTCTCACTCTGTTGTCCAGGCTGGAGTGCAGTGGCACAATCACTGCTTACTGCAGCCTTGATCTCCCAGGCTCAAGCAATCTTCCCACCTCAGCCTCCCAAGTAGCTGGGGCTACAGGAACACATCGCTAGGCCTGGCTAATTTTTGGTTTCTTTGTAGAGATGGGGTTTCACCATGTTGTCCAGGCTGGTCTCAAACTCCTGAGCTCACGTGATCTGCTCACTTTGGCCTCCCAAAGTGCTATGACTTTAATAAAGTTAACAAAATAAAAAAAATAAATCCACCTCTTGCAGGGTGGCTGCACACAGCTCGATGGCAATGTACTGGAATTGCCGGTCCTTCTCCGTGCAGAAGTAGCGGATCACGTTCGGGTGCTCATCCGATTCTCGCAACAGCTGGACCTCACGGTCTGCGAAGCTAAAACACTCGGGGAGGATCCTCTTCACGGCCACGTCGCGGTTGTCAAACATGCCCCTGCGGGATGAGGAGTGGGAGTTGTGTCTGGGAAGCACGAGTCAGGCTGTGTAAATGAGGTGAGAACCTGGGTCCACAGCATTCACCTACTGCCTCCCAGCCTAGAGAGCCCCGCCTGACTGCCTGGTGGCCCCGGAATCATCGCTTGTCTCAGTGTGCAAGCTCCCTGGAGGCCGGACTCCATGCGTCTAGGTCACTGCTTTGACCCTGCTGTGCTCTGAGCCTGGCACCAGGCTCGCAACCTGACAGGCACTTAGACACCAGGCGGTGAGGGCAGGGGGCTGGCTAATCCACTCACCGGTACACAATTGTGCCCTCAGCTCCATGGCCCAGGACATCCTTGGGACAGAAGGAAATTTTCCCAACTATCACCACGCTGGTTTCCTCATCTGGGACAAAATAGGAAAAAGAGATTGTTTCAAACAGATATCACCTAAAGAACCTTGAGGTTAACATAGTGACAAGCTTCCTGACCTCAGATTAAAAGATGGGATTTAAGAGGCACTGCACCCCAGACTGCTGCTCAGCAAGAGCCTGCCAGGCCCACTCCCCATGTACACCCAGGACTGCCTCTTCCCCCTGCCCCTGCATTCTGTCTCCGCCTTTACCTTATTGTGCGATTGCATATCTTAAAACCTTCTGGAAGGCAGGGATTCTCCATAGCGTTTCACACACTTATACATATTCATTGTGATATAGTTAGAATGGTTTAATAGTTAACAACCACCACAAAGTCCACTGTAAAGATCCGCACTGAAGCATTCAGGTGGCGGCAATGGACATGTAAAACGAGGAGACTCCTTGGGACAGAGGGCTCTGAGTTCCCTGCACCAGCTCTGTGCCAGTTCCCTCAGAATTGGGGCTCTGACAACTGGCTTGAGCCAACTTCCACAGAGGAAAGCAGACCAACTGTGACACTTCCACACTTGGCCACCGGCTGGCCCTGGGAACTCTCTTCAGCCCAATGGGCAGCTCACCTCTGGTCAGCCGCGACGCCCAGCCCTTGTGGAGAAAGACAGGAGGATGGCCAGGGTGGTTCCCAGAAGGCCCTCTGAAGGGGAGATGCCAAGGGATGGGGCAGAAGCCTTCCCACAGAGACCCCCAGAGTGGAAGTTAGAGGAGAACACAGTGAACCCCTGAGAATGGTAGTTTACAATCTTATGGAGACTCCTTGGACTTCTCAGGAGGTGCTCGAATAAAACATAAAATAGCACCAAGATGGCAACTGGCTTTACCTCCATCGTCTTGTTCCAGGGAGGGGCTGCTGCCAGCCTTGGAGGCAGAGCTGCCGGAGCAGAGCGAGTGGTTGGAGGCCCTGGGGGACGTGCTGGGGCTGCTGGTGCCCGAGCTCTCTGAGTACGGGCCAGACGTGTCCAGGAGCTCGCCGTCCTGAGCCGTGTCTCCAGGTGGGTGGAAGGGCAGCTGCTGCTGCTGCTGCTGCAGGAGCTGGATCTTCTCCAGTTCCTTCTGGAACTGCTGGTGCTGGAGCTGCTGCTGCTGATGCATGCTCTGGGAAGAGAAACCCACATCCAGACAAGGGCAGCTGTTCCCACAGGGAAACAAGCAGCTGGGAAGGGACAGGTCCCAGTGGCGGAGGGAGCATGTGTACTTTATGTGACCCAACAGGGCACAAAGAGACCAGTGAGAAGGCACCTGGAAGCAGAATTGCTTCGATGACTGGACGTCTTTCCACCGACTAGTTAGATCCTTGCTCATACAGCCCACTCCCCAACCCTAGGAGGGGCTGGATGGCCACCAGGGGAGGGACTGTGCCCTAGGTTGAGGGCTGTGCCAGTTTCATTCAGTTCTAAAATTCTGTGATTTTCATGAAAGTCTGAGAGTTGTTGCAAAGGTGAAACCAAACAGGAAGCACAGGTAGCATGGCTGAGCCAGTGGTGGGTGAGAGCAAGCCCCAGGTTCGCCACCCACCGTGTCTGTGTGTTGGCTAGAGGCTAGCGCACAGACACTCAGTAATCCAGAGGGGCAGGTGAGGAAGCTCTAGTATTCTAGGTATGCAGAGTACATCTGCATACACATAGCCAGGAGGTGGCAGTGGGGCTGACACATGGTGAGCCTGGCTGAGGTCCTGCTTCCGCCTTTCATCCCACTGCCTTCCCCGAGGCCACATGCCTCTCAAATACTCTGAAGGATTCATTCTGTCATTATCTGAAGTAGCAGCGATCTGTGATCATCCCTACCCATGTGCAGGAGGTGGACTGAAGGGACTTCTGTGAGCCACCAACCCACCAGGGAGTCGTCTCTTCTTCTCTCCACCATGGGGTGGAGTCCTAGAAATGCCGTCTACTAGCTGGGTACCCGTGGGGAAAGTTACTTAGCTTCTCAGGGTCTACTTCCTTCTTTTGTGGACAAGGGATCAATAATAATGACCTCATAGGACTGAGTGAGGTGAAAAGTGAAACTATCAGGTGCAGACGTGCCAGTGGGGAGTGCCATAAAGAGTCTGTCATTCCCATTCCTGGGCGGGTCATTAGCTTCCTGAGCTCTCAGGTAACAGCATCTCGATGCTCTGAGCAACCTGCTGAAGGACCATGCCCCTCACATATTTCATCCCACCCATGGCCTGTTCTGCTACAGAACTTGCTCATTTCCAACTAGGAAGTAAAGGGATGGCCACACTGCCTTTTTCACACAAGCTGATCTCACAGGCAGCTTCTTTTTTCTTTTTTTGGTTCTTCTCCCCAGCAGAAGTTCTAATGGCAGTTTTTAAGGGAGGAAAGGTCTTCATCTATTATCCTTATTCTTTAAAAATACAGATAACTATTCAAAATCATCTTTGAGCAAGGCTTATAAATCAGCTCTTAGCTGAAAAACACTAAGATTTAGGAACAAAATTGTCCTTTTCTGGGAGGCTAGTGTCTCTTTAATTATGTTTTTGAAGATAAACAAACACTGACTTTTTTTTTCTTTTTTTTTGAGATGGAGTCTTGCTCTGTCGCCTTGCTCTGTCGCCCAGGCTGGAGTGCAGTGGTGTGATCTCAGCTCACTATAAGCTCCGCCTCACGGGTTCACGCCATTCTCCTGCCTCAGCCTCCAGAGTGGCTGGGACTACAGGCCCCTGCCACCATGCCCGGCTAATTTTTTGTATTTTTAGTAGAGACAGGGTTTCACTGTGTTAGCCAGGATGGTCTTGATCTCCTGACCTTGTGATCCACCCGCCTCGGCCTCCCAAAGTGCTGGGATTACAGGCGTGAGCCACTGTGCCCGCCCGGCCAACAAACACTGACTTTTAAATGGGGAAAGAAATGTGCTGGTTGTTTTTGTCTGGATCTCACTGACATGAGGCGACAGGCAGAGAAGCCCCAGAAATAGGTGGATGGCAAAGGGGAATTGTTGAGCTTTACCAGGGGATAGGTGATGATGAAGGCCACCCAGCCAATCAGCAGGAAGGTGCTCAGGATGATGGTAGCCATGTCCTTAAGCATGGAGTCCACGGGGGCCTCGGGCCGGGCAGGGGCATGGGCGGGCTTCTCCTCCACATCCCGAGACACGGTGGTAGGTGCGTTTTCTGAAGTCTGGTCAACCAGGTTGATAACCTTGCATGGGAGAGAGTTGCGACATCACTGCAAAATTTCTAGCCAGATACAGATGAGGCCAGCAATCAAGAGAAGCAATCACTGTTTACAAGGATATGACTGTACTGCAGGGGGTTTTATTTGTTTTAAGCTCACCAAAGATCATGTAGCCAGATAACTGTTGCCTCTTTCAAAGCAATTGCTTTGAGAGGCCATGCATCTTTGCAGTGAGGTTATCATTATTCAAAAATAGTTTTTGGAGCAATACTTTTGGCAGGTGTCTTCAGACCCTACATATTTTTTTCAAAAATCCTCAAAAAGGCAAACACTTCCTCCTTTGATGGTAGGTTCAGTATCCAGGAAAACACTGAAGTCATCTGTAACAAAGTCTGGTGAAAAATTGGTATTTGATTTAATAATACCATTTCACATTAAAAGGAAATCCGCACGTATACAGAGGCACATGGCTAGAAAGCAATAAAGCAGTTTTCTCGTGTTGCCTGTAAACTGTCAGTGCAATCCCAAAATTATAATTTATTCCAGTAGTCCACTATTTCTTCAAAGTTTTTAAGAAGCATCAGAAGCGTTTGTTAAAGAAAATTTAGAAGCCCAAAATTAAATCAGATAAAAATGGAGCTTCCCTAGAGTTCCTCAGAATCTCTAAGACTTCACGGAACAGGCATTTAGAAAAATGCATTGACTCACTTTCAAATATCTAGTATTCTAGGTATGCCGTTATCATTTGCCCAACAAAACTAACACAGCCTCCCTGGCACATGCTGAATTTCCCACATGCTAAACCTCCCACACGCTCACGCCATTTCACCCCTCCCCCCAGATGGCTGCCTAGAATGTTCTTCTCTCCCCTCCAGGTGTACCCCTCTTATTCATGCCTCTCCCACAGTGCCTCCCACATTTTTGGGGGTTTGTAGCCTGCAGAGTATATAGGAAGCACCTGGGCATGTGGCCAGGGACATCTGTATGTCTCATCACCATACAGATGCACCTGAGAGTATTTTAAAACATACTTTTTCAAAGACCGTTATCCAAGACCAGATGGTTAAATACAAAGATTTGACACGTGGCTACCTCTGGGTGTTAAATTAAGGGCACTGTCTTATTTTCTTCTGTATGTGTTTATTTTCTAAGTGTTCAATAATGAATATGCAGGACTTTAATAAGATTATAGGACAATGCTGTTTAAGATTGCTGTTTTAGGAATCAATGTATTTCTCCAACCTGGCTACTTCCGTAGATGATGGTAAACAGATACTGTGCCCTGGAATCTTGAAAGTCTACAATTTCCTTTGTCTCTGGATAAAATCTAAATCTCTCAACTGAGTTTGTTGTGCTTTTGGTCTCGGCATCAGTCAGCCATTCTCTTCTTCTTCTGACCCTACTCATGTAGCCCAGGTGCATCTCTGTCCCTGGGCCCTCCATGGCAGGGCTGCTGAAGCTGCCAGGCCTGAATCGGTCACTAAGCCTCAGACGTCCCCTCTTCCCCTTCCCTGGCCATGTTGGGTTCCCTCCTGCAGAGCCACCCTTCCACCTCCTCCACCGGCTCTGTGCCCCAGAAGGCTGACCTGTATGGGCCAAAGCAATGGCTTCCCCAACCCCCTGGGGTTTTTGACTGGGTAAAGCTAACAGGGGACACCAGCAGATGAGAGAGAGAGGTAAGAGAAAGAGGTTGACTTCTGTGGGGCTGCTGAATTCCTCAACTGATGCTTTCAGCTCCCGGTCTAGAGTCCTTTCTACTCCCTCTCCTCTGGCTTTAGGCCAAGGTGTGCTAAGAGAGCCCCTGGAACTCTGTGCAAATAGTCCCAGGCCACTCTCTGTCTGCTTCATAAAACTTCAGATCTCATCACTTCTTCAACAATTTTTTTTTTTTTTTTTTTTTTTTTAGCAATAGGGTCTTGCTATGTTGCCCAGGCTGGTCTCAAACTCCTGGGCTCAAGCGATCCTCCTGCCTTGGTCTCCCAAAGCACTGGGATTACAGGTGTGAGACACCCAACCCAGCCTTCAACAACTCTTAAACTCCTCCACAGGGCTTGTTTCAGGCCCTGTAACATGGTTCCTTTTTACCCATGTGAGCCCATTTCCTACTACCCCCTACTTAGTAGCCTCGGGTCTGGCCAGGCCTTTCTCCCCACAGCCTGTGAGCTGGGCACACCAGCATTCTTCCCACTCCAGGCTTTTGCCCTTGCTGTTCCATTCCCTCCTGTGCCCTCTTGCTCCCTCCACCTGGCCAAATCCTACCCATTCATCCAGGTCCAGGCCTAGCTTGGTCCTGCTGCCTTTCCTGCACCTTCTTTCACAAGTTGCTTCCTATTCCTCTCCACTAGCCCTTAACCATTTATGTTTTTTGCTTTGGATTCTGGTGCATTCCTCTTCCCTCCCAGACTAGGCTGCAAGCTCAGAAGGCAGAGTCAAAGTCTAATGCCTCACCCTCCCAACACCTAACACCAACAACCCCCGACTGGTCGCTTCCTCACTCACTTCCTCAAAGCTCTTTTTCTCTGAATCAGCAGGAATCACATTTTCCCGATGTTTGGGTAGATTGTTGGGAAATCTCTCCAGCATCTTGGTAGACGCAGACAGTGGGGTTTCATGGTGTCCTATGACAGGAAACAAAACCTTTAGTGAGAACAATTTCCCGAGCTGTGGTGGCACTCAATGCTAAACTTAGGCAACAGGTGCTACCCACTGAGGGGTCCACAATGCAAACTCTCAGCAGGACTGTGAGTTAGAGAAAATGAGTGGCAGTTACCAGAAAATTCCATCAAAGCAGGACCCTTATTACTTCATGGCAGAATACAGTATTCCAAGTCTCCTACTGAGGAGTGAAGAAGTATCCTTGCATGACAGGGATCAGGACATTTGGGAGGCACCAGACGCAAGGCTCGTGGGGCTGCATGGGCCCGATCCACAGGTGAAGTATGATGAGGCTTCATTAAAAGTTCAAGGAGTTCTCCTTTCAATGCTTTTTCCTGTAACATCACTCTTCTATGGCCGCCGAATTCCCATCTTGGTATTTAAATTGCTCAGGTGGAGTTCCAGTCCTACTATTATCTAAATGTGAGCTTCCATCGGGGAAAGTGGTACATTACTTGCGAGAAAGCAGTAGGACACACCTGCTAGATGGATGGGGCCATAGCTTGCTCCACGTTCATTTGCTGTTCACTACACAACTATCGCATGGCTACTGAGCATTCATTACACATTTATTGAGCATCTATTGTGTGCAAATTGCTGTAAGAGATACAAAGCTGACTAGAATAGGGAACTGGGATTTGATAGGGCTTGATAATCCATTCAGCTCTAAAAATGAGTCCACATACTGCCCCAAAGAGCCAGGTCACTGTTTCAGATTAGGCTGCCAGTAGCCTGGCTGACTTTCCTTTCTGTTCTCTGGCTATGAGCAGATCTCACTCTGACTCACGTCTCTTTCACCTTATGATCTTTCCATTGTTCCCCTAAACCTATCAAAGATTTCATGACATACATGCCAAGATGACAACAAACAGGAACTAGTCTAAGCTGTGTACATTTCTTGATCTGGAAAATTCCTCTTTGAGTTCCCATCTTTAGGTCAGTTCTCTATCTACAACATAATATCATTCTTTAAGGGAAACCTACTTTTGTTTTGAGCCACCACTAGTTTCTCTTGTGTACCAAGGAGCTCTGAGACATGCTTTGCTTGGGAGCAGGATTTCTCCACTTGTGGTCTGCCCACTTCAGACCACTGAATCAGACTTGCTGGTAGGGCCCAGGAATCCGAATGTGAGTATGTGCGGGTAACTCTGAGGCTCACTAACAAGAGACCTACGGTCTAAGAAAAGTGAGGTGTTCTTCCACATGCCACGCTGTGCAGCAGTGTCCTGCCCTTCCCACAACACCCACTCAGTGCTCAGGGTCCTACCTGTCTGGTAGGACACCTGCCAAGAGACTGCTATGGAAGGCATTAGCCTGAATCCCCCTAGTTCTTCTGTCAACCTTCTTGTAAACAGGCTTCTCCTGGAGCTGGGCCTTCACTGATATCACGCTGTACACACTGGACCAACCACTGTACAACCTTACTCATGAGACCACTAAATATTTTGTACAAATATTACCTGGTCTCCTTGATGTATTCATCTATCATTATCTCTTAGGTCCAGATTCCAGAGCAAAAAGCAGATGGCTAGGCCCTGCCCCAGACCTACTGAATCAGGCTCTCCCGGGCTTATATATGCCTAGTTAACTAAGCTCTGATGCCGAAAGCACCCAAGGTCAGGGCCATGGCTTTGGGGCAACCCACAGACCATGCCTCTCAAGCTAATTGGATCCTTGTATTTTCACGATTAATGACAACCTGGAATATCTTTAATGCTTTCCACAAAGAGAAAATGAAAGGACATATCTGGACATAGTAGGGCATATCCTTTTACTTGTGGCCCTCGTCAACAGGAGACACTGCCATAGTCTCAGTGCCATATTTTAAGATGACGAGCTTTGGAGGTCCTCAGAAGAGGCTTTCGAATTGTGGGATCCTTACACTTAATAGATTCCTTATACTTTGCTGTTTTCGCAGTTTCCTTACTTGGACAACCTTTCCATTTTAAAGGGATCTCATTTTACAAGTTAACCATGAAGACTCCCTGCCCCCATATTTTCTGTATTCTCATATATACACATTTCCTTAATTCCACTTCTTAATCACTGGTGGGCAGTCTGTGAGCCCCTTAACTGGCACATAATGCTGAGCAGCCTTGTAATTGCAATGACCTCTTCTCATTAGCTATTTTTTTCTCACCATGGGCCTATTCATACATGCTCCTCCAACTACTTCTGTTAATAAAAACGTATTATTATTTTGTCATCTCCTTTACCCGTTATTTGGTAAAAATAAAATAAAAATGGCTACAAGGAAACAGGATGAAAAAAGAAATGGACCTTGACAATCTATAAAGGAAGCGAGCAGGGCTCAAGGATACCTGGTTTCCCCCCATAATACCTGGTTACACACATCCCCACCTACACCGCACTGCCTGGCAGATCCTGCTGTTTCCTGGTCCCCACATGCTCCCAGCTGCCCCACATCTCTTTTCCAGAGCCCCAGCCCTGACCTCTTTCTCCCCTAGTACCTGTCACCAGCAAGCACGACAGGAAGAGAACAGAGAGAAGAAACTGCACCGGCCCCTGGGTGCTCCAGCACCCGACTGACCTCCTGCCCTGCTCTGCCCCTACTGGGGCTGGGAGGTGGCAGAACAGTGAGGGATGGGGCACAGGAAGGGCAGATGGGGTTCAAGAAAACTCCCTCCTGCTCTAATGACTTGGCACACTTGCCAGGAACACAGCTCTTCTCACTTCCGCCTTCGTTTGTCACACTCACTGCCAACTCAAGAAGTGTCATCTCAACTTATCTCTCTTGGGACAGGGCCTCTAGTTCAATCCCTGGCCATTAGTGATGGCAGCAAAAACAAGAGAAAGAGGAAAAAAGGGACCTTCCCACACACCTGGGATGACACTGCCCTAGAACCACAACCAGCCCCTGACTCTGCTGCTCTCAATCCATCCTGGGATTTAATCCCTCCCGGGTCCTCAGCCCTCGCCTCTCCAACCCCTCACCCTCATGCCCACGTGGACTCCAAGTTAATTCTTCCATAGAAACAGTCTCAGTTTTCTTAACTATAAAATGGAAATGACAAGGGTACCTACCTCACACAGGGTTGCTGTGAGGAGTGAGGAAATGCATTCTAAAGGGCTTAATGTCGGATACTCACACAAGGTTTACATTAATTTAGTACCTGAGTTTTGGAACATTAAACAGTTTTCAAAAACTGACTCAGAAACACAGCTACCTTGTTGATTTTCCTTGGGGGTAAAAATGTCCCAAGGTCTCAGGGGCCAGCCGGGAAGGGCTCTGAGCACAAGGCCTTCCGAGCTCAGTACGGTGTAACTACCAGGGCCGGCGGTCGCCCACCAGGAGGCAGCACGCTGTCACCTCAGGCTACTGTGGGAGACCTGCTCTTACCTATCAGAAGCCAGTAATTCCTCAAGTAGTTGAGCTTGTTCTTGCTTTTGAGTCCGGGATCAAACTTGACGTCCGTGCTGGGCGTGATCACACACTCCCCCTTGTCCCCAATGGTGACGCCATCAGTCTGGGGCCCTTCCAGCAAAGGAAGTGTGCTGCCGCGGGGCTGTGGAGAGGGTGCAGTGAGGGTCAGGAGCCCTGGAGGGAGAGCGGGTCCCACGGCACACCATCCCAGCCACTGTCCTGAAAGGTGAGCAATTTCTAGTGCAGGGCTAGTCCAGGACAGAGCAAGACACAAAGGCCCAAAGTCTGGGCAAAGAAGCTTCTCCCTCAGGATGTGACAAGCTGCACTGATGTCTTTATGGACGTCTTTTTAGATTCTTATGTCTGGGTACTGGGGAACAAGAAGTGTGTGTGTAGAACTCCAAGAAGCTATTATGAGAAGCAGACATAAGTGAAGGAGAATGAATGGATATCTCTGTTAGTCACAATCTACGCAACCAATGGGGCGGAATAAAGTCCAGCCACACGCCCAGTGCTGGCTCAGGTGCTGCTGGAACTATGACAGAGGCAGGCGCTGTCTATTCACAGAAGCAGCCGCCCAAATCACTGGGAAGACAAGAGAGCCAACCACACAGCCCAAGCATTGTAGGGATCAGGACAAACAGCTAGGATTATGACGCCTTGGACTTTCAGAGACAGAATGCTTGAGGCAGGCTTGTGAGGCCCAAGGAGGCTCGGCGAGATTGCAAAAGCATGCAAAGGGTTTGAGTAGGGAAAAGGAAGAAGAAAGGGCATTTGAAGTGTGAGGTGAGGAGCAGCCTGAACAAAGGCCCCGGGGAAAGATGAACATGGGGCTTGTAGAAGTCAGGGAGAAGGTGCACATGGTTGGGCCACGCAACTCACATAGAGAAACTAACAGGGTGGAGGAAGGGCATCGTGGGACTGGATGAAGCAGGGCCATGAACACCAGCCTGGGGAGTTTAGATTTGATCACAAAAGCAAAAGGGAATAATCAGGGATTCCTCGGCTTTAAGAAGCTGTTTTTGTCATGTATCTTTCTTTCAAAGTAGAATGTGGCATGTGCAGAAACTGTTTTTGAGAACTTAAGATTTGTGTTTTTCATTCTTAACCTGCAGGATGCTCATGCATAGCAAAGTCATTCTTTGCTAAAATGGAACAGAAGTGGTTAGGCAGCTGCGAGCCCTCCGTAGTGGACTTACCACGACAGCAACCCCCTCGTGTACCATTGAGGGAGAGGCATAGAGGCTGGTAGAGTATTTCCCAACATACAGAGTGGGCCTAGGAGAAAAACAGATACATGCATTCCAGAGTCATTGAATTTCCAGATCCCACAGAAGGGAGTAATCATCACCCCAAATACCACCCGCAGGGATGACCACATTAACCCCCCAGACATGGAGGAACGCAGTAGGGGTGTGAAGCTAGGGGCACTGCCCTGGGAACAGGACCACAGGACTTCATCCCAGCTGTCACTCACTGCAGAAACATGGACAAGCCACCTAATGGCAAGCCTCAGCAAAATCGCAGGGCTGGACTAGACGATGCCCATGATGCCTGCAGAAAGGACTACGCCCAGTGGCCACAGAGGAGACTGAGTGCTTACTACCACCGCCGAGGCCCCTCAGATGACTCTCTACAACACACTTTCACTCCAGCGATCACTCCAGCGACCACCAGAACTACCCCCATTCTGCCTTGTGCTTTCTAAGGATCCTGGAGGTTTTACAGAACTCCTGAGAAATGGTCAGCTGCTCTACTCTGGATGCTGAGAGCAAAAGGGATGCATAAGAAATTCCAGACTTGGTGAGACTTCTGGTTCCCCAGCTGTGTAGTCTGTCCCCATGTGGGACATCAGGGAGACAGAAAATGGTGAGAGCTACACCTCCTGGCCCTTCTGCTTACTGTCAAGAGCCCACCTGGGATCGGTCATCCACTACATTATCTAAACCTCTCTCAACGAATACCTTACATTTGAATGCTGTTTTACAATCTAAACACTTGCCGGCATATTATCTTGTTTGATCTTCCACACAACTCTATATATAAAGTAGGAAACTGAGGCTTGGGGAGTTTAAGTGACTCGGTGATAGGCTATGAAGAGGGGGATGGAGAACAGAAGCCTGCTGAGTCTTGGACACACACACACACTGTAACTATTTTTTCTGATTTTTAAAATGAATATAACCTAAAAACTTAGAAAATATAGAAAGTTAAAAAAATAAATCTCTTGCATCCCTACCACCTAAGATAGATCCAAACTATACTTACACTGGCAGTCTCTTTCCTATACCTTTATTTGTGTGTGTGTGGTGGCAGGGGGAGGGTCTTGCCATGTTGCCCAGGTTGGCCTCAAACTCCTGTGCTCAAACAATCCTCCCACCTCAGCCTCTCAAGTAGCTGGAATTACAGGTGTATGCCATGGTGCCCGACACCTCCCATCCATGATTTTTATGTAATATTTAATAACTCTGAAGTGTTAATGGGTGCCCCTCAGCTCTTGTATTCTGAGGTTTCCAAATGAAACAGTCTTGGCTCTGAATATTCCTCATGGCTTCAGAGACTGCCCTGTCTTTGGCCTCCCGTGCAGGGCCTGCTACACTGCAACAGCACCAGAACACGAAGGCCACGGCCGCCCTCTCCTTCCCCGAGCTCCCAACTCACGTCAGCTTGCTCTTGGCCTCTGTCTCCTTGGGGAACGGGTACTTCCACTTTGTGATGCGCCCCACCTCCCCAGACATGAAGGTCAGATAGCGCAGGGTCTCCACAGCGACATTGATGTGCATCACCTTCCTCAGACCCTCCCGCTGCCAGACATAAAAGGCCACCACAGGGGAGGCGTAGTTTTGGATCCACAGGACGTCCCCAGATTCACTGTCCACAGTCACCACCAGCCCATCACCATTGGACACAAAGTGGGACATCTCTGTACAGATCAAATAAACAAAGCATGCTGAGTCTCACCCCATCTTGCAACCACATCCTCTACTCTTGTGGCAGGCTCTAGTCACTCAGTTAGAGGAAACAAGACTTCTGGAATATTCTCAGATCTCCTCTGAGCAATTTCACTTGTTTCCAATGAACTCGCTTAGTCTCTGTAATATCAAGACACTGAGAGCTGGCTGGCGTATAAACACAAGCCAGGATCACTCTCCCAAAGGCAATTTATTTGGTGATGTTCTTTAACACTCTATTCAATAAGTGAGAGTAAATACTGAGGAGGAAGGAGCCAGTGGAGATGCCTATTAATCTGGCATTTCATAGCAGTCACTTGAAACCCATCGATCAAACTGAAAGTCAGGGACAGCTGTGGTGGCTCATGTCTATAAGCCCAAGAATTTGGGAGGCTGAGGTAGGAAGATCACTTGAGTCCAGGACTTCAAGACCAGCCTGGGCAACATAGTGAGACCCCCGTCTCTACAAAAAAAAAAAAAAAAAAAAATTAGCCAGGTAGGTGGGGGAGTGGCGGTACGTGCCTGTGGTCCCAGCTACTCAGTAGGCTGAGGTGGGAAGATCGCTTGAGCCTAGGAGTTTCAGGCTGCAGTGAGCCCTGACTGCACTCCTGCACACATCCTGGGGAACAGAGGGAGAACTTGCCTCAAAAAAAAAAACAACAAAAAAACACCCTGAAAGTCAGACCTGAACCACTGACACTGTCCCATCAGATTCACAAAGGAGTCCTCAGAGAAAAACGAAAATATTCTAGGTCCTTGACAAGAAAAAGCAGAGTCCAACTTTGATACCAATGTTAAGGTGGCAAATTGGTTTTTAGTTTTCATTTGAGTTGGGTGAATGTTAACTGCAGAAATAACTAGGGATGAGTCACATTTGCAGAGTGGCCTTCTTGACAGGGTTGTTAATGTCCTATGCTGATTTTACTTCTACTTTCCATGGGCTTGCAGTAAATTCCTTCTGTGACATAGAAAGACTCAACGAGGGATGTCCTCCTTCCTCTCTGGCTAAGCTTGTCACCATTTTACTTCGGTTTCCCTTCAGACTTCACCAAGGCCCCTGCACATTGACTGTGGGAAGTATTTATGATAAGCCCATGAAAAGTCCATGGAAAGAAAGAACCTGGTGACAAAGAGTATCTTAAAAGAAAATCCTACTTTCTGGAGCCACTGTTTCCACATAGGTCAAAAGTACTGGCCCAAGCTTGTGAAATCCAGCAGAGAGCACTTACTGTAGTCCACGTCGTCCTCAGGCAGTGAGGCCGCATAGTCAAAGTAGGTGGCATTCCACCGGAGCTCTCGGGTTTTGGTGTCGTACATGGTGATGGTGTATTCTAAAGAACACAGACCAGCCAGCCCATTACCACGGAGGGGCCATAGTACCTACTGAGGTGTGGTCCTTATCTAATTATAACAAACAAATCCTCCCTAAACTGTAGGCCAAAAAGTCCAGACTATCCATGTCGATAGAGAAAGGCAATGTGAGGAGAACTGAAGGCCCAGACACATGAGTGAAACTGGCTGACAGCATGTGGAAGCAGAGACGACCCACCCTCGCTATGCCCTTGGACTCATGGCTCACAGAAGTGTAAGCAATAGAATGTTGTTGTTAGCCATTAAGCTTCGGGGTGCCTTATTACATAGCAATGGATTGCTGACAATTAAAAATTGGCACCTTGAAGCAGGATGGCGCCATAACAAACACCTAAAACATGTGGCATTGACTTTAGGACCAGCTGGCAGGTGGAGGCTGGGAGGCTGATAAAAAGGTTGGTGGAGACTTGCTAGTGCAGAGGGGGCACTGCTATTGAAAATGGAAAAGGGGTGACCCAGCTTGTGGAGGGTGCCATGATGAGCATGACTATTGCTTGCAGTAACTTGGAAGACAGAAAAAGTACCTAATCAACTCAGGGATCCAACTAAGGAGATTTCCAGACAGAAGGCAGAAAATGTTGAATGGTTTCTCTTAGCTGTCTATGATATATTGTGAGACAAATGAGCTGAGGAAGAAATCATTCAGCAGAATACAGAGGAACTATAAAGGGTCCAGGACTGAATATCGCTGGAAAAGATTCTCAATATAAAAAATAACTTTAGGGAAAAGATCAAATCCAGGGTACTGCCAGCAACAAAAAATGGGCTCAGGGTAAAGATCAACCAAATCAAAGTTGAAGCTGTAAGATCCTTCTTTGAGACCTCTGAAAGATTTTAAGGTGGTCCCTCATAGACCCTCTGCCCCCATCAAGGGAGTTCTAAAAACCATGTGTTGTCCCATTGCACTCACATTCCAAAGTCTAGAAACTTGTGGGTATGGCTTTTATCTAATGGAATAAATTATAATTTGACACATGGGAAGCCCACATAGTTTTTAAAGGAGTGGTATCAGCATAGACTAAAAGGAACAGAGACAGTCAAATTGAAAAAAAAGGGCTTCTAGATCCCCAAATTTCAATGGACAAGGAACGGACTGAGAAAGATACAAAACTGGCCATTTGTTATGGAAAAGAAAGGACTTCTCAGAGGGCAGAACCAAGAGCCACTGAGAGCACTATATTAGGGAACCAATCCCAGAGGGCAAAACTGGGCCCTAATGAAGGAATATTCCCTACCCCTGGAGGAGGGGAACCTGAAAACATGTGCCTGGCTGGATTTCAGAATTACTAAGGCCCAATGTGTGATATGTGTCTCTCTTTCCTGCCCTTTTTTGAGTGAACATGTTTACTGCAGCTATCCTGTCTCTGTCTCACCACTGCATGTTGGGTGGGGGATGGGAAGGGGAGAAAGACCCTGTCTCTTTAATTCACAGGTCTCCGATCAAGAGGTGCCACACTTGAGGAGCATCATCTACCTCCAGACCTCATGCAGATAATGAGAGGTGAGATTTTGGGACTGATGCTGGGATTGGACTTTGGGGGTCTTTGGAGGGAGTGGGAGGGTTGTAAACTACTGCAGCCTGAGGGAGGACTGCAGTAGAACATCTCTAAAGGTCACTACCACCAATTCTTCCCATTCCTGTAATGCATGTTACTCTTCCCATCAAGAAGCCGAGTCTATATCTCTACCCTTGATTCTCAGCTGGCCTTGAGACTTGCTTTGACCAACAGACTGCAGTGGAAGGAAGGTTCTGGAACTTTTGAGCCCAGACCTTAGGAGGCACTGTAACACCCATTTTTACTCAAGAGGGAGCCCGCTGCCATATCAAGAGTCCAGGCTATCTGTATGGAGAAAGGTCACACGGAACTGAACTGAAGTCTCAGATACATGAGTGAGGCCAACCAAGCATGTGGAATAAAGATGATGGGTTCTTGTTGAGTCCTTCCTGAATTCCCTACAGAATCATTAACAATAAAATGCTAAGTTGGGGTGGTTTGTCATGCAGCAATAGATAATGGAGGCAATGGATTTACACACCTATGCACACACATTCCACCTCATGCATATCCCAGCTCCTTCGAACACCACAATTTCACCTGAGAATGACGCAATTTTTATATCTGGATGAAGCTGGGGCCACTGTAAGAATTTACTTAATGGAAAAGGTAAACACATAAATCCTAAGCAGTCACTACAGTCAGAAGCTGGAATACATGATTTCTACAGTCTAAGACCTTCCACCCATTTCCAGGAGAGCCCGGCCAGCTTCTGCAGGGCCCAAGATTAGTCTCACTGAGTTTTAGAAATGCAGTGCTTTCCCCAACACTTTCAGGACGGTTCTCTTTTTTCAAATCCTTGGCTGCCTGAAAGTTTAGACCTAAATGTAGTGCTCAATTGTAATGAATTCATCCTAGGTTTTTGGTATAATTTCTTCCTTCTAAATGTTTTTTGTTTCTCCTTTTAGCTTTAAGTATCGTTCAACAATTTTCATGGCATCCCCGACATGTGTGAGGTGCTGCACATATGGTAATAAGTAAGGCAGGTCTCTGCAATAATGGGACCCACCCATTCATACATTCAAACATTGAGCCCCTGCTACACATCAGGCAATATGCCTGATGTAGAGAGACAGCAGCTGAGCAAAACAAAGTCGTACCCTCAGGGAACTGATATTCTAGTGAGGGAGGCAGGAAGTAGGCACATTGAATTTATAAATATGCAGTGCCAAGTGTTAAGAAGAAAGAGGCTGAAAAGGGAGGAAACACAAAATGGTGCGGTGAAGAGGGTGCAAGCCATGCCTGTCAAGGGACAATGACGAGGGGTGAGATGGCTGCCACTACAGGCCTGTTAACTGCTACGTGTGCCCCTAGAATGGGAGAGCCGGGTGTTCCTGAGCAGGGTGCAGGCTGTGAGGCTGCAGAAGAGGCTTCACAGAGAAGGTGACTTTTGAGTACAGTTGTGAGAGAGGATATTTGCCAGATAGGCAAAAACAGGCATACCTGGTGGAGAGGACCACACCACTACAAGTCTTTAAAAACAACACTGCTATTCTGGGAGCTGCAGGTAGTTCATCCTAATTGGGAAACTTTTTTTTTTTTGGGCAGGGGGGATGGAGTTTTACTCTTGTTGCCCAGGCTGGAGTGCAGTGGCTTGATCTTGGCTCACTGCAACCTCCACCTCCCCAGTTCAGGCAATTCTCCTGCCTCAGCCTCCTGAGTAGCTGGGATTACAGGCACATGCCACCACACCTGACTAATTTTGTATTTTTTTAGTACAGATGGGGTTTCGCCATGTTGGTCAGGCTGGTCTCGAACTCCTGACCTCAGGTGATCCACCTGCCTCGGCCTCCCAAAGTACTGGAATTACAGGCGTGAGCCACCACGCCCGGCCAGGCAACTTTGAAATGAGAGAAATGAGGCGAGAAAGGTGGCAGCGGCGTCACAGGGGTTTTTCTGGGCCGTGGTGCAGTTTGGACTGTATCCCTTGCACACTGGGGGGACACTGAAGGGTCTTATAAAGGAAAATGACATGATGGGACCTGTGTTTGGAAAAAAGCAGCTCTGGCCACCTTCTAGGGAAGGAGGCTGGGGAGCTTCTTCCGATCTTCTGGAAACAGGCAGGTTGTAGAAGACAAAGGTTCATTTCTTACCTGTTCGCCCAAGATACAGAAGAGAGGTTGATGGGCAGAGACTATCTGCAAAGGCCGATGACAAAGTCTGCTGCTTCTCTCCGGTCAGGAGGTCAATAACATACCAGATGTCCTGCTTTTTACCTGAAAGGACACAAAAACACATCGTCGTTTACACCATATGGAAAAAAGTATCGCTGCCAAACTAGCAGCCAAGATGCTCTGTATTGAGAGAGATAGACCTGAATTTCTTAGGATGTCATTTCTAAGGTGATGATATAAATGGTAATGCAGAGATAATAAAACTTCTTAGGTCCATAGGTCTTATAATAATTTAATAACCTAAACATGGTATACAAATTCCTCCAAACCCAATAACATAATTATAGTTTCAAAAAGTTCCCCAAACTTTCAAGTTAGATTTTATTGCTTTGATGAGTGGCTTTAAATATGAAAAGTCTTGCCTGTGAAGGGCAATCCTTTTCCCGTGGACTGGGATCTATAGAAATACAGAAATGTGCCCAGGGGTTCATCTCCCTAATAACCATCATTCACATTTCTCAACCTCCCTAATAACCAGCCACCATGTGAGAAGGATCCACAGTTACTGTTTATGACTATAATTAACTAGTACCTGGGACTGGTCAGTGGAGTTGGTTGCAACCTGATGCTAAGGATGTCAAAGTTGTCTCGGCCTCTGTTCCCAGCCAGTAAGTAATTCCCTGGCCTCGGGCCATACCCCCTAATCTTGGTCAGCTGATTATGACAGGCAGACAGCACAGTAAATAACACTATATATTAAGAAAACCCAAAGCATATGTATCAATGGTATATACCCAACAGCATCCTAGGAATGGAGAGTCTGTAGCAAGGGCCTCCAATGTGAAGGTCAACACAGTCACTGTGATGCGTGTATTTCCATTTTGTAAAGCATGATCTCTGGTGGTCATTTTTATCTTCCTAACTTATTGGAAAAGTCTCCTGTTTTGGAGACTCTTAGAAGAAGAATATTGAGATGCTGGAGAAGGTCACAGAGCCTTTGAAATTTTTTTTTTTTTTTTTTTGAGACAGAGTCTTGCTCTGTCGCCCAAGGAGGAGTACAGAGGTGTGGTCACGGCTCACTGCAGCCTCAAACTCCTGGACTCAAGTCATCCTTTTGCCTCAGCCTCCCCATAGTTGAGACTACAGGCATGTGCCACTATGCCTGGCTCTTTTTTTATTTTTTTTGGGATGGAGTCTCGCTCTGCCGCCCAGGCTGGAGTGCAGTGGAGTGATCTCGGCTCACTGCAACCTCCACCTCCCAGGTTCAAGCGATTCTCCTGCCTCAGCCTCCTGAGTAGCTGGGACTACAGGTGCGTGCCACCACACCCAGCAAATTTTTTTTTTTTTTTTTTTTTAGTAGAGACAGGGTTTCACCGTGTTAGTCAGGATGGTCTCCATCTCCTGACTTCGTGATCCACCCAACTCGGCCTCCCAAAGTGCTGGGATTACAGGTGTGAGCCACCATGCCCGGCCACCTGGCTAATTTTTATTTATTTTTTATTTTTTTTGAGACGGAGTCTCGCTCTGTCGCCCAGGCTGGAGTGCAGTGGTGCAATCTCAGCTCACTGCAACCTCCGCCTCCAGGGTTCAAGCGATACTGCTGCCTCAGCCTCCTGAGTAGCTGGGACTACAAGCATGTGCTACCACGCTTGGCTTATTTTTCGTATTTTTAGTAGAGATGGGGTTTCACTGTGTTAGCCAGGATGGTCTCGATCTCCTGACCTCGTGATCTGCCCGCCTCAGCCTCCCAAAGTGTTGGGATTACAGGCGTGAGCCACTGCACCTGGCCTACACCTGGCTGATTTTTTAAAAATGTTTCTTCTGTAGAGACGGGGTCTCACTATGTTGACCAGGCTAGTTTCAAACTCCTGGCCTCAAGCAAACCTCCTGCCTCACCCTCCCAAGGTACTGGGATTACAGTTGTGAGCCACTGCACCTGGCCTGTAATTTGCTAATGCTATACCTCTAAAGTTCTAACAGATGTTGCATACATGCCTGCTCCACATGTGTGCAACTTACCCATGGATCGCAACTCTGTTCTCACTGACAAAATCATAATATGAATATGATCTGAAGGTAGAGGAGAACAGAGCTAGGACCACGAACCTTTTCCATCTAGCATGACATAGCTGGTTACTTCAAGAACCACTAGAGTTTACATAACTCAGTTATTACTTTAATGGGTAGATTGGGCAACTACCATGCTCTTAAATATGTTTAATGAACTCGCCTAAGAGGCCACAGCACAAAGATGATAAGAAGACAATATCCTAAGCAGACTATAAGTGATGAATTGCTGGCAAAAGCTGGAAGACCAGATAGGACACAGTGACATGGATGGTCAGAAGATTATCAGATGTTCCCAGGTCACGGCCCACAGAGAGAAAAATCTGTGCCGATCGTTTCCTCCAAATTCCTAGGCTGGGAGTTCCTCATTCTGAAGGTGTGGAAGGAAGCAAGAGTCTCAGTGTCCTGAGCAAAACCTTAAAAGTCTGGCCTGCACTTGAGACCCAGAAATACACATAAAGCTCCTCGAGGCATGAATAGGCAATAAGCACTTTCAGTTCCTCAAAAAGAAAGCTGCTGTATAAATACGGGCTATTATTGCTACTATGATTTCAAGATAAATACAGCTCTCCTTTGTGTTGCAAATGCTTTTTTATTGACATTTTGGCAGCAACATAGTAAAAGAAAAGCAGGTGATCTGATGCTTTGAAAGCTGTGACCCCATAGGTATGAAGGCAGTTTATCTAGGCAAGCTATTAAGTGCTGTTCTATCAAACATTCTGATAGCAGGAAATACTAAGAAAGCGCTATAATTAACAGGCAGAGCCTGGCTTTCCTTCCTTGGCTTAGATGATTGTACTCACTTTAAATTTCATCCATTTGCCACTGGGTATGTTGCAATCTTGGAATCTCAGGACTAAGTCAACACAGCAACTAAAAGCTTGTTAAATGAGTAACCATATTAATGATGTCAATTCTTCTCCCAAGTTGGGGGAGCCCTTTCTTAATTGGTCAGCTGATCCTGGGGAGAACAGCACCTGAAGCACAACCCAGGAAAGAAAGGGTTGGCAAGGCGGTGACTGCGCCCTCTCTCTCCGCATGCCACTTTCCCAGATTCCGGGACTTACATCAAAGAGACACAAGTTTCTGGAGACAGGAACTCTTACCCATGTAGAGGATTCCATCTGAACTTCGGCATGGGGATGCCTGCACCAATTCTGGGATGGTAAAAGGAAGTTTCTTTAAAAAAAAAAAAAAAGAAAAAAAAAAGTTAACCAAGTCTTGTGCAATTATTACAATTTTACCAGGCAGTTTGTTTCTATTACCTAATTCTGCTAAAAAGAGAGAAGCACTTTGCAGATGAGAGTTTTCCTAACTGAATACAAAGGAGAAGGGGGCACCCTATGCTTCCACATCTACTGTGTTTTTATTTTCATTTTTTTGAGACAGGGTCTCATTCTGTCGCCCAGGCTGGAGTGCAGTGGCACCATCTTGGCTCACTGCAACCTCTGCCTCCTGGGTTCAAGTGATTCTCTCACCTCAGCCTCCCAAGTAGCTGGGATTACAGGCATGTTGCCACTACACCCAGCTAATTTTCCACATCTATTTTGACAAGCTCCCAGGTCCCTGAGCTCTGTAAACATCCACTCCTTTACTTGACACCATGTGCAGAGGCCCCTCAAGGTCTCCTGTCCAGGGTGCTTCCCAGGGGTGACACAAACCTTTTCTGAAAAGATTTACACAAATATGGAGAGTTATATATTCTTTGAAATGCTAAGAAAGAATTGTCCTGGCTTGGAATACAGAGCCAGAGCTGGCTAGACTGAGTAAAATGACAGTGCTTTGTAGAGCCCCATGGGAGGGAGCCAGGACATTGATGCTGAAGGGATGCAACCTTGGTGCCAAGCTCAAGCTTCGAGGGAAAGGAGAAGTCGCCATTACAGGGGCAACACAAGAGTTTGAGGTGGAAAAGAGTTTTGATGTTTTCTTCAGTAAATAATTCACTATTGAAAAACAAGAAAAATTGAGACTTTTGGTTTTAAAGAGGAAGTTAAGATAGGTGCCAGGAAAAGAAACTCAAAGGAATCCAAATGTTTCAACTGCATTTCATCATAAAACTGATTCTTCTGAGTCTACAGCTGACATCTGACGAGCTCTTTTGGTTAATGCTTGTTTCAGTATACTTTATTTTTAGAACATTCTGTGTTTTTGAAATTGTTCTATAGATACCTGCTTTTATAGAAATGCCTCTACTGCATGGTCACCTTTTTCTCCAAGAAAGAAAAGATTTCTCTCTAGCTTTAATAAGCAGAGCTTTGCATACTAAATAACTTGGATTTTCCCATCATCCCAACATTCAAACCAAGCCTCAGAGGAGGAAAAATGCTTCAGAGAGGCTGCAATGACTGGGTTTTGCCATGTGTTTCTGAGAATCAGAAAGGCACTGCAGATCTTCTAGTCTTCTGGAGTCCTGTGGTCTCTGCTGAGCACTGCCACTGGTGCCCTGATTCAAGGCCCAAGCTTGGGAAACATTGTTTCTGGAGCTGCTAAACCACAACCCAGAAAGGAGCACAAGGGAGTGATGAAGGGCATCCTCTTTTTTTTTTTTTTTGAGACGGAGTCTCACTCTCACCCAGGCTGAAGTGCAGTGGCGTGATCTCGGCTCACTGCAAGCTCCGCCTCCCGGGTTGATGCCATTCTCCTGCCTCAGCCTCCCAAGTAGCTGGGACTACAGGCGCCCGCCACTGCGCCTGGCTAATTTTTTGTATTTTTTAGTAGAGACGGGGTTTCACCGTGTTAGCCAGGATGGTCTCGATCTCCTGACCTTGTGATCCGCCCGCCTCGGCCTCCCAAAGTGCTGGGATTACAGGCCCGGCTGGGCATCCTCTTTAAGAACCAACTCCAACACTAGAAGACTCAGCCCTGGACATATTCCTTCACTTCTCCAGGCTGTTTCCACACCTCTAAAACGGGGATATCACCCACAGGGCTGCTGAGAGATTCCAATGAGATAACTTATACAACTCACTCACCCCAGTTTCTGGCAAACAAATTGCTTAAGAAATGGGGACTACAGAGCTGTGGAGAGAAACCAACGGAGAGCAGTGTTGAAGGTGAAATACACACAGCTCTATACAAACTTGCCCTCCTCCCCTCTGTTTTGGTCACAGGCATTCACAAAATAATTTTAAAACACCCAAGTTAAAGTCCACAATCCACTTACAGCCTAGATCAGTGGTTCTCATCCTTGGTTGCCCATGAGAATTACTTGGAAGCTTTAAAAACTTCCTACTGATGCATAATACGCAAACAGAAAAGCACTCATCATCACACAGCTCAGTCAAGTTTCACAAAGTGAACATACCCACGTAACCGGCATCCAGGTGAAGAAACAGAAGCCCCCCTCCTCTCTTGCCCCCCTTTCTAGCCATAACTCTCCAGGGGTAACTATTATCCTAACTTCAAAACAGCAGAGACTCGTTTTTCCTGTTTTTGGCTTTACATAAGTGAATGGCAGCGTGTGGCCTTTTTTGTCTGTCATGTTTTGCTCAACATCACGCTTGTGAGTCATCCGCGGCGTGTGTCGTCATAGACTGTTGGTCCTCATCACCGTGCATGCCGCTTCCAGAGTTTATTTTTCCACTCCACTGTGGATGTTATTTGGCCACCCTCTGCTTATTATAAATGGTGCTGCTGTACATTTGGGCACATGTCCATTGGTGAACAAAAGTGCATTTCTTCTTTTTTTTTTTTTTGAGATGGAGTCTCGCTCTGTTGCCCAGGCTGGAGTGTAGTGGCGTGATCTCAGCTCACTGCAAGCTCCACCTCCCGGGTTCACGCCATTTTCCTGCCTCAGCCTCCCAAGTAGCTGGGACTATAGGCGCCCGCCACCGCACCTGGCTAATTTTTTGTATTTTTAGTAGAGACGGGGTTTCACCATGGTCTCGATCTCCTGACCTCGTGATCCGCCCACCTTGGCCTCCCAAAGTGCTGGGATTACAGGCATGAGCCACCGCACCCAGCCACAAATGTGCATTTCTGTTGGGTCTGTAACCTAGGAGGGCATTACTGGGTCCTAAGGACTTTAGCACTTACTGCCAACAGTTTTCCAAATCACTTGTGCCACCCTGCACTTCCGCCAGCAGTAGGTGAGAGTCCTGGTTGCTCCACATCACCAACATGTTTTCTTTTTCTACTTTCCTTGTTTTGGCCATTCTGGTGAGTAGCAGTATGGCACTGTGGCTTTAATTTGCATTTCCAAATGACTAATAAAATGGAACATCTTTTCATATGTTTATGACCATTTGGATATTCTCTTCTGTTATTCTTCCATTGGGCTGTCTTTTTTTAACGTACCATAGGATTTCTTCATATATTCTGAATATGAACTTTTGTTGGATGTGTATACTACAAATACTTTGTGGCCTCTTAATGAGGAAAAGTTCTTAATTTTAATATAATCAATATATTGATTTTTTCCTAAATTTATAGTGTTCTTTAATATCCTACTTAATAAATCTCTACTTACTCTAAGATCATGAAGATGGTTCCATTACTTTTTTTCTTAAAGCTTTATTATTTTGCATTTCACATTTAGATGTGTGATCTATCTGGAACTGATTTTATATGTGTTGTAGGGGGGTAGGAGTCAATACTTTTATTCCTATATGGATATCCCAATTGACCTACACCACTTATTGCAAAAACACTGTAAGCTGGGTGGTGGTGGCTCACGTCTGTAATCCCAGCACTTTGGGAGGCTGAGGTGGGTGGATCGCTTGAGCCCAGAAGTTGGAGACCAGCCTAGGCAATATGATGAAACCCCATTTCTACCAAAAATACAAAAAATTAGCTGGGCGTGGAGATGTACACCTGTGGTCCCAGCTACTCAGGAGGCTGAGGTGGGAGGCTGGCTTGAGCCTGTGAGACGGAGGTTGTAGTGAGCCAAGATTGTGCCACTGCATTCCAACCTGGGTGACAAAGTGAGACCCTGTCTCAAAAGAAAAGAGAAAAGACAAGACAGGACACTGCAGTGTCACCTTTGTCACATATCAGATGACCATATGTGTGGGCCTGTTTCTAAATTCTCTTATCTGGGGAGCTTTTAAAAAGTCCTGATGACTTAGATCAATTAAATCGGGACCTTCTGGGATTGGGCCCTATGTTCTAGGTCCTAATGCTGTTTTTTCGAATTCCAGGTTATTACAATGTATAATTAAGGCTGAAAACCACTGGTTTAGATTCTCAAATGGAAATGAGGGTAGAATATCACATGACTCCCTTAAGGAGTCATCGGAAGGTGGGGCAGGTGGAGACAGCATTTCAAACTATATCCCTCCCTCCTAAGGTGAGGGTCACCAGTTAGAGCAAACCCTGTTCTTAACATTATATCCTCCAGTGTATGGGCTGGGCCATGAGAACCTGCTGGTCTGCATCCGTGTTTCTGAACTCTGGCACCACATTTAAAAGCTCATTTAGGAAGCTCTCTGAAAAGACTGATGCCCAGGCTCCTCTCTAGACCACCTGAATCAGAATCCCCAGGGGTTGTTTTTAAAAGCTCCAGGTGGGAGACACAGTAAGACACTGTGCAGACACACTTAAGGACCGCTGGTCTAGAACCCCTGGAGTACAAAAAGCAGCTAAATATACTCACCGTCAGGCCTTCATTATTCTTGCTTCCAAGCGTATACAGGCTGCCATCATTAGGATCTGGGAGAAAGGCAGGCCTAGAGATTAAATAATAAATATCAAAGATAAATTACAGCCCAGGGCATGGAACAACATACCAAAGCCACGCAAACCCATGATGGAGGAATAGAGAGTGGAGGGTGGTTGTGTGTAGGTGTATAAGTGAGTATATAAGACAATTCCACCCACTACTCTCTCTCACTTCAACCACAGATAAATAAAATACCCCTATGGTGGTATACACTATCCTTGAGTGGAGAAAAGCGGCCTGAAAGGAAAAATCATACAAAACCATAGAAGACAAATTATCATTTGGTCAAAGCACTCTGGATGAAGGCAAAATATGTGAAAAGGACCCAGTAAGTCCACTTTTCAATTTCTACATCAATTGTATATAGAACTCCAGCCATTAATATTTGATAGGATGGCATGGTACATAAACAGGTAGAACAAATCTGCTTTTAGTTTTCAAGAGATATTTTTTGTTTAACTGGAGGCAATAAAAGCAGACTCTAACAGCTTGACATCAGAGAGAACCCGCCAAGGGGACAGATCAAGGTCCCTCCGTCAGTAGCTTCCCTTGAAGCAGATGTGAAGTGGTCTTTTGTCAAGTTAATCTGCTAAAGACTAAACTATAACTACAGTCCCTCAGAAACCCTTGGCTGAATCGTTCCTTAGGTTGTGCCATCATTTAAGGCTCTTACCAGTGCTATCCAGCTTTTACCCCAACACACACTCTGTAGTAGCAGGTCACATTCACCTTTTTTCTCCATGATATGACACAGCAAAGAGGAAGAGGTCCAGTCCCCCTGAGGACTTTGGAAGTTTAAGTTCAAAGCTCAACTTGAGTTTCATCTCAAATAAGCCTTTTTAAAACCACTACCCTTCTCCCTCAGGAAACTGACCACCTCCTCCTCAACACAAGCTTTCATCATAGCACCTGTAAGACTTTATATGTCACTCACTGTTATTCCTCAAACTTACACATATATGCACTCCCAGCAACTGGCCTCATAAACACTGATTGAATGAAGAAGACTGAATTAAAGGGAAGTACTGAGCGAATCAGAAAACTTACTCTTCCACATGTGTTGGGACCTGCAGGACTGGATCTGTGCAAAAGAACAACAAAGCCATCATCAGAAACATCCCAAAATGTCAAGATTCCCAGAGGCTTCCCAGGACCAGGCCAAGTTGTACCGGTAATAACTTTCTCCCTCCTGTTAACCTACATGGGCTAGTGCACGTGAAGGTTATATGCATTTTTGTATCACCGTGCATATCTTTTAGAAAACATATCCACAATGATGCAAATGTAAGCTCTTGGATAGTTACTGAGGCTGGATAGAGAACTGAGACCAGAACAGAACTGCTTTCAAGAAACTTGCATATAACTTGGGGGATGGATGCAGAACGAAGAACCAGTCACCACACACCGTGGACAAGGGGTCAGAGCATCACTATCTGACACCTCAAAGACTTCTAAAACCTTAATCATTACCTTGTCCGATGCCTGGAGTAGCTCTACATATTCCCATTAGGAAAAGTAAAATGGGTTTAAGAACTAACTTTGATTGGCCAGTAAATGGACACACCTCTTTGGAGCGGCAATTCTAGAGCCTCCAAGTGTTCATTCCCTTTGGCCCCCCCATTGCATTTTTATAAAATCTAATTTAAAGACAATATAAACTATAGAAAATGGTTTTTGTACAAAGATGTGTACGTAGCAGCATTACAAATGACCTACCCAATAATATGGTTAAGTTATAGAATGTCCACTTGGCAAAAAATTAAGGCTTCTAAGAGGGCTAATAAAATTTTAAGACATATACAAACCTATGCTATTATGTTCAGGAGAAAAGATAACATTGTACATAGAGTATTAATGCAACTATGGGGAAAGGCTTCAATGTACCTAATTAGATGGAAAGATCAAAAATGCTAATTGTAAGTTATCCTTGTTGGAAATGCAACTCCCCCCAACCTTTTCTATATCTTAAAATTTCTGCAAGAGCAGGCATTACTTTTTAAATTGAGAACACGTTTTTTTCTCTAAGTCAATTTTACATTTGCAGCAATTAATGGCAGAATTCTTCCCTCCCTAGATTTTCCTGGGCACAAAGCAAGAGGAAGCTCCTGATTCCAGGGGCAGATGGTGGTGGCAGTGAGAGAGCATGAACACTGGCACAGCAGCACTGTGTAGTGACAGATCCAAAAGTCCGCAGGCAGGAGACTCACAGCGATGAGGTATTTCCAGCAACCAAAACCCCACAGCCATGCTATACACAACTTAATCTCTGGGGGGCAAGAACAGCAAGTATTCTTACATGATTTTGTATGCAGAATTCCAGACTCTGTAGGCTCTGCTTATGGTGACAGACGGCTGTCCAATCCATCCAATTATTGGATGAAGGAAAATCTTTTAAGCCTTATCATATGTTGACTTTGCTTAAAAGCCCAGCTCCTATACAAAGGCATATGGTGTTCACAACAACAGAGGTGTACACACACCATATGCGGTCTGTGGGCAGCAAACAAACAACTCACTAAACCAAAAACACTCTAGGAAACAGGAAGAACTTTCAGTCAGTAAGCACATGTTTATCTTTCCCATTAATCACCTCTCGGTACACTCTCACAAACAGACTGATGCAAGAGACAGGAAATAAAGGCACACCACACTCATCCTACTGAAACAAGCTAGTCAAGGTGCAATAACCCAGTTATTTTAACACCGGCCTGAAGGCATGCAAGCCAAGAAGAGCAAGAATATCATATTCCGAAGAAAACACAGCAGTAAAATGGCATCTTTTTTGTTTGTTTCAGCCACTTAAAGGTATCACAGATAAACACAGATTAAGAGGACATGGCCAAATTCCAGGAATTCACCAGAAACAAGACATGCAGACCAACATGATTTAAATTCCTGTTCATAACCTGATCTTTGCTGTACAGTGTTTGCTCAGTCACACAGACTCGTCTTCAGATGCAGATTTTCCTGGTTTTCTATAGCTTATCCACTGGTCACCTGACACTGAGGCCTCAGGTCCCAAGATATGCCCTGTATCAGGAAGGTTCCAGTTAAGATTCAGGACATTGGCAGGAGACAGGGGAAGATTCCCGGGACAACTACATTGGTGTTTAAGAACTGTGATTTTTTTTTTCTAGGCTTAGGAGAAGATAAACTCCAGTAGGAGGGCCTTATGGTTATCTTAGCATTTCCCATCCACTCAGTAAAATAAGCACCTGGAATAAGCCTCTTCAAAGCTGCAGCCCAGGTAAAGACACAATTATTAAGACAGTTCTGACAGAGGCAGACACACTGCTGCTTGGCTTCTGAAATGTAACAATGACCTAATTCTGTAAATGTTTTTCTTTAAGAATCATCTGAATTCAAGATTTGCTTTAAAATACTACAGAAAATAATTATACGGGGGGCGGGGAGGACAGATAAAACAAGAAGTGGCAGGCTGTTGATAACAGTTAAAGATGAGACACGGGAACACTGGAGTGTTATTTTACTACTCTCTGTACATATGGTTAAATTTTTTCATATTAAAAAAGGTTAAAGAGAAAATTATCTTTGGAAAGTCAGCAAAAATAAAAAGAGCATTATCTGAAAATGTGCACTAAAAGAGTAACATGAAAAAGTGGTTTTGATTTAATAATGAGAACTGATATCAGGTAAGATTCTTGCTTTAAAAAAAAAAGTTTTCAGCCATGTGAAAAGAAACACTGTCCTACCTGTAGGGATGTAAACAAATACTGCTGTAAAATAAGCCACTATCTATATGGGGCCCGATAAGAATAAAAGCCAATGTCACCAAGTTGTTTTACTTTCAGAAAAAAAAAGTTGTGGGGGAGTTACTTCACAAATATAAAAAGTGGCTGTTATGTAAGGTAAAGGTAAGGTTATCTGGTAAAGGTAGAGGGAAAATATAGCTGAAATCAAGGTTTGGTCTCCCAGGATTAACACGGGAAAGAAACAAACCTGCTCACTGATCCCCTGGGAGCAGCCACTGGCCTCAACTCCACTCCCCGGCCCCCATCGTGTGTCCAGCTGAGGCCTGGAATGGCACAAGTTTTACACCTGCAGGAACTGACATCCTGGGTGAGGTCACAAGATGCTCATTGCTAGGCTAATCTAAATCACTTCTTTAAGCTCAAATAACAAAACAGACGTCCACATCTTTCCTTTGTCCAAGTTCATAAGGGTAAAGTTTTAAACATTTCTGTCCCCAAAAGCAGTGAATTTTTGTCCCCACTCCCTCCTCCACACAGGGAGGAACATTGCCAGCTTCTCCCTTCAGCCTTTCTTCTCACTCAGAGAGCACATGCCTCTCTATAACTTCCACCCTAACCACAGTGGGGTTCTAGGCTCCCCTCTCCCGGGTCCTTTCTCTGGATCAACTGGACACGCCCACTACTTCCCACCAACGCCTCAGCCTCTGCTTGCCCAAGTCACGCCCTCTGTCTTTTGCCTGAGACTGGCTTCTACTCCTGACTACCGTATTTTATTAACAGTACCACCATTCTCCTAGAAGAAAGCCATGACTCAAACGACACTGTTGATGTCTATTTCTCCCTAACACATGCTATCAGTTGCCAAACTCTGTGGTCTGTTTCGATGCCAACCATAATTCTGTGTCCTGTTCCCATTCCCTTCAACACCATAGGAACCCTTTGTCTCTCAAGCCTTCCCTCCTCTCTTAATCTGTGTGGACTTTGGAATCAGACAAACCAAGGCATAAATCCTGGCTCTGCCAATCACCAGCTGAGTGACCTTGGCAAAGTTACTTAAGCTCGTGGAGCCTCAATTTCCTCATCAGTAAGGAAAAAAAAAATAGAGATAACATCAACCTCATGGGGCATCTCTATGTGGATTAAATGTTTGTCAAGACTATAAGTCAATGCCTTGACACTGAGAAGAGTGATCCTTTTAAAGGCATAAATCAGATTAAGCTTCTCTGTGACTCAAAATCCTTTGGTGGTTCCCCATCTCACTCAGTGAAGGCCAGTGTTTACACAGTGGTTCATAAATCCCAAGCAGTCCCTCCCTTTCAACCTGTCACCCTTTAACAATCTCCCACTATTTCCCACACACTCCATTCCAGCCATGCCGGCCTCCAAGTATTCAACAAGCACTGCCAGGCCTGCCCATGCCTCAGGACCTTTGCACTGGCTGTTCCTCTGCCTAGGTCTTTGATCAACTGTTGCCACCTCAGAGCGGTCTTCCATGATCACCTCCTACTGCCCAGGATTTCCAACCCTTCTTCCCTGCTTAATTTTTCTCCATGTCACTTACCACCTCTGTAGTTCTGTATATTTTATTGCTTACTTAATGCCCAACTCTGGCCACGGAGGGTTGGGATTTATTTTTTGTTGTCTGCATCTTCCCAAGGATCTAAAACAATACCTGACACACAGGTGGTAACCAACGTATTTGCTGAATGGAGTAATTAAGTGTCATTTCCTGTCTTAGTCTGTTTGTGTTCCTATAAAGGAATACCTGAGGCTGGGTAATTTATAAAGAAAAGAGGTTTATTTGGCTCACGTTTCTGCAGGCTGTACAAGAAGCATGGCATTAGCATTTGCCTCTGATGAGGGCTTCTGGCTGCTTCCACTAGTGGCAGAAGGCAAAGGGGAACCGGAGTGTACAGAGCTCACAGGGCGAGAGAAGCAGCGAGAGGGGAGAAGGTGCCAGGCTCTTTTTAAGAACCATCTCTCACAGGAATTAATAGGGTGAGGATTCACTCACTACAATGAGGACAGCGCCAAGCCATTCATGAGGGATCCACCCCCAAGACCCAAACACTTCCCATTAGGCTCCACCTCCATCACTGGGAATCAAATTTCAACATGAGGTTTGGAGGGTCAAATATTCAAACTAGCGCAGTTTCTTTCCTACTTCCACTCTTGGCCAGCCTGGAAATCCATTGTTGATCACTTTTAATAATCCAGCAGATAAGCTCTACTCACCCTGAACCCAGGATCTGCATAGCAGTCCCTGTTCCTCCACCCAGCCTTCTGAGCACAGCTGTAGAAAACACTGCGATCATTAGTGGAGATACCATGATACGTGGTATCTCCATGGTGTGGCCAGCTAGGCCCCTGCCACTAGGAGATCCTGGCTGGCTTCTGTTCTCACCCCTGTAGCTGATATTTCAAACTACTCCTTGCCTCAAGGTCCCTGTCTCTCCACAAATGACTCTGCCTTCTGTGTCATAGGGGATATTAAGGGAGACTGAGTGAGCTTGCTGAAACTTCCTACCCTTTGTCTTCTACATTTGCCCAGCTCCACCCTTCCCTTCACATCTCTATAAAGGGACAATGCTTTTGTCTTCACACTCATAGATTTTTCACACTCACATCTAGATCCTGTCTCCAAGGATCTTCAACTCCTCCTTTGCCTATAAACACAAAAACCTCTTGGCTCTGCCTGCTCTTCTGCACACTCTCCTTTTCCTCCAAAGTGCAACCATTTTAAGTTTACAGTTCAATCAATCTTGAAAAACACACACCCATGTAACTATCTTCACCATCAAGATACAGAACATTTCCATCACCCTAAAACATTTTTTCACATCCCTTTGGATTCAGTATTTCCAAATCTTGCTCCAGATAAGTACCAGTTCATTTTGTTTGTTCTAAAATTTCACAAATGACCACGTCATAGATACTCATTTGTGCCTGGCCTCTTTATCTCACATAATGTCTTGGAAATTCATCCATATTGTTGTATGTATCATAGTTCGCTCTTTTTTATTACCAAATAGTATTCTACTATAAGAATTTACCACAATCTGTTTACCTATTTACCTGCTGAGGGACATTTGAGTTGTTTTTATTTTCTTGGCTGGTGTGAATAAAGCTTCTGTGAACATTTGTGTACGAGTGTTTATTTGGACCTATTTTCATTTCTTTTTTTTTCTTTTCTTTCCTTTTTTTTTTTTTTTTTTTTTTTTTTTGAGATGGAGTCTCGCTCTGTCGCCCAGGCTGGAGTGCAGTGGCACAATCTCAGCAACCTGCAACCTCCACCTCCTGAGTTCAAGTGACTCTCCTGCCTCAGCCTACCGAGTAGCTGGGACTACAGGCGTGTGCCACCACACCCAGCTAATTTTTGTATTTGTAGTAGAGATGGGGTTTCACCTATTGGTCAGGCTGGTCTTGAATTCCTGACCTCGTGATTCACCCGCCGTGGCCTCCCAAAGTGCTGGGATTATAGGTGTGTGCCCAGCCTATTTTCATTTCTTAAAACAAGGAGGGGGACTGGCTGCATCATATTGTTTACCTCTGACAAAAAATTGACAAACAGTTTGCAAAACTGGTAGTACTGTTTTATATTTCCACCAGCAATGTATTAGAGATTCCTATGGAATTTTTAGAATGTTGATTCCTAGGTTCTTCCCCCAGGAAGCTGGCTTTGTAGGTAGAGACAAGGAATTTGCCTTTATAACCCAAGCTGGGTGATTGAGCCATGTGGGGAAACTACACTGCTCCGAATCCTCTGTTCCACCTTCCTGCCTTCTTACCTTCCTCCACTCACTGCCCTCCGGCCCCTACCCTCAGAATAAGATCAGAACTGCCACTGTCAAGTTCCCGTGATCAAAACCAACACTTGCAAATCCTCCGCATGGCATCTGAGGATGTTCTCCCTTGGACTCCTGACCCAGTCCCACTTGCAACTGCTATGGGTGTCTCAGCCCAAGGCCATACCCCCAGGACCTGCTCCTCAGTTCACATTCCCCAGATTGGCTAGTGGGTCCCACTTCCACCCAGTCACACAACCTAGAAACTCAGGAAGTCCCCAAACCAGTCCCTTTTAAGTGTACCTCTAGCAGTGACTGTAAATGTTTTGGGTTGGCCCTTTTGAAAAGTATTTAAGGGAGAGGGACAGGGATTACCCCGCATTGATAATTATTGAAGCTGGGTGCTGGGTACATGGTTTCATGATACTACTCTTCTTACTTTGGGGTATGTATAAAGTTTTTATAAAATGAAAAGTTAAAAAAAAAGCTAAAAACAGAAGCTATTTAAGGCAAACATCTGCAATAGGTTGGAGAGAATGGCCTGTTCCTCCTGCTCTCACCTGTGGCATAATTCTGAAGAGCCTGCTCTTCCAGTTGCACAGGGCACAGAGAGACTGAAGGGAAACCCAAGTTAAGAGCATGAAGGACCCTGTCAGGACCATCCCAGGCTTCCCTAAATGCAGGGCTGGCAAAATTCGTGAGGGCCTGGGGAAAACATGGGGTGATAAGTCAGCTGAACAGAAAAATGTCTTTGATGCAATCAACCAAAATTTAAATAATTGTTTCAAACCAGACTTCGAGATTGACGGCCTCTCTCTGGAGGTAGCTCTGGGCAGACTTCCTTCCATGTAGGAAGAAGTAAGATCCCTTTGATTACAGAAGCCACAAGAACAGGTTGCTCACTTAACTGGAGCTCAAGGAGCCTTGCAAGATCCTTCTCTTATCTTTCCCAGATGAGCACGGATATTTCTGGAACACCCTGCTTTTGCTTTTCCGTTGGACTCTAGATGACCTCTGGCTTTACTGCCCTCCTCCACCTTGTTCTTTCTGACCCCATCTGACCACCCTTCTGACCCCCATAACGCAGCAATGGAAATCAGCTCTCTCTTCTGCACAACTAAGATATTACCACACAGTTAGAAAGTCCCCAAACCAGTCCCTTCTAAGTGTAACCCTAGCAGTGATTTTAAATGTTCTGGGTTGGTATTCAAAATACCTTTTGAAAGGTATTTAAGGACCCAAAGAGCAGAGATGAAGTCTCAAATGCTTTATAGTCTGTGTAATCCTCTACACACATGCACCCCCATTCCCCGCCGAGGAGGAAGAGGACTGACAACCCTGCTACTAGTAACTTTCTGTTGAGATGCGCCAAACACATCTCAGAAACAACTGTCAGATATCTGCTTCAGCTGGGTTCTCTGTTAAGTGCCATGCAGGATAAAGAAGGGAGCTTATGGTTTGAGTTACGAAGCTAATACACATGAACCACACATAACGAACTGCTAGAACATGGGGCATGCACCACAGGCTTTCCTAGGTGGGGACCGGAATACTCGGAGCAGAAAACCCTCATAAAGGCAGCCGGCCCCAAGCACAGGGATGACAAGACAACATGAGTGAAAAAATGTCACTGTGTTCACGGGACAGAGGACGCAGGCTCAGTAAGTGTGACATGTTCCTCCTGAGGAACAACACAAATGAAGCTGGACTGCAGGCAGTGACACCATGGGGAAGAAAGCCTTGAAAACTTTGTGATGTGGAATGTTGGTCACTAGAGTCCAACTGGAAGCCTCTGAGAAAAAGAGGAATGTGGGCCGGGCGCAGTGGCTCACGCCTGTAATCCCAGCACTTTGGGAGGCCAAGGTGGGTGGATCATGAGGTCAGGAGATCGAAACCATCCTGGCTAACATGGTGAAACCTTCTCTCTACTAAAAATACAAAAAATTAGCCGGGCATGGTGGCAGGCACGTGTAGTCCCAGCTACTCAGGAGGCTGAGGCAGGAGAATGGCGTGAACCTGGGAGGCAGAGCTTGCAGTGAGCCGAGATCGTGCCACTGCACCCCAGCCTGGGCAAAAGAGTGAGAATCCATCTCAAAAAAAAAAAAAAAAAAAAAAAAAAAGAGGAACGTGACACAGGGTGAGCATCCCAAATCCGAAAATCCAAAATCTGAAATGTTCCAAAATCTGAAGCCTGAGCGCCAACGTGATGTGCAAAGGAAATGCTCACTGGAACATTTTGGGTTTCAGATTTTCAGATTTGAGATGTTCAACTGGTAAATATAATGCAAATATTCCAAACCTAAAAAAATCCAAAATCAGAAACACTTCAGGTCCCAAGCATTTCGGGTAAGGGATATTCAACCTGTACAAGTCCTCTGAAGGCAAGTTAGACAGGCGGGCATTGAGGCACAAAATGAAGGGAAAAAGGGAGAAGGAATCACAAAGGTGCTGCAACAGATAGACCCGAGCCGGGGTGGAGGGGAGTCAGAAACAGACAGGAGGGAAAAGAGTGTCAGCAAAACTGAGCCCTGTCTAGATAAATGCAGTGGGAGAAAGGAACGATTTAAAGGTGACATGGAGATTTTAACCCTGGCTGACAGGTAACAGTGAAACTAGAAAGGCATAGTCTGAATGAGGTAAACAACTGCTATTTTCTCAAGAATGTGCTTAAGGTTCTAATACTGTTTTCTTATTAAAAAAAAAAATTACTGGCAGAAACAAAGCCATTCACCCTTCCTTAACTCAAACCTTCAGTCTCCCAAATATGTTTCATACATTCGAGTGGCCCAATTAGGGAGTACTTCTCCCCAGTGGCAGCTCATTCCTTCCCTCCAGAGAAAAAGCACTTCATTAACCTAAGCCATAAACTCCCATTAAAGCTGTTAGGTCCAAATTTTAAGACAGAAAGTCTCAAACATTCTTTACAGTTCAGCTTTCATGAGGAAAGCATTTTTTTTTAAAGACATCTAATCAAAAGCTCCTCAATTTCTAATCTCAGCAGAACTGGAAAAGGATGTAATAAGTTTTCTTTGGAGGTAACCTCCATAAGTCACGAAGTGTCACACTTGGCAAAGACGATCACATAGAAATGACCAAGTAATCCGGAAAACTGCCCATACTAAAAGCAGCTGAAGTCTACTGCGTTCTCATTTATCTCTACTTTGGCAGAAGTAACTCAGGCCAAAAAACACACTGAACGTTATAATCAATCATGAAGGCACTGAAGACAATTCAACACTACAGCCTGTGTCCAAATGCCTCTCAGGATGTCATAACTTCACAGAATTCATTCCTGAGTGATGGAGTGCCATCAAACCAGACACTCAAAAGTGAACAAAGGGACAGGTAACTAAGTCACAGACAAAATAAGGCACTTTATCCATGTACTTCAACAATCACAACCATATTCCAACACACACCAACCAATGCTGCAAAGACGACCCATCGGAGCTGAGATCCACGCTACTACGTGTGTGGCAGCTGCTAAGAGGAGCCATCCGAAATGAGAAATGCATTACTTTGAAGCAAGTCCCAAAAATAAGGGAAGAAAGTGAGTGGGGGTGCAGGTGAACAAGGCTAGATACAAACCAGTCCCTGTTGAAGCTGAGTGATGAGTACATGGGGGTTCTTTACATAATACTTCTACATTTGGATATGTTTTAAACCGTCTATGTTTAAAAGTAAAATACAAAAAAAGAAAGAACCAACACATTTCCAAGATGCTCAAAAGTAAAAACAGGTTTCTCTCACAGCCCCTTTCATAAAACTTAATTTTCAATCCTTCACAACAATGAAGAGGAAATAAACACCTTTCTTATACTTAAGCAGTGAGGGTAAAAAGGTAGATGATGCATATTGTAAGCCTAGAAAAGTCCTTGAGAGAAAACAGGTTAGATCTATTAACAAAACATCATCACTTTTCACAATTTCCCCTTCTCATGTTTCCATTGCACTTCTGAAGACAGATCTCCAACTCTTCCAGAGTCCCACACACTGCCTAAAGCAGGACAGAAAAACCAACTGCCAAAGGCCATGCAAAACTCAAGATCAGAAACCAGAACCGGAAACTGTCATGACTATGATACAAGCAACAAATGATTCATCCTGAGAAGGCAGTCAAGTCCCATTTGTTTCTCAGGACTCCCAAAAGACGTCCAGGCAGAAGAGTTCTGGGACCCGAGTCAGCATCAAGTGCCTTGGACATTTACTGAGCATCCTGGCTGCCCAGAGCCCCAGTAAGGAGGTAGAAATCCACTAGGAAGCAAATGAGAACAAAAATTTACAACACAAGCCAGAAGTGCCACAACAGAGGGTTCAGAAAAGCACCTCCAGAACCCAGAGAAAAAATGGGCTCACCCTGCTTGAGAAGCCAGGGAGGTAAATGGGGTCTTCACAGATGAACAGGAGCTTGTCTAACATTGCAGGCTGCTGGTAGAGAGGGAGCATGAGCAAAGGCCAGAGGTCTCCAAGGCCTGGTAAGGAGTTACATGGCTGCAAGTAGGGCACCTGCTGGGCAGGGGAGGGAGCCCAGGGAGTTGGGGCGGGGGGGCGGCGGTGAGAGACCACGAATGGCCTTGCACATGCACTAAGGAGCTTAGACTTGACCCTGTGGAGCAGCACTTCTCAAACTAGCAGTGGTGAAGGGCCAGTTGTTGAAACGGCCAACCCATCATGGATGATGCTCACGCTCCCTATTTATCCTTTCCTCATCATTCACAGGTAACACACCACACACACTGATGCAGGCACAACGCCACCACTATAGACAACACCAAGAGCATTTCAGCAGGCAGGGGTACAGCTAGGTCCAATTGGTCTTTTTGGGGGTGTATCTGAGGGCAGTGTGATGAGTGAACGAGAGGGCTAAGGTGCGGGGGGCATGGATGGTGGTCAGGAGGCTGCTGCATTCACCTAGGAAATAAGTGCCAAGAGCCTGGCTAAGGCACCAGCAATGGGGCCAGAGAGGAGTCAGGTTTGCAGGGTCCTTCCCAGTCTGCATGACAGGGCTTGGTGACCACTGGGCATCAAGGGGGAAGTAGCACAGCATCATTCTATTTTCTCTAGTTTCTATACTGCTTGGCCGTGATTCTGTCAGCACAGGGAGGAACTGTGGCAAGAGGCACATGTTTAGAAAGAGACACTCACGTGAGAATAAAATTGTCTTCAAATTTCAAATAACTTTGTTCTGACTCTTCCCTCCTAAGAAATCTCCAGTATTATGTCCTGTTTTGTTCACCTGCTGTATACTCAGAACCTGGAGTAGTATCTGGATAGCTTTATCATTTATCTAAATGTCCACTCAAGGGACATCTCCGGAGTCTGGGCCCAGCTGGCTAGGAGAGTAGTCATATTGCATATTTAGCAGATTTTCATGATTAGTAAAGAATGGTTCTAATTTGACCCAGCTCTTCATGCCTACTATTATTGGAAAGGAGACAGAAAAGAATAGAGCAGGGTTGCTATAGAATAACCTGTAATTTGATGGGGATTTGAGTGTTAAATATCAGCATTAACTAGTATTTTAAGGTGAGCTCAAGAAGCCCTACACCAGCCCTGGAAATACTAAAGAAAGTCCTCTCAACTCCATCAGGCCAAAGCAAGCTAATCTAAAACAAAACATGATGGCAACATTCTCAGTTTGCATTTCGTCTAAAAGTACAGAGATGAAATATATTCAACTCTATTCACTGGTGAGGTTTTAGAGAAAGACAGACTACAGCTACAAAATCAGTGCTTAGAAGGATGGCCCCTAAAGTAAAATGTCACAACCCAAATGAGTTCCAGAAAACAAAACGCATTTTCTCTATTACGTATAATTTGCCACTATGGTGTAAGAAACCACCATTTCTGGGAACTACAACACGTTTGGCTGAGGAACAAAAGCACCTGCCAAACCACCACAGAAAGCAAAAAAAAAAAGTAAATAAATACATAAAAATGTCCAGTTCATTGGCTCCTGAAAAAAGTAAACAGCCGAATGGAGTTGCAGGCCTCTATTCTGAAGAACCCCAGTTTGGTGAGTTAAAGGTATGTGTTTGCATCAGCAAGTTTATTCCATTCAGCTCTGAATCCCTCTTTGAGACTCAGACCCAAGCTTGTATCCTCTCTTGTCTGGACTAGTGCAGTACACCCCTGCCTGGCCTCCCAGTTTCTTCCTGGCCCCATCTGTTCAGTTTCAACACAGCACTTGTTGATCTTGTAAAGTGGAGGCCATGTGCCTTACTCTGCTCAGACTACTATAACAAAATACCATAGACTAGAGGGCTTGAACAACAGAAATTTATTTCTTATGGTTCTGGAAGCTGGAAGTCTGAGATTGGTTTCTGGTGAGGGCTCTCTTCTTGGCTTGCAGACGGCCACCTTCTCACCATGTCCTCACATGGTGGAGAGAGAATGAGCGAGCTCTGGTCTCTCCCTTCTCATAAGGACACTCATCCATCCTAAGGGCCCCATCTTCATGATTATCTCCCAAAGGCCCCATCTCAAAGTACCATCACACTGAGGGCCAGGGCTTCAGCTTATGAATGGCAGTGGAAGGATGACACAAATATTCAGTCCAGAACAACAGGGCATGTTGCTCCTTGCCTCAGGTTCCTCCAACGGCTGAGGAAAAGCCAATGTCCTCACACCAGCCACTAGGCCCTACACCAGTGGTATCCGTAGGGAGAGCACAGCTCCCCAGGGAATGCTTGAGAAATCGATGAAGGTATTTTCTGGTGGTCACAGAGACTAGCGGACTTTACAGGCACTAAGTGTGGGGGACCAGGGATGCTAGCGGTCCTGTACAACCAAGGATTGCCCTGCATCTGCATGCCACTCTGATGTCCTGCCAGACATTCTCATGGGCCAAAACCCTTTACTAATTATCCGAGGCTATAGCCTGTTTTACACATAAGCACAAATGTACTTTTTCATAATATACAGAATTTTCTTGGAACGTAACTACTGTGTAAGGCAGGTAAGGCTGTACTTCTTTTGTTTGAAACACTACCAAGAACAGTTCACCGTCCTGGAAATCCAGTTGCCGTGGCTATGGTGGTAAACTATCCTGCACTTGTCTCCATCTGCATCAACAGGCACAGCATTTGTTCCTGGGGGGAGTGTCAGCGTGTGTCCGAGCATTTACATGCTATATCTATGTGATTAAAAAAATACTTTCCTATTATTTGTTTTAGATTACCAGTTCGGTAATATGTTTATTTCTTTTTGAAACTGTGTATACGTAGTTTACTGACTATAAATTTTGTTTCAGTAAGCAACTTTATAGTACATGTGAAGTAAAGGAAGCGCTGGGTCCCTCCTGCCCTGTATGACTGGCCCATCTCTCTCTGAGCTGATCTCCTCCCGCCACATCAACTCTGTGCTCCTCCTCTACCGTGCCAGGGACACTCCCATCCTTTCTTTTTTTTTTTTTTTTTAAGGACACTCCACCTTTGACCCGCTATGCCGGCTGTCTACAAGACTCCCTTGCCTCCTTGAGCTCTTGCTCAAATGACACCTTCTCCGTGGAGCCCTCCCTGTTTAAAACTGCAGACTCCCACCCCAACCTGGTACTGCCCATTCCATGTCCCCACTTCATTTTTTCTTCAAACCTCTCGTCACTACTAAGTAACTGATTTCCTGTTTTCCCACTAGAATGAAAGCTTTATGATAAAAGGGTTTGCCTGTTTTGTTCACTTGCTGTATCCTCAGGACCTAGAGTAGCATCTGGATACCTTTATCATTTATCTATATTTAACAATTTAGAAAAATGTTGAAATCTTCAGTTATAACCACAAGATTAAACTGAAAACTCAGGGTATCTGCACATTACCATCTTTAATCTTTGTATAGAAATATAAGTCAAGGCCACTGGTATCCAGGGCTGAACTAAAACATGCCAGTTTATTCTTAGAAAAACAGATCATCATGAATACTACTGGAAATTATTAGGCTGGGCACAGTGGCTCACATCTTTAATCCCAGCACTTTGAGAGGCAGATCACTTGAGGCCAGGAGTTTGAGACCACCCTGGCCAACATGGTGAAACTCCATCTCTACTGAAAATACAAAAATTAGCCAGGCATAGTGGCGCATGCCTGTAATCCAAGCTACTCAAGAGGCTGAGGCATGAGAATCACTTCAACCTAAGAGGCAAAGGTTTCAGTGAGCCAAGATCGCACCATTGCACTCCAGCCTGGGCAACAGAGGGAAACTCTGTCTCAAAAAAAGAAAAGAAAAGAAAAGAAATTATTAGACCTTAATTGGATTTATCTAATTCTTCTTTAAGTGTCTTGTAACTCCTCCTCCCTAGTCAGTCACTAGATTCTACTGATTCTATTTCTGGCTTGCCTCTCACCCTTCCCATCCCTCCTCCCTTTCCAGGTCTGCTTCCTGTTTCTAGTCATCCCACACACAGCTGCTAGAGTCATCGAAAAGCGAGCACCTGTTGAGTCACTCACCTGTTCAATCACATTAACAGCTCCCAATTTCCTGTTCAGTCAGATACAAATGCCTAAGTGCTCCATCCAGTAAGGCTCAACATCCCCTTGTAATCCTCCCTCCCTCTACCTGGAAACGCTAAGCTCCTGCTAAACGGGATAAGCTCCTGCACCCTAGACCTGCTGCCTCCTTCGCTCTTCTCCAGGCCTCACTCCTGACTGAACTCAATTCATTCACCAGGGTTTACCTCTGACACCCCACTTCACAGAGCCTCCTGCCCTCCAAATGGATGTGGGCTCACAGCACATTACTAGTCCCTCTCATGAGTGGTTACAGGACTCGGCTGTGTTGAAGTCCTGTGTTCTCATATTTTCACCATGGGTTTAGATCATGGGCTTCTTGAGGACAAGGTCTGCCTTTTTCATTTTGGGGTCCTACAGAACAGGGGTCCCCAACCCCCAGGTTGTGGACCCATACTGGTCTGTGGATGGGTCTGTGGCCTGTTAGGAACTGGGCCACACAGCAAGAGGTGAGCAGTGAGTGAGCAAGCAAAGCTTCATCTGTATTTACAGCCGCTCCTTGTCACTGGCATTACTGCCTAAGCTCCACCTCCTGTCAGATCAGTGGCAGCATTAGATTTTCATAGGAGTGTGAACCCTATTGTGTACTACGCATGCAAGTGTAGTGTGGCATGTTTCTTATGAGAATCTAATGCCTGATGATCTGTCACTGTTTCCCATCACGCCCAGATGGGACTGTCTAGTTGCAGGAAAAGAAGCTCAGGGCTCCTACTGATTCTACATTATGGTGAGTTGTATAATTATTTCATTCTACATTACAATGTAGTAATAATTATAGAAATAAAGTGCACAATAAATGTAATGCACTTGAGTCATCCCAAAACATTCCCTGCCCCTGCTCCCCCGGTCCATGGAAAAACTTCCACGAAACTGGTCCCTGATGCAAAAAAGGTTGGGCACTGCTGCTATACAGTATCTCTCACATTCTAGGTTCTCTAAATACACATTCAATTGAGTTAAAAAGAGGCAAATTCTTTCAGCTCTAAGTTAGAAGAGAAAACAGGTTAATTCTTATGTTTGACTAAGTAACGGAGAGGACACAGTTTTGTTGCATACAGATGACATTACTTGCAGAAATGAAGACTTGGAAAAAACCAACTTAAAGCATTATGTGCAGGGAAAAGCAAAGCAGAATGAAGTGGCTCAGGGTGAAGATGCCCTGCCTGGGAACAATGAAACTGAAAGACATGCCCTAACATTCCACAGCCAAAGTGTTTCTCTCAATTCTTGTGTGATTTGTTGATTTTCATCTCTGGACAAAATAGGAAATCCTGAAGTTTGAAGGACTCTGTTTCATTTTAAAAACATTAAAAGGCTTAAATGTGATGGAGATACAGTACAGATGATGTTCTTGGAACCTGTAATAAAACACTCTACAGTCTTCCTGTGGCCACACACTCCTGAGAGAGCTGGTCTTTGGGCTGCTTAAAGTTCCTGCTGATCCAAGCAGGGCCCATGCAGGTGGGGCAGGATGGCTTGTGGTAACCCAGCTGCCATCATCTATGGATGGTAACGAGGTTTGCTGCTGAATTCACAAGACAATGTGTGACCTTCTGACATATGCCAATATTTTTCCATCTAGCATACTGTTTTGGAACACTTTATTAAGGAAGGAAAAACATTGGCTGTGCTCGTGAAAGTAATGAGTCACAGAGTAGTGACGAAAGAGAACGATGCTGTTCAGACCCGAACCTCGGGCCAAATGAGATTTATTACTAGACAGATTAAATAATATAGATGACTCTGAAAGTCCCAAATCCTGGGATTTGCATGGCTTTATCTGGAAAGATTACTTTGGAAATCAAATACAATTTCCCAGCTGTAGGGCTTGACTCTGCTAGTTACCACCAGGAAGATCAGATCATAACATGGACGCATGGTATGTTAAGTAAGAAAGAAGCTCAGTCTTTATTCCCCTCACCATAACAACCCAATAAAGTGGTTAACTTGGATGAATGTCAAATCTTACAGCCCTCTATTATTTCAGCCTCTATAAAAACAAATGAGTAATTTGAGGTGTTGAGAAGATACCTTCTTGTAATTATGATTACAAGATTCTAATCATGAGAACAAATTTAGTGCAGCATGTCTTCATAAAGACCAACTAGCTAGAGCTATTAATAGAAAAGCCTAGAGCCATTTTAACATGAAGTCTAAACAGAAGCAAAAAAGAAGATAAAACGTGCTTCTTTAACTGATGCACTTAGTGGATAACCACAGCAAAGCTATAAACGTCCTTTGAGCAGAATGCCTTTTCCTCTCTTGATCCCATTCTTCTTTATTTCTTATTTATTTTATTAGATAATGAGTAATGTTTTCTCTTTCTCCAGAATATGTTTCTGTGGAACCAGTTAAGCAAATGTCCATGTCGCCCAAGGACCAAATCCAAATTACCTTCTTTTAAAGTCCATTTGATTGAGCCTGTCCTCTTGCTGACAGCATGCAAACTTCCATCCAGCGTTGACACAAACAACAAGGTTTCAGGAAGCGTCACTGTGCTGGTACTTCCAAAAATCTGCAACGAGATGTAGAAGACTCTTAATGTTGATATGATTCTTCACCTTGGGCATGTACAATCACAGACCCCCCACTCCCAAGGTTATCCTACTAAAACCCTCCATTTTACAGATGAAGAAATGGAAGGTGGAGAGCCTAAATTCCCACTCAGTCAGGACTAGAACCCAGGTCACCTCACTCTAAGCAGTGATCCTGCCTGCAGACAGGCAGGCTCATGACCTAACATTACAAGGACAAGAATTCTGAAATAATCCATGGGCAACCTCCACTGAAACAGAGGGGCAAAGTATGCTCAGCTTTCTGACTTCCTTCTCTTGGGCCTATTCTATTCTCTAAAACCTGGGCATCTCATAAGACGTTATGATAAAAAAGAATGCCAATACCCACGCATACACACATTCATGAAATTTTAAAAAGCAAAGAATTAGGGGAAAATGCTTAAAGCAAAATAGGAAAAACAGCTTTCATTATACAAAGAATTTATAAAATAAAACACTAAGATTCCAGTAAAGATATGTTATAAAAGTAAATGAATAAAAAGCATAACCCCAAACTGGTCCTCACTTAGAATAAAAATAAAATTTAAATTAAAATGTACCTTTTTTCTCAACAAACTTAAAACAAAACAAAAAAAATTTTAAAAGAAATAACCAAAGGCTGTGACATTTCCCATCCATTGCTAGTAGCACTGAAAATTACTAGTATCATCTTTCTGGAAAATATAAAAGTGCTCTTAGTTTTTGATCCTGTAATTCCACTTCTATACTCTAAAGAAATAACTCCAGAAATGGAAAAAGTTCTGTGCACAATGATACTCATGACGTCCCATTTATAAACACAAAAACTGGAAAGAACCAAACTTCCAATAATATCTAAATGGCTAAGATAAATAAAGACATATGTTCAGTGAAATAATTATCATTAAAATAACACTTGGAAAAATCTACAATATAGAAAAATGCTTATATACATTATCAATTAAATATAGAATCCAAGATTTGATATCCACTGTGGTTACAATTATACTGGACAGATTTTTTTTTTTGTCTGCCTGTCTTCTGGCTTTGCTAGGAATTGTACCCTCATTCCACAGGGTTTCCATGGGAGCAGGTGTGTGCGCACATGTACACACGGACGCATATGCAGGTGACAGCTGGTAAGGTTTCCTGGATAAGATTTCCCTTTTGAGGTAGGGGTCCCTTCAGCAACCCCACCCTTGTAATGAGATTTTCTCTTCTTTTGTCACATACTATCCTACAAATAGCTTTTTCCCCAGGTCTTCAATTAAAAAAAAAAATGCCAATGCAACTTGCTTATACTGCAACAGTTTGAATTCTGGCACAAATGCTATTTTTGAAATACAGAAGTATGGAGCATTAAATGTAAAAGGATTGGGGTTATTTGTGCATGGGAGCCTGATCCCAGAAGGCCCGGCTACTCTCGGTAAGAGCCAGGATGCCTAGTTAATCCTTCAAAGGGAAGGCCCCACAGGCTCTCTCTGGGGCAGCCTGAGGTGGCAGGACAAATACTCTGGGGTCCCGTATTCCTTTTCTGTGGTGGAGACCCACCAACGGAGGGAGTGAAACAGCTGCTAGAACTTTGCACATCCCACCTCTTCGCTTTGCCCAGGGCCAGGGCCTGGGCCCACTCCCTGGAATGGGAGAAAGGACAGTAAGCTGTGTTGCCACCTACCGAGTCTACTCTGTGCAAAGCCTGAAGTCTGAGGAAGAAGAGTGCTTTTAATTCTACCTCTGGAACTAGGAAATTAATATCAGAGTATAAATCGGCCAGGAAAACATAAGCCTCAAGGGTGGTATCTGCCCTAGCCGGGGATGCAAAGGTCACTGTTTGGGAGTGGTTAGAATTATTTCAGCCCAGAGGGTCCAGATGGTGACAAGCCACCTGAACCACAGGTACCTGGGCCTGGAGAACTGTGGCCCTATGACAAGGCCACTGGGAGTTCATGAGTAAACAGGGGCTAAGTGAATTGGGGCTGTCTGCCACTGAGGAGGGGGAATGGGTGTGCAGCTTGGTGTGGGATGGCTGGATTATGTTAGGTGTGACAGTTTGGAGGATGAATAAATGAAAGGGCAAATTATGCATACCTGGGGCCAAGAAGTGGAAATCCCTGCTGAGCCCTCCTCCACCCCCCAAAGTTACCACAGGAATAACCACTCTGTACAACAGGTCTTGGGAGGCCACACAAGAAAGTGAGTTAAACTCTGGGTGGCTAAAGTGGAAATAAGGCCAGGCGTGGTGGCTCACACCTGTAATCCCAACATTTTGGGAGGCCAAGGCAGGCGGATCACTTGAGGTCAGGAGTTCGAGACCAGCCTGGCCAACATGGTGAAAACCCATCTCTACTAAACACACAAAAATTAGCCAGGCATGGTGGCATGTGCCTGTATTCCCAGCTATTCAGAAGGCTGAGGCAGGAGAATTGCTTGAACCTGGGAGGTAGAGTTTGCAGGGAGGTTACACTGAGCCAAGGTCACACCACTGCACTCTAGCCTGGGTGACAGAGTGAGACTCTGTCTCAATAAATAAATAAATAAATAAATAAAATGGAAATAAAACTTCAGAGAGCTCTGTGAATGTGTTTTCTGCCACATGGAAAAAGCTGAATGAGAAAGACACAGAAACAGAAAGCAGCCTGAGAAGAAACATGACTGAAAGGACTGGGAGAGCCCACCCTGGCTTCCACAGCTCCTCAGGCCCAGCTAAGTTCTTGCCCTTGGGCTCAGAGACCCTCCAGTCCTTACAATAAATTCCCCTCTTTGCTTAAGCCTGTTAGAATTAGGTTTCTGTCACTTGCAGCCCAAACAGTCCCCACCACACACCCAATGAGGAAAAATGCAGATAGAAAAAGGGAAAAAAAGGGCCAGGCGTGGTGACTCATGACTACATGTAATCCCAGCACTTTGGGAGGCCGAGGCAGGCAGATCACTTGAGGTCAGATGTTCGAGACCAGCCTGGCCAACATGGCGAAACCTCGTCTCTACTAAAAATACAAAAATTAGCCGGGCGTGGTGGTGGGTGCCTGTAATCCCAGCTACTAGAGACGCTGAGGCAGAAGAAATCACTTGAACCCAGGAGGTGGAGGTTGCAGTGAGCTGAGATCACGCCACTGTACGCCAGCCTGGGGGATAGAGCGAGGCTCTGTCTCCAAAAAAAAAAGAAAGGGAAAACAATACTGCAAAATTATAGCAATATTTCTTCTTTTCTCATTTTTTAAACTTCCAATAATATGATTTGCTAATCTGTAGATTAGCAAATTTTTCACAAAGTAGAAGTTTTCACAAAGTAGAAAGGAGATGGACAAGCTAGCAGGTAGGAGAGAAGCTTGAATTCGAAGGAGCTTCAGCAAGTGCCTAAGTTCCACATGAAGCACTTTCCACCTCAGGATAGTAGGCAAGTCAACCACCTTTGATCATTAATCTCCACCAAACAAGGGACCAGAGTTTAGAAACACAGGGGTCTCCCAATAAGAATGTATGCATCCAAGAATAAGAAGAGTTTGCTGTTATTAAAGCCTACAGTACAACCATAATGAACTAAGTGCCCCCAAGTATATCTTATCACAGTATTAATATTAAAAAGGGTTAATATTCACCAAAACATATCAGTGCTCCTTTGCTACTAGTGGAAGCACTAGTGGAAACAAAAGCCACCTGCCTTGTCTGAGCATCTTGGAAGCCACTGGAAGAGCAACATTCTACAATTGGTTTATGGATCAAAATAAAACACTAATCATGGCCGGGACCGGTGGCTCATGCCTGTAATCTCAGCACTTTGGGAGGCCGAGGTGGGTGGATCACCTGAGGTCAGAAGTTTGAGACCAGCCTAGTCAACATGGTGAAACCCCGTCTGTACTAAAAAAAAATACTAAAAAATCAGCCAGGCCTGGTGGCAGACACCTGCAATCCCAGCTACTTGGGAGGCTGAAGCAGGAGAATTGCTTGAACCCGGGAGGCAGAGGTTGCAGTGAGCTAAGATCATACCATTGCACTCCAGCCTAGGCAACAGAGCAAGACTCTGTCTCAAAAACAAAAACAACAACAACACTAATCACATGACTAATTTAGTCTTGGAAAAATCTCAAAAATACAAAGTTTAGAGAGAAGCTGAATTTGGCAACTGAGAATTCTGTCAATCACAATGTCTACAGAAATGCCACAAACTATTACAACTGGCAGGTTCTTCTCAAGGCTCTCAACTGTACCAAATCGAAACTCCTGGGAGCCACTCGGAACAGTGTTATTCTCTCATAAGGCAAACAAAAATGACAAATTTTCTGGCTTTTTCCCCTCTGGCATTTTTAAAAGCATGAACATGCCTGAGTTCAAATGTAGTTGCTATAGCTAACATGAATTAAACATGTTTCCAGATGCCTTGTGTGATACTGAGCACAGCTGAGAACTATTTGTACCTGAACACTGAAAAACGCTGCTTCACAAAGATGAACTTGTGCCTTGTCTTTGCCCAGCCATTTCAGTCCTCAGTGCTCACTTTTCTCTACAAGCAACATACCCTACGGCACACACACTGGTTTCCAGAGAGCCTGAAAATGGAAAGAAAATGTCGAGTCTGCAGATCTGTTTCAAGTTAACAACCATTTGAAATTTGATTCAGTTTTAAAACTAGTAGTTGGGAGGTTAAAAAAAAAAAGTGGAATATATACTCCTGGCTTTGATGGTGACTTGTAGGAAGTAACCAACAGTAACTGTGGAGGGTGGGAAGGGTAGTGGCAGGCATCTAGTCTAGCCTAAAACTAAACATCCATTAGCTAATTGGTCCCCACAGACATCAGACTCTGTCCAGCATGTGTCACTCAGTGGGCTTCAGCAGTATAAGGGTCCTCACTGCAGCCCTACTCAGCTGGACTGCAGCAAGTCTCCCTCCTATGAAAGCCAACACAAGACCAGCACTGGATCCTGATGTTCAATGTTCTGATCATAAAGCAATGTTACGGCTGGACGTGGTGACTCACACCTGTAATCCCAGCACCTTTGGGAGGCCGAGGTGGGCGGATCACTTGAGGTCAGGAATTCAAGACCAGCCTGGCCAACATGGTGAAACCCTGTCTCTACTAAAAACACAAAAATTAGCTGGATGTGGTGGCAGTCACCTGTAATCCCAGCTACTTGGGAGGCTGAGGCAGGAGAATCGCTTGAACCCAGGAGGCGGAGGCTGCAGTGAGCCGAGATCACGCCACTGCACTCCAGGCTGGGCAACAGAGTAAGACTCCATCTCAAAAAAAAAAAAAAAAAAGCAATGTTACACAAAATCCAGCAGCTTCCCCATTCATAAAATCCACCATTCACTCTGCATTTACTACAAAGATACAGAAGTGGCTATCAACTGCTTATGCAGAGATGATTGAAAGGTACATCACCAACAATTTAATCATTCCCTAATATTGTGAATTCAGCTAATTGTTAGGGCTCTTCCATTAATTAACTACTTATATATATTTCAGGTAAGAAAAAAATATTTTCTTAAATGCCTTCTGAAATAACTTCATTTAGAAAAAGTTTTCAGTAAAGAGAATTATGGACACAGGGGCAGACAGGTGTTCAAACAGCACAAAAACAAATGAAATGGCCTCTAACAAAAAACCACCAGTTTCTAAACTTGCATTTGGGACTGACTGGTCAGGCAGGGAGGCAAGCTCATCAGTGGCTAGAGAACAACCAGCAAAAAAACCACAGCTTCCTGGGCATGGTGACTCACGCCTGTAATTCCAATACTTTGGGAGGCCCAGGCAGGAGGATTGCTTGAACCCAGGAGTTTCAGGCCAGCCTGTGCAATATAGGGAGACCCCATCTTGACAAAAAAAAAAAAATTAATTTGCCAGGTGTTGTGGTTTATGTATGTAGTCCCAGCTACTCAGGAAGCCAAGGAGGGAGGATTGCTTGAGCCTGGGAAGCAAAGGTTGCAGTGAGCCAAGACAGTGCTACTGCACTCTAACCTGAGCAACAGAGCCAGACTCTGTCTCAAAATAAAACAAACAAATAAACAAACAAAAAACACAGGGCTTGATTTCAGCAGCCTTATCACTGAAGTTTTGGTTTGTTTCCACTTACCACTGCCTTGTTGCCCCCTGCAATGGTAAGTACAGCAGGGAAGACCCTGCAAGCTCCTCTGAGATTCAGAACGTGTGAAAGCTGAATGTTCCTTATCAGGGGTTTCAGAAATGTTGCTTTTGCCAAAAAAAAAAATGCAGCTTGTCAATTTCAGACATACATTTCAAGAACTGATTCCCAGGTTGACTACCTGATAACAAGGGTCAGGGCCAGGTGTGGTGGCTAATGCCTGTAATCCCAGCACTTTGGGAGGCCCAGGCAGGTGGATCACCTGAGGTCAGGAGTTCGAGAACAGCCTGGTCAACATAGTGAAACCCTGTCTCTACTAAAAATACAAAAATTAGCCAGGCGTGGTGGTGCACACCTGTAATCCCAGCCACCCAGGAGACTGAGTCAGGAGAATCGCTTGAATCCAGGAGGAAGGGGTTGCAGTGAGCCAAGATCGCACCACTGCACTCCAGCCTGGGTGACAGAGAGAGACTCCATCTCAAAAAAAAAGGGTCAGAAATAAGATCATTAAAATGGCACAGACTTTTCACCTCTAAGTCAATGGCAAGATACAGTGTCATGCACACGTGTTCCATACCCACAGTTTTCCAGTGATCTATACTTAACGAGGTTTATAATCTCTGCTCCATTTACAAAACTGGAGCATCTTATCCCTGCAAAAAAAAAGGCGTGTACACACACACACACACAGAAAACCTACGATTGTGAACAAGAGAGTCACACACTTCTCAGGTGGCATGTAAATGGATCAAGTCCAACCCAACTGTACATCCCTCTCTCTTTTTTCTTCTTTTTTCCTGAGATGAGGTCTTTGTCACCCAGGTGGGAGTGCAGTTGAGCGATCAGAGCTCACTGCAGCCTTGAGGCTCAAGCAATCCTCTCCCCTCAGTCTTCCAAGTAGCTGGGACTACAGGTGTGTGACACCAGCCTGGCCAATTTTTAAATTTTTTGTAGAGTCGGGAGTTTCACTACATTGACCAGTCTGGTCTTGAACTCCTGGCCTCATGCAATCCTTCCACCTCAGCCTCCTGAGTTGCTGAGATTACAGGCATAAGCTTAAAAATAATAATAATAAAAAAAAGACTTCAAATAAAAATCTTTTCTATGAATCTTCTTCCCATCACACCTCCACTCCAACAGACCAGAAGTTTATATAATCATCTGGCTAATAATAAAAATTTGTTTTAGGAATATCACACCAATGTCTAGAATTTGTTCAGAGGCTGGTTTTTTCTCTGTGTGTGTGTGTTTTTGTTTGTTTTGCTAATAGTCCTCTGTGTTCATTGGATTACTGTTATATTGCATAATCCCAACTTTAGTTTTATTTATTTAAGGTTAAGAAAACAGCCGGGCACAGTGGCTCACGCCTGTAATCCCAGCATTTTGGGAGGCCAAGGTGGGCAGATCACCTGAGATCAGGAGTTCGAGACCAGCCTGGCCAACGTGGTGAAACCCTGTCTCTACTAAAAATACAAAAATTAGCCAGGCATGGTGTAATCCCAGCTACTTGGGAAGCTGAGGCAGGAGAATCGATTGAACCTGGGAGGCGGAGGTTGCAGTGAGCCGAGATGGTGCCGTTGCACTCCAGTCCAGCCTAGGCGACAAGAGCAAAACTCCAACTCAAAAAAAAAAAAAAGAAAGAAAACCATTCCTCCAAACTAAAAATACTTACATAATTTGAGCAAGGACAATAGAATATCATACAATACCATGTGTACCTCAGTTCCTGGAACCCGCAACCTGCCAACAACAGCCAGGCTGCCTTTTGCAGTGCAGGGTTCCTTGCCAGGACTCAAATCTACTGGATGGTTGGCACAGAGGTAAAGCAATAAATTGGCGTTAAGGGTTCCTTTTAGTTGGCTACTGAATACATATTACAGTATTAAAGGTAAGACTTGAAACAAGTTATGCAAGTGAGAGAAGGATTATATAAGAAAGATTTCCAAGATATTTTGTTTTACTGCCCAGTTAGGACATATGAAATCTTGAGAACAATTAAAAGTGCATGTTGCTAAATGTAGAATAATGATTTCAAGTGGATTAGAATGTGCTAAGGAATTAGAGCTTATAATTATTAACCTTGGCAATCATGCTTGGAGGTGGGAAGGGCATGCCACACAGGGGAATGTGCCTATGCCAAAGCACCTATCAAAAAAAGCAAGATAAGGCTGATCCACCACACATGTGGATGTGGTGAGGGGTGCTGTCTAGATGGATAAGAAAGTAGGGGTTAATAATGAGTAATGGCAAATAGACTGGATTATTCTGCTGGCTATAACCGGCTGAAAGCCACAGGATGGATCAGCTGATTTTAAGAAATACCAGTAAGACACTTTCTGGCATGCCATAACAGGACACCAGTCCTACAGGGTTTCTTACACACACACACACACACACACACACACACACACACACACACACACACAAGCTCGCTGTCTCTTTCTCTCATAGGACACCAGTCCTACAGGGTTTCTTATACACACACACAAGCTCTCTCTCACTCAACCTGTGCAGTAACATCAAAACAACAGGAAGAAGTACCTCAAAATGGTATTCTATAACACAGACCCTTGAAAGGCACTAAAGGATATTCAAAACAAGGACATCTGTGTCTACAATTCTTCTACTTGCAGCAATATTATCTGTCTCAGACTATAAACTCAAAGCCTGGGCATTTGTGATTCTCTGCTTTATAAAGGCAGCCAGCAGAGTACCGCTTTCTAATACCATTTCATCACATAGTAGGAGACTGTCCGATCATGGCCAAAAAGACATCAAAAATTCACCAAAGCAGTAGAACACTGAAATCAGTGCCCAGTAAGTGCAAAGGTCCATGACATAAAACTCTCTCAATGATTAAAGCAAGCCCTCAGAGTAAAAGCCTCACAATGATCAGGAGGGGCTCAACTCTCCGCTCACAAAGGACTATCTTTGAAGTTATGTTAAGTAAAGACTTAATTAAGACAGATACAAAAAAAATTTGTTTTGTTTTGTTTCTTTGAGACAGGGTCTTGCTCTGTCACCCAGGCTGGAGTACAGCAGCACAAATCATGGCTCACTGCAGCCTCGACCTCCTGGGCTCAAGCGATTCTCCCACCTCAGCCTCCCGAGTAGCTGCGACTACAAGCATGCACCACTATGCCTGGCTTTTTATTTCATTTTTTGTAGAGATGGGGTCCTACTATGTTGCCCAGGCTGGTGTTGAACTCCTGGGCTCAAGCAATCTTCCCGCCTCACCTCTCAAAGTGCTGGGATTACAGGCTTGAGCGGCTGGCCTACAAAACAGATTTTTATTCAAATCAAACCCTGTTCCCTGACCCTCATCTCATTTACACATACTGCAGCAAAGTACTTATACCCAAATATGGAGATTTCTATACAGCCACCTGAACAGTGAGTAACAAATATTTCACTACTTTTAGTCTCCTGTCTGTGGAAGAACATTCAGAACTGAATTAAAACATCAGCCATAGACACAAACAAAAGTCTTACTGTTTTAAAGATTTCAGTCCACCAGTAAATCATTCCAAATTCTGTTATACTTCGTTTACCTGTGTGTAGGTCAGCAATAATCCATCAACCATACAGTTCCTTCTAACCAGTCTATCGGCTGTTATGTTTCCTGATATTAAGTCAATAAAGGCAACCATGACATTTGCTTTGGATGGGAGTCAAGTGTCTAGCTGGGATGCAGAAAAGGCCAAGGCCTAACTGAACAGCACTGTGTGGTTTCCAAACTAAGCAGCTGAGAGAGTTAAACTTTCAGTGTTTGTGGCAAGTCTGCCGTATGGTGTAATTAACCACCACCCAAGACAGTTAGGACTCTTCTTCAGTTTAGGCTACTGTCCTCCTTTAATAGATCTGATTAAAAAAAAAAAAAAGTACCTCATAAATCCACTGTATTCCTGAATGCAAAGGTATGCTAATTTCATAATAGGTGAATACAGTTCCCCCCAAACTGGTTTTGGGGCCTGGGCTGAGTGTCTGAGTTCAACCATTTGCAGTTCTGTTTATGTTCATGGTTGCTCTGCCATCAACTTACATTGCCATCATTGGAAGAAGAAACATATCTGGACATGAATGGTGCTACATGAAATCGTTTTCCCTGACGTGGTTAGGAAAACAAGCCCTTTTTCTTAGGGTGGTATCAAATCCCTAAGGTCCCTCAGGATACCTGGGGAGCTAAGCCAAATCCCACACTTTAGGAAAACTGAAACCCAAGGTTACATGCTCATTTAGTGGCTGAGCTTTAGAATGCAGGTGTCACTACTCTATTTTGTTGTCTTTGCTAAAGGGAAACAGCATCAACTGATATCTAGTAACAACCAAGAAACGTATCAGGCTAATTTACTTTAATGGAGAAACATCCTAAACAAACTAAACTAATACAGGCCTGACAGACTATAAATTTGTATGTGCACCATTGGCCTTACAAAAAGTCAAATTTTATCCATTTGAGTATGTCTACTCATATGCAGTTAAACCTACTATTAAGAAGTCCTGGCCGGGTGCAGTAGCTCATGCCTGTAATCCCAGCACTTTGGGAGGCCAACGCAGGTGGATCACCTGAGGTCAGGAGTTCGCGACCAGCCTGGTCAACATGGGGAAACCCCGTCTCTACTAAAAACACAAAAAATTAGCTGGGCGTGGTGGCGGGCACCTGTAATCCCAATTACTTGGGAGGCTGAGGCAGAAGAATCACTTGAACCCAGGAGGCAGAGGTTGCAGTGAGCTGAGATCGCACCATTGCACTCCAGCCTGGGTGACAAGAGGGAAACTCCATCTCAAAAAAAATAGAAAAAAAAAAGAAGTCCTCACGTAGAAACCCCAAGGGAAAAAAATTTAATTACATACCAAGTTTTTCAGTCCTGGTAACAGCAACTAATCTGAAACTGTCAATTTTGCTCTTCATATTTAGTTAGGAATTTCTTGCAGGGGACAGTAGAGGAGTAGACAGGAGAGTCAAGTAGAAAGTGGAAAAATACTCTAGTTAAATTAAAATTACCTACAAACAACTGTATTTATGACATAATTGCTACCTACACTGGCCAGATGTTGCCAAACTTTAGGCTAGAAAAGAAGTACTATGAAATACACCCCGAGTTGAGATATCTGGCTTGACTGACTTCTGCCAGCCAGGACCCCCATTGTTTGAAGTTGATTTGAGGATCACACACTTCTCTACCGGCCCAGGCCACCATACCACCTTCCTCTCTCCAATTAGCTGGATAATCCTTTAAGTCCATGCGGTTCCACACAATGCAGATCAACCAGTAGGGACTGTTTACTGCTTCTGGGATGTGTAATTTTTGAGATGAAAAGGACCGAAGAGATTACCTTACCCAACCCTCTCATTTCACAGGAAAAGAAATCAAGGCTCAGAGAGGTGAAGTGACTTGCCCAGGGCACCACAGACAGTTAACCATAGACACAGGACTGGAACCAAGGTCTCCGCCTCCCCGTCTAGCCCTTTTGCCCACTATGCCACACTATAATTTCACTACTTTAAATCACGGTTCACTGAGAGCCAAAGCCTAAATTACTTCAGGCCTGAAGCTCCCCCTTTGAATCCTGCTGGGGTAGATGAAGATCAGCACTCCACTTTGATATGAGGGTTGGATCTTTTGGATGAGACCAAAATGTAATTTTTAGAGTCTCTATAGAAACCCAATATACCAAATGGCACTGCAAATTATACAGGGAGGGGTCTTTAAAAAATGTTCAGCATGAAAATTCCTGAGATCTCACTGTACATCTAAGTGGGTGGGAATGGGAATAACACAACAAAAGGTCAAAGGTCTCAGCTTTAACCACCATAAAAAAATTCCTACAATACACACTTACCCAAACCAGTCTTTTTAAAAAAAGTTTGTTTTTATTTTTTACACTGACATATAAAAATTATATATACTTACGGTGTACAACATGATGTTCTGACGTATGTATACATTGTGGAATGGCTACATCAAGCTAATTAACATATCCATTACCTTACATACTTATCATTTTTTTGTGGTGAGAACATTTCAAATCTACTCTCTTAGCCATTTTCAAGTATATAATATGTTGTTATTAACTATAGTCACCATGTTATATAATAGATCTCCTGAACAGCCCAGTTCTAATGGTTTTAAAAAATGTCCTTTGATGAAGACGATGATAATGTAGCCACTGCCAATTCCTTTGATGAAGCCAACATTCTTTTAATGTCAGTGCCAAGGAAACGCGCATTACTGATCAGCACAGGACAACTCCTTTGAACTGTAAGGCCCATTTTAATGACCAAGCATAAACTGATGGGCCCCACACAGTAAGCTATGGCTGCTTCACTTGGTAGCAATAAGATGCTCACACAAAAGAAAGCCTATTCTGATACTGACTTTTTCATGTCAATATTACATCAGATTTCTGTAATTTCAGCATAGGTTTTCTATTATCTAGGCTTCTCTGAGAAGCGATCTTTATGCAGCCTCACACGTTTGAATAGAGATTGGAAAGCACAAGAAACTGCTGGGAAGACTGTGCTGGCACAACCAAACCTTCCGAGTTGAGGCTCGAAAACAGGACTCAGAAAAAGGGGCAAAGCATGAGGAACCGGCCAAGAGCGAACAACGTTGCTTTCTCCAGCTTATCAAGTGGTCGGCAGGAAACAGAAGCAGGAAAGAATTACCAGCCAGAAGATAGCAAACCTATGGGCTCAAAGAGGAGGCCTTTCCAGACATCAAAGGAAGAACTCCCTCGTGAAAAGGGAAAAATGGCTGTCCCAGGCAGGAATGGACAAGGGACCATATTATAAAATATTTTTTAAAAGTTTGTTTTTATTTTTTACATTGACATATAAAATTTATATATACTTATGGTATACAACATGATGTTCTGATATATGTACACATTGTGGAATGGCTATAATGATCCTATAAAGGATATTCTCTGCTGTCATTCTCAGTTTTCCCAGGAATCTCTCTTTCTAAAGTCACTACCCTGGTCAGGCTTCCGCCTAGCCTGGAGGTCATCCAATGTTTTTTTTTTTTTTTGAGACAGAGTTTGACTCTTGTTGTCTAAGCTGGAGTGCAATGGCGCAATCTCGGCTCACGGCAACCTCCACCTCCTGGGTTCAAGCGATTCTCCTGCCTCAGCCTCCCGAGTAGCTGGGATTACAGGCACATGCCACCATGCCCAGCTAATTTTTTGTATTTTTAGTAGAAACGAGGTTTCACCATGTTAGCCAGGCTGGTCTCAAACTCCTGACTTTAGGTGATCCATCCACCTCAGCCTCCCAAAGTGCTGGGATTACAGGCATGAGCCATCGCGCCCGGCCAGGTCATCCAATCTTATTGCCATCTTCTCTAGGTCCCAGAAGTGGACCTGGGCATCTGGATTGTGGGGCAAGGTGGCTAAGCTTCCACATTTGTTTTTTCTTTTAAAAACTGAAGAATAGCAACATCTCTCTAAACACTAAGAAAGCAAAACAAATATTGAGAATTTCAAAAGTAAGAGTTATACAAATATTAAGGGAGACTATTTAATTTAAAAAAAAATTGGTGGCAGCCAAAGAAATCATCAGGAAGTAAACCAAACTCAAAAACCTGATAATCCACTGCTCCTCATCTCTTACCTCCATTGCTCCTCATCTCTTACCCTCATGGGCAGACAGCAATAATGTAACAACTGGTGCTAGGAGACAATCAGGAATAATTAAGGAAGAGTTAAAATATGTTTGGCTCGTGGTGTTCAAGAAGGAAGCAGTGGCCGGGAGCAGTGGCTCATGCCTGTAATCCCAGCACTTTGGGATGCCAAGGTGGGCAGATCACTTGAGGTCAGGAGTTCAAGACCAGCCTAGCCAACGTGGTAAAACCCCATCTCTATTAAATACTCAAAAATTAGCCGGACACGGTGGCACATGCTTGTAATCCCAGCTCCTCGAGTGGGTGAGGCAGGAGAATCACTTGAACCCAGGAGGTGGACAGCGCAGTGAGCTGAGATTGCACCATTGCACTCCAGCTTGGGCGACAGACCGAGACTCTGTCTCAAAAAAAAAAAAAAAGAAGAAGAAGAAGGAAGCAGAGTATAACTGCTGAGGAGGTTGTCAGTAAACATTACTATATTTTAAGTTATGGGATTGTATTTCCATCATTTGGAAACTCACCTATGATGCTGCGGCTAAACGATTCAATAGATACTTGTTAAGTTCAGTGTAGTTCCTGAGCAGTATAATGTGGTTGTTAAAAAGGTAGATTGTGGAGCCAGACCACCTCAGGCAATCACTTACCTCTCTGTGCCTTCAGTTTCTCATCCATAAAATGGGGATAATGCTAATTAACTTTAAAAAGTTGTTGGGAAAAGCTTCTGCACAGCTGAACACATGGAGATTCCTGATGGGTGGGGCATACCCCAAGGGCATGAGATCTCCATGCCCCTTCCCGCATGCCTTGCCCTATGCGTCTCTTCATCTGTATCCTTTATCATAAACCAGTAAATGCAAAAGTCACCAACTCTAGTCTAATTGGAGTGGGCTACACACAGACTCTGAGGCCTGGTGTGAGGCTCACACTGTCTGCTCTGGTAGACAAGAGATCATCAATGCTGGAGATCACAAACTTGGGTGTGCTCTGGAGGTGGAGGCTTAATCTAGCTGAAAGAAACCTCTGGGAATGGATATCAGAAGATCGGGCCTTAATATATTTCCACTGTGACTAGCAGGCTTTTTTCCCAAGAAGGTGATCCAAAGGATGATCTAAACAAAAGCTGTATTTTAAATATTTTAACAGTTACTGGTTAGTTGGTTCCCTGGCTATCTAGTTACCAGTGCGGCATCATGCAGTGACCTATATGTTTAAGCTGTTAAATGTGCTACCCCCACCAATAATGAGATAGACTTTCATGAGAACTGTGCAGCTGTGTGGATGTTTGTTTTTATGTTCCCTTAACCACTGCATATTGCCATTGAATGAGATGGATCAGTGGATATTTTAGGATGAGGTTAAAAACATTTTATTAAATTCAACCATGATTCACATTACTTTTGCTATCCTAGACCATTACAAATTATGAATAAAACAAGTATACATAATTAGTGGCTCCAAGTATTCGCAGAGTTAAACATTTCCAGCTATGGCCAAATCTCCCTGGTATCTAACACTTTATTTTTCCAGAGCATTTTGCCCTTTACGTAAATCTTTTTTTTTTTTTGAGACAGAGTCTCGCTCTGTCACCCAGGCTGGAGTGCAGTGGCGTGATCCCGGCTCACTGCAACCTCTGCCTCCCAGGTTCCAGCAATTTTCCCGCCTCAGCCTCTGGAGTAGCTGGGATTATAGGCACGAGTCACCATGCCGCCAGGCAATTTTTTTGTTTTGTTTTGTTTTGGAGACAGAGTCTCACTCTGTCGCCCAGGCTGGAGTGCAGTGGCGTGATCTCGGCCCACTGCAACCTTCACCTCCTGGGTTCAAGCAATTCTCTGCCTCAGCCTCCCGAGTAGCTGGGATTACAGGCGCCCACCACCATGCCCGGCTAATTTTTGTATTTTCAGTAGAGATGGGGGTTTCACCATCTTGGCCAGGCTGGTCTTGAACTCCTGACCTTGTGATCCACCCACCTCGGCCTCCCAAAGTGCTGGGATTACCGGCGTGAACCACCGTGCCCGGTGACCTTTACCTAAATCTATGCCACAAAGTCCTCTGTGTCCCTAGAATAATTCCATGGGCTTTCAAAGACTGTAATAAGAAGGTAAATGCTAAAAAAAAAAAAAAAAAAGCTTTTGCAAGGAGTGTTGAGTCAACATAAGTAAAGCTCTTGAACGGGCCTAATATACAGTAAGCATCATGTAAGTGTCAGTTACTATTATTCATTAAGAACTGTATGAGACACTAGGATCTAATCACAACAAATGAGATCTGGTTTCCTGCTTTCATGGAGCTTACAGTCCAATAGGAGACCCCAGTAATCAATAATGACACAAACATAAAATGACAAATTGTAGTAAGTGCCATGAAAGGGACATACTGGAAACTGCGACAGCATAACAGAAGAAGAGCATCTGGTCTTGTGATGGTGGGGGAAGCACAGTGTTAAAAATGATGTTTGAGTTAAGATCTATAGGAAAGGGAGAAGGAAAGAAGAATTTCCTGGGCAGAGGGAATAGCCTATGCAAAATTCTGAGACTGCAGAGAATTTGTTGTGTTTGAGGACCCGGTGGACCAGTGTAGCTGGACAGAGAAGGCAGAGGGGATATGGGACACGGTGAGGTTGGGGGAGAAGTCCCAGAATGGCGTGGGCCACAAGAGTCAGAATCTTTTTTTTACGTGTCTTATTTGTTATCTATGCAGCTGAAGGAAAGAACAGGAAGGTTGCTGTTCACATCGTTGTAAAGCCACCTGGAAGAAAAAAAAGCACTCTCCCTAAGGTGAGGCGTGTAATACACCAACCACAATCTGTTCACACTCTCGGTGAGTCTCCTCCAGTGTTTTAATTTATACTAACATTCGACTGATGTTGCCTAGCTGGTTTACAGCTGAATATTAGCAGAACACATCAGAACTTCGTAGGAGAGCGTAGTAAATATGGCTGTTTTTGTGATGAAATGTGGCCTTCAGAACAAACCCCAAGGCAGGTTTTCTTGCTTCCTAAGACTCCTCATTTGAGGGGGAGCCATTTCTCTGACTAGCCATCATGCATGGAATCAGAAAGCTCCCTCTGAAGGGTTGAGGAGTTAAACCTGCACCTTCCCGTCTTTTTAATCTTCCAGGCGCCCCATCTCCACAGTACCTGCAGTCAGTGCCAGGACTATTTTCATTACAAGAGGCAGAAATCTTGGGGATACTAAACTTACAGGACAAGGTAAGTCATTGGCTCATGGTCTCACATTACTCAAGTAGGCTGGCAAGGACTTCAGGATTTGCCAATCTCTTCCAGGCACTCCCTGCCTCATACTTCTTCCTGTTGGCTGACTCTTCTATTTCAACTCCTGTGTGCTAGTTCACTTACTCCAACCCTGCCCCTAAGCTGGACTCTTATCCTACATATATGCAGAAAGAAGGGTCCTGTTACACACAAGGCAATGCCGCCCCAAGGCCTGTAAAACTCCTGGCTTCAAGGGGTTTGCCGTCTAGCAGGAGAGTCGTGTAATGCAGAAAAAAAGACGGCAAGTTCCATGGCCGAACTTCCCGAAAGCTGACTTGGCAGCATATCCAGGTCCTGCCCAGAGCAGTTCCAAGAGTCTGGTCCCACCCTACCCTGCTCAGCTGTCTTCTCACTCCTTGCCCTAGCCTGTGTCCATATAGCTTCAAAACCTGTTATTTTATCCTCTCAAAACTCTTTGGTTTAAAAACAAAACCAAAGTTCCTCAGGTATCCTCATGAGTCTGGAACATATAGATGCTTTTGGGGTGAATGAAGCTGACAGAAGATGAGGTGGGCACACAGATGCATGGTCTGGTTTGAGCTCTGGGCAAGTCATTAGATTTTTCCAGGCATGGGTTTCCAAGAAAGTAAGAAGCCTGAGGTGGATGGTGGCTGCAGCTCTGAAGCATGATGATCCATGACTTACCAGACCCTCATCTCTCCTCAGGCTTTGCTGCAGCTTCTTCTAGCCCCAACCAATCAAAACATGCCCAAAATCCGCATAACAATTTGACAGAGTTTAGAAGTCCTAATGCCTTTGAACATAGTCATTTCCAATCCTGGTCTTGCAACATCTAAGTGTCTCCGCTTATCTCAAAATATTGCAACATTAGAAATTAGTAATAATCTGACTCACTTTAAGGTTCAGGATGGGGAAAAGAAATACCATGAAAATCAACTAATGTTACATGGGACCAGGTGGCTGATTCCCAGGCACACCTACCTACTATAGACTCTAAAAGCAACCATCTCCTAAACTGAAAGGGTGATACCTTTTCTTCTGCCAACCACAAATCAGATAAGTGATTGAACTTTTACCAGGCACCGAAAGCCCCAGAGATTTCCAAGCACTGAACCATCAAGATCAAGATAACTTAGGGTCCGTTTTACAAGCAACTGTGGCTTGGTTCCCAGTTAGTCGAGCACCAAAACTACAGATAAACTTGTTCTTAATCTCCACATATAAAGGAAACCGTTTTCTTCTTTGCAAAACCAGCTCATGGCAAGTGGAAAACGAACCCTAACAGAATTCTAGAATAAGGTCACTGGATTGCTCATAATGAGGTAGTACCTTTAAAGGTCAGAGATTCCCCAAATTTGTTCTTAGAACTTTCTTACCGCATTTCAATTTATCGGGAGATGTTACAAATACTCCTACAATGGAAAAAAAATGTAATCTTATTTAATGTAAAAAAAAAATAACACACACACACACACACACAAACACACCCATTTGTGTATTTGGGTGCACAGCCATCACAAAAATCAAAGAATGGCTGGTTCTGACCCCTCTGAGTTGTGGGGGTTTTCTGAGGTTTCCCTGACAGGATTTAATGTCTTATCATGTTATCCTTAAAAATCAACAACGTGGCCGGGAGCGGTGGCTCATGCCTGTAATCCCAGCACTTTGGGAGGCCGAGGTGGGCGGATCACAAGGTCCGGAGATTGAGACCATCCTGGCTAACACGGTGAAACCCTGTCTTTACTAAAAATACAAAAAAAAAAAAAAAAAGCCAGGTGTTGTGGCGTGTGCCTGTATTCCCAGCTACTTGGGAGGCTGAGGCAGGAGAATGGTGTGAACCCGGGAGGCGGAGCTTGCAGTGAGCAGAGATCATGCCACTGCCCTCACTCCAGCCTCAACGACAGAGTGAGATTCCATCTCAAAAAATAAATAAATAATAAAAATTTTTAAAAAAATCAACAATGTGGCCAGGCGCAGTGGCTCATGCCTGTAACCCCAGCACTTTGGGAGGCCAAAGCAGGTGGATCACTTGAGGCCAGGAGTTTGAGACTCACCTGGGCAACATGGCGAAACCCCGTCTCTACTAAAAATACAAAAATTAGCTGGGCGTATTGGCACATGGCTGTAATCCCAGCTACTCGGGAGGCTGAAGCACGAAAATCACTTGAACCCGGGAGGCGGAGGTTGCAGTAAGCCAAAATCACGCCACTGCACTCCAGTGTGGGCGACACAGTGAGACTCTATCTCAAAAAAAAAGAAAGAAAAAGAAAAAGAAAAGAAAAAAGAAATAGAAAGTAAAGAAAAATCAACAATGTTCACGCTCAGTCCCTCATATTTGCTCAGGATTTTCAGACATACCTGAGGACTATCAACACCAGTCCTCCAGAAGATTAGACAAGAAACAAACAGGAGCACCAACCTGTACATTACCCCAACACTAAGTGACGTGGTGCTATTTGGAGTGCAGGAAGGGATCTAGTCTACGAGAGTACAGTGGTCAGGGAAGGCCCTAGGCCCTATACAAGACAGGTGAGCGAGAGCCGATGAAACCACACCACGGTGTGTGGCAACTTACGAGGCCTCCATCTCCCTTGCTCTGCTCTATGTTTCTCCCCTGCAACCCCTGCAGAATTTTATCACCTTATCACATTCTATATAATGTATTTACCATGCTGTTGTCTATCCCAACCAACTAGGTAGAAGTTCCATGAGGGCGGGGGTCTTTGTTTTGTTCATGTTTCCCAAGCATCTCAAACAGTGCTTGGCATAAAATATGTACTCAAAAAGTTGATAAATAAATGGATGAACAGATGAAATTCACTACATTCAAGAGCTAGGAAGCTGGGAGGCTCAAAGCAAAGCAGCCCTCCCATCTTCTACCTCCCCGTATGAGGCTGCACCAGAAAAAGAGGCGGCTGGGGGACTAGTCGCTTTCACCTAAATGGTGATCCTAATTTGGGAAGACATTTGGAAACAGGCCCACCAAAGAGATTTTCTGGTTCCGTTGCTTTGTTTTACAGATGAGGAAGCAGAGGGGGAAATAACTCATTTGCCCAAAGTTGCACAGCTAGCTAGTACAGAACCTCCGGACTCTCACTTGCTGAAAGAATGCATACAATTTCATCATATGGGGCAAACACACATATAGAAACAAGATACTGGCCCTATGATTACATTTAAAAACAGCTAAAATGATTTTACATTTAAAAACAGCTAAATGCCTATCTGCTCAAGGAGTGCAGAACTGGTCTGCCACTTGGGATTTCCTTTAAGCATTAAGTTAAATTAGGAAACAGCCCTGGTGCTGGAGTCCACACAGCGCTTTCAGGCCAGGTGCCAAGCCCCATTCCAAGGTTGTATTCAAAGAGCGGGCTCCCAATTCTACTGACATTTGTCAACTTGGTTCCAGCAGAGTTTTGGATTTGGTCCAGCCCACTCAATGTGATGCTTGAAAGCAAGTGTCCTCCTGTTTCTAAACCAGCTAATAAAGATCCTCTGAGAAACAACTGAGATGGGTCCGGGAGCTGAGACAACTGACTGGTCCTCTCCTGTGTTCTACAGTTGGGCTTGTCAGCTCGGCACCTGCTATAAAAACCCTTCGAGGGAACTCTGCCTGACTCAGGCAATGAGGCTAATAGCCAGCTCTCACATGAAAAGGGGAAGGGAGTGTCACAGCCTGCACCCTCCCACCATTTGCTTCCAAAACATATGTTCCCACCCTGATAGGAAAGTTCCTGTTGGTTCACAAGCTTCTTCTTGTGCTTTAACTAACTCACTCCTTCTACAAATCCCTTCTCCTCACTCGCAATGGCTATTTCATTTTTGTTATGGAAGGTTCTTTTAAAACCATGAAGATGATTTTACCCATCAGGATACTGTGAAGGAGCCTGGAAAACAACATTGTTTTGATTTCTTAAGCCTCTTAATATATGGAAAAGGCAATAAACAAATATATAAATAAATAAACAAGCATAAGTCGGGTAACTTTAAATAAACATTTAAACATCTTACAATTCAGTAACTAAATATGTTTTAATATAAGGCCTATTAGTTAAAGCTGATAAAAGCAATTTCAACAGTTTGTATTCAAAGGAAAAAATCCATTAAATTACCTGCTCTTTAAAAGTTGAATGATATAGTACAGTAGAGAAAATGTAATATTAGGTTCCTTTTTTTCTAGGTTTTTTTTTTTTTTTTTTTTTTTTTTTTTGAGATTGAGTTTCACTCTTGTTCCCCAGGCTGGAGTGCAGTGGTGGGATCTTGGCTCACTGCAACCTCTGCCTCCTGGGTTCAAGCAATTCTCCTGCCTCAGCCTCCCAAGCAGCTGGGATTACAGGCACGCGCCACCACGCCTGGCTAATTTTTGTCATTTTTTTAGTAGAGACGGGGTTTCACCATGTTGGCCAGGCTGATCTCCAACTCCTGACCTCAGATGATCCGCCCGTCTCAGCCTCCCAAAGTGCTGGGATTACAGGCATGAGCCACCACGCCTAGAACTAGAAATAAAGTTAGAACTTTATTTCTAGTTCTAACACTAACTAGCGGACTCTATCAATCCTAACCTCTCTGTAAAATGAGCCAAATGCTGTGTCTAGTCTGGTCCCGTGCTCTGTGACGTGACTGGGAATTTGGAGATGCATTTGTTCTTTCCAGGATTAAGGTACAAAAATTACTTGAAGGCCTCATCCTGGCTGCACATCAGAGTCACTTGGGCCTTAAAACATTTTTTGCTGGTTTATTTGGTAGAGATGGGGTCTTTCATTGTTGCCCAGTCTGGTCTCAAACTCCTGACTTCAAGTGATCCTCTTGTCTTGGCCTCCCAAAGTGCTGGGATTACAGGTGTAAGCCACTGAGCCTGGCCTTAAACATTTTTTTTTTAAAAAAGAAAAGATGCCGGCCCCCACTCCCAGAGATTCCAATTTCATTCACATAGGATGGGGCCCCAGCACAGCGTTTTTAAAAAGCTCCCCAGGTGACTGAGTCATGGCTGGGAAGCACCGCCTCAAGTAACACATTCCTAGCCACAGTTGTGGCCCCCTGTACAGGTGATTCTCTCACTCCTAGTGGCCCCTCAGGAGTCATGGGCCATTTGCTTTAAGAGAAGAGAGATCTGATTTACCTTGGTCAACAAACTTCTCTGACTCAACTGGAGATCAATGACAATGTCAGGTTCTAGGGATGTGACAGCACTGTTTGTTCAGAGAATGTACAGAAAAATTCGGTTTCCATGACAGACACTCCTGCAGCCCAGACAAACAATTATTCCTTCATCTGACAGAGAGGGGGGAAATAATCCACTGGAGAATGGGATGGTTTTGAATTATAATTATAAATTAGTCTACTAACAAAGGAAGTCATGTTTAATACATGAGAGGACAACTCTGGGCCAAGGTTCATTTTTTTAACAGTGAAACATCATGCTGAGTGAAAAATGAAACTGACATGAAATAATCACAAACTGTTTACCTCATGGAGTTTGGCAATGGAAAAATTAATCTCATTACTGATAAGAAGAGCCCACCAAAAGAACACTACACACTATGGGTCACGTCCACCCAAGCAAATATCCTGAAAGCTCCTCTAGTTCTGTAGAAAGACACACAACTGGTGCAATCCCATTAAAGAATATAAAATATAGCTGAAGCAATACCTCCCACCCCCATCCACAACCCACTTGCTTGATGATATAATACAGCCCCTTTATTGGTCTTAATGAGTCTCAAAGAAGAATTCAATAAATATTTGCTGAGTGCCCCCTACAGTGGGTATAACCAGCATGCCACGTTAAATGCCACAGAGGATGCAACCATCAGCAAGCCAGGGTCCCTGCCTTCTCGGATGAACCAGCAAGGGAAGTGAGACACACTCCCAGGGGCACCTTCCTTCCCCCCTTGCTCCTTCCTTCCCTCATTAGTCTCCTCTGAGAGCTACCTAAGCTAACTTGAATCCCTCCATTGTGGTTTAAGAGCCAGAGTCACAGCCACTGTCTCTCTCCTGTCATCACAGACCTGCTCCCTGGTGCCAGAACTGCTTGGCAGGTGGCGCCTCTGCAAAGGCAAACACCCAGAACCAGCACGGTAATGCAAGAGTTCTATCTTTTCAGGACTTCTTGGTGAAGGCTGTGACTGAGCTAGAGAAGAGCGGCTTGGGTTAAAGGCCTCTAAGGAAAGAACTTTCAGTTTTGTTCTTTCAGACATATGACTAGGCGAGATGTTACTGAAAACATGCACCTGCTTGGATATTATTAGACTCCAAGCAAAGAAATTAGCTTAAACTGTGAATTAGGCTTAGCAGGCAATTTTTTGTTGTTGTTGTTGAGACGGAGTCTCTGTTGCCCAGGCTGGAGTGCAATGGCAGGATCTCAGCTCACTGCAACCTCCGCCTCCCAGGTTCAAGCGATTCTTCTGCCTCAGCCTCATGAGTAGCTGGGATTACAGGTGCCCGCCACCATGCCTGGCTAATTTTTGTATTTTTGTAGAGATGGGGTTTCACCATGTTGGCCAGGCTGGTCTTGAACTCCTGACCTTATGATCCGCCCGCCTCAGCTTCCTGAAGTGCTGGAATTACAGGCGTGAGCCACTGTGCCCAGCCGAGCAGGCTTTTAATCCCTACTCTCTCCATGATTGCTGGATTTGACTCTACAGTTGAAAATGGCCAATTTCCTTGATGGAGACTCTCAGGTGAAGGCAGCATTCCCATCTCAAAATGGCATCTTCGCACAACTGCAACAAAGGGTAGAAGGCCATGATTCTTAACGGAGGAAAAATAACATTATCTGGGTATTTTCCTGAAGCTTACAAGAAAGCCTACTGGCCTAGACCTTCTCTAGATCCTTCTCTCATGGCCACATAGTTTGGTCAGCTCCTCAGGGTATGACTGAGGGTAGCCAGACTGGTTTGTCCCAACATACGCACCAGAACATAAGCACTGCAGGGGCTTCTCTTCAAAGGGAGGTAGGAGGATCAAGTTTAAGGTTTGGTTCTGCCACTCACACATGACCCTGGACAGGTTACCAGCCCTTGCTGGTTGCCTTTTCCCATCTGTCTGCTCTGGAAGACAGAGCAGGGTAGTAATTTTTCTCAGCTTGGGAGAGGAGGGTAATGCCTGAGAGAGGGTGCCCCAAACACCACCCTCCTAGGTTCTGATGTGCTCATACTGTTACTGAGGGATGTGCGCCATATTTCTTATGTGCAGCTGGAAGGGGAAAAAATTGAGACTCATTGGACTACATGGCCGAGAGCCCATCAAGCAGTCTAATGCACTCTGATTCCAGTTATCTTGGGAGGCTACACATCTATTCATACATGCTTCTAGGGCTCAAAATATTTCTGGAATTCTTTGGAAATTCCCTTCAAAGAATATACTTTTGAATCCCCTAAATGGTAAAAATCCTGTTCACTTTAGGATGGATTTCATTTTAATAAATAGCTGAAAACCAAATCCAAGTGTCCTCAATAAATTGTGTGATCAAACTGGGTAATAACAATTTTGATCAAAAGTGTAGTGTGAATCATGTAAAAGTCCTATTAAGCAAAGACTGGAAGGAATTGGAGAATGTTTTAACTTGTATAAGGATAACTGGCTTAAGAGTAAATATTTGTTTTCAAAGGTTCGTTTTTGTTTTAAAGTTGAATTATTAAATGGGTTAGATAAGTTGTTAAATTTAACTGGAAATTTTTTTAAGACTGATTTCAATAACCCGTAAATTCACGCCAAAGGGTGATTATTTTGAAAGGGACATTTTTTTTGGAAGAATAAATTTGCAGGAAAAGCAAAACAAAACAAAAAATAAAACACCACAGATATTACATTTTATTTTTAATTTTTTGTTCCCTTTTTTTTTCCAGGTAGATAATCCCAGCAAAAGGTAGTACTTTATTATCAAGTGGTACTTAAATATTCCTAGGAAAAACAGCCACATGTTTTAAGAACTGCAGCCTCCAAAAGGGACAATCAATGTATCAACTCTGATTTATGAAGTCTTAAGGCAAAAGTTTTAAATGGCCTCACAACCGACCATACAAAGAATCTTATCTGTAGGAGGCGGGCCACCCTCAAAACCAGAGAATTATCCCGAGGTATTTCAGGGTGCTCATGGGTGCCACATCTCCTAGAAAGTTGATCTGAAACCACTGCAAACTAAAGGACCCCACAAATGAGTCATTTAACAAATCCAAATAAAACATTTTCTCAATAGCTTTTAGGTACAAAGGGTATCATCCAGAGACTGCCTTGGTTTATTTACATCTTCAAAATATAAACAAAATGTAAACATTCTATTTTCATCCAACTTTTAAAGTCTACGCTCCTAAAAGAAAGTGGCCACTGATAAAAGAAAATAGCATACTTTAAACCGCCTATCATAAAAACAATTTAAGGTTAGTTTTGTTTTTAAAACACTCAACATTGCTTAGGGCTGGGGGAGAGGGCTGTAAAATACTACATACAATCAGCAAATTTCAATTCTAGGAATCTATCTCCAGGAAATAACTAAGCACTTAAAACTCATTCAAGAGTTTAGCAACAAGAAAGTTCATTACATTGTTATAATTTTTATAATGAAAATAAAAACATATCTGTGTAGTGAAAAAATAAAAAAAAATAAAAACAGCCTCAATATCTAAATGATTGAGTGGTCAAATTATGGTACATCCATTCCATTCAGAGAAATACTACGCAGCCAATTAAGAATAATGTTGCAGAATTAAGCTGATTGACATAGATCTATATGTTCCAGTGTGGGGAAGAAAAGTATTACCTGTAAATATGTGCACAGAAAAAGCATCTGAAAGAACATATGTCAAGATATTAGATTAGTTATTAGAGAAATGCAAATCAAAGCTATAATGAGTTACCACTCCACATCCACCAGGATGGCTAAGATTAAAAAGATAGGTAATAACGAGTATCAGTGAGGGTATAAGAGACACTGTAACCCTCCTTCCTACATTGCAGGTGGGAATGTAAAATAGTGCAGCTGCCTTGGAAAACAGTCAGACAGTTCCTTGAAAGGTTAAACAAAGAGTTACCATATGACCCAACAATCTCTTTCCTAGATATATGCCCAAGAAGAGTGAAAATAAATGTCCACGCAAAAATTTGTACACAAATGTTCATGGCAGAATTATTAATAGTCCCAAAGCAGAAACAATCCAAATGTCCCTCAATGGATGGATGATATGGTTTGGCTCTGTGTCCCCACCCAAATCTCATCTTGTAGCTCCCACTATTCCCATGTGCTGTTGGAGGGACCCCGTGGGAGACAACTGAATCATGGGGATGGGTCTTTCCCGTGCTGTTCTTGTGATAGTGAATAAGTCTCACGAGATTTGATGGTATTAAAAATGGGAAGCTCCCTGCACAAGCTCTCTCTTTCCCTGCTGCCATCAACGTAAGATGTGACTTGCTCCTCCTTACCTTTTTTCATGATTGTGAGGCCTCCCCAGCCACGTGGAACTGTAAGTCCATTAAACCTACTTCTTTTGTAAATTGCCCAGTCTCGGGTATGTCTTTATCAGCAGCATGAAAATGGACTAATACAATGGATAAATAAAATGTGGTATATTCATATAATGGAATATTATTCAGCAATAAAAAGGAACAAAGTACTGACACATGTTATTATACAACATGGATGAACCTTGAGAACATGATGCTAAGTTAAAGAGGCCAGTTACAAAAGACCACATAATGTATGATTCCATTTATATAAGAGGTCCAGAATAGGCAAATTTATAGACAGAAAGTAGATTTGTGGTTGCCAAGGACTAGGAGGTTTGGGGGGAAACGGTGTGTAACAGCTAATAGGTATGAAGTTTATTTCTGGGATGATGAAAATGTTCTAAAATGGACTGTGGTGATGACTGCAGAATTCTGTCAATATACTAAAACCCACCGAATTGTACACTTTAAATGGGTGAATTGTGATGATAGGTGAATTATATCTCAATAAAATTGTTTAAAATCTTCATAGAGGTAATGTTTGGAAAATAAGATAATAGAAGGCTTGTTTTTTATTTTTTAATTTAGGCTTATCTATCCTTTCTAACTTTTCTACAATGAATATGATTACTTTGAGATAATGCCTCAAAAAAAAATATCTTCCCCTGTTATCATACAGAAAGCACCAAACATAAAATAATTGAAAAAATGAAAATACCCCTTTCTTTATGATCCCTATGGCCACAGCAAGATGACTGGCAGGCAAAGCTCGGCTTATTACCACATCAACCCTGATCAGTTATAACCCCAGTCCCCAACCCACGGCTGGGCACAGAAGCTCAATGTTTTTTGTTTTTTGTTTTTCTTTTTGAGACAGAGTCTCGCTCTGTTGCCAAGGCTGCAGTGCAGTGGTGTGATCTCAGCTCACTGCAACCTCTACCTCCCAGGTTCAAGCGATTCTCCTGCCTCGGCCTCCCGAGTAGCTGGGATTACAGGTGCATGCCACCTTGCCCAGCTAATTTTTGTATTTTTAGTACAGACGGAGTTTTGCCATGTTGGCCAGGCTGCTCTCGAACGCCTGACCTCAAGTGATTCACCCGCCTTGGCCTCCTAAAGTGCTGGGATTACAGGCGCAAACCACCAAGCCCGGCTGAGAAGCTCAATGTTTTTTTACATGGATGATGGTTTACTAAGGTGCTACTAAAGTGACAAATGTGATGGTGTACTCAGAACATTTTCTACCGGGTTACAGAAGATGTTCTGTGGGGAAAAAGTGAACAAAAATAGATAACATCGTATTTTTATACCGTTGTATTTGCTGTATGTTTGTACATGAGCAAAGATTATAAGATATTGATAGAAAGACTGTCTAAAACCAGCTGTGTTGCTCTAAGGCAGGGAAGTTTGAAACCAAACATGGGATATAGGTAAAGATAGAAAGGAAAAAAAAAACTGCTTCTGGGAAATATTTCCAACCAGTAGTTTATTATTCACAAACTGTGATTCACCAGTCCTATTTTTTAAGCCAGCATCACGCTCTAATCATATTCCTAGGTTACAAGCCCAGTTATTTGTGCATAATAAAAACTGAATCCATTAAGATGATACATTAGGCTTTTCTTCCCTATGTCATCTCTTTAGGGAGACATTTGATTATAAAACCTACAAAATATTGAACCTACATATTACTTTGGATCCCGAAACCAAAGAGGTTTCCTATGAAAATGAAACAGTTATCCAAGGATTCTTTCACCTGAAAAACGGAGTCCAAATCTGGGGCAGGCAAATAATGAAACCCTCAGACCTATGCAAGTGACACTATTCCATCCAGACATGAAGAAACTTTAATGCGGCTCACTAGATTTATGTTCGGAAATATGGGCTATTGTTGAACTCTCTCTCGAATAACTCTCAGATACATTTTTCTCCTGTGCTCTGAGAAGCTACATTACTGCAGAAGGCTGAATAGGCAGGCAAGTTAATGAAACAATACACATGTGCACAACTACAGTTTAATTTCATGATCAGCAGCCCTGATAACAAACTCAATGAACATTCTACTTATGGCCTCAGTATAAACACTTGATATCGCCTATTAGGATAATTAATGCAGGTGATCACTGTCAGAATAAATGATAAGCAAAGACATTGCTAGTTAAGACTCATCTATCAGATTACAGTGTTTCTATACACACATGATCCTCAGTTCTCGGTGACTTTTTAAAAACCTCCCTCTAAAACCAAAATATTGGCTAAATGAAAGAAATCTGATATCTTATAGCTTTTAAAAAAAAAGGTACTTTGCCTCACATTGTACTGATCTCTTTGGTAATTGAGAGATGTGGCACCTAAATAACCATAAAATGAGGACTGCTGACAGTGATGATGTAACCCTAACCAACTCTAGGAGCAAGATATAGGTCTAGGAAGAAAGGAAAAACTCACTGACTAAATAAGCACATTCTGGATTAACAAAAGACAGCCTCAAGTGCTTAATAATACCAATGTTATTGCGTTTTGGATCTGGTAGCCTAAAGTCTCAACTCATAATGAGTCAATGTCTGGCTCAATAAGACACACACTGAAAGAAAATCACAGTATTGCCTCCAATGCAATAGTTACTACATCAATCAAAAAGAAATATCAAAAACTATTTCTTGCAGAGGCATAGTATAACATTCAAAAAATGATGGCTTAGAGTAAAAAGCATCTTTGGAGCATAAAGAGAATTTACATTTATTATCTATTAAGCACGTGTGAAGGTGGTGCCTTCTTTCACATGTTAGCTGTCCCCATTTCACCTATCAGGAAGGAGTCTCTAAGAAGTAAAATCATGGCCGGGTGCGGTGGCTCATGCCTGTAATCCCAGCATTTTGGAAGGCCAAGGTGGGTGGATCACTTGAGGTCAGGAGTTCGAGACCAACCTGGCCAACATGGTGAAACCACGTCTCTACTAAAAATACAAAAATTAGCCGGGTGTAGTGGTGGGCTCCTGTAATCCCAGCTACTCGGGAGGCTGAGGCAGGAGAATCGCTTGAACCCGGGAGGCGGAGGTTGCAGTGAGCTGAGACCACACCATTGCACTCCAGCCTGGGCAACAAGAGCGAAGAAACTCCATATCAAAAAAAAAAAAAAAAAGAAGTAGTAGTAGTAGTAGTAAAAGAATATGCCTAGGGCACAGCTAGCAAGTGACCAGTTAGAACTCAGGTTTGTCTGATTTTATACCCACTGCGTTCTGCACATCACTGTTGCCTGGTTTAACTGCAAACTTTGCTATGAGTTTCATTTACAATTTTAAAATAATAATTCTTACTATGTTTGGGGGTAAAAACCCTTGGGAGAAAATTCTAGGAGTGAAATTCTGACCTTTCTTTTTTTTTTTTGAGACAGAGTCTTGCTCTGTCACCCAGGCTGGAGCACAGTGACTCCATCTCTGCAACCTCTGCCTCCCAGGTTCGGGTGATTCTCCTGCCTCAGCCTCCCCAGTAGCTGGGATTACAGGCCTGCGCTACCACGCCCGGCTAATTTTTTTTTTTTTTTTTTTTTGTATGTTTAGTAGAGACAAGGTTTCACCATGTTGGCCAGGCTGGTCTCAAACTCCTGACCTCAAGTGATCCACCCACCTCAGCCTCCCAAAGTGCTGGGATTACAGGCATGAGCCACCGGGCCCGGCCTGACCTTTCACCTAAATATAGTTACGCTAAACTATAACCTTTTGATAAGGGTCTGGAATATTTTATCATGAACTCTGAGAAGTTTGGATTTCTAAATACAAATTGGAAATATTTACACGAACTGAAACTATAGTTCCAACTACAGCTAAATCGTTATTTTTGGCTCTTTAGCCTAAGTTATTCAATAACCAAACACTAGAATCCAGTGACAAAGTAGCAAAAGGAAAGATGTGGCAAAGGAAACCATTATACACCTATCCCTTGACGTTATGAAATGATCGAATTCATGTCAAACATTTGGTCATTCTGCTTATACCTTCGTTTGTGAACAGATGCCAGGCAGTAGTTACCAATCCAAGGTGAGGTGCTCAAGTTCAAAACCTGACCTTAGTTGTAAAAGTGGGGTTTTTATTTGAAAGAAAAACTTAACTTCCACAAGTTCTATTATAAAGAGTCTACAAATTTTCCTTTATTTAAAAAAAAAAACCCTGAATTTGAAAAAGGCAACCTTATTTATTTACTTCTCCTGTTTCCAAATTCTTGTTACTCCAAGAGTACAGACAGTTATTTACCTAAAATGCAAAACCTCCAAAGAGTTCACACGGTGGCTGGCACTCAGGCACACACATGTCAGTGCTCTACTGGGACACCTGGTACATGATATCCCTATTAAAGAGTACACAGTACCTTTAAAGAGGTCATTAAACAGAACACGGACAAATTTGCCACGCTCACATCCTGAACAATACATTTTGTGAAAAACATTCGCTAATTTAGGTTCTTCCAACCAGAAGAAAAAAAAAAGCCAAGTCTCCCACAAAGTGCCCCCAAATCCACAGCTGAGTGAAGGTCATAAAGAGTTAAATGAATGTAAACCAGGCCCTATCATTCGTCTCCTCCAGAAAAAGATGAAAAGACATTTCTGATGGCCCCAGGTGCTCTCCCACGAGGAGACAGTCTTTCATTTGAGGTTCTGAAGCGGCCTCACCTCGAACCCATGCGGGATCTTCCAAGAGTGCAATTCCCACAGCTCCACTTGCTCAAGGAAGTCTCGGTGCACAGAAGGAAGCCTGCAGCCTCCCAGTACCAAGAAACCGGCAGGGCAAGTGGCAGAAGCCAGCTCTCGGGTGAGAGTCCTTACTCCCTGTTGCATTCGTTCCCCAAAGTTTTCGAATTTTTAAAAAGTTCAAACAAGGATTCGAAGCGCAGGACAGACCCTTCCCCTGGATCCCAACGCCCTTTCGGCTCCTCCGCGGCCCCCGCCAGGCAGCGCCGGCGCCCGCCCGCGAGGAGGAGGGTCCCGCAGGTGGGCGGCCTCCTCAGGCCGGGGCCTTCTGGGACCCCCAAGTGCCGTGCAGGACGCCACGAAGTTGCGCCCGAGCCCGCGGGGTCCGGGGAGCCGCTGCCCGTGACAGCCGCGCTGGCTTGGGAGGCTCTTCGGGCGGCCGACGCCTCGGTGGGGCCGCGACTCCCGTCAGGGAAGCTCTCCCGGCCCGGTGCCGCCTCCTACGCCCGGCCCGAGCCTCCCACGGCTGGGCTCACGGGGCATCTGGCCGCCGCCGTCGCGCTCCCAGCTCGGACTCCAGCCCCGGCGCCGCGACGCTGCCCCGGCCCCGACCCGGCCGTCGCGAGCTGTCCTCCACCCCACGCTCCCCGGTCACTCACCCCGAGGCCGGGCAGCAGCAGCGTCAGCAGCAGCAGCAGCCGCCGGGCCGGCATGGCGAGGACTCGGCCCTGGCTCCGGGGGCGGTACGGACAGAGGACGGGGCGGGGGCGCCGCGACGACAGCGAGGCGGTGACCGAGCCTCAGCGGACGCAGAACTGACTAGGCAGCGGCGGCACCCCCATTCCCGGCCCTATAAGCGCTGGGTGCCGCGGCTTCTTCCGGTCGGGGCGGAGTTGCGGGCGGGGACGGGGCGGGGCCAATCTAGGGGCGTGTTCGGGGCGGAGATGGGGGCGGGCCGAGGGCGTGCCCCGGGCGGGGATGTGGGAGGGGCTGGCTCGGGGCGGGGCCGAAGGCGGTGCTGGCATCTGGCTGGCTTCGCTCATGAGGCGTCGGCGGCTGTAAAGGACCAGGCCTCGGCATCCAGCGTCTGGGGGCGCTGGGGGATCGAGGCGCGAAGCTTGTCTGTGGCTGGGAAAGACCGGCAATGCCCCACCAGGCCGTCCCATTAACCCTGCCGAGGGACCTGCCGCGTCAGACTTCATCGGGGAAAAGGGCGGGACACGGGCGGTCCCGGGTGCCTAGAAGCCTCCTTTTCGTCTTTCCGCCGTGGTGGAATCATCCGCAAGGTTTACCGAGGCGACCTCCGGAGCGAAGGTTTCAGCAGCTACCGGAGGCTTCCAGCAAACACGGCGCAGCTGCCCCGCGCGGCAGTCGCAGTGTTCACAGCCCTAGGGTTCTCCAGCTGTGCCTCGTCTTCTCTGGGGCCCCTTTCTTCCTTTTCCTTGCCCTCAGGAATTCCCCTCAAGTCATATCCACCAGCCATCACTTCCGCTTGGAATGAACCACGGCCAAGTCACTCACCAAAAATTATAAGGAGGAAACCATTTCGGCCACTTGTGTCACGTGCGTTGATGTGACACGTGTGGATGTGAAGTTTGAGATGGTCTGCGTCACAACTCGTTGGAGGGAGTGGGTGGGTTGAGGCCTCCTGCAAGGTCTATGTGAGGGTGTGGAGTACTAATTAGAGTTAAAGAGCTCGGCAGCTGTTTGGTCACTGGCACTGGCCTCCACTGAGAGGGACATGGGTAGGGAGGACACGTCTTTTGCAAGGAAAGACAGTAAACTGAGATTTGGAGCCCAGGGAAAGGTATCTAACTTATCCTAGGAGAAAAAGAAAACGGCTATGAAATTCTCTAATTTTTCCTGACTTGCTTATATGAGAGCCTAAGATTTTTCAGGTTTGAAGGAAAAGAATAAGCACTCCTAGACAAAACAACAAAGTAGTAGTGGGGGACTGGCCAAATGTCCAGTCTGTGTGCATTGTGGTCAATCTTATCCAACTAAAACAGACCAAAATGACAGTAAGCCCAAATCCTGCAAATAGAGCTCCCCATTCCTAACCCCCTAGGCCTGGATTACAGTGAAGGGACTAAGTCCTACCGCATGCTGGAGACTCCAACACATCTCTGTAAGAGTGGGAAGAATCTTGGCAACTGTGAAAACAGTAGAGACATTTTGAAAAGTGTTACCTGAATGTCTAAATGCAAACAGAGGTTTGGGATTGGCAGAGAGATGTACTGAGAGGCCCAGCACTCCTGAGCAGTATAGCCGGGCTTCCAGGGAGGCCTACAGCCCTGAAACTGGGAGGAGCTCTTTATTTCTTGACCTTTTATCTTTTCTTTTTAGAGATGAGGTCTCACGGTGTTGCCCAGGCTGCTCTCAAACTCCTGGGCTCAAGAGATCCTCCCCAGTAGCTGGGACTTCAGGTGTGCCCCACGACACCTGGCTTGGGAGGACCTCTTTAGTGATTACCTGTCCAGTTTGCCAGCTGACAACAGCATCTGTTAGACCCTGTATACTTGACTTAAAAGAGAAGCTTGACTGAAAAATGTCACTTTCACATCCCCCCCTCTGGTGCTTTTTCTCAAACAGAGTAAGTCTAGGAGGGGAAAATTTGCTGTACTGGAACTCTGGCAGCCCTTTTACAATTCAAAATGTCACTGTGACCCTGTAACATCAGCAGATGAAACACAAAGGGGAATGCTGACCTCAATTTCACTCATAAATCAGTTTTAAAGATCGTAGAAAGAAAAAAAATCTGTTCCAAGAAGCCTGGACAGTTAGGTATTATTTATCTTACACTCAGTTGGACCAAATCCCCAGGGCTTAATTGCACTGTTACATGTTCTCTGAATTTCTTTCTTTTTTTTTTTTTTTTGAGACAGAGTTTCACTCTTTTGCCCAGGCTAGAGTGCAGTGGCACGATCGTGGCTCACTGCAACCTCTGCCTTTTCGGTTTCAAGCGATTCTCCTGCCTGAGACTCCCGAGTAGCTGGGATTACAGGTGCCTGCCACCACGCCTGGCTAATTTTTGTATTTTTATAGAGACGGGGTTTCACCATGTTGGCCAGGCTGGTCTCGAACTCCTGACCTCGTGATCTGCCCACCTCCGCCTCCTAAAGTGCTGGGATTACAGGCGTGAGCCACTGTGCCCGGCCCCATTCTCTGAATTTCTTATGCATCGTCCACATGCTTCATGCACTTCTTCACTTGATTGGCAATCCAGACAGATAAGCACTGGTTTTATTTATGGTGGCATTGCCCATAATCTTGCTCTACAGTCAAGTACTTCTTTAGGCAGCTTTTTGCTTATGATAAAGTAAAAGCTGATAGCACTGATAAACACAAACAGAAATGGAATATTTTGTAGGGTGCCTTTGAAGTGGACCTGACCATATAAAAGACCTGCAAATGGGCAGTAAATGACCTTTCTGCAAGTCACATTAAATAACATCCACTGAATAAAGCAAAGGTCATGGTCTTAGTGTAAAGATAAGGCCTCTTTTCCACCAGTGTAAGAAACATATATACATCAGATTCAACAAAGAAGTACAGCAGGATCTGACTATGGGGAGGTGGGAGAAAATCTTATTTTCACTTCCCTTTAAACCACTGGTTCCCAAACTTGGAGAGCTAAAAAAACAAAACAAAACAACAACAACAAAAAACAGATTTCCAGGCCAGGCATGGTGGCTCACGCCTGTAATCCCAGCACTTTGGGAGGCCGAAGCAGGAGGATTGCTTGAGATCAAGACCAGCCTAGGGAACATGGTGAGACCCTGTTTCTGTAAAAAAAAAAAAACAAAAAACCAAAAAATTAGTCAGGCATAGTGGTTCACACCTGTAGTTCCAGTGACTTGGGAAGCTGAGGTGGGAGGATGGCTTGAGCCCAGGAGGTCAAGGCTGCAGTGAGCTTTGATCGTGCCATGGCACTCCAGCCTGGACGACAGAGCAAGACCCTGTCTCAAAAAAATAGAAATAAAAAGCTGGGCATGGTGGCTCACACCTGTAATCCCAGCACTTTGGGAGGACGAGGCAGGTGGATCACGAGGTCAGGAGTTCAAGACCAACCAGCCTGAGCAACATGGTGAAACCCTGTCTCTACTAAAAAAACAAAAATTAGCCGGGCGTGGTGGTGTGCGCCTGTAGTCCCAGCTACTTGGGAGGCTGAGGGAGAAAAATCTCTTGAACCCGGGAGGCAGAGGTTGCAGTGAGCCAAGACTGCGCCACTGCACTCCAGTCTGGGCGACAGAGTGAGACTCCATCTCAAAAAACAAACAAAAAAAAAGAAATTAAAAACATATTTCCAATAACTTCTTGTACCCCTTTCCCTGACTGATTCACAATGTCCAGGGGCAGAGCCCAGAGACCTGTGCGTTTTGCAGTTTCCACCGTACACTGAAGGCAGTCAAGATCCAGGGCTCCAGCTCAATCATGATGTCCAGCCTTCATCCCTGCAACCATGAATCCCTTTTAGTTTAGCAAATATCGCCCTCTAGTGTAATAAATTATGACCCAAAAAAGGAGCTTGTGCCTGTCTCATTTGTGTTTAAAACCCTTCAAAATCTCATTTAAAAATGCTTGTGAGGTTGATTTGCAGATAGCTAGTGACAGGATAGATACCTTTGAAGGCGGAGACTTGAAAGAAAAATCTAGTAAAACCAGAAAGAAAGGTCATGGTTGAAAACTCCAGTAACATTTCAAAGGAATAGTATCTTTATCAGAATAAATCAAGTCAGTTTTTTTGTTGTTGTTGTTTTTAGTGATATCGCTGCTGCTGCTTCTTGAACTGAACCTACAGAGTGTGTGGAAGTAGTTATGGGATAAATATTAATACAACCATAAAGGGGCAAGGCGCTGTGACTTACACCTGTAATCCCGCACTTTGGGAGGCTGAGGTGGCGGGTATCTTCAGCCTAAGAGTTTGAAACCAGTCTGGGCAACATAGTGACACTTTGTCCCTACAAAAAAATAAAATAATTAGCCAGGTGCCATGGTGCACACCTGTAGTCCCAGCTACTCTGGAAGCTGAGGTGAGAGGATTGCTTGAGCCTGAGAGGTGGAGGCTGCAGTGAGCTGTCATAGCACCACTGCACTCCAGCCTGGGCAGCAGAGCGAGACCCTGTCTCAAAACAAACAAACAAACAAACACAAAAAACAATGAAGCAAGAGTCTCTGATAGCAAGCTAAATTCTCATCTCCGTCCTCCCGTCACGTTTAAGGGACATTTTAAAAGTTGTTCTCACTGTGAACACTTTGGTTTTTAGGTAAATAGGACTTTGGCTTTTCCTGTTCTAGGATGACTGGATTTGAAAAGATTGTGACACTTGTTTAAGAACTTCCCTTTACCACAGAATCCCACTCACTACACACTTTCTTAGGTTGCAAAAGTGATTATTTCTTTTTTTTCACATTATACCATAAGGAGTAAAAAGTGATTATTTCTTATTATCTTTTTTATTGGCTGTTTGCTGTTTGGAAATGTGCAACTACATGCTTTATGGTATCATCTTGTCTTATCTTTACTCTAAGACCATGACCTTTGCCTGATGTAGTGGATGTTATTTAATTTTAAGAGACAAGGCCTCTGCCCCGCTACCTATCACTCACCACCCCACTCCCAGGTTCTACCCTGTGGGGTAGCTTAGGCTAATCCTGACTGGTTATTTGTTCACTTGTCTCTGGGTGTTGTATTTCACACGCATTTGTGCCAAGTCTATACACCGCCACAGAAAGTATCCGTGTCCCCAGTTTATATACATTAATATTCTCAAAGGGCCAAGGCAGCACCAAGATGGAAACGGCCATCTCTCAAAGTACCTCCACTTCCTCACTGGCCAGGCCGTCCTAATCCCCTGAGGTCTGGCTTAATTCCACAGAACTCTCTGGAAACTTCTCTCAAGCACTTCATAAACATTCTTCCTCTTGTAAAATCCCTTTGGACCTAATTCCTGGGTTTGTTTTTTTCCCCCCAGCCACCGGGCCTCTTTTCAATTCAGGTATATTAAGGGTTCTTTTCTCTTGAACTTTTCCTCCTTGGATATTACCATTTTCTGGCTTTCCTCCTGTGTCTCTGCTTTTTTTCCTCCTTCCAGATTCTGTGTGGTTTATTTGGGGGGCAGGGGGTGGGGGTAGGGACGGGGTTTGAGTCAGGGTCTGCGTCTATTGCCCAGGCTAGAGTGCAGTGGTGTGATCTAGGCTCACTGCAACCTCTGCCTCCCAGGCTGAAACCTCCAGGGGCATACCATCCTCTCTTCTCGGCCTCTGGAGTAGCTGGGACCACAGACAGGCACCATCACACCCAGCTAATTTTTTTATATTTTGTAGATGCCAGGCGAGTGGGTCTCACTTTGTTGCCCAGGCTGGTCTCAAACTCATGAGCTCAAGCAATCAGCCTGCCTAAGCCTCCCAGAGTGCTGGGATTTGGCCTGGTGCGGTGGCTCACGCCTGTAATCCCAGCACTTTGGGAGGCCAGGGAGGGCGGATCAGGAGGTCAGGAGTTCGAGACCAGCCTGGCCAATATGGTGAAACCCCATCTCTACTTAAAATACAAAAATTAGCCGGGCGTGGTGGCACGTGCTTGTAGTCCCAGCTACTCGGGAGGCTGAGGCAGAAGAATCACTTGGACCCCAGAGGCAGAGATTGCAGTGAGCCGAGATCGTGCCAGTGCACTCCAGCCTGGGCGATAGAGCAAGACTCTGTCTCAAAAAAAAAAAAAAAAAAAAAGTGTTGGAATTACAGGCATGAGCCCCTGTGGCCAGCCAGTACATTGCTTGAGGCTTAATATGTAGACCTTATCTATTTTCTCTTTCCTTTCTTCCTAGGAGGACTCATTTAACATATTTTATATACCAAATTTTATTTTATTTTATTATTTATTTTTGAGACAGAGTCTTTCTGTCGCCCAGGCTAGAGTGCAGTGGCGTGATCTTGGCTCACTGCAACCTCTGCCTCCCGGGTTCAAGCAATTCTCTGCCTCAGCCTCCCAGGTAGCTGGGATTACAGGTGCCTGCCACCAAGCCTGGCTAATTTTTTGTATTTTTAGTAGAGGCGGGGTTTCACCATCTTGGCCAGGCTGGTCTTGAACTCCTGACGTCATGATCCACCCGCCTCAGCCTCCCAAAGTGCTGGGATTACAGGCATGAGCCACCGCGCCCGGCCTTTTATATACCAAATTTTAGAGCAGAAAGGCACTTTAGCCATAATGTAGTCAGCTTCATTTCGCAGATGACTTCATCTTTGACCTCTACATGGATAACTACAATGCATTCATTCAACAAAAATCACTGAAGGCTTCCAAGTACCAGGGATTAGTGCCATAAGGAAATATTAGAGAATTTTCAGGTTGATACAGGACATGCACAGAAATAACCAAGGTACAAGACTGATGGTGAAGGCCTGGTGTGGTGGCTCACGCTTGTGATCCCAGCACTTTGGGAGGCCGAGGCAGGCAGATCACCTGAGGTCAGGAGTTTGAGACCAGCCTGGCCAACATGGTGAAACCCTGTCTCTGTTAAAAATACAAAAATTAGCTGGGTGTGGTGGCAGATGCCTTTAGTACCAGCTACTTGGGAGACTGAGGCAGGAGAATCACTTGAACCCCAGGAGGCAGAGGTTGCAGTTAGCTGAGATCATGCCATTGCACTCCAGCCTGGGCGACAAGAGCAAAACTTCATCTAAAAATAATAATAATAATAATAATAATAATAATAATAAAGACTGACTGTGAAAAGTGCAAGAGGGAGGGAATAAACTTAGAGAAACAGAACTTTGGTCATCAAGAGAGAGATCAGGAAGGAAGGTGGTGGATGGATAGAGCAGGGAGGGCTTCATGGAAGAAGTGATGTCTGGAATGTGCCATCTGTCAGATTTGACTAGAAAGGACATTCTAGAGGCACAAGGAGGATCTGAACAAAGGCCTGGGGAAAGGAAAGCACCGAGTAACTTCATGGAAGCCCTTCCCACAGTAGTTGGTTCAGGATGAACCCATGATATGAAAAATCTTCAGGGGGAATGCATGTGAGGGAGCAGGGAGCCCAGGAGCTGCTGGGTCTGCCCTTAGGATGATGCTGTCAGCACGGTGGCTGAGTGGGGCCATGGGGCAAGTGTTGCCTGGAGTCTGGCTCCTCTGGTTTTTTTTTTTTTTTTTTTTTTCTTGAGACGGAGTCTTGCTCTGTCACCCAGGCTGGAGTGGAATGGCACAATCTCATCTCACTGCAACCTCTGCCTCCTGGGTTCAAGTGATTCTTGTGCCTCAACCTCCCGAGTAGCTGAGACTACAGGTGTGTGCCACCGTGCCCAGCTAATTTTTGTATTTTTAGTAGAGATGGGGTTCCACCATGTTGGTCAGGCTGGTCTCGAACTCCTGACCTCAAGTGATCCGCCCACCTCAGTCTCCCAAAATGCTGGGATTACAGGTGTGAGCCACCATGCCCGGCTGTGGTTCCTCTGGGTTTTCAAGTTGTGTCAGCTGGTCAGTTACTTTACGTTTTCCATTAAAATAAAAAGCATTCTGAAATTATATATATATAATTTATATATATGTAAAAATTACATAATTTTACATAGTATTTACGAACAGCACTAGAGAGAACTTAGAAAATTTTAAAAGGTGGCTTGATTACAAATTACTACAGAAGATGAAACAAAATGAAACAAAACATAGTCAGCATAGTAAATTACAAAAAAACAAGGGGAACTTCCCAATTAAAAAGCAAATACTTCCCGAAGAGAAATTAAAACACACTGCCGGGTGCAGTGGCTCACGCCTGTAATCCCAGCACTTTGGGAGGCCAAGGCAGGCAGATCACCTGAGGTCGGGAGTTTGAGACCAGCCTGACCAACATGGCGAAACCCCGTCTCTACTAAAAATAAAAAATCAGCTGGGCATGCTGGCGCATGCCTGTAATCCCAGCTACTCAGGAGGCTGAGGCAGGAGAATCACTTGAACCCGGGAGGCAGAGGTTACAGTGAGCCAAGATCACACCATTGCACTCCAGCCTGGGCAACAAGAACAAAACTCTGTCTAAAAAATAAAAATAAAAAAAAATACACCCATACAAAAACTTGTACACAAATGTTCATGGCAACATTATTCATAATAGTCAAAAAGTGGAACCAACCCAAGTGTCCATCAACTGAAATGGATCAACAAAATATGGCATTATCTATTTAATGGAATATTTAACAATTGAAAAGCAATGGAGTATTGATACATGCTCCAATAGGGATGAACCTTGAGGAAGTTATGCTTAGTGAAAGAAGCCAGTCACAAAAGACCATATGTTGTACCATTCTGTGTATATAACATGTCCAAATCTAGAAAGACAGAAAGTAGATGAGCGGTTGCTTAGGGAAGGGGAAGCAGATGAGGGAGACTGGAGAGTGATGATAAAGGAGTGTGGATTTCTATTTGGGTTAATGAAAATATTTTGAAGTCGATGGCAGTGATGGCTGCACAACTCTGTTAATACACCAAAGCCATTGAATTTGTACTTTATTTTCTTTGAGACAAAGTTTCACTTTGTTGCCCAGGCTAGAGTGCAGTGGTGTGATCATGGCTCATTGCAGCCTCAACCTCCTGGGCTCAAGCAATTCTCCCGCTTCAGCCTTCGGAGTAGCTGGGACTACAGGTGCCCCGCCACCGTGCCTGGCTAATTTTTTAAAAATTATTTGTAGAGATGAGGTCTCCCTATGTTGCCTAGGTTGGTTTCCAACTCCTGGGCTCAAGCAATCCTCCCACCTTGGCCTCCCAAAGTGCTGGGATTACAGCCATGAGCCACGGTGCCCAGCCTGAATTTTTACCTAAATGAGTTCGTTGTATGGTATGTAAATTATTCTTCAATAAAGCTATTATAAAAATATAAGTGGTCTATACAGGCCAAGTAAAAGGCTGAAAATGACCAAGCTGAAAAAAAATCGGCCGGGCGCGGTGGCTCACGCCTGTAATCCCAGCACTTTGGGAGGCCGAGGCGGGTGGATCACGAGGTCAGGGGATCGAGACCATCCTGGCTAACACAGTGAAACCCCGTCTCTACTAAAAAATACAAAAAAATTAGCCGGGCATGGTGGCGGGCGCCTATAGTCCCAGCTACTTAGGAGGCTGAGGCAGGAGAATGGTGTGAACCCAGGAGGCGGAGCTTGCAGTGAGCCGAGATAATGCCGCTGCACTCCAGCCTGGGCAACAGAGCAAGAGAGCGAGACTCTGTCTCAAAAAAAAAGAAAGAAAGAAAGAAAGAAATCAAGACCATTATATGATGACTACAAAAATTAAACTTCAGATACAAAGGCATAGGTAGACTAAAAGTGAAAAGATGGAGAAAAATAAGATAGACCTTGTGAAACCGATAAGAAAGTTGGAAAGGTTATACTGACATTGGAACTGACTTTAATACAAGGAATGTTACCAGAGATAAAAAGCGGCATTTCACAATGATAAAGAGTCTGTTCATGCACAAAACATAGCAATCCTAAACGTGTAAACACCTAAAAACGGTTTGAAAATACGTGAAGGAAAAATTGAAACAACTGATGGGGTGAAAAAAATAAACCCACAATTAGATTAGATTTCAACACTCATTTACTGATAGGATAAGTAGGCAGACACTAAATTATAAGAGAACGATTTTCAGCCTCTGTGTTACTGACATTTTTGGCCAGATAATTTGTTTGTTTGTATTTATTTATTTATTTATTTATTTGAGATGGAGTCTCACTCTGTCACCCAGGCTGGTGTGCAGTGGCGCTGCCTCGGCTCACTGCAACCTCTGCCTCCCGGGTTCAAGTGATTCTCCTGCCTCAGCCTCCTGAGTAGCTGGGACTATATGTGAGCCACCACGCCTGGCTAATTTTTGTATTTTTGGTGGAGACTGGGTTTCACCATGTTGGCCGGGCTGTTCTTGAACTCCTGACCTCAGGAGATCCGCCCACCTCGGCCTCCCGAAGTGCTGGGATTACAAGCGTGAGCCACCATGCCTGGCCAAGTTTTTAATTTTACTTGTAATTGACCAGCTCAGTCTTTGTTGTGGGGGGCTGTCTTGTGCATTGTGGTATGTTTAGCAGCAGGCCAGGTGTGGTGGCTCACGCCTGTAATCATAGCACTTTGAGAGGCCGAGGAGAGCGAATCACTTGAGTCCGGGAGTTTGAGACCAGCCCAGGCAACATGGTGAAACCTCATCTCTACAAAAATAAATAAATAAACAAACATATATATGAATGTTTAGCAGTATCCCTGGTCTTTATCTGTATGAGTTACCTAGGGCTGCCATATCAAAGTACTGCAAACTGGGTGGCTCAAAACAACAGAAATTTATTCTTTCACAGTTCTGGGGCTAGAAGTCTGAGACAAAAGTGTTGGCAGGGCCACGCTGTCTCCGAACCCTCTAGGGAAGGGTCCTTCTATGCATCTTCCAGCTTCTGGGAGCCCCAGGTATCCTTGGCTTGTGGCAGACTAACTCCAATCTCTACCTCTGTCCTCAAATGGCTGTTTTCCCCTCGTGTGTCTCTGTATCCAAATTTATCCTGCTTCTTATAAGAACATCAAATTGGATTAGGGCCCATCCTATGAACTCACCTTGATTATATCTGTAAAGACCCTGTTTCCAAATAAGGTCACATTCACAGGTGATGGGGGTTAAGGTTACAACATTTTTTTTTTTTTTGACACAGAGTCTCTGTCACCTAGGCTTGAGTGCAGTGGCACGATCATGGCTCACTGCAGCCTCCAACTCCTGGGTTCAAGCCATCCTCCTGCCTTAGCCTCCTGAGTAGCTGGGACTACAGGCACAAATCACTGTGGCTGGCTAACTTTTTAAATTTTTTTGTAGAGATGGGGGTCTTGCTTGTTGCCCAGGCTGGTCTTGAAATCCTAGCCTCAAGCAATTCTCCTGCCTCAGCTTCCCAAAGTGCTGAGATTACAAGCATGAGCCACCATGCCTGGCCAGCTTCAGCATTTCCTTTTGGAGGATACAACCCATAACACTACCTAATAGGTGTCAGGGCATCCCTCCTAGTTGTGAAAAACAAAAATGTCTCCAGATATTGCCAAATGTTCCCTGGATGGCAAAATCGCCACCCTCCCATTGAGATTTGAATAACACTATCAACTACCTTGATCTCCTTTACACTTATAAAACATTATACCCAACAACAAAAGAATACACATTCTGGAAACACTTATTCTATTTTATGGAATGAAGTGTTGCCAATTTAAAAAAAAAAAAAAGGAGGGTAGCATGGTGGCGCACACCTGTAATCCCAGCACTTTGGAAGGCAGAGGGGGAAGGACTGCCTGAGACTGTGAGTTCAAGACCAGTGTGGCCAACATAATGAGACTCTGTCTCTAAAATAAAATTTAAAAACTTAGCGGGGCATGGTAGTGCACTCCTGTAGTCCCAGCTACTTAGGAGGCTGAGGCCCAGGGATCTCTTGAGTTCAGGAGGGTGAGGCTGCAGTGACCCATGATTGCACCACTGCATTCCACTCCAGCCTGGGTGACAGAGTGAGACCATGTCTCAAAAATAAAATAAAAACACATAAATAAATAAATAAATATTTAAAAATATAGGCCAGGTGCAGTGGCTTATGCCTGTAATCCCAGCACTTTGGGAGTCCGATGTGGGTGGACCACTTGAGGTCAGGAGTTCAAGACCAGCTTGGCCAACATGGTGAAACCCTGTCTTTACTAAAAATACAAAAAAAAAAAAATTAGCTGGGCATGGTGGCATGTGCCTGTAATCACCATATTGGCCAGGCTTGTCTCGAACTCCTGAACTTGTGGTCCGCCCACCTCAGCCTCCCAAAGTGCTGGGATGACAGGCGTGAGCCACCATTCCCGGTCACTATTTGGAAATTAACATCATTCTTCTAAATAACCCATGGGCCTTTTCTGCCTCAACTGCTTCCAGGGCACCTGTGGAAAAAGCTTGTGATGAGGTGGGGCAAAAAATAGAAGCCAGTTCTCAAGTTCACCTTTGATTGTACCCACCCTACAGAAGATGGAATCAATTTACAAAAATTTACCAAATTACAAAAATTTATTAAAATGATTTTAGTAAAATTAGATTTAAATTAATAGAAATTGCATTTCTATATACCAGCAATGAACTCTTGGAAATTGAAATTTAAAAATAGTATCTCTCATGTTAGAGGCTTGACTAAAAAAAAAAGAATAAATATAGTATCATTCATAATAGCATTATAAATGAAATCCTGAGGGATAAATTTCACAAAATATATGCAAGATTGTACAATGAAAACTATGACATTGCTGAGGGAAATGAATAAGACTTAAATGAAGAAATATACTGTATTCATGGGATGAAAGACTGAGTGTTGTTAAGATGTCAATTATTCCCAAATTGATCTACAGATTCAATATAATTTCAGGCAAAATTCCTACTGGTCTTCTGTAGAAATTGACAAGCTGATTCTAAAATGTTTCTGGAAATACAAACAACCTAAAATAGTCAAAATAATTTTGAAAGAGGACAAAGTTACAGATCTTGTATATCTGATTTTAAGATGTACTATAAAGCAATGGTAATAAAGGGTAGATAAATAACAGTGCAAAAGAAGATACTGCTTAGAAACAAACCAACTCATATATGGTCAATTTTTTTTTTTTTTACAAACATGACAAGGTACTTTAAGTGAAAGGATATCCTCTTCAACAAATGGTGCTGGAACAAGTGAATATCCATATACAAACAAATGAACCTAACTCTTGTCTCACACTAGACACAAAAATTAACTTGAAAAAGATAATAGACCTGAATGCGAGAGCAAACACTATAAAACTTCTCGAAGAGCGGGCGCAGTGGCTCACGCCTGTAATCTCAAGAAATTTGGGAGGTCAAGGTGGGCGGAACACGAGGTCAAGACATTGAGATCATCCTGGCCAACATGGTGAAACCCCATCTCTACTAAAAATACAAAAATTAGCCAGGCATGGTGGCGTGCGCCTGTAATCCCAGCTACTCGGGAGGCTGGGGCAAGAGAATCACTTGAACCTGGGAGACAGAGGTTGTAGTGAGCTGAGATCGCACCACTGCACTCCAGCCTGGTGACAGAGCGAGACTTCGTCTCAATAAATTAATTAATTAATTAAATTAAATTAAATTAAACTTCTAGAAGAAACCATATAAAAGAAAAATCTGTATTAGGCCAAGATTTCTTAGATATGAAACCAGAAGTACTGTCTATTAAAAAATTGATAAATTAGATTTTCATCAAAATTAAAAATGTCTCCTCTTTGAAAGACACTGTCAAGAAAATAAAAAAGCAGGCCAGGCACGGTGGCTCATGCCTGTAATCCCAGCACTTTGGGAGGCTGAGGCGGGTGGATCACTTGAGGTCAGGAGTTCAAGACCAGCCTGGCCAACATGGTGAAACCCCGTCTCTACTAAAAATACAAAAATTAGCCGGGCATGGTGGTCCGTGCCTGTAGTCCCAGCACTAGGGAGGCTGAGGCAGCAGAGTCGCTTGAACCCGGGTGGCAGAGGTTGCAGTGAGCCAAGATAGTGCCACTGTACTCCAGCCTGGGCGACAGAGCCAGACTCTGTCTCAAAAAAGAAAAGAAAAGAAAAGAGAAGAGGAGAAGAAAAGAAAAGAGCAGGCCGGGCGCGGCGGCTCACGCCTGTAATCCCAGCACTTTGGGACGCTGAGGCGGGAGGATCATGAGGTCAGGAGTTTGAGACCAGCCTGGCCAATATGGTAAAACCCCATCTCTACTAAAAATACAAAAATTAGCCAGGCATGGTTGTGCATGCCTGTAATTCCAGCTACTGGGGAGGCTGACGCAGGAGAATTGCTTGAAGTCGGGAGGCGGAGGTTGCAGTAAGCCAAGATTGTGCCACCGCACTCCAGCCTGGGCAACAGAGTGAGACTGTCTCAAAAAACAAAACGAAACAAGTAATGGAGCAAAGCTTCTGTTGCTCCACATCCTCACTGGCATTTGGTATTTGAGGCATAATCTTAACACATCACAATCAAAGCCAACAGCCAACTTCCAAGCAAGTACATAATACACAAAGCAGAGCTGTGGACAATGTAATTACAACACAACTAAGGTTGAATTAATAAATAAATATTTTATACCATGTTTGTACTTGATAGTGAAAACATCTTCGTTTCAACAATCTGTGGAACACTTATAAAAACTGATATTTTAGGTCACAAAGAAAACTTTCATACATTGCCCAATGCGGAAACTGTACCATAATGTAATAAATGTTGAGATAACGAAAGTTAAAACAGCAACAAAAATAAATAGAGACTACTAAACACTTGTCAAAGTCATTATTGCTTTGGATTAAAGAGGTTTTTTTTTTTTTTTTTGAGATGGAGTCTCGCTCTGTTGCTCAGGTTAGAGTGTAATGGCGCGATCTCAGCTCATTGCAACCTCCGCCTCCCGGGTTCAAGCGATTCTCCTGCCTCAACCTCCTGAGTAGCTGGGATTACAGGGGCCTGCCACCACGCCCGGCTAATTTTTGTATTTTTAGTAGAGACAGGGTTTCGCCATGTTGGCCAGGCTGTTCTTGAACTCCTGACCTGATCCATCCGCCTCCGTCTCCCAGAGTGCTGGGATTACAGGCGTGAGCCACCGCGCCCGGCCAAAGAGGAATTTTTTGAATTTAAAGTCTATATAGAAAATAAGGAAAATAAGAGCCCATTCAACTACAAACCCATAGGGTGAAATGATTTCACTGTCACATACACACACACACACAAAACAATAAATTTTCCGTATTAAGAGGAAAAAAAGGAAAAGAATTCCCAAGGAAAACAGGGAGGCAATAAAGATAACCGGCGACTGTGACTGCTGGTGTACTGTGTCCTCCCCCAGTTAAGCAAACTATCATTCATCCACCTGTATGTCCGGGGAACAGGCTCAATCAACTCTGCGAAGCTTTCCCAAAGTCAGGCTTTCTGTCCTTTGGGCTTCTACAGTAGGCTGTTCATAGCGCTATGTTAGTATTTATTAAAGTTTTGCAATCCCAGGAAGTTTTTCACATCACTCTGCCCTTTAAATACCTTTGTTTACCACTTAGAATGTGCCAGGCAATTGGCATTAATTCACCGAATCCTTACAATTTTTTTTTTTCGCGGTGTGTGTGTGTTGGGGGGGGGCGGCGGGGGGGTATTCCTAATTTCCAGAAACTGAATCTCAGAAAGGTTAACTGAGCAAGGTCACAGAGCGAACGCATCACAAAGTCAGGATGTGGTGCAGATCGGTCCATTTTCAATACAAGCTCTTTCTACCACGACAGGTTATTTTGCACTTGGGGACAGTTTTTAACTTTCCATTCTCAACTCCTATCCTAGCTCCTGGCACAGAACATGTCATCCAAGTTAGGCATCATCGTCGCCTGCTCTTGGTGAAGTTTTCTTTTGCGTACTGCGGAGAGATGCGCTCATTACCAGCTGGCGGTGGAGTCGCTGAAACGCAAATGGATTTGAGACTGAGCGACTCCCATCTCTATGGTTGGTATGTGACCCATCTATCCTCTGGAGGACTCAGCAAGGACTACCAGTCACCAGACAACTTTACGCGCACGTGGTCGCAAGGTGAACTTGCTATTGGTTAATGGCAGTAAAGCCCGCCCATCAGCGCTGGTCTGCTCCTTTAAAAGAACGCCATCGACGCTCCCCTGTCTTTCAGCGCCTGCAGGTTCCGGGAGGTCAGGTTGTATTCCTGGCGGGTCGTCTGGCTGGGTGGGCCCCGGAGGTCGTGGCTCGGGAGCAGGGAGGCGTAGGGGGGCCGGCCTGCTGTGATGACATTCCAATTAAAGCACGTGTTAGACTGCTGACGCGGGTGATGCGAACTGGAGTCTGAGCCTGCCCGAGCGGAGCTGGGAGGGGGCTGGCGGGCGGGCGCGCGCACACCCGCTGATCTATCACTCTCGTTCTTGTAGCTCCCAGCCGAGGACGTCGGATGTCATCGTCCTTGCTGCTTTGCCACCCCATTCCCGTCAATAAAGTGGTTTGAACCCAACCCTGGTGTCGGTGTGTGTCGTTGGCGACGCGCTGTCTTTGAGCCCCCGCCGAGCTTCCTCGTGGCGCCGGGGGTCAATCTGCAGCGCTAGAGCATGTGCTTGCGCATAACTGGGGCCGCCTGGCCTCCCGCGGGCGGCCTTTTTAACCGCGAGCGACAAGAAGTAACCTGACTGTCCGGCTGCTAGGCTGGGCAATTTTCCAGCTGTTTTGCCACGACAGGCCTCAATCCGTAATACCAAGGCTGGAATGGCGTGTTAGGGGGGCGGTGGCTGACGGGGATACGCGGACTCTTGATGCGTAAGGAGTGCCCCTCTGCTCCCATACGTTCCCCAGCCCAGCCTTCCCTGAGTGTATCGCGCGCGCTGTGCCTTCGCCGTGAGTTCGACATAAGTCCCAGGCTGTCGCGTCTGCCATCAGACGCGCAGATTTAGTTGAAGGCAGCGTGGAATGGCGTCTGCAGGGCTGTTGTGTACTTGACATAAACAGATTCGGTGTGGAACTGCATTGAGTTAACTCCTGACTAAAGGGTAATCGACCTGTTTACAAATAACCATGCAGGAGTACTGACAAGCATGGGACTAAAGCTTTGGGCAGGTTAATCTGTCACTCCTAAACAGTTCAAAATTATAGGGCGGTTGTGAAGGTGAATTAGATTTTATATATGGTTGGGGACAACATAGACACCTAGTTACACAGTCCAGATTCAGTGATTGGTAAAAGATCTTCCACAAGGGCTCCAGTGAAAGGTGCATCAGTTCTGAGTACAGGGCAGCAATGGTGGGCAAGGATGCACGTATGCGTTCACTACATGGACATTCGATGAATGAAGGTGTCCCGAATTAACATTATACTAGACAATGAAGGGTGTAAACTGCAGCCCAGGAGCACCACTGCCCTACCCCCTCAGTTACGAACTTTCACTGGATTCTTTAAATGTGGGCTGAAGATAATGGCACATAGTTTGAAGGATGTAGTGAGGATGGCTTTGTAGCCTTAGGACTGGGCAGTGATCAACGCAGTAAATGAAAGCTGCGATTGCCAGGTGAGGGCCCCGGTGCTCTGTACTCATTTTATTGTGCCCCTATCTGAACAGGATTCCGTAGAAATGACTTAGATGCTTATCTAGTATTTGACATTGAGATATTTATTTTGTGAAACAATGCAAGCGATTTTAAATCCCCACATACTATTTGATTAAGTGCAACATGGTACAGTCATGTGTAATCTCTTTACACGATAGTGCATCTAGTCCTTAGCCTTTAGTTATTGCACAACAATTATAAAGACCAGTGACCAGGACACGTGGACTCTGACAGGCAGATCGGCCTACACAACGAAAAATCAGAACAGTACACCAACTGGAATGGTCAAACAATTTAAGTCAAATGTTTTAATGGTGCAATTAAAATAAGGGTTCAAACATGTTTTCAATATATTAATTTCTTTAAAGTCATGTTCAGGCAAGGTGCTGTTTAAAAAACCACTATTAGCTTTGTCCACACATGTAAGTTATCAAAAGTTACCCAAGGTAATTTTGACGTTGAATGCAGCTTTAAACAATAAAAAAATGGTATTAGGTTTACTTCTCGAAGCAAAGAGAGCCCCCAACCTTGTAAACTAAACATTCTGACACAAATGCACAAAATTAAGTTGGCAACATTAATTTTGAGATGTAGTGTGATGCTGAGCAAACTTTTGGTCTTGACTCTTGAAATAATTAAAGAGAGCAGTTCTCCGTTTTGGCCTTCAGGAAGGGAAATCTGCCCATGGAACTCTCCCAATCAGATTAACAAACTGTTTCGATTCCCATATAAACCTGGAGGACACAGGAAACGCCAGATGGAAAAACTGGCTCTGGCTTTCTAACCCCATCCCATCTGTATGAGAGGACCCATCCTGTCATGTGCAGTGTTTGATGTTTTCACATACGCTCCTGTCTCAGGAAAACATTCAAGATTAGCTAGCCCCCAGGTGGTTGTACCTCATTGGTGAAAGGCTTGGGATGGTTTGATCTCATGGCTTTGCCTGATGTTCACATAAATCCCACTGTCCTTACCCAAGCTGATAGCGTGTTGTGTGTGTACTATGGCTACTTGCTTCCCAAATGCACAATTTAATGTGGAAAATAAGTTGCTCTGCCCATCTCTTCTGTCACCGAAATGAAAAGGCTCACAGAATTCCTCTCCCCACCCTCCAGACACATTGCACACTGACATTCTCTGGAAGTGTGGAAGGCCGCATACAAAGTATAGAAGTGAAAAAGTCCACTGTGCACCGGCTGCCTGAAGAAAAGCTTTGGAGGAGTAGAGGAGGCAAGTTGTTCAGCTTTGCTCTTACTGTGCTCATTTGCTGCCACAAACATGGGTAGACTTTTAAAAGCCATGGTGTGGGTCACGTATAACTTCTGGATCCACCATGATTCTTCCATGGTCTCCTTTGCCAAATCAAAGCTTTGCAGCAGGCAATCCAGACAGTTGTCACTAGATGCAGGGAATGACACCTCACAGTGGAATGGGCACTGGCAGGCAGAGGGCAGAAGCAGTCCTTTAAGAAACAGTAGCTGTGGCACAGAGGCCAGTGCTACAGTACAGATGGCGGCCAAGAACCCCACACATCCAGCTCGATGTCACAATATGGGGAACATCTGACATCACCCATCATGGCTGATCAGCAGCCTCCACAGGTGGGTCTTTCAGGAGGCAGGAAGTAGAGCGAGGGTCCATGGCTGAGTGCATTATAGTGATATAAACATCATCCATGTTTGGCATGACAAAAACTTTCTGTAGGAAGATATTAAAGAACAGCTATGTGGAAGAATGCCTTGCCAGGCTGTCACCCTCCTTTGTTCTGATAATTTTAGGGCTTAGACTGATTTTTAAAAGTACATATAAAAACTTGCTATGCATTCCAAACTAATTCTCCCACCATACATACTTTAGAAAGAGTTGAGGAATCATACCAGCGCATGGATACGAGAATCCTCTAATATATCAGCTCGGAGGCAGAAGTGGCCTTTGATTTTGTATACATATAATAAGGTTGCCCATATGCACTGATATATATCCAACAATTTAAGAGAATTGGCTTAAGCTGTTCACAGTAGTTCCCAGTTACTATGTCTAGAACACATATTCCATGTGAATTATCCTTTTATTAATAAATCCTAGCGATAAAATGTAAGCTAATGGCCAGGTGCGATGGTTCACGCCTGTAATCCCAGTACTTTGGGAGGCCAAGGCAGGCAGATCATCTGAGGTCCAGAGTTCAAGACCAGCCTGGCCAACATGGTGAAACCCTGTCTCAACTAAAAATACCAAAAAATTAGGCCAGGCATGGTAGCTCACACCTGTAATCCCAGCACTTTGGGAGGCCGAGGTGGGCAGATCACGAGGTTAGGAGATCGAGACCATCCTGGCTAATACAGTGAAACCCCCATCTCTACTAAAAATACAAAAAATTAGCTGGGTGTGGTGGCGGGTGCCTGTAGTCCCAGCTACTCGGGAGGCTGAGGCATGAGAATGGTGTGAACCTGGGGGACGGAGTTTGCAGTGAGCCGAGATGGCGCCATTGCACTCCAGCCTGGGCGACACAGCAAGACTCTGTCTTAAAAAAAAAAAAAAAAAAAAGAAAGAAAAAGGGAAAAATAAAAGGCATGATGTTCTTTCCCCTCAGTAGGTTCAAAGTACTTTTCTATTTGGTGATGACATTAAGCTTTTTCAGAAATTGGTTATCAGTTATGTTTAATCTCTAGTTTTTAAATAAGAGGATTTTTTTAAGGCAGTAACTCAAAATATACCACTGCAAAAAGAATGTAGGTCTTCTTCAAAAGGTGAATTTCATTAAAAGTAAATAGTTTGCTAATCCATAAAACCCCGACAGACAACTGTGCTTCAAATATCTGATAAAAGTTTGATGGAAATAGCTCATCCTAGGGCCTCAGCTATACTGCTATTACCTTTGGTGGCCAAATGCAGAAAGAAAAGCTGAGAGAGTAAGCTCTGGCTTAATGAACTCCCAGACTACACTAGAAGCTACCCAGGGGAGGGAGAGGCCAGATTCATCTTTGGACTCCCAGGGCAGGTGGTACCTGGCACACAGAAGGGTTTCCAGGAATGTTTGTTGAACTGAACAAACTGAGCAAGGTGAACAGCACACAAGAACAGGGGGCAGCCTCCCTGCCCACAGGCCGGGTGCTAAGAGTTGGGCAAGGCCAGGCCTTGCATAAGAGAAAACAAAGCCTGACAGTCCTGGCAGGCTTGCTGGGAAAAGACATCATCATTTTGCTCTGACCCAAATCTTTTGGGTTTCCTCTGAAGATGACTTAGTAATGTTCTGTGGATAAGTTTCAGGGCTTTGATACTGTACCTGAAGTTTTATTCCCATATTTGATCAAATGTAATACTCTTCCGGGATGAAGGTCACCATCAGATTTTCAAAAGAGGATCCTGACCCAGCTGAAGTTCAGAACCTCGGCTAAACCCAGAGCTTCTATACTTGGTGTGAAATACTAGATAACACTAGAGGTTTACCTGAAACTCTTGCTCCAGTTTCTTCTCTATCCAGTCTGTCACATGAACTAAAGTCACTTCTCTCTCTCCAAGTTTTGGCCGAGCTTTCAGCTCCACATGTGGTGGCTTTCGGAAACCATACCTTTTTGAAGACAAGTAATAACCACATTTAGAAGCAAAGCAAGGAATGAGACAGGCACTGACAGCAAACAGTTCTCATTTACATGGGGCTTTATCACTACTTAAAATGTTATTTTCTTCTGAAAATGCCCTCTAAAAATATTCCACACACAAAGTATGAATTGTGAACCCCCTGTGTTCCCTGGATGGTGTTAGGGCTGTGGCGGATTTAGAACAGTTCTGACAAACTGAGAGAGCCAGGAAGCACCACTGGAAAAGTCCATGACCTGGGCATTGGTTTCTGTTTTTTTCTAAAATGGCAATAACCTTTTTTCTTTCAATTTTTATAAAAGTAGTATATGTACATTACAAAAACAAAACATACATACAAGCAGATAAAGCAGAGAGTGAAAGACACACTGCCTCTCTCTGAATGTCATCCCCAAGAGAGGACTATTGACAGAAGTAGGGTGAACTCCCCTTACATTCTCCTGTGCATATGTCGATCAATAAGGTTTGAAACCTGTTTTTTCATCCTACACCCCAACAATACGCTTTGTATGACTTCCCGAGGGAGCAGACTGGCAATCAGAACTGTTGGCAAAGTATCCAGACAAGACCCTGTATGCTATCAACTATCTAAAACCTTAAATCTGTCCTGGACCAGTGCTTTTGGAAATACAGTAAAAATGTCAAGTTGCCATAAATATTTCTAAACACTCTATACTTATCTTTATGGATCAATAACACATAGTTCAGCATTTGAGCATGCCTTGGGTAGCACTATCCTAGAGCCCTTTTATTTTATCTCCCCCTGAGCAGAGGCATTTAAAACTGATAAATCTAAAGAATTGGCAGTAAGGAGAAGAAATGTATCAATTTTAACTATTAAAATTTTTTTAAGGTTTGAAAGACCATACAATATATTAACAGTGGTTATTTCTGGATGGTGAGATTATGGGTTTTTATTTATTTATCTATTTTTCACCTTTTCCCAATCTTTCTCTTTTTTTTAACAATGAAAATATTACTTTAAAAAAGTATAAAAAGGCATTTTAAAGTTTTATTGGGAAATACCAGCATTATCGTTAAATGGTTAGTCAATTCAAAACCCCTCTTCTGATCATTCCTACAAATCCTTCTGAATACCGATGGTATGTACTAGCATGTTGGTTTTACTCTATGATAGAACAGAGCTATATTTTTGTTATGAGTGTAGTTTATGGTACAATGAGATCTCTTATGCAATCACTATTTACACTTATGCCCATTTTTATAGGACTTAGCATGTCAATTTTAAATTGAGATTCACAGGCAGTGATGCTGAACTCATCAGTAATTTATTTCAGTGACTCTCAACCCTGGCTTCATCACCCCCGACCCCTGAAATCCGGGGGGATGGGCCAGGCATAGCTATATTTTTAGCAAGTCCCCAGGTGATTTTAACATGCAGCTGGGGCTGAGAATCCAGTCCTCAGACACCAAATGCACATGCTCCTGACTCCTCAGCATTGAGGCCTAACTCAGGGAAGTCTCCCTAACTTCCCAGACTCTGTTGGATGTGTGATCCCCATCTTTAAAGTAGGGATAACAATGGCATCTACCTCAACAGGATGCTATGAGGACTAATCAGGTAATGCAATTACAACCAGGGCCAGGCAGAGAATAAAGGCGCTATCTACAAATGACAGCTGTTATTACTGGCAGAACAGTTGGCTTTACAGAGGAGGAAGACCAATAATAGAAACAGCTTATCTCATAAACTTCATGTATTGACTTTAACTTTTCCTACCATGTGAACATGAATTCTTGAATGTGAATTCACCACTCACAGAAGAAAGTACCATCAGATTTGCAACTAATATTAAGGTCCCATGAAAATTGTTTGGAAGTGCTTCTGCCCGGGAGAAGGTACTTTCCATAACCTCAAGGTTAAGCAGGCTGGGATTTCTGTGGCCATGCAATAGGAGGAATCACTTATTGTCCCTGAGGGCCCTCTACGCACCATACTCGGTCAGTCGGGGGTGGTGGAATGTTGACCGCCAAGGTTCCTCTACATTCTTGTACTTCAACAGTGAGCAGCAGGGGTGTGTTGGAGACTTCTTCGATCTTCTTTTTAATAAACTCTGTCTCTGTTGCTTTTTGGAAATATTTTGACTTGGTAATTTTATCAACAAACCTCATAATCTTACTTGTTCGATGACCTCCAACGTACCTTCAAATGTGGAACACAAAGGGCGGTTAGCACAAACTTTGCTCTTTTCACAGACAAAAACCTGTGGCTCTTCGTTCCCCTTACTTTAGAGCACCACTCGATGTTTTGGATGTGGTGATTCTGTGTTGGGGCGGGGGGCATCCTGTGCATTGCAGGGTGTTCAGCAGCATCCCTGGTCTCTACCTACCAGATGCCAATAGCACTCCCCCTAGTTATGACAATAAAAAATGTTGCCAGACATCGGCAAATGTCCTCTGGGGGGCCAAATCACCCCCAGTTGAGAACTACTACTTCAGAGAAGGTGTAAATGTCTGAAACAGTCCAAACCTTGACAATGGAGAGCTGGACAAAGTCCTCATGCAGAGGTTTCTCACCTGTCCTCCTTTATACTACTCCAATACCAGACAGAAATCCAATGACATATCAATCTCATAATCTCCATGCAGCAAGTAACAAATCATGCTGCATCAATAGGACATAAATCAGTAATTAATGGACTGTCTTTAGGTGGTGTCACATGGCTACCTTGAGTGGCAATTACTTTTCAAAGGGCTTGGAACTTCTTAAAGAAAAATGTAGCCTGGGCAACACAGTGAGACCCCCATCTCTACAAAAAACAAACAGAAAATTAGCCAGGAGTGGTGGTGTGCATCTGTAGTCCCAGCTACTCGGGAGGCTAAAATGGGAGGATCACTTGAGCCCAGGAGGTTGAGGCTGCATTGAGCTATGATCGTGCCACTGCACTCCAGGCCTGGGTGACAGAGCAAGATGCTGTCTCAAGAAAACAAACAAACAAACAAAATGCTACACCAAGTTGACGTGCTCACAGGCCAAGAAAATAAGCTGTTGTATCAGGTCACATGTACCATGAGACTCAGAAGAAAGGATATTTGCTTTTTAAAATCCCCCACAGTTCCAGAACATGAGGAAAAGTATGTGTTCAGGGAAAAGCAATCATTCTTAAGAGGGTCAAGCAGCTAGACTGTAAATAATACACACAAACTTTGGCACCAACTCCTCAAACATCTGAATTCTCATCTCCTGTAGGATTTCAAAAGTGAATAGGTTGGTTTTTTCTTATAAAAGTTTCTGAATTATTTGGCTTCTTTTAGTTTCTTCAATTCACTTTATGTAATTAAAAGATCATTGTGGATAGGCTATTTAAGCACTTTGATCATTTCACAGCCCAAGTTAACAGGGAAAGAGTAACCCCCTCCAAATGAAGTTCATGATCCAAAAGATCAGCTCAGTCATCAGCGCTTTCAAAACTCGCCAAAGAAAATCATCTGAATGTTTCTGCTTTGCAGGAACTTGCAGCTCAACAGAAGCAAATGCACTCCAGCTGAAGCTGAGGGGAGGGAGGCTCTCCGGGGGGAGGGGGTGTATGCTCGGTTCCTTCTGAAGGCTCAGGGAGATGCTTTTCATCATCAGCACACCCTTCAACTTCTCTATTATTTAATCAAACAGCAGCAGAAAGCCATTTTAGTAAGGAAAGCTATATGGGTCTTTTTGCTTGGTTGCCTGGAATTTAAACAGACCACTGACCTGGGATATTAATAAAAAAACCATCTACTCAACATTAAAGAGGAAGGAAGATCACAGAGGAAGGAAGGGAAACAAGGTTCACTCCCAACTTGCTGTCCTGATCCCTGGAGACTCAGAGGCACAGAAGCACTGATCCACTCACCCTTCAGCCCCTGGGAGGAGCTGTTTGTCTCCCCCGCTGGGCTCTGGGGCATCGTCTTCCTCGGAGGAGCCAGCGCTGGAGGATTCCTCATCGCTGTCCGCCAGACAGAATGCCCGGGGCCTGCAACTGGACAGAGAGAGAGTCACCACCACTGCCTGCCCTCACCCAAGCTCTGCTTAGAAAGAGAACACACACACCCATGCACACACACTCAACCACAACAGGGTCGGGATGTAACTGTTAACTACATCTCGTCATTCTCTCCAACCCACCCAAACCAGAAGAGGCCCAATCCAAGAATCCTTGGATCAGCGCAGATGCTCAGGACACTCTTCAGCACCAAGGCCTCTGACAGGACCACAGAGGCCTTGGACCCAGAAGAGGTTGCTTTTGAGCATGCGTCAGAAGGACAGGAGGTGGGAGTGTGATGCGCACATAAAATGCAGTGATTTCAACCAGCAGTGCAGCGGAGCCACACGGGAGGATGAACAGAAAGAGCGGATGGTTGCAAGAGTGAGGTGACAGCTTATACTGGTGACATGGCCACTTCTCACTGATGATGGGATGTTGAGGCAAGTCCCTTGGCTCTGGCTTAATTCAGCAACTCTGATGCTTTCTGGCTTAGTAACCCTCCAAGTGAGTTTTGACTCATGACTCCTTTCCAGTGAAATTACGTATTTCACTCCACACCTGCCCTATCTCCTGAGGGTCACAGAAAAAGCCAACAACCACATACACACACACACACAAAAAGTCTCAGGAGACTCTAGGAAGCAACTGACATGAGAACCCAGGAAATTTTCCGGAAAAATACATGTCTAAAGACCATTCCTTTGACTGAAGTAAGGGAAAGCCTCATGGGACAGCAGTGTCCCTCACTCAGCTCTCCAGGGCAGATACTCAGTTCCAGAGGTGTGGGGTTGCTGGATTACCCGCAGAGGTGAGGGGTCCAGTTCCCGTCGGAGGGGACCTGGGGGCTTCTGGGCTGAGCCTCGGGCCTATAGAAAGCAGCTTCCTCCCTGGACCGTGGCTTTGCTTCAGAAAGTACTGGCAGGGCTGTGTCTGAGCCCAGAGACTTAAATGGGACAAAATGAACAAGGGACAGAGTAGTCTCTGAACACTATTACACAACCAAATGGTCACCAAGCAGAGGCTGGTCATTGTATTTTTGACAAGGACACAGTTACATGGACAAGGGAAGGCAGTGGGGCTCAGGGCCTATCTCCCTGCAGCTGCAGTCCTTTGGTTTTCCTGATGCTGTCCTTGGGCCACCAGAGGCCCACGGGGACAGTTATCGCCTGACCAACAGGAGCCAAAGGCACCCAAGGGCACAGCACACATGCCAGTGTGGAACTGAAGGCCCGGCAGTGGCCCCAGCCCTGTGCACTGGGAGGGTAGGACTGAAACCTCTACACTGGAAACAGGAGCCGGCTGTAAGAGGACCCGGACTGTGTCCTCCCTGGCAGGACACACAGCTCCTCCCTACCCCCACTCTGAAACATTAGAGCCAGTGCTCCAGCCAACAGGCTGGACTTCCACATTAAAGGGAAACTCCCTCTGCAGAAACAAAAGCCTCTTGTCCCTGGCCATGGGACAGCACGTAACTGAGTCTTCCTCCTTCCACCAGAGGCCTGGCTGGTCCAGGAAATGCTTATGTGTATCCACTGGCTGCAGAGCCATATCAGAGTGTGCTGTGGTTAGGCAGCCCTCACAGGAATCTTATATTTAAAATGTATATAGCAAAATTCAATTCCTATGAAAGCCTAAACCGGGTCTTGGGTGAGGAAAGTCAGAGATGTAAATCCCCAAAGATCACACGCCCCTCTCAGAAGAGCATCAGAGTTCTCCATCAGTAGGATGGCAGTGCCTGAGGCTCTCTGACCTCATGCTGCCAGGTGTGAAATCTGTCCCCACAGCACAGGGAGCCTGCTCCTCACCCACAAAGCACAAAAGGCTGCCTGCAAGCTCTGGGACCCCAGTGAGATCTGCTGAGCCACTGCTCCTTGTGTCCCCACTGGGCCATATCATCTGGCAGCTCCAACCCTGGGCAGAAGATGCCAGAGGCTGAGCGCTGTGGCAAGCTCTCAGGTTACTGAGTTAATCCTCTGCAGGTCACAGAACAGGACAAATTTTGTGGCTTGAAGTGAACACTTTAGGTAATGCTGTACCAGTTCAAGCTGATCAGATGATGTGAAAATCTGATTTTGACCGAGTGGTACCTCTGCTCTCCGCGCTGGGGGCAGTATTATGCGGCACCCAATACTTAGGAATTATAAGTGTAGCCCAGTGTTTGCCTGATATTCATTTTTATAAATGAACATGCATTTTATGACCTCAGCATGAACTTCAGAGGAAGATACACCACACTTACTTGTAGAAGACGTGCTGGAATGTAATTAGCCTACTTGTTTTAAACACACCTCAGAATTCCAGATGAGTGTGGTATCCTTTCAAAGAGACACCTTAAAAGGCTTATTCCAGTTATGTTCCTTCTGCCAAAAATCTTTTGGAAATGTCAGATATATAAGAAAAAGTGAATTATTTTATCACTGACACTCTTAGACCAAATATTTTATTTCTTGGTCTCATAATGACCACCACCTCTGATGACTTCTAGCAATTTCTCAAAGGTCCAAACCATCTACAAAGCAGGACAATTTGCTGTCACTCAGGATAGCTAAAAGAATGTCACGGACTGTGGAGGCAATTCTAAAAAGAAGCCCCCAAAATGCTTTAAATGAAGACGCATAATTAAATTAAGAAGCCCTGTGAGATGTTTGCTTTGAGGGAGACCACACTCAAGAATGCACTAATTTTTCTTTTGAGAAAATCAGTTCTATACACCTGCCACAGGCACACATGTGCATACACACCCACAAACTAGACTGAGTCACAGTGTAAACTGCAGGCACTCAGTGCCCAGAACACCAGGGGCCTGGGGGCAGATGGGTAGTTTGGGGTAGATGTGAACTAGTAACCCAAAAGAGGTCAGATGGGGCCACCTTCTGACTTGGGGACTTGTACAAAGGGCCCAGACTGCAGTGGTGGAGCAGGAAGAGGCCAAGTGCCTTATAGGAAACACTTCACTTCCATGCCACTTTCCATTTAAAGGCCACCCAAAAGGCAGAGCGCTCCCTTTAACTAACTCATTCTGGCCCTCTGCAGGGCAGTTCCTAAAGCAGAGGCTGCTCAGGTTACTATCTCAATCCCATCTGAATGTTGTATGTTATGTTACCTGCAGTGTGCGACAAAAGGACTATTTGGGAAAAGACTAAAGGAAAAATGCCCATGAAAATACAGCAGACACATATTTCAAAGGGAAGAGACTTTGCTAGGGCAAAGCTACACAGGTTAAAATCTCAGTCTAACCCTCAGGGTGCTAACTAAAGGTGAACAAACTTCCTACCAGTAAGGAGGACATCTCACAGGTTAAGCAGCATCTCCTCAGAGACTCCGCAAAAGCACAATCATTTGCACACTTGAACAGGGACTGAGAAAAGCAGTGAGATGAAGCCGAGGCCCTGCCAGGCAGGACACCAGGGAGCAGACCCTGATGTGGAGTGAAGCCCTGGACAGGTGGCCATGGGCTGCAGGGAGAGCCTGCAGGAAAGGGCTGCTGCTGGCCAATTCTTCAGATGTTCCGTGCTTTGGAGGTTTAATATTAAGGAAGATGTCAGTTCCAAAGGTCACACGCTTCAAACAGCTAATAAGTATGCTGACCCCTGTCCCTCCTCTGCTACTAAGCCGCGTGGTGATTCCGTAAACCTCATGACTGAGGAAGTGAAGTGGATTCTGGAATCACTTCTGGGATTAGGTTCTTAACCACGGATGGGCTTTCAGAGATTCACAATGCTCCTAGAAACTGTGAGCCAAATGGTGCATGTGGAAGCATTTGCAGAAAGAAGGACCCAGTGCTCTCAGGTTCCCGAAAGGGTCCTTTCTGAAAAAAGGGGTAAGGGTCCATTTTTCTGGGCCTTTTTCTCCCAAATGAAGTGCTGCTGGATTGTATTCCTCCTTACTTTTAAAAACAAATGATAGCCAACTACACATCAACATATAATTTAACACCCTCACAGGAAGAAGCAAAACATTTTATAACAGACTGTTCTAGAAAAAAATAGTACTTTAGAAATATAAGTGAAATATAATACCATCACATTCCTAAAGCAGAGGATCTTTTTTTCACTCAGTCTAGAGAAGCACAGCTTTCCAGAAACACGTCCACCCTCTGATCGGCCAGAGTTTATGAACTTGAAACTGGGCTACGAGGGCTGCATGAATAGCAGTGAATGTGGACGCATACGTGGCAAGCACCTCAGGGACCGGCCTGGTTGCCACCCCCGGTGCCCAAGACCCCCTTTGCAATGGAGTCCCTGTGCCCCTGTGCCCACATGGTGCTGTTTCTAGAAAGGGCTCCTTGCACAAACGCATCTGCCTGAGGTTGCTCTGCCACACTCCCTTTTTATTAGATCTCATTTTCAAGACTGCTTCTGCTTCAGGTGCTTCATTTTCTAGGCAGCTGGTTCTGCAACTCTGTCGTCATGAGCTAGATTTAATGTGCTCAGCTATGCGTGGGGGTGGGGTGGGGACAGCAGGACAAGGAATTGAGTCTGACTAGATCAGGACTCCAGCAATTCAAATTGGGGAAGTCTATAAGACTTTCCCTGTCAGGAAAGCCTCTTAACTACTCCTGGTGTCGGTTCTCTCAGGCTTTTATGTCCAAGAACGTGATGCCTTTATGTCCAAGAACGTGATGAAAAGACAGGTTTCCTCATGGTTTCACATGGGACCGAACAAGACTCAGAAGTTACAGGGTATGAAATGCTATGTGGAGAGTTGATAAATACCACACTCACCAGAAAATATAAATCCACAGATTGCCGAATCCAAACATATTTTAACAAATAGAAAAATGAAAGGAAAATAGCACAGACACCGGTTAGATTGCATATAGCTGGTAAAATTCTCCAATTATTAAAATAGAAACATTTCATTAAGTAACTTGAATAAATCAGAATAATCTAAGTAAAAGAATATTCTCCAATGCATAACCCAGCTCCCCCAATCTGCTACTACCACAAGCATGAATAAAAGCATTAGGTCAGTACCAGAACCAAGCAAAAGTCTAAGAGCCAGTATCTTATATTTAGACCCCATGGAGGTAGCTCCTTGTGACATTTTCATGTCATCATACTGTTGATTCCATGCAAAGGGCTAAAGATGTGAGAAGTAGCCTCTAGTCAACATTTTTAATTTGGTAAAAACAATAATATAATTTAAATTTATAGTCAAAGCAGTAATTTTAAGGAGAATAGGATGTAAAAGTTCCAGTTTATCTATTCTAGGCATTTAAGAGGGAAAAAAATTAAGCTTCATGAGTTACCTCACAATTTTGGAATATTTACTAAATCAGACAAACCCTAGGCAGCAGATACACTATCTACAAAGAGAGGGATTTACTACGCAAGTCAATATTGTATTATTTAGGGAAAATGCTTCTCAAAACACTTTTAGGAGCACCCTCTGTGCTACAAAATCAATCATCTAATTATAAATAATTCTGACTTTGTGATTAAAGCAGGTAGATTCAGCCTGCTCCACATATTGCTGTTTATGACCGGAAGGATCTTCATGATTCTATTCGAGGATCATTTTATTGCTCGGATGAGTCTGCCCTGCTTGTCTGAGTCAGTGATGTTTTCTGGGTAATCAATTCCATGTGTACCACCACCAGCACTGAGGTCAAAGGCGCTGTCACAGCTGAGCTGGGTTGGGAACTCACAGGCCACTGGGGATGAGACTAGGAAACCATTCCCTGAAATGCTCTGGTCCAGGAGCACTTACACAGAAGCTCACTCAACATCCAGGGGCCACTACACATCAAATCTGCTTCTCAAAGGCTGGAGGGAGAAGCTGGTGCCCCAGGATTGGATTAGTAAATTCATATATAGCCCCTTACCCTTCTTTGCCAATTTCTCCAACCTTCAGGGCTTCAACAAGAGGCTCTTTACCTAGTTTGGTCAAATTCATTTTGGTCTCGAGAGTCATCAGAAAGGACCCATTGTAGGACATTTCCAAATCAATCCAGAGTCCTGGAGAAATGGTGAAAAAACAGAAGGTTTTTTTCCCTCAAAAAAACACATGACTATAAATGACTTACATTTAAAAATATCTAAATAGGCACCATACTGAAAGTCCATGTATCGTCTACTACTCTAGTTGAGAAGAGGACTGAGAGCACATTGTGCCATCGACACACACGAGAACAGGTCATGGAATACATCGAGCCCCTGGTAAACAGCCAGCATCTGAGGACCCATTCACAGGATCCTGGGGAATTCAGTGCACAAGTCAGCATTGGAAGGGTCCCATCCTCTGGCTTCTAAAATCTCCTTGTATTTAGTAAGAAGACATATGCCTAGCGGAAGAAAATGGCTTGACCCAGGGCAAAGCCAGGACAAGGCATGCTGATGCCCAGCCAGTTACGAGGCACAAGGGAAGTGCTAAGACTTCTCTGTAAGCTGGGTTGTTCTTTAAAGACACATATGAGAACCGCTGTCTTTCTTAAAATTCTCCAGTATTGGGAGTGGGACACAGAAAATGGCTCAGATTTAACAGGAAGAGTGACAAAAACGTTTAAGACCTTCCTTTCTTTCTGGAAACTGCCCACTGATGGGAACCAAAGAATTAACTTTCAATTCCCAGGATTATCCAGATACAATTGCATAATCACTTTGTACCTTAGGCTAAAAATCAGCTCCTTAGGAAAGATACTATGCCAATGAGATCATATCTAAAAGGCTTGTAGCTTCATGGAATTTTACTGCAATGGCCGCTGTTCAGTGGTTTAAAATGCAAACAGGGTTTATCTCATGACCCTCTTCTACTTGAGGATTCTATGATTTGTCAAGTATTTTTCTGTGATTTTTCAGACTCGGGGCTCCAGAAGACCTCATGGACTTTCTATCAAAATGTGATCCTTTAAGTGGGTGTTTAAATGTTAATAAACTTTTATAGATCCTCACATGACAAATGACATCTAAAAGGAAGCAGGAAATTAATCTAAAACCATCGTTCACATACAGCATTGTTTTCAAGCAATTACAGTAAACAGCCCATCCCCTACACGGCCACCACCTCAGATAAAACCACTGCTTAACCCCACCCAGCACTAATGGTGTCATTCCTCACTAAAGGCAGGATGATTTCCATTTTGTTTTCAACAAATTCTTTTTACCATAATGGAAGGTAATTATTTTCCATGAATGACCTGGTTTAATTAAGTGATATGGAGATCAATTGTGATTATCTTCTTTGCAGCAATACTCACAAAACTGTTGTATTTCTTGTTTACATTAAGCAGTTAGAAAGAATTAATTAGCTTGCTCTTCAAAGGTACTATTACTGGAAATAAAGGGTATATCTGCTTTAATAAAGACATTTAGTTTTTAATCACTTCAGGAGAAAGGGGATTAGAGCAAAAGGCTAATATTAATAGATTTAAACTCAATGTAAAAGAACAACAATAAAGGAGATATTTATTGTTGTATAGTATTTCCAGCTTTGAAAATTAATATTCAAACTACCTAGTTACTATATACATCCAAACATAATCGTTTCTTTTGAAAATTCTAGTCAAGTTTCTAATAAATATTAATAGTATGCGTTGCCTTTGAAAATGGACATATTAAAGGCACCAGAATTATACTTCTTACAAAATGGAAAGTTTTGCTAGTCTGTTTTTTAAATGAAGATATATGGATTTAGGCTTAGTAAACTGCTGGCTCATGCCCAGTCACGGGGACATTCTACCAAATGATGTGTGGTCCAGCGTCCCTGCCAGGAGCTGGGAGGTGGAGGAAGGCCCAGGGAAGAGCAAGGAGCCCAGTCACATAGATTGGGGCTTGTGTTTCACTGGAAGTTTCTTCACTTCTGTGCCATCAGTACCTTTGTCTGCACCAAGGAGACCTATACTGCCTCTTTCAGGGAGAGCTGTGTACACCCTGGCACCTGGCACAGTCTGACCAGGCAGCCTCCCTTTTTCTGCATTCACCAGCCCACCCTTACTTCTTGCTCTGTCTCCCTTGCTGCTGTTGCCAGGGAAGAGGCTGTACTGGTCAGCCATGGAGCCTGATATCTGAGGATGAGGCTTGGGCATCTGACTGAGCCTCTGCCTGGGTGAGGGGTCTGTTTTAAACACTGAATATACCTCATGAGACCCACTCACAGGGCCCTGCTCAGCCCTGGCACTCATAAAAATATGAAAGAGTCAAGAATGCTTTAAGAACTTTTTTCTTCCCTGAGATGGGGTCTCACTCTCACCCAGGCTGGAGTGCCACCTGGTACGATCTTGGCTGACTGCAACCTCCGCCTCCCAGGCTCAAGTGATCCTCCCACCACAGCCTCCTGAGTAGCTGGGACCACAGGGGTCCGCCACCATGCCCGGCTAACATATATATATATTTTATTTTTGGTAGAGATGGGGTTTTGCCATATTGCCCAGGGTGATTTCAAACTCCTGAGCTCAAGTGATCCACCTGCCTTGGCCTCCCAAAGTGCTGGGATTACTTTGGGAGGTGTGAGCCACTGCACCTGGCCTGGAATGGTTTAAGAACTTTTAAAAGCAGACATGAATGGTAAATAAATATTCCAACAAATGACTCTAATATGATGTGCTTGCATTCAGATGAGGGTAAGAAGACTATTTTAGCATTAAGTGTAGGAGAAATTTGCTTTTGTAACAATGATTCAGCAGGCAGAACGTGACCTGAAAACCTGGGGACACGGGCAACTCCCAAAACTTGGAGCAAAGACCAACCGGTTACGTGACAGGTGAGTCAGGAGGCCCCTGCCTTGCAAGACTGAAAGATGAAATTCACAGTTACTAGAAAGGTTGTCTTCCCCTTGGGGACTAACATAGCAACAATGAGCACACGGGGACATACACTGCCCCATGAGCACCATCTTCCACTGTAACCCAGCTAAATGCTACTTAATCTAGAGGAATGCGGTTACAGGGCCCTTTCTTTTGTAGTCTTGACAAATGGTTAAGACTTAGCTGTAGGCATTTCACTGAAAATACTTTCTATAACCATGTGCCCTGGCTGGTGCTCAAGAACAAAACCAGAAATTGAGGAGTGGGATAATCTTTGATGCCTTTAAATAGGAGTAAGCAGGCAGTCCTGAGAGGTTCTCTGGGAAAGGGGGCTGGAGGCACGCATACGAAGGGTCTATTCCACATCATGTTGAGAGGTTGTCCAGTGGTAACCAGTGGCACCCGATTATTAACGAGCCCCTATAAAACTGGCACTTCAGGCTGGGCACAGTGTCTCACGCCTGTAATCCCAGCACTTTGGGAGGCTGAGGCAGGCGGATCACTTGAGGCCAGGAGTTCAAGACCAGCCTGGCCATCATGGTGAAACCTCGTCTCTACTAAAAATACACAAATTAGCTAGGCATGGTGGTGCGCACCTGTAGTCCCAGCTGCTAGGTACGCTGAGGCACGAGAATGGCTTGAGCCTGGGGGGCAGAGGTTGCAGTGAGCCGCGATCGCCCTACTGCACTCTAGCCTCTGTCTCAAAAGAAGAAGAAGAAAAAAAAAAAAAACCCTGGCACTTCATGCAGCAACACGAGTGACAATGTAGTAAGACTTAGTCTGTGTACAAGGACCTGGAAGGAGCTCAGATGCTGTTTTTCCACTCTTCAGTTTCACAGCGGCAGGATCAATTACCACTACCACCACTACACAGAGACACTGTGGCAAAAATTACAGCTTATTCCACCAAAAAGCGTGTATGCGTTCTTAATGTACAATATCAGAGCCAAAAGCACTGAGATGAACCCCTGCCCTCAGGAAGTGTATGTTTGAAGAAAAATAAAAGTGGCCTAGGCCAGCTGCTGCAGCTCAGACCATGATGCCAGTTGGTATCATAAAATGCCTTGGCGTATGTCCCCACAGATAAGGGGTGGCCACAACCACAAGAGGCTCTTCTGCCTTCGGCCTGGTTTTCCAGTTAACAGACCCCATGGCCTCAGTCCTCCCGTGGCCATGTGAATCTAATAATCTCACACAGCAGTTCACTGTTTTATTACTATTTAGGCATCTGTCTCACTGGAGTAGGCTTGAGAGGGCACCTGCTGCTTGGGAGTAGTTAAGGGAACCAAAACCCTGCACACCTGAACTTGGTCCTCACGTTATTTTCTCCTCCATTTCCTTCTACCTGTAACTATTAACAGCTGATTTCACTCTGAAAGTCAATATTTGGCATCCAAAGAACAAAACTTCTTAAAATGGAACATTTGATAACATTATCAAGAACAGATGTTGGAGTTATTCAGCTCTGGGAAGAACACACCAGTGACTGTTGTGCTCCTGGCAAAGAGACTGGTGCCATATTGCTCATTCAGATACTACAGAAAATTAGCAATTCCTTGTGTGTGGATGTGTCTTTGATGATAGACATCATTTTTAGCCTTATCTACCTGTAACTGTCCTCTGAAATAGAGCTCCACCCCTTCAAGGTTGACAAGCTGCAAATCAGGGTCCCCTGTCCCCCACCCGACCCATGTTCCACAAGAGGTATGATTTCCCCTTCCCACACTAAGCCCTTTCCACACTAAGTGTTTTTCTTCCCGTAGCACAGTCTGGTCAGAGCCACTCCTATCAGCCCCACGTGCTAGAGTATGGCCCTGCCTTGGTGCTCAGGCCCAGGCAGCCCCAGTGGCTGTAGCTGCCCTCTGATGTCACTCTTGAAGCACGTGTGGCAGGAGGAGTGGGCAAGTCATGACTGACTCTGGCTCCAGTTTTCTGTCATTACTCAGGTGGCAAAGTAGCATCACTCCCAACACTGGATGTGAAGGCACCAGGCACACAGGTAGTGGATCCTGGTAGGATCCAGTCTGGAACACTGGATGTGAAGGCACCAGGCACGTGGGTTAAGGTCTGGAATATCAGTCCAGATGACTAAGGGCAGCTCTGGAGACAGACAAGGTTTCTATTTCTGTGGGACATGGTAATATTTCCATAGAATCTGAGACATTCAGTCTAAATTTGGGCTGTTATTTGGTATCTTGAAAACAAGGCAAAACCCAGTCGGGTCCTCTGTCTGTGTGGACACTCAGTGGCTATTTGCAGTTTTAAATTCATGTTGCAAACATCCCGAAGACTAAATGAATTCATCTAAGCCTGAGGGGTTGTGGTCTGCATCCTTGGATCATTCTGACGCTGCTGACACACCTGTGGGCACCTGTTCTGAAACCGCTGGACTCAGGCACAGAAGATAAAAACCTGCTGACAGAAGCGGCCCCCACCCAGCCTCTTCAGGATGATTTTATTAATACTAACACAGTGGCCGGAGAGCAGCAGCTAACACTGATGCTTACTACGTGCCACGTGCTCCGAGTGCTTTACACGTAACACTGCATCTCTACCACACCCAAACGAGGCGGGCAGGACTGCCATCAGCACTTGAAGGATGAGGAAACTGAGGTATAGAGTGGTTAGTGGCTTCCCCACAGTTGTACCGCTGAATGGTGTACGAGCAGGACCCAAACACAGGTGACCTGGCTGTAGAGCCAGTGCTCATGGGCAGCCTCTGATGGGGCCTAGACTCCATGAAACAGGTTGGAAGTGTGAGGCTGCTGCTGACCCGGGCAAGTCACCCCTCTCTGGGCTTTGGCTCATACACACATGGCAGGGTGGATTGAGGCAATCTGACTGCCCTTTCAAGTCTTCCCAGTTCTTCAAGGGTTTTGAAAAAGAGCTATGTTTTCTAAATTTTTAGCCATAAGAAAAAAGATTTGGAGAGCATATACCAAAAATGTACTAAAAAGGTAACCCTGGTTATCTCTGAATGGTGGGATGATGGGTAATATTTTCCTTTTTACCTTTCCTGAATATTTCTGTTTTTCCCACAATGAGTATTTGTTGAATGAATGAACAAACATTACCCTAATGGAGTTAATAAAATGACTGGAAAGAGTTTGGCTGAGTGGCAGGCCCTGGAGGTGGCAGCCCAGGGTAGGGATGAGGGCTGGGTAGAGGAGGCCAGTCTGGTGGGGGAAGGGTAACATACACAGGTTTCTGGACCTTGCTGTGTGGCCTAAAGGAAAGAAAGGAAATCCATATATATCCCACAGGTAGAGCAGCTAGTTCCAGGGTGTGTGTGGAGTGAGGAGGCGTCAGAGCTGAGGCAGGAGGAGCACAGCCAGTTTCTAAGGGACACAGCTTGCCTATCGTCCAGCCATCTGCCTTTGGTGGGAAGTGAGGCTGCTCTGGAAAAGGTGGTCATTTAACCTCATTCAATTCACTTGAGACAGGTTGTGTGTGTTGGAACAGGGACAAGCCAACATGGCCATTGTGTGCGATTTCATTCAGAAGAACCACAGACTTGACTTCTTACAGCAGCAAGGCCATGAAAGCTGAGAATGCCATTTTGTTTTGTTTTGTTTTGTTTTTGTTTATCCTAGTAGGATCTGCCAGCTTTGATCTGTAGGATGGTCAACTGGACACTATGGCCGCCTCCATGCTAAATGCCCTAACAGCAGCATCCAGGCAGCCATGATAATAACAATCCTTAGTTGACATGCATAGAGCTCCTCCTTGCTCCAGATGCTGTTCTAGTGCCTTTTTTGTATTGACTCATTTAATCCTCACGACAAGCTTATGAAGTAGGTGCTGTAAGAATCCCTGTTTGAGCTGGGCGCAGTGGCTCATGCATGTAATCCCAGCACTTTGAGAGGCTGAGGTGGGTGGATCACCTGAGGTCAGGAGTTCAAGACCAGACTGGCCAACAGGGAGAAACCCCCTCTCTACTAAAAATATAAAAATTAGCCAGTCATGGTGGCAGGTGCCTGTAATCCCAGCTACTTGGGAGGCTGAGACAGGAGAATCACTTGAACCCAGGAGGTGGAGGTTGCAGTGAGTTGAGATCATGCCACTGCACTCCAGGCTGGACGACAAGAGTGAAACTCCATCTCAAAAAAAAAAGAATCCCTATTTGAGAGATGAGGAAGTGAAGTGGTTCAGGGGTTTGCCTGAGGCCACGAAGCTGTGGACCAGGTAGTCGGGTCCAGAGCTGGTGCTCAAAACCAGTGCTGCCTCTTGCCTCAAGAAGAGCATCCCTAGGATGGGATAATCCAACCAGTTGTGGCCAAAATATCCCTTCTGAACATATTCCTCCAACAAACAAGCACAAGCCAGGAAATATTTTTAAAAAGAATGTGAGGGGATCCCATAGGAGGTGGCGCTCCTTAGAGCTGTGAAGGCCTCCTTCACCTGGGTCGCATTTCCCTGGAAGGTGAGCTCTGCTTTTCAGAGTCAGTTTGCTTGTCACCCAGATTCAAATTTCACTAAAAGGAAAGATTCCCCCGTAGAGCACTGGAATCCAAAATGCTTATTTATTTCTTTCACGGTCATTTCTGTTTTATCATCATACATGCATCATTTGTGGACTTGGAAAAACCTGATTTGATCAAACTTTGAAAACCCCACTGGCTTTATGTCTTTATCGTTCCTTTAATACCATTTTCTCCCTTGTTACACAAGCAGGCAAGTCTCTAAAAACGTACCCTGAAAGGAGTTAAATAGCCTCAAATGGATTAAAAACTGGCAAAGCTTTGATCTATATAGTGAAATATCTCACCATAGCTCCTGCTCTAGAAGAACAGTTAAGAAGCTTGACACTTAGGTGTTTGGTGAATTTTACTCAAAGCCTGACCAAAGCTGCCCTGAGAGGCTGCAGAGTTCAAAGCCACAGGGGCCTGGTTGTGGCCCTGCTCCCCTCTCCTCGGAAATTTCTACAAATTCAGCAAAGGGCAGTCCTGAGATAAGAGGCTGCTTACACATTAGAAAATAGAGCGTGCACACTTATTATTTAGTTTCTTTAAGCCTCACATGAGGTTTGTGTTAGCTGATCATTCACCAGCTTCTTATACATTTCTAAAGAGGCAAAGAGCAAAAAGGAATAGAGAGGCCACCTGAGTTAGAGGAAGAAAGGTAGCAGCTGTACACTGATGGAGTGAAGATGCTAGCTAGCTATGCAGTGAACACATAGATGGTGCTTTTTTTTTTTTTTTTTGAGACAGATTCTCGCTCTGTTGCCCAGGCCTCAGACTCCCGAGTAGCTGGGATTACAGGCCAGGGTGATGCTAGGGCCCGAGGTTACATCTTCATCTTATTTCTAAAGCTCTGTTATTTTCTTTCTTTCTTTTTTTTAAGACAGAGTCTCGCTCTGTCGCCCAGGCTGGAGTGCAGAGGCACAGTCTTGGCTCATTGCAACCTCTGCCTCCTGGGTTCAAGCTATTCTTGTGCCTCAGCCTACTGAGTCACTGGGATTACAGGCACACACCACCATGCCCGGCTGACTTTTGTATTTTTAGTAGAGACGGGGTTTCACCACGTTGGCCAGGCTGGTCTTGAACTCCTGGTCTCAAGTGATCTACCTGCCTTGGCCTTTAAAAGTGCTAGGATTACAGGCGTGAGCCACCGCACTCAGCCAATGCATCTTTTACAATTTTGCATGGGGTTAAAAACACTCTAGTTCAGCCATTTGCCAAGAATTGAAAGGTTTTCTACTTTTACTTTCAGTGAACCAGAAATTCCCAAACCTAGACACACCCAGATTCATCAAGGTATAGACATAATTGAGGGGTTACAGGTGAGCTCAACATGCAGGAATTAGATGGACTTCTCTGGATGTGCAAATACTACCCTGGTCTTTCTTTCTCTGAAATTGATGTGATGCGAAAAACATGGATGGGTTGTCCACTGAAATATTGCTGGAGAGATATGCTAGAGCTGCTAACTATAGTGCTAGAAAAATCTCTTCATATTTACATCAAATGTACACAACAGCAGAAAAACTGATTTCACTAAACACAATTCAAGAACCATCTGATACAGCCAGAGAGAAAAGTAGCTTCCATGCTCTACAAATTTTATAAAACATTTACTTTAAAACAACTATCACTCTCTTGAAAAGCTATAATTAGTTTTTCTCCTACCTTGTTCCTAAGCCATTTTAGGAAAAATGTAAATATGGTTGAAGTGGAAAGAGGCTCACTTGCCAAGGGAGGCTACAGTAAAAACGTCAGTGAGAATTCTCTCTGCATGCTAATGGGCTATTCTGGCCTACCTGGCTCATTCCTCTTTTTTTACCAAACTCCTGTGTACTAAATTTTCCCTGTCAAGATCCTTTTAAAACCGTATTTATGGTTTATGTGACATAAGAGATACAAATCCTTACATCATCATCATCATCATGTTACACAAACTCTCTACAATCTGATCAACTCTTTAACCCCCCACCCACAAAAGCAGACATAAATAATGTCTTAGTAACATGTTTAAAAACTCAAATCTGAGAACTTTCCTCCAGCAAGGAGCCCTACTCTCAAAATATTGCCTTTGAATATACTGTACGTCTTCATTTCTCAAACATGTACTGAGCACCTACTAGGAGTAGCAAGGAACATAAAGACAGAAGACATGAAAGTCAAAAAATCTGGAACCTACAAGTCAGGAGAGGTAAGGATGTGAACACATGTGAGGAGAGGCAGCTCCTGGCAAGCGGCTAGGGCTGGGGCAGCTGCACCCGTGAGGGCCATGAGAGGTGAGCGGAACTGAAATCCAGCCACTGCCTCATGCCCTGGCAAGGGCTGCAACCCCTACAAAAGCACAGGCCCCATCAGCTGGCATGTGTGCATCACTGGGCTGGAGGAGGCCCTATAATAACCAAGAGACTAAAAGACTTAGGATGGGAGCTTGGATCTATTCCAAATCTTTTTTTTTTTTTTTTTTTTTTTTTGTGAGACAGAGTCTCGCTCTTGTCATCCAGGCTGGAGTCCAGTGGCACGATCTTGGCTCACTGCAACCTCCGTCTCCTGGGTTCAAGCGATTCTCCTGCCTCAGCCTCCTGAGTAGCTGGGATTACAGGCACCCGCCACCACGCCCGACTAATTTTTGTACTTTTTTAGTAGAGACGGTGTTTTGCCATGTTGGCCAGGCTGGCCTCGAATTCCTGACCTCAGGTGATCCGCCTGCCTTGGCCTCCCAAAATGCTGGGATTACAGGCGTAAGCCACCATGCCCGGCCCCAAATCAGTTTTAAGGCCATGACTGGTAAGAACAGAAAGACACTCAACATGAAACAGATGATTTAAAAAGTCCTCAACACCCTCCAAACACAAAGCCATCATGGTACTGAATCTGCAGCAAAGGATATATTTTAACACTCATAGAATGGTCAGTTAGGAGTTACCTTGGTGATCAACGTAAGGCTTGAAGGCCTGGAGGATTTTTGGCACAGCCACGCCCATGTCAAGTTCCGTCAGAGTGAGCTCATTCATAAAGTAGGGGAGCTAGAGGAAACAAGCAAACAATGAGTGAGACCCATGAGCAACCTACAAAACATGCTGTTGCAAGTCAACATGCTTCCGGAGAGGATGGTGGCCAAGGTTTTGGGGACATATCATTTATGTAACGAAAACGTAATGTGCACACATCATGTACTAGGCTTCGTACTCCAGACAGAGCCATGAAGAGGTCAGGCCAGGGCCTGGCTCTCACGGGGTTTATAATAGAAAGGCAGAAACAGGTAAATACATAGACAATATACTTCCAGAGAGTGATTAGTGCTGCAAAGAACATCAAGCAGGTAATGGGCAGAGGGAACACGGGGGTGGCTGTTTTGGCTGAGGAGGTCAGGGATGGCTTCCCTGAGGAGTGGCATTTGAGCAGAGGCCACCTATGGAGAAGGAGCCAGCCATGCTGGTTAACAGTACCCCACATTTGCTGAAGTATGGGAAAACAGACCTCTCTCAGACTCTCAGTGGGTAGTAAGAAACTGCTACAACAAGGTCAGGTGCGGTGGCTCATGTCTGTAATCCCAACACTTTGGGAGGCCAAGGTGGATGGATCACTTGAGGTCAGGAGTTCGAGACCAGCCTGGCCAACATGGTGAAACCCCAACTCTACCAAAAAATACAAAAATCCACCAGGCAAGGTGGCATGCACTTGTAGTCCCAGCTACTCGGAGAGGCTGAGGTGGGAGGATCACTTGAACCTGGGGGCAGAGGTTGCGGTGAGCTGAGAATGTGCCACTGCACCCCAGCCTGGAGGACAGAGCGAGACTCTGCGTCAAAAAAAAAAAAAAAAGAAAAGAAGAGAAATTGCTACATTTCCGATAGGCAAACTTACATGTGTATGAAAATCCTTGAAAAACAGCACATGCTGGCCAGGCGCAGTGGCTCACGCCTGTAATCCCAGCACTTTGGGAGGCCGAGGTGGGCGGATCACGAGGTCAAGAGATTGAGACCATCCTGGCTAACACGGTGAAACCCGTCTCTACTAAATATACAAAAAATTAGCCGGGTGTGGTGGCACGTGCCTGTAGTCCCAGCTACTCAGGAGGCTGAGGCAGGAGAATTGCTTGAACCTGAGAGGTGGAGGTTGCAGCAAGCCAAGATCGCACCACTGCACTCCAGCCTGGGTGACAGAGCGAGAATCCGTCTCAAAAAAAAAAAAAAGAAAAATAGCACATCCTTTGATCTCATGCTGAACATTTTCTGTTTGCCCTGCCAGATCTACACTCTATCCCCAGTGGTTGGTCTGCGTGAACTGTGCCAACGGTCTCTTTTACCCTCCAGCTTCTGGTTGGGCATGGCCAATGGGATACACCAATGGGCAGTTGATGGGGAGGCACACGGAGAAGAGTGTTGGGCATTTGTCCCCCCCATCTACTGAAGGCCACAGCTCCTGTAACACAGGAAGCCTCTCCACACAGCTGCCCTGTCCAAGTTCTCCTTGCCTTTGCTGCTCCAGAGAGAGTAACAGCTCCCACTTCTGCTAGTTCTGGAGTGTAGCACTCTCCCTACGAGTTTTTCTCCATCTGCCCACACCTTTATAAATCTTCCCTTCAGCAAACTCTCCCCAGAGTTACTTATCTGAGTGTGCCATCTGCTTCCTGCTGGGACCCTGACTAATACACACCCCCAAATCTATCCGTAGGAATTTATTCTACAGGAAATAACATAAGAATACTGGCATCATGTTTAAAAATTCCTACTTCATCTCAAGATTATAGAATTAATTCATCTATATTTTCTCTGCTTGGATTTGTGGATGTATATGTATTTCTTAAAATATTTATTCCATTCATAATTTTAATGTAAGATGTAAATTAGGGATCTAGTGTAATTTTTCCCCCAAATGGTTGGTCAGCAATCTCGACCTATTTATTCAGCAACCAACACTTGCCCTACTAATCTGTTCCGCCATCTTTAAGTGCTAAATTCCCACTGCACTGGAGTCTGTACTGAATTTCTACCAGTATCAAACTGCTTTGACTACTTTAGCTTTATAATATATTTTAGCTTTATAATACACTTTTAACTTTATAATATACTTTTAAATCTGGCAAGTCCCTCTCCTTTTTTTTTCTCCCAGAATTCTCTTAGTTATTTTCATAAGTATTTTTCCAGTTGAATGTTACAATAGTTTTATAAAATTTAGAATAAAATTAAGAGGTTTTTAAAAATTAAATGTAAACTAAATATTCCACATAAAATGAGGTAGCATCTAGTCAGGCATGAATTTAATACCTAACTTGGCTGGACCTCTTCAGCTGTTTCCCTGCAGAGAAACATAAGCTTTCAGGATTCACCAATCAGAGAATGTAATCTCTGATTTTTTGTGGAGGGGATGTTAAAAAGGTTATAATGTCTATGACGAACAAAACGTGAGTAGACAGTGTTCAAAGGCATAGTTTTGAATTGGTGTTTGCTATATTTGGAGAACCTTTTTCCAAAGCATCAATGTTATAAGTGGTATTGGCCTCTCTACCAACCTATAAAATGCTACTTGGCTAAGAATGTAACCAAAGTCTTGCACAATTGCCCTGTCCTTTTTGTCCACTACTGTCATTCAAATGCTGTGCTTCAGGAGCATGCCAAGTTAGAGAGACTTCCAAGGGTGAGCCAGGGAATACTGTCACCTCCAATGGTGTTTCTTTTCTTTTTTTTTTTGAAACAGGATTTCGCTCTGTCACTCAGGCTGGAGTGCAGTGGTGCAATCATGGCTCACTGAAGCCACAGCCTCCTGGGGTGAAGCGATCCTCCCACCTCAACCTTCTGAGTAGCTGGGACTATAGGCATGTACCACTACCACGCTTGGATAATTTTTTTTTTTTGTAGAGACAGGGTCTTACTATGTTGCCTAGTCTGGTCTCAAACTACTGGGCTCAAGATTTCCTCCACTTCGGCCTCCCGAAGTGCTGGATTACAGGCATAAGCCACCATGCCCAGACATCCAACGGTGTTTCTATGGGAATGTCAGTCTGACACTGAGCCACAGGAGTGAATAAAGAGACAGCAGGAACATAACTGTCCCTTCTCTTCCCCTGTCAACCACTACCTGCCATTCTGCAACCTCTAGTCCCTGCAAAGGCAAAGGAAGGACCTGAGACAGGACCTGAGACAAAGGAGGGACCTGAAGGACCTGGGGACTGAGGAGGACTTGGCAGGGGAAGGTGTCTACCTACTAGTAAGCAGAATGGGGAGGGGAGATCAGAGGGCCTGGTTTCCTATTTATTTGCCCATCTATCCAACCCGAAGACCCCAGAACATCTATAACCAACCCTCCAGCACTCATATACTCCCCTCCTAGTTCACATCCCTGCCCTTGAGCAGCCTTCTTCTGTTAAGGTCATTCCTCCTGTTCTTTTCGACAATAAACTGTTTTCTTCCCACCCAAAGGGTACCACAGTGAGACAGAAATCCAGGGGCACATTCTTTACCCTCTGGAGTAAACCCAATTAGGGACTAGGCATTCAAGGGTATGGGACGTTCTCAGGCTGGTGGGTGCTAAGTTAGAAGCTGTATGCGATCTCAGCAACATTTGCTGACACAGGCACAAGAGGCTCATAACCACTGAGGGCCCTAGGGCGGTTATCTGAGCAGCTGGCTAAGGCCAAGAGCACACTTACTACTGGGGCAGAAACTCAGCTTGTTTTAAACCCATCACTGGGCACCAGTTGCACACACAGGGCTGCTTTTTCACAACATGAGTCATGATCATGTGCAAGGCTGACAATCCGAGACTACAGGGCAAGGCCAGCAAAGAGTTCTCCATATGTCAGGCCTTCCAGGGAAACCAGGGGATCAGGGAGATCTGTGTCACAGGGGAAAGCTCAGGCTCCTCTAGATACCACTTCCCTATTCCCATTTTGGCTCTTGACTGGCTATTAACCAATACCCACTCACTACTAGGCTTAAGGCTTAGTTCCTCCCAGGGGTACTTGGATATTTGGTGGCAATCAGTTCTTTTCGTAGGGGCGGTGACAGCTTCAGAATTTGGTAATGTCCTTCTGCTTTCCTGTTTATTCTGTAACCAGGGGCTCCTCTGGTCTGCAGGCACTTCACAGTGCAGCAGATCAGGAGGCGGGTGGAGGGTATGGATGGAACACACTGAGGGAACACAATGCCCACCTCTAGCCTCTGGCACTGCTGGATCTAGGCCACACTTCTCCATTCTAACCTTTTAGTACTTCTGACCTCAAAAAACAAAAGGAAGTTTAAGTCTGTGAACTACCAGTGCCTCCATGATTATCAACGGGAGAAAATGAAAACAGACTTTCCCTCAACTTTCTCCAGGAGGACGGGGGCACCTTCACAAATAGGGCAGAGGCTCTGTGGACTTCCAGCTCAAGAGAGAAGGGTGGGACCTCTCAAACCAGTTTGGTTTTGTTGGTGTTGTTGTTGTTTTTAGAGATGAGAGTCTTGCTCTGTCACCCAGGCTGGAGTTTGGTGGTGCGATCATAGCTCAGAACTCCTGGGTTCAAGTCATCCTCTTGCCTCTGCAACCCAAGTATCTGGGACCACAGGTGTGCACCAGCACTCCTGGCTCAAGTCAGCTTTGGAATGCATGTAGCAGGGGAGCAGCATCCCACCTGGAGTTCAAGTATGTCCTGCTTTCTTTTTGCACACTGCCAAGAACTGCAGCCCTGCTGCTCAGGGAAGGGCCCCTCTTGCTTACAGAAGGGCTCGAGATAGACCCTGGGAAAAGAGCAGGGCCAGCCCTACCCATATGCCTTGACCTGGGAACTCAAGCCTTCCATCATTTCCAAAAATGGGGAGAGGCTGAGTGAGCTCTAGGTTGGCTGCTGACACTGCATCTCCCAACACAGAGGGTTACTGCTACTTGTTGTCTCCTGCTATGGAACTGGCTAGCAGAAGCACGTTCAACCCTCAAACTACCTCAGGAACACAAACAGGCTGACACCTGTCAACAGAGCCCTCCCCCAAAATCTGCCTTGAAATCCACCCTTCTGGCTCAGAAGGCAGCCCCTCCTTCCTCTTTCTCAGGAGCTGGGGAAGAAGGGACACTGGCCCACAGACAGCAGCCAGAGCTTGACAAGGCCAGGAAAAGCTCTGTTCTTTACCCAAAGGAACAAAAGAAATCAACCTGAAGCTCCTCTATGCCCATATTTTCCTTCTAATCTAGTTTACCGTAGTTCACAGTTTCTTAATCTAGAGTCCTTGAACTTTCTGAAATAATGGGCAAAATTTTGTGTCAACGTGTTTTTCTAGTGAAAGGATATCATAGGCTTCTGCTTCTCAAAAATGTCTCTGATCCATACAACTTCAGGGCTACTGACTTAAGCTACTGACTGTTCAGTGAAAATTTGGGATCCAAAGTGACTCTTCTTGGCTGGGTCTTCACTGGGTCAAAAAGTTAATTTTAAAGAACCTCAAGATCCTCAATAAGGTCTCCTGGTTGGCAAATGAGTCTTTTAATGACAGCCATACTTACACAGTTCAAACTCACTTCCAACTGGCCCTGGATTAGCACCAGAGTGTTTCTTCAGGAGAGAGCCCAAAATAAAGTACCATCTGGCCAAAAAGTAAAGGTCAAACACAGACACATTTAAAGTGCAATGCTAACTTTCCCAGCTTGAGAGGGAGCACAGCCTGGGAAAGAGGCCTTAAGTAGTCTGGTGTTTTCCTCAGTCAGTATACTAAGAGGCCTTAAGTAGTCTAGCATTTTCTTCAGTGAGTATACTAAGAGGCCTTAAGTAATTTGTATTTTCCTCAGAGGATATACCATGTGGCCTAGACTGCTGTGGGGCTGGGTGGGCTCTGGATGTACAATTTAAGTTCATTTCCAACTTAAAAATAACAATTATATAAGACGAATCGGTTATAAGAGCTCACATTTTCCCAAACTAAATTCTGGATTATCACCTGGAGTGGATAACAATGAGGGCAACACAAGAAAATGAGTAAACATTAATGTTCACTAAGCCCCCAGATGCAATTAATCATAAGGTCAGTCTGTGATCAAGGTCAGATGTGCTGTTTGAGAACTTACTACCCTCATATGTTATACGTTTAAACCAAATTATTTTTCACTTAGGACATAAGGGTACAAAATTTCCAGAAATGAAGAAGTATAGAGGATTAGAAGCCTCTTGTGTGGAAAGTGATACCTTTATTTTGCTGAGTTTCATTTGGATCTTCTTAGACACCAGATCAGACCAGTATTTCTCTCCTAAGAAGTCCCAAAATATTCTTCCAAGCAAGGCATTCACCCAGGCTTCCTGTTCTTCCTCCTCAGAGGGTGGAACCTCTGGCAACTGGCAAAAGAAAAGGGACCAAAATTAGCTAGAAAGCAACTGGAGAATAAGACAGGTGCTTATTTTTATAAAGTCACTGAAGGTCCCTCCTTATAGAAACAGGAGACCACACGAGTCATACTCCTTCCCTATAAATTACAAGTCCCACATTGTATTGGTGACTAGGAAAGGGGAGAAACGAAAGCTGCCATCACAGCTAAAACCTTCTCTTTGTCTGTTTTCTTTTTCTACCAGTCTTCCTGTAAACCAGCTAATATTTCATACTATTAGCTTAGCCAAACTGCTCTGCGTCCAAATTAGCTTGGTATCAACATTATGCATCAGTGACACATCTGATAAAATGCCTGCCCATCTTTCTTCAAGCTAAGGCTTGGACGTGTAATTGTCAAGCTGGTGCTCATCCGGGCAGACGCCACAGTTCCCCAATGGCCAGGACTCAAGTTCAGCCTGAACCCTGTGAGGTCAAAATATTCCCGGGATGCTTAAAAATACTGATGCCTGGATCCTACCCCCAGAGTCACTGATTTCAGTGGGCATCAGGAGTTTCAGATGCTCCCCTGGTAATGTAATGAACAGGCAAGACGATGAATCACAGATCTGGATTAGAGAGAGCTGCTCTCAGGGCTTCCATGAAACATCTACAGCTGTTCTCACCAATCTCGGCCCAGCGAAATACCCTGATCCTTACTTCCATTTGATACAATCCATCTGAAGCATCTGCTGTGGCCAATGTGTGAGGTGGGGGAGAAAGTAAACCCAAGTCTCCGATTTCCTTGGCTAATCATTAGACTGTGCACTCTGGCCTGGAGGGGGTCAGGGATGGAGATAAAGAAGGGTAAACAGCAGCACCCACAGACGGTGTTGTAAGGTTTATGTGGTTGGTGCAGGCACGGGCTGAGAGCTCAGTAATGTAGCAGCTGTCCACTGACCACATGCCAGCCCTATGGGCACATTCCTGTCTCAGGTCCACTCATGTCTCACAATACCCTGGAAAGACAGGAACTTTACTTCCATTTTAGAAATGAGTGCAGCGCCTGACACACAGTCCTGTTCTCCCATCCTCTATCTGCTCTGTCCTGTGTGTGGCGGTGGGGGTGGGGGAAGGGGAGCTGGCCCCCTGATATGGCAGACATTTTCCTGTGCTGAGGTCTCTAATTAGACTGTAGCCTTGCAGAAACAATGAGCTTTGGAAAGCAAAGATGAAAAGATTTAGAAATGCAGAATCTGTGAATTATTCCCCCTTTCCCCTCCCTCTATGGCTACTATAAGTGCATCTGTTCTGCCCTCATGGGCTGGCTGCAGCTATAACACACACCAGACACTCTCATCACCTCCACGCTTTGTGCTTGTGCATTCGTGCCAGTGCTATCCATTCTGAGCAGCTGTGACTGTGCCCACATTGAAGCTGTGTGCCTGGGTCAGTGCTGTGGTGCACACGTTGTTGCTTGGTGTGTATGGATTTGAATCTGCAGATCCAATTGTTTGTGAGTACTCCCAAGGTCTACAGCACATAGCTCCGTGCACTCATTCTGAAGCTTGGTGTTCACCAGTCACTGAGCTGTGCCTGAGCCAGCACACTGCTCAGTCCCACCCGTCTGCCAGTCTTGCTGAGAGGTGAGGCCAGCTAGACTTCCTGGGTGGAGTGGGGACTTGGAGAAATTTTCTTACAAGAGGATTGTAAAATGCACCAATCAGCACTCTGTAAAAATGTACCAATCAGCACTCTGTAGCTAGCAAAAGGATTGTAAAATGCACCAATCAGTGCCCTATAAAACGCACCAATCAGCGCTCTGTAAAATGTACCAATCAGCACTCTGTAAAATGCACCAATCAGCAGGATCCTAAAAGTAGCCAATCGCAGAGAGGATTGAAAAAAGGGCATTGTGATAGGACAAAAACAGAACATGGGAAGGGACAATAAGGGAATAAAAGCTGGCCACCCTAGCCAGCAGCAGCGGCAACCTGCTTGGGTGCCCTTACACAGTGTGGAAGCTTTGTACTTTTGCTCTTCACAATAAACCTTCCTACTACTCACTCTTTGGGTCCGTGCCACCTTTAAGAGCTGTAACACTCACCATGAAGGTCCGAGACTTCATTCTTGAAGTCAGTGAGACCACGAACCCACCAGCAGGAACCAACTCCACATACATTGCCACAGCCTGTGCCCTCTCTTGCTGGGGGCCTAGGGTTCGCTTACGTTTTTCAATCACATGTCACTGCATGACTTTATATTTTACAGGAGTCCTTCACATTTGAGTTTTCAAAGGTCTCCTTTATGAACGTTGGTGAGTCTCATTTAAAAAAAAAAATGGTTTAAAAAAGAAAGCATGCTGGTCAGCCCATTTCAGAAGACATGGATCTGCTTCACCCTTCTTAATGGACATGGATTATTCTCTCTGGGCTTTTCGAGTGCTGTGACGTTTTCTGTCATTAACCAAGACATTTTCCACCACTAGGTCCTGGATGGAAGGGCAAGAGTCTGCAGCGGTGAATGCTTGGCCATGCCATAACTTGCACTGTTTTTTTGAATCCCTTTTTTCTCTGACTGAACATCTCCTTCCCAGCCCCAAGGGTAATTCATTCAGCTTTTCTGAGGTTACTGTCTTTGAGTCCCATCCGATTATTTATACAGACTTCTGCATAAACACTCATCCAAGGGCAATGACCACCTGGCCCCTCAGACAGTACTAAGTTGCTGCCCACGTAAGACACCACGTGTCTTATTTTAGATTTGTAGGTTATACAAGAGAATAAGTTACTTTTTCCCTTCCCTAGAGGGAGCATCTACCCTTTATTAGCCTTTCTTTACAACCCTAGTTACTCACAGGAAACAGTTTTAGCACAAAATAGCAAGAAACAAAGGCTATTTCACAATGTATGTCCAAGCCAATGGCATATGATGTGGTAAACAAATTTCTGAAATAACCGACAAGCAGGTTGTTTTTTCAACAGTTCCTTTTTCCAAAATAAGCTTCTCTCCACAGACTCATTGGGAACAAAGAAAAATTCCAGAGCAGAACATCGATAATGCATCAAAGAAGCTTTTATGAGCAAAACCTGGATTCAACAGCCTGCTAGGAAGGCCCAACGAATGTCATAAAAATTTAAGAGTTTAAAGAAACAATGTGCATACATTTCCTAATATTGCCATTTGGCTATAGGATGAAATGTGTGGAGGATATTCATTTCGCTGTCTCAACTGTATAAACACACTAAGAAATGGTAACTTTCCAAAAATGGCTTCCAAATAAGTGTAGAGAAAATTCAATGGTTTGAAGCTGAAGCAAGCCCATCAAAACTGCGTCACTCTTGGGATATGTGTTATTTAAAACTAACCTCTAAAACTAAAGTAGGACAGATTTACTGAAGTCTGTGGTGTAACATTTCCTATTACAAATGGCCAGGAGGCCAGCCCAGTTTTTCTATTACAAAGAGTGTGTAGTGCCCCCACTCCTTTTTGGCCGCACCCAGTGTACCGCCAGGGGGGTTGCACAAGGGACAGTGTGGTCCAGGAGATGACACAGCGGAGGACCCTACTCCTGTGTGTTTCTTTCCCTTGATTATAAAAACAATGCATATTCACTGCAGAAAACACCCATAAACCTGCTACTCAGATTTAAAACATTTTAAACATTATTTAAAACAGTTTTACTATATTTTCTTTCAGTCTCTTTTCAGTGTATATATACATTTAAGAATACAGAACTTTTAAAAAGCAAAATTAGGCCGGGCGTGGTGGTTCATGCCTGTAATCCCAGCACTTTGGGAGGCCAAGGCGGGCAAATCACGCAGTCAAGAGATTGAGACAATCTTGGCCAACATGGTGAAGTCCCGTCTCTACCAAAAATACAAAAATTAGCTGGGTGTGGTGGTGCGTGCCTATAGTCCCAGCTACTCAGGAGGCTGAGGCAGGAGAATCGCTTGAGCCCAGGAGGCAGAGGTTGCAGTGGGCCGAGACCGTGCCACTGTACTCCACCCTGGCCACAGAGCAAGGCTATCTCAAAAAAAAAAAAAAAAAAAAAAAAAAGCAAAATTAGATCTGGCTACATGGTTTTGTATTCTTTGAGAAGGAGTCTCGCTCTGTCGCCCAGGCTGGAGTGCAGTGGCGCGATCTCGACTCACTGCAAACTCCGCCTCCCAGGTTCAAGGGAGGCTACCTCAGCCTCCCAAGTAGCTGGTATTACAGGCATTCACCACCACGCCTGGCTAATTTTTTGTATTTTTAGTACAGACGGGGCTTCTCCATGGTAGTCAGGCTGGTCTCAAACTCCCAACCTCAGGTGATCTGCCTGCCTCGGCCTCCCAAAGTGCTGAGATTACAGGTGTGAGCCACCATGCCCGGCTGGTTTTGTATTTTTTTTTTTTTTTACAGTTTTACTTAGATATAATTCATAGATCATACAATTTTTCCATCCTTCCATAGCTGCTGTGGAAAACAGTATTGCGGTTCCTTAAACAATTTAAACAGAATTACCCTTAAGATGCACTAATTTCACTTCTGGCTATATACCCCAACAAATTTGAAAGCAGGGTCTCAAAACAAGATATGTGTACACTGATGTTCAGAGCAGCATCATTCACAATAGCTAAAATGTGGAAGCAAGCCAAGCACCCACCGATGGAGGAATGGATAAGCAAAATGGCGTACGTACACAATGGAGCATGATTCAGCCTCAAAAAGGAAGGCGATTCTGACTTACGCTACCACATGGATGAATCTTGAGGTCATTAGGCTAAGTGAAATAAGTCAGTCACAAAAAGACAAATACTGTATAATTCTACTTATATGAGGTACTTAGGATAGTCAAAATCCGAGAGACAGGGAATGGTGGTTGCCAGGGGCTGGGAGGAGGGGGACAGGGGAGTTACTGTTTAATGAGTATAGAGTTTCAATTATACAAGTTGAAGAGAATGGTGGGGGTCAATGCATAACATTATGAATGTATTCAATTCTACTGAACTATACATTTTAAAATGATTAAGATGGCAAACTTTATGTATTTTACCACAAAAATAATTTTTAAAAATAGAGTACATTCAATAGTTTTCAGTATATTGAGAGTTGTGTAGCTATCACCACAGTCAATTTTAGAACATTTTCGTCACTCCCCAAATAAACCCTGTACCCATTAGCAGTCACTCCCTATTCCTCCCCAACTCCTCCCCATCCCCCTGCCCACCAGTCTAGGAAACTAGTTTGTCTCTATGAATTTGCCTATTCCAGACATTTCCTATAAATGAAGTCATACAATGTGTTCTTTTGTGACTGACTCCCCTCACTAATGTTTTCAAGGCATATCCATGTTGTAGCAGTGCGTCCTTTTTATTGCATAATAAACTTATTTTTATTGCATAATAATATTATCATCTATGCATATACCACACTTTATCCACTCACCAGTTAATGGAAATATGGGTTGTTTGCCACTTTTGTTGTGTTTTTTTTTTTTTTAAAACAGAGTCTTGCTGTGTCATCCAGGCTGGAGTGCAGTGGTGTGATCTCGGCTCACTGCAACCTATGCCTCCTGAGTTCAAGCCATTCTTGTGCCTCAGCCTCCCGAGTAGCTGGGACTACAGGCGTGCACTACTACGCCCGGCTAATTTTTGTCTTTTTAGTAGAGATGGGGTTTCGCCATATTGGCCAGGCTGGTCTTGAACTCCTGGCCTCAAGTAATCCACCCACCTCAGCCTTCCGAACTGCTGGGCTTACAGGCGCAAGCCACTGTGCCCCACCATTTTCCACTTTTGGCTATTGTGAATAATGCTACTATAAATATTTGTGTACAAGTGTTTGTGTAAACATGTATTTTCATTTCTCTTGGATATATATTTAGGAGTGGAACTGCTGGCTCATATGGTGACTCTGTTTAACTTTTTGAGGAAATACCAAACTATTTCCCACAGTGGCTGGACTATTTTACATTCCTGCCAGCAACGTATGAGGACTCCAATTTCTTTCTTTCTTTCTTTTTTGAGGCAGAGTCTCACTCTGTTGTCCAGGCTGGAGTGAAGCGGCATGATTTTGGCTCCCTGTAACCTCTGCCTCCCAGGTTCAAGTGATTCTCGTGCCTCAGCCTCCCCAGTAGCTGGGATTACAGGCATGCGCCACCATGCCTGGCTAATTTTTTGTATTTTTAATAGAGATGGGATTTTGCCATGTTGCCCAGGCTGGCCTCAAACTCCTGAGCTCAGGCAGTCCACCCGCCTCGGCCTCCCAAAGTGTTAGGATTATAGGCGTGAGCCACCGCACCCGGCCAAGGATTCCAATTTCTCTACATCCTCACTAATACTTGTTATCATCTATCTTTTTAAAAATTTTTATTATTTATTTATTTATTTGGTAGAGATGGAGTTTTGTCATCTTGCCCAGGCTGGTCTCGAACTCCTGAGCTCAAGTGATCCATTCGCCTCAGTCTCCCAAAGTGTTGGGATTACAAGTGTGAGCCACCACTGTGCCTGGCCACCATCTGTCTTTTTCATTGTGGCCATCTGGGTGGGTGTGAAGTGACATCTGACTGTGGTTTTGATTCACATTTCCTTGATGACTAATGATACTGAGCATCTTTTCATGTGCTTGCTTATTTGGGCGTTAGTGTATCTTCTTTGGAGAAATGTCTATTCAGATCCTTTACCCTTTTATTTTTTGAGACAGGGTCTTGCTCTGTTGCTCAGGTTGAAGTGCAGTGGTGCAATCACTAATCACTGCAGCTCTGACCTCCCTGACTCGAGCAATTCTGATTCAGCCTTCTGAGTAGCTGGGACTGCAGGCACATGCCACTATGTCTGGCTAATTTTTTTTTTCTTCTTTTTTGTAGAGATGGAGTCTCAATATGTTGCCCAGGCTGGCCTCAAACTCCTGAGCTCAAGTGATCCTCCTGCCTTGGCCTCCCAAAGTGCTCAGATTATAGGCGTGAGCCACTGCACCCAGCCCCGTTGCTTAATCTGGTTATTTATCTCTTTGTTATTGAGTTGTAAGAGTCCTTTATACATTTCTAGGTACCAGTCCTTTATATTTCTAGGTACCAGAACCTTATCAGATAAATGATTCGTAAACATTTTCTCCCATCCTGTGGGTTATCTTTTCACTGTCTTGATGGTATTGTTGGCAGCACAAAAGTTTCTAATTTTGATGAAGTCCAATTTACCTATCTTTTCTTTGGTTGCTTATGCTTTTAGTATCTTAGCTAAGAAGGTTTATCGAACCCAAAGTCACAAATTTTACTCCTGAGAGTTTTATGGTTTTAGCTCTTACATTGAGGTCTATGATCCATTTTGAGTTAATTTTTATGTATGGTGTGAGGTAGAGGGCCAGCTCCATTCTCTTGCCCATAGATATCCAGTTGTTCCCGCACCTTTGTTGAAGAGACTATTCTTTCTCTCCACTGATTTGTTTTAGCACTCTTGTCTGAATTCTTTTTAAAATTTATTTTTAAATTGGATATATAGCTTCATTTTTTAACTTAGTGCAACAAAAACATTTTCCAATTCAACTTCTAAGTGTTTAAAAAGCCTACTTTGTGGGGGTAGCAAGGGAAGCCCTGGAAAACTATTCTGCCAGTTACAGACTTCCTGGTTTCTATTTGACTCCTATTTGCTCTGTAACATTCTCATCTTCTGATAACACCAAACAGGTAATAATATCTTGTAATCCAGTTTATAGATATGAGATGATGAGCACGACGAGTAGTAATAAGGACAGGACTCTCCATACCGGGGTGGCATATGTTAATATTATCTCTAACATTTTTTAAAACTGTCTGTTGAAATGGAGAGTGGAAGTGCCTTATGCAACCTGAACACCAGAGCCTCACTACTGGAGGACAGGAACCATGGCCTCTCTCCCAGGCAGGCAATGCAGGGCACACAGAACCAGCAGCCTCCCTGGACTCACACCCCTGAGCAAATCTGCAGCTGACCTGTGGAGTCTCTCTTCCTGATGTACCCATGCTGGAAGTGGTACCATTGCACTTTCAGACATTTTTTAAAAAAGAGTTCCCTTGTTTCCTGAATTAAATCCCCTTCCAAACCAGGCACTAAACATTTGGAAAACTAGGCCCTTGCCCCCCAAAATAGTGATATTTTCTAATTCAAATTTTCAGCACCACTGCACTCCAGTCTGGGCGACAGAGTGAGACTCCAACTAAAAAAAGAAAAAAAAAATTTCATCAGAGGCCAGGCACAGTGGCTCACGCTGTAATTCCACCACTTTGGGAGGCCGAGGAGAGTGGATCACCAGAGGTCAGGAGTTCAAGACCAGCCTGGCCAACATTGTGAAACTCCGTCTCTACTAAAAATACAAAATTAGCCGGACGTGGTAGCGTGTGACTGCAGTCCTGGCTACTCAGGAGGCTGAGGCAGAAGAATTGCTTGAACCTGGGAGGCGGAGATGGCAGTGAGCCAAGATCACGCCATTGCACTCCAGCCTGGGGAAAAAGAGCAAAACTCCATCTCAAAAAAAAAAGTCATCAGACTTAGAAGAGGGAAAAGAAATGTCTGGGTGCTTAAAGGGTAAGTGCCAGGTGGCTGGAACAAGAGAGCCCCTGACAGCAATGCTGGGCTGTGACATCAGGGACCCCAGTGAACATAGCATACAATATGCACATGTAACACAAACCAAGGAAACAAAGCTCTAAAATCAGGTTTGTTTTTTAATTTGGGGAAATCTTTCAAAAGGAAGCATTTTATTGGATAATTTTCTTAACGTCAGTGCACAATTCTCCTCTTGATTTTCTTGAGTCTGATGAGAGTCCAGACAGCTGACAGCCTCGCATTTGGAGGGAGGGGAAACTCACCAGTGGTAAACAGGACCATTTGTAGAAAAGTTTTATATCACCCCACTCTTGCCTAGAGGGAGGTCTGCTTCCCACTAAAGCTGGGGTGACTCAGTGCAGAGGTAGTGGGTCGCAGGCCAGCAGAGGCATATGGTCTTTTATTGCCCTGACAAATTCAAACAGATCAGGTGAGTGACCTCTTCCACACTGAAGAGGATCAACGGATCAAGAGCAATGGCTTGCTTCTCATTAAGAACAGAAATACACATGGTCATTGTAAGAGGTCAAACACAGCCAAGGGCGGTGGCTCACGCCTGTAATCTCAGCACTTTGGGAGGCCGAGGCAGGTGCATCTCTTGAGCTCAGGAGTTCAAGACCAGACTGGGCAACATGGTGAAACCCCATCTCTACAAAAAATACAAAAATTAGCTGGGCATGGTGGCACACACCTGTAGCTCCAGCTACTTGGGAGGCTGAGCCCAGGAGGGTGAGAGGATCACTTGAGCCCAGGAGGTCGAGGTTGCAATGAGCCATGTTCACGACACTGCACTCCAGCCTGGGTGACACTGCGAGACCTTGTCTCAAAAAAAAAGAGGTCAAACACCTGGATATGAAAGAGAGGTTAAGTGTCCCCCAGGCAGAGACTGTGACTCTGAAGAGTGTGCAAAGTAGAGGCAGGAGGCCTCAGGCCAAGCAGGCTTTCAGAATAACCCAGCAAAATAGTCTCAGCGAGCCAAGGGGCCCCTGGGTTCTCAGGTGAGGTTTGCACACTCCATCACTTAGCAACTGTGTGACTAGGCTACCTAACTTCATCAAGCCTCAGTTTCTCCGCTTACAAAATGGAGACAATCCTGTCTAGTTTGCAGGACTGTTCAAGAGAGCAGAGTAATTCTATTAAAGTGCCTAACAGAGCCTGGCATCTGGCAGCTTACAGGAGTTATCTTATCAGAGATGATCCTAAGTCCGTGTCCGGTTACACTTTGTAAAGAATGTTCATGGTAAATCTTCAAAAGCACTGGGCATAGCCGAGGAGACTGAGAATTTGAAAATACAATGGTTTTGGAGGAATGAGACCTGAATCACCAGTGATTCTGCAACAACCCCTAGTGATCATCCAGTTGCTCAGGTCAAAGTGCAAATCTTGGCCTCTGCGTTCTCTCACGTCAGCAAATCCAGCCAGCGCCTCCTGCCAAGCACACCCCAGCCGAGCCTCTCCTCACCACCTACTGTCACTACCTTCACATTGATCCAGCCTTCACTATGACAGTCACCTCCCACTCCTTTTTTCCCTCTACAGCCAGTTCTCCACCAAGAGCCACTTATCTTTTTATACTTAGATCAGTCAACATCATACCCTGCTCAAAACCCTCCCATGGCCTCCCATCCTGATCCTCCAGCCTCCCTACCTCCCCATTTCCCTTGCTCACTGTCCGGCCAGGCCTCCTTGCTGTTCCTCGAATATTCCAAGCACATGCCTACAGCGGGCCCTTGGGTTGCTGCTTTTCCCACCTGGAGTGCTCCTCCCACACCCATCACCATGGCTCACTCCCCCGTGACCAACAGGTCTGTGCCCAAAAGTCACCTCCTCAAAGAGGCCCTTCCTGACCACCCATCCAAAATAGCAGAGAAAAACAGTACAAACTTTTTAAAATTAAAAATAAATAAATACATAAATAAATAAAATAGCAGTTCTGGCCACTTCCCCTCCTCCCTTGTCTGACTTTATTTTCATTCTTCCCACCACCTGGTGCTTGTTTCTTGCTGTCTTCCTGAGTAGATTACAAGTTCCCCAAAGGCAGGGTCCTTCTCTGTCTTGTGTACCACTGTTATCCCAGTGCCCACAACAGGGCTTCGGAGCACTTACGCATGAAGAAATGTGTCTAAGTCGAAAAGTGAAAAAGGTCCGGCCCAGCAGCCAGCTTTACCTTCTTCCCAGCTGTGGGGCTGCTCTCCGCACTCTGCAGGGGGCTCCTCTGGGGGCTTCGGCTTTCCTGGGGGACACACCTGCCCATGTACACGCTGTAGTCGAGAAGCATCTTCTGCCGCACGCTGCCTGCCAGCTCCTTCTGCTTTGGCTGTGACATGATCTCCTCCACACTGCCTTTGCTGCTGCTGCGGCTGTGGGTCAGGTGCCCGGACGGACTGTTGTGTCTGCTGTGTGCAGGCAAAAGCCCTGGAGCCAAGAAGACGGGGGCTATTCACACAATGAAGAAAACAACTGCAAAGTAAGCGGACTCCCTGAGAAAAGCAGCTACAATGCTATCAAATGACTGTTTAAAAATATTTATAAGGGGCTGGGCATGGTGGCTCACGCCTGTAATCCCAGCACTTTGAGAGGCCGAGGCGGGCGGATCACGAGGTCAGGAGATCGAGACCATCCTGGCTAACACAGTGAAACCCCATCTCTACTAAAAATACAAAAAATTAGCCGGGCGTGGTGGTGGGCGCCGGTAGTCTCAGCTACTCGGGAGGCTGAGGCAGGAGAATGGTGTGAACCCAGGAGGTGGAGCTTGCAGTGAGCCAAGATCATGCCACTGCACTCCAGTCTGGGCAACAGAGCGAGACTCCATCTCAAAAAAAAAAAAAAAAATTTTATAAGTTTATTTCCCACCCTGAAAAGTACCTTTTTCTCTAAGGTAATTTTTAAGAACGGTTTTTATTCCTCTCCAAGATAATTAGAGTAATGGAAGTAAAGAAATATAGTTGGTAGGTACTATTCTCTTTTCTCCTGATGATCTTTTAGGAAAAGGTCAAATATAGGACCAACACATCCCAAGTAGTGGCGAACTTGTCAGTGCTATCAGGGGTAAATGGAAAGTGGGTAGAGAGCTAATTAATTGTTCATCCACAAGCTCACAGCAATTCCAAAGATGTCTTTCATTCGACAAATTATGCATCAAGCACTTTCAAGCACACCATGCTAAAAAGAAGACATAATCCCTGCCCTTGAACTCACGCACCTAAGCAGATAAATCACAATCTTCTGTAACAAGTGTCAAAATTGTAGCACAACTAAGGGACTCTCTGGGCAAAAAGAAGGGGGTGACTACCTCTGCCCAAGAGACTGGAGCGGTGCTTACCCTAGCTGACTTTCACAGCAGTGACATCTACGCTGTATCTTGAGGGAATAGTTGCCATTTTCCTGGCCCAGGTGGGGAAGAGTATTCCAGGTACAGGAAGCAGCATATGCAAAAAGCAGTGACAGGGCACAGTATGTTTGGAGGCCAGTGAGAGATTCAGTGAAGTTCTAAGCATAGTACGGGGGGCAGAGGATAGGAAATGAGGATGGAGAGATTAGCCAGGAACAGACTGCAAAGTGCCTCAAAAGCCAACCTCGAATTTAATATTGACCCTGTTGCGCCAGAGGTTTTAAGCATGGGATGCGCCTGATGCTAACAATTTTATTTAGATTTACTCTGATGGCCAGGTGAAACGTAAAGTGGTTAAAATCAAACCAGGCTGGGCGCGGTGGCTCACGCCTATAATCTCGGCACTTTGGGAGGCCGAGACAGATGAATCACTTCAGGTCAGGAGTTCGAGACCAGCCTGGCCGACATGATGAAACCCCATCTCTACTAAAAATACAAAACATTAGCCTGGCATGGTGGCCTGTACCTGTAGTCCTAGCTACTGGGGGAGGCTGAAGGCAGGATAATCGCTTCAACCTGGGAGGCGGAGGTTGCAGTGAGCCAAGATCATACCACTGCACTCCAGCTTGGGCAACAGAGCAAGACTCTGTCTCAAAAAAAAAAAAAAGAAAGAAAGAAAGAAAGAAATCAAAAAATCAAATCAAACCATTTTCTTCTTAAGAGGCTCCAACCATCAGAACCATAATTCCCCAGAGCCTCACAAAGGGTCACGCAAGCCATTTCTTAATTTAAATTTTAGCCAGATAATTTCCAGCACTTTAATATTTTACACTGCATAACTATAAAAATACATTTTTGTAACTTTTATTATCCTTATACCGTTTTCATGTTTAGCATTTTTTTAATTGCTAGGATAAAAGCTACATCAAAAACATTAAAAAATAGATGTAAACTAATATTACATTTAATATCCTGGATTGGATCCTGGAAGAGAAAAAGGACATTAGTAGAAAAACCAGTGAAATCCAAATAAAGATTACAGTTTAGTTAATAGTAAAAAAGAGAAAAAAAGATGAAATAAACAGGGCAGCATGATACCAACACTTCAAACCAAACTGATCCCATTGTGACTGAGCCACACTCCATGTAGAGGAGGAAAGGAACCCCCTACGAGGCCTGGCTGGTGCTCATTGCCCACAGAACAGCCTCTTCACATCACCTCACCCTTCCCCTGAGTGGGACAAAGCACAGGAGTCGTCACTGCACTGTGGGTCTCATGGACAATAGCCCCTGATAAAGTCAAGGACCTTCCTGTGCAGAGACCATACTGGAATTCTGCCAAATGACCATGTGGCTTTCCTGCTGTCTCCAGATTCTTATTCCTCCGGGAGGCCTTTCCTGACCTGCAGCCTGGGCACTGCTGGCTGGAAATGCAGAATCTCAGCCCCACCCATGACCTCGAGTCAGAACCTGCATCTTAAGATCCCGTCAAACATTCAAGTCTGAGAAGCACAATCCGTGTTGCTAGAGAAATCTATGATTTTGGTGACAGCATCCCTGAGGGAGAGGACAGGGCAGGTCGTCGAGCAGGAAGACTTCTAACTTCTTGGTACTGATAGATGTACCTGGCCTCAGAGAATCAGACCAGTCCTACCTTCACGGCTGACCACCTATGTAGTCACTGATTCAGAGATGGTTTTGAAGAACAGCACAGTGCTCACCAATTTACCTTGCTACTAGTTTAATCACACTTTTGGTGGCTTAAACTTACCATAAATATCTCAATTCATAGCTTTCAAAGGCAACCCAGACTTACAGATGTACGAAGACATTAGTGGTGTGTGAGCCTTGCTTTAGTACCAGTGAGTGCACTGAAGGTTTTCCCACATCTCTGACTCTTACCATTATGTTTGTTGTGTGCTGAGTGGAACTTTTGGCAGGATTTCCAAAAATTGAACTCGTTAAAAATAATCAAATGCTTTATTTAAGTCCATGAATAACATGCCTCTTTTGAAGGTGCTCTGGGGGGCCCCTAAGTACCTAAGGTGGTGTTTCCTGGTGGCCCCATATACCCCCGTGGGTTACCTGATTCTGAGCTTCAGTGCCTAGACCAGTAGACCTTTATATTTCCAGTAGGAATACAATCTGAGCCACATAAACAATTTTAAATTTTCTAGTAGTCACATTTAAAAATGTAAAAAGAGGTCGGGCACAGTGGCTCACGCCTGTAATCCCAGCACTTTGGGAGGCCAAGGTGGGCGGTTCACTTGAGGCTGGGAGTTTAAGATCAGCCTGACCAACATAGTGAAATCCTGTCCCTACTAAAGATATAAAAAATTAGCTGGGCGTGATGGCGGGTGCCTGTAATCCCAGCTACTCAGGAGGCTGAGGCAGGAGAACTGCTTGAACCTGGGAGGCGGAGGTTGCAGTGAGCCAAGATCGTGTCACTGCACTCCAGCCTGGGCAACAAAGCTAGACTCCATCTCAAAAAAAAAAAAAAAAAAAAAAAAAAGAAAGAAAGAAAAAGAAAGGTAAAAAGAATACAATTAATTTGAATATATTTTTAACCCAATATATCTAAAATATTATTTCAACATGTAACCAATATAAGAAGTTATTAATGAGATATTTTACATTCTTTTATTGGACTAAGACTTTGAAATCCAATGTGCATCTTATACTTAGAGCACACCTCCATCTGGACTGGCCACACTTCAAGTGTTCAAAAGCCACATGGGGCTGGTGGCTACCGTAAGAAGCAGCACAGGTTTAGACCTACCAGGAGAGCTAGGCAGTGCCTGGTGCTGAGGAGTTCTTACCCACTTGAATTTTCTTTTACTCAGTGTTATGGGTTGAATTGTGTCCTCCAAAAAATATGTTAAAGTCCTAACCCCAGTATCTCAGAATGTGACCTTATTTGGAAACAGAGTCATTGTAGATGCCATTCATTAAAATAAAGTCATACTAGAAACAGGGTGGGCTCCTAATCCCATATGACTGGTGTCCTTCCAAGAAGACACAGAGCCACTGACAGACAATGCCATGTGATGATAGGCCAGTGTGGAGTGATGCGGCTGCGGGCCAAGTATTGATGGTCACCACCAGAAGCTGCAAACACGCAAGGAAGGATTCTATGCAGAGTCTCACAAGGAGCATGGCCCTGCTAACACCTTGATTTCAGACTTCCAGCCTCCAGTACTGTGAGAGAATACATTTCTGTTGTAAATCACCCAGCTTGTGGTATTTTGTCCCAGCAGCCCTAGGAAATAAATATATCTAGTAATCTCCCCATTCGTCTTGATTCTTAAAAGGGACTTCTTAGATCTCAGTGCTGGGATTAGGATGGAATCTGGTGTTGAAGCTGACAGAATGGAAGGTTAGCAAAGGAGTTAGGGCAAAGGCTCAGATTATGTTCCAGGGGAAGGAACCAAAGCACTCTGAAGCAATGTGTGACACTCATGTGACCAGCATAACTCCCGGATCAACACAAATGCCTTGTTAGAGAAAGCCCCAGAGTGGCTCCCTCCTAGTCTTTGTTTCAGATCCATGTAAGAAAGCTTTCCCTAATAACACCCACACTGGTCTTGTCCCAATTATTTGTTACACCACACTCATTTTAGCATGGCAATTTGTGAACACCTGACTCATACGTGCCAGTTTTGCATAACAGGCACAACACCTGAAGGACAGGGGAGCTACTGCTTTTTACTGGTTTTGTGTCTCTTGCAGCTCCAAGCCCAGCCAAAGCTGAGCAAAGAGGTGCTGCATGGTTATCAATCCGAATGACCACGATCTGACCTGAATGGTCAGGAAGTGCAAGGATTCTGCATTCTATGGCAAGCTCAGGCTCGGAAGACATATTGAGGGTCAGGTGCTCGAAAGTACCAGCCTGAAGGATCTCCCTGACTCACCTGCCATCTCAGAACCAGGGTTTTTCTGTTGCTGCTTCTCTCAGGGGAGTCACATTATATACAAATAAAACATAACCAGCAAAGGCTAATAAACATCATCTGCAAATGGATCCATCATTGGTTAAATGATTTGGGACAGACGGCTGCAGTGATCAGCCTAGATGGTAAATGAGTCATGAGAATGCACATTAGGTGGCAGACAACCATCAGTTCAGGGTGGGCTTCCTTCCTTCCTTCCTTCCTACCTGGCATTCTTTCTCTATTCTCCCTAGTGGCCCTTTAAAAATGCATAAGCATTTAGCACAAACATCATTACCTGGTTTACCTCCAGAGACACCCGATGACTTCTTGATTTCCGACTTTAGCTTAGATGCCAGAATAAATCTCCTAAACCATTCCTCTTTTTCTCGGCCAGTTCTCCCAAAGAGATAGAGTATCTGATCTCGCTGGCTAGATCTTGTTCCCTCCTGAGGGCGGGGTGGCTTCTTAGGGTCCTCACTTCCCTCAGCTGGCGGCTTCTCTTCTGAAGTCTCCTTATCAGTCTGAGCTTTAGACATAAAGTCATCTTGCTGACCAAGCTCGATACAAATGGGGTACTTTTTATTCCAGATTCGCTTTCGAGCCAAAGTTTTAGGTACAAGATAAATCTACAGAGAAAGAAAAATGATGATTTATATATTAAAGATTGGCTACACTATGCATTAATATTATGCATAGCACAAAGTGCAAACCTTATAGACTTTTTGACTAAAATGATGAATATGAAATAACTTTCAACACTTGTTCATAACATGACTACAGAAACTGGAATTTTCAGAAGTGTCTTGTTATTCTTCAAAATCATTCCACAAAGTAGGCATTTAATAATTTTGCGAGAGTTATAAATATCCGTAATTTTCAGGTGGCAGTAGCACAATAATAATGTTTAGCTGCTTATCATCAACTATGTTTGGCTATCAACTGAATTTAATGACCTTGGACCAAACTTAAGTTGGAAGAAAAAAAAAGATAGCTAAAATCTAGATGGGAAGCTAAAGTCAACCTTGAGTATCAAACTCAAGTTAAGAATAAACTTATATAAAAACTATTTTAAGTACTTCTCTCACATTGGAGAAATCTAAAGATCATTCAGATGAACTGTAAGAACAGAGAAACAATAGCTTTGTGGAATACATAATTTACATTTCTCACAAAAATAGAAGTATATAATACTTAATCAAAATGTAGTTATTTTGCATATCTATCATTTGCACATGTACAAAGACTTCAATAGTTAAGTACCGCAGAATCACCACACATAGCCACACAGCTTTTTGTTTGACTGAAATAATTAGCTTTTAAAGGCAGAATTCTGAGTGCACAACACTTGTTCCTCAAGTTGTGGTCTGTGGACCAGCAGCCTGAGTATCATCTGGGAGCTCATAAAAATGCAGGCCCGAGGCCCTGCCCACAGCTACTGAATCAGAATCTGCATTTAACAAGATGCCCAGGTGATGTGCATAAACTTTAAAGTGTGAGAGGTACTGTCCCCTAAGGTATACTGTTCAACGACCACAAACCTTTTTAGGGTATAAAAAAATGCAGTTAAGCATCCAAGATGCCATATGCTTTTCATTCATCTAAGCTATCCTTCCAAAATTGCTCAGGCTCACCTTGCTGTCTGAGAGGTCATAGATTTTCTGGCTGATGTAGGTGACCTCTGGCTTGGGTTCATTGTAGCTGGCCCTCCTGGATATATTTTTATTGGGCTTTGAAAGTCTTAAGGTTCCACCCTCAAGTCGAACAAAGACTGAATGTGTCAAAGTCGCATGGTAGGTTTCTGGATCATAGTTGTAAATCTCATTCATCCATCCCTGATGAAGAAAAACTTCCATTAGTAATATCAGAATAATCGCAAATCTGATTTAGTGTGAAATGATGAACACTGTGGTATTTGGGACACTGAAACCAAACTTGATCACGACACAGATATCAGCTCACCAATGACTACAGGTTGCAAAGAGAAGTGCTTAGCTGGGAGGATAACTGGAACTGAGGAGGTTTTTGATAACCAAAAATCTGGATTTGGAGGAAAAATGGCAATGTTCATTATCCTAAATAAAAGGTTCTTTCTTTTTTTAAAGCTTATAAGCACATCAGGAAACTCAGAAGATTTGTTCATGTGACTGAGCAAGCCTCTCTGCCTGACCTCCTTTGGGGTGATTAATCCCACCCAGTCTGGCCTTCTTAATTAGCTAAACACATGCTCTTCCCAGCCCAGTTGGAATCTTTGAAATTTCAGGTATTAATTCATGTTATCACAGGACTCAGAGAACTACCTCTCCACTTCTGTTGCACTACAATATGTACCTCATTGAAACCATGCAGTAAAGCAGATGATTGAGAATTAGGCATTAAATACATCGTAAATATAATCAATAATATATCAAAATTCAAAGATACATAGTAACTTAAATGGGTAAAATTGTGCTCCAGGTCCCCCTGCCAAATTGGACATAAATGATTTTGTGTTACATATCTTGATTTTTTAAAAGAGCCAACACTGAAATGTATGACAAAAAATACATACACAAAAGCCTAATACACTATACACTGTGTTAAAGCTAATCTCATAGCTGTCATCATCATTCATCACTGAACACTTCTCCTGCCTCAAATACTTTTTCAGGTTATGAGTAGCCCAGATCTCACAAAAGAAGTCCTCTGGGGAGTTTTAATTGATATCTTCCTACTCTCCCCAACTTTTTAAAAATACATGTCTTTGTAATGAGCAGAGAGATGCTAAAGCTCACTACATGGGAGTTGGGACTGTCATTCTTTTCAAGCAATAGCCATTTCCATGCTAAGTATTTGAGTCTCACACTAAAGTCTTGAATTGAAAGCCTATGAGAATGAGGACTCCTCAGAATTCTTTCATTCATCCTTTTATTAAAACACGCATTGAATCTATGTGCGAAGCAATGGGTTAGGAGTTGGGACAAAGATTTTTTAAAAGGACAGGATTCTTGATCCAAAGGTGCCTCCAAAAGAGTAGAGAATTAGGTCTTCATTCCCGTATCCTATGACCCCACTGTAGTAAACATAATAGAGACAAGTTGTCACAAACAGAGCACCTAAGTGTGAAGTGGAAGGAAAAATGGACAAACATATCTCTTTGTCATGGGGGAAAGAGTGTGAAACTTATGAGCCAATTATATGGATTTATATACCTCAGTAGATGTTTTGGCCTGAGCTGGGAGGTTCTCTCCCTCCTCCCAAAGAATGACCGGACAGGAGCAGCATCTATTCAACAATATTGAGTGAGCAAGCAGTGGCCATGGGAAGAGGCGTTTGTGAGGAAACAGCAACAATCAGAGCAATGAAGAGAAAAAGATGACAATTACAGATCACAGTGGGGCCTGAAGTGGACTGTATTGTCAGAGCATCCGTTTGGGTGGGTGTATTTTTGCTAAATGTAGAACTAAGTACTTTCTTTGGCTCACAGTTTTTTTGTCTTTTTCTTTAGTCTGTTCTTATGGCAAATTACATTCATTGACTTTCAAATGTTGAACCAGTCTTGCATTCTCAGGATTAAGGATGTATGAGTCATGATGTGCTGAAATTGGGCTGTATCAGCTCACAAGAACGGATTCTACACATCTCTTCCTAACTCCATGTTCAGTGACTTCACGTTGGTAGCTTTCAACTGGCAACAGTGGGAGTTGCTACATCACGGAAATCAGGGAATAGTCAAATCAAGATTTTTTTTTTTTTTTTTTTTTTTTGGAGAGCCAGTTTACCAGCATAACACTTTGCTGATATTTTGTTCATTTGTCCCTCTAAGTTCATGAAGGAAAATGGTCTATAGTTTTCTTGCAGTGTTTTTTGGTATTAATGAGCCTCAGAAAATGCAGGTAAGTGCATTTGGGAAGTGTTCCCTCTTCTCTATTTTCTGGAAGTTTGTGTAGAATTAATAATATTTCTTCCTTAAAGGTTTGATAGCATTTGCCCATGAAGCTATCTGGGCCTAGATTTTTCCTTGCAGAAAGGTCCCAAACTATGAATTCAATTTCTTTACTTGCTATTGGACTATTTAGGTTATCTATTTCTTCTTGAGTAAGCTTTGGTTTGTATCTTTCAAAGAGTTTATCTATTTTATCTATGTTGTCCAATTTCTGGGCATAATGTTGTTTACAATATTTCCCTATAATCCTGTGAATATCTGTAGTGTCTATGGTGATGCCCCCTCTTTCAGTCCTGACACTGGTAATTTGTGCTTCTCTCAAATCTTTCTTTTCGTATGTATGTATGCACATATATATGTATATATGTATGTATCTATCATCTATGTATTTGATACAGGGTCTTTCTCTGTCATCCTGGCTGTACTGCAGTGGCACAATCATAACTTACTGTAACCTGGAACTCCTGGGCTCAATTAATCCTCCCACCTCAGCCTCCCAAGTAGCAAGGGCTACAGATACGTGTCACTACACCAAGCTAATTTTTTTAAAAAGATCTTTGTAGAAATGGAGTCTTGCTATGTTGCCCAAGCTGGTCTTGAACTCTTGGTCTCAAGCAGTTCTCCCACCTTGGCCTCCCAAAGTGCTGGGATTACATGCATGAACTACCACACCCATCCTCTAACAAGCTTTTAATACTATTAATTTCCCTCTAGGCACTGTATTACCTGCAATTTCTGATAGGTTGTATTTTCAGTTTCCTTCAGTTAAAAATATTTTCTATTTTCCCTTATGACTTTATCTTTAGGCCCACAGGCTGTTTAGAAGTATTTTGCTTAATTTCCAAATATTTGAGAAATTTTCAGATATCTCTCTTACTGGTTTTTAGTGTAATTTCATAATAGGAAACAGGCTTTGTATAATTTCAATTCTTTTAAGCTTGTTATATGGTCTATCTTGGTTCCAAGTGCAGTTAAAAAAAATGCATTCTGCTGTTGAGTAGGGTTTTCTATAAATATATTTATTTGTCTTTTTAAGCACAACCATTTTCACCAAAGATCTCCTGACACAGAACACACAGCTTTCTTCTTATTCAATTTGGTTGCAGAAAATACTGTCTTACATATATAACAGGTTTACCAGGGCTAAAGTTCTAAAGGCAACTAGATTAATAAAGAACTTGAAGCAGATATAATCGTTTTTCTAAGATACTTCAGAGGTTGTTTATGCTTGCAGAGCTACTAAAACCAAGAAGAATCCATGAAGGGCGGGGGGAAGTTGGAGCTGATGAGAACTCTATTAGATCAAAACAGCCACTTGTTATCAGTGTCATTTATGAGCCATTTGGCCATACAGTCCCTGCATGCAATTGCTCTTCTTGAATCATTTCACTCTGAGCACACATCTGCTGGCTAGAGTAGAGGCTACTTGAGAATATGGATTATGTGTGATACTGCCTTCGTCCATCCTAATACCTAAGCTGAGATGCTCAGCATTTATTTAATGGCTGTTTTTGAATTATGATAATCACAATTTGATATAAGATAGACATTACTGCGACAAATCACCATATAAAATATTTTTCGTTATTTCCAGGTACATAGAATTACAGATACATGTACAAAAGCCAGTAGAATTAACATGATACTGGCACCAAATGAGAAAAAAAGGATTAACATGATACTGGAATTTCAGACAAAAATCCCTGCATTATGTTTATCAACCACTCACCACCAGACTAGAAGGGCTAAAGGAGAAAAAAAAGACAAGTATTATATTACATGAAACTGTTCTCCAAGAAAAGGACAGTCTCTGAGAAATAGAGTAAAGTAAGCTGTGGGGATTTTTCCCATTTGAAACTGCTGGGATTGTACAGGTTAATTATCTGATTTATGAATAAGAGAAACTTAGGGATAAAAGTTGTTTCTCTCCAATTGCTTTCATTTCGTCTTTCCTAAATCAGAAAATGCAGACTTGTCCAGGGAGGTGCTGTACAATGGAAATATTAATATAATGTGAGCCATAAATGTGATCATGAAAATATGTAATTTTATTTTTACTTTATTTTTTTGAGATGGAGTCTCGCTCTGTTGCCCAGGCTGGAGTGCAGTGGCGTTACCTTGGCTCACTGCAACCTGCACCTCCTGGGTTCAAGCAATTCTCCTGCCTCAGTCTCCTGAATAGCTGGGATTACAGGTGTGTGCCACCACGCCCGGCTAATTTTCGTATTTTTAGTAGAGATGGAGTTTCACCATGTTGGCCAGGCTGGTCTCAAACTCCTGACCTCAAGTGATCCACCCACCTTGGCCTCCCAAAGTGCTGGGATTACAGGCGTGAGCCACTGCGCCTTGCTGAAAATGTGTAATTTTAAATGGTCTAAGAGCCACATTAAGAAAGAAAAAGCAGGTAAAATTAATTTAAACAATGTATTTTATTTAAATTCATATCAAAATTATGATTTCAACATGTAATCAATATTAAAAATTATTACTGGTATTTTACATTCTGTTTCATACCAAGTCTTCAGAATCCAGTGCGTACTTTACGCTTAGAACACATCTTGATTCCAACTAGCTACACTTCAAGGGCTCAACAGCCACATAGGGCTCAGGACTAGTATATAAGAGACAGTTCAGGGCCAGTTATTGGGTTCAAGCTTTTTAGCCCTAGACCCTTGGCTCAACTATGAATAGAATGGGCAAAGCCTTCCTTTCTCTTCTTGTGCATGCTTTCAACACACTCAGTCTTAGTGATAAGAGACAGTCATTCAGTACATGGCAGTTTTCTGCCATTTTATTAGATGCTTTGCATAATTAAATGAGAGAAGATAATCTAAGTAATCACCTAATGAAATCTATTGTAGAAATTCAAAATCCCTTTTAAAAGTTAACCTGCAATATTAAAAACTCAGAAATATTAATAAGAGTATTCTATGTAGGAGGCTTTTGAAAAACTCATAGTTCTATAGGAAAATTAAGATAATTAATAGACAAACATATCATTTTTTTAGCTTATTCTTTTGATTTTTAGACTTAGAAAACAAAACAAGACATACAGGCATGTGTGTTGAGATACATACACCAGCTCATCTGTTCACAGGTCAGTTTCAGGTGCTGAGCTGTTACTCTGCCCCAGTCTAACCAACTGCTACTCAATTATTATTCCTAGGAAAATTCCTGTCCCTGGATAACAAGAGCAACCATTTCCACAGTGCTTCAGGGATTCGGTTTTTAGCCACAAAGCCAGGCATTCAACCCAGCAACCTGAGCTACCACCTTAGCTGAAGAACAGCCACTGTGGAGTTCTTGCTGGCTGCAGCCTGTGTGCTCGCTCACACATGGGCACAGTTCTGAGATGAGTATGCAATTACCTTCTTTGCTGACAGCTCTGACAGATAAAGGTCATCCTCTACCACTTGCCAAATTCAGGAATCCCAGAACAACCTGATTCAGAAGAATGTGAAAGAGAGAAGGGAGTTTCAAGTCCTACCTACACAGTTCAAAAGCACAAAACCTTACCTGCTGCACTGCAGGAGGCAGAAGTGAGAGGCAAGAAGTAGGTAGGCATAGAAAGAGAATCTAGGAGATGCTTTCCTTCTCTTGCGAAAGCCTGGAGGGGACCCAAATTCCTTTATTCTGCTTGGGCTTGGCTTGGCCCTTCTTCTCCCTACCCCCATCTTTTCAGAATCACCAGCTGCTGTGGTTTCTCCTTCCCTTTTATCTTCAAATTTCCTCCTTCCTGAACTACCATGTTCCTATCTTTGTGTTAAAGATTCATCAGATGCTAAAGTCCACAGCTGCTAAAAAACAAATAAACACAGCACACAAATCAGGATTTGAATTACACATTTATTGTGAACAATCATTTGTTAGCCTAAATGAGACCCTACACTGATCGTATCCAATTACACAAAAGACTGCTGGTCAAAACACATGCGCTGAAACCAACTCACCTACCTTAGCAGAAGTACTGGGAATCTGACAGACCTGGGTTCCAATCATGCCTGCACCACTTACCTCCTGCCAAGGTAGGTGATGCTTATCCCTCAGACACTTGCTTTGCTCACCTGTAAAAGGGTCCAGGTGGCTTACTGCCCAGTTTCATGCCTCCCTGGCCCCTACACCTCACCCTCTGTTCAAGCCATAGTGATTTTTCTCCTACTGACAGTTTATTAAGGTACAATTTGTTTAGAGTTTATAAAGAAATCATAAGCATATGGTTTTTTAAACACTAATATTACTATTCATAATAATAGCTGACATTTAAGCTCACCTTATGGCCCAGGTACCCCAGGTGCATTATCTCCTGTATTTCTGTCAATTCCCTACGATTTTACAGGTAAGAAAAGTGGTGAGAGAGGGGATGTGATTTGCCTTCCAATGTCTACAGAGTGGCAAATCTGGGACTCAAACCAAGTGTTCCTGACTCCAAGGTGTGGGATGCTACCTCAGCTCCATGGCACGGCCCCACCTGCAGTCTGGCTTGTGCCTAGTCACCCCTCAGGTCATGGCAAAGACGGCACTTCTCCTAGGAAGCCTCCCTCCTCACCTAGGCTCAGTTCTCTGGTACTCTCCCATCACTGTATCTGTTAACTACCTGGTTTACTAAACTGAGTTATAAACTCCACAAGAGCAGGGATCATCATGTCTGCCAACCACAACTGTAACAAATGTTTGTTGACTGAATACATGAGGGAAGCCTAATTCAGAGGTGGCTGTGAGGATTAAATGAAATCTATGGGAAGCAGGAGTAAGCAGGAAGGCTAGCGAGCCCCTCACAGCTTATAAGTACAGTGCTAGCTGTGTGAGACGAACAAGCAAAGGAAGAAGCTGACGCCCTAATAAGTGCAAGGAGCTGTAGAGGTTACTTAGAAGACTTGGTCACTCTTCTAAAAAAGAAAAACCAAGGTAAAAATGCACAAAATAGCACAGAACAAGAAAATAACCCCAGAAACCAAAGATTTTCAGGACAGAAATCGGATGGGCTAAGTCTTATCTAGAGCAGAGAGGGGTATTGTGACTGGAGCCCATGTTTCCTGCCCCCTATCTAAGGCTCTTTCCAGAACACTACAGGCTTTGACAGGAAATCTTGAGAGGATCACAGGAGTTGCTACTTGACCCCACTGTCAGGAACCAGGTTGCAGACTGGCCTTAGGGAGGCTCAGGACAAGAGGCTGAGGCACAACTTTCCTCCAAGCCTCCCTAATTCTGCCCCTTCACACTCCTACTGACCTGAAACCAGGTTGCTCTTGCAGAAAGCAATTTCCCGGTGCAAACCTAATCACCTTTTGATACCATTAATCAGCCATTTCCCCCCACCCAGGATCTGACCAAGTCCCTGGATTAAGCTGCAAATGAAATTTCCAGATTTCAGCAATTGTCGAATCTTGAGAGAAGCAGCAACTCCAAGGTCTTCATCCTGTTCTCCATATAGTGCCCAACTATCCACTGCTCAGCTGTTCTAAAATTCTTAAGCCTGAATTTCTTACCAGGTAAAGTATTCATCCAACCTTGTTATGAGACATGGGAATGGGTATAGAGAGATATGGCATATAGATAGCAACATTCCATTTCAACAGCTCAACCGAAAACTCTGAGATGCTCTCAACCCACACTAAAGTGACTCAGACAAGCTTTGTTTCTTTCTGAAGCTAGAGCTGTTAAAATGGACACAGTGCACCCCGCTGGGGACAATGACCCAGTCAGCCAGGCTGCAGCTGTCTGGCCCACAGACTGGTCCTGTGATGGCATTTGTAAAAGGTCAGGGGTTTCTCTCAATTCTCTGCTGGATTTAGAAGCCACGTATGGCTGAAAGTACAAAACCACAATCTATAAAGGGGCCATTTAATATTTTAAAAGATTAAAAGCTACAATTAACCTTTTGCAAAATAATAAAGTCTGGAAGAACTACTACCGTGCTTTCAGTTACAGTGCCAATCAGAAGTTCAAGGCCAATGCTCTATTGCTCAGCTTGATACTGAGCTGACCAGAGAAAAGTGCCAGCCCTATAGCCCGAGGAAGTGATGAGAATTCAGGCACTGTGTGCCTGGCTGACAGCAGTAACAATGCAGCATGTTTTCACCCTGCTGACATGTGGCTGTGCTGGCATTTCAGTCCACCTGTCATTCAGATCCCTGTATCATTGCTTCATCAAGTGTATCAGGGAAGGAGCAAATCCTACACAAGAATAGAGCCAGGGCCTGAGGCCCCTCCTGTTGAAAATCATCTCTGAAGCACATAAAAAGGTAATTACTCTCTGTCTCCAAAACTAAAACATAAGCAGGATTTTGTCTTTACCAAGCCTAAACCTTTTTTGATGTATTAATGGTTTAGGACCAGCATCATCAGTATCAGAAACACAGCACCATAGATCATGGAGTTTGAGAATATGGCAGGGGTGGGACCGTCTAATAAACTTTATAGGTCCTGAGATACAAATTTGATTTTACCCATGAAAGGCAAGCAGACCCACAGACATCCAGAATTCATACTATAAATGATAGCCTTAAGCAGGGAGTCAACATTCAAAATAAATGCTGCTCAAAGACACTATAAAGAACATTAAAAAAAGAAAAGAAAGAAAGCCCATTAGGGGAGGGAAGCGCCGTTAATACCGTCCACATCCTCCAACTGCCTGCTTCAAGGTCACCTTCCCAGCAGTGACACTAGAAGCACTGGAGTCAGGGCTAAAGCCACAGCTTTATCCTGCTCTCCTATCCTCCAGTGCAGAATCTCCCAAACTCAGGTGGCCATAGAACATTTTTGAAATTATAATGCACTGACAGACAGTAATAGAATAGGAGATAACGTGGATTCAAATTAGAAAGGTAAAATGATCTCAGATGAACCACTGAAATGACCAAGGTCTGAGTTACATTAATACATGATAAACATTAAATCATATTAACAAGGGTTAAAATTGTAAGATAAATAGATCAGCAAGCAAATAAATTAGCAGCCTCTGTCACTTTTCAGATCACGCATTCTATCAAACAACTTTTTGGGTATGTACAAATATATACTTTACTTATAATTTATACACATGTCCCAATATATACAGCTTTTATATAAAGTACAGAATAGAAATAAAGAGCAAAAGATGAAATAATTATCCTTTTGATAATTTTTAGTTTTTCCAGTATGACAGCTTTGTACTATCTTCAGCTGACACCTTAAGGCACAATACATACACTCAAGGTGAGGATCACTGTTGATGATCCTGAGTGTAAATCTGTATTTCAGAGTCTTACTGATAATTTCCAAGGTTTTTGGCCAAAAGTCGATATATGGTCATCTGTATGTTAAATATCAGCAAGGCTTATTTACTTTCTCAACTAGAAAGAGCAAAGACTGATACAGACGGAAACTTTACTGTTTTCTTCTTGATTAGTGTCTTCTGCAACCCATTTGAACACCACTGAAAGAAGCAATGGAATGAAAACAGTGAGTCAACAACTATGGCCTGGGCACCCACAAAAAAACACGCTCATGCCCTAGAACCATCTTGCTGGCAAACTCATCTTTGGAGTACAGCAAACCTCTTCTTAACGGCTAATTATTGAACAATAATTACAATAAGAATCTTCGATGTTTTTGCTACTTTTCTTACAGAGTTCAGAAGGTATTTTCAGGATGCTAAAAACTGTACTTATATATAGGTAACCAGAATTACAATTCAGCCATGCCATAAGTTAATGAATTGAGTGAAAAACTGGCAAAATGTTGACAATTGTTGAAACTGGGTGTCAGGCACATGGGGGGTTCATTTTACTATTGCCTCTACTTTTGTCTGTATTTAATATTTTCATCAATAAATAGTTTAAAAATGAAAGTTCAAAAAAGTCATTTTGGGACTACCTGACATCCTTAACCATATTGTTCCTATGGAATTCAGGAAGCACGTTCCACACAGCTGCCTCTCCAACTTCAACACAAGGGGTACCTTCTGGTAAGTGAGGGCTGCCTGCATCAAAACATCTCACTGATTAGCCGTGCATGGTGATGCGCACATGTAATCCCAGCAACTCTGGAGGCTGAGGCAGGAGAATTGCCTGAACCCGGGAGGCAGAGGTTGCAGTGAGCCAAGATTGTGCCACTGCACTCTAGCCTGAGCGACAGAGCGAGGCAAAACAAACAAACATACAAACAAACAAACATCTCACCTGAAAACTATTCTACAAGGGGCACTGGGAAATAGCCATGTTTATAAAAACCATACATAAAAACTCAGGTAACCCATTATAGGGGCAGGATATTTTCAGTAAAGTATAATGTAGAAAGAAATGCACTCACATTTCTTGTCCTTACTCTAAGTTATAAGAGACCAACAAAAAGCAATCCAAGTCTCTTTGGGCTGCATGTAATGGCCATTTTCTCCTAAAGACTTGCTTACTCTAATTTCTTGAAAGAATTTCAACAAATTGAGATTAAATTTACAAATTGGAATTTCTCCTCAAAATTGATCATGTCCTCCCCCCAAAATTATTCTTTTATATATCAAAACCAAAGCCTATATTCAGGGAACCTATTTTTAAAACCTATCCCTCTTATTAAATATCTACATGTGACACAATCTAAAGAAAAAAAAGTTCTCCAAAATCCATTTCTATTAGTTTCTGCAATGGCCTAAATATAATTTTAGTCAAACTTGCAGGCCATATCTTTAAAAAAGAGATGGATTATCACTCTGGAAACCAATATGCTACTGCTGTGTTCTGCTGGTGGTTTATAAATCTGAGATAAAGAATTTGCTCGTGAATATAATTCAAAATTGCATCTGAGTCATATACTCAAACATAAATCCAAGACCCTTATGAAATCTTCAGGAAGCTTTTCATTATAAACATGTAGAAAGTTAGTGTGCAACAGGAATGGCTCTGAATTAAAAATAATCCTGGGCAAGGGACCATCTGATTTGGCTAAGCAAACATGCCAAGTGCAGTTTGCTGACTCTAAATGCCCCATTTTCCCCGTGCCCAAACCCACCCTTTCCCAAGGTCCCCAGCTTAGGGCATCTAGACAGTCACCCAACATAAGAACTCCTGAAGGCTACCACACAGGGGGTGTCACTACAGGGATGCCATTGGTCTGTGGCACACACGAGGCTCTTTGCCTTGAGCTAACCTGCCCAGCCCACCATGCTCTAAGTCCTATGAGCTTCTTCTCACATTTTGGTATTGGCCTTTGTGCCAATACCATGTGCATTCACATGCCACTTCCTGTTGAATGCCTGTAGCAACCTTTCTCCTATTTGCTGCTTCTCATCAGCTATGAACTCCAACATACTAAGAACAAGCAAGCTTTGGAGGAGGTCCTAAGAATTCTTCTGTGGACTTTGTGACAGCTCTTTGGCCACATAGAGGTCTTACTTTTTTTTTTTTTTTTTTTTTTTTTTTGAGACGGAGTTTCGTTCTTGTTGCCCAGGCAATAAGAGTACAGTGGTGCGATCTCAGCTCACTGCAACCTCCACCTCCCAGGTTCAAGCAATTCGCCTGCCTCAGCCTCCCAAGTAGCTAGGATTACAGGCATGCCCCACCACACCCGGCTAATTTTGTATTTTTAGCAGAGAAGGGGGTTCCACCATGTTGGCCAGGCTGGTCTTGAACTCCTGACCTCACATGATCCACCCACCTCAGCCTCCTAAAGTGCTGGGATTACAGGCGTGAGCCATCACACCCGGCCTCTTTTTTACTTATATTCTAGACAGTACAGCTGCTGATCAAATGGGTTCAGAGCGGGAGACGGCGGAGTACCATAGGGCCTAGACAACCACACAACAGTCTTTGAGATTAGCTACTACTTGGCTGCAAATTGGTCTTTTTGGTTTGTCATCCCATAAATGTATCACTGCTGCAGCATCATATATAAATACATATGTCTGCAGTGAGGACCCTGATAAAGTACACAAAAACTTTCCTTTTCTCCATTCTTTCCTCAGCATGTGAAGTTACACAGAAGAAAAACTGCAATGCTCCTTGAACTGTTCATGGAACCAGTAAAGGGGCAAGACTCTTAGTCCAGTCTGGCTGCAAGCAGTTCCTGGACCCATCAGTGAGAACTTATACGGCTCAGAGGTTCAAAACCACATGGTCTCCTAAAACAGTCCCTGAGCACCCAGCTCACTGCCTGACTGGTTCACAGCTCATATATGGAGTCCTCTTAGGGCATAAAGTATGCGGGATCTCGGTCCTGGGCTGGGCCTGTCTTGGAGATCTCGGTCGCAGGCAGGTATTATAGTCTTCCATATTGGTGAGCTTTTTAAAAAGGCTTCCGTACCTTCCCTCAAGAATTGCACCATCTTCTGTAAATACCAACTAAATTGGATCAGATGTACACAAAATAATTCAAACCAGCTCACTTATCCCCTGAAATCAAACATTTTCAATAAGTGGCTCTTTTGGCTTGCCCTAGAAACAAGTTCACAGGCCTGTTTTATAAAGAAACCAAGGTCTATCTCCTACATCACTTTAAAGCCATCAACCTGGAGGCAGAGTGGAAATCTGGAACTCATCACTGCCCACTTCTCCAATCCTCCACTTAGTATTTGCCTTTTTTTTTTCTTTTTTTTTTTTGAGACGGAGTCTCGCTCTGTCACTCAGGCTGGAGGGCAGTGGTGCGATCGCAGCTCACTGCAAGCTCTGCCTCCCGGGTTCACGCCATTCTCCTGCCTCAGCCTCATGACTAGCTGGGACTACAGGCACCCGCCACCACGCCCAGCTAATTTTTTTGTATTTTTAGTAGAGACAGGATTTCACTGTTAGCCAGGATGGTCTCGATCTCCTGACCTCGTGATCCACCCGCCTCAGCCTCCCAAAGTGCTGGGATTACAGGCGTGAGCCACCACACCCGGCCAGTATTTGCCTTTCTACTACTCCCTTTGCATTCAGGAGGGCAGCACTGCGTGAGCACTGGTCACAGGAGAGCAGACTTGGGTCACCAGTCGATTTCTAAGCAACAAATGTCAAGCTTCAAATCCTGTTAAAGATGGACTGTCTTGGCTTGTCCACTTTCAGAAAAAAAGCTTAGGAAAAGCTTTACTGTTTTGTTTTTGTTTTTGTTTTTGTTTTGTTTTTTTGAGACAGGGTCACACTCTATTGCCCAGGCTGGAGTGCGGTGGCATGATCACGGCTCAGTGCAGCCTTGACCCCCTGAGCTCAAGCGATCTTCCTGCCTCAGCCTCTCGAGTGGCTGGGACTGCAAGCTGCGCCACCACACCTGGCTTTTTAAACAAAACTTTTATAGAGATGGTGGTCCCACTATGTTGCCCAGGCTGGTCTTGAACTCCTGACCTCAAGCAATCCTCTGCCTTGGCCTTCCAAAGTGCTGGGATTACAGGGGTGAGCCACCACGCCCAACCAAAAGCTTTACTTTTTAGTAATTATTTTCATTTTCTTAAAAGATCACTCCTATTAAACCCTATTTTTTTTAAAGCAAGCATCAAGGATTTATTTTATTTTTTTAGAGACAGAGTCTCATTCTGTCACCCAGGCTGGAGTGCAGTGGTGTTATCATGGCTCACTGCAGCTTCAAACTCCTGGACTCAAGTGATCCTCCCACCTCACCCTCCTGAGTAGCTGGGACCACATGCATGCACCACCATACCTGGCTAATTATTTTAAATTTTTTGTAGAGATGGGATCTTGCTGTGTTGCCCAGGCTGGTCTCAAACTCCTGGCTTCAGGTGATCCTTCTGCCTCAGCCTCCCAAAGCTCTGGGATTACAGGTGTGGGCTACCATGCCCAGCTAGGGATTTCTTTTAAAAAGCAACATCACCAGGAGATGACAGGGTCAATACCAACTCACTGCTCAAATCTTCTGATAAAATCTCACTCCTTCATTCATCTACCCATCCATTCAGCCAACAATTACCTATCACATACCTAATACGTGGCAGGTGCTGAGGATACAAGATGAACAAGATGGACAGGGCCTATGCATTCATGAAGCTTATGGAATATTAGGGAAGACAGATAACAGTAAACTTGGGTCCTAAAGTTAATGTCAACGCTGCTAAATGTTTTAAAGTACCATAGTTTAAAAACGGTTCCCAAGAGTATAATCTCCCATTCAGTAAAATTAACTAAGTCCAAAGAACATTTGCATTTGAAATTAGCTTGTAACAGACAGCATATCCTTCTAATTCATAGTAGTGTCCCTTTTCTAAATAGAGAATGCATTCAGCCCAGTTTCTAAAAACAACACCGCATACCCAACAAAAGACTTCAGGCTAAAATATACTTTTCCTCTTTAGTAATGAAACCATTCTAAACAAGTTAAGGCTAAGAATGAAAAAAGAATTACCAAAGTGATCAGAGTTGTCCAAACAGCAATAAGGAAGAATAAATGCTTAGTCTATGACAGTTTGCTTGGATTAGGGGTGTCAGTCTATGAGAGCATTAAAGTACTTGTTCTCTACAAGGAAAATTCAAATACGTTTATCCTAGCCACTGTGGGCAAAACACCTTCCTTAAAAGAAAACACTGTCCTACAAGGCTCCACCACACACTAGCTGTGTGACCTTGGGCAATAACTTAACTTCTGTGGGCCTCCATCTGCATGAGCACATATACGCTAACTGAACAGGGTTGTGACGAGGATTGAATGAGATAATACACCCAACACTTAGCCCACTGCAGTGCTCAGCATCACAGTGTTGCCTTTATTCTTCCAGTGATCAGATCAAAGCAACCAGGCTGTGCTATAACATTAAAATCCCATTCCATCGGCACCCTGTGTAGTTAGTAAACTCTTGACATATCACAGTGATTGGATTGACACTAAGTAATTTACATCTGAGAAGAGGGTAGGAAAAAAACACTAAAGATTGACTGGATTAAAATTAAAATCTTCCTAAGACAAGTCAGTGCTCAAACCAGTTTAAACTGAATGCCACAGTCAGTCATTAGGTACTAGAGTTAATATAAGCGCAATTTTTCCTTGCTAAAGTTAGCACGAACTTACTTGGAGAGCACGTACTTCAGGTAGTCACTGCACCACCCTATCAGAAAAAGCTCAGCAACCACGCGTGAGTCATTTTTGCTCCACTTCATTTATTAACGCTAAGCTTAAGGGTGTCACATCCACAAGACTCAACACAGCTTCTCTTAAAGAAGAAAGTGTCATAACATATTGCCATGTGAAAGAAAGAAAAAAGGTCAGACTGCAAAATATATGATCCTATTAAATCAAAACAAAAAGAGTGGGTGAGTATGCATGTATGTGATGCATATCTTCATATATGCAGAAATTTTAAAAACCCAAAAAACTAGGATATATACCAAATCATTAACTGTAATTCCCTTCCACTAGTGTGATCAAAAAATTTTTTTTCTTTGGGTTTCCTGTGTTTTTAAAACATTAACCATGTATTTCCTTTGAACAAGGAAAAAAGTCAATGAAATTTAAAAACAAATATTATTTTGGATCCTAAAAGAATTCTCCCCAACCCCCAGCTTTTTTTTTTTTTTTTTTTTTTTTTGCAATAGGGACATCACGCTGCCATTTTTAGAGCATTCTCATTTAAATAGATGGGAGAATAATACCTTTAATTTAACTAAGAAGCCAAACAAGCTTTGAATTTGAAAAGCTAAAGATTAAAACCAATAATTAAGGTTCAAAATTGCTCCAGGGAAACGAAGTTCTCCTTTTCATACATCTCCTGTAACACAAGGAATTCTCCAGGCAGGTCTAGGCATGAACCTTCTGCAGAGAGGTGTCATGGGAAAAGCAGGAAGAGGACACACAAAGGCTCCAAAGCCTACCTCTGTTACTTATTTTATTATTATTATTATTATTTTTGAGACAGAGTCTCACTCTGTCACCCAGGCTGGAGTGCAGTGGCGCAATCTCAGCTCACTGCAGCCTCAGCCCCCAGGCCCAAGCAATTCTCCTGCTTCAGCCTCCCAAGTAGCTGAGATTACAGGTGCACGCCACCAAGCCCAGCTAATTTTTGTATTTTTAGTAGAGACAGGGTTTCACCATGTTGGCCAGGCTGGTCTTGAACTCCTGACCTCAAGTGATCTGCCTCCCTCAGCCTCCAAAAGTGCTGGAATTACAGGCGTGAGCCACCATGCCCAGCCTCTATTACTTATTAAGTAGCAAGACACCTTGGACAATGACCACCTCTCTCAGAGCCTGAATCTCCTCATGTGTAAAACTGGAAGCATCAAACTCCTGGATGGTTATGAAGCTGAATTAGATAACTTTTATAAAGCAGTGGTCTCTAAACTTTTCTGGCTTTCCACCTTATCTCTAAAAACATATACAATCAGCCCTCTATATCCATGGATTCAATCAACCTTGGATTGAAAATATGAAATTAAAAAAAATAATAACAATCCAACAGTAAAAAAGATACAAATTTAAAAATACAGCATAATAACCATTCACATTATGTTAGGTATTATAAGTAATCTAGAGATGATTTAAAAGTATACAGGAGAATGAGCATAGGTTATATATTAATACAAATACTATGCCATTTTACATAAGGGACTGAAACATTCATCGATTTTGGTATCCTTGGGGGGGGTCCTGAAACCAATGCCCCCTTGGATACTGTACATAAATGTGTGTGTGCATATAACTTACAAACTATATAAGTTCTAATTGTACTTTTATAGTGTGTATACACATAACCAGAAATTTTAATATGCAAAAAAATAATAATAAATAGAAGTTCTAGGCTGGACACAGCGGCTCACACCTGTAATCCCAGCACTTTGGAAGGCTGAAGCAGGAGGATCACTTGAGCCCAGAAGTTTGAGACCACACTAGGCAACATAGTGAGACTCCGTCTCAATCGACAGATTAGACAGCTAGATGAATGTTTCTTCCTGCTTCCCAATGAATTGTCCCAGGGACCCCTCAGGAGGCCCAAAAGCCTGACATCTGATATGCAGTGAAAGATGACATCTTTCTCCATCCCATTCCCCACCGTGCAAAGGAAAGAGGAGCACCAGCAGGGGCCAACAGCTGACATTAATTTGCCTTCTCTTCTTCCTTCCCTCCTCTTGCAATTCCGGGAGTATTTAACCCTTCTTCAAGGTCTCAAGAATAGTGAACCCTAACAGACTCAGCCATTAAAAATGCTCAGCAAGTAGCACATTCCAAGTAAGTTTAGAGACAGACCAGAACAGGAACTGATGTAAACACTATTCTCTAGAGTCACAGAGATCTTTCAGAAACTACTTTGTGAATCTGCAAAGCTTGGGTTAGAATGAGGTTTACCAGATGAGTTGACTGGGTGCCTGGAGAATGAAGTGGCCCCAAGCTCTTAAAAAACACGGCCTGTGCAAAAATCTTTAACAGCTAACCAAAAAACAAGTCAGATCTAAAATACGGCTGTATGTGAGAAGTGTGTGTACTAGCCAGCTCCCGGGGAGAGGCTTACCTTCAGTATTTCAGGTTCTTTGATATCCAGAGATCTTGTGTTCCAGTGTCGCAGATTTTTGTGTAACTTGTGATATTTATGAGCACTTGGTGGTGTAAAAAACCAAATCACGCAAACTGCAGTCATGAATCCAAGGCCAATTCCCAGAAAGAGTCCACTCACATAGTGGGGGAGGGGGAGGATGAGGTACACATAGACACACATTATAAAGAAGCCCAACGTCTTCACTGGCAATTCCGGGTGCTGCACGGCCGAGTCCACCTCGTCCTCACTGTCAAGGACCACACCATCTTCCGCGAGCACCTCTGGCTTGAGAGGAATATCTGAGAGCTTATCAACTTTACTCTCCCCCTCCGTTTCCAAATCGAAGTCCTCAGTGTACAGTTCACAAAACTCTTCATCTTCTTTGCTCACTAAGGCAGACAAAGAACATTTCTCCAGAACTAGAGAACTTGTCTTCAGGCCTAAATCCTTCAGACTGCTCCCCTGGGAACTTTTCAGTTCTATCTCTCTTGTGGGCTCACCAGTGGACTTTGGGTGGTCACTTCTGGGGATGTTGGAATCACTTCCGTAGCCATCCCCCTCAGAATCACACTCCTCCTCCTTGATGCTGTAGTTGTTATTGCTTTCCAAGTGCCCATTCAAGCTGGACAGATTGGAGAGTTCTGAAGCACTTGAAGATAAGGCTTTGGGCCTATGGCTGCCACTTTCTTCCCCTATAATTTTACTAAGGAGCTGAAAAGGCTCATAGATGACTTCTGAAAGGCGTCGTTTAGTATCTTCAATTTTAGCCTCCATTTCGGGCACTTTAAAAAAGGAACGAGTATCAGAGGGAGAAGTCAGTGGGGAAGAAGGTGCAGTTTTGGAATCTCCACCTGTGTTTCGGGGCTGTGTGAACTGCTTGAACAGGTGTAAGTTCAGTTTGGAATCAGGTGGCTTATAGGACACTGTATCCGACTCCTGCCGGGAAGTGTCCGTGGACAGAGACTTGACTAATGTCTTCATCAAGTGCCTGTGCCTTGCGGGGTGTGGGGATTCTTTTGGCTCCACCTCGGTCGACAGGGACTTCACAAGGCTCATGAAGGGTTTTGCACTGGAAAGGGTGGAGGTTGAGGCACTGGATGAGAGGATGGGAGACTTAGAAGGAGAGGACAATGGGGAGGAAGAACTGGTTTTCTGCTCAGAAAGGGATGACACACTGGGAGAGCTAGCTAAGGGCCCCGACGAAGACGACCCTGGGGACACAGCCAATGGCACTGTACTTAATACTTGTGCTGCTGGAACAGGGGACTCCAACAGCTTTACAGTGTTCTTGGAGACGGGCAAAATGGCAGGGGCCTGGGACACGGACAGTCCATCTGCCAGGACAGGCGAGGCAGCAGGGCCGGCGGGGTCATGGCCAACTTGGGGTTCAAGATAGAGGTCTTCCTTGGCTTCCAGCCCTGTTACAATGCTTTGGTCATCCAGCCCCTCCTCAAAGTACTCCCTGAACTCCTCCTCCTCTTCCTCCTCCTCCTCGCCGGATGCCGAGAAGTGAATGGCGATGGTATCTCGGGACACGGACCTCTGCACGTGCACTTTAGGGGCTGATGGTTTTGGCATGTCAGTGGTTTTCTCGGCATGGCGACCATACAGACTTGTCATTGCCGGCTTCACAAGGGCTCAGGCTCTGTGAAAACAGTGAGAAAACCAGAAGTCAGAGAGCAGTTTCTCCACAGGAGACGCTGTCATTCGCAGATAGGAGCACAGATGAAGCTGTTTAAGTGGTGATTATGCTTTTACTTGGCAGATGTCCACCGTTTTTCACTTCATTGGGTTTAATGGTTTAATTTTCACTAAATTCCAGTTAGGCATTCTCTTTTATGAGCAAACTACATAACCAATGTTATAAATGCCATACAATCTGTCTTACTTCACAACACCTGAGTAATCATTTCCTCCCTTTTAACTGGTTAATTTCTACCAACAATTTTCTATCTTAAGCCTTAAAATACCTGAACAATAGATGTTACCAGCATTGCTTGAGAAGCCCAACAGGATAAAATGTAGCATCCTGTTGAGTTTGAGGATCTTGGAACAAAAATTTCACTAGGAGTCTTGTAGCTGTAACAAGCTAACCCAGGAGGGGTATTGCGTTCACTGCAATTTTCACAGCAATCCTAACAATTATTTGGCCTGCATCTCCCAACTTCCTGCTATTGCAAGTAAGTAGCAAAGTATCCAAATGTGGAAATCTGTAAACTAATTGCCATGGTCTGTTGGCCTCCTCAAATGGTAGGTACCATAAGACCAGAGTATTTAGGCAGCCATGAAGACATGAGGCAGCCATGAGGACATGGCCACGTTCTGAGGCATCAGGATAAAGCAAACATATTTTAAACTGAATGCAAGATTCATGTGTCAGGAAAATGAAGTATCACTGCTGTAACCCACCACCAACCAAGAACTCTACCAAGGACTGTGGTGAGAGATGTGGAAGCTATGCTTTCTGCCCTTCTGGAGCTTAATAGCTGATTGCTTCTTTCTGGAGCTTAGCTGGAACGAAGTCAGAAGCCTGAAAAGCTGGGCAGCAAAACAAGATGCCACGCCCACCTTGTGACATGGTACAGTCATCTCTCTTTATTCACTCATGGCCCATTTACTGGGCACTAGCCCTACTATGTAAAAATTAAGACCACACCTGGACAGAGACCATGTAAAAAGAGCCAAGACACAGGGCACGCTTCAGAAGTTCTGAGGAGGATGACACCAGTGTGGGAGGTGGGACATCCAACGGGTCTTTGGAACTGATGGGTGAGTTGTAGTGGGATGAGCATGATTAGGCAGAGGGAAGGGACAAGGGCATAAAGATGGCAATGGGCATGGTGTGTGCAGCCACCTGGCTCTATTCTGTTTCCAGGACAGAGGGTGAGTGTGGGGAGCAGTGGGAGGCCATTGAGACAAAAGGGGCATCGTGGGGCAGTGGAAAGAGCACCCAGCTTGGGCCCAGGACATAGGGCTTCTAGTACTTGTCTTTCTACAGCTGACTCTGTGGGACTTTGAACAAGCCAGGGCCTCTCGATGTCTCAGTATCTTGGTCTGTAAAATGGAGGTAGATCCACAGTCCTTTCCAAATTTAAAACGCTACACGTTTATGTTTACAGGTGACTGTATCCAACCCAACACAATACGCTTACAAGTAATCTACCACAATCGACATTATGTGGCTTGCTTATTTCTTTAATTTGAAGAGCTCCTAATTTAAGCCTTCTGCTAAATATTCAGGTTCAAAATGCTGGCAACTGATATTACCAACAAGAGAAATCATAAAATGGGTAGGGGAATAAGGGGGTTTGGGAAACAGTGATCCTGGATCACTAGAAGGAGGAAATATTCCAAGGATGACAAGAATTACATTCAAGGGCCCAGCTGCAACATGGACTCAAGCTGAAACTACACAATTTCAGTATCAAATATTTGAGAGAAGTTACCGTAAAAACTTTCACACACAGTTCTGTCCAGGCTCATTTGTGACCCTCAGGCTTTCCTATCCTGAATCCAGGAAAAGGGAATGATCTCTATCCACCAACAAAGCAATTTAAATCCAGGAACTGGCAGCAGCCAGAAAAACACAGCCTCGGGTCCAGGACAATCCTTCCCTGTTATCTTAAGCTAAGGAATTTGTAGGCTTAGTAAGAAGAAAAATATCAGAAGCAACATATGTTTTTCATTTAACTATCACCTAGTTTTATAAGGGCAATTTAAAAAGAAAATTATAGAGGTAATTTAAAAAGAAAAGTTTGGTATTTGATAATTCTCAGTGGGCTGAAAAACTCATTTAAGTTGCTTTCATAACATAAAAGGATGATATGTAAGGCTCTGCTGTTCTGAGGCTGCTTCACCCACAGCGGTGGCTATAAATGAAGGTAACTGTGGGCACAAGTCCAAGTACAAAGTGCATGATTTTGAGGTTGAACAGAGTGAATCGGTCCTTCAGGAACCAAGGCAAGAGTGGAGAGGCCCGTCTGCAGTTGAGGATAAGAAGGCCTGGGAATCTAAGGGCAAAGTTAGGCCCAGCCTAGCGCCAAAGGGTGAAAACAGCAATGCGTTCAGAAGCCTGCGGTCTCAGCAGTCAGGCCAGGCCCCAGGGAACAAAAAGCTGGCACCTGCTCAGGAAGCAGAGTTATTTTTCGTGTGGAGGTCACCAGGACCCTGCTTGCCTAATCCTCCACACACTTGGGCCCCCTGACTGGCCAGGTAAAGCGACCTCTGATCAGACTGGGCGGACAGAGCTGAAGGTGGGCCCCAGGGAGAGCTGGGTGTCAGGTGGCCAGATGGGGGCAGGCTCTGGCTCACTGTTGTTATTGTCCTCCAGGGCTCACTCAGACAGTGGCCTCAGAGGTTCACAGTAAATGCCCCCAAACCCACACTAACCAAAGCCTGGTTCCACTTCTCTAGATTTTTACTAAAATAAGCCACACGAGGCCGGAGCATCACTACTGCTCTTTAAATACAAGAAAATGTCCAGGCTTCTGTTTGCTCATCTGCAAAATGAGGGGATTAGGCTAGATAAACAAAGGCTGCTTCCAGGCCCCAAACTGCTGGGTAATTGAGTGTGCTAGAACCAGAGACCATGGTTTGGGCTCTAGACAACCTATCAAGTGGTCACTGCCTCTGCCTCCTCCTGGGGACCACTTCAAGTTCCCTCTTCTCTCTGTCCTCCCAGTGGCTGGCTGCTAAGGCCAACTGAGCCGACCCTCCCACAGCCACAGCCATGCAGGACAGCCAAGGCCAAGAGGAAGGACCTGACTGACACCCAGGAAGACTACATGGTTTGTCCAAGGGCACAGCACTGACAACATGGGCTTCCTGACACTGAGGCCCGATGCCCGGCAGGGTGCCTTTTCAAACATGCCACACACGCTCTTTATTCCTGCTTTGTCCCAGCTTTTGTACCTGCCCTCTGTGCTCCGTCATGGACAGCTCACTTACAAGCTAAGACCTCAGTTCTCAACCAGCAGCATGTGACTGGCCGCACTGAGAAATGAAAGGTCTCATTATCCATCTGACAATCTGGTACCATATAAAATGGCTAGCCTCCTGCCCTCTACTCCTGAAACTCAATTATACCCAGGCTCAAAAAAAGAGACAAGCTTCTCTCAAGCCCTCAGGAACTGAAAGGCCAAAAAAGAAAGCTTCCTTCTCAACAGTCTCTTTTTCCCATAGTTCCAGCAGACTACAAAGCCCTTGGGTTTTAACACTGACCCCCCAAGCCTTGTGATGGGAAGGAGAGCTGTAGCTCATGTTGTCGCCAGGCTCCCATAGGTATGATTTCGTGCTGGAGAGGTGTTTAAGCAAAAGTCTGACATGATCAAAGTGGTACACAAAATTAATCACGTCCCGTCCCAGAATGGATGAGGGTGGCAGAGGCAACATGGAAAAACAGGTCTGGAGTCTGGTTGTCTGGGAAGGCAGGCTCCATTATCAGGCTCACAATTCTGCTGAACACAACTAACAATGAATACATTGAAAAAAAATTTCTGAATGGCTGGGCACGGTGGCTCACACCTGTAATCCCAGCTACTAGGGAGGCTGAGGCACAAGAATTGCTTGAATCCATGAAACAGAGGTTTCAGTGAGCTGAGACTGTGGCACTGCACCCCAGCGTGGGTGACAAAGTGAGACTCTGACTCCAGAAAAAAAAAAGTCTGAAAGGCTTTGAAGCTTCAAGAACTGAGCAAGGAATAACAGTACAGAAACTAAAGAAAACAGGAACCCCGAGGTATGAGCTCTAGAGAAGCCACCTTGCCCTCAAGCATTGGCCTAGCCTAGTCTGGCAAAGGACACTTTCACTTTTTTTTTTTTTTTTTTTTTTTTTTTTTTAAAGACAGAGTCTTGCTCTGTCACCCAGCCTGGAGTGCAGTGGCACAATCTCGGCTCATTGCAACCTCCGCCTCCCAGGTTCAAGTGATTCTCCTGCCTCGGGCTCCCCAGTAGCTGGGACTACAGACGCCCGCCACCACACCTGGCTAATTTTTGTATTTTTAGTAGAAATGGGGTTTCACCATATTGGCCAGGCTGGTCTTGAACTCCTGACCTTGTGATCCACCAATCTTGGCCTCCCAAAGTGCTGGGATTACAGGTGTGAGCCACCACACCCGGCAGCCTTTCACTTTAACAGCCTCCTGAGCAGAAGTCAACATCCAGGGCTGGCCAGCGTGGAACACCAACTGGAGACTCTTCCTCAAGGAGCCGGGACCCCAAAGGACTACAGCTACTAGGTAACAGGTGAACCAGAAGCAAACCAGGCCTCACTTAGACTGGAGGCCTAGGTTTGCCTCCTCTGAAAGAACCAGGGAATCTCAACCATGAGCTTCTTCCAAGGTGGTCTTGGACCAGAAATACCTCCAGGGACCTGGCAGAAGAAATTCTCTCCCCACGAAAGCAAAGCACTTTCACCCGAAGCCTCAAGTTATTCCGAGAAATACTTTCTCAAATACAATGAATGGTAAGCACATAACCAAAGGTAACCAAGCAGATGAGGAAACAAGACTAAGGACCAGCAGAAATAGAATATAACAGAAAAATAAGGACTTCAGATAATGGAATTATCAGGCATAGATTTGTTTTTACAAGTATGCATCAAGATGAGTTTAAAATACCTACAGGGAGTCCAGGCACAGTGGCTCACGCCTGTAATCCCAGCACTTTGGGAGGCTGAGGTGGGTGGATCCCTTGAGGTCAGGAATTCGAGACCAGCCTGGCCAACATGGCAAAACCTCATCTCTACTAAAAATACAAAAATCAGCTGGACGTGGTGGCGCATGCCTGTAATTCAAGCTACTCAGGAGGCTGAGACACAAGAATCGCTTGAAACTGAGAGAAGGAGGTTTCAGTAAGGCAAGATTGGGCCACTGCACTCCAGCCTGGGCAACAGAGTGAGACTCCATCTCATCAAATAAAATAAAATAAAATAAAATAAAATAAAATAAAATAAAATATCTAAAGGGAGAATTACAGGCAAGCAGACCAGTTTTAAGGCTATTCTGGCAGCCAAAGCATGATGTAAGAAATGCCTAAACTAGAGGAGTGGATGTGGAGCTGGCAAGAAAAGGCAGATGGAAAGAGAAGGAAAAGAATGAAGCAACAGGACCAGATGGAAGGTTGGAAAGGAAAAGAAAACATGAGGAACAGTCCAAATTGACTTAAGTCACTAAAGAGATAAGTCTAGTTCCTGTGAAGGCAGGCAGGGGAGATAAGGGACGTGGTACACAGGTAATGCTCCTCCCCTACCCCACTCAGAGACGTCCACATCCTAGTCCCTAAAACCTGTGAATCTGTTACTTCCCATGGCAACAGAGATTTTGCAGATATGATTGAGATGGAAAGATTATCCTGGATTGCCTGGGTGGGCCCAATGTAATCACAAGTGCCCTTAAAAGATATGAGGAAGGCAGAAACTCAGAGAAGGCGATGTGAAACAGAAGCAGACATCAGAGTAATGAGAGCAAGGAGCATGACCCAAGGAATGCAGGTGGCCTATGGAGGGGAAGAAAATATCTGCAAATCATTTATCTGATAAGGGGTTAATATCCAGAAAATGTAAAGAACTCTAATAACAAACAACTTGACACCTTATACAAAAATTAACTCAAGATGGATTAAAGACTTAAACGGAAAACCCAAAAACTATAAAAACCCTAGAAGAAAATCTAGGCAATACCATTCATGACATAGGCACAGACAAAGATTTCATGATGAAAACGTCAAAAGCAATTGCAACAAAAGCAAAAACTGACAAATGGAATCTCATTAAACTAAAGAGCTTCTGTGCAGCAAAATAAACTATCATCAGAGTGAACAGGCAACCTACAGAATGGGAGAAAATTTTTGTAATCTATCCATCTGACAAAGGTCTAATATCCAGAATCTACAAGGAACCTAAACAAACGTACAAGAAAAAAACAACCCCATTAAAAAGTGGGCAAAGGACATGAACAGACATTTCTCAAAAGAAGACATTTATGCAGCAAAAAAAATATGAAAAAAAGCTAAATATCACTGATCATTAGAGAAATGCAAATCAAAACCACAATGAGATACCATCTCACACCAGTCAGATGACAATTATTAAAAAGTCAAGAGAAAACAGATGCTGGTGAGACTGTGGAGAAATAGGAATGCTTTTACACTGTTGGTGGGAATATAAATTAGTTCAACCATTGTGGAAGACAGTGTGGCAATTCCTCAAAGACCTAGAACCAGAAATACCAGTTGACCCAGCAATGCCATTACTGGGTATATACCCAAAGGAATATAAATCATTCTCTTATAAAGATACATGCACACATACGTTCACTGCACCACTATTCACAATAGTAAAGACACAGAATCAACCCAAATGCCCATCAATGATAGACTGGACTAAAAAAATGTGGTATATATACACCATGGAATACTATGCAGCCATAAAAAGAAATGAGATCATGTCCTTTCCAGGGACATGGATGGAGCTAGAAGCCATTATCCTCAGCAAACTAACACAGTAACAGAAAACCAAACACTGCATGTTCTTACTTATAAGTGGGACCTGAACAATGAGAACACTTGGACACAGAGAAGGGAATAACACACACTGGGGCCTGTCAGGGGGCAGGGGGCAGGAAGAGGGAGAGCATCAGGATAAATAGCTAATGCATGTGGGGGTTAACACCTAGGTTGACAGGTGCAGCAAACAAGCATGGCACACATTTACCTATGTTAACAAACCTGCAAGTCCTGCACATGTATCCTGGAACTTAAAATTAAATTACATTTTTAAAAAAATGGGCAAAGGACTTGAAAGGACAGTTCTCCAAAAAGATATACAAATGGGCAACAAGCACATGGAAAGATGCTCAACATCACTAGTTATTAGGAAAATGCAATTAAAACCGCAATGAGATATCACCCCACATCCATTAGGATGACTACAATTAAAAAAGAAGAAAAGAAGTGTTGGCAAGGTTGTACAGAGATTAGAGTTTTTGTGCACTATTGGCAAGACTGTAAAATGGCGCAACTGGTATGGAAGTTTCTCAAAAGTTAAAAATAGAACTACCATATAATCCTCCAATCCCACTTCTGGGTATATATCCAAAAGAATTGAAAGCAGGGTCTCAAAAAGATATTTGCACACCCATGTTCACAGTGGCATTTCAGACAATGGCCAAGAGGTGGAAGCAACCCAAGTGTCCACTGACAGATGAATGGACAAACACAAGGGAATATTATTCAGCCTTAAAAGGAAGGAAATCCTGTCACATGCTACTACATGGATGAACCTTGAGGACATTATGCTAACGAAATAAGCTGACTAGTCACATAAAGACAAATACTGTATGATTCCACTTACAAGAGGTATCTAAAGTAGTCAAATTCATAGCAACAGAAAGGAAAATGAAGAGTTCCATGGGCTGGCAGAGGAGGAAATGGGGAGATGTTGTTTAATGGATACAGAATTTCAGTTTTATAAGATGAAAAAGTTCTGGAGATTGGTTGTATAACAATGTGAATATACTTAATACTACCGAACTTAAAAATGGTTAAGATGGTAAAATTTTGCTATACGTATTTTATCATAATTAAAAATAAAATTTGAAGGCCAGTATATGTGCAGGTTAGTTACATTTTAAAAAGCAAAAATTGGTCAGGCGCGGTGGCTCACGCTTGTAATCTCAGCACTTTGGGAGGCTGAGGTGGGTGGATCACCAGGTCAAGAGATTGAGACCATCCTGGCCAACATGGTGAAACCCGTCTCTACTAAAAATACAAAAATTAGCTGGGTGTGGTGGTGGGCACCTGTAATCCCAGTTACTCGGGAGGCTGAGGGAGGAGAATCGCTTTAACCTGGGAGTCAGAGGTTGCAGTGAGCTGAGATCGCGCCACTGCACTCCAGCCTGGCAACAGAGCGAGATTCCAACTCACAAAAAAAAAAAAAAAAAAGCAAAAATTGGAGGTCAAGATGGGAGGACTGCTTAAGGCTAGGAGTTTGAGACCAGCCTGGTCAACACAGGAGACCCATCACTATTTTAAAAAATAAACAAATAATATAAAATTTTAAAAGATTTCACTCTTCAAAACTACAAAGAAATAATACTCTGAACCACTTGTTATGCCAACTAAAACAATTCTATTCAAAAACTTCACATTGTTCTTTAGTGTTTACACTACAGTGTGGTTAAGTTATAAGATAATAGATGTAAATGTATTTATGCTCCCATACATTTGGGGTGGGGCAGGGGTGGGGTGGGGGAGGCTATTTGGAGCCAAATGCCCTCTAAACCTTAGCCTTGATCCGGTATGTTTCCAGAAAGCAGGATGTCTCAAACTCTTCTGCTGATGGGTCCTTCCTAAGGTCTTTGCCAGAATCCTCCTTTAAGGTTGCTATCCCTATGAAGAAGTTCATCTCTCCCATTAAGACTGAGAAAGCCTCTAATAAGGGCTTCTCTCTCCAGAATTTATGTAGGATTCTGTTCTATCTAGTTTACAAATTAGTAGCTGCCATCTAACTTGAACTCATAAAAAACAAAGGCCTCAAACTGGAGCCAACTGCGCTCTGTGTCAGTGGAGTCAGAGTGAGCGTATCAAACAGCAATGAGGTTTATTTGCTTTCTGTTCACCCAAAAAGGTCATCATCATCAATTAGGCCATGAAAAACCAATCAACAATAAATCAGGCTGTATAATAAAAAATGAAGAGCCATTTCAAGACTCAATATTAGCATTTATTAATTCCAAGATAATATTAACCTCACTGAATCTGGCTTTTTTTTTTTTTTTTTCACTTTTTTTCTTTGGTCTCATTTTCTACTAATAACTGCCCTTCCTAGCTCTGTCTTTCACAATCCTGGGGTTCTAGAATCAGAGCCATAAAAAGAGCAGATGGTTCGTTCCAGGCCACTCAATTATCACCAACACGTGTTTGTTCATAGCAAACACACTAGGCCAAATAGTAGTATAGCCATGAATATTATTTACTTCTAATTCATATACTAGATTAGAGGAAATACTGGAGGAAAGAATGAGAGACAGGGTAAGGCAGGGAGGGAAGAAAGCAAATTTCATTGAAAATGGAACCAGCCTCCAGGTACAGTGTACAGTGAGCACGGTAACAGAGCATCTTTTTTTTTTTTTTTTTTTGCGATGGAGTTTCACTCTTATTGCCCAGGCTGGAGAGCAATGGCACGATCTAGGCTCACTGCAACCTCCAGCTCCCAGGTTCAAGCGATTCTCCTGCTTCAGCCTCCTGAGTTGCTGGGATTACAAGTGCCTGCCACAACACCTGACTAATGTTTTTTATTTTTAGTAGAGACGGGGTTTTACCATGTTGGCCAGGAGGCCGAGGCAGGTAACACAGCATCTGAAGGGGCAAGCCTGGTGTCGAGTGTGCTTCCTTTCTCGGGACCATCCCTAATCCTTCAAGGTCATTATTCACATTCTTTGTCTTTGTAAAATTCAGCCTGTTAGGCATTTGCTACCTCTGAACAAGCTTGCATTTGGACATTTGATGTATGAGTACCATCTGCTAGCTTGGGTTATGTCAGTCAACAGTTTCAATCCAAAAGCTCCTGGCAGAGGAAAAGAAGGCAAGCTGCATTCTATTGCAGAGGATGTCTTAATACTTCTTACCTGTGCATTTTTTAATAGGAGTTGGTTTTGTAAAAAGGAGGGAAAAGGCTATAAGATTCTGTATTTTTCTGCCTTGATGCCACAGAGCAAAACAGTGAATCTGGTCAAAACCAACCACGGCAGGAAGGTCTGATTTAGCCTACAAATCTCAAGTACATCTTAAGAGCTATCCCTTGATTCATTTAAATTCAATGAAGCAGCTGAGAACTGCCAGCAGCCATTCTAATCTGTTAATACTCCACCTCACAAACAAAAATCAATATGACATTGTAGATAATGAACTAGCTCTAGCCTTAGTTTCATTTAAAGAAAAGAAAAAGACAAGACTCTATCTTCATCACTGGCAAGAAACTTGGAAATCCTTTCCCATTAGTTGTTAGGTTCCCAGGCCCCTACTCACCATCTCTTCCGACCCAGCAGGGTCCTGCACCACCACCAACACAGCACAGGGTTTAGACGAAGAAACTAGCAGGCCCACTCCCTTCCACCACCGCATAGACCTTTTACCTGCCATGAAGAAAGCCCACTCTGGGAAGAGTGCCACATCCCAGAGGAAAGGGGGGTTCGAAAGCATCAATACAATTAGAATTTTGCTTTATAGATTGCTAGATGGCTCAAATAACAAAATCAAATTCAATTCACAGTAACTCATTGAAAACCAGGTCATGCGTTCAGCACAACCATACAAGGCCTGTGGAGGTTTATAAAAAATAATAATGGGGGCATCTACAGGGGAAAACTCAAGGAGACAACACATAGACATCAGAAAATGACATCAATATGGGGTCACAGAAACCCTAGAATAAGTAATGATAACTCAGGACAGGTGTGTCCTAAACAGATGGTACTTATCAAGTAAAGAAGTCTGGGAATAACTTTTTTTTTTTTAAAGCAGAAAAGTCATCTATGTGTCTTAGAAGGAGGATATGCAGAGAAGAGAATATTGCAGGCTGGGCACAGTGGCTCAAGCCTGTAATTCCAACACTCTGAGAAGCCGAGGCGGGAGGAATGCTTGAGTCCAGGGGTTCGAGACCAGCCTGGACAATACAGCGAGACACTATCTCTATTTAAAAACAACAAAAAAAGAATATTGTGGATATGAAGCAACAGCACATGGAAGGGCATTGAGATGGGAACAAGGCAGCTACACAAGAGGGACGTTAACTGCTACCTGAAGCTGAGGGGTGGTGCTAGGGGTGAGGAAAGAATATTAATATTTGAGTTCAGGAGCAGGCAATCAATTGTTCCAAACCTCTAAATGTGCTTGAATTTATATTTAAATCTTAAAAAGAAAACCTTTCCATGTACTTTTCACCAATCATTCCTAAACCGTAGGCTCTTGAGAAATCTGAAAACCAGGAGTAAGCATTTTTCTTCAGAGGAATGAATGCCTGGAAGCCAAGAGAGTATGGTGCCGAAAGCCCAAGATATGAGAATAGTGTGTTGTGGCTGTGGTCACAAAACAACACATTTTTCTTTTCTTTTCTTTTTTTTTGTTTGTTTTTTGTTTTTTTGAGACAGAGTCTCGATCTGTCACCCAGGCTGGAGTGCAGTGGCAAGATTTCAGCTCACTCCAACCTCTACCTCCCGGGTTCAAGCCATTCTCTTGCCTCAGCCTCCCAAGTAGCTGGGATTACAGGTGTATGCCACCACAACCAGCTAATTTTTGTATTTTTAGTAGAAACAGAAATTCGCCATGTTGGCCAGGCTGGTCTTGAACTCCTGGCCTCAGGTGATCTGCCTGCCTTGGCTTCCCAAAGTGCTGGGATTACAGGCGGAAGCCACCATGCCTAGCCAAAACAACACATTTTCAAAAGCTGATGCTCATGGGGTAACATGTTAACAACAATGTACCTTTGGGAAAGGGTTTAAGATTCCATTTTTACTTTTGCATCCATTTTAAAGTTTGAAACTATGTCCAAATTAAAAACAAAAGCAGCATTCCTAACCACTGTTTGGCTTTGGGGATATCATGAGAGCTGCTCCCCTCCCGTCCCTATTGGTTCTACCAGTTGGGATTATCAAGCAGGGTTCCAGGCAGTAAGAGGAGAGAGCTGAAGTTGTACCATTCCTTAAATTCTCAAGCTTCATTTTGAAATAATGACAGATTCTCAGGAAGTTGCCAAAGTAGTACAGAGAGGTTCCATGTACTTTTCACCAATCATTTCTAAAATTTTAAAGGCAAATCTTGTAAGTCAGATAAATTCCAAGTGGTTAAGAAATCATGTTTTTAACTTTCATGCAATGTAAGAAAAATGCATTCCACCTGGCAGAGTAAAACTTCCCCTTAGAAGGACTTACAGTCTTTCTTAAGGTCTTTCTTTAATGGTCAAATTTAGGAAGGCATCTTCAATAGGTATCTCCCAAGTACATGAACAGGCACTTCACCCAAAAGTTCAAATGGCCAAGAAACAAATAAAAAACTCAACCTTACTAAAAATAATACAGAATTGGAAACAAACCGATGAAATAATTTCTCTCAATGATTAAAACATGTATGATGCTGGCAAGGGCACAATGAGACAAACCCTCTCTTGCACTAAGGCTGGAACATAATTAGCAAAAACTTTGCTGAAAACTGGTATTAGAAACTAGAAAATTAGTAAAAACTTTTCTGTAGTATAAAAGTAGTATAAAAAATAATAAAATATTTATAAAAAATAATGGGTGCATCCACAGGGAAAACTCAAGGAGACAACACATAGACATCAGAAAATGACATCAGGCTGGGCACGGGGGCTCACGCCTGTAATCCCAGCTCTTTGGGAGGTCGAGGCAGGCAGATCACAAGGTCAAGAGATCGAGACCATCTGGGCCAACATGGTGAAACCCCGCCTCTACTGAAAATACAAAAATTAGCTGGGCGTGGCGGTGCGCGCCTGTAGTCCCAGCTACTCGGGAGGGTGAGGCAGGAGAATTACTTGAACCCTGGAGGCGGAGGTTACAGTGAGCTGAGATCCTGCCACTGCACTCCAGCCTGGTGACAGAGTGAGACTCCGTATCAAAAAAAAAAAAAAAGAAAATGACATCAATATGGGGGCAAAAAATCCCTAGAATAAGTAATGAAAACTCAGGACAGGTATGTCCTAAACAGATGGTACTCATCAAGTAAGTACTCATCAAGCTGACACCAATGTACAAATGTCTGCACTGGGCAAAAAAAAGGAGAGGGTAGCATTAATTCTCATTTTCTCCATATAACAGGTTTAACAGTAATTGTTATTTGCTAATTTCAGGTATTTCCAAATACTTTTGTGATCTGGAAAAAAAATTATATGTAAACACATGTCAATCTTTTAAAAATTATTATAATCATTATCTTCAGAATATAAAATTGCCCTAGCCAATCCTCCGTGCCTTACCCACAAGAAAACTAAGGCAGAAAGACTCATTTTTATTAAATGAGGACACACTGTATGTATGTATGTAATCTGCTTTTATACTCAAGATTACACACTGAAGTAATCTATCATTAGCAAGGCCTTTAGTTTGAGTTCCACCAACTTGGTAGCAGTCTGGCCCTCTGGCAAATCATTTACCCTAACCAAGCCTAAGCTTCTTTTCATCTGTAAAATGGGAATGGCAACTGACTGTTCAGAAGATTAAACGAAACAACTTAAGCAAAGCACTGAGCATGATCCCTGGCACAGAGCAGCCCTCCCTAATTGTTTACTGTTCTTATAAGCATTTTCTCAAATCAAAGATTATTTCATGCATGATTTTTAATCGCTGTATAGGATGAATATTCCATAATGTAATTCAAGAATACCACTTGAATTTCTTATTACAAACAAGACTGCAATGCTGCACATGATGCTATAGATAAACCTTTGACTAGCTATAGATAAACCTTTGACTGCCCTCTGGTTATTTCCTTAGGAAATATTTCTAGAAGTGAAATGAGAGAGTTGAACCATATGTATACATCTTCACTTCAATAAAAAATATATAATTTCAAACTCATTGAAAAAAACTTCAAAAACAGATGTAGAGGAAAAGTGAAATTTTCTCCTCCTCCCTGCAAAATCAGCTTCATGGAAGACAATTTTTCCACGGACCAGAGGCAGCGGGGTATGGTTTCGGGATGATTCAAGTATACTGCATTTATTGTGCATTTCATTTCTATTGTTATTACATTGTATATAATGACACAATTCTACAACTCACAATAATGTAGAATCAGTGGAAGCCCTGAGCTTGTTTTCCTGCAACTAGACAGTCCTATCTGGGGGTGCTGGGAGACAGTGACAGATCATCAAGCATTAGATTCTCATAAGGAGGAGCAACCTAGATCCCTCGCATGCGCAGTTCACAGTAGGGTTTACACTCCTATGAGAATCTGTGCCGCTACTGATGTGACAGGAGGTGGAGCTCAGGCAGTCATGCGAGGGATGGAAAGGGGCTGTAAATACAGATGAAGCTTTGCTCACTCACCCACAGCTCACCTCCTGGTGTGCAGCCTGGTTCCTAGCAGGCCATGGACCGCTCCTGGTCTGTGGCCCGGGGATTGGGGACCCCTGGTTTAGAACGTATCTTTCCAGACCTTTCATAGGCATTTTGTGTGCATACAAAAGGTAGTGCGCACAAATAAAGTTGTTTTTGTTTTTACTTTTAAATGAGATCATATTATACAAATTGTTTTGCATTTGTTTTTTACTTACTATTTCTTGGACCACCTCCTATGGCCTATACCTATGGACTGACAGGTACACACACACACACACACACACACACACACACACACACACACCTTTTCTACACAGTAAGGTATGCCACTATTAACTTAATCATTTTTTTATTTGATAGAAATTTGCAGGGTTTCCTGTTTTCACCATTAGAAACAACGCTGCCTTTAAAAGCTGTGTTTCCATATAAATCTTGTGCAAAAAGAAAGTCTATCTGTAGGATGTATTTCTAGAGTGGAGTTGCTGGGTCAAATGAGGTACATATTTAAAATTCTGAAACTGTTTGCCAATTTGTCCAATTTACTCTCCTAATTAACATTGTATAAAATGTCCACCTTCAACCCTGGTCAAGACTGAATATTATTTTAAATTTCTGCCCATTCAGTGGGCAGGGAAAAGGTATCTCAATGCTTTGATAGTCACTTCATACTTTTCCCTCATTTGCTTCTCTTCTTCTGTTAACTGGTCGTTCATATTTCTTGCCCAAGGACTTTTGTTATTCACTTCTTTATCAAGGATAGTTAATACTTTGTCTATTGTATGTGTTCCAAATATTTCCTTCCATCTCTGACTTGCCTTTTAATTGTATGGGTTTTTTTTTTAATATACAAAGTTTTACATTTTGAGATGTTGAAGCTCTCTATCTTTTTCTTTATGGCTTCTGGATTTTTTTACAGCTTCCTGATGAAGCCTTCCCATTCCATCAGCATAAAAACATTCGTCTTTGAAATCTTTTTAGAAAACGCTGACAATAGTGTATATAACACACATAACACACATATTGCTCTGTTTCCTATACAAGGATCTAAATTTTAACTTTGGAAAAACTGACTGATATGGACAATCATTTCTCTATTTTCTAGCTATAATAAACTGTAAAGCATTGAATTTATTCCCTTCAAATCATATTAGGAAATTAGACAACCTAGCTTACATCTAGGTTGATCACTGGCCATTCAGCTTCTCAATGTGAGGAACGTATTTCAGATTAATTCTTCAAAAACTGAAAAAACTCTTTAAGAACTCAAAAAAATTAGCCGTTTCCCCCAGTCAGAAACCCTCCTTTTCACACAGGCATCAGCAGACTTAACCTTGATATAGGGCAGTAAATTTGCTAAGTGTAATCTTACATCAGAATGTTATTTATAGGTAAGGCATCTGAGGGCCAAAGAAGATAAATTTTTTTAAACCAGGTTTAAGATGTGTGCATGCATGTGTGCACATGTGTATGTGCATGTATGTGTGCACACATGTGTGTGTAGGGGAAAGAGTGGGACTGAGGGAAATAGGAATTGATGGGAGGAATATGAGAAGGCATGGTGGAAGGTTTCCCAGGGGCCCCGTGTGAGCTGGCCCATGGGGACCTGACAAGGTGCCCCGCCAAGACAAAATGGAGAGTACATTTTAAGTGGAGGACAAAGCAGAAGAAAAGGAATAGAGGCAAGAAACCCAGAGCCATGTTCACAACTGGCAAGGTTAGGAGATACTGGTTCCTGGCACAGGCATGGTCCTGACCTGGCCGGCTGGCCACCTCATGGTTCCCTGAGGAGAACCACTTGCCTATAGGCCCTGAGGGGGAACATTCCCCACCCAACTCTACCTCTGTTGTGGATCATGCCAAGAAAGGATTGCCCACTGATGAGATGATTGGGATTCAGACAATTGTTCAGTTAGTAGTAAATCAGTCATTGAAAACACAGACCGAGTGAGGCCATGAGGCAGCAGAGGGAGGAGCTCCACGGAGGACCACAGCCCTCAAATGGCCCTCAAATGACAGTGACGGAGCTCCCCACTTCACCTCCCTGAGCCTGGGGTTCTGCTGTAAACTGAGGGAAGCTTCCTCCATTGTCTTCAAGGAATTTTCCAGAAGGCTCTAAATTCTAAGAGTCTATGACTCAATTTCCATGGAACAGAACATACTTAGAGTCCTACTTTTCTCTTTTGTAACAAGAGAAATTCTTGGCAACTGTTAAAGTCAAGGAAAGCAAACCAGAGTGCACATCAGCTGACTAATGTGCCTAAGGCAATTAAGTCAAAATATTTTTCAAATAGTACTGAAACAGCTCATCTCCCATTAACAAATACTTCTAGACTTTCCAGACTTGTCTTGCTCAGCCCAGCTGTAGAAACATCCCTTATGTGTGCTGGCCATTAGGTGGAGAGTTTCCAACCTATGAGAATGAGCTGCAGATCAGCCGCACCTGCATGTGCTCAGGCACCAGAGGACAGGCATCAACTTGGCCTCCTCAGCAGCCCCTATCTTTCCCCCACCTACTGCCAAACAGTACAGAAGGTGACTGTGAGGCTGCTCCTGCTCAGGCTGTGATGGGGTTGAACTTCATGGGGCTCTCTATCCCAGTGCTTCATTAGTTCTTACTCTGTACAAACATCACCCAAGCACCACTTCTCAGCCTCACTAAGAATCTTGAGTCTCCCACCAAGTACCATATATGTGCTTCAGGCAACCCTGTGTGGTCACTGTTGTGCCCATTCAAGTCTGAAAAACTCTGAGGCTGACTAAAGGACGGAACCAAAGGAGAGACTGAATGCAGGCTGGCCCTTCACACCACTCTGCTCTAGGAAAACTAACACAGCCTCATGTGGACAGGACCGTCTCTGGGGTTCCTGTTCGCCAGCAACATCCACTCTATCTTGTTTCAGTATTAAGCTTCTGTCACTTTAATGCATATTAATAGATGTGTTTGTCATTATTAAGGTGGAAGGTGGTTAGATTCTGAAGGGAGGTGAGAACTGAATAGGTCCTGGGGTGCAACACAATTGCACAGAAAACCTGGTTAAGAACTCAAACTCTGAAATTAAACAGACCCAGCTTTGGATTCCAGTTCCACCTCTTATCAGTGTGTCACCCTGGACAAGTTACGGCAAAAGGCCTCTTTTTCCTTACATATAATGCAGATAATAGTGCCTATCTCATAGGGGCTGCTGGGAGAATTAAGAAATAACACTTAACATATGTAAGCTACTATAATCAGCATCCACAGCAGGTGTGAGCACATCTTTTTATCCGTGCCGACTCAGCCTGTGGACTCACCGGCATGTTATCCGGGATCAGACAGCTTGTTTCCAGCCTTCTCTAATCACCAGCACTGGACTGTCCTGACTGTCTGACTTTAGGTTTAGTTCAGGCAGCTGTGACCATTAAGAATGACACAATGACAATGTAAAAATATGTACTGTACATATACATCGTAATACAAAATGAAAAGGCAGAATTTAGGATGATGTACATCACCTAGGTAAATGAACACAACAGGATCCTAGGAGGCTTATAGAGACTAAGTATTAATAGTTGGTGTTTCGTGGTGAAAGAGTTATTGGTGTTTGATTTCAGTGAAAAGCTGATGAAAAAGGATCTTTTTTAAATGAGAGCTGTGGATAAGATCTGTAGTTTCATCAACCTCTTTTTTTTCTGTCCCCTCCCCATGTTGGCCACATGTTTTTCAATATTCTTACATTGTTTACCAGTAAACTGATTAATTCTGTGTATTATTCTTCCATTTCAATACTGATCCAAATTTTAATCAACAATCCATATTTATAAGGGGTTCATAATGACATTATAAAAATCAAGTCACTGCCACAGGTGTGATAATAAGCATAGCTGAGCAAGCAAGAAACAATCAGTGGCTTCATTTCCATAGTCAAGGGCACTCACATTCAAGGTCAACCTCATTCTAAAGGTAGTGGGAAGTGAGACCTGGTACCAGCTCCAGTAACAATATCTACAGTTAGACCAATCCTGTGTCAGAAACTCCTATTATGTCATCCACAGCCAATCAGAACGTGGAGTCAGCATGAAACCTTCCATACAGGGTTGCAATTCCAAACAAAAGCAAGGAAACTTGATGGTTTGGGTAGCTTTTGTATGTTCATCCTGGGTAAAAGCATAGTTTCTGTTAAGCCTTTTCAAATGCTGAAAATGGTCCCTGGTTCCCATGGGTTCCTTTGCAGATGGCATGAGCCCAGGTCAGCTCCACCTAACAGACTGCTGGTGAGACAACTGATCATCCCTAATCATTACCTTCTTAATCACAGTTCTAAAAAGGCAGAGGCATTTGGGATTGAGGGAAGGGTTAGTGTACCAGAAAATCCTAGGCAACATCTTCAACACACAAATGACCCAGCTCACCCCTATCCATCTTGAGGCTTATCATGATTGTGGAGTTTCACAACTGATGGATTGGAAGACATTTTTTTAATTCCCCAGTCATCATAAGCCTATATGTGCACAACCACACACACAACTACCCCACCCCCAAACACACACACATACCCTGCCCCGGGGCCCACCCTGGAACTGAGATTCACTGGTGTAAAACAACTTGGACCATTAGGAATGCATTACACTTTAAAAACACACATGCGGCCTGGTGTGGTGGCTCGCGCCTGTAATCCCAGCACTTTGGGAGGCCAAGGTGGGTGGATCACGAGGTCAGGAGTTCAAGACCAGCCTGGCCAAGATGGTAAAACCCCATCTCTACTAAAAATACAAAAAATTAGCCAGGCGCGGTGGCAGGCGCCTGTAATCCCAGCTACTTGGGAGGCTGAGGCAGGAGAATCGCTTGAACTTGGAGGGTGGAGGTTGCAGTGAGCCAAGATCGCACCACTGCACTCCAGCCTGGGTGACAGAGTGAGACTCCATCTCAAAAAACAAACAAACAAACAAAAACACATGCATACCCAGAAAGAGACAATGGAATCACGAGGAATTCAGGTGGAGATATAGTACCAGTTATTCCCTGGCACCAATAACTAGTTAATATAGTCTACACCTACCTTGCAAGGCACCATGTTAGAGGCAAGTGCTTTCTAACAGGCTATTGCTGTGTAACTACATCAAAGAAGGGCAAGTCTCTATCAAGGTCAATGAACTCATTTAAAATATCTGAAGAATCAGAAATGGGCAGCTGCTTCCATAGACACAGGGCACAGTGAGACCATGTCCTGCTCCTGATCTTCACTACACATGCCTGTACTGTTTGCCCTTGAGTTGTGGCCTTACCTCCTGGGACGTGGTCCTAACCCCCCAACTCAGATCCTAGGTACAGAGCTGGCCCCCGCCAGGGCCTCCATGGACGCCCATTCCTGAAGGTCTGTTCCATTGCTGTCTAAAGGCCAAAAGCAGAGCAGAAGGCAGAAATAAGGGGTAAGGAAAAAAGGCAAGTGGAATAAAAAAGAAACGTGAATGCATAAAGGAACAAGAAAAAAGTGTTTCTCAGCAGATTGGGGAAAATAAGCACAAGGAGCATTTCATAACCAGAAATACAAGTACACAGCATGGAACCACACCGTCTAATCTAATTCTGGAGGTGCTATAAACCTGATGGCTGTATTGGGGCTCCATTTGACATTTCAAAGAAACAAACGCTGTAAAATTGTGATCTTGATGTTTTTCTGTTCACAGGTCCAATATCTGCCTAACAGCAGTATCCTGTCTTTCCAGATGATTAGCGTTGAGTTTGTTGTTGGGTTTTTTTCTTCCAGCTTATGTGAGTCCTCAGAGAGCACTGTCTGCCAAAGCAAAACGCCAAAACAGGAGCAGAACTTTCTGGCCATCCATGTGCAATTAGGAGCCCATTAAATACCACCCAGATAACTCAACACCCAAAATCATCCTCCATGGCGCAGCTGACAGCTGAGGCTAACTGGAAAAAACACCAGCTCAGGAGCAGCCTCACTGGGTCTGGATCTGTCGAATGAGGACCATGATGGTAAAACCCCACCCCTCAGCTTGTTGGGAGAAAGAATAAATGGGACGGCACTTCATACACTGTCAATTTAGGCAGTGACAGCACAGGAACATCATAATTAACCACACTGCTCTCTCCCCATGGATCTTTATGATGGAGTAAATGACACCAAGAAATATTACCACTTGTTCTCAAAATATCCTATTGATTTGGCAGTTACTCTATTTAAATACAAAGATACAATGGTTATTTATTTCTTCAGAAAATACAGGTATTTTTTTTTTCCTCCAAAAACATTATGATTGCCATTTTAATTTCTGTGGTTAAAGAACACCTTTAGGTACTGGGCAGCGCATGACCCAGTCCAGTAAAGTGGCAGGAATTCTTGGAAAAAAGGGCCATAGAGATCCAAGTCAAACGCAGTCCTGATCTGTGAAGATGTATCAGAGGGACCCTGAACCAACAAGAACAACAATCAACGTTTATGACTGCCAGCCCTCTAGCTAATCACTTTACCAACATTATAACACTATCTCATCTAAGCCTCACAATTCTGCCAGGTAGGTACTATCATCATTTCCACATTTAATACACGAGGAAAAAGAAAGTGGTTTAGGCAACTCACCAAGGTAACAAAGCTACTAACTAGCAGAGCTAGGACTCAGGTTCCAAGGCCATCCTCTTAACCACTGTGTGGCACTGCCTCATGCGGATGCTTCCGTTGACAAACCAATCTGGAGCCAACAGAAGCTTTCTGCAGGTGCTCTGTGCTCCAAGAAAGTGTTCCATCCACTCAGTACTTACTGAGCACATCACTGGAAAGACAAAGACTTTCACCCTATCTACCCAGGGGGAACATCAATTCTGGGGGACCTTGAGTGTAATGACAACTCAGGCAAGCACTGAAAGGTGCTTTTAAAAAGTCACAGTAATTCACAGACCAGGCTATAAAGCGCTTTTGTCTATTGTGATAGGCCCCTCAAAACTTGTTTGGGGTAAAAAGCTGCCTATTAGGGATATATGTTCCATACTGTGAAGACTTTCTTACAAAAAGTAAACCACAGTTTACAGCAAAAAGAAACCAGCAGGCCTAGGTCATCCCTGAGTATGACCCATCCTATTCTGCTCCTCTAATTCATTGCTATACATAAGTAAATGTTCTACTACAAGTACTAAAATCATAAAAACTCCCAAATTCTGCACATCCCTTTTTGAGTGCTATGGGAATATATTTCCATCTTTAGGGAAGTTGGTTACATTAGCCTAGGACTTTACCGAGACACAAACAAGCTATATCAGATGAGCTTTCCTATGAAATTCCACCTGTAGCAAATGTTCATCCATATTACTGTTACCTGGTGACTTTGTTGATGACTCTGTCTTCCCCTTTACACTGGCCACCTTGGGCACCTGCAACACAGATTTTTCCCTATGTAAACTCCTCCTTGAAATAGCAATCTAAATAGCTTAAGGTACAGCCGGCTCTCCATACCCACAGGTTCCACATCCGCAGATTCAACCAACTACAGATCGAAAATATTCGGGGAAAAAAAAATACAACTAAAAAAAAATAAAAATTTTAAAAACAATACACAATATAACAGCTATTTACATAGTATTCACATCTTATTAGATATTACAGGTAATCTAGAGATTATTTAAAGTATATATGAGGGCTGGGCCCAGTGTAATCCCAGCACTTTGGGAGGCTAAGGCAGGAGGATCGCTTGAGCCCCAGGAATTTGAGACCAGCCTGAGCAACACGGTGAGACCCCGTCTCTACAAAAAGTTTTAAAAATTAGCTGGGTGTGATGGCTCACGCCTGTAGTCCCAGCTACCTGGAGGCTGAGTGGGGAGGATCACCTGAGCCCAGGTTGACACTGCACTCCAGCCTGAGCGACAGAGTAAGACCCTGTCTCAAAAAATTAATTAATTTAAAAATAAAGTATATGGGAGGATGTGCATAAGTTATATGCAAATATAACACCACTTTATACAAGCGACTTGAGCATTCTCTGATTTTGGTATCTATCAGGGATCCTAGAACTAATCTCCTATGGATACCGAGGGATGATTACACTACAATACAGGAATTAATTTAAGAATAACACCTAGTTAAAGATAAACTCTTATTTTTCCCTCAATTTATTATGCACACAAACATTTGGAGTTAGCTATAGATCTATGGCTCTCTTAATTTCACAATTTATTCACTGTTAAATGTCTGTTTGCATAAACATTTTAATGTAAGCCAAATCTTGACAGTTGGACACGTGGAATTTGAGCTCTGAGAGTGAAGGCAATGATTGAATATTCCGGACTTACTTGTTTCCTGTCTTATAATTTGCAAAGTGGTGCAGTACTCAGATTGACCTCAGGGAGCTTAGAGAGGGGTGAGGAGCGAGACAATCACATAATCAATGCAAGAACTAGGAAGTGATGTGAAGGGCACCAAGAGATCACAGTCAGCAGGGAAACCTGATCCGTTTTGAATATTAATCACAGAAGGGCCCCCTGAACAAGTGGGCATTGGGCTGACATCTCCAGGATGAGTCGAGCTGGCTAAGTGATGGCAGCGTGGGCATTCCAGAAACAAGAAGGGTAAGAGTAAGGGCCTGAGGCAGGCGCAGAGCCTCATGGGGGAATCTGAAGCAGCTTCTCGGGGGTGAGTATTATACACACAGTATGAGACAGGAGTGCGGCAGGGGCTGGGTCATGCAGTGCCTTGAAGGCCACATTGAGGATCTAGTTTTTTTCCTAAGGGAAAGGAGGAACAAGTGAAGGCTTATTGTATGTGGTCTGGAGACAGGTATGCAGGTGACCAGATGCGTATTTTGAAAAGCTTTTTCTGGCTGTAGTGTGGAAAATAAACTGGAAAGAGGCAAGAAAGGGTTCAGGAAGGTCAGTTAGACAATAACAACATTTTAAGTGAGAGACAATGGCAGCCCGGACTAGCGGGGTGGCTGTGGAGATGGGTGAAGGGATTTGAGATTAGGAGATGAAATGCATGGAACTTGATGGGTTGCATATGGGAGTAAGGAAGAAGGTGTTCTTAAGCCCTAGGTTTTGGGCTACAAGACTGCAAGGACAGGCTCCCATTCACCAAGTCTGGGAATTTGAGAAGGGCTGGGTTTCTGGGAACATGGTAGGTTCAGTTTGGGACATTTTATTCTGAGATACTTGGTGACCTCCCAGTGTGAGTATCAGAAAGGTGTTTAAAGTTCTGGTTCAGTAACTGATACTATTACATGTCCACCCAGATAGGAGACTAACAGTTCCTTACAAATAACCTACAACCAGCAGAAAAATAACCTGTTGAATGACGAAGTATTTTCATCACTGTTAAAAGTCACGAACTTCTAACAAAACTGCACAAGCAACATCTATAATAAAAACAATTTCAGCCAGGCGCGGTGGTTCATGCCTGTAATCCTGAGACTTTGGGAGGCCGAGGTGGGAGAATCACGATGTCAGGAGTTCGAGACCAGCCTGGCCAACATGGTGAAACCCCGTCTCTACTAAAAACACAAAAATTAGCTGGGCATGGTGGTGGGCGCCTATAATCCCAGCTACTCAGGAAGCTGAGGCAAGAGAATCGCTTGACCCTGGAGGTGGAGGTTGCAGTGAGCCGAGATTGTGCCATTGCACTCCAGCCTGGGCGACACTGTGAGACTCTGTCTCAAAATAAATAAATAAATAAAACTAAAATAAGACCATTTCAAAACTGTCTGTGTAAGTTCAATTTTTTAAAATATATCTTTCAAGAGAAAGTTAATTCCATCTACTATTCAAGATAAAAATTATTTAAATTTTGGCATTCTAATTTAAACCAATGTATTAGTCTGTTCTCATGCTGCTTTGAAGGAATACCCAAGACTTGGTAATTTATAAAGAAAAGAGGTTTAATTGACTCACAGTTTCACATGGCCGGGAGGCCTCGGGAAACTTACAATCACGGCAGGAGACACCTCTTCACAGGGTAACAGGAGAGAGAATGAGTGCCAAGCGAAGGGGGAAGCCCCTTATAAAACCATCAGCTCTTGTGAGAACTCACTCACTATCACAAGAACAGCATGAGGGTAACCACCCCCATGGTTCAATTACCTCCCACCAGGTCCCTCCCATGACATGTGGGGATTATGGGAACTACAATTCAAGATGAGATATGGGTGGGGACACAGCCAAACCATATCAACCAGGCAGCAAACAAGAAACTTCAAAATGGAGAAAGAAAAATAACTGTTCCTTAAAATGAGCAAAGCAGGGTCTTTGCATCACCTAAAAAGCTCACTGATAAGCACCAATTCACTAAAAGGTTTGAGATAACTGTAAAAAAAAGGAATTAGCTTTTATTGAAGATTTATGTCCCAGACACTTCAAGACACCCCTCATTTAATCTTCATGGCCCTATGAGGCAAGAATTATGCTTCCATTTTCTGAATAAGGAAACTGAGTCAGAGAAATTGAATAATTTGCCATGGCATAACTACTAATAAGGGCTGAAACAGAAATCAAACATGTCTAGACAACTCCTTTTACCAATGCCCAAGACAGGAAAGGGACGAAGCTGCCATTTCCTTGGTGCCAGTCTTCTGCCTTGGAGGTCAAATAATGGGATGTTTATTTCCAAGTTTTTTCTGTTATTACCTGCAATTAAGCAGTTATGTTCTTAGTCTTGAAATAACCTTAATTTTTAAAGAGCTGTCTTTGTCAATTCAATCCTCTCTGCTTCATCTTCTTAAAAGAGTTTTACCTAGACATATAATCATACCCCAAAGAGCTTTGTAAATTTAGTTATAACTGTTCGCAGAATTTAGATCAAAATGTAAACTGAAACCTGGAAAATACAAATGTTTGTTTTCTGTCAAATGCTTACTGCATGTTTCCAACCCAAATCCACTAAAACGATGAATAAACTAAGCTTAACTTACAAAAAAATTTTCAAAAGCAACTTATTTTCTTAAGGAAATAATGCTGGCCAGGCATGGCGGCTCACACCTGTAATCCCAGCACTTTGGGAGGCAGAGACAGGCAGATCACCTGAGGTCAGGAGTTCGAGACGAGGCTGGCCAATATGGTGAAACCCCGTCTCTACTAAAAATACAAAAATTAGCCAGGTGTGGTGGCAGGCACCTGTAATCCCTGCTACTCGAGAGGCTGAGGCAGAAGAATTGCTTGAACTTGGGAGGCAGAGGTTGCAGTGAGCCAAGATCATGCCACTGCACTCCAGCCTGGACAACAGAGTGAGACTCTGTCTCAAAAAAAAAAAAAAAAAAAAAAAAAAAAAGCAGAGAAGATAAGAGAAGAGAAATAATGTTATCTGGTAAGTTCCTTACCAGGCCACAAAAGGTTAACAACTTGAATTGTTAAATAAGGACTCTAGGTGTGCTAACAGGAAATATTACAAGTCCTTACAGATGGTAAGTATATGCACTGCCTAGAAATGCATAAATGAAATCATGATAAATGAGGGGGAAAATACAAACTAGTAAGTACACTGATTATACAATGTTTAAAAATGTAAATGAATGCCTGCTATGGTAGGGTCATATGAAGCTTAACTTTCCTCTATGATCTTTATATATACAGATGTATATAAGTATGTGTATATGCAGATGTGTGTGTGTGTGTGTGTGTGTGTGTGTGTAAAGCTCTTTGTTAATAAATGTTTAAAAGCCTATTCATCCTCCAGGAACCTAAGATAACAGCACTTGTCACTGCCCACCCACGGGCCAGCCCACGACACCCTGTCCTGGCTCAGACACTGGGCAAGGTGACTGAGGGGACACTGAAGAGGAAGAGGGTGGAGGTGGAGTTACGAAGAGGAGGGAGCAAGCAGGGCTGTCCTCAGGCAGGTCAGACAGGCGCCTGGTGCAGTAGAAAGAGTATATGCTTCCAACTCAGACTGACCCCTCTGAGCAGTCAAACTCTAGCTCTGCCCCTCACCAGCTGTGTGACCTCAGGCAAGTGACAGAAACTTTCTGAGCTTCAAAATGAGAAAAATAAAGTCTACCTCCTAGCATTTGCATGGGGAATGAAAGGAATTCTACAAAATTCCTGGCATAAGTGTCTGTCTCCTTGGATGGCTAGTCCCTCTTCTTCCTTGATCGGTTTAGAGTCAGTTGCCTGGTCGATGAAGGGGAAAGCAAGGCAAGAGTAACAATAGGGTATTGTGGGGATTAAAGGAAGATGTATGGCAATGGATCTGTCAACTGCAGCCCTGTACAAACACTGATTATTAATGTACTCTGGGACTCTGGAGTAATAGGAATAACTTCAGGGCTGAGCAGGTCACATGTGAAAAAATTTTTAAACAGCAGCAGCATCATTGGCAGTATTATACTGCTGCTTAAAAGACTTAGAATTTTGTGACTCAGTGCTTAAAATGACATTCAGAAGAAAAATAGCCTCAGGCCAACAGCCGCAATCCTTCACCCTGTGCCCAGGCTCCTGTGTCTGGGATTCAGGGCCATGCTGAAGCCAGCTGGCCTCCAGATGCAGTGACAAATCCAGGGAAAGCATTTGGGGTTGTCAGAGCTCATGGAGTGACTGCTGAGGGGTCGGTTCATGCGTCTGGAAGACAGTTGGGAACTACTGTCTAATGTCTGGCAGCTAGGTTCAGTGCTGAGCTCAGAAGCCGACCAGTGAGCAGGAAGATGCTCAGTTCTGCTTTGAACTGCGGCCAAGAGGCCAAGCGGTAATTTCATCTCTCCTCCAGTTCTTGCCGCAGGAAAACTGACAATAAGGAAAAAACAGATATGGCTGGGTCTCTCTCTCAAAAGGACACTGACACCAAAGTCCTAACTCCTCAAGAGGTCCTTCAAACAAATCTATCAAAATCTGTGAAAAGAAGCCTCACTGAATTCCAAGATCCCAAAGATAATTGTTACTCCTAAAATTTGTTGTAGTAAAAATAACAGCGGGTCTCAGCTCAAGTGTCACATTCTCAGAAAGACCTTCCTGACTACCTCATCCTAAAAGTGGGGCCTCCTCATCCCTTATTATCTTTCTAAAATTATTATTATTTTTTTTTAAAGGCAGGATCTCACTCTATCACCCAGGCTGGAGTGCACTCGTGCGATCATAGCTCACTGCAGCCTCGAACTCCTGGGCTCAAGCAATCCTCCTACTCAGCCTTCTGAGTAGCTAGGACTACAGGCACATGCCAGTACACCCAGCTAGTTTTTCAATGTTTTAAATAGAGACAGGGTCTCACTGTTGCCCAAACTGGTCTCAAACTCCTCGGCTCATGTAATCTTCCTGCCTCAGCCTCCCAAAGAGCTGGGATTACAGGAGTAAGCCACTGCACCTGGCTCTCTCTTTATTTTTGAGAACGGTACTGTCTGACATTGCCTACCTGTTACTTTTTGCCCCACAAGAAAAATATGCTGTATGTGGCAGAAAGTTAGGTTTATTCACTGCTGTATCCCAATGCTGGCACTGAAATATTTATTAGTTTAATGAATGAATGAAGGAACACTGCACATAATACCTAAGTAACCTATTTATGTCCTTTTTAGAAAATTCCATATAGTTCAGAAGAGGAATGTTTATAGTTGAGTATATTTTACAAGTTGAGCATCAGGTTTTAGCTTCCATAATGTAACATTACAGCACTGTTGCTATAAGAAAGTGAAATCTACCTTAAAACTCAGATGTCACTATTCAATGGTATCCTTTCCAGGAACAAAAGCCTTCCTGAGGACTATAACATGGTAATTCTCTCCTCCACGGAACCACTTTGTATAAGGTTGTTTCTGCTGGGAAAATACATTTCTTTTAGGACATGGAAAATCTAATCCAGTTGCTGTAACAAAGAAAAGGATCCTTCCAGAAAAGGGAGGAATTACTACTTCTGGGTGGTGGAAACTTGTCATATCTTGATCATACAAATAAAGGCTCCTCTGCAGGATGTGATCTACCAGGGGTTTGGAAGTAGAAATCAAAGGGCTGTTGCCACCAAGAGGACTGCAGTTTCAGACCTGTGGTGCCAGGGCCTGCCTCTGAACCAGAATCATCCTCCTCCCAGCCTGTGAGAAAGTACAGCAAAGGACTTAAAAGCAGGACACAAATCCAACATATGCAGTTTTCATAACGTACTTTGTTAAAAACATGTATTCTCAAATTGTGTTACACATAATACAGGCACGCAATGCCTCCTTCATAACTAATGTAAAAAACAATTTGGCCAGGTGCAGGGGCTCATACCTATGATCCCAACACGTTTGGAAGCCAAGGTGGGAGGATCACTTGCGGCCAGAGTTTGAGACTAGCCTGGGCAACATAACGAGATCCCATCTCTAAAAAAAAAAAATTTTTTTTTTTTTTTGAGATGGAGTCTTGCTCTGTCACCCAGGCTGGAGTGCAGTGGCACGATCTCAGCTGACTGCAACCTCTGCCCTCCAGGTTCAAGCGATTCTTCTGCCTCCGCCTCCCGAGTAGCTGGGACTACAGGCGCACACCACCACACCCGGCTAATTTTTGTATTTTTAGTAGAGACGGGATTTCACCATATTGGCCAGGCTGGTCTCGAACTGCTGACCTCGTGATCCGCCTGCCTCGGCCTCTCAAAGTGCTGGGATTACAGGCGTGAGCCACCACACCCGGCCAAAAATTTTTTTAAAGATAAAGCAATTTCTCTAAAAAATTAATTTCAGGCCATAAAAACCCACAAGGTCAAAGGTTAAACCCATCTTTTGACTCTCAGGGGAAAAAAGCATATGAATAACCAGGAAAATGAATACAGAGTTGGTACAGCTTTTTCAATAATAAAAATAATAAAACTGTTATTAGACAAAAATGTCTTCTTCAAAAAGACCCTTGGGGGAAACACTGGGCCTCAGCTCCTGATGTGAGTGGGGAGGTGCATCTTTTGGAAGCACTACTGTCAGGCTGTACAAGTCTCAAAATGAGGCCTGGCTGGCAGGTTCCAGCTCTGCTAATCTTACTGAGGAACAACCAACAAGGGACATTCCCAGCTGAACGCTTTAACACTCAAGGGAAAATGGTGTCTGTAACAGCAGCAAACTTTCTCTTCAAAACTTTGCATCTTATTTTAAATGAAGGGTTCTTAACACACACATGCATGCAAGTTTTGGTCTGTGTGTACATGTGCGGATTTCTGCGGAGAGAGTTCATAGTGTTCAGAGTCCTAAATGGTGACTATGTCCCAAAAGAAGTTAAAACACCACTTTTTTTTTTTTTTTTTTGAGATGGAGTCTCACTCTGCTGCCCAGGTTGGAGTGCAGTGGTGGGATCTCGGCTCACTACAACCTCCACCTCCCGGGTTCAAGCGATTCTCCTGCCTCAGCCTCCCAAGTAGCTGGGACTACAGGCATGCACCACCATGCTCAGCTAACTTTTGTATTTTCAGTAGAGACGGGGTTTCACTATGTTGGCCAGGTTGGTCTCGAACTCCTGACCTCGTGATCCGCCCGCCTCGGTTTCCCAAAGTGCTGGGATTACAAGTGTGAACCACCGCGCCCAGCCAAAACACTACTCTTTTAAAGGGTGGCAGAACTTTAGCCTTTGGATTATTTTGGGAAACCAAAGTTTTTCTGAGCTGCCTCTAAAGATTTCTGTCAAGCTGGGAGCCACTTGGGGTCAAAAACCTTTTCCCAAGAAAAATCCTAGGAAGCCTGAGAACTAACACACAATCCTGATGTGGGTGTGGGCCTCTCGTATCTTTGGAATGCCTAACCCGCTGGACCTCACCGCTCAAACAGCCCCTGACGTCTAGACAGCAGGTCAGGAAGGTCTTCACTTAGGGTTTGGATTCTTGAATTTGCCTCGCACTCATGGATGTTGACATTGTCCAGAGCAGGCTTTGACATTTCATAAGTTACTATTTTTTCTCAGAAATGCATTATTTTCTCCAGCTTCCCAAGAAAGATCAAAATTAATGCTGAGTCTTTGATGCTTCAGTACATCACTCCAAATGCAGGGTACATCTCCACAGAAACTTTCCTCCCAGGCAAGCTTTTTTCTTCAACTAGGCATTTCTACATCAAAATGTAACCCTTTAGTCACTGTTCCCACTGTCCCCTGCCCCCTCAACAAACTGTATCGCAGCTATTTAAACATTTTTCAACATCCTGTAAGAATAACACGTACATTTCCCCCTCCTGTTTAAAAAAATTATTTTTTTCTCTTTGTTTTGACAAAATCCTGTTCTCTAGTTGCTTTTTCAAATATGGAAATTTAAGCATGATACAAATTACATGAACTCTCTACTCCCCCCAACCCTGGCTGCTGGACCTGTTGTGATCACATATCTGTTTCTACAAGCCACAGAAGAAAGTGACCTTGTTACTCTGAAAATCTCACTTTCATTCCAACTCTACCCCATTACCAATATTCTTTCATACATATGGCAATTTTGGGCCTTTCTTCAAAAATGTGACCAAAGGTACAATAAAATGAAAGGCTGAAAAATGACTGCTTTCTGCTTGCTCTCCTGAACTACAATCTTCTTCCATCATTTTTTTTCTAAACCAAAAGGTACCAGTCTATTTGGAAAATAATCAGTTTTATAAAAGGTACCCTTACACTATTATTTTTACAATGACTACATGTATGGCAGGAGAAATTACAATCTGCTGAGAAAATTGCAAAATAATTTCTAACTCTATTTGCTATAATTTGACAATTCTATCTTAAGAGTCTAGAAAATATACCATTGTGAAATGTCTCAAACCCATTATCCTAATTGAAATCTATTTAAATGGAATAGTTCCTTTGCAAGTCACATAAAAGCACATACAGAGCAGAGATCCTTCCTATTAAATCTAGAAATGCTATGCCTATAAAGTACATGACATCTAAGCAGTAAAGATTTTAGCCTCAAAATTCCTTAACCATTTGTCATCGTGTATGTGAACGCTCATCTAGAGACCTTCACCTGCTGCCATAGATACAAAATCGAGGATTGAACAATGCCCTTAAAAAGTAATAATAATAAAGTCAAGAAAAGCAGACATATTATGGTCATCTAGCTAGATTTCACTGCCCAGTTTTTATTCTCCACGTTTGTTTTCTTTTTAATACGATGAACCTTTTTCACTTTTCTGATCCTAAACCTTTGACTTTGGAATATACTGCATATTTTGGTGGTGTTCCATTAAAATGGGTCTGTGTCATAGGGATACGAACCAACTGGACAAGACGGAAGGGAGCCCCCAGCACAACAGAGAGCAAAGGAAAGCCCGCAGACAGCTGAGAGCTAAAGCCATTACTGCCTCTGTATTTAAAATCCACAGTGCTGACTCTTCATTAATTTTAGATGAAATTCCACAGTAGGTTTTCTGTAATTACCAACAGCTTGCATTACTTGCTCATGAGATGGCTCTATCAATAAAGAGATCCGGTTTCTTAAGCAGAGTCTCCCAGATCATACGCCCACCTTCATGTGAGGACGTGTGCTGCCAATGGTCTAAGAAGTCCTCAGAAGCAATATGGAAAGGAGACCTTTCTCCAACACCCTTTAAGAGCCAGATCCCTGACCTCCTCCTGAGCACTAGAGGCTGAAATTCAGAAAGGAAGAAGCTTAAATGGCCAAAGGCAGAAGATGACCATTCTTGACTCTAAATTTCTGCTAACAGGGATCTGCTGCAATCATGCATATTTGTCACCAGTGTTGTCCTTTTTTTGACAGAGTCTCGCTCTGTTGCCCAGGCTGGAGTGCAGTGGCATGATCTCAGCTCACTGCAACCTCTGCCTCCCAGGTTCCAGCAATTCTCCTGCCTCAGCCTCCTGAGTAGCTGTTATTACAGGTGTGCGCCACCACAGCTGGCTAATTTTTGCATTTTTTAGTAGAGACGGGGTTTCACCATATTGGCCAGTCTGGTATCAAACTCATGACCTCGTGATCTGCCCACCTTGGCCTCCCAAAGTGCTGGGATTACAGGCGTGACCCACCACGTCCAGCCTACCAGCATTGTCTTAAATATTGGGCTGCCCCCTAGAAGAATGGTCTTTCTGAAAGCAGCAACTTCTGTCTTTAAAAAAAGGTATATAAAACAATCATACTTTCATGAGCAGAGCCCACCATCACAGGACACACATGATGTTCATGAGGAAAGGAAGGAGTCAGTAACAGGCAACAGCAGATGTGTGTTCTAGAACAGCTGGAGGCTGCACGAGGAGAAGGCTGGACTTCTGGGCTAAAAGGGGTAAGCTGAGGCCCTAAGGCCTTCCAAGGAAGGGCAGGATCCACCTTCCAGAGTCACAGAGCTGGGAGGACCAGCCTCCTGGTGCTGTGTCTACGTGAGGGACCCCCTTTTCTTGCTGCAGATAAGAATCACCAGACCTAACAGAAAAGCCAATGACGGGGAACAGATTATTCAGGATACAGAAAAATAAAGAAGGCGGCAGCTGGGCGTGGTGGCTCATGCCTGTAATTCTGTAATCCCAGCACTTTGGGAGGCTGAGGTGGGCAGATCACCTGAGGTCAGGAGTTCGTGACCAGCCTGACCAACATGGTGAAACCCCATCTCTACTAAAATTACAAAAATTAGCTGGGCGTGGTGGCAGGTGCCAGCTACTTGGGAGGCTGAGGCAGGATAATCGCTTAAACCCAGGAGGTGGAGGTTGCAGTGAGCTGAGATCAGGCCATTGTACTCTAGCCTGGGTGACAGAGTGAGACTCTGTCTCAAAAAAAAAAAAGAAAAAGAAAAGAAAAGAAAGAAAGAAGAAGGCAGAGGAGGAAGAAGAGGAATAAAAGAGGCAAACCCAAGAAAAATAAAAAGATGCCCTGTGAAAATTCAGTAGGGTTCTGGTCAAAACAAATGGACTAAGAAAACTGAAGGAGAAAATATCCTGGCACAGGACACCTGGCTAGGATGACGTGTATCTCCAATTCTCTCCCTCAAAGGTCTTCTAGGATTTGAGGGGAGTGGGGCTAGCAGTGAGGAAAGAGAATGTCAGGGCTCCAGAGATGATCTGGTTTGAGCAGTGAGGAGGCGGCCAGGCTTGCGCACGGATGCCCCGCGCGGGGAGCCTGCAGTTCGCTCACCGGTGTTGTCTGTGCTCCAGGTTCTTCTACCGTGAATTGGTCTCTCCATTCTAAAAAGCTGGCTTTAGAGCTTTTTAGATGAGAGGTATGAGAGATTTAGACCTGAAGTTCCTCTTTAACCTTTCTCAGTTGCGGGCTTTTTGAAAGCCTGATGAACATCAAAGATCTCTCCCCACCACACAAATATACATACACAAATATCCTCAAGATTTTGCACTTGATTTTCAAGGAGACACAGATATTTCTCTTCCCCCTCCCCAAGATTAAAAAACCCAGATGTACAGAATTCATTACACTCTTTTGAATAGGAGGAGTAGGGTTTTAATCCACATTCCTTTGGATGGTGAGTGCATGGTCCTAGGGCATTTGGGCAAGACAGAGACAGCATGTGAAATCTCACTCCAGGAAGAAGACAGCCTTCTGGTGCCTCCCAAAGCTTTGCCAGCAATTTTACTCCTGGAACCAAGACTGTAGTGGGAAAACGGCTGGTTACTTTCTAGACAATAAATAACCAATCTATTGAAAAACAAACTATAACTGCAAAACATACCTAAGTGCTTTATGTTAGTGAGAGAAAGAATAAGAAATAATCAAAGAACAAGAGAGAAAGACAGAAAAGAAAAATTGGTACACTAATTTATAAGCTATTAATTTGGGAGAAAAGAATCTATTTTATAAGAATTTTCCATGCTTAATGCTACTTAAAGAGTTAAAATACTTGTTTAAGATTCTTCAAAGACCTTCCCTAAAAGGAAACACAAGATGGGTAAGGACCTCATTTTAAAGATTCACAGGAGGCTGACTCTCACCAGTGTCTGGACCTGCCCAGTGACAGTCCCCAAGCATAGCCACTGTTTTCTAAGCAGTGTCATCTGCTGAATGCTGAAGGGATCACTGGATAACCAGTCCATATTAAATAAATGCAGGTATAGCCTATTTTATAAGCCTTTTATCAGGCCTCAAAGAATTTGGCTTGAAATCATCCCAGTGATTAGACGAGGGTTCCCATGCCAGATGGTAGGCTTCCTGCTTGTCTGTCAGGGACCCTCCCTCCCTTAGCAGTAGCATCACACTTGAAAAGATGTCCCTGTGTACCCACATTGACAGAAATAAGAACTAAAGGGCTGGCCAGGCAGGGCTCACCCCTGTGATCCCAGCACTTTAGGAGGCCAAGGAGGGTGGATTGCTGGAGGTCAGGAGTTCGAGATGAGCCTGGCCAACATGGTGAAACCCCATCTCTACTAAAAATACAAAAATTTACCAGGCCTGGTGGTGCATGCCTGTAATCCCAGCTACTTAGGAGGCTGAGGAAGGAGGATCACTTGAACCCAGGAGGCGGAGGTTGCAGTGAGCCGAGATTACGCCACTGCACTTGAGACTGGGCAACAGAACAAGACTTTGTCTCAAAGAAAAAAAAAAAAAGGAAAAAACATAAAGGGCTGACCCCAGGTACCTGCCCCCATACCTACTGTTTACTGCTGTAAGAACAGGAAAGCAAAACCTCTCATTCCAACTTTAAATACTGACTTAAGCACTTGTATAAATGAGCTCCTAAAACAGAAAAACATCGTTCAAAAAAATTCCTTTTTTCCTTAGCTTGAATAAAGCACCCATCTCACTCAACGTTAACCAATCGACAGTACAGCCTGCTTTGTGCTTACTTAGCAGTGTGTAGGGTGAGAGGCTAGGACACTCCACTGGAGCACTGTGGGAAGGAGCTCAGGAGGAGCTGGAAGGCAGTTCTGAGAGGGAAAACGGAGGCTAATGGTTCAGTTCTGTGACAGATCCCACAAAATGGCTAAAATGCTTGCAGACCATAAGAAAGCTAAGTTTTAGAAATAGTGAAATTTGCAATTTCTGGAAGGCTTCTTTGGAGCTGTGGGTCAACAAATATACATATATTAAATTTGTTTTCAATTGTATTTTTTGAGATTAACACTTTGGCATTAAAAAATCATACAGACTTCTGGAAGGATCTCTTAACCATCCACCCCAGAAAATTCTGGGCCCTGCACTTGCTACACTTGCTGCCAAAACAACTCTATCATCTAACTGAAAAACTAAACTCAAGATGTGTTTTTTCTCTTCCCTAAGATTTTAGTACCTCCTGAAATAAAATTCACTTCAGGCTATTAGGCCTCCTCTGAACAATGATCACAGTCAGCCTTAAGACAAAAGCTAGGCTGACCAAATGAGTTTGGTTTCTGGCTCAGAGCATGATCAACAGCCATTTCTGCTGGGAGTTTTAGCCTTAAAAAAAAATTAATGTTCCTGCTTCACTATTAACCTACCCCATCAGGATCGAATACCACTCACCGTATCCCCACAGACATTAGCCTACCCTGGGAAATTAAAACAAAAGCAATTCCTTTCCCACGGGTTTTCAGCTACTGACTTATTTCCCATTTCGATCTTGCCCCTGAACTTAGCCAGGCAAAGAGGCTCAATTCCTGAGGGCAGCTCCTGCCAGGCTTCCTACAGCAGTTTCTGCTCCTAACTGTAGGTGAGGTGGATAGGAAACTGGGGTGGCCACATCAGATCAGCCACTGTCAGGGACTAACCGTCAAGCAGTCACTTCTAACACACATCCAGGCACTGAGGATACCAAGATGGCTCCTGCTCCAGGTTAAGTGGGAGCATTTCCATCATTTTTATCAAAGGAAACAATAATAGAAGGTAGGAAATGCTCAGCCGTTAGTGAGCAACTTTAGTGAGCAGGTGCCAGCCTGCCTGCCTGAACAAGAGTTCTGTGCTTACTTCCCAGCCCCAGTCACAAGCTCCCTTGCCCTCTGGATGGCTTTTCCTCATTTGTCATCATTAAGTCCAACACACACACTTCCCTCTACCTGCTCTCAGATGTAAAATTATCAGCAAGGTAGGGTTAGAGTTTACTGCATGGTCCACTTGTAATAGACTTCACCTTATACAAACATCTGCATGGTCTACTACACCTGCCGGAGGCCTACTTTAAAATCTGTCTATGGAAAATAACACTGTTGTCTCGGTCTGGCAGGCAGCATCCTACAACAACATAACTTGCTCCCCTCTCACTTTTTTATTTTTTTTATTTTTGACAGGGTCTCGCTCTGTTGCCTGGGCTAGAGTGCAGTGGCACCATCTTGGCTCACTGTAACCTCTGCCTCCCAAGCTCAAGCAATCCTCCCACCTCAGCCTCCTAAGTAGCAGAGACCACAGGTGCATGTCACCATGCCCAGCTAATTTTTGTTTTTGTTTTTTATTTTTGTAGAGACAGGGTTTCACCATGTTGCCCAGGCTGGTCTTGAACTCCTGAACTCAAGGGATCCACCTGCCTCAGCCTCCCAAAGTGCTGGATTACAGGTGTGAGCCACCAGGCCCAGATTTCCCCTTTCCATCATAAAAGGAAATGCTTTCCACCAGGTTTCCATGATCAGGGCACACAGAGTAAATTACTTACAGGATTTTCCTTTGGGGCTAGGTGCACCCCATAGTACTTTGCTCTAACTCCAATCCTAACAACCACCAGATGGTATTTGCCTGCCTGTGCTGTTAAGGTTTCCAGCACATGGGGAATGAGCTGTTCACACTCAGGCATGAGCTTACAGATACCAGAGCCCCTCCCTTAATGGTGTTCCCAATCAGCTTTGGTGCTGGTTTCCACTCGAGAGTTCCGAGGCACCACTTTGGTACCTAGAATGCTACTAAGTCACACAGGTCTCCTCATTATCCGATTCTGTGATTTTCCTGTAGGCTTTTCTCTAATTACTATACATTAATACAAATTTCTAATTAATATAAAGCTTAAAGCCTTCTTAACTTGCAGTCTCCCAGAAAACGCATCACTCTAGTCTTCACAAAACATCTTCTCTCTGGTTACCAGAGGTGCTGGTCTGGGGAACCAGTCCCTTCCTTCCAAAAGAACATTATCTCGGCATCAAGTCCTTCGATTTCCTATTCGTAACTTCAAAGTTCCCGGGGAAGACCCAGGTTTCTCCTTTTTCCTTTTGACATGTCAGGTGGACCTGATGAGCACTGGCAGGCTCCCCCACTCATCTGGAAGTAGCCCTCAGGAAGAGAGAGAAGGGGGAAGCCTCCCCATCTGCAGGGTCAGTTCTAAACACAACTGCCCAGCTTCTTTCCAACAGGGAATCCAGCAACAGCAGGAAGCCTCCCCTGCACAAGGTACAACCAGAATTCCCTCTTATTACTGCCTAGAGCCCTCTTTAGTGTCCACCAGGTAGTACCAGGGTCTACTCAGAAACACTTGGCAAACACCCCCGACAGGCAAAGTACTCTAGTTTGCTGATGGCAGTGAGGGAGGTCAGAGGGAGGAGAAAGGTGCAAATATGAGCAGGGCAGAATCCCTACCCTCTAGGAAGAGAGGAAGACTACTGCACCCCTGGCTGTGGGCTGTATATGGAATACTCCAACCTTAAGGTCTCAAAATGGAGCCTCATGTCAGTGTCTCCTGAGGCTGGGTGCAGAAAACCCATCCAGACAAGAGGATCAGCCTCAAATCCCATCCTTCCAACATGATGGGCAAATGCCTTTCAAGTCTGGGACAAGGGCATGGAACATGGTTTCTCAGAACATGTTTTTGTAGGATGCTCCAAACCCTCTGTACAGTTTTCATGATAGATCCCTGTGAACTCTTTCCCCCCATTTCCCTTCCTGGGTTATTCTCTAAAAACTACTTAACCTCTCCAATAAATCCAAGTTGTTTTTGTCTGTTTTTGAGGTGTCACCCAGGCTGGAGTGCAGTGGCACAATGATGGCTCACTGCAGCCTGGACCTCCCAGGCTCAAGCAATCCTCCCACCTCAGCACCCTGAGTAGGACTACAGGTGCACACCACCATGCCTAATTTTTAAATTTTTTGTAAAGAATTTAAAGATGGGGAGGTCTCCCTATGTTGCCCAGGCTGGTCTTGAATCCTGGGCTCAAGCGATCCTCCCACCCTAGCCTCCCAAAGTGCTGGGATTACAGGCATGACCCACTGTGCTCAGCCATATAACCAAGTTTTAAAGAGAAGTCCTCAAGTTGAGTTTCCCTTATTTTCTAATGTGGCTTGCATTCTTTCATTCATTCACCCCGAGAATATTTAAGCAGCATGTCTAATGGGTCAGATACGAAGCTAGGTACTGGGTATATAACGCGGAGCAAAATAAACAAGGTCCCTGCCTTCTTGGAAGAAGAGGAAAAGCAGGTATCTACAACAGAATATATAGTAACAAACTGTGATGAGTGCTACAAAGGACAAGAGAAAATGGGGGTGGGGGTGAGGTAGGGAGTACAGCTGTTTCCTGCAGAGGGTTCAGCTCCTAAAAAGTCTAGCTCCCTTCCAACTGGGAAGAGAAAGGTGGCCAGTGTGCCTGGAATACAATAAACCAGGAGAGACACAGAGGCCCAGGCTGGAGAAGGCAGGAGGGGCTAGATCACACAGCACCTAAACATGTTCGGAATGTAGATTTTATCCCACAGGCAACAAAGAAACATTCAGAGAGTTTGAGCAAGGATGTGACATGATGATGTTAGAATTATTTATTATTTATTTGAGACAGGGTCTCTGTCACCCAGGCTGGATGCAGTGGTGTGATCACAGATCACTGCAGCCTCAACCTCCTGGGTTCAAACAATCCTCCCACCTCAGTCTCCCGAGTAATTGGGACCACAGGCACAGGCCACCAAACCCAGCTAATTTTAATTTTTCCTTCTTTCTTTCTTTCTTTTTTTTTTTTTTGTAGACAGGGTCTCACTATGTTGCCCAGGCTGGTGTCGAACTCCTGGGCTCAGGCAGTCCTCCCACCTCAGCCTCCCCAAGTGTTGAGATTACAGGTGTGAGCCACCATGCCCGGCCATGATAGGAATTTTTTAAAGACCACTCAGACTGCTGAGAGGTGAAGAGATTAGAAAGGAGTAGAGGTAGATGAGGGCAGGTCAGTGAGGGGCTGCTGGAGTATTCCAAGCAAAAAGATGGTTGTTTGCACCAAACTAGAACAGTGGCAGAGAAGCTTCAGAGAAAAGAACCATCCAAGAGTCGTTTATAAGATAAAAATCAGCAGTATTTGGTGCAGGACTAGATAAGGGCGAAAGGAGGGAGGTCGAGCTTGCATTCGTAGTGAGGAGAAATGTCAATTACCTCTGGCAGAAAGCACAGGCTGAACAAACTCTGCAGCTCACTGGCACTGCACTTCCCTCGGCACCTATTTTTCAGAATTTCTAGAAAAATTTCAAGCCCATCTCTTATTTACTCCTAAATCTATTCCTGAAACTGTCATCCATTTTTAACACATTTATCAAGCATCTACGATGCTCTGGGGATAGAGAGGTGACCAGCAGCTCATGCTCTCTGCGTCTGTCTTCTTTGAGCCCCTGGGTGTTGCCTAGAGGCAGCCTCTAAACCCTCCTGGCAGCAAACACAACTCCCAAAGCTGGGGCTCATCTTACCTTCTGAAACCTTCATACAAGCCACTTAACAGACGCCTCTCTACCTCTTAGAGACATTCCGCAATGCAACAAGCAGCTTGAGTTCTTTTCACTCAGAGATTCACTCCTCATTTCATAATATTCTGAGCCCCAGGAGACATCATAGCATCAAATCAAAACTCCCCAGGTCTTTGAGCCTTGCTCTTAAAGGAAGATCATGAGTCCCACCAGGCAGTTCTTCCTTCTACTACATAATCAAACTCCTTTTCTCTAAAATGTACTGAGTTTGGAACCTACATGCGACTTGTGCCCTTTGATTTGTTGCCCAGATTAGTTTGTGCTGGGCTCTATCCTATCACCAGGAATGGTGGTTTAATAAACCCTGGAGCTATACTGTCCAATATGGGCACATGGAACTATTTAAATTAAAATTAAAGCTTCGGTTTCAGCTTAATTAAAATTAAAGCTTCCAATTCTCAGTTGCACTAACCACCTTTCAAATGTTTAATGGTCTGTTGTACCATGATGCACAGAGGCACTGCTACAGGGTTGTTTGCATGTTTGATGTGAATTTCCCCTTTAAAAAATAAAAATGAAATTCAACATATAGAAACTTTCGACATATTAACTTGTGTCCTGTTTCATGCTACAAGTGAATACTATAAATTGAACTTAAAGTAACATATGCCACTAAAATACTGCTTCTTAATCAGTTTCACAGTTTGGGCTTTGTGTAAAATTCATTTGCTAAGAATGTTTGAAAATAACCTGTGACTTCATCATGGGCTCATAATTTTATGAGCCACTGTGGACAAACACTGTCCTTTTTTGTTTGTTTGATTTTTAGATACAGGGTCTTATTCTGTCACCAACGCTGTGGTGCAGTGGTGCCATCATGGCTCACAGCAGCCTTGAATTCCCAGGCTTAAGCAATCCTCCTCCCAGCTCAGCCTGCCAAGTAGCTAGGACTACAGGTGTGTGTCACTGCATCTGGCTTTTTTTTTTTTTTTTTTGTAGAGGCAGGGTCTCACTATGTTGCCTAGGCTGGTCTCAAACTCTTGGCCTCAAGTGATCCTCCACTTCGGTCTCCCAAAGTGCTGGGATTGCAGACATAAGCCACAGCACCTGGCCTTTAAAAAAAAAAAATGTACCTTGCACACTGCCCAGTACAGTTGCTACTTAGTAAATACATAGACTAACTGGTCATCTTGAAAGCACTCTTAATTTTATATGCCTACTTCTCATACACAAGTCTGTAAGAGGTTTCCACTAAATGTTCATTTCAGATTCTGAATTTCAACTACCTAACACCAGCCCTATAATTATGCAGTGTGCAGGCATTTTTTTCTCTAGAATATCTACCAAATGATTTTATAGTCCAAAGACACATTTATACTGTGACAGAAAATCCACCAACAATGCTTCATTGTGGAACTATCTTGGAACAAGATTAGCAAAAGTTGATAATTATCAAAATTGAGTAATAGATGCCTGATATCCATTATATTATTCTTCACTTTTGTGTATGTTTTTTAAAATTCCAGAGCAAAAGATATTTTGAAAAACTTAGTCAATTATATACAAATTTGATGAGGCCTCACACATACTTTACAAGATAACTATAACTTAAATATGGCTGGGTTCATAGCACTTTATTGACTATCCCAAGCCAGTGACCTGTTTCATGAAGTCCTCTCCTTGTATGGTCCTGAGGCGTGGTTGTTCCTTTGAATGGGGAAACATCATCAAATCTCGCTGGAGATGGGGTTCAGGCAGGTTTTGCACACAGCAACTCCGAGTTGTCATGTTTGACCACCTGGCTGTAAGGCCAGTAGTCTCTGTCTCCTCTTATCAGGAAAAAAGGTGAAAGATCTGCCCGCATCCAAACACTAAAGCAAACAACTGCAGGCAAGAGCAGAGGAACAGCTGCTTCCGGTCCACCTTGCTCCACACTCAGGACTGCACCCACTGCAGAGATGCCTACAGGTAGGGCCAAGTCTCCCAGGTACGGGTGCTGAATGCTTAGCACACCACAGAAAGTCCAACATAATCTACCTTAGAATGCCTCCATGGATACACCTACTCAGCTGTCTTAGTTTTACCTTCTGCCCTATGGTTACGCTACACATGGAATCATGGGAAATGCTGACTAGGAAGAGAAGCTCATCCACTCGAAATCAAGTTCCCCACAGCCCTGAGAGTCAGCAAACCCTACCCACAGTCCTTTCTGTACATGCCAGGCATGGCTCTCAAGGCTCATTCAACCCTCATAGCATCTTGGAGGTGGGAAAGTGAGGCAAAAGAGGTTAAGAAACTTCCCGAGGCCCCTTGAGCAGTGTCTGGTTCCCAAGCTTCTGCTCTCCCTGCTACACTATGCTGCCTTGTGACATGTCCTCTGCAGAATGGCACCTTCTGAGCCTGCCCTTCCCATATTCCCCTCTCTGCCCCTCTGCACAGCAGCCAGACATCCACGTTGCTCTCTCTCTTGAAATGCTCTGCCCAAGACCCCCAGTTGCTGGTTTCTTCCTTTTCTTTCTTTCTTGGTGCCCTGTTCTTTTCCTTCAGAGGAAGGAGATTTTACACATATTACAATCCAATATATATGATGCATATGTCTATTGACTTGTTTGTTGTCTAGACTAGATAATGTGCTTTGTGCAGGAAGGAACCACATCTGTTTTGCTCCCCATCAGATTTCCAATGCCAAGCACAATGCTTGGCCCTGGTAGATGCTCAAATACTTGCTGAATGACGATCACTGTTCAGTCAATCCTTTCAGTAAAAAGATTTTTAAATTCTCTATTTTGAGCCTAAAATAATAAATATAACCATCTATAAGAATACAGCCCAAAAGACAGCATGAGGTCCAAGAAAGGACTGAAAATTGAATAAGAAAACAAGCCAGCTTATGTCAGCTTTGAACAGCAAGAGAAATGAAACTTATAAAATGCATATTGGGATTCTGAAAGGTTATTTGCAGGAGCAATCCAACGGGTAGGTTTTAATCTCAGATCCTAAATAAGCTTATGACTGAAGCCAGCTCCTCTTGCCCAGTGCTGCTTTCAACTGTTAGAATAAGCTGGGGAGGCACTTAATGTGTTTGTTGCAATAATCTTCTTAGGGAAAAGCCCTTAGAACCAATATTCCAGGCAAATCCAGCAGACAAAGGTTACCTGGTTGTTTCAAAGCCCACCCACATTTCCCATTCTCCCAGCTTCCACACAGAAAGGTTAGATTCTTCTCTCAATAGTCCCATTTATGCTCACAGTGACCTGGCACATGGCTTTTGTTCACCAAAGAAAAGCCTTTCCTTTCAAGGACTTAAGTCTTCTGCAATAAGAGTTAATTCTTTAAGTTTAACAAAGTTCTCCCAATACAAGTAGTCCCCACTTATCTGCAGTTTCCGTCACCCATAGCCAACCAAGTTCTGAAAATATCAAATGGAAAATTGCAGAAATAAACAATTCGCAAGTTTTAAACTGCATGCCATTCTGGGTAGTGTCATGAAATTTCTCACTGTCCAATCCCATCCTGCCCAGGATGTGAATCCTCCCTTTGTCCAGCAGATCCACGCCGTAGGCGCTACCTACTCATTAGTCACCTTTAGCTGTCTCAGTTATCAGATCAACTGTCACCATATTACAGTTCTTGTGTTCAAGTAACGCTTATTTTACTTAATAACAGCCCCAAAGCACAAGATTAATGACGCTGGCAATTTGGATACGCCAAAGTGAAGCTGTAAAGTGCTTCCTTTAAGTGAAAAAGTCAAACTTCACAACTTAGGAAAGGAAAAAATCTTGTACTGAGGTTGCTAAGATCTATGTTAAGAATGAATCTTCTATCTCCGAAAATTGTGAACAATATGTGGTTGTTATAACCGTTCTTTTTTTTTTTTTGAGATGGAGTCTCGCTCTGTCGCCCAGGCTGGAATGCAATGGTGCAATCTTGGCTCACTGCAACCTCCGCCTCCTGGGCTCAAGCGATTCTCCTGCCTCAGCCTCCTGAGTAGCTGGAACTACAGGTGCACACCACCACACCTGGCTAATTTTTTGTATTTTGGTAGAGATGGGGTTTCACTGTGTTGCCCAGGCTGGTCTGGAACTCCTGAGCTCAGGCAATCTGCCCACCTCAGCCTCCCAAAATGCTGGGATTACAGGTGTGAGCCACCGCACCTGGCCCAACTGTTCTATTTTTATTAGTTATATTGTTAATCTCTTACCGTGTCTAATTTATAAATTAAACTTTATTATAGGTATACATGCATAGGAAAAAAACGTGGTGTATATACGGTTCAGCACTATCCATGGTTTCAGGCATCCACTGGGGAGCAACATAAGCCAGTATTCTAGGCCCAGCTATCAGTCCTTGACCTTGCTGTGTAATCTTGGAAAGTTATTTAACCTTTCTGAGCCTCAGTTTTCTCATCTTAAAATAAGATTGATAATAGTATCTACTATTCATAGGGTGGTATAAAGTTTAAAGGTAGGAACAGTGCCTGGCACACGATTCCCCGTAAATGATAGTTACTCACATTGTTATCACCTGCGTATTGTTTTGTTTTTCAAAGCACTATCACAAACACCTGAGACTTCAAAAGTCCTGAATACAATCATTTTCTTTCAATTGTTTAATTTCTCAGATTCTTAGAATCATAAACTCATATAATCTATGAGACTGCTAGCAGTAGGGGATGGCACTAAGAAATCAACTCTTCATTTTGGAAGAGAGACTTTTTTTTTTTTTTTAAACAGAGTCTCACTCTGTCACCCAGGCTGGAGTGCAGTGGTGCGATCTCGGCTCACTGCAACCTCTACCTCCCAGGTTCAAGCGATTCTCCTGATTCAGTCCCAAGTAGCTGGGACTACAGGCATGTGCCACCACGCCTGGCTAATTTTTGTATTTTTAATAGAGCCAGGTTTTCACCATGTTGGTCAGGCTGGTCTTGAACTCCTGACCTCAGGTGATCCGCCTCCCAAAGTGCTGGGATTACAGGCATGAGCCACCGCGCCCTGTCCTGGAAGAGAGACTTTTAAAAGTCCAAATTAGTGAAGTGACGCGCAGCTGGTATCCTGCCTTGCTGCCCAGTGCAATTTTGGGTGATCCACGCAGCCATTGGGAAATATGTTTCTAATGGTGAAGCAGGGATGACAGGTGAAACTGTCAGGACTGTAGCCTTCTGACTCCAAGTCTAGTGTTCTCTCCACCCCACCAATGCCAGTCAAGGGCTTCTGAACTTTCATGACCTCCTAGCATCCCTCTCATTAATGGTGCTTCATGGACATTTCACGCAGTGTAATTACGCATTATAAAGAGTTTGGAAAGGAGCAACACAAAATCTTGTATAACCTATGAGTTGCTTTAAAACTCACATGTAAGAATATTCACAACAGCATGGGCTTCCAGTCTTCTTATTACAATATTTACTTTAAACTTGGGATTTAAAGTTGACAAAGACCTTAATGAATAGGAAGACAAAGGGAGCTGTCTGTCCATGGCTCGTTAGCTCCTGAAGTTAATGTTTCTCACAGGGACAAGAGTCAGCCAAAGGATAGTGCTCTAGGCAAATTGGAAAATGTTCCTCCAGCCACAAACCATGGATTATTGCCTAGGCGTTGAGTGGCAAATCTTACGAGATGCTTCCCAGCTTTTCCCAGTTAACCATTCATCCTGTCAGTGGACAGCATGACCTGTTATTGGGTGCTCACTAGAACCAGGGACATAAGTGATCTCATTTAATTCTTACAACTACCTATAAATAATATACTACCCTAGTTCATCTAAGACCATTGACTATAAGACACACTGTTATTTTATGTGCCAAAAAAGGAAGCCACTGCTGACTACAAGTCTAAGACCCCATACATTACAAGATGCTTTTTTTCCCCAGGAATGTTAACATTACATAAATTACACTGTCTTAGCATTGTTGAAATGGGAATATTTTCCCACTTTACAAAGAAACTGAGGTACACAGAAAGAGAAGTAATTTACCCTTAAGGTCACAGAGCTGGTAAGCAGAGCACAAGGATACAGACCCAGTCAGTCCAGTCACCTTTTCATGGCAGTAAAAGATTTCCCAATAGCCTCGTGAATTACTCAAAACTGCACTTGGCAGAGAGACAGACATCGGCATCTAACTCTGGCTCCAGCAGGAGCACAGGAGCTCATTAGTGCAGCAATTCTCTGAACATCTCTGAACCTGACCACTCTGAACATGTCCACTCAAGAGGACACTGCAAGAGACATCTCTAATAAACTGCCATTTCTCTCCAGGGAAAAACAACGTGGTACAATGGAAAAAGTGTGTTTTGTTTGCTTGGACACAGGGTCTTACTCTGTCATCCAGGATGGTCTCAAACCCTTGGCCTCAAGTAAACCTCTTGCCTTGGCCTCCCAAGGTACTGGGATTACAAGATGTGAGCCACTGTGCCTGGCCCAAAAAGCACGTTTTTTGAATCAATGTCCTAGACTGACATTCTTGCTCCACCATCTAACCAGCTTGTCACCTTGGGCAAGTTACTACTTTGCTCTGAGCCTCGGTTTCCTCTTCTGTAAAATGAGGCTATCACACCTCCATTAGAGGGCTGCTCTAGGACTGGAGAGGATATATACATAAGGGGCAGAAAACAGTACCTGGCTGAGTTGGAACTCAACACTGCTCTCTTTTCTATACTAGTCTTCTGCCTTGGGACAGAATCAAAGAATAAGCATTCCCTGTGACCTCAGCAATTCCCAAGGAGACCTTCAGGAGATAAGGATCAGACAGAAGAAAGCAGACCCTGAGGGATATTCAGGCAAAGAAAATGAACTAGAAACACCTAGAGAACAAGAGACAGTGTGTGTTTAATGAACTTCCTAACTCTGAATGAATGAATTGACAAATGGAAAAAAAGAAAGAACAGGCACTTTCCATCAAAAGATACCAGTCAACAGACGTGAGGATTAATATAATTTTATATTGAACCTGACACAGAAAACTGGTCTTTGAAGATTCACTTTGATACTGAAAGTAATCTACAGTGAGGAGAATTTCCCCATTGCTCTGTTCTCATATTAAGTAATAAACTGTGCAGTTCTCCCCTCTCTTTCCTCAAGGGATTCAGAAAACCTTCCAGAAAACAGAAGCATTTGACTTGAAGGAAAGGCAACTAATATGGCATATAGAAACAAACTCTTCATCCTTTAAAAACAAAAAAACCCTCCATCATTTCTATAATGTCTAGCAGTTTCTGGCATACAGCAAAATTATTATTATTTTAATAAATAATTTCTTTTTTAACTCCAGGCAACTGCTTTTTGTCCAAAACATGCTACGTATTTATTCTATCGAAAAGCCTAATCTTTCCTGCTTCTTCTCCAGAAGCATTCTAACATAACCTCTAATAATGAACATTATGTTTGGTATATGCTGTGTCTAATCTTCTCTCACGATGACATAACTTGCTCTTCAGACCTCCAACAATCAGCCCAAACCAAACTCCTGAATTTTTCCTCCCTCCTCGTCTGTCCCAGCCCCTCGGTTGCTTGTCAGTAGACTCAATTACCACCATCTTCTGATCTGAATCAATTTGTTAATCTCCTTCCTCTCAGGCACAGTGCCTTTTACTGGAGATAAACATGCAAGCAAGTTCAGTTCACCCAGAGCCCTCCACATCCTCTCCCTCCAAGCCTTCACACTCCCAAAGGGGCCCAGAAAAAAAAGAAAGAAATGATATGGCAAAATCCCACTCTATCCACATCACCTCAGGGGGCTTGTTTACCATAACTTTAGACCAACTACCATTTTTGGGGAGAATCTGAAAGAATATTGTTTATGGGCTAGGTAAGAGCTAACAGAAATGGCAGTTTCATTCTTCCAATATGAGACAAGCGTCTCTGTGTGACCCAGCCCTAAAACTCACAAACCTAGACTCCTCAAACTCCCCATACTCCAGAGTTCAAGGATAACCTGCCCTCCATTTTTCCTTATTGTTTTCCATATAAAAGTCACTCGTTGTTTCCCCTCCAGCTTACACCTGGCTCCTGAAATGACTCCTCTGAATCCTCTGAGAATCCTCAAAACATGTAAAAGCCTCATTCCTTTTAATGCATGTGCAGAGCGGTGATGGTGTGAAGACGCTGGCACTTCAAACGTGAACGTGGCACGAGCCCTGCCCTCAAGGAGCCCACAATTTTCCCTCAACTCTAAAAAAGGATGTCCTCCCTGGACAGTGTCTGTAAAACACAGTGACAAAGTACTTCATAGCTCTGGAGAAAGAGCGAGGGTGGAAACAGACTTTGCCCTTACATTTGACGCCCAGTAACCATAACAACCGATGGTTTAAGTAACTATCAACCCACTGAGGGGCTAAGTTTTCCAAAAATCGTTTTCAAAAGGGGAAGACTCCCCTGCACCAACTCCCATGGCAGCCGTACGCTCTAGGCAGCGTGTGGTGCAATGTGGCCAGCCGTTCCCCGCCTTCTCCGGTTCCACCGTATGGTTTCCGTGCTCAGCAGCCAGCAGCGACGGCGTCCACGGCCACACCGCCTCCCCGCAAGGCACCTGGCGCTAGGCCTCAGCCCAATGTCACTTGTTAACCTTCCGATCCCCCGGATTTCGGCACGCCGCCGCCTCCCTGCTAAAGCACACAAACCACCCCACCGCCACCCGCGTTCTCCAGGAGTTGGAGAAAAACCACCGGGGCGCATACAACCTCTGACAGATTCGAGTAAAAGTAACTGCGGTTCTCGACTTTCAAGCATTTCGCGTCGCCGGTGAGGGGGGCGGCAGGAACCCGGGGCCCCATTCATAAAATTGCAAGCCGTTTTCCTCTAGTTTGCGCGTGACGGTGCCTCCCTGCCCGGGGCCGGGGACCGCAGGCTGAGGGGACGGGGCCGGCAGCTCCTCCCGCCGGAGTCGAGCCCGAGCCATCCGGCGGGGCCCCGAAGGAAGGGATTGCCCGGGGGTGTCGCGGGTGGGCGTCCCCTTCAATACCTGAACCATGACAGCGGGGTGGGGGGCCGAGCCCCGCCACGCCAAGGGCCGCCGGACCCGACCGGTACTTTGAAGCCCGCGGGGTCGATCCGCGCCCAGCCCGGGCCTTATCCGCGGGGCGCTCCCTCCACCGCCCCCGCCTGGCCCTGAGACTGCTCACCCAAGATCCGCTGGCTGCCTCATTGTACTATGCCGGCGCCCGTGCTCCCGGCCGCGCGACTCCGGCTTCGGCTGGGGCACCGGCCGCGGTCCTGCTGCCCTGCCGCCCGCCCGCCCCCGGGCACACGCCGCCCCGCCCCGCCGGCGGACCCGCCCCGCGCCCGCGGCCGCCGCCGCCAACCAGAGGGCGCGGGGGCGGAGCAAACGGCACGCCAGGCCCAACCAATCCAGTTCTACCGCGCGCCGAGGTGAGGCCGCGGAAATGGGGGAGCGATTTGTCAGGTCTGTTAAAGGGGCCACCGCCCTTGGAGCTAGGGAGAGGAGTGGTGGGGAGGGTTACCTGGAAGAGCCCCAGGTGAGGGGGACAAAAGCTTCACTCTCCCAACGGGGCTGCACACTGTCCCCAGCTCTTTGCACTTCTTAATTTCCTCTTCCTGCAGTCTAGCAGCAACAAGTGCCCTTGAGACGAGGGCTGGGGGTTGAGGTGGGGTGACTGAGGCGCGGAGAACCAGGGGTATCCCCCTGGGCAAATTCACTCGATTTGCATTTTAGAGGGCCATCAGACGTATCTATCCCCATCCAACTGCAGACATTGATTTAAAAAGGCAAATTCCCAGTTTCCCGCATTATGTACTTCCCCCACCTGACTACCACACTACCACATCCTATCCTGAACTAACTCTGTTACTAGTTTTTTTGTTTGAGACGGAGTCTCGCTCTGTCGCCAGGCTGGAGTGCAGTGCCGTCATCTGGGCTCACTGCAACCTCCGCCTCCTGGGTTAAAGCGATTCTCCTGCCTCAGCCTTCCGAGTAGCTGGGATTACAGGCGCGTGCCACCATGCCCAGCTAATTTTTGTATTTTTAGTAGAGACGGGGTTTCACCATGTTGGCCAGGATGGTCTCGGTCTCTTGACCTCGTGATCCGCCGGACCCAGCCTCCCAAAGTACTGGGATTACAGGCGTGAGCCACCGCGCCTGGCCACGAGTTCTTAGAGCTTAGAACTTATATAGTATTAACTACTCATTTTTAGAGAGGCAATATCTGAGGCTCAGAGAGGTAAAGTGACTTCTCGAGGTAAATTCTCACTTAGAATGAGCTTCCTGGGATGGCAATGCCCATTGTGCATTTATCTTCTGCGAACCTGGGTTGGCTGGCAGAAGCACTGGCACATAGGGAGAGTTCCCCCTTCCCCCGTAGTCCTTGCCCCTCTGCACTTCCCACCCACCACAAGAAAGGACCAAGACAACAAACAGATGTGTCAGTGTGTCTCCTGCATTAGTGGGTCCCAAATGTCAGATCTTCAACGTCAGATCATCCTGGAGGGTTTTAACATGAAGATCTCTAAGTCCCACCCCAGAACCTGTAATTCAGTAAGTCTGAGATGGCCTTCGACACCCCTCCCTCCAGGTGATTCTAATGCAAGTGGTACAAGGACCACACTCAGGTGCGTGTTTTGAGTCTATCATAGTCATGAAATTCAAATTCAATTGGCAAAATGAAAGCCAAACTCCTTTCATCCTCAGAATTAGTAATATGGTTGGGAGACTTGCTAGTAAGGGAGGAGGTCACCTACTAAGACACTCATAACAGAATAAGTCATGCCAAGAACTGAGTGTAGAAGGGCACTGGACCCAGATGAAACAACATCTGAAAGATTGAAATCCTCAAGCAGGAAGAAGATTTGATGCCTCAAGCAGAGGGAAGCCAGGCTAGTTCTCTGACCCGTGAGACAGTGCATAAATATCTTAATGGCAGACACACTCCGGCTCACCACCAGGCCCAGTCATGATCCCAGAAGAATGCCCTGCTACTCTGGTGCCTCATTCCAATGCCAGCAAGCCCTGCCTACCCTCCTGGCAACATTCCTCTCCCCTTCCTAGTATCCCAGACACCTGCCTGACCCAGAAGTCATTGTCCTCAGACTTGGAGGTCAGCCCTCGCCCACTAGATCTTGCAGGTCAGCTGCCTCCCACACAGATCTCAGGCTCTTGGAATGGCCTCCACACAATAACCCTGTTTGTGCTGTGATTTCTGATGGATGTTGTGTTGCCAGGGACAACTCTGCACAAGGATTGATCAGCCTCATGAGAATGCAGTCTCTGGGCTGCAGGCATTACTGCCTGGGATCACCACTTGCTTCTGTTGCCCTTCCCAAAGGAAAAAGAATTCATGTCCCAACAGAAGAGGTTTCCAGTTGTGGTTTTCTGGAAATGTGCAACAAAGGCAGTTACCAATGGAGACACAGCCTGAAGCTCTCCTTGGCCACATCTTCAGCCCCCTGCCTCAGGGAGAGAGAGAGAGAAAGGGTAGGGGCCCTGGAGCTGCCCCTTGCAAAGGTCCTTGGAAGCTGGCAATGTGCCTCTCAGAGTGCCCACCAACCTCCTTTCCCTACCAAGCTCCACGTAAGCATTAAATTAATTAATACACTACCAACCAGATCTCAAACTAGAAGCCAGTAAGATCCAGCATGAACACTTAGAAGGATCCCTTCTTTTTGAAATCTGAGGAATTTGGATGCATTGAAAAATAAATGAACATATCATAACACAATAATGTTTCCTACCTTTTTTTTTTTTTTTTTTTTTGAGATGGAGTCAGCCTCTGTCATGTTGCCCAGGCGGGAGTGCAGTGGCGTGACCTTGGCTCACTGCAACCCCCGCTCAGGAGGAGAGCCCAAGAGTTTGAGACCATGTTGTCCAGGCTGGTCTCAAACTCCTGGTTTCAAGCAATTCTCCTGCCTCAGCCTCCCTGAGTAGCTGGGACTACAGGCACACGCCACCACACCTGGCTAATTTTTTTTATTTTTATTTTTAGTAGATACAAGGTTTCACCATGTTGGCCAGGCTGGTCTTGAACTCTTGAGCTCAGGTGATCTGCCCACCTCAGCCTCGGCCTCCCAAAGTCCTGGGATTACAGGTGTGAGCCACTGCGCCTGGCCTGTTTCCTACCTATTAAGAGGTTACTATGTGCCAGGTACTATGCCAAGTCCCTGGAACATAGCAGTTCACTGAAACCTTACAGTAACTCTTTAGGGTAGATATGACCATTATTTTCTCCTTTTTATGGATGCAGAAACTGAAGTTCACAGATTAGTGATGTGTCCAGGATAGCAGGGCTAGTTGAAGGAAGAGCCAGCATTCATGACCGTAACCACCAGGCTTTTTTGAGATGGGGTCTTGCCATGTTGCCAGGGCTGGTCTCAAACTCCTGGGTGCAAGCGATCCTCTTGCCTCAACCTCTCCCAAACTGCTGAGATTACAGGCGTGAGCCACTGTGCCTGGCTCAAATCATGCTTAAAAGAGTGATTTTAGAGCTTGGCATCTGTGACTCATTGTAGTACCTCTGAAAAAGGTTAGGGATTGTGAGGCTAAATTCAGATATCAAGCAAGATTCCTTACTTTGTCCCCCAGATAGCTACTCTATATGTATAGCATGTACCAAGTGATCTAAATTTTTTCACCTAGAGTAGGATCTTAAGTCACAGAAATGCAAGCCCAAGCTAATACTCTCCCCTCTTTCTCTACCCCCAACCCCTCAACCCTCATGCCAGGCTCTCTTGAAACCCAGGTTTCAACTATCAGGTTAAGCCCACATAGGTTCTGATATACTTGAAAGATTCCCAATTATTGCATTTCAAGATAATCCCTATTTTCTCACCAATTTCTAAACAAACCAAAAAATGCTCTAAGATTTTATTTTTTGTTTTGAAACAGGGTCTTTCTCCGTCACCCAGGCTAGAGTGCACTGGCACACTCATGGCTCACTGCAGCCTTGACCTCCTGGGTTCCAGTGATCCTCCCACCTCAGCCTCCTGAGTAGCTGGGACTACAGGCATGCGCCACCATGCCTGGCTAATTTCTTTCTACTTTTTGTAGAGATGAGGTCTTGCTGTGTTGTCCCAGGCTGGTCATGAACCCTTGGGCTCAAATGATCCTCCTGCCTCGGTATCCCAAAGTGCTGGGATTAGGCATGAGCCAGTATGCCCAGCCTAAGATTTTTAATTCTGTTTTTGACATTGCATTCTTGGAGACAGAAATGGTTAAGAAGTACAGAAAACCAAAAAGTTGATCCACTTGTATATCTAACAAAGATTAGGGATCATCATGCCACAAGCCACACCATTAATGAGCAATCACTGTGCACTCAGTACCAGGTGGCGGGCTGAGTACTGGGGATAGAGATGAAGGCACTTGTAGATGCTAGATCTAGTAGAGAAACTGACACGTTGATAGACCATTATAGGCTTCCTTAGAGGGAAGCCCAGGAGCCGTGGGGACACAGAATAGGCACTTAGAACCCTTGGGGAACCCAATAATGTTTTTAGGGGTGGCCAGATGAAGTTCATTATGAAGAGAAGCCAGAAAGTTTACAAAAACCCAAGTAAGAGTCACCAAACCCAAGGGAGAAGAGATTGAAAGAGAGAGCAGTCAACAGCAACAGATGCCACAGAATGGTCAAATTAGAAGAGGCCTGAAAGTATGCTCTGGGATTTCGAAATTAGAAGATTAGGGTCATTGACACATGCAGCATAGATGTGGCTGGAAATGTAGAGGCTCCCTAGAGCTGGGCTGAGGAGAAGAGCTAAGAAAAAAGAAGAATCGGCCAGGTGCAGTGGCTCACGCCTGTAACCCCAACACTTTGGGAGGCCGAGGTGGGTGGATCACTTGAGGTCAGGAGTTAGAGACCAGCCTGGCCGACATGGTAAAACCCTGTCTCTACTAAAAATACAAAAATTAGCCAGACGTGGTGGTGCATGCCTGTAATCCCAGCTACTCGGGAGGCTGAAGCAGGAGAATCGCTTGAACCCGGGAGATGGAGATTGCAGTGAGCTGAGATCATACCACTGCACTCCAGCCTGGGCAACAGAGTGAGACTCCATCTCAAAAAAAAAAAGAAGAAGAAGAAGAAGAAGAATGAAGAGACTGTGCAGTGGAGGACTGATGGGATAGGGTCCAAGGAGTCCCAAGGGGACAAGAGAGTAGCCCTGGGCCAGGGTAGGAAGCAAAGTCATCTCTCGAGAGTGGGTGGGGAGGGGATGATGAAGGGCTTTGAGGGGAACCATGAGGGTTTGGAAAGCCACCAAGAGGAATGAAAGTGGGAACTGCCCGATGGAGAGGGAGGATTCTGGGAGACCCATGCGTTTGTGGTGGCACCAGGTCTGTGGAGTTGGATGGATGGCTCTCTGGGGCTTGGCCACAGAAGCCAGGTATGGAGAATCCAGGGTTAGGGATGGACAGACAGGAGAAACACTAAACAGTTGGGGACACTGACAACAGGGTGGTTGAAGTGATAGGTCATGGGTTCCATGCGGGATAGGAAATCCAAGGGAGAGGGGATAGACGGGAGGAAATATGTGGTGGCAGGAAAGGTGAGAGGAAGCCGACTTCGTTCATTGGTGAACCATTCCGAGTGATGACAAGGTCAGGTGCAGCCACAGAACTGGAGTTTCTAAAGATGCTCAACTCCTGGGTTTTCTCTTCCCCTGGATCCTTTATGGGAAATAATCAGTCTGAGGACTGGGCAAGCCTCCAACACTTTCTTTTCACTCTGCACCAGCACTGGGACGGCTCTCCAAGATGGGGGGCAGGGGGAGAGCCTCATTCGTGACTGGTTTTCCTTCTAAAATGAAAACCTGTTTATAATCAGGACTCCCACCACCTTCGAGATACAAGCATTTGTGGGAAGGGCTCCTTGAGGGACATCATCAGGGGCTTTAGAGATGCCTCAAGTGGTGGATGCACTCACGAGAATAATTCCCTGCCATAATGGGGCAGCAGACAGTGGTGATGCCCATTATTTACTTTGCCAATTAGCATGTGAGGCCTGAGGTTATTAAATATAAATGGCTCAAGCTCTGTCATTCCAAGGCCCGCTGGGGAATGGTGGCTTCTAACTGATGTGGAGCAGCACCAGGGTGGAATTTCTAAGGAGAAAGACTGACATTCTCCTCCCTTTCTGCCCTGATTCTGCACCTTGCCTCTCAGGGCCTTCCCAACACTCTGCACAGAGAAGGAATATGCCTTTCAGCAGATACTGCCTTGCTCTCTTGATGACCTTGACATTGCCTGCCATCTTTGTTGCCTTCCAACCACAAGGTCCCCTGCTCGTGACTACCATCCTCCTGCCTCCACTCCAGCACGGGAAATCCAATCTTGAGCTTGCCTGGAATCACCCCCGAACACGATTCTAACTCCAGGGACAGAAGGTCAACAGCACAGCCAATGGATGACAGCCCCAGCCCTGCAGCTGGGGCACCTCTCAGCCCCACCAGAACACACCATCCCTTAAATAGCAGAAGTGGAAGGGCTCAACTGGCCATTTAACGACATATACATCCACCCAAACACAGGGGAAGGTTGGGTGTTTCTTGGTTCGTAACCTTGAAAAGGTCATTTATACACCCAGATATAGAGTACCTAGGAATAAGCGGGAGATGCTGGCTCCCTCCCAGGTTGTTCAACAGAATTGTGAGTGGAAATGTTGGAATTGCTAGCTTTCATCATTTCCATATGGTTACTTAGCACCCATTTTCTGATTTAGAAGCAAAGATATTTGGGTGAGAGTTTAGGCAAGGAAAATGTTTGGATCTGTGAGAGTTGCCCAGAAAACAGAGCTTGAGACAAAAGCTTGTGTGTGAATACACTACTGGGGGGTGTGAGCCCAGGGAGCATAATTGAGGCTCCGGGAACTGACGCAGGGAGGGAGGCAGAAGCACTTGAGTGCGTGTCACTGGGGTGGCCACATTCCTGGCTGCTTGATTTGGAGGGAACTGTCTGAGGACTGTAAGAAGTGTCTCAGGACCCGCCCCTGGGGTAAAGGGGAGGGCACTTACCCACTGGCCCCTTCCCCATAGGTAAAAGGCTCTGCACACCTGCCTGAGCCGAGCTTCCAGAATGCACTGGCTTGGCACTGAATGGGTTCCAGTGCTTTCTAAGCTGCAGTGTCAGAAGAGATGCCCTGGGCTGGGTTTGAGAGATGGCAGCTGCAGGCCTGAGGCAAGATACTGTCAGTTTACACCTGCCAGAGCTGCTGGGAACATTCACAGTTCTCACTGCCACAGCAGTGGCTGGAAGGATCTCAGAGGGTGTTTAAGAGGTGTGTGGTACAGACTATTTTCAAAAAGAGGGATAAATTTGGAGCCAAAAAAGATATCTTAAGTTAGGATGGAGGGATATAAGATATCAAATGTCTTTTAATGTTACAGTATTCTTTTAGGGAGGCAGCATTAGGCTAGTGGCTTTGAGGTCTTTTCAACCTGGGCTCAGATTTCGACCTGGGTTCAGGGTCCACTTCTATTGTTTCTGAGTTGTGTGACCTTGGAGAAGCTATTGAACTCCCCTGAGCCCCTCATCTAGAAATTGCCGATGTCCACATCCTACAGTTTTGTAAAGATTGTGTATGTAAATTGCTTAGTATAGCATCTTTACATAATAGTTGCCCAATTAATGGAAGCTGATGTTTTTTACTATAGAGAAAATTACTGATCATGGAATGTAAGGCATGCAGGAAGACAATGGGGTGATGTGCTAAAGCCTCAAAAATCAAAAATAGAAGTGAAAGAAGATATCATATGGTTGCAGGAAACCAAAAAGATTTCTAAATGTTCCGAACAACCAAGCAGCTTCTGTCTACAATGACTACGTATCCTGGCATTTCCAAGACAGCATCCATTTGAAATATTCTCTCTGGTTGTCCCAGTACATAAATTCATATTTGAGAGGCAGTCACCTCGATCTTGAACCAGAAAACAGCATCATAGGTCTACCCCACCCAGGAGGGAAAACATCGGCTCCTAGTTTCCTTTGCTCCACCCACTCCTGGAGTGTCAAAAACATAACCCTTCTTTTCTGAGATTCTTCCTCCAACACCTCGCCTGAAGGGGCAGTTTTGTTTTCAGAAGTGAGTTAACTAACAGTCACAGGCCTTTCAGAAGAACCGGAAACTTGCAGTGCAATGGATACCCCACAGCAGAGGAGGAACCAAAATCCACAGGTGGAGAACCCCCCACCTTTAACCTCTGCCCCATCCCCGCACCCTCTCCTGCTGAGCCTGTGGGATCCACCGCAGCAAGAAATGGTTTGGGTTTTTCTGTTATGAACATGATAGAAGCTCATTTAGAATATTTTTAAAACAAAGAAACATAGAAACATAGAAGAAGGAAGAAAAGACTCATTTTCTTTTATTTTTTTTGAGACAGAGTCTGGTTCTGTCACCCAGGCTGGAGTGCAGTGGCGCGATCTTGGCTCACTGCAACTTCTGCCTCCCAGGCTCAAGCAACTCTCCCGCCTCAGCCTCCCGAGTAGCTGGGATCACACAGACACGCATCACCACGCAAGATTATAGACACATCCCTTCTCTGCTGCTAGTTTTCTGTGTGGTCCTCTAGACTGGGAGCTCTGTGAACAGTGAGCCCCTTCTGACTGGTCCTCTGTTACATCCTGACAGTTGAGCTCTGATAGGTTAAAGATGGCCACTTAGTCGTGACTGTTCCCTCATCCACAGCTATAGCTTATTTCTCCATCCCTTGGAATCTTGGGCTGGCCTTGTGAGGTAGCCAACTTCCAGAATGACCCCCATGATTCTCACTTCCTGGTCATTCATGCTTTTTCATAATCTCTCCTTCCACCATGAGTCAGGGGTCACAATAGATACAGTATGGTGGAAATGGCAATGTATGACTTCTCAGGCTAGCTTATGAAGGGCATTTGGGTTGCTGCCTTGGTCTCCTGGATTACTTGCTTGGGGAATAGTACCCATCAGGTTGTGAAGATACTCAGGCAGCCTGTGGAGAGGCTGATGTGCAGAAAAACTGAGACTACCCACCAACAACAAGCACCAATTTGTCAATTATATGAGTAAGCCACCTTGGAAATGGATCCTCCAGCCCCAGTCAAGCCTTCAGATGAGTGCAACCTTGGCCAACATTTTCACTGCAATCTCACGGACACTCCCAACCTGAACTGCCCAGAAAAACTGCTCCATAATTCCTCACCCACAGAAACTGTGAGAGATAAATGTTTATCATCATTTTAAACCACTACATTTTGGGATTATTATGCAACTATGAATAAAACACCCCATGACTGGCTTTGTCCAATAGAATGCAGCAGCTGTGATATTCTGGAACTTCTAAACTCAGGCCTTAGGAGAACTGAAGCTTTCACTTCTTGACTTTAGGAATCCAGGCACCATGCTGTAAGAAGCCCAGGCCACATGGAGAAACCACAGAAGAGAACTGAGGCACTCCAGGTGAAAGCCCCACTGAACCTCATAGCCAACAGTCAGCATTGATTGCCATATCTGTGCATGGACCATCTTGGAGGTTCCAGCCGTGTCATGTCCTAGACACCTGCAGCCTTAGCTATCACCACAGAGAGCAAAACACACAGTTGAGCTCAGTCAACCCACAGAAATGTGACATAATAAAATGGCAGTTGTTTTCAGCCCCAGTTTTGGGGTGATGTTTTGTACTGCAATATTTAACCATAAGCTGGCTCAGCTTCTGGCATCTAATTGACTCTTGAAAAATACCTGGTGGGCCAAGCACAGTGGCTCACACCTGTAATCCTAGCACTTTGGGAGGCCAAGGTGGGCAGATTGCCTGAGCTCAGGAGTTCGAGACCAGCCTGGGCAGCATGGTGAAACCCCATCTCCACTAAAATATAAAAAATTAGCCAGGTGTGGTGGCATGTGCCTGTAATCCCAGCTACTTGGCAGGCTGAGGCAGGAGAATTGCTTGAATCCGGGAGGGGGAGGGTGCAGTGAGCCGAGATTGTGCCACTGTACACTCCAGCCCGGGCGACAGTGAGACTCCGTCTCCAAAAAAAGAAAAGAAGAGAAAAATATCTGGTGAACACATGGGTGTCCCTTGTTGAGTCTCAGCTTCCTCTTCTGTAACATCGCAGAGGTTAGGCTATTCCATGCCTCACGTTCTACTAGTCTCCACCTCTCTGTGGTGGTGTGTCTCCTAGCCCAGCTGCCTGCTGCAGGGTCACACTTTATTCTTGCAGGAACTCCAGCATCTGTGGCGTCTCTGTCCTCCACCGCATGCTAGTTCCTCCTCCCTTCTTTCTGAGGCACTCACACACCCCAGGTACCCGCTTCCTCCTGAAGCTCTCCTGGCGTTTTGATCATGGGGCTGTGAGGTTTGGCAGGAGGAGAGCAGTACAGGCCCTCTGCCTTTTGGGTTACACCTCCTCAGTTCAGCCAGAGGATGCTAGAAATGTTCCCAAAAGGGCCCTGTGACACACAGGTGACAAGAGGAACAAACGCAGACTGTCTGCCATCTACCCTTCCTCAAGGCCAAGTCCTGGAGTTGTCTTTTTGCTAGAACATGACTGGCCTCTTTCACAGTGTCCAGAGCCCAGGCTACATTTCTTAGAACAGAGATGAGAACCCTGCTTCTGAGAACAAATGCTCAGCCTCGGGCTTATTAGGTTCCCTTATTTGCCACAGAAACACCAGGATCGGCCGGGCCCGGTGGCTCACACCTGTAATCCCAGCATTTTGGGAGGCCAAGGTGGGTGGATCACCTGAGGTGAGGAGTTTGAGACAAGCCTGGGCAACATGGCAAAACCCCGTCTCTACTAAAAATACAAAAATTAGCCGGGCGTGGTGCCGGGCACCTGTAATCCCAGTTACTTGGGAGGCTGAGGCAGGAGAATTACTTGAACCCAGGAGGTGGAGGTTGCAGTGAGCCAAGATCGTGCCACTGCACTCCAGCCTAGGTGAAAGAGTGAGACTCTGTCTCAAAAAAAAAAAAAAAGAAACATCATGATCACTTTTACTAGTGGTGCCTACGGCCATCTGGGGGCAGGGAGTAGATCTCTGTCATTCCCATTAAAACAATAAATAAGTAAAAAGGAAACTGAGGGTCCAGGAGCGGTGGCTCACGACTGTAATCCCAGCACTTTGGGAGGCCGAGGCAGACATATCACGAGGTCTGGAGTTCAAGACCAGCCTGACCAACATGGTGAAACCCATCTCTACTAAAAATACAAAAATTAGCCGGCTGTGGTGGTGCGTGCCTCCAATCCCAGCTACTCCGGAGACTGAAAAAGAAGAATCACTTGAAACTGGGAAGCAGCGGTTGCAGTGAGTTGAGATCATGCCACTGTGTACTCCAGCTTGGGCAACAGAACGAGACTCCATCTCAAAAAAAAAAAAAAAAGAAAGAAAGAAAGGGAAACTGAGGCCTGAAGAAGCCAAGTCTCTGGCCTAAGGTCACAAAACAAACCCAGCTTACTGGCAGAATTGGAATTGCCTTCTTTCTATATCCAATCGCCCACTCCACCCTCCTACACCCACCTGGCCTCCCATGTCACTCAGCCATCACGGTGTGACCCACTTAAATCATTATTCAGAAGACCAGTTGGCCCTTCCTGACTGTAAGTCACCCCCAAAGCATCACTGTCACCATTATAATTAGTAAGGCCTCATTAAACTAAGAAGGTACCTGTCCCAGACTTTAGGAAGCCACCTGGTTTCCGGAGGCTGGGAGGGACTATGACATAATTCATCTATCCAGCAGAAAATACTGATTGAATGCCTGCTGGGTTCTGGGGTGCCCTAAAAGGTGCTAGTGAACAAAACCCAGGCCCTGCTCACGAGGAGCTTGCAGTCTAGTGGGAAATTCGGAAGCCCTGCCTCTGCCTGTGTGCACATTATGATGGTGAATGTCACATACCCTGGCCCAGCCCAAGGGATGTTTTCATATATTGCAGAGCAGAGGAGAAAACAGCAACCTTCCCCTTACACTCCAGACTTGCCCAACTGCCTGCTGGGTCTCGCCTGTTGGATGCTAATAATCATCTCAAATCATCCCACATCAAAATACATCAAACAGAACTAGCTCTTAGGCTCTGCCCACCCTCTCTTCATCAATGGCACCCACCTACCCACTCGTTCAAGTCAAGAACAATGAGTTGTCTCAGTTGCATCCTTGTCCTCAATTTCATCCTCTCCTGGTCACATCCAATCCATGAGCAAGTGCTGGGTTGGGCATGTCCAAACTCTGCCCCAAATCCAACCCCACAGCCATCATCCTTTCTCACCTCATGCCTCTGCTGTTACTCAACGATTCCACTTCAAAACGATCATCACAAATCTCAAATGGGCACTGGGCCCTGGCTGGCAAGCCTATATTACCTGGGTGAGTTCACTCTCCCACTCTCAGACCTCTGTGACCACTCTTTCCACAGAAGGCCTAACCTCTCTAGCTTCCTGAGACTTTACTATTGCAACCATTTCCCCCTTTCTCCTGCATAATCAATTTCTTCTTGTCTACCAGATTATTCCAATTAACGTACAAACATGTTCTCCTATCTCCCTTCTGAAAAATTCCCTTCCTCTTGCCCATCACCCCTCTCACTGCTACTCCATTCCCAGCTGTCCTTTACAGCAAAATTTTTCCAAAGAATTCTCTTCCTCTCCTATCATCCTCTTTCACCTGCTCCAAAGTGGCTTCTGATAAGTGGCTTCTGCCTCTACTGCTCCTCTAAAACTGCTCTTGTCACACCACTGATGATCTCCACTCTGCCAAATCCAGAGGTCACATGTGGGTCTCTGTCTTACTTGGCCCTTATACAGTTCTTTTCAAAACATCCATTAAGACCGGGCACAGTGGCTCACCTCTATAATCCCAGCACTTTGGGAAGCCCAGGCAGGTGGATCACCTGAGGTCAGGAGTTCGAGACCAGCCTGGCCAACATGGTGAAACCTTGTCTCTGCTAAAAATACAAAAATTAGCCGGGCGTGGTGGCGCATACCTGCAATCCCAGCTAATGGAGATGCTGAGGCAGGAGAATCACTTGAACCCCAGAGGTGGAGGTTGCAGTGAGCCGAGATCACGCCACTGCACTCCAACCTGGGCAAGAGTGAAACTCCATCTAAACAAACAAAACAAAACAAAACAAAACAAAAATAGAGATCAAAACATCCGTTGGCCACCTCTTAATCTATCCAAGCCTGATTCACTTAGAATGAGCTCTTCTGTTCTCGCCAGGCCATGGTAGGATGGAGAGATGTCAAGTCTCAGCACTCAAGTCACACATTTGTGGTGGTCCAGCAGATCGGACTTAAGAAAGGACGTCAATCCATCCACTGGTGCTGGAAAATGCGAGGGTGGAATGTTGGCCAGGGCAGGCCGTGAGATGTCCACTAGGATCACCAGACAATGTCCCTGTGAACTTGTTCCCTTTATCTTTTACACAGGGCTGGAAATAGAAAATGTAAAACATTGATACAGTCCAGGCACAGTGGCTCATGCCTGTAATCCCAGCACTTTGGGAGGCCAAGGCAAGAGGATTACTTGAGCCCAGGAGTTTGAGACCAGCCTGGGCAACATAGTAAGACCTCATTTCTACAAAATAAAAAAATAAAATTAGCCAGGCATGGTGGCATGTGCCTGTAATTCTAGCTACTTGGGAGGCTAAAGCAGGGGGATCATTTGACCCTGAAAGTCAAGGTTGCAATGTGCCATGATTGTGCCACTGCACTCCAGCTTGGGTGACAAACAGAGTAAGATCCTGTCAATCAATCAATCTAAATAAAAATAAATAAATAAATAAAACGTTGATACAGGGAGTGACAGGATCACTGGTGTTTCTTTTTCGCTTCTCAATTTCCATGATTGCTGTTCAAATGGTGTTTAGGGGCTGCGTGCGGCGGCTCATGCCTCTAATCCCAGCACTTTGGGAGGCTGAGATGGGCAGATCACTTGAGCTCAGGAGTTCGAGACCAACCTGGGCAACATGGTGAGACCCCCGTCTCTACCAAAAACACAAAAAAATTAGCTGGGGATGGTGGCACATGCCTGTAGTCCCAGCTACTTGGGAGGCTGAGGTAGGAGGATCACCTGAGCCCAGGAGACCGAGGTTGTAGTGAGTCAAGATCGTGCCACTGCATTCCAGCCTGGGTGAAAGCGCGAGATTCCGGAAATTCCGTCTCAAAACAAACAAACAAACAAACAAACAAAAAATGGTGTTTAGGCAACAGAGAAAAGTTGAGTGCCAAAATTTACAATGCCTGATAAGAAGATTTGGTCCTCATCTGCACGGATCCCGCCTATGGGCGGTGAGCAGGAAAGAATCCCCACCACAGGCAGCAATTAATAGAGACCTGCTCACGGCAGCTCTGAAGGATGTGACGGCTGGAGCCTAGCTGGCATCACTCAGGATTCCTGTGCAGCTGGGATTGTGTCTCAGTGACCTTTTCAAGAACTTGGCTATAGAATCCATTTATCTGCTATATACTCTGTTTAACCTTTATGCTGACAAAGAATGCCCCAGGGAACAACTTGAAACCTTGCCTTTCTTTTCTCTCTTTCTGGAGATTAATCCATATTCAATCCCAATCTTTTTTTTTTATCAATACCAATCTCCTTCTCAGACCTCTTCACCTTTACTGGACTCAGAAGCTTCAGTTCTCCTTCCTCTAAAGATGAAATCAAGCCTTGTCGCCCTGACAACACATTTCCTTTGGCCCAGGGTTGTAAATCAAGAATGGCCTAGGTCCCTCCGGTCCTCTCCTGAGGTCCCTTGTGTATCTCCCTTGTGACACATCAAAAGAGCCATACACATACTTATTAGCATCTCTGCTCTTGAATTGTGGACTCCAGGAATGCAGAAATTGGACCTTGTCCCCTCCCTCCTTTCCTAAGACCAGACCCTTTAGAGACCCTCCAGAAACACTTGTTGAAAGAGTGAAATCCACTAGGGGCCCGTGAAGGGCCCTCTCTGGGCCTGTTGAACTCAAGGAAACCTTTCTCAGTTCTTCTCTGTCCTTCTCTCAGCTTTTCTAGACACAACATACTCTATCCAGCTAGCGTTTGGAAAGGTCCTGTCTGACTCCAGCCTCATCTGCCAGAAAGAGAGAGAGAAAAAAGTTACTGCATGCTGAGTTGAGATATTTTTAGGCTAACAGCTGCTGGGATGAACCAGAGAGTTTCTGTTCTTTTTTTTTTTTTTTTTTTTTTTGAGAACAGAATCTGGCTTTGTCTCCCAGGCTGGATTGCAGTGGTGCCATCCCAGCTCACTGCAGCCTCCACCTCCTGGGCTCAAGCGATCCTCCCACCTTAGCCTCCTGAGTTGCTAGGACTACAGGCCCACACCACCACACCCAGTTAATTTTTATATTTTTTGTAGAGATAGGGTCTTGCTATGTTGCCCAGGCTGGTCTCAAACTTCTGGGCTCAAGCGACCCTCCCACCTCAGCCCCCGAAGTGCTGGGATTACATGTGTGAGCCACCTGCCTGGCCCTGAGTTTCTGTTCTTGTTCCGCAAGGTGTGACAGACATCACTTCGTCCTAGGCTGCAGAAGCTTCAAACTGACAAGTCCCATCTAGGGAACAGAGCAGTACCATGAGGAAATTCCTGTTTCTGTGGCTGAGTCTGCACAAAAAAGAGTGAATGGGGTATGCTAAATTTTGCTTTCTCTTAAGGACTTCTGAAGACTGAAAAACCAAGATCTATTAAGAGGGGTGTGGTTTTGAGTCTAGCCCACTGGGAACCAGCATGAGTCCTGTGTGACAGGCCCAAGCCTGGCTGCTGATTCTGGCAGAGTTGGCCAGGTAAGGCATGAGAGTCCTGGGAAAATAATGTGGGAGGGTGGACAGGAAGTGCCTGCCCAGACAGAGTAGGGAGAAGGATGTGAGTAAAACCAAGGATGTGTAAGCACGTGCGTGTGTGTGTGTGTGTGTGTGTGTCTGTGTGTTTACAAACTGACAAGAGGTGTAACTCTCTTTCCTTTTGATGCTGTGACCTCTCCCAAGGGACTTTCTCCAATAACGGTTGGTGAGTTTCCTTACTATAAAGGGGAACACTAGACATTTCCAGAAATTTAACAAAGCCTGCATCAAACTACAGTTGGGAAGTGTGTATGTAAAATTGTCACAAGATTATTGACTATGGCTGGGTGTGGTGGCTCATGCTTGTAATCCCAGCACTTTGGGAGGCCAAGATAGGTGGACTGCTTTGAGCTCAGGAGTTCAAGACCAGCCTGGGCAACATGGTGAAACCCGTCTCTGCAAAAAAAAGTAAAAAAAAAAAAAAAAAAAAAAAAAAAAAAAAAGCTGGGCTTGGTAGCGCACCTATAGTCCCAGCTACTTGGGAGACTAAGGTGAGAAGATCATTTGAACCCAGGGAGGTGGAGGCTGCAGTGAGCCAAGATTGTGTCACTGTACTCTAGCCTGGGTGACAGAGCAAGACTCCATTAAAAAAAAAATCAGAAGTTTAAAAGAATAAGGACCAGACCTTTAAAATTCTGTCCAACTTTATAATCTTATTTAAAAATAAATACAAGTTTTTGGCCGGGTGCAGTGGCTCTCGCCTGTAAGGCATGACTTTGGGAGGCCGAGGTGGGTGGATCACATGAGGTCAGGAGTTCGAGGCCAGCCTGGCCAACATGGTGAAACCCCATCTCTACTGAAAATACAAAAATTAGCCGGGCGTGGTGGCACATGCCTGTAATCCCAGCTTCTTGGGAGGCTGAGGTAGGAGAATCACTTGAACCTGGGAGGCAAAGGTTTCAGTGACCCGAGATTGTACCATTGCACTCCAGCCTGGGCAACAAGAATGAAACACTGTCTCAAAATAATTAATTAATTAATTAATTAAAATAAAATAAATAAACACAAGTTTTTGAAAAACAAAATAGATTGATGTGTTTTGGTTTTAGGGAGACCTTAACTTTTGTTTGATGGGAGAGGAGGTTGAACAAAACTGTTCTAGAAAGCTACTCCTTTATTCTGCGTGTCTCACTAATTAGGCAGAAGAGGAATCACGGGGCTAGCTTGTCCTGTAGACTATCAGATCTTTTGTTTCATAGCTATATTTTAAGCTTTTTTTTTTTCTTTCGGTAGTTTCCTCATCTGGATATTTGAAGCTTTTTAATCATAGAAAATTTCAAACACGGGAAGTTGAGACAGGAGAATCGCTTGAACCCGGGAGGTGGAGGTTGAAGTAACCTGAGATCACTTCACTGCACTCTAGCTTGGGCGACAGAGCAAGACTCTGTCTCAAACAAAAAAAAAAAGACTGGGTGCTCATGCCTGTAATTCCAGCACTTTGGGAGGCCGAGGCGGGCGGATCACCTGAGGTCAGGAGTTCGAGACCAGCCTGGCTAACATGGTGAAACCCCGTCTCTACTAAAAATACAAAAATTAGCTGGGCATGGTGGTATACATCTGTAATCCCAGCTACTCAGGAGGCTGACGCACGAGAATTGCTTGAACCCGGGAAGTGGAAGTTGCAGTGAGCAAAGATCCTGTCACTGCATTCCAGCCTGGGAGACAGAACGAGACTCCATCTCAAAAAAAAAAAAGAAAAAAGAAAAAAGAAAATCTCAGATAGACACAAAAGCAGAGATGATAGCGGCGGAATCAATGCCTGTGATTCCCGTAACCCAATGAGCAACACATGCCTAATCTTTTTTCATCAGCTCCCTAGTCCTGTCTCAATTGCATTTTCAAACAAATTCCAAATATATTATTTCATTTGTAAGTACTTCATTGTGTATCTTTAAAAATATACGACCGCAACAGCATTAGCATGCCTAGAAAAAGTAACAATAATTCTTAATATCATAAAATAGCCAGCCAGAGTTAAGTTTTCCTGATTTTTTTTCTTCATATTTGGCACTGAATATTTATCAAGAGTCTTCAAAATGTTTAGGCTATCAAGTCCACTTCTATAAATATTTCCTGAATGCAGAATAAACTTTCTACATAGAGATATTTTCTGCAGTGCTATTGATAATGAAATGTGGCCAAATTAAATGGGCACACTAGGTAAATTAAGTCGTGGTCATACTCAATGAAATAGCATTGTGGTTAGAGAAAGGCAGGATGTTAGACAGACTCACTCCTCCATTTATTTACTATTAAGTGACCTGCCTTCTTGAAGCATCATTTTACTCACAGATAAAATATGGGTGATAATAATACCCACCTCATGGGTTAGGCCCTCCCATTGTGAGGGCTACACAAAAATGCACCTAACACAGCAAAGTGTTTGCATGGTTCCAAGTGAACCCTCAATATATGGTCACTGTAAAATGTGCAGTAATAAATGTTCATGAAGAACTTGTAGTAACATAAAAAATTATAAAGTCAAGTTTAAAAATGATAAAACAGGCCAGGCCTGATGGCTCACACCTATAATCCTAGCACTTTGGGAGGCTGAGGCTGGAGGATCGCTTGAGCCCAAGAGTTGGAGACCAGCCTGGGCAACATAGAGAGACCCCTACAAAAAAATAAAAACAGGCTGCGTGGGGTGGCTCACACCTGTAATCCCAGCACTTTGGGAGGCCGAGATAGGTGGATCACTTGAGGTCAGGAGTTCGAGACCAGCTTGGCCAACATGGCGAAACCCTGTCTATACTAAAAATGCAAAAATTAACTGGGCATGGTGGCATGCAGCTGTAGTCCCAGCTACTTGGGAGGCTGAGGTATGAGAATCCCTTGAACCTGAGAGGCAGAGGTTGCAGTGAGCCAAGATCGCATCACTGCATTCCAGCTTGGGTGACAGAGCGAGACCATCTCAAAACAAACAAACAAAAAATTAAAAACAAAAAAATTACCTGGGCATGGTGGCACACACCGGTAGTCCCAGCTGCTTGGGAAGCTGAGATGGGAGGATCACTTGAGCACAGGAGGTCGAGGCTGCAGTGAGCTGTGATCATGCCACTGCACTCCAATAAAACAAATACACATATCCTATAACTACAGCCACATAAAGACAGTGTCTAAAGTTAATATGTCAAAATAACAGATTATCATTGCGTAGTGATTCTCTATCGTCCCCCACCCCTGCCCTTATTCTGCTTCTGTAAAAACAATGCAAACTCAATACAGAAAATTTGGAAAGTGCAGAATGGGGGGAAAAAATCCAAGGTTTGATTAATTAATAAAGGGGCAATGTTGAGATTTTCCTCTTAAGTCCACAAGGCTTACCACGCCCCCGTCCATTGGCTACCAAGCCCGTTAGCGCTACCTCGTGGTCAAACTAAGCAACTACTCTTAGACAAAAAAAAAAAAATTTCAAGGAAGAATTAAACAAGCAATGGTATAGCTCCATAAGTAGCAAAAATGTTACGCTGGGACTTTTATCTTGGGGCTTCTATGGGCCCAGTGGGTATCCCAGGGGCCTCATGGAATTGACCTCAGGTGAACAAAAATATGGCTCAAGTATTTTATATGACTGACTAGTCCGCGATACATTCTCCATGAATCTAGCCCACCCTTAGGGCTATCCTGTGTTCAGCCTGAGCCTTTCCGGAAATTTGTCTCCACTGTGTCCAATGTACAGAGAGGAGCAAGCCCACCCACTAGTGCAGAGAAAAGCTGGCCCCTGCCCGCTGGAAGCCCACCTGAGAGAGGGTGGTCCGAGAGGAACCCATACCTGCGTCCTCCACCCACATCGAATCCCCCCGGGGCCAACTGTTCTGGAAGGCCCCTAAACCAGCTGCGGGGCCACTTGGCTCTGAAGTGTTTGGGGCGCTTTGACATAATTTTGTTGTGTCTGCCCAGAAATCCTGACGCAGGCGGTCGGGGGTGGGGGGCCCTGGGGATCTGTAATTGACAAAGGCTCAGTGGGTTTGGGGACCTGGCACTCCCTAGATGACCTTTCCGGAATTGCCAGTCTCTGTCCTCTTCCGGAGGAATCTGGAAAACTTCCTCCAGAGTGTGGCATTGTTTCAAGAGTGACACATGTCATCGAAGCAGGGCTCTGGAGGCAGATGGCGGATTTCCTCCTGGCTCTGCCCCCAAACCTGCTGAGCCACAGCTTCTTCATCTGTGAAAAGAACATGATAATCTTCATACCCAGCTCTCAAGCTTGTTGTGAAGACTATTTAGTGTAATAATTTAATTACACTTATATTTACATTTAATCATAATTATTTAATATAGGTAAAGCCCCAAGCCCTTATTATTATTTTTGAGACAGAGTCTCACTCTGTTGCCCAGGCTGGAGTGCAGTGGTGTGATCTCTGCTCACAGCAACCTCTGCCTCCTGGTTTCAAGCGATTCTCCTGCCTCAGCCTCCCAGGTAGCTGGGACTACAGGCACACGTGCCACCACACCCAGCTGGTTTTTGTATTTTTAGTAGAGATGGGGTTTCACCATGTTAGCCAGGCTGGTCTCGAACTCCTGACCTCAAGTGATCTGTTCGCCTCGGCATCCCAAAGTGCCGGGATTACAGGCGTGAGCCACCGTGCCCAGCCCCCCTTATTATTATTACATACATATGGGTGCCTTTAAATAATGTTTAAAAGGAACAACCCTACTGTGGTTTGAATGTGTGTGTCTCTTCGAAATGTGTGTTGAAATTTCGTTCCCAATGCATGAGGTGGGGCTTTTAGGAGATGACTAGGTCAGAGGGCCTTGCCCTCATGAATGGGATTAGGGTTCTTATAAAAGGGCTGAAGGGAGCCTATTTGTCCTTTTCATCCCTTTCTCCCTTTCCACCATGTGAGGAGACAGCATTTGTCTCTTCTGGAGGACGCAGCAACAAGGCACCATCTTGAAAGCAGAGATGGAGCCCTCACCAGATACTGGATCTGCCAATCCCTTGATCTTGGACTTTCCAGCCTCCAGAACTGTGAGAAATAAATTTCTACTATTTATAAATCACCCAGACTAAGGTATTTTGTTATAGCAGCAGGAACAGACTAAGACAAACGCTTAAAGGAATCTTGAAGAAGAATCTCCGGGTGTAGTTAAAATATACGGTTTGAACCATTCCCCTAAGTAAATTCAGGTGGAATCCCCATGTCATGGATGATGTGTGTCATTTATAGAAGTGATCTCTCTAGGGAAGGATGAGTAGTGGGTGCCTGAGGGGGATTTAGGGACAGCCAAGGCTGGTTGTAATGACTAGGGCAGTGTCTCAATTTGTATGACCAGTACGTGATGACATAGAATAGGGTTTTCCAAAGTGGGCACCGCTGTGGTACTCAGATGCTTCTAGTAGTCCAGAGACCAAAGCTGGTGTATTAGGCCATTCTTGCATTGCTATAAAGAAATACCTGAGACTGAGTAATTTACAAAAGAGGTTTAATTGGGTCATGGTTTTGCAGGCTGTGCAACCATGGTGCCAGCACCTGCTTGGCTTCTGGGGAGGCCTCAGGGTGCTTTTATTCCTGGCTGAAGATGAAGCGGGAGCAGACATGTCACGTGGCCAGAGCAGGAGCAAGAGAGAGAGTGGTGGTTGTGAGGGGTGCCACATACTTAAACAACCAGATCTCCTGAGAACTCATTTACTATCACGAGGACAGCACCAAGCCATGAGGGATCCGCTCCCATGACCCAGACATCTCCCACCAGGCCTCGCCTCCAACACCAGGGTTTACAGTTCAACATGAGATTTGGCCAGGATATATATTAAAATTATATCCGTTGGTCATTAGGTCTACTGGCCACACCATTCCTGCTGATCCTGTCTGTGGTGGGTCAGCTGACTTGAGCCTTCAGTGGTCTGGCCATTCTGTTTCTTGCTGAAACCAATTAAATGCAGGCGAATTTGCCAGACTACAGCCCTGTGAGGGTGGGAACTTTGTCTTTTTCACCACTATATGCCCAGCCCCTAGAATTGTGCCTGGAAAACAGCGTGTGCTCAAAAATGTATGTTGAATGAGTGAATAAATGAATGACTGAATGAAATTGGCCTCCTGAATTATTCACCCAACTCCCGACAGCTTGATTAATGAAGTAAGCTGATAAAGAAGTTTCCAGAGGCTGAGGGCAGTGGCTCATGCCAGTAATCCCAGCACTTTGGGAGGCCGAGGCGGGAGAATCACCTGCGATCAGGAGTTCAACCACCCTGGCCAACATCGTGAAACCCCGTCTCTACTAAAAATACAAAAAGTTAGCCAGGCGTGGTGGTGCGTGTTTATAGTTCCAGCTACTTGGGAGGCTGAAGCAGGAGAATCGCTTGGACTCGTGAGGCGGAGGTTGCAGTGAGCCGAGATTGTGCCATTGCACTCAAGCCTGGGCAACAAGAGCGAAACTCCATCTCAAAACAAACAAACAGAAGTTCCTGGAAAGGTAAGGCCTGAACTAAAGCCCCACCTGGAAAGATGCTTTATTGACTGGCTGATGAATAAGAAAGACCCCTCCCAACCCTGCCCCTTGCTGCATGGAGCAAATTGTCAGGGGCCAGACACCTAGGCTTCATGGTGCTGTGCCAGGAGGTCGTAGAGGGCCAAGCTGCCCCTGCCTAACTCCTCTATCTCTGCTCCCTGATTATCAATACTCCTCTGGCACATCCAACAGGGCTCCTAGGTTGTTAAGTGGACTCAAGGCCCGGGCAGGCTTAGGCTGCAGATTGGCTTCTGTCTGAAGTTCCATCAAAGAGAGAAGAGCAACATCTCAGAAACATGATGAAAGGCTCCTGGGAAGCAGGGTCTGATTTTCAAAAGGTCATCTACAGCCCACATCAAGAGTACCTGCTGTTCTCAAAGGACAGGGCTCTAAACAGAGACTGCAGCTATTTCCTTCTCTGACATTCAACACAGTGACTAGAACCAGGCAAAGGCACCCAGAGGACCATGGCAGCCCATCCTGGAGTTGAGAGGGCTGGATGATGGGGCCCTGAGGGAGAGACAGCACTGTCTTGGGCTGTTATAGTCAGGATCTGCCACATGTCCTAACAGGGCTGGAGGAAGGGTCCTGATATGGTTTGGCTGTGTCCCCACTCAAATCTCATCTTGAATTGTAGCTCCCACAATTCCCATGTGTTGGGAGTGACCCAGTGGGAGGTAATTGAATCATGGGGGCAGGTCTTTCCCATGCTATTCATGTGATAGTGAATAAGTCTCATGAGATCTGATGGTTTTATAAAGGGCAGTCTCCCTGCACAAACTCTCTTCCCTTGTCTGCTGCCACGTGAGACGTGCCTTTCACTTTCTGCCATGATTGTGAGGCCTCCCCAGCCACGTGGAACTGTGAGTCCATTAAATCTCTTTCTTTTGTAAATCGCCTAGTCTTGGGTGTGTCAGGTATGTCTTTTATTTTTATTTATTTATTTTGAGACAGAGTCTCACTCTGTTGCCCGGGCTGGAGTGCAGTGGTGCTATTTTGCCTCACTGCCGCCCCTGCCTCCCTGGTTCAAGCGATTCTCCTGCCTTGGCGTCCCAAGTAGCTGGGATTACAGGCGCTTGCCACCACGCCTGGCTAATTTTTGCATTTTTAGTAGAGACAGGGTTTCGCCATGTTGGCCAGGCTGGTCTCAAACTCCTGACCTCAGGTGATCTGCCTGCCTCAACCTCCCAAGATGCTGGCATAACAGGCGTGAGCCACTGTGACCGGCCTGGGGTATGTGTTTCTCAGCAGTGTGAAAGTGGATTAATACAAGTGCCCTGCCTGTCTTGAGAGACAGTAGAAAGACACTGTCCTGGGAGTCCAAGGCAGGGCCTGTCCCCATAGGGAGCACAGGGTGAGCAGGACAGAACCAATCTTCAGGGGGAACTTTCCAGAGCCGTGGATTGTTGGACTGACCGCTCCCTTGACTGAAGGAAGGTTCGAAGAAGGCCCTCCAGCCCGAGGTGTGTCCTGAATCAGGCCCTGGGGATCATAGCAAGAACCAGCAGGCCCTTTCATCAGAGCCCCACTCTCTGGGCATGTCACAGCTGTGCCTAGGAGGGCTCGCTCTCTCTCCTCCAGTGGGAACACAGCAGGGCCAGTAGGGCCTCCGAACTGGGCCCATCTTCCTCAAGCTGAGTTCGTCAATTTCCCCAGGCCCAGACTGTCCCCCTGAGCCTTTGCCCAGGAGCTGCTTTGCCCACAAAGCCTTCTCACCCTGCCTTCTTGTTGCAGATTAAAGGGCACCTCCACTGTAATTAGATCCTTTTTCAAACAAAAGAACTATACGTAATGTCCTTGAAATAACTGGGGAAATTTGAATATGAACTGGGCATTGGATTATCAAAGAAATATGATGACCTACGTTTGGTGTGATAAAGGTATCCCTATGTAGGAAATTATCTTTGTGTGTTCTTTTTTTTTGAGACGAAGTCTCGCTCTTATCCCCCAGGCTGGAGTGCAATGGCATGATCTTGGCTCACTGCAACCTCCGCCTCCTGGGTTCAAGCGATTCTCCTGCCTCAGCCTCCCAAGTAGCTGGGATTATAGGCATGTGCCACCACGTCTGGCTAATTTTTGTATTTTTAGTGGAGACGGGGTTTCACCATGTTGGCCAGGCTTGCCTCAAACTCCTGACCTCAGGCGATCCACCCGCCTCGGCCTCCCAAAGCGCTGGGATTACAGGCGTGAGCCACCGTGCCCAGCTATCTTTGTTTTTAAAAGGAGGCCGGGCGTGGTGGCTCATGCCTATAATCCCAGCACTTTGGGAGGCCAAGGCGGGCGGATCAAAAAATCAGGGGATTGAGACCATCCTGGCCAACATGGTGAAACCCTGTCTCTACTAAAAATGTAAAAATTAATCGGGCGTGGTGGTGCACTCCTGTAATCCTAGCTTCTTGGGAGGCTGAGGCCAGAGAATCCCTTGAACTCGGGAGGCGGAGGTTGCAGTGAGCCAAGATTGCGCCACTGCATTCCAGCGAGCCAAGATTGCGCCACTGCACTCCAGCCTGGTGACAGAGTGAGACTCTGTCTCAAAAAAAAAAAAAAAAAAAGGAACACTGAGGTATTTGGGGGTGAACCTCTGCAATGTCTGAAGTTTACCTTAAAATCCTTCAGAAGGAAGTTAGAAATAAATCTAGCAAGATGCTAATAACTGTTAAGCCTGGGTGGTGAGCATGTAAGGCTTTCTGTATGTTTGGAAATTTATATAATATAATGTAGGAAGAACCTCCGAGAGGCCTTCCCTGATTCCCTAGAACTGGGTTGGGTGTCCCTCTCATGGGTGACCGTAGTTCCTGTCCTGGCCCGACATCAGTCACCGGGACACTTAGAATTCTGAATTCAACTGCCTGCCTTTTAAAATTAGGTTAAGACCCTTGGGGGTACCCCCAGAGAGTCTGACAGAGAGTAGATGCTAATACAGGAATGCTGGAAAGAAGGAAGGAGGAAGAGGGAGGAGGGAGGGAGGCTGCAGCCCCCAGCTCCCGTCTCAGAACCAGGCACACAGCAAGTCCTCAACTCTTGTTTATTAGGCTGAATTTTCTTTTCTATTTTTTTTGAAACGGAGTCTTGCTCTGTCACCCAGGCTGGAGTGCAGTGGTGCAATCTTGGCTCCCTGCAACTTCCACCTCCAGGGTTCAAGTAATTCTTGTGCCTCAGCCTCCTGTGTAGCTGGGAATACAGGCATCCACCACCACGCCTGGCTAATTTTTATATGTTCTTTTTTTAGTAGAGACAAGGTTTTGCCATGTTGGCCAGGCTGGTCTTGAACTCCTGACCTCAAGTGATCTGCCCGCCTCAGCCTCCCAAAGTGTTGGGATTACAGGCATGAGCCAGCGTGCCTGGTCTAGGCTGAATTTTCTAGGAGGAAGCCGGCTCTCCTGTCTTCCTTTTCCTTGAGGGTTCTATCAGTGTCATAGTCAGAAGACAGGCTGGGTTTTGTGGCCGCCTTCCTTTTCTGTGTCCCAAGCCCACCCTCAGCCAAAGTGCTGTTGGAAATTGAGGCTGAATATTTATGCCCACCACACAGAAATGTGTACATGAATTTTTTTGTTTGTTTGTTTGTTTGTTTTGAGATGGAGTCTTGCTCTATTGCCCAGGCTGGAGTGCAGTGGCGCGATCTTGGCTCGCTGCAACCTCTGCCTCCCGGGTTCAAGTGATTCTTCTGCCTCAGCCTCCCGAATAGCTGGGACTACAGGCGTGCGCCACCACGACTGGCTAATTCATGAATGTTTTTAGCAGCAGTATTCATGATAGCAAAAAAGGTCAAACAACCCAAATGTCCACCAACTGATGAATGGATAAAATGTGGTGTATCCATACAACGAAATATTATCTGGCAATAAAAGGGAACAAAGTTCTGATGGATGCCACAACAGGGATGAACCTCAAAAACATTACGCTAAGTGGAAGAAGCCAGTCACGAAGGGTCACATATTATGATCACATTTATATGGAAGGTCCAGTGTAGGCAAATCCACAGAGGCAGAAGACTGATATGTAGTTTCCTAGGACTATGAGAGTTAGAGGAAGACAGAGTCTCGCTCTGTCACCCAGGCTGGAGTGCAGTGGCGTGATCATGGCTCGCTGTAGCCTTGACCTCCTGGGCTCAAGCAATCCTCACACATTAGCCTCTCGAATAGCTGGGACTGCAGGTGCAAGCTGCTACGCCTGGCTAATTTTTGTATTTTTTATTTTAGTAGAGATGGGTTCTTGCCATGTTGCCCCGGCTGGTCTTGAACTCCTGGGCTCAAGTGATCCTCCCACCTCTGCCCCCAAAGTGCTAGGATTATAGGTGTGAGCTACTGCACCCAGCCAGTAGGAGTTTTTTGGGGGGGATGACAAAAATGTTCTAAAATTGATTGTAGTGTTGGTTGCAGGACTCTGAATATACCAAAAACCTCTGAATCGTCACTTTAAAAGCATGAATTTTATGGTATGTGAATTATATCTCAATCAAGCTGTTATTAAAATATATATATATATATGGCCATTATCCAGCCTGTGCTGCAGGGTGATAAGGCAGAACGAGATGGACGTGGGGTTGGCTGTCTTCCCAATTTAAAATAGAACAATAAAAGATGAGCTGGGGATGTGGGGCGAGTATGTAACAGGGCCTATAAATAAGACCTTGGCTTGTAGCTGTCAGATGCAAGGTGCTGATGAGGGCTGCTTATCTGTGACCTTGCAAGGAGCAAAGTTTGATCTCAATCTATTCACTAAACAGCCAAGTGTGATGCTGTGGAGATGGGGAAGACGAAAACTCCTCCTGTGGTGCCAGAAAGATATAATTAAAAATATAAATCACACTTTCCAGGCTTGGAAGACATTTATCATGTAGCTTTCCAGAGGCATTGCACAGACAAGGCAGTTTGAATAATTCCATGAATTACCTTGGAAAAGAGAAGGAGGGGGCACCTCCAGAGTGGTGGGCATGGTGGAGAGGGGGAAGGAAGGAAGGAAAGAGGACAGATCAGTAGCAACGAGGGGGAAGTGGGTATTGTTGTGGATTCCCAGCCTGGTGGTCCAGGCCAGGACATGTGTGGTGAGCACACACAGCATTAGACATTTTCTTAATCAGTTGTCATAAGAATACGAGCTCCAGGAGGGCAGAGATTTTTGTTTGTTTTGTTCATTGCTGCATCCCCATGGCTGGTGTGCCACAATTTTTTGTGTGTACATGTTGAGTAAATGAATATTTTAAAATTAGAGTTGACTTCCACCTCTGGTGAAGATGGAATAACAGGGACCAGTCTGAAACAAGTAAAAAACTGGACAAAAGATTTCAGTGAACCAAAAAAGGAAAAACAAAAAAAAAAGCTGGACAAAATATAAAACAATGGTTTTCAAGACATTGGATGTCACGCAATGGATCTCAAGGACAACAATCCTTGAGAGAAGAGAAATAGACTGGGTGTGGTGGCTCACGCCTATAATCCCAGCACTTTGGGAGGTCTAGGTGGGAGGATCACTTGAGGCCAAGTGTTCAATATCAGCTTGGCCAACATGGGGAAACCCCGTCTCTACTAAAAATACAAAAATTAGCCAAGCGTGGTGGTGCATGCCTATAATCCTAGCTACTTGGGAGGCTGAGGCAGGAGAATCACTTGAACTCGGGAGGCGGAGGTTGCAGTGAGCCAAGACTGCGCCACTGCACTCCAAGCTGGGCAACAGAGCAAGACTCCATCTCAAAAACAAACAAACAAACAAACAAACAAACAAAGAATATCCTATGGCTAAGGGAGAAGACCCACAGCTGGAATTCAGACTTTGTGGGGCAAAGTGAAATTACGGCCCACTGGATAATGAAGTTCACTGGGTTGTCCCAGGCCACAGCTGGTCCACAGTTGCTGGACAAACAGAAACTCCCGTCTGGGGTGCAAGCAGGTAGAGGTTGGTGGGCACAGAACTATGGCTAAGATTGGCAAGCAAGAAATCTCCCCATCAGGGTACAGATGGACTAAAGCTGGAAAGTGAACCACCATGGGGCCTGTGGGACTCACTGAGAATCTGCCCACGGGGACTGCTGAAACTTGATGGGAAGCTGTCAGTGAGGATAATTCTAAAATTTGGTGAGGGTGAGTACCACTGGATGTCCCTCATGCTCCCCTGGCAACCATGAAATAAGAGCAAGAAATCCGTAGAAGTGCACGAAAACAAGAAAAGAGAAGCAAGCACCTTTTTACCTACAGTGCATCTCCAGCGCCCTCTACTGACAAAGTTTAGTATTGTGCTCATAGCAAAGGAGAAATTCTTACAGGGTCCAGCTCAGTTATCACCGGCAGGCAAGGAAGGGTAGATTTGAAGCTGAGAGAGAATAGATTGATAGCTGGTACAGACACAGTCTGACATTCAATAAAAAATGATCAGGCATGCAAAGAAGACAAAATATGACTCATAATGGGGAGAAAAATCAATCGATAGAAATAACCTTTAAAAGTACACAGATGAGGCTGTGTACAGTGGTCCATGCCTGTAATCCCGACACTTTGGGAGGCTGAGATGGGAGGATGGCTTGAGGCCAGGAGTTTGAGACCAGCCTGGGCAACGACGAGACATCGTCTCTACTAAAAATTTAAAAATTAGCTGGGCATTGTGGTATGCACCTGTAGTTCCAGCTACTTGGGAAGCTGAGGTGAGAGGATCGCTTCAGCTAAGGAGTTCGAGGTTGCAGGGAGCTATGCTGGTGCCACTGTACTCCAGCCTGGGTGATGGAGTGAGACCCTGTCTCTTACAAAAACAAAACACAGATGATAGAATTAGTAGACAAAAACAAAACAGTTATCATAGCAGCTATTACATATCCTATATTCAAGAAGGTAGAGGAAGGATTGAGCATGTTTCATCTAGATATGGAAAATATTTTTTAAAAGATCCAAACTGAACTTCTAAAAATGAAAAATATAATGCCTGTGGAGGGAAAATACACTGGATGGGCTAATTCCAGATTAGATATCACAGAAGAAAATGCCAGTAAACTTGAAGACATAACCTTTAAAATATTCAAAATGAAACAAGAAGGGAAAAAGACGGAAAAAAATGAACTTGGAAATAGTCCCTGGTGGGAGAGGGGGGGGAATAAGCCAAGCATTCTCTTTCTGTTCCCATATTTCTGTAGTGTAGAGATAGGCAAACTTTTACTTAAAGGAAGAGATAGTGGGTATTTTAGGCTTGTGGGCCATATGGTTTCTTTCTTTTTTTTTGAGATGGAGTCTCACTCTTTTCCCCGGGCTGGAGCGCAGTGGCACAATCTTGGCTCACTGCAACCTCCGCTTCCCAGGTACAAGCAATTCTCCTGCCTCAGCCTCTCAAGTAGCTGAGACTACAGGTGCTCACCACCACAGGGTTTCACCATGTTTTCCAGGGTGGTCTCGAACTCCCAGCCTCAAGTGATCTGCCTGCTTTGGCCTCCCAAAGTGCTGGGATTACAGGCGTGAGCCACCGCGCCCGGCCAGGGCCATATGGTTTATATTGCAACTTCTCAACCCAGCCTATTTAACTCTGCTCAAAAGCAATCATAGACAATATATAAGCAAATGGGCATGACTGTCTTCCAGTAAAACTTTATTTATAAAAACAGGCAGCCAACCCATGGTCTATAGTTTGCCAGTTTCTCCCCGAGAGCATCCAGTGGGTACCCTAAGTGCTCATTCAGCACCCCCAAAACCCAGAGGGGCTACCTAAGCCTGGTAGATGAGAGCTCACCCCAGGCCCCAGATCTGTCTTCCTCTTCTTCTCTCCATTTAACTGGCATTCTCCATCCAGATTTCATTCCCCCAGGGCCTTGAAGGTTAGTTAGTAATAAGTGAATCTATTTAGCACTTGCAGTATGCTAAAATATGGTTCCCCCGAAAGATATTCACATTCTAATCCCTGGAAACTGGAATGGCTTTTGTTTTTTTTGAGACAGGGTTTCACTCTGTCATTCAGGTTGGAGTGCAGTGGTACGATTTCAGCTCACTTCAGCCTCCACTTCCCAGGCCCATGTGGTCCTCTCACCTCAGTCTCCCAAGTAGCTGGGACTACAGGTATGCACCATCACCCCTGGCTAACTTTTCGTATTTTTGTAGAGGCGGGGGTTTGCCATGTTGCCTAGGCTGGTCTCGAACTTCTGCGCTCAAGTGATCTACCTGCTTTGGCCTCCCAAAGTGCTGGGATTACAGGCATGAGCTACCGTACTCGCTGACTGTTACTTTATATGGAAAAAGGAGCTGGGTGCAGTGGCTCACATCTGCAATCCCAGTACTTTGGGAGGCTGAGGCAGGTGGATTGCTTAAGGCCAGGAGTTTGATACCAGCCTGGGCAACATAGTGAGACCCTGTTTCCACAGAAATAAAAGATTAGCCAGGCCAACATGGCAAGTCCCTGTCAAGAAAGAAAAGAAAGAATAAAGAAAAAGAGAATGTGAGAGAAAGAGAGAAGAGAAAGAGGAAGAAGAAGAACGAGGAGGAGGAAAGGAAGGAAGGAAGGAGGAAGGGAGGGAGGGAGGGAGGAAGGAAGGAAGGAAGGAAGGAAGGAAGGAGGAAGGAAGGAAGGAAGGAAGGAATCTTTGCAGATGTGATTAAGAATCTTGCATTGGGCACTTTGGGAGGCCGAGGCGGGTGGATCACCTGAGGTCAGGAGTTTGAGACCAGCCTGACCAATATGAAACCCCATCTCTACTAAAAATACAAAAAATTAGCTGAGTGTGGTGGCACGTGCCTGTAATCCCAGCTACTCAGGAGGCTGAGACAGGAGAATCGCTTGAACCTGGGAGGTGGAGGTTCCAGTGAGCTGAGATCGTGTCATTGCACTCCAGCCTGGGCAACAAGAGCGAAACTCCGTCTCAAAAAAAAAAAGAATCTTGCATTGGGGAGATTATGCTAGATTATCCAGGTAGGCTTGCAATGCAATCACAGGTGTTCTTATAAGAGAGAAGCAGAGAGAGGTTTGACACACAGAAGGGGCTATCTGAAGACAGAACAGAGAATGGTTTGAAGATGCTGACCTTGATGCTTGGAGTGAAGGTGCCAGCAGCCACCAGAAGTTGGAAGAGGTAAGGAATCCACTCTCCACTAGAGCCTCTGGAGGGGCACGTCCCTGACTACACCTTGACTTCAGCGCATTGATGCTGATTTTGGACTGCTGGTCTCTAGAACTGAGAGAAAAAAATGTGTATTTCTTTAAGCCATGTATTCTGTGCTAATTTGTTGCAGTAGCGCTAGGAAGCTAATACAGTCGTTGAGTAATTATCTGCAATCATCAATAAAGTCAAATTACCTTCCCCCATCCTGCTTTCAGAGCTAGTTTTTTTTTTTTTTTTTTTTTTTTTTTTTTTTTTTTTAGACAGGGTCTCACTCTGTCCCCAGGCTGGTGTACAGTGGCGCAATCTTGGCTCACTGCAACCTCCAATTCCCAGGTTCAAGCGATTCTTGTGCCTCAGCCTCCCAAGTAGTTGGGACTATGGGTGCATGCCACCATGCCTGGCTAATTTTTTTGTATTTTTTGGTAGAGATGAGGTTTCACCATGTTTGCCAGGCTGATCTTGAACTCCTGACCTCAAGTGATCCACCCACCTCAGCCTCCCAAAGTATAGAGATTACAGACGTGAGCCACTGCACCTGGTCAGAGCTGGGTTAAAGAGGCTTTCTGTACCTCTGCCTTAACACAAAGCAGGCTTCACGGGAATGGGCGGGCAGCCCAGCCAAGGAATCAATGTGTTGATGTGGGAATCAGGAGATGTGGGTTCAAGTCCCGTTCTGCCTTCCTCACTGGGTGATCCTAGGCCTTTGGTTTCCCCAGCTGTGAAACTCCCACATGGGGTAGAAGAGAAGGCTTCCCTCCTGCTGCAAATGCTGTTAAGCTTAAAGGGAATGCTGCGCAAACATGGTCTATCATTACCTTTGGGGATGTGGGGCCCTTAGATTCTACCTGCTGACAGCCTCCCGGCTCTGAGTTTTTGGAGTAACAATAATGATAACAGGAGCGGCTAACCTTTACTGCGTGCCAGGTGCTGTGTTAAGCAGTTGACTTGTGTCCTTCTCCAGAGAAAGCATGGAAATAGGCTAGTGGAGTTGGCACTTAGAATCAGCAAGACCTGAGCTGGAGTCTCAGATCTGCCACAATTAGCTGTATGACCTTGGACAAGTGAGTCAACCTCTCAGAGCATCATAAGCCTCACTTACAAAATGGTGCTGCCTTTGCCTATCTTCCAGGGATGTTGTGAGGATCAGGTTTACCTTGAGCAAAATGCCTGGCACAGTTCTCTTGCTACCATTTGTTATTTGTGACCATTTGTTCTTTGTGACTAGGATTCCTGAACACACGTGTTCACAAAGTGGGTGTGCTGTTGTCTCTCAGTAGAAAACCATCTAAGTGCTACCACATCCATTCAAAAGGTAACAGTATGGGCCCGGTGTGGTGGCTCACGCCTGTAATCCCAGCACCATGAGAGGCTGAGATGGGTGGATCACTTGAGGTTAGGAGTTCAAGACCAGCCTGGCCAACATGGTGAAACCTTGTCTCTACTAAAAATACAAAAATTAGGCCAGGTGCGGAAGCTCACGCCTGTAATCCCAGCAGTTTGGGAGGCTGAGGCGGGAGAATCACTTGAGGTCAGGAGTTTGAGACCAGCCTGGCCAACATGCTGAAACCCCGTCTCTACTAAAAATATAAAGATTAGCCAGGCACGATGGCGGGTGCCTGTAATCCCAGCTACTCGGGAGACTGAGGCACGAGAATCACTTGAACCCAGGAGGTGGAGTTTGCAGTGAGCCGAGATTGCACCACTGCATTCCAGCCTGGGCAACAGAGTGAGACTCTGTCTCAAAAAAAAAAAAAAAAAAAAAAAAAAAAAAGGGCACCGCTACTATCCCAACCCCTGCCCCACTGCTGAGGAACTATAGAATATTTCTTCTAAGACAGCACCTAGACTCCTGCATCCATGGTAATTTTCATGCTGAGTGCTGAGCGACTAATTTTCCCACCTAAAATTGATTCTTCCTTCTTTTGTTATTATAGTCTGGAGAAAGGACATAATAAAAACTCTTTGAGTCTGACAAAGAAAACAACACGAAATGCGATTTAACATTGGAAGTAATCGTTGTGTCGACAATTCTAAAGAAAATAAACAGATCAAGGAGTAGCTTTTAGAGCTAGTCTTAAGTCATGCCAGAAATATCTGAGTTAGAGAGAGAAGGTTACATGCAACAATTTGTTTCTGTCCCTGAAATGCTGCTCAGCCTGGACTTTCTGTGCTGGTTAAAAGCCCTTCCAACTCCCTGACCCACTGGCCCTAGCCCCACAGGTGTCCTCAATATTGATCTCACTCTTGACTCCATCCAGCCACCCAGACCTGTGGATTTCATGCCTCTCACAGCTGTGGGATATTCCCCTCGGCCTCCCTCCTGGGGTGGTTTCATAGCCGGTTCTCTAGTCTCGCTGTGTCCAGGCCCGACTGGGCAGAGCAACCCCCCAAGACAGCTCCCATGAGCTCTTTCTGATCACGATGATGAAAAGATTGTAATGGTGACTGCCAGTTATGTACCCAGAACCTACTGAGTGTCTACCATATTGCTTAGGTTCTTTCATTTAATTTCCAAAAGCCTACAGGGTAGCTTCTGTGGGTCCCACTTTAATGATGAGGCAACTTGCCCAAGGTTGGTCAAGGTGACTGAGCTGGTAAACAGTGAAATGCATTTGAACTCAGGACCATGGGACTCCGAAGTTTGTGTTCTTTTCACTTTACTGGTTTCCTTCACTGGCTTCCCATTGCCCAACAGCTGAGTTTCTGAAACTGTGCCCTGGGGACATCACCGTATAAGATGTTAACAATACATTTTCTTTTGCTTTTTTTTGGAGACAGGGTCTCTGTCACCCAGGCTGGAGTCCAGTGTCATGTCACGATCACAGCTCACTGCAGCCTCAACCTCCTGGACTCAAACAATCCTCCCACCTCAGCCTCCCGAGTCACTGTGACTACAGGAGTGCACCACCACACCCGACTAATTTATTTTTATTTTTTGTAGAGATGGAATTTTGCTTGTTGCCCAGGCTGGTCTCAAACTCTCGGGCTAAAGTGATCCTCCTGCCTGAGTCTCTCAAAGTGCTGGGATTACAGGCATTAGCCACTGTACCTGGCCATAAATTTTCCTTAAACAACAAAGTGTGTGGTGGTGGGCATGGGAGGCCTGTGGTTAAATCCATTTGGGACTAGCTCCCTGTGTTGCCCCCTCTTGGAGAATTCCTGGCATATTAGTATAGTAAAGGCTTTGATGCGTCTGCAATTAAAGAACAAAACCCTTTAACCCAGAGTTTTCCAAGGGCACTTTGCCATGGAAGCCTTTTGCACAGAGCATCTGTCAGTCTGAAGGACTGGTGTTCCTCGGCACACAGTCTAGGAACCGCTGGGCTTCTGGCTCAAGTTGCAGGCCCTTGGCCCAGTTGGTTCACAGGCCCCTGTGCAGCTTCTCTGGTTTCACCTCCTCTTGTGCCCTGGGTCAAACTTCTGTTCTGGCCATAGCTCACTGCTCACAATTCCTCCAGCCAGAGAGGGTGTTCATGCCTCCATGAGGGTCTTCCTCTGCCTGGCATTCTGTTTCCGCCCTCCCTCCTCTATGTGCTTTCAGGAATGTACTAGCTGGAATGTCCCCTGCTCAGAAGCATTTTCCCAAGCCTTTTTTTTTGAGATGGAATCTCGCTCTGTCACCCAGGCTTGAGTGCAGTGGCGTAATCTCGGCTTACTGCAACCTCCGCCTCCCAGATTGAAGTGATTCTCATTCTTCAGCCTCCCAAGTAGCTGGGACTACAGGCTCACTCCACCACACCTGGCTAATTTTGTTTTTTTTGTAATTATAGTAGTGATGGGGTTTCACCATGTTGGCCAGGCTGGTCTTGAACTCCTGGCCTCAAGTGATCCTCCTGCCTTGGCCTCCCAAAGTGCTGGTATTACAGATGTGAGCCACCGTGCCCGGCCTGCATTTTCCCAAGCCTTCTAACCAGAGCTAATCACCTACCCCATGATTGCACCATCCATGTACCTAGCACTTACTTTTAGTACAGCTTGTCTCTCTGTGTATATTGAATAATATTTATTTATTTATTTATTTGTTTTTTTTGTTTTTTTTTTTTTGTTTTTGAGATAGAGTCTTGCTCTGTCGCCCAGGCTGGAGTGCAGTGGCACCATCTCGGCTCACTGCAAGCTCCGCCTCCCAGGTTCACGCCATTCTCCTGCCTCAGCCTCCTGAGTAGCTGGGACTACAGGCGCCCGCCACCACGCCCAGCTAATTTTTTCTATTTTTAGTAGAGACAGGGTTTCACCGTGTTAGCTAGGATGGTCTCAATCTCCTGACCTCGTGATCCACCTGCCTTGGCCTCCCAAAGTGTTGGGATTACAGGCGTGAGCCACCGCACCCGGCTTGAATAATATTTATTTTTATGTGGCCGTCTTCTATTGCAGACCACGAACTTCTTTTTTTTTTTTTTTTTTTTTTTTTTTTTTTTGAGACAGAGTCTCTGTTGCCCAGGGTGGAGTGCAATGGCACGATGTCAGCTCTCAGCTCACTGCAACCTCCAACACCGGGGTTCAAGCAATTCTCCCTGCCTCAGCCTCCCAAGTAGCTGGGATTACAGGCGCACGCCACCATGCCCAGCTAATTTCTTGTATTTTTAATAGAGATGGGGTTTCGCCATGTTGGCCAGGCTGGTCTCGAACTCCTCACCTCAGGTGATCTGCCCACCTCGGCCTCCCAAAGTACTGGGATTACAGGCATGAGCCACCACGCCCGGCTGACCGTGAACTTCTTAAAGGGTAGACTGTCTTCTTTATTTCAGAATCTTCAACACCAAGCACAGGGGCCTGATATGCAACAGATATTTGCCAGCTCAACTTCCTATTGTATTTTAGAGTATTTTCTTAATATATATATGTATATATTTGTCTATAATTCATGACAGGTGCATTGGCTTGTGCCTATAATCCCAGCACTTCGGGAGTCTGAGGCCAGACCATCGCTTGAGGCCAGGAATTTGAGATTAGCCTGGGTAACATAGTGAGACCTCGTCTCTACATTAAAAAAAAATTAAATTAGCCAGGTGTGGTGGTGCATGTCTATAGTCCCAGCTACTCAGGAGGCTGAGACAGGAGGATCACTTGAGCCCAAGAGTTTGAGGCTGCAGTGAGCTATGAGCTCCCAGGCTGGAGTGCTATGCCATTGCACTCCAGCCTGGGTGACAGAGGGAGACCCTGTCTCTAAAAAAGAAAAAATAGAAGTAATTCATGCCCATTGTGGGATGTTAAAAAAATAAGAAGAAAAATCCATAATTCTGGAGGGATCAGGCAAATGATTTTCCACCTGGTGTTAACATAAGAACTGGCCAGGCGCCATGTTACATGCCTGTAATCACAGCACTTTGGGAGGCCGAGCCAGGAGGATCACTTGAAGCCAGGAGTTCAAGACCAGCCTGGGCAACATGGCAAAACCCAGTCTGTACTAAAAAATACAAAAAGTAGCTGGGTGTGGTGGTGCATGCCTGTAATCCCAGCTACTCAGGAGGCTGAGGCATGAGAATCGCTTGAACCCAGGAGGCAGAGGTTGCAGTCAGCTAAGATCATGCCCCTGCACTCCAGCCTGGGTGACAGAATGAGACCTTGTCTCAAAAAAAAAAAAAAAAAGAAAAAGAAAAAAAGAATTACCTGGGTGAGCTTGTTAAAAATAGAAATGCTCACACTGTGCCTGGGCCACCCAGCTGCTGTCTCAGTGTGTGTGTGTGTGTGTGTGTGTGTGTGTGTGTGTGTGTGTGTGTATACATGTGTGCATACGTGTGTCTAATGAAATTCCAGCTGATTCTAAAACTCATCCATCCCTGTACCTAGCACTTACTTTTAGTACAACATCATCCATCATTAAGCGTCTGGTGATTCAAATATTTTTGTACTACAAACAAAGTTGTGATAAATATCTTTGTACGTAACTGTTTGTCTCTGGGTCTATTTATTGCCTTAGAATAGATTCCTAGAAGTGGAGTTACTGAGCCAAAGGGCAGGCAGGTTTTCAAGGCTCCCGGGACAAATCATCAATTACTCTGCAGAAAGACTGCGCCACTTCCCTCTCCCACCGGAGCCTCCGAGGGTGCTTGTCTCATCAAACCCCCACAATTATGGCCACTTTTGACAAGAAAGAATACGGGAATAGTTGCTATTAAATGTGAAAGAAAAATTGCCTAGCTGGGTGGTTTTTAAAGAGAGGCATTTAGCAAGCTTTTGAAGACTAATTACTGTTTAATCATCCTAGGAACACACAGGCTCATTATTTTCTTTTTGCAGAGACTGAGAATTGCAATGCATGGTTGGTAATTTTGCCAATGCTGTAAACACCCATCACTTCATTTTCCTAGAAAAGCTTTGCTCTCTCTATGTGTGAAGGATGAAGCCTGTGTGTTTCGTTCTCCCCAGACACTCAGCTAACGGGCAGGTCCTCTCAGCTGACAGCATCTCACCCGAGATACTAACACCTACAGTGTGGGCAGGGGACTGGCCGCCCACCGCACAGAATGTTGCCCGAAGCTCAATGTTCTTAGCTGTCATATTTCATGTTTTCACCCTTTCCTCCTCCATCCATCTCTGGCAAGCAAGGGCACCCTGGCAGAGTTTCTTGAAGTTTGCCTGGACAGTTCATTCCTGCCTTAGAATGGAAAAGGCCGCCGGGCGCAGTGGCTCACGCCTGTAATCCCAGCACTTTGGGAGGCTGAAGCGGGCGGATCACGAGGTCAGGAGATCGAGACCATCCTGGCTAACATGGTGAAATCCCGTCTCGACTAAAAATACAAAAAATTAGCCGGGCGTGGTGGCGGGCGCCTGTAGTCCCAGCTACTCGGGAGGCTGAGGCAGGAGAATGGCGTGAACCCGGGAGGCAGAGCTTGCAGTGAGCTGAGATCGTGCCACTGCGCTCCAGCCTGGGTGACAGAGCAAGACTCCGTCTAAAAAAAAAAAAAAAAAAAAGGAATGGAAAAGGCCATTATTACCTCCCCTGTGCTCCAGGATCTACAGTGTAGCTGGGAAAGAGAAGTTTCCAGGAGGGAAGACTGCCATGACCAAGTCCAAAGGAGGACAATGTTCATTCAAATGTTCAATATGCTCATCTTCTGACCCACAGCTACCGTTCTGGAAATCGATCCTAGAGAATACTTAGACATGTGCATAATGCTATTTGCAAGGACTTTCCCTACTGTTAGAAAACAAACAAACAAACAAAAACCTATTAACAGGCAACTGGTTAAATAAATGAGGGTCCTTCCATACTGTGGGATACCAGGCAGTTAAAAATAATGAGGCGAAACACCCAAAACGATAAGACAGACCTGTATAGACAATAAATAAATATCTGCTGTTAAATGAGAATAGCAGGCAGAGGAAAAATATCCCTGTACAAAACAATCCTGTTTATGTAAAAGGAAATAATTTATTCAATCAATATTCACTGAGGACCTACCACATGCCAGATACTGTGGATAAAAAGGCATGCCACACAGAGCCCCTGTCCTCATGTAACACACATAGCCAGGGTGGATAAATAAATAGAAAAAAGACTGAGGCTGGGCACAGAGGCTCATGCCTGTAATCCCACGACTTTGGGAGGCCGAGGCGGGTGGATCACCTGAGGTCAAGAGTTCGAGACCAGCCTGGCCAACATGGCGAAACCCCCGTCACTACTAAAAATACAAAAAATTAGCCGGGCGTAGTGGCGGGCGCCTGTAGTCCCAGCTACTTGGGAGGCTGAGGCAGGAGAATGGCGTGAACCCGGGAGGCGGAGCTTGCAGTGAGCCGAGATCCCGCCACTGCACTCCAGCCTGGGCAACAGAGCGAGACTCCGTCTCAAAAAAAAAAAAAAAAAAAAAAAAAAAAATTAGCCGGGCGTGGTGGTGGGCGCCTGTAAATCCAGCTACTCAGGAGGCTGAGGCAGGAGAACAGCTTGAACCCGAGAGGTGGAGACTGCAGTGAGCTGAGACCATGCCGTTGCACTCCAGCCTGGGCAACAATAGTGAAACTCCATCTAAAAAAAAAAAAAGAAAGGAAACACACACACACACCACACACCACACACACACACACACACACACACACACACACACACGGAAACTCACCATTCAACATTCCTTTGATTCCTGAAGAGCTTTGGTATTAAAGAGTTTCCCATGAAAGGTCTGGACAGTCTTAGAGAGGCCATGCTTAGTAGTGATTCTTGGCCCTGGCTAAACATTAGAATCACCTGGGCAGCTTTAAAAACCTCCCAGTGTCCAAATTCACCCCAGACCAATTAAATGAGAATGTTTGAGGATGGGACCCAGGCATCAGCTTTTTAAAGATCTCCAGGTGATTCTAATATGCAGCTAACATTTGTAAACCTCTGCTCTAAGTTGTTGGATAGCAGGGGAAGTGGGCTAGTTGTAAAACCTCTGTCAACCAGCTGTGTGATCATGGGCAAGTTGCTTGACCTCTCTGAACTTTATTTTCCCTGCTCTAAAATGGGATCATACCTTCTTCACATGATAGAATGAGGCTTATTGAGAACATTATCAGAAAGAGCTCAGTCAATTGTAAAGCATGATATAAATATAAGATAATATTTTATTCTCTGACTTGGTTATCAGCTCAGAAGTAATAGGTGGAGCTGGGGGTCAGGCAGAGCAATGTTGAGTTAATGGTTAACAGAGAGAAAATAAAAGAAGCTGATTGGCTGGAATAGGAATGGCAGAGAGAAGATCAAAGGGCCCCCTAAACCATTTGCACTAAGGCAGGATCTACCCCTGTAGGATTCCAGGGTGATGCTAATGCCTGAGATTACATCTTCATCTTATTCCTAAAGCTCTGTTATTTTCTGTCTTTTTTTTTTGAGACAGAGTCTTGCTCTGTCACCCAGGCTGGAGTGCAGTGGTGCAATCTTAGCTTGTTGCAATCTCCACCTCCTGGGTTCAAGCTATTCTTGTGCCTCAGCCTTCTGAGTTGCTGGAATTACAGGCGTGCACCACCATACTCAACTAATTTTTGTAATTTTAGTAGAGACAGGGTTTCACCATGTTGGCCAGGCTGGTCTTGAACTCCTGGCCTCAAGCGATCCACCTGCCTCGGCCTCCCAAAGTGCTGAGCCACTAAGCCGGGCCAAGCTCTGTTATTTTCTCACTGGGTACTGCCAGTTATGAAGAGCCAGAGATGGCAACTGTCTGGGTGAGAGGTCTGACCAGATGGGAAGGAGCTGAAGAGATTCTTCAGGCTCTGCTGGGAAGCTTTCAGCCAGACAGGGTCCCTTCCCTGGAGTCACCCTCACCAGCAACTTAAAGAATGGGAAATTCTCCTGGGCTTGAACACATGGGCCCGTCAGGCCAGGCTGCTGGCCCTGGAGACTTTGTGAGGGGCTAAGCCTGCCCTGGTGAGGAGGCCAAGGGGGCTGTGAGCCTGGGCTTTCCCTGCCCTTCCTTAACAAAGACCATCGCCCTCCCACCCTCTGAGTAAGGAGGTCAACACACAATTGTGCAGCAGCAAGCAGAGTGGAAATGCTTCTGTGGGACTCAGTCTACCTCCAGCTGAGTGCCCTCAACTCTTCTACTCAGACTTTCCCTTTCAACCCACCAACCCTTCATCCTTCCATAGTGTGCTCAGTAATGGATGTTGAGTGGCTGAGAAAGTCCTAACTTGCAATGAGCTCCATTCACTGATAGATCTTGACATTTCATGATGACAGTTTTTTTTTTTTTTGAGACAGGGTCTCACTCTGTTACCCAGGTTGGAGTGCAGTGACACGATCTTGGCTCACTGCAAACTCCATCTCCCAGGCTCAAGTGATCCTCCCATCTCAGCCTCCCAAGTAGCTGGGACCACAGGCACCTACCACCATGCCCAGCTAATTTTTGTATTTTTCGTAGAGACAAAATTTTGCCATGTTGCCCAGGCTGGTCTCAAACTCCTGAGCTCAAGCAATCCACCCACCTCGGCCTCCCAAAGTGCTGGGATTACAGGTGTAAGCCACCTTTTTTTTTTTTTTCTTAAAAAAAAAATCTTTTGCTGGGCACGGTGGCTCACGCCTGTAATCCCAGCACTTTGGGAGGCTGAGGCGGGTGAATCACCTGAAGTCGGGAGTTCGAGACCAGCCTGGTCAACATGGTGAAACCTCGTCTCTACTAAAAATACAAAAATTAGCCAGGCTTGGTGGCTCAAGCCTGTAATCCTAGCTACTCGGGAGGCTGAGGCAGGGGAACCATTTGAACCCAGGAGGCGGAGGTTGCAGTGAGCCGAAATCGTGCCACTGCACTCCAGCCTGTGTGACAGTGCGAGACTCCTTCTCAAAAAAAAAAAAAAAGAAAAAAAATTACCTTTTATTTGAGACAGGGTCTTGAACTCCTGGGCTCAGTGATTGTCCTGCCTCAGCCTCCCAAGCATCTGGGATTATAGGCAAATGCCAGCACACCCGGCCCTTTCTGTTTTTAAACAGGTGTCTGATTTCCCACCTCCATTCCTTCCACAGCCCAGAGAGGTAGGACATCAACTCTTCAGTTTTCTATCTACTCACAGGTTTGATCTTTAACCTCTCAAGAACAATAAGCCAGAGAAACAGAGATAAGCGTTGAGTTGGGATTCAAGTTTACTTCAGCTGTTTCTGCCTGATCCACACATCCTAGGGCTCCTTCTTAAGTAGTTCCTTGCAACTTAAAGTGTATCCAAAAGTGATACTCCCTTCTTTTTTTTTGAGACTGAGTCTTGCTCTGTCGCCCAGGCTGGAGTGCAGTGGTGTGATCTCGGCTCACTGCAACCTCCGCCTCCTGGGTTCAAGCGATTCTCATGCCTCAGCCTCTTGAGTAGCTGGGATTACAGGTGCCCACCACCATACTCTGCTAATTTTTGTATTTTTAGTAGAGATGGGGTTTCACCATGTTGGCCAGGCTGGTCTCCAACTCCTGACCTTAGGTAATCCGCCTGCCTCAGCCTCCCAAAGTGTTGGGATCACAGGTGTGAGCCACTGTGCCCGCCTCCTTTTTTTAATTTTGAAAATTTCAAGCTTTCAGAAAAGTTACAAGAAATAGTACAATGAACACTTGTATATCCTTCACCTAGATTCATTTGTTGCTAGCATTTTGCCCATTTGCTTTATCTCTCCTCCTCTGTGTTTGTACACACACACATACACACACACACGCAAACATTTTTTAAAAATTATTTTAATTTTTGGCTGGGTGTGGTGGCTCATGGCTATAATTCCAACACTTTGGGAGCCCAAGGTAGGCAGATCACTTGAGGCCAGGAGTTCGAGACCAGCCTGGGCAGCCTGGGCGAAACCCTGTCTCTATAAAAAATACAAAAAGTAGCCAGGCATGGTGGTATGTGCCTGTGGACCCGCTACTCAGGAGGCTGAGGTGGGAGTATCACTTGAGCCAGGGAGGTTGAAATTGCAGTGAGCCAAGATCTCACCACTGTGCTCCAGCCTGGGCAACAGAGTGAGATCCTGTCTCAAAAAAATTATTCTGGCCAGCCACGATGGCTCACGCCTATAATCCCAGCACTTTGGGAGGCCGAGGCAGGTGGATCACTTGAGGTCAGGAGTTCAAGACCAGCCTGACCAACACGGTGAAACCCCGTCTCTACTAAAAATACAAATTTAGCCAGGCATGGTGGTGCGCGCCTGTAATCCCAGCTACTCGGGAGGCTGAGGCAGGAGAATTGCTTGAACCCAGGAGGCGGACGTTGCAGTGAGCCGAGAACACACCACTGCACTCCAGCCTGGGCAACAGAGTGAGACTTCCTCTCAAAAAAAAAAATTATTTCAATGTTTGCTAAATATTTTGAAAGTTAGTTGCAGGCATCATATTTCTAATATTACTTCACCATGTATCCCCTAAGAATGAGGACATTCTATATAATTACAGTATATTACCATGCTTGAGAAATTTAACATTAGGCTAAGCACAGTGGCTCATGCCTGTAATCCCAGCACTATGGGAGGCTGAGGCAGGTGGATCACTTGAACCCAGGAGTTTGAGACCAGCCTGGGCAATATGGCGAAATTTTGTCTGTACAAAACTTACAAAAAATTAGCCAGACATGGTGACGCACACCTGTGGTCCCAGCTACTCGGAGGCTGAGGTGGAAAGATTGCTTGAGCCCAGGAGGTTGAGGCTGCGGTGAGCCACCATCATGCCACTGCACTCCAGCCTGGATGACAGAGCAAGACACTGTTTCAAAAAAAAAGAAAGAAAGAAATTTAACATTAATACTATATTGTGATATATATTCCATATTCAATTTTCCCAATTGGCCCAATTATGTACTTGACTAGCTTTTTTTTTTTTTTTTTTTTTGAGATGGAGTCTCGCTCTGTTGCCCAGGCTAGAGTGCAGTGGCACGATCTTGGCTCACTGCAATCTCTGCCTCCTGGGTTCAAGCAATTCTCCTGCCTTAGTCTCCCGAGTAGCTGGGATTACAGGCGCCTGTCACCATGCCTGGCTAATTTTTGTATTTTTAATAGAGACAGGGTTTCACCATGTTGGTCAGACTGGTCTCAAACTCCTGACCTCAGGTGATCCACCCACCTTGGCCTCCCAAAGTGCTGGGATTACAGACATGAGCCACCGTGCCTGCCCTTGAATAGCTTTTTGAACAGATTGCATTTAGCGGTTCAGACCCTTTGGTCTCTTTTAATCTAGAGCAGTTTTTCAGACCATTTTGATCTTTTCTGACATGGATATTTTTGAAAAGTCCAAGCCAATTGTGTTAAAACTATAATTACTTTATGCTATTTGAATTCTACACGTGATCTTGGTCCTAGAGTGTAAATTTTATCTGTGCTGCCACCAGGTGGCGCACTTGGTAGGTCCTGGTCCTCAAAAACCCTTGTGAAAGGGCAACTTAAGGCAAGAAAACTCGTTTTGTCTCAATCAACTAAGGCTGTTATTTGGTAAAGCATATGATGTTGGCAGTGCCCATATATTTATAAAGGCACGTGGTGTCTTTTCCATAATCTGGGGATCTTGCTAATTAGGATTATAGTTTCGTAGACCTGTAATGGGTCCCAAGATTCTTTCTTTTTTTTTTTTTTTGAGACAGGGTCTCACTCTGCCAGCCAGGCTGGAGTGCTGTGGCGTGATCACGGCTGACTGCAGCCTCAAACTCCTGCGCTCAAGCGATCCTCCCACCTCAGCCTCCCAAAGTGCTGGTATTACAGGCATGAGCCGTTGTCCTGGCCAAGGTTCTGCATTTCTAACAATGGCCAAGTGATTGTGATGCTGCTGATTTGAAGAGCACGCTTTGAGTAGCAGGGGTTTAGAACAAGCCTATGAAGAACTATAATCTATTTACAATTAGTGGCTTCTGTTCTTGAGACAAAATCTCACTCTGTTGCCCAGGCTGGAGTGCAGTGGAGCCATCACGGCTCACTGCAGCCTTGACCCCTGAGGCTCAGGTGATCCCCCTGCTTCAGCCTCCTGAGTAGCTGGGATCACAAGCATGCACCACTCCACCTGGCTAATTTAAAACATTTTTTTGGAGACAGGATCTCTGTATGTTCCCCAGGCTGGTCTCGAACTCCTGGGCTCAAGGGATCCTCCCATCTTGCCCTCCCAAAGCGCCTTGACCTCCCAAAGTGCTGGGATTACAGGCATGAGCCATCATGCCTGGCCACTATTATATATATATATATATATATATATATATATATATATATATATATATATATATATATTTAAACAATTTTGGCCCCCACAGTGGCTCATGCCTCTAATCCCAGCGCTTTAGGAGGTCAAGGCGGACAGATCACTTGAGGTCAGGAGTTTGAGGCCAGCCTGGCCAACGTGCTGAAACCCCATCTGTACTAAAGATACCAAAATTAGCTGGGCATGGTGGTGCATGCCTGCAGTCCCAGCTACAAGGGAGGCTGAGGTAGGAGAATTGCTTGAACCCGGGAGGTGGGGGTTGCAGTGAGCCAAAATCACGCCACTGTGGTCCAGCCTGGGTGACAGAGCAAGATTCTATCCCACCCCCCCAAAAAACAAACAAACAAACAAACAAAAAACAATTTTATAACTTTATTTGGTATATTTGATGATTAGCAGTTAGTTCACATTCACACCGACTGTAGATTTTTTTAAAGTGGTAACAGGTACGTAGGCAACCGAAGTATAGAGCTTGTTTGGTAAATCTTTATCTTCATTACATTTTCTGGACAACCGAACATGGATACAGTATGAGACGTTGCTTATTCCTTTGGCCCAGACAGCTTTGTTGAGCCTGGTATCAAAGTGTGCATCTGGAGTTCCCATCTCCTTCAGGGCAAGTTTCCGGAGCTCTTTGAGTGCCTGAGGGGAACGCTTCTTGAAGCCCACTCCATGAATGCACTTATGAATGTTGATGGGGTATTCTCGGGTCACCATCTCGTTGATGGCGGAATGACCCTTCTTCTTCTCATCACCCTTCTTTGCAGGAGCCATTCTGCCGGGCCCAAGTTGGAAAGGAAATTGGCCACTATTCTTACATCATAATCAGTAGTAAAGCTAGTCTCATCTTCCACTACTTCCCCTCTTCCTCCCTCTACTCCAGCCCCTTGGCCTTGCTTCTTTCCCAGAGGGCCTCGACCCTAGCTTTCCCTTCTGCCTCGCATGCCATTCCCCCAGATATCCTTCTGCTTGACTAATTTCCTTGTCTCCTGCAAGTTCTTAGCTCAAACCTTTCTTTTTTGTTTGTGTTTTGTTTTTGAAACAGGGTCTTGCTCTGTCACCCAGGCTGGCATACAATGGCGTGATCATGGCTCACTATAGCCTCAACCTCCTGGGCTCAATTGATCCTCCCAAGTCTCCATAGTAGCTGGGACTACAGGCATGCATCACCATGCCCAGCTAATTTTTGTATTTTTTGTGGAGACGGGGTTTTGCCATGTTGCCCAGGCTGGTTTCAAACTCCTGAGCTGAAGTGATCCACCCACCTTGGCCTGTCAAAGTGAAAATTCACTTTCTTGATGAGGCTCACCCAGACATCCTTATTAAACACTGCTGCCTCCCCCACCCCCTCACACCCTCCCTTAACTTGCTTGATTCTTTGTTTCCTCCAGCCTTCTCCACCTTCTCACATATCATATAATCTACCTCCTGCGTTTATTGTTCATTTCTGTCTCCCCCTGCTAGAATCTAACTTCCATGAGGGAAGGGATCTTTGTCTGTCTATTGTCTTCACTGATATTTTCTGAGCACTTAGAACAGTGTCTGCACATAGTAGGTGCATATGAAATATTTGCTGAATGAATGAAGCTTAAAAGGACCTTCAAGATAACAGAGTCCAATCCCCTCATTTCATTGATGAAGAAAGGAGCCCTAGGTCTCTGGGCAAGACGAAGATTTGCCCAGGGTCACATAGACTGTGGGAATATTCTTCTTATTCTTCTAAATGAATACAATCTAAAAGCCGGACTGGTTTCTATCAGTTAATTTTCTAAGCTCTAATTTTATTTTATTTTTTAATTTGTGTTAGGTATTTTCCCCAAAGGATCTGAAGCAGTGGACAAGATGAGAGGTAATATAGAATGGAACAGTTAGGAGTCCAAATGGAAGAGATATCATCTAAAGGAAGAGGGAGTCAGCCTAACAGGCACTAGATCATAGTTAATTACTCTAATGGGGGCAGAATTTGGCTCTGAGTCCTCTGGCAGCTGAGGTTAAACGGGAAGCACGTGGGACTCCATAACGTTCCTTGTCTGAGCTAAGGAAGACTGAGTGCTCCGCAGGGACTCACATCCAGGAGGAACCTGGTCCTGGAGAACCCTGTGTAATATCCCTTTGGCCTCACATTGGACAATGTTTACCAAAAAAACCCAAAGTCATGGTTGAAGAACATTGTTGTTTTATCTGCAAAGACTAAGGGTATAATATTAAATCACATTATAGGCTGGGCATGGTGGCTCATGCCTGTAATCTCAGCACTTTGGGAGGCCAAGGCAGGTGGATCACTTGAGGCCAGGAATTCGAGACCAGCCTGGCCAACATGGTGAAACCCTGTCTCTGCTAAAATTACAAAAATTAGCCAGGCCTGGTGGCATGAGTCTGTGATCCCAGCTACCTGGGAGGCTGAGGCATGAGAATCGCTTGAACCCAGGAGGTGGACGTTGCAATGAGCCAAGATCACACCACTGAACTCTAGCCTGGGTGACAGAACGAGACCCTGTCTCAAAACAAACAAACAAACAAACAGAAAAACACATTATAGTTCTTATGGTTCAGGTGAATTATATTGTGATGATCCAACTGAAAATGAAGATGAAAACTAAAGAATCTAGAATAAACATGTCTAGGAATATCTTCTGTAATTATCCACCAACGTCTCAAATCTTTGACAAACATTAAACCACAGGCAACTCATGGTTTGGATTTGTTGAATACATCAACAAATGTTTATTGAGTTTCTACTATAAACCTTCTCCTCTTTCCTTTGCTGACTCTCTGCCTGGAACTCCCCAGGCCCAGCTATCTCTAAGGCAGAGGGGAAGAGCACAGAGACCAGAGGGGAAGCCAGCTCTGTTTCTTCAAGTTACATAAAGTCTTTTTTGTGTTTCTGAGATAGAGTCTCGCTCTGTCACCCAGGCTGGAGTGCAGTGGCGTCTCTCGGCTCACTGCAACCTCCGCCTCCCGGGTTCAAGCGATTCTCCCCCCTCAGCCTCCTGAGTAGCTGGGATTTCAGGCATGCACCACCACGCCCGGCTAATTTTTGTATTTTTAGTAGAGATGGGGTTTTGCCATGTTGGCCAAGCTGGTCTCAAACTCCTGACCTCAAGTGATCTGCCCGCCTCAGCCTCCCAAAGTGCTGGGATTACAGGCGTGAGCCACCGTGCCCGGCCAAGTTGCATAAAGTCTTTGCCAGAGTTTATCATTAAACTCTGACTGCACATCCAGCAAATTCACCTTTTCTGGCCACTAGGAAGTTGTCCTCCACTGCAGAGCAGGGACAATTACTGACTTCTGCTGAAGCCTTTTCAAAAACCTAGTTCTTTTACAGAGCCTCAGAACATCCTATGAATATTAACTAATATATTTTAATAAATGTCAATACAATTTTTCTTTTAGACCCCTTGTCTTTTATTATTATTATTATTTCAATTTAAAGATTTTCTAGGGCATGTTTTTCTGTCTGGTACACTTGTTACAAGTAGAGGTCACCGTGGTCATCTTCAACTGTCACTCCCCACCAACCCCTCCACCCCACCTCACCTTGCCAAGTTCTGCCTCTGTCTGTCACATATGTGGCACACACATGAAATATTTTTCTCCACCTGGCATTGGTTCTGCCACTTTGACAACCCTTGGCTGTGAGAGGGCCCAGGGGCTTGACTCTGCAACATATCAAGTGGCCTCAGCTACCAACTGAGAAACTTCCCCCTTGACAGGCATGACTAGAAAACCTGATTTCTCTGGGCAAAGCCTCGCACGCCCCAGGGACCATGTCTGTCTGGTTCTGTGATGTATCCCCTGTATTTAGCCTAGGATCTAGACCCTTCATAGGCACTTAAGAATTTCTTGCAAACAGGCCAGGTGCAGTGGCTCATGTCTGTGATCTCAGCACTTTGGGAGGCTGAAGCAGGCGGATCACTTGAGGTCAGGAGTTCGAGACCAGCCTGGCCAACATGGTGAAATCCTGTCTCTACTAAAAATACAAAAATTAGCTGGGCATGGTGGTGCATACCTGTAATCCCAGGCTGGGTTCTGCCCCAGTCAAATCCCAGGCTTTTGCCTGAATGGCCTGGATTAGTCTGTTTCAACCACATGGATCAGTTGGTTCCATCTTGAAAAAAGAGACTGGACTGGGGCTGCCATGATCCTGCTGTGTGCAAAGCACTGTGGGAAGGGCTGCCATCTTTGAGGCCTGGGTAGGCTTATGGTAGGCTTTGCAGAAGAACTTTTAGTCTGTATCAGTTCTTTGGGGTATCTGCTTGCCTGGCATCTTCCACACAGCCATGGAATTGCAGAGCTTAGCATAAACCAGACGCTTGCTGTTTGTTGAATAAACTCTGATAAGCAAAGGCGGCGTGTTCAACTATGTGGAGTCATGCTGTCTTAATTTTCACTTTTTGATTCAGCTATCACAGCCCATATGCCAACATCTCCACAAAACAGAGAGAAGCACCTGTGTTAGTCTTGGCACAAGATCGCTGTGAGGGCAGGATGGGGGCATCCTTGTTCTCCAGTGCACTGTGCACATGCGTGTGTGCATGTGTCTGACTGCATGGACATGTGTGTTTATGCACATGTCTACCTGTGTATACTCGGGGACTAAGGTCCTCACAGTCACATAACCTTAAGATGGTGATGTGAGGCCAGGTGCGGTGGTTCACGCCTATAATCCCAGCACTTTGGGAGGCCGAGGCGGGTGGATCACGAGGTCAGGAGTTCAAGACCAGCCTGGCTAACATGGTAAAACCCCATCTCTACTAAAAATACAAAAATTAGCTGGGTGTGGTGGTGGGCGCCTATAATCCCAGCTACTCAGGAGGCTGAGGCAGGAGAATCACTTGAACCCGGGGGGTGGAGGTTGCAGTGAGCCAAGATTGTGCCACTGCACTCCAGCCTGGGTGACAGAGTGAGACTCCATCTTAAAAAACAAACAAACAAACAAACAAAAACTATTGCAAAGACCCTCGCAAAAGGACAAAAGTGTCCTTTTAGCACTGTAAATTGGTAAAGAATACGCCCTCATGCCCTTGAGGATCTTTTGCAATGACTACAGGGTCTTCTAGATGTTGGATCCGCTTCCTGAGTAGACCTGTAACACTAGAAAGGGAAGCCTCCTACAAACATCTCACAATCTAGCAACTTTCCCCTTGACAGGCATGACCGGAAAACCTGACTTCTCTGAGCAAAGCCTTGCAAGCTCCAGGGACCATGTCTGTCTGGTTCTCTGATGTATCCCCTGTACATAGCACAGGATCTAGACCCTTAATAGGCACTTAAGAATTTCTTGCAAACAGGCCGGGCGTGGTGGCTCATGTCCGTAATCCCAGCACTCTGAGAGGCCGAAGCAGGCGGATCACAAGGTCAGGAGTTTGAGACCAGCCTGGCCAACATGGTGAAACCCTGTCTCTACTAAAAATACAAAAATTAGCTGGGTATGGTGGTGCATGCCTGTAATCCCAGCTATTCGGGAGCCTGAGGCAGGAGAATCGCTTGAACCTGAGAGGCAGAGGTTGCAGTGAGCTGAGATTGCACTGCTGCACTCCAGCCTGGGCGACAGAGCGAGACTCTGTCAAAAAAAAAAAAAAAATTCTTGCAAATATACTCAATAAGATGAGGCTACTGAGTGGCTGGTTAGGCTCACTCACCAGCTATGCTATCCATTCCTGCTTGCCAGCCTCAAAGAATATGATTAAAAGTTTTATATAGAGGGCATGACTTATCAACTCCAAACTTGGTTTTGCGACAAACATCACATTATGTCACTGTCATTAAATGAAAGAGAATCTGCCTCTGAGCTCCCATTCTGCCAGACTATTGGGAAAGTTAATGTTTGCCTCAATTGGAAAATCCCTCCTTCCCTCTAGGGTGGCACAAGAATCTGGAAGGCTCCTGTGGTTCCTAGAAAACAGAGGAAGGGGAAGGGACTCTGGTTATGGTCACTGTTCAAGCTCCTTGAAGTCCAGGCTTCCAAGGTCCACAGAAGGCAGGTGGTCCACTGGCTCCCGGCCACATGAGGTGCATGGGATCTCTGCCAAGGCTGTAAGACCCAGGGCCTGGGGTCCAGCCTATCTGGGTACCCAGGGCCTGTAGTCTAGCCTTCCTGGGTGCCCCAGGCATCAGCCATTTCCCTGACAGACTCTCCATCACCTGGAGGCAGAGAGTGGATCCCTGCAGCTTTCTCTTTCTAGTTTTGGGGACACTTTATTATCTGCTGCTCCACCTCTGCCCATTCCTGCTCTACAACCTCTCCTGGGGTGAGAAGCACACACAAACTGGGATTTCTAGAGGTCTGTGTGGCAGCAGGGACAGGAAGGATCCCAGGGAGATTAACAGCAAATTAATTCTGCAAATGGCCCTGCCACAGGGGCCCAATGGAAGGACAGCCTGCCTCAAATCTAAATCATTGTGGTCATTCTCTAAATAATCAAAACCTCAAGTGTTTAATCTGCAAATGCCAAGGGTCTATTGAAATGACTGTAGTCAAGAGCTTCCTGATGAAAAGAACTTTTTATTTTTTTATTTTTATTTTTATTTTTTATTTTTTTGAGACGGAGTCTCGCTCTGTTGCCCAGGCTGGAGTGCAGTGGTGCGATCTGGGCTCACTGCAACCTCTTCCTCCTGGGTTGAAGCAATTCTCCTGCCTCAGCCTCCAGAGTAGCTGGGATTACAGGTGCACACCACCATGCCTGGCTAATTTTTGTATTTTTAGTAGAGACAGGGTTTTACCATGTTGGTCAGGCTGGTCTCAAACTCCTGACCTTGTGATCTGCCTGCCTTGGCCTCTCAAAGTGCTAGAATTACAGGCATGAGCCACCGTGCCCAGTCTGTTTTTTATTTTTATTTTTTTGAGACAGAGTCTCACTCTGTTGCCCAGGCTGGAATGCAGTGGTGCCATCTTAACTCACTGCAACCTTCACCTCCTGGGTTCAACCGATTCTCCTGCCTCAGCCCCCCCAAGTAGCTGAGATTACAGGCGTGCGCAACCACACCCCAGCTAATTTTTTTTATTTATTTTATTTTTTATTTTTAGTAAAGACAGGGTTTCACTATGTTGGTCAGGCTGGTCTCGAACTCCTGACTTCAAATGATCTGCCCGCCTTAGCCTCCCAAAGTGCTGGATTATAGGCGTGAGGCGCCGTGCCCAGCCGAAAAGAACTTTTAAAATTTGCTATCTTTTTCATCTTAAACTAACCCTGCCAGAGACACCATCTGCAAACTGAGCTCGTCTTGGCCCAGGGATACACACTTTTAATCAACGGCTGGCGGTGTGATGGGCTTCTAGAGACGGTGTTAGGTTCCGCTTTAGGGTCTGTCGTTGAAAGGCACTGAAATCCACTCTTTTTCCTTTCCTAGAATCCAGTCCCAGACTCTGTAGAAGTCTTGGGAGGAGACTGGGAGATTTCCTCATGCTGCAAATTCTGGCCCAAACAATCCAGTCCCTGAGGAGGGTGTGTTGGTGTACCAGAAACTGATGGAACAGCACCCGGCACCATGCCAGACCCTCCTGTGCCAAGAGGTTCCAGGAAAATGAGCATATCCTAGGATTGGGAGGAAGTAAGGCAGCAACTGGGGACTTTTTCCTAATGAGTCCAATAAATCCTTGGAAAAATAATCCACCGAGGGTCAAATATACATAGAAAACAACTTTGAAGGCTTTTGGAGGCTTTTTTCCCTAAAAAGAGAGAAAAGTAAAAAATATTCCAGGCATTGGCTTTCAAAAACAAACAAACAAACAAAGAACAAAACAAAACAAAAAAACCAAAAAACAAACAAAACCAAGAACAACCCTGGGAATATAAAATTCTTCAAGATATGCAAGAAACATATAAACTTCAGGCCAGGTGCTTTGACATGCGCTTGTAGTCCCAGCTACTCAAGACGATTGTTTGAGCCCAGGAGTTTGAGGCTGTAGTGTGCTATGATCACACATATGAACAGCTACTGCACTCCAGCCTGGGCAACAAAGTAAGACTTCGTCTCTAAAATAAATACAACTAAATTTTAAAAGAGAAGTTTATAAACTTTAGTTATGTATTCTGGCCAATTAATGGGAGGGAGACAAAGAGAAAAACTGAACTAGAGGAGAAAAAGGAAGGGAAAGGAGGAAGCAGAGAAAGAATGAGAGAGGAGAGTGAGGGAGAACTCTGAAGAAGGCCAGAGAAAGAAAACAACAGGCCGGGCGCGGTGGCTCACACCTGTAGTCCCAGCACTTTGTGAGGCTGAGGCGAGAGGATCACCTGAGGTCAGGAGTTCGAGACCAGCCTGGCCAATATGGTGAAACCCCATCTCTACTAAAAACACAAAAATTAGCTGCGCGTGGTGGCACACGCCTGTAATCCCAGCTACTCGGGAGGCTGAGGCACGAGAATCACTTGAACCTGGGAGGCAGAGGTTGCAGTGAGCCGAGATTGCGCCACTGCCCTCCAGCCTGGGAGACAGAGCAAGACTCTGTCTCAAAAAAAATTTTAAAAAAGGCCGGGCATGGTGGCTCATGCCTGTAATCCCAGCACGTTGGGAGGCCGAGGCAGTAGGATTGCTTGAGCTCAGGAGCTTGATACCAGCCTGGGTAACATAGTGAGACCTCATTTCCATATAATAAATAAATAAAATAGAAAAGAAAACAATAATATTTCAGAGATGCCGAGACACAAAGCACAAGAGAACAGAGCACAGTGAGAGAACACTGGCCTGAGAAGGCTCAAAAGATGATGCTGAGAAGATGATGTTATCTGAAGGAAAATCACCATCTTTCTGCCTTCCGATTTACATGAGCATCTTAGAAACCTGGGAAGTCAGAGCTACAAGGACCTGAGCTCGTCTAGTCCAGTCTTTTCTGTACTGGGTTGAATAGTGTCACCCCAAAATCATATCTGCTTGGAACTTCAGAATGTGAGTTTATTTGGAGACAGGGTCTTTGTAGATAATGTTAGTGAAGATGGGGTTGTATTGGATTCGGGTGGGCGCTAAATCCGATAACTAGTGTCCTTTTTTTTTTTGGAGACAGAGTCTCGCTCTATCCCCGAGGCTGGAGTGCAGTGGTGCAATCTTGGCTCACTGCAACCTCCGCCTCCCGGATTCACGCCATTCTCCTGCCTCAGCCTCCTGAGTAGCTGGGATTACAGGTGTGTGCCACCAGGCCTGGCTAATTTTTTGTATTTTTAGTAGAGATGGGATTTCACCATGTTGGCCAGACTGGTCTTGAACTCCTGACCGCAGGTGATCCACTCGCCTCAGCCTCCCAAAGTGCTAGGATTACAGGCATGAGCCACCACACCCAGCTCTAGTGTCCTTCTCAGAAGGCCATGTGAAGGCACAGACACGCATGTGAAAGAATGCCCTGTGATGACAGAGGCAGTGACTGGAGCAGTGCAGCTGCAACCCAGAAAATCTCAAGAATTGCCAGGAACCATCAGAGGCCAGGAGAGGCAGAGAAGGGGTCTTTCCTAGAGCCTTTGGAGGAGCATGGCATTGCTGACACCTTGATTTTGGACTTCAGGTGTCCAGAACTGTGCAAGAATAGATTTCTGCTGTTTTTAGCCAGCTGGTTTGTGGTAATTTATTATGGCATCCCTGGGAAATGATGAATACATTTTCCTTTGCAGGAGAGGAGCCCTAGGATGTGTGACACATCCAAGGTCATGTAATCGACTGGTGGCCAATCCCCTATTCCAATTTAGCTTTTATTTTTCTTTAAGAATTGTATTTGCGGCCAGGCGTGGTGGCTCATGCCTGTAATCCCAGCACTTTGGGAGGCCAGGGTGGGTGGATCACTTGAGGTTAGGAGTTTGACCAGCCTGACCAATATGGTGAAACCCCATCTCCACTAAAAAAATACAAAATTAGCCGGGTGTGGTGGCACATGCCTGTAATCCTAGCTACTTGGGAGGCTGAGGCAGGAGAATTGCTTGAACCTGGGAGGCGGAGGTTGCAGTGAGCCAAGATGGTGCCACTGCACTCCAACCTGGGCAACAAGAGCGAGACTCAAAAACTAAACAAGCAAAAAAGTTAAAAAAAGTTAATTTGCTTTCCAGCATTGTCATCCTTTCTGAATGTGGAAATAAGGTTTCTTTTCTATTGCCAAAGTTCATTCTGAAGAAAGAATTCTTTTCCTATTGAATTATGAAATATATATGAAGGGACAATTTGGGCTTTAGAAATACTTTGGACTCTGAAGTTTTTCAATAGATTTACTGCTGGTTCTTTGATATTCCAAAATATTCTCTTTTTTGTCTTTTTTTTTTTCTTTTTTGTGGAGAATGGGGTCTTGCTATATTGCCCAGGCAGGACTTAAACTCCTGGGCTCAAGCAATCCTTCTGCCTCTGCCTCCCTAAGTGCTGGGATTACAGGCATGAGTCACTGCACCTGGTCTGGTATTCCAAAACATTCTAATAGCTTATTACTTTTGAGAGATGAGGGCTACCCCCTTCAAATGTTGAAATCACCATTTGTTTCCTTATTCTGAGCAATTTTCTGAAGGTAAGCCGAGTCTTGCTGGGGATATTGAATGTAAAACTGTCTTTAAAGTAGATCCTTTGGTAAGAAATGTATTGATCACTATTTTGGGGTTTTAACTGACATCAAATAATATGAAGCATATGTGAGTTTTTAATTATTTAGAAGTTCCTAACCCTTTTTTGGACCCTATCTCCCTTCAAGAAACTGATAAAAGGCCAGGCGTAGTGGCTCACACCTATAATACCAGAATTTGGGAGGCTGAGGCAGGAGTTCTATCACTTGAGCCCAGGAGTTTGTGACCAGCCTGGGCAACATAGTAACACCCTCATCTCTACAAAAAAATTAAAAATTAGCTGGGTGTGGTCGTGGGCACCTGTGGTCCCAGCTTTGGGAAGCTGAGACAGGAGGATTGCTTGAGCCCGGGAGGTCAAGGCTGCAGTGAGCCATGTTCACACCAGTGCACTCCAGCCTGCGTGACAGAGCAAGACTCTTTATCTCAAAACAAACAAAGACATGGATAAAAGCTATGGATTCTCTCCCATAGAAAACTGCACACCCTCATAACCTTTTGCACCTACTCTTTTTTTTTTTTGAGACAGAGTTTCGCTCTTGTTGCCCAGGCTGGAGTGCAATGGCTCGATCTTGGCTCACCACAACCTCTGCCTCCCAGGTTCAAGCAATTCTCCTGCCTCAGCCTCCCGAGTAGCTGAGATTACAGGCATGCACCACTACGCCCGGCTGATTTTGTATTTTTAGTAGAGATGGGGTTTCCCCATATTGAGGCTGGTCTCGAACTCCTGACCTCAGCTGATCCACCCACCTCAGCCTCTCAAAGTGCTGGGGTTACAGGCGTGAGCCACCGCGCCCGGCTGCACCTACTCTTAGAGAATTCTCAGGCCCCACGCCTTACCCCAACTTCTGTTACCAGTGGTGAATCCAATGGGTCTGCAGCAAACTTGATGCTTGCCTTCTCAAAGACAGAACTCAGCTGAGGGGCAGAGGTGGTTTTAAGTGGTTTTAAGGCACAGGGAGAGACCAAGGCAAGTTTTAGAGCAGGAGTGAGAGTTTATTAAAAAGTTTTAGAGCAGGAACAAAAGGAAGTACACTACACTTGGGTCAGGCAGGCAACTTGAGAGATCTAAGTGCCCTGCCTGACCCTTAACTTGGGGTTTTATGTATTTGGCATAGTTCTGGGATTTACGTCTCATCTCCCCTGATTCTTCCCTTGCAGCAGGCTGTCCGCGTATGTGGTGACCTGCCAGCACTTGGAAGGGGTCGCATGCACAGTGTGATTACTGAAGTTGCGCGCATGCTCACTTGAGGCATTTTTCCCCTTACCAGTCGTGCGTTCCCAGAGGAAGGTAGGTCATATACTGGTTAAATTCCGCCATTTTGCCTCTTGGTGCGCATGCTCCAGGCTGCTTGCCCAGCTCCTGAGATCTTATCGGGAAGCGGCTGATCACCAGATCAGGGTGTTTTGTATCTATTGAGAGACTGTCCTTGCTTGGAGCTGGCTGCAACCAATTATTATTTTACAGAGACAGTTTAACAACCACCTGACCATCACCTGATGGTAGCCTGACATTCCTGTGGGGGCCCTCACCTGTCCTGCTCATGTTTGCCTAGCTCCCTACTCTAACATTTCCACTCTGTGGACCCCAGGTTGAGATCTTCTGCAGGGAAGACTGTCCTCAAATAGCCTGCTGGGGAGACATCTCCTTCCCGTTTACCTTTCCATTTGCCCTTGCGGTGTTAGGCAAAGGCTGAAGCTGGCCTCTGTGGCAGAGGGTTTCTTCCCAACACGCCAATGACGCTGGTGGAGAGTCTTAAAAACAGCTGTGCTGGGGAGAGTTCTTGGTGTGTACCTTTCAGAGACCTCCTCCTTAAGACTCTCAAAGACTGAGTCAGGCCAGTGGGAGCCTGGCAGCAATTCTTAGGGGACAGTGACAGCTTTTTGAGGAGGACTAATTGGCTTCTAGGGCTGGAGGCCACTTGGGTCTGACAGACTGCCCTGCTGCCATCCCTCCAGGGCACCCCCCACTCCCTTGCCTCAGGGCCTTCCTGCACTTCTTCCTTTTGTCCTCAATGTTCTTCACCCCACCTTTTCCACTGGTACCCTCTGCCTATGGTCAAGGCTTTGGTGAGACCCACTTTCCTCTTAGACCTTCCTGGATCCCCCAAAGTCTGTGTTGGAAGCCCCTCCCATGTGCCCTTGTTTGAGCTTTTAATTTTCCACCATGACGCTTGTCACACTGCTTTGTAATTGGCTCTCTGTTAGTCTGCATCTCTACTGGGTTGTACCTTCCAGGAGGACAGCTGCCATGTGACTCTTGTAATCTTCCCACCGCCAACACCCAGCACAGCGTCAGGAACACAGAGCATGATGAGCACAAGCTTGTTGAGCAAACAGACAAATAACTGGATGCTTCTGTGCAGAGTTTCTCAACCTGGCCATTATTGGCATTTGGGACTTGATCATGCTTGGTCGTGGGAGACGGTTCTGTGCCTGTAGGATGTTTAGGAGCATGCTTGGTTTCTACCCACCAGATGCCGGGAGCACACCCACCCAGCTGTGACAACCAAAAATGTCTCCAGACACCATTCCAAAACCAGCGGGAGACAAAATCGCCCGACAGTCGTTGCTTTAGTGAGTGAATGTTGACCTAAGCGTCACTTCGCCTGTCTTGAGTCTAGGTCGGGGAGTGGGTTCAGTTAGCCAATCAGAGAACGCTGATGGGGCGACCAGTATATGCTCATGAAATGGGTGGCTGACCTCTTGGGGTCAGAAGAGGGAAAAGTTTTACTGTGTGTTGGCTAAGGACCATTTTAAGTCCTTCAGTGACCGATTACCACATGAGAACACAAGAGGGCGCTCTAACTAATGAGTTCCGCGGCCGAGAAAACTCCTGGAGTGGGTGCTCCTGGGATGCTTCAGGTTTAGACACCGGGGTTACGGCAGCTGCCGAGGAAGGCTAAAGCCAGCGTCCTGGATTCAGACAGACCTTTTAGCCATTAAATCCACTAAGAAAGATCCCTGCGCATGAAGTTTCCTCCTCGGAAATATAGGCAGAAGGGAAAGTAATTTTAAACTCATGTGTGCTCCACAGGCCGGGGGCGGTGGCTCATGCCTGCAATCCCAGCACTTTGCGAGGCCAAGGAGGGAGGATCACTTGAGCCCAGAAGTTCGAGACCAGCCTGGGCACCATGGTGAAACCTCATCTCTGCAAAAAAAAAATTAAAAATTAGCCAGCTATGGCGGCTCACGCCTCTGGTCCCAGCTACCCAGGAAGCTGAGATGGGAGGATCGCTTGAGCCCAGGGGTTCGAGGCTGCGGTGAGCCATTGTTGTGCCACTGCACTCCAGCCTGGGCAACAGAGCAAGCCCCTGTCTCAACAAAACAAAACAAAACAAAAAATTCAGTCGTGCTGCATAAGTAAGGCACCAGGAGTAGGAATAGGGTCTTTGCAGCTCCCGTGGCAATTGCCCTTCTCTGGTGGTGGCAAGGGACTAAGGAACTCCCTGGACACAGGGGATCTGGCTGTCCCCAGATCATCAACAGAGACATGAAGGTCGTTAGAGGTCGTCTGATCCTTTGACCTCAATCTGAGCCCACCACTCAGAAAACCTGGAAATTGTATGACATTTTCGTGATACAACTCGGTGTGTGTGTGTTGGGGAAAGGAACCAACAGCTTTCATCATATTGTCAAAAGAGTCTAGGCTGGGCATGGTGGCTCACGCCTGCAATCCCAACCCAAAGGCCTGTGGAGCACACATGAGGACAAGGCGGGCAGATCACCAAAGGTCAGGCATTCGAGATCAGCCTGGCCAACGTGGTGAAACCCCATCTCTACTAAAAATACAAAAATTAGCCAGGCGTGGTGACATGTGCCTGTAATCCCAGCTACTCGGGAGGCTGAGACAGGAGAACTGCTTGAACCCAGGAGGCGGAGGTTGCAGTGAGCAGAGGTTGCGCCGCTGCAGTCCAGCCCGGGCAACAAGAGCGAATCTCCGTCTCAAAACAACAAAACAAAAACATAGACCTGCTCGGTTCTCTCTGTGACTTCAGAGGCCCAAGGAGTCCTCAGCACTATAGATGCATGTGGCCCCTCAGAAGACAACATTTCACAGATCTGCAAAGAGCAAAGGTCAAATTTATTTAATACAACATCCACGAGGGTCCCTGCAGCTGTGTCACTGAGGCAAACAGGAAAAGTGATTTTGGCTAGGCGTGGTTCTCATCTGTGAAATTCCACAGCGCAATGACAGCAGCCTCTCTCCCACCCACTCAAGACACTGTCAGGAATGTCTTAAGACCTCAGGAGACCACTTCTTTAGCAAGCAATTTTGTTTTTTGTTTTTTTTGAGATGGATTCTCACTCTGTCACTCAGGCTGGAGTGCAGTGGCGCGATCTCCGCTCACTACAACCTCCGTTTCCTGGGTTCAAGCGATAATCTCACCTCAGCCTCTTGAGTAGCTGATACTACAGGCATGCGCCACCACGCCCGGCTAATTCTTGTATTTTTAGTAGAGACAGGGTTTCATCAGGCTGGTCTCAAACTCCTGACCTCAGGTGATCCGCCCACCTCAGCCTCCTGAAGTGCTGGGATTACAGGCGTGAGCCACCTTGCCTGCCCTGGCAAGGAATACATTTTTAAAAATTAGTAAGAAACATACACATTTCAAGTTTTCAATTAAGAATAATATTTGCTGATGGCACCATCTTCCTGTCTTTCAGCCTTCAGCATGGTAGAGGAAAAGAGAAAGAGTGTAGACAAAAACAGTTGAAGAACATCTGTGCTTGTTCCACCTTCATTTTCTGTTTTGTGCGTTGCCTGAATGAACGGTGTCTTCAGGTTGGTATTTCACAGGCGGTGCTCCCAAGTAGTCTGGTTTTCCCATTTGTGGAGGGCGAGGTCATAGAGGGGACAGGGGGAGGCTGTCTGGTCAGCACTGTGTATTTCCAAAGAACAAGGACTAGCCAAAACTACAAGCCTTTGAAGGACCAAAGGAAAAGAGAAAAAACCAGCCTCTAACCAGGCCATGCGCTAGAAATGATTGAGTATAAAAAAGAAAATTGGTTTCTGTGTATGAGGGTGCATGGAAAAGGTCTTTATCTCTGCACAAAACAAAATATTCAAGTTTCAGAATATCCCAATGGCCTTGCCCTGGATCTCCTCTTGTGCTCTTCCAATTTCCAAGGATGTTCCAACTTGGTGGAAGGAGGGTATGTGGGAAATTCAACAGCCCCTCTGTATCTCTTTCTACCCAACATTAACTTAGCAGGATGGATTTAAGAACCGGCAGCTTAGCCTGAGGAATTGCTGTGTTCTGTGGGAGCAGGGCAGGTTCATAAATAAGTGCACAGAGGTCTTGAAATACAGGGATTATCTGTTCTTCTCGGAACATGGATGTCCTTCCAGGGATGTGCATCTGGCCTTGCTGTCTAAGTTCCATCAAGGGAGCCTTCCGTTCTCTGTAGCGACAAGAAACAAGGCAAGTTATGATCACACCTCTCAAGATTGAAGATTGCCCTGGTGGAGAGAAATGCAAAATGACAGCACTTCTCAAAGAAAATGCAAAGCAGGGCTGTCACACACTGGTCCCCCACCCTGCAGGGTTCTCTCTGTGACTTCAGAGGCCCAAGGAGTCCTCAGCACTACAGATACACGTGGCCCCTCAGAAGACAACATTTCACAGATCTGCAAAGAATAAAGGTCAAATTTACTTAATACAACACCCACCAGGGTTCCTGCAGCTGTGTCACTGAGGCAAACAGGGAAAGTAATTTTGGTTAGGTGTGGTTCTCACCTCTGAAATTCCACAGCACAATGACTGCAGCCTCTCTCCCACCCACTCAAGACATTGTCAGGAACGTCTTAAGACCTCAGGAGACCACTTCTTTAGCAAGCAATTTTTTTTAGATGGATTCTCACTCTGTCACTCAGGCTGGAGTGCAGTGGCGCGGTCTCTGCTCACTACACCCTCCCTCTCCTGGCTCCTGCCCGTATGTATTTCTCCTTCTCTCCATGCCTGCTCTGTAGGGACCATAGCCTCTGTCCCTGCATACATGTTGGACATCAATCACATCAGTCCACCAAGTAACTTCATCAAGCACCCATGTACGCCCAGCACAGCGTCCCAAGGGTGCCCCACTTACCCACAGAAGAAGAAAGGCAACTTTGTAAGAGATCTGACTTCTAGCTCCAGTTCTGTCTCTAGCTAACGTGAGATGTACCCGTTTGAGGCCTGTTTTTTAATTTTGAAAATGAAGGACTGAACTTAGATGGTCCAACTGAAATGTTTTAAAATGATATGATTCTACCTTAAAAAGAGAATGAAATTCTGATATATTTTCAACACAGGAAAACCTTGAAAACGTTATGCTAAATGAAATAAGGCAGACATGAAAGGACAAATATATGATTCCACTTATGTGATGTACCTCAAATAGTCAAATTCATAGAGACAGAAAGTAGACAGTGGTTGCTAGGGGTTGCTGGAGGGGCAATGGGGAGTTAGTGTTTAATGGGTACAGTGTTTCAGTGGCTGCTCTGCCTATGGAGTAGCCATTCTTTTGTTTCTTTACTTCTCTAATAAACTTGCTTTCACTTAAAAAGAAAAAGCTCTGGAGATGGATAGTGGTGGTGGTTGCACAGCAATGTGAACGGACCTAATGCAACTGAATTATACACTTTAAAATGGTTAAGTATACACTGGAAAATGGTGAATTTGCCGGGCGGGCGCAGTGGCTCACGCCTGTAATCCCAACACTTTGGGAGGCCGAGGCGGGTGGATCATGAGGTCAGGAGTTCAAGACCAGCCTGGCCAACATAGTGAAACCTTGTCTCTACTGAAAAATACAAAAATTAGCCGGGCGTGGTGGCGTGTGCCTGTAGTCCCAGCCACTCGGGAGGCTGAGGCAGGAGAATGGCGTGAACCCGGGAGGCGGAGCTTGCAGTGAGCCAAGATTGCGCCACTGCACTCCAACCTGGGCGACAGAGCAAGACTCCGTCTCAAAAAAAAAGAAAATGGTAAATTTAATATTATGTATATTTTATGACAATTAAAAAAAAGGATTCCTGGCTGGGCATGGTAGCTCATCCCTGTAATCCCAGCACTTTGGGAGGCCAAGGTGGGTGGATCCCCTGAGTTTAGGAGTTCCAGAACAGCCTGGGCAACATGGCGAAGCCCCATCTCTATCAAAAATGCAAAGAATTAGGCATACATGGTGGTGTGCACCTGTAGTCCCAGCTACTCAGGAGGCTGAGGTGGGAGGATCACTTGAGTCTGGGAGATGGAGGTTGCAGTGAGCTGAAATAGCACCCCTGCACTCCAGCCTGGGTGATAGAGTGAGACTTCATCTCAAAAAACACACAAACAAACAAAAAAAGCAAAAAAACACCCACAAAAGGATTCCTGGATTCCTTCTGCCATCCTGTAGTGCTCTTTAACAGCTTCAAATGGTATTTGTGTCACCTATCCACCTATCAGTGCCTGGACCCTTATCTGACCCACACTGTTCTCTATGCTGGGGATGCAAGAAGCTGTCCCCAAGAATTTTATATTGTATCAATTATTGATAAACAACACCACTATGAAGTAGAAGGTATAAGAGGTCTCAACAAACTGCAGAAGGGGTTCAGAGGCACTGAGAGGGCTCTGGGCTGGGCAGTGGGGGATTCACAGAAGCAACTCTGGAGTCAGCCTAAAGATTGGATTTTGACAAATGGAAGGAGCCCTTGGAGGGAAAAAGAGCAGGGCCTGCTGGGAGATACCAGAGTAGAGGGGGGCCCTGGGCAACAGTGGGCCCTGAAGAGCAGGCAGCACCTAAGTCCACTATTCTGGACCCTCCATGTGCACAGGACACTCTGCTGCAGGTGGAACTCAGCAAGGCAGAAGCTGGAGATGGAGGATGACCCAGGGTCTTGGGACCTCCACAGCCAGCCTGGCTGGCTTCCTGAGGGTGAGCTGGGATAGTGTCTCCATTTTGTTTCAGCCCTGCTGGGTCCAAGGACCCTTGGGGAACAGGATGCAGGGCCGAGGTGCCCCAACTAGAAAGCCAAGGCTCTGGCCCCTCCTCTGCCAGGAGAGCCCCATGCAAGTGGGCCAAGCAAGCCGTGCTGGCCCCAGAGGCTGGAGGCCTGCCAGCGCCGGCAGCCACCCTGCCCTATTTCCTCTGCTCTGCCTGGATGGGGGAGACATGACTCTGGTGTCCAGCCTTTCTGTGGGCCCCAGACCAAGTCCCTCCCCAGACACCTCCGCTCTCTCTCTGTGGGGGCAGCCAATGCCTGGGGCACCATTGCAGAACCAAAGCCACAGACAGGAAGGGCTGGGCCACAATCAACAGGGCCTTAGGGATTTTGAAGTAAAGGTTAACACGCTCACATCCAAGGTCTGGGCTTGCTGTGCTTAAATCAGAAGCCAGCCATCAGCCACCCAAGTGCAGTTGTGAAATCGCCCTGCCTTGTACCCGGAATATGGTGTGGTCTCCCTCAAAGGTCATTTTGATTTCAACACACCCTGGGATCTCTAGTTCCTGCTTCTACAAAGTGCTCCTGTGGGCACTTGCAATAGACCAGGTCTATGCCAGGTGCTCATTCAACCCTTGCAACAACCAAGTGAGGGAGTTTATGATTCCCAGTTTACAGATTAGGAAGTAGAGGTCTTGAGAGGCCAAGAAATTTGCCCATGGTGACATGGCTAAGAAGTGGGAAGTCAAGTGTTAATGTGGGTCTCTGATTCCTAAGTCAAAGCCTGGCCTTGGTTGAATCCTATGCCTTGGGTAAGCAACTGCTACATTCTCCATATGTGGCAGGGTCATTTCATGGCCAAATCAAGTTAAGTCCCCCATCCACACCTACTATTGCCCAAGTGATGAAAAGAGCTTGAGATCAACCAGCTTTTATATGGTGGTTTGCAGCTTGCAGCTTTTATATGGTGGTTGCAGTTGCTCATTTCATCCTTAAAATCCTAATAGGTTGCTCTTATCATCATTGTCATCACCATCTCCACTTTATAGATAAGGAAGCTTGAGCTTGAGGAAGACAGGCTCACCCAAAAGACAGCTGGAAAGCTGGAGCTCCCCTCCCATCCCCTGATCCTAGCACCTGGACAGTTTCCACTGTAGCCCAGCTGCCTCCTGGCCTCCAGGAAGGGGGGAGGCGAGCTATAGCTGCCAATTGCCTTTCTTTCTGTAAGAAGGCAGGGTCCTTTCCAAGATCCCAAGACTCTCACAAGTCCAGATTCACCCCTTTCATTTAAGTACAGGGTGTTCTCTTCCATGCTATCTGTCTGCGTCGGCCACACACACAATTTATAAACAAGGTAAAAATGGCAGAGGAAAAATGAAGTCAGAATGTGCCATTGAAGCAAGTCAAACAATACCAAATTAGTCTTTGGCTACGTGGCTATCTCATTGTTAAGATATTTCCTCCAATGTTTTCAGAGGCAACGGCCATTAAACAACTGGGAATGATCGCCAGGTTTGATTTCAGGAAGGAAATCTCCTCCCATTTCCCCACTGGGCAATTCAATTAATTTTCTCCTGACCCACACCAGCTGATTATTAGGGAAGCTATACCTGCTTCTTTTATAAACAAAACCCATTTGCTTAAAGGTTCAAAATTCCTTTCCCAACGGCTGGAAACCCTGTGCTCCCATCAAATGACTCTATTCTTTTTTCTGGGGGGACAGGACCAGTCATGGGTGAGCTCTCAGAACCATCCTGGGAGCAGACTTTGAGGCCCAAGGGCCAGCTTCTGGGTAAAGTTCTGTCTGGCCTGGAGCTCCAAGCCTTTGTCCAGAGACACCCTTTGGATCCAAGACAAAGTAAATAAGTTGGTCCTACAGGGTGTTTTGGGTGGACCCAGCCATGTTTATCGCTTCAGGAGAACACATCTGTGTCCCGCACTGCCCAGGGAGCAAAGACCTCATTTTCCACTCTCTCAAAGCCATTATTGCTGGGACAGCAACTTCACATCTTGGAGGGAGTCTCTGTCGTGACAGAGGACTGGCCGCAGAGTATAGAGGCCTGGGCTCTGTTCCTCACTCTATTAGCCATCCAGGTGACCCCAGACACGCTATTCTACCAGTGCAGGCCTCAGTTTCCTCATCTGTAAATTGGGCTCCTTGTCCCAGTGACACGATAGTCTCTGATTTCAGGAGTCTGAGTGGGTTTTGGCTAGGAAAAAAAACAACCATTCATTTCATTCCTCTTTTCCTTAAATTCATAGCTTTCTTCCATAAAAAGAATGTCAGTGGCTTCCTGTCTGTCAAAGGCATAATGAGCTCTGTTTTACAAGAGTCCAGACATGGGCAAAACAAAGGAAGCCAGGGGCCCACTGGAAGAGCTACCAGAAATCTTGCTGAAAGTTCTTCCCAGACCTAAAAGAAGTTTATGCGGCAAATGCCTCATTTCTTCAGATATTAGCTGCCCAGTTAACTCCTGCATTGCTGGGTAGCTCACAAAAAGGTTGGGATTGGAAGACACGTCTTTGCAAAAGTTGAACGTGGGCCTCTGTGTCTTTCATAAACCCTCCCATCTGCCAAATAGCAGATTCCTAACTCCATTTCCTACAGAATGAAGCTTCTTAACAAGGCATGTAAATCCTTTGGATTTAAGCCCTGACTTATCTTTCTCCCGTCACTTGTCACTGTCACACTCTTCTTTTCCCATCCCACACTGCTTGAAACTGGTCATCCCTCACCCTTGTGCTCCTGCTGATCTTTCTCCCTCAATGCTGCCATCACTCCATTCATTCTTCATGGCCCATTCCAAATGATTCCTTGGGGAAGAGGCCACTAGCTAGGTCTCTGTTCTGTGTTCCCATAGGCTCTGGCATAGCTCACTTTGCTTTATGATAAGTGATCACATGTCTGATTCCCTCATCAGAAGGTGAACTGAGGTCAAGAAGCTTGGGTGTCTCCTGCAGCTGATGGCCTGGTGTGTAGGGGGTAATTAGAATCGGCTAAATTGCAATGAGCTGTCAGCTGCTCCACTCCTCCAAGCATACACCCTAGATCTGCCTCACTTCCAGAGCCTAGACTTTGGCGTTAAACGAAATGTGTGCTTTGCTTGTTTGGCGCTAAGCACCCCAGAGTCCCAATCCCTTCACGTGTGGGCTGAGATGTAATGATGGAAATTGCAGGAGAGAATATTCGAAATCAGAACTGGCCAAGGCTAGTCAGAGAAGCCCAGGGCTTCTGGTCTGAAACAGACTAGGGAGCGGGGAAGAATTCATGTGAATGCAGGACGTGGGTGAGTCTGGAAATATTTCACTGTTCAGTGGAGTACTTTTAAATATAATGTATATGAAATGTGTACTTACAGAGTATCTGCTTTCCACGGCATCTACAAAACAAAGGATGACATGGCAGTGAGCAACGCAAATAACCCAGTTCAACTGCCCCAACAACATCACAGGGTCAGGAGCAGGTCGAGAAAAGAGGGAGGAGGCGAGAGCCAGGAGACATCAGCCGGCAGGTGCCCTTAGAGGTTTATGGCTCCTTTGTGCAAGACAGCTTCCCCGGGACCCTCTAGCTCCACATGACATGCGCATAAAGTCCCTGGCACTTCATTTAAAATTTTCTTTATTTTTTATTTTTTGAGACAGAGTCTCGCTTTGTCACTCAGGCTGGAGTGTGGTGGCGCCATCTTGGCTCACCGTAACCTCTACCTCCAGGGAATTCTCCTGCCTCAGCTGGCACTATCTCGGCTCACTGCACCCTCCGCCTCCCAGATTCAAGGAATTCTCCTGCCTCAGCCTCCCAAGTTGCTGGGACTACAGGCGCACACCACCATGCCTGGCTAATTTTTTTTGTATTTTTTGTAGAAATGGAGTTTTGCCATGTTGGCCAGGGTGGTCTCGAACTCCTGGCCTCAGGTGATCTGCCAACCCTGGCCTCCCAAAGTGCTGGGATTACAAGTGTGAGTCACCACATCTGGCCTCATTTAACATTTTAAACAGTTTTTTAGAAATGTAGTATCACGGCTGGGTGTGGTGGCTCATGCCTGTAATCCCAACAGTTGGAGAGGCTGAGGCAGGCGGATCACCTGAGGCCAGGAGACCAGCCTGGCCAACATGGTGAAATCCCATCTCTACTAAAAATACAAAATTAGCCAGGCGTGGTGGTGGGCACCTGTAGTCCCAGTTACTCGGGAGGCTGAGGCGGGAGAATCGCTTGAACCTAGGAGGCAGAGGTTGCAGTGAGCTGAGATCGCACCACTGCACTCCAGCCTGGGCGACACAGCAAGACTCCATCTCAAAAAAAAAAAAAAATTAGTAGCACATATTTTTTTAAGAAAAAAATGAAAACTATGGAAAGTAGGAAGTAGCAGATAAAAATGATATCTGGCCTCATTCTCCAAACCCTGTTGATACTTTTTTTTTTCCTAGTCATTTTCCACTACGATTTGGCTTTTTTGGGGGTGGGGAGCAGTTATAATTATACAGTATATGCCATTTTATAACTTAACTTTTTCATATAACATGGCTTTATAAACTTTTTCTGAAAACTTCTTAAGCATAATTGTCCAATTAGCTACTAAATAATTGTTAAATGGATGTACAACTATTGACTTCACCAATTCCTTACTTTAAAAATGTAGGTGCTTTCCAAGTTTTTGCTCTTTTCAATAACACCACCGGTATCCTCTTTGGGAATAAAGCTATTTCTAGATTTCATACTATTTTGTCAATCCCTTCCAGGAGCAGGCTCAACAGAGGAGGAGGCAGAAGCATTGCCAACGCTCTTAGCAGATCTGGGCAACTGTTTCCCCTTCCCCTCAGGAGTCTCCTCTCAACTGTGTGGGAGCCCACACCACCTTCTTTTTTTTTTTTTTTGAGACGGGGTCTAGCTCTGTCACCCAGGCTGGAGTGCAGTGGCTCACTGCAACCTCCATTTCCTGGGTTCAAGCAATTCTCCTGCCTCAGCCTCCCAGGTAGCTGGGATTACAGATGCCCACCACAATAGCCGGGTAATTTTTGTATTTTTAGTAGAGATGGGGTTTCGCCATGTTGGCCAGGCTGGTCTCAAACTCCTGACCTCAGGTGATCCACTCATCTCAGTCTCCCAAAGTGCTGGGATTACAGGCATGAGCCACTGTGCCCAGTCTCACACCACCTTCTTGGCAGGCGCCATGCTGTGTTTGCCTGGCCCTGCCAGTCTGCAGTTGCGCAAATGGTCCCAACCGGATGTCAGCAAGAGGACAGTGAGGCTGAGAAAAGCCAATGAGAGCAGGAAGCTCTGCATAGGTGGTGGGTGATCCCTGCCTGCATTCATTAGAGATGGTGTTTCCTATGAGAGGCAAGTGACGGGTATGGCTTGCCCTTCTGGAAAGGACCAGGACCCCACCCAATGGTCAGTGGCCCACATGCTGGGGCAGATCCCCAAACAGCTGACTGTGGACCCTGACTTGAAGACAGAGAAGTCATGGGGACCTCACCTGCTGCCTGGGGGAGACCCCAAGAGGAGATGTGGGCATTGGGGATGGTTGCTGTTCTCGAAGGTGGTGGAGGGAATGGTGGGAGGGCCATAAGTCCTCAGTCTTATCGAGAAAAGTACGCCAAGGGGCCTCAGTATAGACCCAGCCCCAAGCTCACATACAGTTCCTCCTGGACCTCGGGCAGGCTCAGGGCCTGTCTGTCACAGCGGGGGTCACAATCCTTCTGTTTCTCTAATTTAGAAATATCCTGTTTCCCCAAGTCCACCTCACCCTAACACCCTGTCTTATCACAAGTCCACTGCCCCTCCCCCATAGAGGGAACAGAGCCAGAAGTTCCTCAGGGGCCCTTTTTCTGTCCTGGCTGGGCCAGAGGCTGGTGTCAACAGCCAAATGATGAATCAGCCCAACGCTAATGTTGAGCCATTGTGTCAACTTCCATGCATTGAGTGAGGTTGAGGACAGCACCCCCAATGCAAATCTGACCTGCAAGGACCCAAAGGACCCCGTGATTCCTGGACCCTCCTAGTCCCCTAAGGGCTCTGGAACCTCTTTCCCAACAGCGAAAGAACCTCAAGTAGGCATTTTCTAAAGCAATCTGAAGACAAAATGTGAAAAACTCAAATACGGATGGAACACTTACTCCATGCACACTTGCAGTTCTTGTTTTTTTGGTAACAGAGCAATCATCACCAAAGTTGAATTGGAGGTAGCATCCATTTTTTCATGGGGATACTTTTTCACCATCTTGCACGCTGAAGTAGGAAATGCCTCCCCAGGGGCAGGGTTGGCAGTGCCCTCTGGCCTCACTGGCTCTGGGCCTCACAGGATGGGTGGGGACTGATCCTCAAGTGCTCTTCTCTTCCTCCCATAGGAGACTTGGCACAGAGGCCTCCTTTTCTTTGGTTCTTTCTCAGCCATTTCCTGTCACGGCTACTCTCGGCCCAGCTAGTCTTGGTATACTGGGTGGCAGGGGATGCGGTGAGGACCAGGGTTTCTGCCTCCCTAAGAAACACCCTGGAAGTCTGAATTCCAGGCAAATAGAAAGTAGAAGGTGGACTGGGCGCAGTGGCTCACGCCTGTCATCCCAGAACTTTGGGAGACCAAGGCCGGTGGATCACTTGTGGCCAGGAGTTCGAGACCAGCCTGGCCAACATGGTGAAACTCCGTCTCTACTAAAAATACAAAAATTAGCTGGGCGTGGTGGTGCATGCCTCCAATCCCAGCTACTTGGAAGCCTGAGGCATGAGAATCACTTGGACCCAGGAGGCGATTGTTGCAGTGAACCAAGATCGTGCTATTGCACTCCAGCCTGAGTGACAGAGCAAGACTTAGTCTCAAAAAACAAAAAATAGCAACAAAAAAGTAGAAGATGGACCATTGAGTGAGTAGATTCCGTGATGGGGAGGTGGGCCTCTGGCTCAACAGGTAGGGCTGGTGCCCAGAGCAAGACTCAGCACCCATCCAGAGCCACAGTAATCAGGTGGGATGTGCCTTAAGTCACCTCCCAAGACAGAGGGCAGGCAAAAGCTGGTACTGGAGAGGAAAACCAGCTCTCCTGTTGGAGGAGTTGCAGGAGGTGAATTCCTCTGGCCAGGGTTTCTCCATGGTGGCCCTGTTGAAATTTTGGGCTGGGTGGTGTTTTGTGGTGGGGAGGGGGCTGTCCTGTGCATTGTCGCATGTTTAGCGGTATCCCTGGCCTCTCTCCACGAGACGCAGTAGCATTCTCTTCTCTGTTCACCACGCTATGACAACCAAAAGTGTAGTACTTAGTGCCACTGAGCTGGATACTTAGAGTTAAAATGGTAAATTTTATGTGATATGTGTTTTACCACAATTTTAAGAATAAAATTGTAAAAAGTAAAAAAAAAAGTGGGCTGGGCATTGTAATCCCAGCACTTTGGGAGGCTGAGGCGGGCGGATTGCTTGAGCTCTGGAGTTCAAGACCAGCCTGGCCAATGTGACGAAACCCCATCTCTACTAAAATATAAAAATATTTTGCTGGGTGCGGTGGTGCATGCCTGTAGTCCCAGCTGAGTCAGAGGGGCCTGCCTGGGGAGGTGGAGGTTGCAGTGAGCCAAGATTGCGCCACTGCACTCCAGCCTGGGTGACAGAGAGAGACCCTGTCTCAAAAAAAAAAAAAAAAAAAAAAGGTGGAAAAAAAGCATAGTGTGGAATTCTACCATACATCTCTAGGCCACAGAGAGTCAATAGGGAAACTGAGACACACAGGATCCCTGCCAGTGCTGTGTCCATCCCCTAACGTGGGGAGGCAGCTGAGTGGAAGGCGCCTCATGATACAACAATTAAAAAAAAAAAAAAAAAGCTGTGCTTAGAGCCAAAAGCCAAGACTGGAAAGACCAGGCAGCTCCCCCACTGTCTGCAAGCTTTCCCATCAAACTCAAGTCCCCCGGGCCAGCGCCCAGCTCTCTCTCCTCGGCCCTGGGGCTGCTCCTTGGAGGCAGGCCTGCCCCATGCCCTATTGCTTATCTAGGGGAGGGCTTATTTTGTATTACTCAGGGGGTGAAAGGGGGTTTAAGGGCCAGAACTGTGCCCTTTAAGCCATTTCCCAAAATAGGCAGCCCTGAAATGCTGCATGCTAGAAGATGACGGGGAACATGAAGGGGAAAGGTCAGCAAAGACTCCGCTCTGCACCCAGCTGGCTCACTGATCTCACAGACCTACCCCACACTGGGCCCCAATTTTTTTTTTTGAGATGGAGTCTCACTCTGTCGCCCAGGCTGGAGTGCACTGGTGCGATCTTGGCTCACTGCAAGCTCTGCCTCCCGGGTTCACACCATTCTCCTGCCTCAGCCTCCCATGTAGCTGGACTACAGGCGCCCGCCACCACGTCCAGCTAATTTTTTGTATTTTTAGTAGAGATGGGGTTTCACCGTGTTAGCCAGGATGGTCTCGATCTCCTGACCTCATGATCCGCCCGCCTTAGCCTCCCAAATTGCTGGGATTACAGGCGTGAGCCACTGCGCACGGCCCTGGGCCCCCTGTTTTATTGGGGGTCACTCAATACCACCTTCCCTCTAATAAGCACAGTGTTTCTGGGTTTTACCTGCCCACCAATGCTGAAAGATCCCTCCAGGATTTCTGGAGGGTGAGAAAGACCCTACTCCTTCCAACAAGAAGCAGAGCCTTAGCGTGGCACAATCAGAAAGGAACATGCTGCATCAAGAGTGGTTCTCAAAGCCCGGGCCCCAGCGTGACGGCAGCAGCTGCGTGTGGACACCTGTTAGAAATGCACGTTTTCGGCACCGCTCCAGACCTAGTGAATGGGAAATTCACAGGGAGTGGGGTGCGCCAAACTATTGATGTTTTAATAAAGCCCGAGGACCACTGACCTGCCTCCAGCCCATACCTCATCTCACAGAGAAGGTGACCAAGGTCTTGAGAGGCTCTATGACTTGCCCAGGGTCACCCAGGCCACAGTAGAATATTACTCTTCATGTTTAAAGTAGATAGGATCTACTTAGGAGGCTGAGAGGGGAGGATGCTTGAGGCCGGGGGACAGAGGTTGCAGTGAGCCAAGATCATGCCACTGCACTCCAGCCTGAGTGACAGAGCCAGACCCTGTCTGAAAAAAAAAAAAGTAGACAAAAGTTCTCCAATTATGCCGATAACATGAAGCCTAAACTAAGAAAGATGGAAAACAGAAAAGAATGCAGTCAATTGGTTTGGCAACAAACAATGGACAGCAATTGGTAACAAACCAATTAAGAGAAAAAAAGAGAGGGAACAGGAAGGCTTTGAAGAGCATGGCTTCAGCCAGGCCCCCTGGGTTCAGTCCTTGCTCTGCCACTGGCTGTGGAACAAGGACAAATTAGTTAACCTCTGGGCCCGTTTCCCCATCTGCAGAGCAAGAATAATAATAGAACCCCCATCAACTGTTAGATGATCTTGGGGATTAAGGTAGGGCTCCAAGTGTCTCACACAGAGGGAGTGCTCAATACATATTAGCTTTAACTGTGACAGAGGAGGAAGGGACCCGCCCAACCGCAAGATAATTAGAGTATAGGGAGAAAACAATCAACATGGAACAAAAGAAATCTGCAGTCTACAGAGGTGGAATAATATCCAGAGGAAAGAGCTGCTGAAGAATTTGGCAATGATGAAGAATCTGGGGATGGTTATGATGATGAATAAGAAATGATGATCTGGCCGGGCGTGGTGTCTCACACCTGTTATCCCAGCACTTTGGGAGGCCAAGGCAGGTGGATCACCTGAGGTCTGGAGTTCGAGATCAGCCTGACCAATATGGTGAAACACCGTCTCTACTAAAAATACAAAAAAAATTACCCGGGCGTGGTGGCAGTAGCTGTGGTCCCAGCTACTCAGGAGGCTGAGGCAGAAGAATCACTTGAACCCGGGAGCTGGAGGTTGCAGTGAGCTGCGATCGCGCCACTGCACTCCAGCCTGGGTGACAGAGCGAAGACCCTGTCTCAAAAAAAAAAAAAAAGAAAGAAAGAAAGAAAGAAATGATGATCCTTAACAGCTCTGGGCTCTGGGGAAGACTTGAACAAAGAGAGGCTGAGGATGAGTGTGAGAGAAGCCTAAGCGGGTGGGTTACTGCTGGCTGAAGGATCTGGCTCTTTGGAGAATCATCTAACTCCCCCCAGGCAGAGAGGAGGGAATCTCTCTGATTTTATGTAGGGAGTGAAGGAAAAGAGATTACTTGGAAGATGTTTTCTATTAAGGAAGTCCCAGAGAATTTAGGAGAGAAATTCCTCAAATGGGATGCCTGCTCTTTAGCAACCAGTAAGAGGAAAAGAAAGAAAAGCTGAGCATTCAGGTGGCGCACGCCTGAATCCCAGCACTTTGGGAGGCCAAGGCGGGCAGATCACTTGAGCCCAGGAATTGGGCAATAGCCTGGGCAACATGGCGAATTAGCTGGGCATGGTGGTGCGTGCCTGTAATCCCAGCTTCTCCAGAGGCTGAGGCGGGAGGATCGCTTGAGCCCAGGAGGTGGAGGCTGCTGTTCACTGTGATCGTGCCACTGCACTCCAGCCTGGGTGACACAGTGAGACTCTGTCTTACAAAAAAGAAAGAAAAGAAAAGAAAGAAGGAAGGAAGGAGAGAGAGAGAGAGAGAAAGATAGAAAGAAGGAGGAAAGAGAAAAGGAAAGAAAGGAAAAAGGAAAGAAAGGAAGAAAAAGAAAAAGAGAGAGCGAGAGAGAAAGAAAGAGAGAGAGAGAAAGAGAGAAAGAAAAGAAATCAGCCATGTCCTGCAGGCTCCTCTCCTCAAGGAAGCACTGACAAACAGGAAACCCCTTGGCTTCCAGGACCAGAGGCTTCCAGGTGGGTTGGAGGCACAGCTGCAGGCAGCTGCAGGCCCCGAGGGCTACAGCCTGTGCAAGAACCAGGGCTCTCTCTACCTTCACCCCTGGGCAGGTTAGAGACCTGGCAGGTTCCCTAATGGTCTGCCAGTTTAGAGACAAGGTTGTAGAGCGACAGAGCCCTGATTGACTCCAGGTGGCCCAGGTGGTGCTGTGGGAGGGTCCTGGTCTCGGAGTCAGGGGACTGCTCTAGTAGTACCCTGGGCAAGACACTGAACTCTATAGGGCTCAAGTTCCTCCTGTGTTTTTAAACTGAAATTGATTAAGTGCTCACTCTGTGGCAGGGATAATACAGTGACTGTGGGGATAACCAGCACCATCTCCCATGATTCTATCTCATTTAACCCCATTTGCATTTAACAGTTGAAGAAACTGAGTCTCTGAGGGGTAAGACATCTTGGTCACAGTAACTCAGCTGATTGGGGGCTGCCTCAGAACGGGGACTGGGATGTCTCCCAGGAAAGCCTGTGCTCTACACCGCCTCAAATCCTACAAGAGTGGGTTCTACGATGCCTATAGTTTCTGCCTGAGGGGTCAGGTTCCAACAGCCCGGACTGAGTAATCTAGAACCAACCTGGAGACCCCGAGAGAACCCACTTGAACAGCCAGCTGCCCTAAAGCAGATGAAGGAAATCAGAATATGCCACCACAAAATATGCCCCTTTGGCATAAGGATTGTTTTGAGCTGGTTCAGATGTAGAAGGAAGTCTTCCCAGAGCTTGTTTATCTGACTAAAAGCAGAAACTACTTCTTCCTTTTTTTTTTTTTTTGAGGCAGATTAACAAGAGAAAAACAAAGAGGGTCTCTGTTTTTCTCTTGTTAATCTGTCTTGTGTAATTTGCAGGGCCCCAGTCAGAAAACCTAAGAGAGTAAAGGAAGAAAATTAAGTTTTTTGGAACCCACAGTCTCATTCTGTCACCCAGGCTGGAGGGCAGTGGCACAATCACAGTTCACTGCAGCCTCCACCTCCCAGGCTCAAGCGATCCTCCTGTCTCAGTCTCCTGAGCAGCTGGGACTACAGGCATGCACCACTATGCCCAGCTAATTTTTGTTTTTATATTGGTTTTTTAAATTTTTTAAAATTTTTTTTTTTTTTTTTTTTTTTAGAGATGGGGCCTCACTGTGTTGCCCAAGCTGGTCTCAAATTCCTGGGCTCAAGCGATTCTCTCACCTCAGCCTTCCAAAGTGCTGAGATTACAGGCATGAACCACCATGCCCAGCCCTAAAAGCAGAAACTCCTAAGAAAACACACCTGCTGTAAATGCCCCCATAAAATATTTGTGGCCACTTGATTGACTTTCTCAGTTTGCCACTCTGGGAAGCCAAAAACCATCTTTCCTTTGTCTTGTCATTTGTCTACAAATTTATTGCTCTTTGTTAAGAAGCTTTATATATTTATATTTATTTTTATTTTTTTGAGATGGAGTTTCATTCTTGTTGCCCAGGCTGGAGTGCAATAGCGTGATCTCGGCTCACTGCAACCTCTGCCTCCCGGGTTCAAGCAATTCTCCTGCCTCAACCTCCCGAGGAGCTGGGGTTACAGGTACATGCCACCATGCCTAGATAATTTTTTGTATTTTTAGTAGAGACGGGGTTTCACCATATTGGCCAGGCTGGTCTCCAACTCCTGACCTCAGGTGATCCACCCGCCTCGGCCTCCCAAAGTGCTGGGATTACAGGCGTGAGCCACTGCGATCAGCCTAAGATGCTTTATAGACCCCAAGTGCTAACCACCCCTTTGAGTTACTCATCATTGATGTTTCTCCTGTGTGATTTGCGTTATGTATGTTAATAAACTCTGTTTTCCTCTTGTTAATCTGCTTGTCCAATTCGCAGGGCCCCAGTCAGAGCACTTAGGAGAGTAAAGGAAAAAAAGTTAAGTTTTTCCCTAGAATCCACACTAAGGTGCCCCTCACCACCTATAAAAGGGCCTCCAACCAGTAGCCTCAGATGATCACAGACTTCGCTGGAGGCCTCGAGGCAGAGGTGGTAAGGAGCTGGCCTCCTGCAGCGAGGATCCCTGCAGCTTCCACCTTCTACCACCCGACTTTCCCAAACCGAAGACAGTACACCTCAGTGATCAAGAGCGTGGAGTCCACTCCGGGGAGGAACGATTCTCAGGGGCTGGCTTGCTGCGTGATCTTGGGCAAGCGTCTTAACCTCTCTATGCCTTAGTATCCTCAACTGTAAAATGGGATTTGTGGTGAATCCCATGGACAAATCCCATTGAAAGACACGATGTACTTAGACCACTTAGCACATACAATAAGTGCTCAAATAGGAGATTTTGCTTAACGAAAGCAACTGAAAGTGAACTCTTCAGCAGTGTCCAAGAAAGCGAACACTCTCAGGGACCACCAAGAAAGTAGAAGGGGCATTTTTGTACAACTGCACAATGGGAGCAACCTTGAACCCTACCTCACTTATAACTTTCCCTTACACTAGACAAATAGAGAACGGCTGTTTATTGTCAGATTTGCATTTTGTTAGCTCTGAATATATGGAGATTGTGAAATGAGGTATTTGAGCTAAAAATTCCCCAGAGAATTGGTTTTTCAAAAATTATTCAGGGTCAAGTTCCACAAGGGTTGAGTTTCTATTCTTCTTGTAGATATACCAACTTTTAAAAGTGAATTAAGAAGTGATCGCTATTTCAGATAAAAAGCAGGGTCCTCAGAGAATTGGATGGTTCTTCTAAAACAGTGCTTTTTGCCTGGCACAGTGGCTCACGCTTGTAATCCCAGCACTTTGGGAGGCCGAAGGGGGTGGATTGCTTGAGCTCAGGAATTCAAGACCAGTCTGGGCAACATGGTAAAACCTCATCTCTACCAAAAATACAAAAACTTAGCTGGGCATGGTGGTGTGTGTCTGTGGTTCTAGCTACTTGGGAGGATTGCTTAAGCCTTAGGGGCCGGGGGGTGTTGCACGGAGTTGCAGTCAGCTGAGATGGCACTGCTGTACTCCAGTCTGGGTGACAGAGTGAGACTCTGTTTCAAACAAAAAAACAAAACAAAACACAAACAGTGCTTCTCAAATATTGGCAGCATCAGAAACATCTGAAGCTGGCTAAGTTCAGATTCCAGAGACTAGTTTTGTGGGTCTGGGCTGGGCCCGAGATTGCTGCTGCTGGTTTGCCGACTGTACTCGGAGGAGTCATCCTTTTATATTTATTTATTTATTTTGAATAAATAAATAAAGCACTTACTGAGTGCTTAATGAGCCACCACGCCTAGCCTGAGTAGCCACCCTTTGCAGAAATGTCCTGGACCATTTTAATGATTCCCTTTCCAAGAACCCACTTAAATAGAGGTCTGCTGTACAAAGCGAGATACTCACACAGTCACTATTTCCCCCACAATGTTTACGTCTTTCGGATTGCTGACTTACCTTCAGAATTTAAAAGTTGTCATTGTGTATTTCATTTCACCAGAATTGAATACAGTTATTATACCCCCCCACCGAAAAAAAGGACTTGTTGAGCTCCCCCAGTTCCAGGTCTGCTTAAGCTCTGTGCTCAGCTCTGGGGGAAGCCCTTTCATGAGTAAGCAGTGGGTCGTCACGGGAAGCGAAGTGGGGCCAGCCGAACCAAAGGAAATAGAGCAGATCCGCAAACCCACACCCACTCCCAAAGTCAGTCTACTGTCAGAAAAGCTGAAGCTGCTGGGCGCGGTGGCTCACACTTGTAATCCCAGCACTTTGGGAGGCCGAGGCGCGCGGATTACCTGAGGTTGGGAGTTTGCGACCAGCTTGACCAACAGGGAGAAACCCCGTCTCTACTAAAAATACAAAATTAGCTGGGTGTGGTGGCACATGCCTGTAATTCCAGCTACTCAGGAGGCTGAGGCAGGAGAATCGCTTGAACCGGGAGGCGGAGGTTGCAGTGAGCCGAGATCGCTCCATTGCACCCCAGCCTGGGCATCAAGAGCGAAACTCTGTCTCAAAAAAAAAAAAAAAAAATTAGCTGAGTGTGGTGGCGGGCGCCTGTAATCCCATCTACTTGGGAGGCTGAGGCAGGAGAATCACTTAAATCCGGGAAGTGGAGGTTGCAGTGAGTCGAGATTGCACCACTGCACTCCAGCCTGAGTGACAGAGCGAGACTCCATATCCAAAAAAAAAAAAGAGAAAAAAGAAAACAAGAAGAAAGGCTGAAGCTACTGGGGGTCTCCAAAGCAAAACACTCGACGTCCAAGACCTTGGGGAACCCCAGCCACCAGGGCCTGTGTGGGGAGCAGGTAAGGGTCACCGGCTGGGGTCAGTAAGCATTCAAGAAGCGCTCGTTGACTACATGAATAGTAAATGTGACCCGAGGTGACTTTTTAAGGGTGGTGGGAGAGAGGAAGCCCACAGCGCTGGTGTAAGAGGTGGCACCCCTTTTTTGGCCTTCTTTGCTTCTTCTTTTCTCTGCCCACTCCCAAGGCCCCATCAGTGATTCTAGGGGGCATCCCCCAGGCTGGGGCACTGGAGACCCTCACTCACCAGGGACAGCTTTCCGGACTTCACTGTACACTGTCTCTGTGTCCTTCTTTCCTAGATCTGGAAAAAGGACCAGGCATAAGTTAGTAGCTGCCTCTGGGAACGAGGTCAGTCCACTGCAGTCATAGGAAAAGGTCTGAGGCTCTGCAGGCAAGGCTGTACCCCACCACTGCACCCCACCAGAACCAGGTCCAGAAGCACCCAGAGACCTTGTCATTTCTGATGTTAGAAGATCCTGGCTGGGCAAGGTGGCTCATACCTGTAATCCCAGCACTTTGGGAGGGTGAGGGGGGCAGATCACTTGAGGTCAGGAGGTTGAGACCATTCTGGCCAACATGGCGAAACCCCGTCTCTACTAAAAATTCAAAAAATTAGCCGGGCATGGTGGTGCGTGCCTGTGATCCCAGTTACTCGAGAGCTAAGGGACGAGAATCGCTTGAACCCAGGATGCAGAGGTTGCAGTGAGCCAAGATTGCGCCACTGCACTCCAGCCTGGGCAACACAGTGACACACCACCTCAAAAAAAAAAAAAAGAAGAAGAAGAAGGTCTTGGTCTAACGAGCGTCACTCCCAGTCTGGGAATAGGAGGTCAGCAGGCCATTGTGGAGCAGGGCCACATGCACCAGAGGAACCCTGGACCTGAGGGGCCACGGATGGAGAGGCCCCCAGCAAGGGCCTGCAGCCTCCAGCTTGCTGGCCCCACTCCTCTTCCCCTGCCACCGTGACCCTTGTCCAGACATTCTGCCAGGTCCCTCAACGCAGGGTTGGGCTATGGCCTCCCAATCACCTGAGAGCCCAGACCCCGGGATCCAGAACGAGATCCTGAGGTCTGGGTTAGAGCCTGGGGGTTGTCAGTGACCCTAGGAATAGCTGGGACTGAGAACTCTTACAGGGATAGACAGCTGGGCTGGCTGTTTTCACTGCTGGCTCCTGGGCCTCACTGCAGCTTCTGGTTGGATTGGTCTGGGGGGGTCCCTGGTGCTGGTTTTTTAGGATCTCCTCAGGGGCCCTAATATGCAGACAGGGCTGAGATCCTCTGGGCTAGACCCTCTCAATATGGCAGCATGATGACTGACCCAGGGTGTGGCGTATACCTGGAGGAGACTCAAGGGCGCCCTTCCTGCCATCTGTTTACCTTACACTGGGGTATGGGCACAGGATGTGTATACAAAAATACACACACAGCATATACACACGCACACTCATGCACACAATGTGTATACATGCTATGTATACCCTCATACAGTGTGTAGGATGTGTCTACACACATTGTATACACACTGTATGTACAAACATGCAATCTGGGTGTGCACACACTCATGCACACAGGGTGTGCACACACATACATACCCACCAACCCTGAGGAAACAGGATGGAACCTGGCCACTTCCCAGCTCCTGTCACCTGCACAAAGGCCCAGGAAGCCTCACTGTAGAAAAGAGCCTGATGTCGTGTGGGCCACTGTTCTCCTTTTACAGATGGGGAAAGGAAGCCCCAGATAGGGTAAGGGGCTTCCTGTGCCATGGTCAGTGCATTTCCCTCCTCGGAGTGAATGGCTGGGGTGTGACCCTGGACTCTACCTGCACTGAGATGCCCTTGTCTCACCATGCTCCAGGGACACCCCACTCTCACTTCCTGGCCCCACACACACTCCTCCACAGCCAGCACTGCCCTTTCTCCTTGCCCCATTTCCCCACGACCCTGGTGGAGCTTCACGCATGTACCAACACACCCACACTCACTCTCCCTCTGTGCCCTGGGAAGTTACAGGGCCCCCTGAGCTCCACAGCATGTTGGTGACATTTGTCCACAACACACCGATGTGACTTGTTCCCAAGTCCGTCTCCCTGGCAGACCCCGACCTCCTATGGGGTGACAGCTGGGGTCTTGGACATGTCCCATTCCTAGGCTTGCTCAGCTGCCTGGGGGCACCTGTCCAAGTTTGAAGTGACAGTAATGGTGGTGGCTCCTGTGTCAGGAACCATTTGTGAGGAGAAAGCCTGGGGGTGGGTCAGATCCCTACAGTTGAACTTGGGGCATTTGGGGTGACTAGGGCCTTACACTGACTTCCCCAGGGCACCAAACAGGATTTGGAACTCAGTAGAGTGGCTGAGCTACCAGGGCACCACACTGCTGGGACAGCAGAGATGCCCACACACCCCTCACTCTCTTTCTGTGGCACCAGATGTGGGGGCCTCAAGGAAAGCTGTAGGGATCCCCAACCCTATTGGGGGATCCTCCACATCCCCAAGACACCCTCTGCTTGATGTCAGGCCTGGCCAAATCACTCACTCAGCAGAATCCTAGACACCTAGTGTGAACCCCGCACTGTGGAAGAGGAAAGGTGATCGGGCCTGGTCCCAGCTTTCAGGAGCTCCAGGCTGCGAGGCAGACAGGTGCACAAACAACGCAGACACTGCAACAAATGCTATCAAACACCATATACCAGGCGCATGGTGGGGTGGTCACGGCCAGCTCACCCTCCGACCCAGGCCCACAGTGGGGGCTGGGGCAGGTGAGGAATAAATGGAGGGAGAGGGCTTGGTGTTTGGGCCTGGGGGTTTCTGCTTCTTGGTGGAGCTTCTAGAGTTGCAGCTGCCCCCAAATCTGCCCAGTTAAGTGATGGGTGGGCAGGCAGAGTTGCAGCTCATCACTACCTCTCCTCCCCACCCACTCCACGGCAGCAGCTGCTTGCTAATGAGTAAACCAGGCTGGCAGGCTCTTTGTCTCTGCTGTCAGGGATGTTTCCGGATGGGGCTTTATTTTGGCTTCTGTTTTTCTCTGTGTTAACAGAGAAGGAGATGGCTTCAACGTCATGGGGTTTTCCCAGCAATTAGTCTCAGAGCAAACATGCAGCAAACCAGGATTTACTGAGTTCCTTCCTGCCCCTCCTCCACCCCAAGTGACCACTTGGTCGGCTGCCACTAGGGTCAGAGCTGGATGTGGTTCCCAACCCCTCCTCCATAGGAGGAGGAAGTCTTGAGAGCAGGGAACTGGCTTGGTCAAGACCAGGTCAAATGTACTCACCACTGGCCTTGTACCCACAAAGCCCCTTTTCGTACCTGGTAATACCTGGCTCTCCACCCACAGGAAGGCAGAGAGGGAACACCTGAGGCTCAGGCCTGACTTCCCACACTGCTCCTTAGCTGCCAAGGAGGAGGACGGGTCTAGAAAACTCAAATTGAATTCCCAAAAAGCTCTCCATTGCCCCCAAGTGACCCTCTTTACGGGTCTACCTGGACCTCTGCAGCCCACACAGCTTTTGTGCAAATGGGGAAAGAGGGACCAGTTAGGTGATGGCATCCCTGCAGCTGCACAGCTTGGCAAGGAGGGCACATGCTGACCGCCTCTGCTTCACCCAATCCTGGAGGGTCTCGATACCTCCTTATTTTTAAATTTTTTGTAGAAATAAGTTCTTGCTTTGTTGCCCAGGCTGGTCTTGAATGCCTGGGCTCAAGTGATCCTCTCGCCTCTGCCTCCCAAAGTGCTGGGATTACAATACCTCCTTCTTGTCCCTTCAACCCTTCCCCACCTTTGAGCAAGAAAAAGAAAACCAGGGCCGGGCGCAGTGGCTCATGCTTGTAATCCCAGCACTTTGGGAGGCTGAGGTGGGCAGATCACTGAAGGTTAGGTGATCCCTGAAGGTTAGGAGGGCTTTGCTGCAGTGTGTTCCTGGCTGCCTCTCAGGCTGTCCCTCCACAAGGGAGGGTCTGTATGTGCTTGTGCTGCCTGCGTAGGGCCTTAATCACAATTTGTTATCTCAACGAGTCAATCACTCTACAATGAAATAAAGAGGAAGAGGCCAGGCCTGGTGGTTCACACCTGTAATCCCGGCACTTTGGGTGGTCAAGGCGGGTGGATCACCTGAGGTCAGGAGTTGGAGACCAGCCTGGCCAACATGGTGAAACCCTGTCTCTACTAAAAATACAAAAATTAGCCGGGGATGGTGGTGGGCGCCTGTAACCCCAGCTACTCAGGAGGCTGAGGCAGGAGAATAGCTTGAACCCGGGAAGCAGAGGAAGCAGTGTGCCGAAACTGTGCCATTGCATTCCAGCCTGGGCAACAAGAGCAAGACTGTCATAAAAAAAAAAAAAAAAAAAAAATGAGGAAGAGAGCTTCAGGCCTGCCGCGTTCCCCACCCCTCTCAGGTCCAGTCTAGACTTGGAAGTGAGTTGTGCAGATTGGGCAGTACACAACCCCCGGGGGCCATTCTGTTGGTAGGCTATGGGAATGTGCCCCAGTGGTGCAGCACACAGCCCAGCGGCTCTACGGGGCATCCCTGTAAGGAAAGTTCTGTGCATACAGCTGCTGACACTCAGCCCAGGCTCAAAAAGAGAAGACAAGGAGAAGTCCAAGACTCCTCCCAGATCATGGAGCAAGGGGTGATTTCAGGACCCCATTGCCATGTGGTCTGGCTAGTGGCTGGCACGGCCTGGAAAACTGCACGCATTCAGCCTGCACAGTCAGGAAAACTACCCCAGGCCTGCCTGGCTAGGTGGATGCAGCCTGGGGTTAGCCTCAGAGGAAGGGAGACAGATGGCAATGATCCCAGGGAGCTTCCCAGCTGGGCAGGAAGGTTCTGAGACTGCTTCCTTTGAGCGTGCAGGAGCCACTGTTTCCTTTGAGCATGCAGGAGTGTGCAGTGACCCCCGGGGACTGTGTACTGCCCAATCTGGGTTCGCAAAGGAGGAGGACAGTTAGGAGATGCATTTTTAATTTTTTTTTAGACGGAGTCTTGCTCTGCCACCCAGGCTGGAGAGCAGTGGCTTGATCCTGGCTCACTGCAACCTCTGCCTCCCGGGTTCAAGCGATTCTTCTGCCTCAGCCTCCCCAGTAGATGGATTACAGGCATGCGCCACCACGCCCAGCTAATTTTTGTATTTTTAGTAGAGACAGGGTTTCACCATGTTGGCCAGGCTGGTCTCGAACTCCTGGCCTCAAGTGATCCACCTGCCTTGGCCTCCCAAAGTACTAGGTTTACAAGTGTGAGCCACCGTGCCTGGCCAGGAGATGCATGTTTTTTATGGTGCCCAAAACAAACGAGATTGATGTTCTAGCATTTTCTATGGAGCAGCCCACTCTGCATCCATTTCCCCAGCATAGAACCAGAGACAGGGACTTCCAGGCCAGCCTGCCCTTGAGAGAACCACATACACAAAAACAAAACCCAAGGTGTAAAATCAGTGCCACTGCTCACACGGACAGGGATCTTGTGCTTTCAAAAGCCTTTACCTAAGTGTCCCTCTAAATGGCAAAGCACTCGATATCTTGAAACATGCATTTGATTGACACACATTCAGTCTGCACAAGCAACTTTAGGAACACACTGGGTTTGGCAGGGGGTCTACCTCTGGAAGGGACAAATTGCTCAGTACTTCCTAATTCCCTGGCACTTAGTAAGTGCTCAATAAATCTTACCTATTATTAGTAGTATCATAACTAATAATTATCAAAAATGGCCAGGTGTGGTGGCTTCGCCTGTAATCCCAGCACTTTGGGAGACAAAAGTGGGCAGATTGCTTGAGCCCGGGAATTTGAGACCAGCCAGGGCAACATGGCGAAACCCTGTCTCTATTTTTCTTTAATTAATTTTTAAAATTATTGAGGCCGAGTGTGGTGGCTCACACCTGTAATCCCAGCACTTTGGGAGGCTGAGGGGGGTGGATCTTTTGAAGTCAGAAGTTCGAGTTCACGCTGGCCAACATGGTGAAATCCCATCTCTACTAAAAATACAAAAAAAAAATAAATAAATTAGCCGGCTGTGGCGGTGCATGCCTGTAATCCCAGCTACTCGGGAGGCTGAGGCAGGAGAATCGCTTTAACCCGGAGGCAGAGGTTGCAGTGAGCTGAGATCTCGCAACTGCACTCCAGCCTGGGCACAGAGTGAGACTCCGTCTCAACAAAGAAAAAAAAAATATATATATATATATAAAATAAAAAATATATAAATAATATAAATATAAAAATATTATATATAAAATATATAAAAATAAAAAATAAAAATATATAAAATATTATAAAATATATATTATACACAAAGAAAACATATATATTATATATGTATTTATATTTATATATTATATATATTATATATTTTATATATATATATATATTTTTTGAGATGGAGTCTCACTCTGTCACCCAGGCTGGAATGCAGTGGCGCAATCTCAGCTCACTGCCACCTCTGCCTTCCGGGTTCAAGTGATTCTCCTGCCTCAGCCTCCTGAGTAGCTGGGATTACAGGTGTGCGCCACCAGAGCCGGCTAATTTTTGTATTTTTAGTAGAGATGGGGTTTTATCATGTTGGTCAGGCTGGTCTCGAACTCCTGATCTCAGGTGATCCACCCGCCTTGGCCTCCCAAAGTGCTAGGATTACAGGTGTGAGCCACAGTGCCTGGCCTTTTCTTTTTTTCTTTTAAATTATTGAAATTTTACAGCTCAGAGACAGGGCCAGGGCCAGGGGCCTTTGCTCCTTCCAGTCTTAGCAGGCCGGTAGGTCTGCTAATCACTTCCTTTGGAGCGACTGAGGGTGCACAGACTCTTCTCACTGAACACAGCACCCCCGCCACCACTGGGGTTTAAACCCAAGCCAAAGGCAATGCCTGGGGACTCACTCGAGTGGCACTTACCTTTGTGAGACTCAGCTGAGGACACTTGAACTTCCGTGTACTGCACGTCTGAGTTCAGAGGCTCTGCTCAAAGAAACCACAGCAGCTTGTTGTTTAGGTGGAATCTCTTGTGGGCACCTCAGATCATAGAAGTAGAGACTTTCTTTTCTTTTTTTTTTTTTTTTTTGAGACAGAGTCTCACTCTTTCACCCAGGCTGGAGTGCAGTGGTGTGATCTCAGCTCACTGCAACCTCCACCTCCCGGGTTCAAGTGATTCTCCTGCCTAAGCCTCCTGAGTAGCTGGGATTACAGGTGTGCACCACCATGCCCAGCTAATTTTTGTATTTTTAGTAGAGACGGGGTTAATTTTTGTATTTTTAGTAGAGACAGGGTTTCACCATATTGGCCAGGCTGGTTTTGAACTCCTGACCTCAAGCGATCCGCCCACCTCAGCCTCCCAAAGTGCTGGGATTACAGGCATAAGCCACTGCCCCCGGCTAGATTTTCATTCAGGTTATTAAAGTATTCTGTATTTTGAGGGGGCAGCCAGACACAGGCTTAATTCCATTCGGGATGAGGAAGGGAGTACGAACCCCGCACTGGTCCCAGAGGCAGATACAGGGCCTCGGGGCCCATGGTTTCCTCCCTGACTCCTCTGTTACCAGGATGTGGAGGGACCCTCTGGCCTAGGTCCCTGTTTCTACAGTGGGGGGACTTGGAACAGGTCAGTAGAGACAGAAAACAGCCCAGTATCAGCCCCAGCAGTTCTCCCAATTCAGTCTCACTCAAGATGCTGGAAGCCTTCTCCACAGCCACAGGCAAACAAAGCTACCTCCAAGACTGAGAGGATTTCGGGAAATGGGGAACAGGGGTCACTACCCTAAAAATACTTGGAGAGTGTGAGGCATACACGTGAATGAAATCACTCAGGGTACTAAGGTGAAAGCTAGAAAAGTAGTTTGTCTTCAAGTCAAAAATAACATTACTGTTTTGTTTTTAAAGCCCTAAAGAATAGGGATTCTCATCAGCTACCAAAACAATGATTCTGCAGTCAAAGATACATTTCAGGCTGGGTGTGGTGGCTCATGCCTGTAATCCCAGCACTTCGGGAGGCTGAGGCGGGCAGATCACCTGAGGTCAGGAGTTCGAGATCAGTCTGGCCAACATGGTAAAAATCCACCAATACTAAAAATACAAAAATTAGCTGGGCATGGTGGCACACACCTGTAATCCCAGCTACTTGGGAGGCTGAGGCACGAGAATGGCTTGAACCCGAGAGGCGGAGGCTGCAGTGAGCCAAGATTGTGCCACCGTACTCCAGCTTGGGTGACAGAGTAAGACTCTGTATCAAAAAAAAAAAAAAAAGAGCCAGGCGCAGTGGCTCGCGCCTGTAATTCTAGCATTTTGGGAGGCCAAGGTGGGCAGATAACAAGGTCAGGAGTTTGAGACCAGCCTGGCCAACACAGTGAAACCCTGTCTCTAGTAAAAATACAAAAATTAGCCGGGCGTGGTGGCAGGCGCCTGTAGTCCCAGTTACTTGGGAGGCTGAGGCAGGAGAATTGCTTGAACCCGGGAGGTGGAGGTTGCAGTGAGCCGAGATCGCACCACTGCACTCCAGCCTGGCTGACAGAGCGAGACTCTTGTCTCAAGAAAAAAACAAAAAAAAGAAAGAAAGGAAGAGACCTTAACAGAATCCTTTCTCTTTGTTAGGAGCCTTAGCTCCCATGGCAGCAGCCCAGAGCGAAAGGAATTTTGAAAAATGATTTAGTCCAATCCCTCAGTGCTTCAGGCAGAAGAGAGCAATTTATTGTCCATTGTCTTTAAAAATCACCACCTCAATGCTCAAGAAAAAAGAGGTCCCACTGCCTTACCCAGTAGCTCATTATGAGTCAGGAAGTTGTTTTTTGAGTATAACCCAGTTCTTCCCTACTTTGATTTAGGTGACTTTCCCACTGAGGACACTAGATAGCATCTCTGGTGAAAGCAGCTAGCTACCTTCATTGACACATCGGCTGGGTACAGGGTCATTAAGAGAGGTGGGAAATTATCCACAGTCCTTCAAGTTTTAGTTTTCTTTTCCTATGAGTCTTTTTTTTAATGTAAAAGTTGGTTCTAATAAAAACATGTAATTAGATAATTACCTTTATTATCATTTATTGGTTTCATTGCATGGTTTCTGACATCGTCATTGTGACCTAGTTGAAAAATAACAATTAGGGTGAGTGACAAGGGAAATTCTAGTTTTCTAAAACCTTTTAAAAATTCAGTACCCCTAACAAAGTCAAGCCTGATTTATTCAGTGTAGTGACAACCAGCACTGTCTCTGGGTCCTGGGTCCCCTCGTTGGCCCTCCTGTGGGCTCCATTTGACCTGCTGTGTAGTCTTTTTCTTTTTTTCTTTCTTTCTTTTTTTTTTTTTTTTGAGGCAATGTCTTGCTCTGTCACCCAGGCTGGAGTGCAGTGGTGCGATCCCGGCTCACTGCAGCCTCCTCCTCCCAGATTCCAGCGATTCTCCTAGTCTCGCTTTGTTGCACAGGCTGGTCTCCAACTCCTGGCCTCAAGTGATCCTCCCACCTCAGCCTCCCAAAGAGCTGGGATTATAGGCATGAACTACCATGCCTGGCCTGAATATAGTTTCTTTCTTTCTTTCTTTTTTGAGATGGAGTTTCGCTCTTGTTGCTCAGGCTGGAGTGCAATGTTGAGATCTCAGGTCACTGCAACCTCCACCTCCCAGGTTCAAGGGATTCTCCTGCCTCAGCCTGCTGAGTAGCTGGGATTATAAACATGTACCACCATGCCCAGCTAATTTTTTGTATTTTTAGTAGAAACAGGGTTACACCATGTTGGCCAGGGTGGTTTTGAACTGCTGACCTCAAGTGATCCACCTACCTCGGCCTCCCAAAGTGTTGAGATTACAGGCGTGAGCCACCGCGCCCAGCCTAGAATATAGTTTCTTAAACAATATATTTGCTCGTTTCTATTTACTGACACATTACTTTTATTACTACAAATATTTTATTTTCCTTTTTTAAAGTTTATGATTCAGTACTATATGAATTACTCAATTCTTAAAACATATTTCTCAAGCAAAATATGTCTCTGTAAAAAGTATATCCTAAAAATTTCTTATTTTGTGAGACATTTATAGAATTAGAAAAGAACATGAGCATTCTATGACCAAACCTGCTGATAAAGCAAGAAAAGTGGCTGGGCTCAGGGGCTCACACCTGTAATCCCAGCACTTTGGGAGGCCAAGGCAGAAGGATTTCTTAAGCCCAGGAGTCTGAAACCAGCATTGGTAGAGTGCCATCTCTACAAAAAATAAAAATTAGCTGGGCATGGTGGCACATGCCTGTGATCCCAGCTACTCAGGAGGCTGAGATGGGAGGATCACCTGAGCCTGGGAGGTAGAGGCTGCAGTGAGCTGAGATTGCACCACTGCACTCCAGCCTGGGAAGACCCTGTCTAAAAAAAAAAGAAAGAAAGAAAAGAGGAAGAGTGTTCCAAATTTGGTCTGGGACAGGACTTTTTGTGATGTAATTATAGCCCCCTCTGGGAAGTAAGTAGCATCCCTGCTGAAATGCTTGAGCAATTTTCTTACTAACCTGGGATTAAGAACTCCTAGGACTGGCTACTCATTCAGCTGAGCTGACCCTGAAGCTACTGATGAGCCTTATGAATAGATATTTCTTAGTTGGAACACTTTATTTATGCCTTTACTGAGAGAATATTGAAATTGCATTCCCTTTGTGGCAAATTTGAAGTAAAACTGTCTTGTGCTTGTAATAATTCCATCTGAGAAGATGTTTTACCAATGTTTTCATTCAATACCTGGTCTCTGTCTTGAAAATGGAGAATTATAATATTACGCTGGAGCAATGTTCAAAGTCTTTGAAGGCATTATGATTATTCTCCATATTTCTTCTACGGGGAGTTTGGAAGGTGGCAAAGTTAGAATAAAATATGTTACCTTTCCTTTTACGTTTCCGTATATTACATGGCCCAGTGGCTGATGAGATGAAGTACCCTGTTGAAGCCAGGGTTTCTCTTCCAACTGTAATCCCACCACTTACATATTCTGCTTCTGAGAGGGCTAAGGAAGTATGTAGCAAGTTGGGGGAAATTAGAAATGGCAGGAGAACATGACTTTACCGTAATGACTGTTAGCTTCCATATTGGGATCTGACATTTTCTCGTTGTTGGAGTTCAGAAGTGGTACTGCTGGCCTTAAAATGAAATATAAAAACAGAAAACAATATATAGATATATTTGTTGTTGTTATTGTTCTAACCCCAAACCACCAAAGTAAACAAGGGAAGATCATGAGAAAACCAGGAAGAGTTTTCCAAGGTAAGGAAAACTTTACTCTCTCATTTGGAAAACAAATATTTTTTGGCAGCTCCAAGGATTATGTAAAAAAACTTTTTTTTTTTTTTAGACAGAGTCTCGCTCTGTCACCCAGGCTGGAGTGCAGCAGTGCAATCTCGGATCACTGCAGCCTCCGCCTCCTGGGTTCAAGCGATTCTCGTGCCTCAGCCTCCCGAGTAGCTGGGATTACAGGCATGCACCACCACGCCCGGCTAATTTTTGTGTTTTTAGTAGAGATGGGGTTTCGCTGGCTAGGCTGGTCTTGAACTCCTGACCTCAGGTGATCTGCCTGCCTCAGCCTCCCAAAGTGCTGGGATTACAGGTGCGAGCCACCATGCTTGGCGGTGATAAAACTTTTTCCTATTAAAATAAACATCAGGACCAAAGCACACATGAATACCAGGAGTCCTTCACAGGCTACTACCAAGCCCCTGAAATTCTTATCCCACGCTACTGTTTCTCTCTGGAACAGAGCAATCATTTCTATACTTTTGGATTTGGGATTTCAACAACAGTAAAGGTAGTAAAACCATTTTTTAAAGGCCAACTCTATTTTGTCAAATTTTAAAAAATTTATCTACTACCATTATAATTTCATAAAGAAAGGGAGATTTCACAAATAATCATGTAGGAAGGACATGATCTCAGAATAAAAGCCATTCCTTCCCATGAAAGGACAATTGGCATTCTTCCACGGAGGTACACACACACACACACACACACACACACACACACAACTCACACACACAACTCACACCCAAGGAAGGCCTATATTTTTCTAAGTTTGCCAAGAGCCACTGAAAACTTCCTAATGACCAGAATCTCCCTCCAGACATGTCCACCGTGCTCACAGAGCAGCCGCCCCCTTCTTACAAATACACTCACCTGGACATTTCCACTGGCATCTGCTTGGCTTTAAAACAGAAAACGAAAAACCAAAGTCAGTATACAGTACCCACATCCATACCACTATAATGGCCAAAACGCCAATGGCTTTTGCACTAACCTAATAGATAGAAAACACTTTTCTTTTCTTTTTGTTTTACTCCTAGTAAGCTGTGAAGGAACACTCTTTTCAGCTACGTTTGACTTCCCAGAAGATTGAATACCCAGAAAAAGAGAGAAAAAGAAGCCAAATATATTCACTCTTTTACAAAAGACAGAAAAGAAAGAGGTATTCTCTTGGTCTTATACCAAGATATTTCCCCAGAAACATGATATCTTGACTATTTTAGCCAGAAGTGATTTTTGTTAGTGAAATATGATGGAAAAAGAGACAATGATATGGGAACCAGATTAGCCAGATAAGCAGGCAGCTCTCTTCCTCTCTCTCTCTTTTTTTTTTTTTTTTTGAGACAGAGTCTTGCTCTGTTGCCCAGGCTGGAGTGCAGTGATGTGATCTGGGCTCACTGTAACCTCTGCCTCCCAGGTTCAAGTGATTCTCCTGCCTCAGCCTCCTGAGTAGCTGCAATTACAGGCACCCATCACCACGTCTGGCCAATTTTTTGTATTTTTAGTAGAGATGGGGGTTTCACCATGTTGTCCCGGCTAGTCTTGAACTCCTGACCTCAAGTGATCTGCCTGCCTTGGCCTCCCAAAGTGCTGGAATTACAGGTGTGAGCCACCGTGCCTGACCACTCTCTTTGATTCCAGATAATTACAAAAAGTAAAGGCGAAATCAATCCCTGCGTTTGTAACTCGAAGCTGGCCTAAGATCAACGCCAGGGTGTGCTCTATCTTCCTTGATGGGTGGCAGCTTTCCTGACAAAAACCAGGGCCCCTCCTCACCCCATCTTCCCCTCCCATCCTGGGCAGCAGCACCAGAGGCTCCAAAAGAACCTACCTTATCCCACAAAAAAATTTTTGCAGGATTTACTGATGCTCTGCCCTTTTCCTTGAGTCTTGGACAGCTGACTCTGATTCCTGGTTATCAGCAGGTGGTCCTGGCTGCTCAGCCGGGCTTACTTAGCTAACCCCAAGCATAGGGTAGAAGTCACAGCACAACCACCAGGTTAATTACAAAGCATTCAATGTGTGTGTGCAACATGTGGGTGTTATGCGCATGTTTGTGTGTCTCCAAGACACTTGCACCCCACTCTACACGCATTACAGGACTAGGTGTGGACAAATCTACAGAAATGGCTTCTTCTAACCACACAAAGATGCAATTTCCCCCCAAATTTATCTTTTCTGGTTTGCCCAATGAGGAAAATAATAGCTTTCATTTTTGCCTAGCTGAATCCAGGGGTCAGAAAAGCACCACGCATCCCTGGCTGGTTTCCTGGCAAGGACGACCAGTCAGTATGGAAGGAAAGAACTATGCTCACCCTTGGCTTTCCTCAGAAAATAACATTTGGCCGCAATGATCAAGAGAGCAATGATCACTCCGATGATAACCACTGCAATAAGTCCTTTCTTCCATGGGGCAAGAATGACTGAAAACAAAACAAAACAAAAAATTTTTTTTGTATATAGGCTCTTCCTCTGCCAGGAAGAAATAATATCAGGCTTAAGCAACAAAAGTCAGTCTGATTCTCACAGCTCTTGTAACTGGCAGCTTGCCTTAGCATCCATCTACCTCTGAGGGGTTCTGCACTCAGAGCTGGTGCAGAAATGATTGTTTCTGCTACAAATAGAGGTCAGCTGTGGTCCTCAAGGAGGGAACAAACCAGCTTTGCTGGGGTAGACTCTTTTCTTTTTCTTTCTTTTTTGAAACAGGGTCTCACTCTGTCACCCAGGCTAGAGGCTGATGACAGCTCACTGCAGCCTCAACTTCCTGGGCTTGAGCAATCCTTCCACCTCAGCCTCCCGAGTAGCTGGGACTACAGGAGCACACCACCACACACAGCTATTTTTTGTTGGTTTGATTTTTGAGGCAGAGTCTTGCTCTGTTGCCCAGGCTGGAGTGCAGTGGAGCAAGCTCTGCTCACTGCAACCTCTACCTCCTGGGTTCAAGTGATTCTCATGTCTCAGCCTCCCGAGTAGCTGGGATTACAGGTATGAGCCACTGCGCCCAGCCTATTTTTGTACTTTTTGTAGAGACAGGGTTTCACCATGTTGCCCAGGCTGGTCTCCAACTCCAGGGCTCAAGTGGAGTAGACTCCTTTTTGGCATGTGTTTTCAGCCCTCTTCCTCTCCAGGAAACCGCCCCCACCCACATAAGTGGGTTCCCCAATCATGTCTGTTCTGCGTGACCCAATCCCCTTGGCTACAGGTGGTCTGTGGTTGGATGTTTGACCCAAGATGACTCAATGGTGAGTCTGCCAACAATTTGTAATTGGAACGATGTGACATTCTCCCAATTCCTTATAATAATCGATTTCTCTTTTTTACTTAATTTGAGTGGGTTTCTGTCACTTGCAACCAAGAGCCTGGAGGACATTACTCTCCTAGCCTTCAGTCACATAAGCTAGACTCCCCCCCAACTCCCTCTTACAAGGGGTGTGTTTTCTGGTCTTGCCCTTGGGAGCCCACAGCACAGCTTGCTATGGAGACCCTGACTCACCTCTGACTGTCAGTATTTTGCTTCTGGGGACACTGGAGGCGTGGTTGGCTCTGTTGAAGGCTGTGCAGTAATACTCTCCCTCCTGTTCCTTGCTAGCCTTCTGCTTGGTCCAAAATGCCTGGGTGGCATTTGAGGTCATTTGATAGAAGGGTTTGCCCTCTTTTTCTCTGTAAAACTTATAGGTGATGGGACCAGATCCTTCATTCACAGCACATTGCAGCACAATGTCCTCTCCAGACTCCACCACCTTACTTGACAGGATAGAAATCTGGACCTCATCCACCGGGGCTGAAAAGCAGGAAAAGGATTCACACTGAGCAAAGAAGGGCAGAGGAAGAGGAACATGAGACAGCCACTGCTCAACTTTTTTTTTTTTCCTCTGAGACAGAGTCCCGCTCTTATCACCCAGGCTGGAGTGCAGTGGTATAATCTCAGCTTACTGCAACGTGTGCCTCCTGGGTTCAAGCAAATCTTCCTGCCTCAGCCTCCCGAGTAGCTGGAATGACAGGTGCGCCCACCAGGCCCAGCTAACTTTTTGGATTTTTTTGTTGTTGTTGTTGTTTTAGAGACGGGGTTTTGCCCTGTTGGCCAGGCTGGTCTTGAATTCCTGACCTCAGGTGATTTGCCCACCTCGGCCTTCCAAAATGCTGGGATTACAGGCATAAGCCACCATGCCAGGCCACAGACAATCTTGACCCACTGCCTTCTCTAGCTATCGGCCATTTTTTCTCCTTTTTCCTTTATGCTTTGACTCCCTTATTTCACACTTTCTTGTTACCCCTGAAATCTGACTGCACTCTTTTGTAGTCACAATCTTGTGACACTGCACTCTCTCTCAAGTTTTGAAGAAACTGGGAAGGTCACTTGATTCCCCAACCAACGTCCCTGAGTCCCCTGCTGATTAAATTCAGTGGTGGATGCTCTTCCTCCACGCTCCCAATCTTGGGCTCTCCATACTTCACTGTTGCCCAGGTCTTACTGTGGAACTCAGCTTTTTCTGGGCTTCTGGGCTTCCTCATGACTCTGATTCTCTTCCCTTCTTACCTGGCACCCCTTTCTTATTCACTGGTTATTCTTTGTTTTCCCCGGAAGTATGAACATTTTGCAAAATTCAATCCTCAGTTTTCCATCCCCATTCTCCTCCTGGGTGATTTCACCTACACGCTGAGCTTCTGTCTCTGAGCCACTGACACCTAAACCTATGGCTCCAGTCCAGGTTACTTTCCTGAACTCCAAGTCTCCCTTTTCACCTGGGCATTTCCACCTGGAAGCCCAGCCAGCCTCACTCCCTGCAGGTCCAAGCAGAACTTGGCTACCTCCTGTATCCGCTTTTCCTAGCTCCATCCTCAACTACCAAAATTCGGATCCTAAATTGTCTTCCCAAGTAGACTTTCCTTCTAGTGTGAGAGCAGATGGTCAGCAGATGGTATTGTAACTTATGAGTCACTCTCCTGTGAGTGCAGGCTGTGGTAAGACAATGGAAGAAGCCAAGCTCCGGGCCTGGGACACCAGTGGGCTCAAATCCCAGTCCCACCACCCACCAGCTGTCTGCCCTAAGCCTCAGTTACGTCATGATAAAATAACGACAATGCTGTTACTGGCCTTCTGTGGTTATTGTGAGTTTCCATTGGAGCAATTTACTACAGTACTTCACACAGGGCTGGACACATGGTCAGTAAATGTGAGCTACTGATATCGACCCAGTTTAAACCAACAGCTTCACATGGGCTTCACATTAGCCTCTAACGTACCATGAGGTCTGAAGTCACCATGCCTGCTCCCTGACCCAGCCACCAGGTGGATCGTTCCGAGAACTCATTTGCATCCTGTCCTTCCTTCCATCTTCTGGCTTTTCACTGCATGCAGGACAATTGCCTACTCCTGATACTGGCACCTGACACCTGTCACGCTTAGGCTCAGCCACTTTTTCAGCTCATATCCGGTGATTCTCCATTCCCAAACTCCAGCCTTTGTTTCCAGCCATCTGATTTGGCCACAGTCTTTTTTTTTTTTTTTTTTTTTTTTTGAGATAGAGTCTCACTCTGTCACCCAGGCTGGAGTGCAGTGGCACGATCTTGGCTCACTGCAACCTCTGCCTCCTGGATTCAAGTGATTCTCCCACCTCAGCCACCTGAGTAGCTGGGGCTACAGGCACCCACCACCACGCTGGGCTAATTTTTGTATTTTTAGTAGAGACGGGGTTTTGCCATGTTGGCCAAGCTAGTCTCAAACTCCTGGGCTCAAGTGATCCACCCCATTCGGTCTCCCAAAGTGCTGGGATTATAGGCGTGAGCCACCGCACCTGGCTGCGCACAGTCTTTTGAAGTGCCCCATGGGACCTTTTGGCTCATGTGTTTGCTGGAGATGTTCAGCCATCTTCAGCCTTCTCTGCCCACCCATTCTCAAGCCCTGGCACCTAGCCCAGCTTTTTCACAATGTTTACCCACTTAAGCTAGATGAAGTCTGACATACCCTAAATTACTATCACCATCACTGTAAGGATATAGTTCACGTGACAACCAAACATGACCCCTAACATTTTTTCTATGCTTATTGGTATTATGATTCAGATGTTTCTCCATCATTTAATTAGGAGAGCTTGTGTTTCTTACCACAGCATTGAAACAAAGAATATGTCTTCTTTTTTGTATGCCTCACACCATTAGGTGCTTAGTCTATGTTAATGTTAATTTTTTTTTTTTTTGAGATGGAGTCTTGCTCCGTTGCCCAGGCTGGAGTGTAGCGGAATGATATTGGCTCACTGCAGCCTCTGCCTCCCAGGTTCAAATGATTCTTGTGCCTCAGCCTCCCGAGTAGCTGGCATTAAAGGTGCCCACCACCACACCCAGCTAATTTTTTGTATTTTTATTAGAGACAGGATTTCACCATGTTGGCCAGGCTGGTCTCGAATTCCTGACCTCAGGTGATCCGCCCACCTCAGCTTCCCAAAGCGCTAGGATTACAGGTGTGAGCTACCTCAACCAGCCTATGTTAATGTTAATTGAAAAGGTATGGCTACTATTAGACTATACATGAATAGAAGCAGGAATCCCTCTCTCCTATTCACATCCACCAGCAGCCCATGTAGATAGGCAGTTACTAAACAAGAAGGACAAAGAGGAGGAAGCCTTATTAAACTTTTTACAACAGGATGCAAAATATCTAAGACATGCAAGCAATGGCACTCCTGAGGCCTTCTGAGAGGCATGAGATAGAGGCTTAAGGGAAACTGTCCACCCCCAAGACAATGGTATATTTCTCTTGAGTATGATGAGAATCCCAGGCAAATGTTAGTAACTGCCATGAGACCACAGCCTGTAGCTCTCACTGCTGCAGAATTCACACAAGGCAGGGTTGCCCGGCTAGGAGTCACAACAGCAGAGTCCTGATCTACAATTCTCAGAACAGTGTATCTGAAAAGGAGAAAGTGCTAAGGGAGCCCATATGCACAACTTCAGTGCTTCCTGCAGTCAGGACACTTTCATGCTTATCATATTTTAGCAGTTTGTTGAAAGGTTCTGGAAAGAGATTACATTGTCCTCATCAATAGCCCCCAAATATTTTCCAGCCTCCTTTACTGAACCTTGGCCCTGCTTTGGTGCATATCTAGTATATGGACTTTGCATAAGCACCCACTACTTCTCTCGCTTTTTTTTTTTTTAGATGGAGTTTCGCTCTTGTTGCTCAGGCTGGAGTGCAATGGCGCAACTTGGCTCAGTGCAACCTCTGCTTCCTGGGTTCAAGCAATTCTCCTGCCTCAGCCTCCCGAGTGGCTGGGATTATAGGCGCACGCCACCATGCCCAGCTAATTTTTGTATTTTTAGTAGAGATGGGGTTTCACCATGTTGGCCAGGCTGGTCTTGAACTCCTGGCCTCAATGATTCACCGGCCTTGGCCTCCTAAAGTGCTGGGATTACAGGCATGAGCCACCGCACCTGGCCCCCTACTTCTCTTATTGTTCCCACAGTCCCTGGGCGTGAAAGAATGCCCCAAGCCCACATGATTTCTTCTCACAGCACAGCAACTTACCTATCACCTTCACCCTCAGAACCTCACTTAACATTTTGGCATGGGAATGGCAATTATCTGCAACACACTGGTATTCGACGTCTTCAGTGGGGTTGTCTTTGAATACCGCAGGATCATTTGAGTTCTTGGTACTATTCTCCAAAACTTTACTTGTTTTTAAAAGTTGGTAAGAAATAGGCAAAGTTCCACTGATCGATTCGCAACGGACTTCGATGGTCTGTCCTTTTATGACCTCAAACTGGGCATCATAAGAAATCCTGGGCTGGGAGAGCATTTCTAGAACAGAGGGAGAAACAATCCAAAAGGCACTGAAGGTAAAAGCAAAGCATCCAGCACAAGAGGTTCCTCCTCCAAAGCCTGAGCTTTGCTTTCTATCCCTGCTGTAATTTCAAATGCCTGCCTGCCTTATTTACCTTTATAGGACACCTATGAGACTGACAGGCTGTGTGTGTGTGTGTGTGTGTGTGTGTGTGTGTGTGGTGAGAAGGGAAAGGGAAAGAGAAGTACAATAAGCAAAACAGAGAATGACAGAAATTCAAGGAAAACATTACATCCCCAGAAATACATGTTCATATTTTACCATATCTCACACGCACATGCACACATAATATACTTTTCTTGTGTTGAGCAAAGACACAGAAAACATAGAAAAAGTACAACAAGTAGCCAACAAAATGTGTGTGTGTGTGTGTGTGTGTGTGTGTGTATTTGAGACAGGGTCTCACTCTATTACCCAGGCTGGAGTGCACTGGTGCGATGACAGCTCACTACAACCTCCCAGAATCAAGCAATCCTCCTACCTCAGCCTCCCGAGTAGCTGGGACTATAGGTGCACACCACACCTGGCTAATTCTTTATTTTTTGTAGAGACAGGGTCTCACTATGTGCTCAGGCTGGTCTTGAACTCCTGGACTCAAGTGATCCTCCCACATCAGCTGCCCAAAGTGCTGGGATTATAAGTATGAGCCACCACACCTGGCTGAGCATATATGTGTGTGTGTGTGTGTGTGTGTGTGTGTGTTCTGAGACCGAGTCTTGCTCTGTCACCCAGGCTGGAGTGCAATGGCGCAATCTCAGCTGACCACAACCTCCACCTCCTGGGTCCAAGGGATTCTCCTGCCTCAGCCTCCCGAGTAGCTGGGATTACAGGCATGTGCCACCACACCCGGCTAACTTTTGTATTTTTAGTAGAGAGGGGGTTTCACCATGTTGGCCAGGCTGGCCTCAAACTCCTGACCTCAGGTGATCCACCCACCTTGGCCTGCCAAATTGTTGGGATTACAGGTGTGAGCCACCAGGTCCAGCCAATATATATGTTTTTAAATTATTCTCAGCCAGTCACGGTGGCTCATGCCTGTAATCCCAGCACTTTGGGAGGCCGAGGTGGGCAGATCACCTGAGGTCAGGACTTTAAGACCAGCCTGACCAATGTAGAGAAACCCCGTCTCTACTGAAAATACAAAATTAGCTGGGCAAGGTGGCACATGCCTGTAATCCTAGCTACTCGGGAGGCTGAGGCAGGAGAATCGCTTGAACCCGGGAGGCAGAGGTTGCAGTGAGCCGAGATCATGTCATTGCACTCCAGCCTGGGTAACAAGAGCAAAACTCCATCTCAAAAAAAAAAAAAAAAAAAAAAGATAAAAAAAGTCTTCTTAGTGCTTCAGCCTCTTAACAGATAAGAATTATATTAGGTCATTATTTAGGCATTAGTTTATTTAAACCTTATACAATGAGATTTCCTCCTCCCAAGAACAAAAAATAAAATAAAACGTTATAACACACATTTGTCTCTTGCATTCCTGCCTTTTGAGTTAGGTGGTTAGAGCATTAAAAATAGGCTAAAATCCTGGTTCAGTTGAAGCTATAATAAAATCTTAGCTGGATAAAACACAGCCACAGGTTAAATGAAAGGATCGTGACTGAATAATATAGTGACAGTGACAACTTGACTGGAGTTCTATAATCAACCAGAATCTCGCCACCCAAAGTGTGGTCCAGAGACCAACAGCATCCACATCACCAAAATGCTAGTTAGAGATGCAGAACCTGGCCCCATCTGGGCCTAAAATACTGAATCATAACCTGTATTTTAACCAGGTCTTGCATGCACATTCAGGCCTGAGAAGCCCAGCTCCTGGTGGTCAAATACCTACATTCTGTCCACTGGAAGTCTTACCCTTTTGGGTTAGCCAGGATACAGATTTAAAAAATGGAATTTTGATATTCTTGGCCGGGTGTGGTGGCTCAGGCCTGTAATCCCAGGACTTTGGGAGGCTGAGGCAGGCAGATCACGAGGTCAGGAGATGGAGACCATCCTGGCTAACACGGTGAAACCCCATCTCTACTAAAAATACAAAAAAATATTATCCGGGCGTGGTTGCGGGTGCCTGTAGTCCCAGCTACTTGGGAGGCTGAGGCAGGAGAATGGCGTGAACCCAGGAGGCGGAGCTTGCAGTGAGCCCAGATTGTGCCACTGCACTCCAGCCTGGGTGACAGAGCGAGACTGCATCTCAAAAAAATAAATAAATAAATAAATAAAAGTAATAAAAATAAAAATACAAAAATTAGGCAGACATGGTGGTGGGCACCTGTAATCCCAGCTACTTGGGAGGCTGAGGCAGGAGATCACTTGAACCTAGGAGGCAGAGGTTGCAGTGAGCTATCGTGCCACTGCACTCTAGCCTGGGCGACACGTCTCAAAAAAAAAAAAAAGAAAAGTTTAACATTGACTAAGTAGTGTTTCCTTCCTGAACTTTTGGGTGGGTACTTGCTCCAGGAGGCAGAATCTTGCCAGAATCTTAGCAAGTCAGAGGCCACATCATCATCAGTGAATCAGTGTTCTGAGCAGGAATACCTCCTTGTTTCTTTGGCCTTTGATTTCGCACTTCTCTCCCTCTAGTTCTTACCCTGCCTGAGTCTGCTCAGACCGGAGAGGGCGGCAGCTGCAGATAAATTTCCTTTCTCCCATTCAACCCTGGATGTCCTCTGAGTCAGCAACAATATACTCACCACATACGACTATCTGGACTGTGTTGCTTTTCTTGACCACTTTGTCAATACCTGCAGTGCAGATATACGTCCCACTGTCCGACTTTGAGGCTATCTTGGTGAAATCTTGAGTCTGTGACACAATCGTATCTTCCTTCTGGATGGTGAAGTTGGCTGGAGGTGCTCCTGGGATGGAGCAGGACAGGTTCAGTCTTTCACCTTGGTCCAGATGTGTGAAGGAAGATTCCAGTTCGGGCTTGGAAAATAGTTCTGAAAAACAGTGAGTGGGAATGGAGCGAGATGTGTCTGGCCACCACCCTAAAGACCCTTCCTGGAGAGGCCCTTGGCTCAGGTGCTCTTGGCAGAACCAACTTCCAACTTCCAGCAAAAAGTTTTCCTTTGCTTCTCATGTACCTAACGATCACCCCAGTAAGGAGCTAGGGTTCATTCTTTGCCTAGGATTCCAATGGCAGGTTTTCCTTTCTTGTTAATCCAATTTATTTCAATGACAAGGATTAGAAAAGTTTTGCAACTTGTGGCCAGGTGTGGTGGCTCATGCCTGTAATCCCAGCACTTTGGGAGGCAGAGGTGGGTGGATCACCTGAGGTCAGGAGTTGAGACCAGCCTGGGCAACATGGTGAAACCCCATCTCTACTAAAAATATAAAATTAGCCAGCATGGTGGTGGGCGCCTGTAATCCCAGATACTTGGGAGGCTGAGGCAAGAGAATCCCTTGAACCCAGGAGACAGAGATTGCAGTGAGCCGAGATTGCTCCACTGCACTCCAGCCTGGGCAACAAGAATGAAACTCCTTAAGCTAGCAGAAGGCAAGAAATAACTAAAATCAGAGCAGAACTGAAGGAAATAGAGACACAAAAAACCCTTCAAAAAATTAATGAATCCAGGAGCTGGTTTTTTGAAAGGATCAACAAAATTGATAGACCGCTAGCAAGCCTAATAAAGAAAAAAAGAGAGAAGAATCAAATACACGCAATAAAAAATGATAAAGGGGATATCATCACCGATCCCACAGAAATACAAACTACCATCAGAGAATACTACAAACACCTCTAAGCAAATAAACTAGAAAATCTAGGAGAAATGGATAAATTCCTCAACACACACACTCTCCCAAGACTAAACCAGGAAGAAGTTGAATCTCTGAATAGACCAATAACGGGATCTGAAATTGTGGCAATAATCAATAGCTTACCAACCAAAAAGAGTCCAGGACCAGATGGATTCACAGCCGAATTCTACCAGAGGTACAAGGAGGAACTGGTACCATTCCTTCTGAAACTATTCCAGTCAATAGAAAAAGAGGGAATCCTCCCTCAGGATGATGAGGCCAGCATCATCCTGATACCAAAGCCGGGCAGAGATACAACCAAAAAAGAGAATTTTAGACCAATATCCTTGATGAACATTGATGCAAAAATCCTCAATAAAATACTGGCAAACCAAATCCAGCAGCACATCAAAAAGCTTATCCACCATGATCAAGTGGGCTTCATCCCTGGGATGCAAGGCTGGTTCAATATACACAAATCAATAAATGTAATCCAGCATATAAACAGAACCAAAGACAAAAACCACATGATTATCTCAATAGACGCAGAAAAGGCCTTTGACAAAATTCAACAACCCTTCATGATAAAAACTCTCAATAAATTAGGTATTGATGGGACGTATCTCAAAATAATAAGAGCTATCTATGACAAACCCACAGCCAATATCATACTGAATGGGCAAAAACTGGAAGCATTCCCTTTGAAAACTGGCACAAGACAGGGATGCCTTCTCTCACCACTCCTATTCAACATAGTGTTGGAAGTTCTGGCCAGGGCAATTAGGCAGGAGAAGGAAATAAAGGGTATTCAATTAGGAAAAGAGGAAGTCAAATTGTCCCTGTTTGCAGATGACATGATTGGATATCTAGAAAACCCCATTGTCTCAGCCCAAAATCTCCTTAAGCTGATAAGCAACTTCAGCAAAGTCTCAGGATACAAAATCAATGTACAAAAATCACAAGCATTCTTATACACCAATAACAGACAAACAGAGAGCCAAATCATGAGTGAACTCCCATTCACAATTGCTTCAAAGAGAATAAAACACCTAGGAATCCAACTTACAAGGGACATGAAGGACCTCTTCAAGGAAAACTACAAACCACTGCTCAATGAAATAAAAGAGGATACAAACAAATGGAAGAACATTCCATGGTCATGGGTAGGAAGAATCAATATCGTGAAAATGGCCATACTGCCCAAGGTAATTTATAGATTCAATGCCATCCCCATCAAGCTACCAATGACTTTCTTCACAGAATTGGAAAAAACTACTTTAAAGTTCATATGGAACCAAAAAAGAGCCCGCATCACCAAGTCAATCCTAAGCCAAAAGAACAAAGCTGGAGACATCACGCAACCTGACTTCAAACTATACTACAAGGCTACAGTAACCAAAACAGCATGGTACTGGTACCAAAACAGAGATATAGATCAATGGAACGGAACAGAGCCCTCAGGAATAACGCCGCATATCAACAACTATCTGATCTTTGACAAACCTGAGAAAAACAAGCAATGGGGAAAGGATTCCCTATTTAATAAATGGTGCTGGGAAAACTGGCTAGCCACATGTAGAAAGCTGAAACTGGATCCCTTCCTTACACCTTATACAAAAATTAATTCAAGATGGATTAAAGACTTAAACATTAGACCTAAAACCATAAAAACCCTAGAAGAAAACCTAGGCATTACCATTCAGGACATAGGCATGGGCAAGGACTTCATGTCTAAAACACCAAAAGCAATGGCAACAAAAGCCAAAATTGACAAATGGGCTCTAATTAAACTAAAGAGTTTCTGCACAGCAAAAGAAACTACCATCAGAGTGAACAGGCAACCTACAAAATGGGAGAAAATTTTTGCAACCTACTCATCTGACAAAGGGCTAATATCCAGAATCTACAATGAACTCAAACAAATTTACAAGAAAAAAACAAACAACCCCATCAAAAAGTGGGCGAAGGACATGAACAGACACTTCTCAAAAGAAGACATTTATACAGCCAAAAAACACATGAAAAAATGCTCACCATCACTGGCCATCAGAGAAATGCAAATCAAAACCGCTATGAGATACCATCTCACACCAGTTAGAATGGCGATCATTAAAAAGTCAGGAAACAACAGGTGCTGGAGAGGATGTGGAGAAACAGGAACACTTTTACACTGTTGGTGGGACTGTAAACTAGTTCAACCATTGTGGAAGTCAGTGTGGCGATTCCTCAGGGATCTAGAACTAGAAATACCATTTGACCCAGCCATCCCATTACTGGGTATATACCCAAAGGACTATAAATCATGCTGCTATAAAGACACATGCACACGTATGTTTATTGTGGCACTATTCACAATAGCAAAGACTTGGAACCAATCCAAATGTCCAACAATGATAGACCAGATTAAGAAAATGTGGCACATATACACCATGGAATACTATGCAGCCATAAAAAACGATGAGTTCATGTCCTTTGTAGGGACATGGATGAAATTGGAAATCATCATTCTCAGTAAACTATAGCAAGGACAAAAAACCAAACACCGCATCTTCTCACTCATAGGTGGGAATTGAACAATGAGAACACATGGACACAGGAAGGGGAACATCACACTCTGGGGACTGTAGTGGGGTGGGGGGAGGGGGGAGGGATAGCATTAGGAGATATACCTAATGCTAAATGACGAGTTAATGGGTGCGGTACACCAGCATGGCACATGTATACATATGTAACTAACCTGCACATTGTGCACATGTACCCTAAAACTTAAAGTATAATAATAATAAAAAAAGAGACTGAAACTCCATTTCAAAAAAAAAAAAAAAGCAACAAAAGAAAAGTTTTGCAGCTTGTAATGCAGCAAATAATGATTCATGCATTCACTCATGTATTTGTTCACTCACTCATTTCACCCCACAAGTATTTATTGCAGGTTCTCTCTGTGGCGGGCCCCTTGCTAGGCACTGAGAGATAGCAGTGAATAAGAAACAGTCTCTGACTTCAAAGTGCTTACATTTAGTGGTTGATTCAGATGCATTATTTGTCACAGACCCCATAGGAAAAACACTGAACTGGCAGGGCGTGGTGGCTCACACCTGTAATCCCAGCATTTTGGGAGGCCGAGGTGGACGGATCACAATGTCAGGAGTTCAAGACAAGCCCGGCCAACATGGCGAAACCCCGTCTCTACTAAAAATACAAAAATTATCTAGGTGTGGTGGTGCATGCCTATAATCCCAGCTACTCGGGAGGCTGAGGCAGGAGAATCGCTTGAACCCGGGAGGCGGAGGTTGCAGTGAGCTGAGATAGTGCCACTTCACTGCAGCCTGGGCAACAAGAGCAAAACTCCATCTCAAAAAAAAAAAAAAAAAGAAAAGAAAAAAGACACTGAACCTAGCCTTGGGAATCATGGAAAGGCCTGTTGGAGAAAGTTATCCAGGGAAAGTATCTGAGACAGAATGTCTCAGTCCATCTGGGCTTCTACCACAAAATGCTGTAGACTGGTCTAGTTATGTCTATGAATTCTTCATAGGTAAAACCGGGTCTTAGGTAGCTCTTTATCCCCAGTAAGTTGCCCAGCATACAGAAAATGCTCAATATGTGTTGAACTGGTACTTTTCTTTAATGAGATAATATAAATTGTATCAGTAAAAAAATACCATGAGCCATCAAAATATAAGTCATGATCAATACTTAACTAAATTGCTAGCACACACTATAGACCAGCAGGACCCAATGTATATGCCAATATACCAGTTGGGTAGTTGGTAGCCTACCTATGGTGCTGGAGACTGTTGCTGACACTGCACACTCAATGCTTGACACATAGGAGGCTTTTAGTAAATAACTGAACAAATGAATGAATGAACGTTATGAATGCAGACACATGAGAACCCCTTCACCGTGCAACCAAGAAGTGCTGACTGTCTCTGTCCCCTGAAACATTGTCATCTAACACTCATTCCTTCATCCAACAAATATGTATTGAATTCCTCCTGTGTGCCGGGCACTGTTCTAGGTGTTAAGGATATAGCACTGAACAAAATAATGTTCCTGTTCTCAGCGGCTTGCATTCTAGTGGCTGCATACACATAATAAACAAGAAAGGTAGAGTATATTTTTGGTGCTAAGTACTTTAGAGGGAAATAAAGCCAGGTAAGGAGGGTTAGGAGTCTGAGGGAACTTTCAAGTTCATGGATTTGAAAGCCAAACAGGCCTGAGGGTGACTCTTGTTCTACCCCCTTGGTAACCCTGTAATCCTTCGTTGAGTTACTAACCTCACAGTCTCAGTTTCCACATCCATAAAGTGGACATTCTTATGCCTATCTCCTTGAATTGTTATGAGCATGAAATGAAAATATATATAAACCTGGGCCAGCCCAGTGGCTCATGCCTATAATCCCAGCACTTTAGGAGGCCGAGGCAGGCAGATCACTTGAGGTTAGGAGTTTGAGACCAGCCTGGACAGCATGGTGAAACCCCATCTCTACTAAAAATACAAAAAGTTAGCAGGGCATGGTGGCGCATGCACCTGTAATCCCAGCTACTCGGGAGGCTGAGGCAGGAGAATTACTTGAACCTGGGAGGCAGAGGTTGTAGTGGGCCGAGATCGTGCCACTGCACTCCAGCCTGGGCAACAGAGTGAGACTTTGTCTCAAAAAAGAAAAAAAAAAAAAGAAAAGAAAATGTATATAAACCCATCATGCAATGTTCAACAAAGGGTAATTGTCATTTCTTTTTTTTTTTTTTTTTTTTTTTGAGACAGAGTCTCACTCTGTGGCCCAGGCTGGAGTGCAGTGGCGCAATCTCAGCTCACCGCAGCCTCTGCCTCCCGGGTTCAAGAGATTCTTGTGCCTCAGCCTCCCGAGTAGGTGAGATTACAGGCATGCTGCCATGCCCAGCTAATTTTCGTATTTTTAGTAGAGATGGGGTTTTATCATATTGGCCAGGCTGGTCTCGAACTCCCGGCCTCAAGTGATCTGCCCACCTTGGCCTCCCAAGTCCTGGGATTACAGACGTGAGCCACCATGCCCAGCCATGTTATCATTATTTTTGAGTTTACTAATGCTTTCTCATTTGTGGCCCTGTCATAGGACCCACGTCTGGGATCTAGCATAGTGCTTGTCACAGGGGATGGAGAAATATAACAGAGTAATGAAAACATTAACCAGTGTTCAGAGTCTTACTCTGTACAAATCTCTCAGCTCATGCTTACAGTATAGTTATCTCATTAATCATTATAGCAGTCCTAAAAGGTCATTATCACCATCTCACAGCGCTGCGGCACGTTCAATAACTCACCCAAGGTCACAGAAGCAGTGAGCGGCAGGGTTGAGCTTTGGTGCCGGAGCCTGTACCCTCAACACGCACAGTAGACTGTTAACTCGCTCTGCAGTGGTTTCTTCCCACGAGCACCAAAGCCCCATCTGAGCACATTCATTCAGATAAGCAGGGGCAGGAAATGTATCAGCTCTCTTTGGCCATGCTGGATTGCAGCATGGTGGCCTCTTGAGCCCGCCATATGCCAACACCCTCCCGCAGCAGCAGCCCTACCTGTTATGTTGACCACGATGCTGCTGACCTTGGATATGCGGCTGGACTCCACTTTGCACGTGTAGTTGCCACTGTGCTCCACCATGGCCATGACTGAGTACACAGCCTTGTTGCCATGTCTGTTGTGGGCCACAATCGCCTTGTCCTTCTGAATTATGATTTCTGGAAACTCCTGGGCCAGGTGAGTCACTTGAATGGTGCACTTAATGTGGAGCTGAGCTCCTTCCATGATCATTCCGGTGGGGCTGATGTGGAACTTGGGTGTAGAGAAGGATTCTGCAAGAGAGGAAGACAACCTGGTTGGACTCAGGTGCAAACCTGGGCAAGAGGAGCCTCTTCTGCTCTTTTTGCTGCTTCCCCTTTTCAAACTTCTATTGTTCCTAACTAACTTTAAAAATTCAACCTTTCTTCTCTAGAACTTTTGCCTTGGCTGCTCTCATACTCCCTCCCTTCTCGCTCACTCTTGCATCTTCAGGCTTCTTCACTGCAATTCTCTGGGTTTCTGAAGCTTCCCAAAGGCCAAACACCTTCTCTAGATCTCGCCTTCAGAGGACTTCAGAAATAACCACAGTATTTAGAAATGATCTTCCTCCTGCCCACTACGAGTTTTCTAGGCTATTCTCAGCACTTCATGGAAGCTTGGCATTTCAGCATGAAGATACTATAGCTTTCAAAAGTTCAGCTCTGTGAAACGTGCTGCTTCATGGAAATGAATATTTAAATAATCGCATGCCTCCAAAAAAGTGGCTTCTAGTCTTTTCTATTTCATTTTTTAAAATGCTGGCCATCACTCACTAAACTGATTTCATGACTCATGCAGTTTGAAAAACAATTTTGCCTGAGTGTGGGGCCTTACACCTGTAATCCTAACACTTAGGAAGCCCAGGAGTTCTAGAACAGCCTCTGGGCAACATAGTGAGACCCTATCTCTATTTAAAAAGAAAAATAGTTTTAATCAAGTATAGATCACATACCAACCAGGGCATAGGATCTTCAGGGAAGTAGGGATAGGTCCTAGGCTTTCGTTTCCACTTACAACAAAAAAACAAGCCCAGGGCATAAACTGGAATATATACACAGATTCCAACTGTGTAAAATATAGATTAGGGATATCTTTAAAATGCTAATAGTGAACTTAGAGTACTCTAATGCTTTAATATTCATTAGTGATTTTTAACATTATAAAGTCAATTCATAATTAGAAGTTATCATAAAATAATAGCCTGCCTTCTCAAATAAAAGTAAAAAAGGGGAAGGCATCCTTTACATGCTTTAGGACTCTCAAATTTTAGGTCTTCTGGGGAACCTTAATAATAGCTGAAGGGTGTTTTTCTTTCACCCAAATCACCTCCAGATGCACCAGATATTTAAATGCAGAGGGAAAAAAATGAAACCATAGCACAGGAATAGAAAACATGGGTGTGTTTTTTTCCTTTAATAATCTTGACATGCAGAAGACCTTTAAGTATGAATCACAAAACTGAGGCGCCATAAAGAAACAGAACAGGTAAATTTGACTAAATGAAGATTAAAAACTTCAGCATGGAAAACTTATCATAAAACTCAAAGAAAAATGACAAACTAGAGAAAATATTTGCATAATATCACTGACAAATAGCTAATCAATTTATTAAAGGCTCAGCTAGGGGCGGTGGCTCACGCCTGCAACTCCAGCACTTTGGGAGGCTGAGGCAGGAGAACTGCCTGAGCTAAGGAGTTTAAGACCAGCCTGGGAAACAATGGTGAGACCCTCCATCTCAAAAAACATATTATAAAATATTTTTTAAAATAAAATAAAGGGGTCAGGCACGGTGCTCCACACCTGTAATCCCAGCACTTTGAGAGGCCAAGGTGGGTGGATCACGAGGTCAGGAGTTTAAGACCAGCCTGGCCAAGATGGTGAAACCCCGTCTCTACTAAAAATACAAAAATTAGCTGGGCGTGGTGGCAGCCCCCTGTAATGCCAGCTACTCAGGAGGCTGAGGCAGGAGAATCACTTGAACCTGGTGGGCGGAGGTTGCAGTGAGCCGAGATTGCGCCACTGCACTCCAGCCTGGGCGACAGAGTGAGACTCCATCTCAAAAATAAATAAATAAATAAAATAAAGGGCTTGAACAAATCCAACCAGGAACAATAAAAATGACTTTAGTCAAATTTAACTATCTTGTTTCTTTGTGGCACTGGAGTTTTGTGATTCACAATGAAAATGACAAGGCATATATGAATAGGTGGTTTACGGGAAAAAAATGTAATAGATGAATAAACAAACTCAACCTCACTAAAAACTAAAGAAATACAAATCACCACAACAATGATATATATCACTATACCTCAACTAGATTGTCAAAAATAATAAAACATTGAAATACTCTGTTAGGACCAGGCACAGTGGCTCATGCCTGCAATCCTAGCACTTTGGGAGGCCGAGATGGGAGGATCACTTGAGGCCAGGAGTTCGAGAACAGCCTGGTCAACATAGCAAGACCCTAATCTCTATTTAAAAAAGAAAGAAAGAAAGAAAAAGTTTGTTGGTAAGGATGTGGGAAAACAAACACTAGCATCACTACTGATGAAAATGTTCAACCATCTTGAAGAGCACTTTGGCAATATCTAGCACTTTGGCAACATCGAGCCAGGCACAGTCAGCCAAACCTTTTATAAATTAAAGGAATTAGCTGTTTGTTAAAGGTACTATGCAAATATTTTCTCCAGTTTGTCATTTGTCTTTTTATTTTACGATAAGTTTTTCATACTGAAGTTTTTGTTGTTGTTTTGAGATGGAGTCTCACTCAGTCACCCAGGCTGGAATGCAGTGACACGGTGGCTCACTGCAACCTCCACCTTCCAGGTTCAAGTGATCCTCCTGCCTCAGCCTCCAGAGTAGCTGGGACTACAGGTGCCCACCACCACGCTTGGCTAATTTTTGTATTTTTAGTAGAGATGAGGTTTCACCATGCTGGCCAGGCTGGTCTCAAACTCCTGATTTCAGGTGATCCGCCTGCCTCAGCCTCCCAAAGTGCTGGGATTACAGATGTGAGCCACCATGCCTGGCCTCATGCTGAAGTTTTTAACTGAAAATGCACAGGCCAGGTGTGGCGGCTCATGCCTGTAATCCCAGCACTTTGGGAGGCTGAGGCAGGTGGATCACCTGAGATCGGGAGTCAAGACCAGCCTGACCAACATGGAGAAACCCCATCTCAACTAAAAATACAAAATTAGCCAGGCGTGGTGGCACATGCCTAATCCCAACTACTCGGGAGGCTGAGGCAGGAGAATCGCTTGAACCCGGGAGGCGGAGGTTGCGGTGAGCTGAGATTGCGCCACTGTACTCGAGCCTGGGCAACAAGAGTGAAACTCTGTCTCAAATAAATAAATAAATAAATAAATAAATAAATAAAAAAAAAAGAAAATGCACAAAACATCTGATTCAACAATTTGACTACTAAGAATTAACCACATAAATAATAATAGTAAAATAGTTGCCAAAGTACACAAGTTACAAGTACAAATATCTATACTGCAGGATTGTTGTAATAGCAAACACTGAGAAAAATACCTAAATATCCATCAGCAGAAGATGAGGTAAATCACTCAAGCCCAGGAGTTTGAGGGTTGCAGAGATGGCCCATCCCTACAGTCAAGTTCTGAGTTCTAAAATGAGATAGATCTATATTTCTTCATATGGACAAAAGTCCATAAGATTTTGTCTGGTTTTTAAAAAGCTGTAAAATAGTGTGATAGGTCCCCATCTTTTGTAAAAACAAAAGATGTTTTTTCTGTGTGTGTGTGTGTGTGTGTGTGTGTGGCTGGGTGTGTATATGATATATAAATATATGTAGAAAAAGTCTAGAGGATCATGTGTGGTTTTCTCTAAGTAGAGGCATTATAAATGATTGTCACTTTATATACATACTTTATATCCTGCTCTTTTGTCTGAAAATTCTACCCAGAGCACACATGATTTTATAATCAGATAATAGAACATACAGACACACATACACACAATGGGCAGGATAAAGTGGGATGCCAAAAGAAGGGGACCATTTATGACAAAATGTAAGTTTCCTATTTTGGAAATATTTGCAAATATCTACATGGGTGTGCCTTCCCCTGACTTCTCCCGGCTTGGCAAATGAGACCGGGTCCTGGGAGTGGCTGACTACCTGTCCTAGAGCCCTGTATGTCCTGGACACTCCCCAGCTTCCCTCTGCTGTTGCCTCCTTCTCTCCTGGGAGCATTTCCCAGGCCACCTCATTTGTTTGCTGTTTGTCCAACGCAAATCTACGTTGAACAACAGGAGGCCAAGGCTGAGGACCTGGCCCCTCTTTCCTCCCGATCCCCTCCAAACCCAACTTCCTGGTGTCTGACCCTCGATGGCTTAAAGCAGTGGCTTCCAAACTACAGATCACATAATGCATCAGTGTAGTGTGTCATGGCCAGTGTTTAAAGACTGAAATAGGCTGGGCACGGTGGCTCACGCCTGTAATCCTAGCACTTTAGGAGGCCGAGGTGAGTAGATCATCTGAGGTTAGGAGTTTGAGACCAGCCTGGCCAACATGGTAAAACCCTGTCTATACTAAAAATACAAATTTAGCCAGGCATGGTGGCATGCCCCTGTAATCCCAGCTACCCAGGAGGCTGAGGCAGGAGAATCGCTTGAACCTGGGAGGCGGAGGTTGCAGTGAGCTGAAATCATGCCACTGCACTCCAGCTCAGGCAACAGAGCAAGACCCTGTCTCAAAAACACACACAAGGTTGGGGTGGTGGCTCACGCCTGTAATCCCAGCACTATGGGAGGCCAAGGCGGGTGGATCGCCTGACATCAGGAGTTTGAGACCAGCCTGGCCAACATGACGAAACCCCATCTCTACTAAAGATACAAAAATTAGTCAGGTGTGGTGCTGCATGCCTGTAATCCCAGCTACTCCAGAGGCTGAGGCATAAGAATTGCTTGAACCCGGGAGGCAGAGGCTGCACTGAGCCAAGATTGCACCACTGCACTCCAGCTTGGGCGACAGAGCGAGACTCTGTCTCAAAAAAAAAACCCCAAAAACCAAGCCAAACAAACAAAAAGCATCATATATATTAAGAGTAAAGTGTTGTTGGTGAAACTCTTGTCTGAAAAATTGTATGCAATTTAACTGTATAACAGTCAAAAAAGCTTGAAAAATACTGGCTTAAAATGATTAAGAACAGGTCTTAAGTCCTGAGAACAGCAGCCCCTTCCCAGTTCTGGGTTCTTTCTCCCCATACCAAACCAGAAACCACAAAGAACGATGAGGAAGGGAGCAGGATGCTGACCCGTCACGGTGACCAGTTCACTCTTGGTAGATTCTGAGGTCTGCATATGGATCCCAGAAATGATCCTAGCTTGACATCGGAAGGATAAAACGCGGTCCTGTTCCTCAACGGGGAATTCCAGTATCACAAAATTCTGGTCTCGAGAATTCTTCTCTCTTTTCAGCTTGACCATTTTTTCATTTAGTTCAAGTTTTTCAATTGTGAAGTGTATTGGGGCCTTTTCCTCTGGGACAGAACAGTTGACCCTCACGATCCCACCTTGGATGGCCTCTTTCTTGTCCAGTGTCACCCTGGGACTGGGCACTCCTACGGGGAAAGAGAAAGTCTGTCAGTATCAGCCTGATTGAAGAGAAAGTCTGTCAGTATCAGCCTGATTGAGAGACACAAGCCTCCCTCCGCTGAGTGACTGTAGTTGACCCATGAGAGGGCTCTTTTTTGTTCTCTGAACACCCAGTGCGACCTACCAGGTAATAAATGAACAGGTATGTGCCCAGCACAGTACTAGGCACTTTGAAATATATAAAATCTGGAGGCTGAGGTGGGTGGATCTCTTGAGCCCAGGAGTTGGAGACCAGCCTGGGCAACACGGTGAAATGCTATCTCTACAAAAAAAAAAATTAAAAATTAGCCAGGGGTAGTTAGTGGTGTGCACTGGTAGTCCCAGCTACTTGGGAGGCCGAGGTGGGAGAATCACCTGAGCCGAGGAGGTTGAGGCGGCAGTGAGCAGTGATCCCACCACTGCACTCCAGCCTGGGCAACAGAGACCCTGTCTCAAAAAAGAGAAGAAAAGAAAGGAAAAAATATAAAATATGCTCAATGGGAGCTAAGCTATGAGGAAACAAAGGCATAAGAATGATACAGTGGACTTTGGGGACTCAGGGGAAAGAGTGGGAGGGAGCGAGGGATAAAAGACTACACACTGGGTACAGTGTACACTGCTCGGGTGATGGGTCCACCAAAATCACCACTAAGGCCACGCGAGGTGGCTCACATCTGTAATCTCAACACTTTGGGAGGCTGAGGCAGGTGGATCACCTGAGGTCAGGAGTTTGAGACCAGCCTGGCCAACATGGCGAAACCCCATCTCTATTAAAAATACAAAAAATTAGCCGGGCATGGTGGCAGGCACCTGTAATCCCAGCTACTTGGGAGGCTGAGGCAGGAGAATTGCTTGAACCCCGAAGGCAGAGGTTGCAGTGAGCTGAGATCGTGCCACTGCCCTCCAGCCTGGGCAACAGAGTGAGACTCTGTCTAAAAATAAATAAATAAATAAATAAATAAATAAATAAATTTAAAAAATAAAATATGGTCAAGATGTACTTGGTGTTTTCAATGGTTTATAATCCTATTGGGAAGAGGACACAATCAGATTCCCAACAGATGATGCTTAGAGGGGAAAGGTAGCCAGTATTTGTCAGTGTCACTGTGATTGTTGTTACCCTTTATTGAATGCAGCCACAGGCTAGGACTGACTTTAATTTATTCCATGAACATTGACTGAATGCCTACTATGAGCCACATTCATTGTTCAAGATATAAGAATAAACCAAACACCATCTCTGTCTTTACAATTTCACTATCCAGAAGAGCAGACAGATGTGTAAGAATGGATGGCAATACTGAGTGAAATAGAATATTTGTGGACCGGGCATGGTGGCTCACACCTGTAATCCTGACACTCTGGGAGGCCAAGGTGGGTAAATCACTTGAAGTTAGGAGTTCGAGACCAGGCTGGCCAACATGGTAAAACCCCATCCTTACTAAAAATACAAAAAATTAGCCAGGCACAGTGGCGCGTGCCTGTAATCCCAGTTGCTTGGGAGGCTGAGACAGGAGAATCGCTTGAACCCAGGAGACAGAGGTTGCAGTGAGCCAAGGTCGCGCCATTGCTCTTTAGCCTGGGTGACAGAGGAAGACTCTGTCTCAAAATAAATAAATACATTTCTATTTATTAGGAACTCACTAGGTGCTGGAAATTTTGCTAAGCACTCTACCCACATGACACTTTTAACCCTCTCAATAATTGCCTGAAATGGGTATCGTTGTTATCTTCCTTTTACTGGTGAGGATTTTGAAGTTTAGAGCTGTTAAGGGACTTGCCCAGATTGAAACCCAGGCAGAGTGACTGCAGAACGAGGTGTCTTAACACACCGCTGTGGCCTTTATACACACAAATACCATTGAATGTAGAGAGAGCATCAGAGCTGTACTGACTGGCACCCTGGGGTAGACCCATTTTGTTTTGGAAAGAGAAGACATCATTGAGTTGAGTCTTGAAGAAGAAATTTTAATTTATGAGACGAGATGAAGAAGCATTTTGGGAGGCCAAGGCAGGTGGATCACTTGAGGTCAGGAGTTCGAGACCAGCCTGACCAACACAGTGAAACCCCATCTCTACTAAAAATACAAAATTAGCCAGGTGTGGTGGCACACACCTGTAATCCCAATTACTTGGGAGGCTGAGGCAGGAGAATCGCTTGAACCTGGGAGGCAGAGGTTGCAGTGAGCCGAGATCACACCACTGCACTCCAGACTGGGTGACAGAGTGAGACTCCATCAAAGAAAGAAAGGAAGGAAGGAAGGAAGGAAGGGCCTGGCCTATTGGGAATATGTCTAGTGCTTACGTATTCAGGTAAGGAAAATGCCAGGCAGATGAATGAGAGGGTGATGGGTGGAGAGTTAAGTCCAGTGTCACTATTCATTCACAGCTGTTATTCACGCCACTGTGTGCTATGCTCCATCTGCTTGCCTGTGCTCAGTTCCAAGGACTCACCTTCCACCAACACCTGGTACTCTGCAGTGGTTTTCTCTTTGTTGTTCACAATCACAGTACATTTATATGTCCCTGAGTCATAGATCCGGACTTCAGGAATAAAATAACTCTCTGTGCTCTTCATGGAGGAGATGTTGTAAAACAGCACGTCATCCTTATAGAACAGCATCTGGTGCTGAGGCTTGACGTGAGAGGTGGTGCTGACATCCGCGAAGCACTGCAGGGTCAGGTTCTTCCCATTTTGCACCGTCCAGTCCGGCAGGCTCTTCATGTCAACACTGTTGATTGTGAAAGCTAAATGCAAAGGGAAGGAAGGCAGACATACCTGTTATCTCAGAAACAACATCATCCCGGTGACCTTCACCACATCAGATGTGGTCTTATCCCATCCTATGCAGTATTGAGTCCAGGGGTTCTACGTGCCTACAGGGCCAGGCTGATAGTAACTGTGCACAGTGGCTCAAGCAGGAGGCAGTTGGTACTAAGCTGCAACTTTTCCCACCAAGGCAAAGGAACAGAGTGTGATAAAGATGTAGAGCTAGGTATGGTGGCTCACGCCTATAATCCCAGCACTTTGGGAGACCAAGGTGGGTGGATCACCTGAGGTCAGCAGTTAGAGACTGGCCTGGCCAACATGGTGAAACCCCCTCTCTACTAAAAATACAAAAATTAGCCAGGTTTGGTGGTGCAGGCCTGTAATCCCAGCTACTTGAGAGGCTGAGGCACAAGAATCACTTGAACCTGGGAGGCGGGGGTTGCAGTGAGGTGAGATCTCACCACTGCACTCCAGCCTGGGCGACAGAGTGAGACTGTCTCAAAAGACAAAAAAAAAAAAAGATATAGGCATTCTGTGAGCTGCCACATCTTGGCCCCTGGAGGGAGTACAGGATTCAAGCAGTCAAGTGTTCAAGTCCTGGCTCATCATTTACTGTGTGACCCTGGGCAGCTAGACTCTCTGAGCTCAGTTTCCTTACCTGTAGGATGGAGTAATCATATCTCATTAGGTCTTTGCAGGAAATGTACAGGAGAACAGCCAGAACGTCTCCTGTACAGTGCCCGATATACATTAAGTGCTTAATAAATGACTGCTACCTCCATTCCGAAACCAGATGGTCGTGCCCAGGCCCTCCTTCTCCACCCAGGCCTTACCGAATTAGCACAGTCCCAGCTGGCATTTTCTATCTGATGGGCTCTGAGGTTTCACCAGATGGTGAGGACTTGAAACCAGTTTTTAGCCTGCTACTTGCGTTTTCAGCCTCACCTGCTACCAAGAAGCAAAGACTACAGATTCCCCTCTGCCAACGGCAGGAATCTCTGGTCAAGCCTCAAAACAGCCACAATGCTCAATCAGCTATCCAATCTCTGCTAGGAACTAGGCTGTGGGTCAACTGGCCAATTGTGTCATTTCTGGCAAGTCCCCAGAACAGAATTGGCTTATATCCAGTAACCATAGGCTGTCAATAGAATTCAGCTAACTACAGATCACATATTGAGGCTCATTCACAGTAGCAGGCTGACGGAAGGGTGGATTGCTTAAAATTGGGTGCTCTCTAGCTATTGCTGTGTTTTTGTCAGTTGGTTGGTTGTGGGCAACTGCCCTGAAAATTTTCCAGGCTAGAAGATCCTGAACCATGCCCATGGGTCAGGACTTGTATCCAAACTTCAGAGCAGACCAGGGTGAACTGCTTTTTGGAGATCCTCTTGGCAATGCCTGTAGGTGCTTCTGCAGCCCACTTGTGGTCTTAGTTTTACCCCTTGACATATCTCAAAGCACTCACTAGCTTCCCTGTGGTTGTCTTTTCCAAGCACATGAATCTGGGTTTAATCAGCACCATAAAATATTCACTCTCCAAATTCCTGTCAGAAAACAACTTCAAACATCTCATGTTCTATACATGGCTAAAAAAAATATGGATGAAGCTAGGTGCAGTGGCTCACACCTGTAATCCCAGAATTTTGGGAGGCCGAGGCAGGAGGATCGCTTGAGCCCAGAAGTTCGAGACCAGCCTGGGCAACATGGCAAAACCCTGACTCTACAAAAATACAAAAGAATCAGCTGGGCATGATGGCATGTGTCTGTAGTCCCAGCTACTCAGGAGGCTGAGGTGGGAGGATCACCTGAGCCTGGGAGGTCGAGGCTGAAGTGAGCCATGATCATGCCAGTGCACTCCAGCCTAGGTGACAGAGTGAGATCCTGTCTCAAAAAAAAAAAAAAGAAAGAAAAGAGGCCAGGCGCAGTGGCTCACGGCTGTAATCCCAGCACTTTGAGAGGCCAAGGTGGGTGAATCACCTGAGGTCAGGAGTTTAAGACCAGCCTGACCAACATGGTGAAACCCTGTCTCTACTAAAAATACAAAATTAGCCGGGTGTGGTACATGCCTGTAATCCCAGCTACTTAGTAGGCTGAGGCAGGAGAATCGCTTGAGCCCGGGATGCAGAGGTTGCAGTGAGCTGAGATCGCGCCATTGCACTCCAGCCTGGGCAACAAGAGCGAAACTCCATCTAAAAAAAATTAAATAAGTATAAAAAAGAGAAAAAGTAATTGATCTGTAGGGGATTTGGAAAAAAATGTACTGAAAGTCCATGACCATAAAACCAGGTGTTTTTCCCAAATCCCTACACGTCCCCCCAGAAATTTCTACCATGCCCATTCTCAAGGAAGCTACCTATCCAGCATTTGGACCTGGGATTGAAAGTGACTATGTCTGGTATGCTTTCTTAGCCCCCCATCTATCTCCATGAAGTATGAATAATGCAATCATGGAATTTTTTAAAATTTTTGAGTGAATGGAGCAGTCCAATGTTTAAAACTCTCAAAGACAGATGACATGATATGTAAAAACCTCAAAGAGTCTGCAGACAAATTATTAGAAATAAATGTGAGTTTAGAAAGGTGGCTGGATAAGGCCAGGAATGGCAGCTCACACCTGTAATCCCAGCACTGTGGGAGGCCAGGAGTTCGAGATCAGCCTGGCTAACATGGTGAAACCCCGTCTCTACCAAAAATACAAAAATTAGCCAGGCATTGTGGCATGCACCTGTAATCCCAGCTACTTGGGAGGCTGAGGCAGGGGAATCACTTGAACCTGGGAGGCACAGGTTGCAGTAAGTTGAGATCACAACACTGCACTGGGCGACAGAATAAGACTCTGTCTGCAAAAACACAAACAAACAAACGAAAAAGAAAGGTGGCTGGATATAAGATTAATATTTTACAAGTCAGCATAGTGGTCATCTCTGGAGGGAGGGGCTATGGGGTAGGGAGAAGCACAGATGCAAGCTATTAAATGGTCTTTTGGGATGTTGGTCTGGGATGTTGATGAGATATTGTCCCTAATTTCACAAAGTGTTCCAACAGCACCAGGAAACACTGTGTTTATGCTGAACAACTGATTCATTTCTATCTTGTGGATTCTGAGAATGTTCTAATGGACCTTGTTCCTCTTTTTGCTTTGATTGTTAACACACAGCAAAAATTTCACCTCTGCTTCTAGCAATCTTTGGGATGCGTTTGTGCTAAATGGGCCATAGCTTTATTTCCCTGCCTTTATTTTTCTCTCATCCTGATTTCCTCATTAATTGTATCTCATTGAACAATACATAATTTTTATAAGTGGTCCCAAGTCATTTTTTTGGAATAAGAAAAAAGTTAGTTAGCTAGCTGGCCAGAGATACTGGCAGAACCTGTCCTTTCCCTCTCTTTTAACAAAGTTAGGCCTTTGTTGGGTAATTTAAAATTTAATCTTCAATTTTAAAACGAGTACTACAATTTGCGCCTGCTGCTATATTCTGAGCAATTAATTTAACAACAACAACGACAACAAAAATGGTGTCTGACCAGTCCATGAGATGAAACAAGGTGACGGTTTAAATTCAAGTCATTTCCCACAGCATTACTCTTTGGAACTCCCTTTTTTGTCTTTATATGCAACTTACAAGCTCCTGATTTAAGAAGCCTGCTGGATGAGCTCTCGACACACAACTTTCTTTGGACCAGCCGGGCACGGTGGTTTATGCCTGTAATCCCAGCACTTTGGGAGGCCGAGGCGGGTGGATCACTTGAGGTCAGGAGTTCAAGACCAGCCTGGCCAACATGGTGAAACCTCATCTCTACTAAAAATACAAAATTAGCCGGGTGTGGTGGTGGGCGCCTGTAATCCCAGCTACTTGGGAGACTGAGGCAGGAGAACTGCTTGAACCTGGGAGGCAGAGGTTGCAGTGAGCCAAGGTCATGCCATTGCACTCCAGCCTGGGAAATAAGAGCAAAACTCCATCTCAAAAAAACCTTTTTTTCCTTTGGACCATATTAATTTCTCTGCACTCCTCAATTAATATAGTTCCCTCCCAACCACTCTCTTCCCTCTCAGAGACAGTTAGGTCTCCTTCCATTACCTCTTCAGTACTTCCTCCTTCATTTTAAGCTATGCTGTGTATTCCAGTGACTCAACCAGGAGATACTAAAGAGCAGAAATCAAGTGCACGGAGCCAGACCTGGGCCAAATCTCATCTCTGCTACTAACAAAGCTGTGTGACCTTTGGCAAGTCCCTAAATTTCTCTGAGCCTCAGTTTGCTTATCCATACAATAGGCACAAGGAATGTAAGTATAAATGAGAACCTGAGTTTAATTACTTAAAGTAGAGTTCCTGGCACCTATAAAGTGCTTGAGAAATGTTAGCTAGATTCTTCCAGTTACAGAAATAAAGTCGACTCTTTTTTTATTTTTTAATTTTAATTTTTTAGAGATGGGGTCTTACTATGTTGTCCAGGCTATTCTTAAACGCCTGGCCTCAAGCAATCATCCCGCCTCAGCCTCCCCAAGTGCTGGGATTACAGGCATGAGCTGAAAATCAACTATTCAGAGCTTTAAAGCTGTGTCTCCACTACATGTTTCTAGGGATTTTTTTTTTTTTCAAATAAAAACCATATTTAAGGCTGGGCGTGGTGGCTCATGCCTGTAATCCCAGAACTTTGGGAGGCTGAGCTGGGCAGATCACTTGAGGTCAGGAGTTCGAGACCAGCCTCCTGGCTAACATGGTGAAACCCCATCTCTATTAAAGATACAAAAACTAGCCAGGCGTGGTGGCAGTTGCCTGTAATCCCATCTACTCGGGAGGCTGAGGCAGAAGAATCACTTGAACCTGGGAGGTGGATATTGCAGTGAGCCGAGATTGCACCACTGCACTCCAGCCTGGGCAACAAAGATAGACTCCATCTCAAAAAAAATAAACAAAATAAAAAGCATATTAAACATTTTCAGGTTAATTTAAAGCGACTTCTCCAGCCTCCCAGTTTTGCTCACTCCACTGCGTGCTCTCCACACGAGTCATTCATCTGCTCTCCTGTTTACTGAACGAGCTGCCCATCCCTGGCTGGTTATGCCCTAGACCAGCAGACAGTGCTGGGTACAGAAGGGAGTCAGACATACCAGATTCAAACCCGTGATCCCACAGTGCTTAGCTGGGTGATCTCGGGAGTTATTTAACCTCTCTGGGCCACCACGTCTCTGCCTACGAAGTAGGAACATGAATACCTGCCTTCTCTGGTATCTTTAACCTAAACAGTGACTGCGCCAAAGTGGCTGAGGGCACAGAAGGGGCCGTGTATATATTGCCCAGTGCCTGGCCTCTGGTTGACATTCTCTGCCTTCTTCCTTAGCACCATTCATAGCAAACATTTAAGGGGGTTTTTCTGTGCCAAGCACTGTCCCCCATACTGGGGGTTCAGAGAACAGTGAGGCTGGCAGTGTCTGCCCTTGGAGAGCTCATTCTGCACTCCACAACTCTTCCTACTCTGGGCCTTCCAGCCTCAGCACAACCCTTGCGTGAGCCTCCCACTAACCAGTCCTAGTTCATTTGATTTTTATAAAAGCCCTCCCTTTTTAAAAAACAATTTTAAAGCAAATTTGGCTAATGCACCAAGCAGTGGTTTTTCCAGTAGGGATGGTACCCACTAGCATGGGGCCCGTCCACCATCTTGTTTTTCTAAGCAACTCTAACACACATTATCTGCTCAAATAAACAAACTCGGCAGGGTGTGGCGGCTCACACCTGTAATCCCAGCTCTTTGGGAGGCCTAGGTCGGTGGATCACCTGAGGTCAAGAGTTCGAGACCCGCTGGCCAACATGGTGAAACCTAGCCTTTACTAAAAATACAAAAATTAGCCGGGCATGGTAGCGGGCACTTGTCATCCCAGCTACTCAGGAGGCTGAGGCAGGAGAATCACTTGAATCCAGGAGGTAGAGGTTGCAGTGAGCCAAGATCACATCATTGCACTCCAGCCTGAGCAATAGAGCAAAAACTCCATCTCAGAAAATAAATAAATTAACAATAAACGAACTCAATGGATGCACTGGCAGGAACACCACATTCCCATGGCTAGCTCGAACAGACAAGGGAGAAGAGAGGGCAGGATGGAAAAAAGAAAAGCATTTTATAAACTCTGTTGAGATATGAGTCTCAGCTCTTCATCTTAACACAAATATCATCGACAAAACAACAAAAACAGTGACCTAGTTTTTACCGCCACAACCACCACCACCTCCCTTGCTATAGAAGCCCTTCAAGATGCCCCCCCCAATGGTCCTTGCCCTCTGCTCATCACACTTACACGTGGTCACCTCCCACGTTAACATTAACCAACAAAATACTCCATCAGGTAATAAAAGACAATGCAGCTTTTATCCTGATCACTCTCTCTCCTGTCTGGGATCCCTCATTCTGGGGAATGCCAGCAGTCATAGCATAAGCAGCCCTGTGGAAGGTACCCAGGATGAGGAACTAAGGCCTCCAGCCCATAGCCACAGGAGTGAGCTTGGAAGCAGATTCCCCAGACTCAGTCAAGCCTTCAGATAACCGCAACCCTGACCAACAATTTATCTGCAATCTAATGAGACCCGGTGCCAGCACCACCCAACTCAGCCACTCCTGCATTCCTGACCCTCAGAAACTTCAGGATAATAAATCTGTGTTATCTTAAGCCAGTAAGTTTTAGGTAAATTGTTATGCAGCAATAGGTAACAAATATACCACGCAACCAAACTTCAAAAGTCTCTGCCTGATTCTTGTTTTGATAATATGGAAAACATTATCATCTTTCTAAATAAACCAGCCAAGCACAGCCAAACTGAATTACTGCCTGTAGGTCTCACTATTTACACAGAGTGACTGTTCACAACCTGGGGGACACAGCCCCTGGGAGGTGCATGGGTGGGTGTTAGGAGGCTCATCAACTACCTCCAATTGTGTGCAAATGTGTGCTTTTTCTGGAGAGAAGGCCCACAGATTTCCTTACTGAACCCAAAAAGTTTCAGGACTATTGTGATGAAGGGTGGGGCTGTGGGACAGCCTAAAGAGGTCAGATCTTTTCAACCCGGGGAGATGAAGGTTGACGGAGAAGGATCTAAATTTGGAAAGTCACCACGGAACAGCCAGTGACCACAGTGCCAAACCCCAACATGCTAAAAACAGTGGGACCTTGACCTCAAGGCCACTCATCAGTGGATGGTGGTGCTCCCTGGAAACATGCGGCACCATCAGTCAGCCAGCCCCCTGGCCCTCAACCTGGAAATGACTCAGAGAGAAAGTGGAGGGTGCAGGAGAAGGAGGGGCTGCCCACCCTCGTCAGGAAAATTACTGGGAGCCACGAAGCATAGAGTCCCTGATGAACTTCTGTGCTCATCAGAGAGCATGCTGAGCCATCTTCCTACCCGAATCTCAAGCATCTCCAAGTTCAGTTCAAGTTCCCATCCAATGAGACATGTGTCGAGAACCTGTGCCAGGTGCTGGGCTGACAGAGTAAGTAAGAAATCATCCTTGCTGTCCCAAACAGCAAAGGTTGCTGGGGCCCACATAGCTGGACTCCAGTGATATCAGTAAGCACCAAGAGGAAGGGCTGCCCAGGAGAGGTCAAGGAGTCTGAAGGAAGTGACCACTGAACTGAGCCTGCCAGGCCAAGGACAGGCAGTGGGGTACTCCAGGTAAGAGAACAGCGTGTCCCAGGACACGAGGGTGTGAGAAATCCGTGCCTTCTGGGCATGGCCCATTACAGAAACCAGAGTGTGGGGCTAGAGAGGCCAGGTGGCTGGGTCTGTCGTGCCAGAATGGAGGGCTGGCCTGCTGTGCTGACAAGCTGGGCCCTGTCCTGAGGGTGTCAGGAGGGGTGTGACAGCACCCAAGGCCAGTAAACAGCTTGGAAGTGGTTCAGGTGAAAGCTGATGAGGCCTGAGCTAGGCGGGTGCAGTGGGGATGAGGGAAGGATAGGCTGGGGATCTCCTGAGTGGACTCAACAGGACTTGTTTCTGGGGTGTTGAAAATGTTCTAGAATGAATCCCAGCACTTCGGGAGGCCAAGACAGGTGGATCACTTAAGGTCAGGAGTTTGAGAATAGCCTGGCCAACATGGCAAAACCTTGTCTCTACTAAAAATACAAAAATTAGCCGGGCATGGTGGTTCGTGCCTGTAATTGCAGCTACTCAGGAGGGTGAGGCAGGAGAATTGCTTGAATCTGGGAGGTGAAGGTTGCAGTGAGCTGAGATCCAACCACTGCACTCCAGCCTGGGCAACAAGAGTGAGACTCTGTCAAAAAAAAAAAAAAAAGAAAAAGAAAGAATATGTTCTAGAATTAGACAATGGTGATGGTTGCACAACACCGTGAATGTACTAAATGTCATTAATAATAAATGTTATATTATTTGTATTTTACCACAATTTAAAAAAAGACTTTGTTTGATTGGATATGGGGTTGAAAGAATGGAAGATAAACTTCCTGGATTAGATTCCCAGGAGGATGTGTGTGCCACCAAACTAAAATAGAAAATGCCACACGCAGCTGGGTGTGGTGGCTCATATCTGTTATCCCAGCACTTTCGGAGGCCGAGGCAGGAGGATGGCTTCAGCCCAGGAGTTTGAGACCAGCCTGGGCAACAAAATGAGACCCCAGTCTCTACAAAAACAAACAAACAAACAGAAAAAGATAAGGAAGGAAGACAAAGTGATGGTGGTGCAGCTGCGTGTGAGGGGCCAGTAGGAGGACTGGGAGGAGACATCAAAGGTCAGCCTGTGTTAACTGGAGGCTCAGGGCAGAGGCCAGGGCTGGACTGTGAAGGTGGGAGGAGTGTGAACTTAGGGGAGGAGGGGGGAATGTGGAGGTGTTGAGAGGGGAGCTGGTCTCCAGGGAGGATAAGACCAGGAGCCCGCAGAGACCAGGACAGGGTTCAGACTCCAGGAGAAGACAAAGTAAGTCCAAAGTCAGCCATGGGGGAGAAGGAAGAGGGTTTGTTAGAGAGTGAGGAGACAAAGCAGGGAAGAGGATGGAAAAGGTCAAGGAGCGAGGCTTTGGGGCACGATCAAAAGTCAAAGGCAGGAAAGGGGTACAGGGAGCCGAGGGCTGGAAGTGTCCGTTGCATTTGGCATCAGGTGGTCCTTGGTGACCCCTCAGCAAGAGGAGACCCAACAGCCGGAGAAGTGGGGCCTGAGGCCAGGCTGCTGGGAGGCGAGGCGTGTCTGAGAGGTGAGGTGGGTAGGCACAGATTATAAACTAACTTTCAGAGAGGTTCGACTGAGAAAGGAAACTAGAAAGGCCAGATAGGGGGACACCAGATAAACGGTGGGGGTGGGTGTCTGCTTGTGATTTTTCTTTTTCCTAAAAAAAGAGTTCCCATTCACTGAGAGAACAGAGCCAGAAGCAGAAATAGAGATTCTAGAAGTGGTGGTAGGGGAGAGGGACTTGAATGCACGTAGGCGTGGGGTCCTGGGGGTGAGGAAGGGTCTCAGCCTAAGTGCCTGGCTGGCCCCCATCAGCTGAGGAGCAGGGTGCATGTGTCCTCCGAGGCCGGGAGGGAAACCGAGAGGATGGGTGGAGAGGCTGATAAGCCTGCAGCCAGGCCCAGGCGGGAAGTTGAGGGAGTTCCCTCCAGATGACTGTTTTCTAGGTGAAGATGGAGCAGCCGTCACCTCCTGAGGTGAGGCAGCTGCAGTGAGGTGCGGGCTGGAGGGGAACAAAGAGGCCTGAGATGGAAGGAAGGGAAAGGGCCGAGGCTGTCCCAGGACCCCAGCCGCAGAGCGGGAGACTCAGAGCAAGCCTGCAGGCCACGCACTGCAAATGCTGGCCTAGGGGGCCTAAGGAATGGAGACCTGGTTCCAGCCGCCGCCCTGCCCACCCCCAGTGTTGACCCTGCTTGCTTGGTGCCTTGTGGCCTCTGGGTCTGTTTCCTTGAGTGTAAAACAAGGCAGAGGCCTGAGGAGGCAGTGGGAGAGTCGCTCCCTGTGCCATGTGCTGCAGTTCCAACGTCTTCCCTGAAGGTACAAAGAACATTCATTCTCTAGGAACCCAAAGGAGGGAGCAATTGACTTCCATGTGGTGTGGAGGGGGAGAGGGGAGAGCACCACGGTTTTGGGAAACAGGATGTTGTGGGTAAGAAAAAGAGGGACCCCAAAGCGTGAGTGTCTGCAGGGCAGGGTCTGGCCCAAAGGGTGTGGTCTGGGAGGGTACGAGGGCTGGAGTGGACAAAGGGAGAGTGGGTAGGGCAGGAGTCACAGTCGTAAAGGGGGGCTAGGACCGTGTAGTAAACACCATTGTCATTTATCAATCACCTCGAGGCGGGGGCCAATTAATCACCTCCTTTTATCCAGTCTCAACCTCACACCCACTTCATGCCCACGAAGTTCTCTTATCATCCCCATGTTACAGATTGGGAAAACAAATCAAAGAGCTTAAGTAAAACTGGTCTAAAAGACTTGAGTCAGGCCTATGGCTCCAGACAAATGGTGCAGCTTCAGAGAGTGGAAGTTCCAGTCCCAGTGCCCAGCCAACTGCCTCTCTCGTGGACAAATCGGTTCTTTCTTTCTTTCTTTCTTTTTTTCTGAGACAAAGTCCTGCTCCGTTGCCCAGGCTGGAGTGCAGTGGCGCAATCCTGGCTCACCGAACCTCTGCCTCCTGGGTTCAAGCAATTCTCATGCCCCTGCCTCCCGAGTAGCTGGGATTACAGGCATGTGCCACCATGTCCAGCTAATTTTTTGTATTTTTAGTAGAGACGGGGTTTCACTGTTTTGGCCAGGCTGGTTTTGAACTCCTGGCTTCAAGTGATTCGACCACCTTGGCCTCCCAAAGTGCTGGGATTACAGGTGTGAGCCAACGCGGCTGGTAAAATCGGTTATTTCTGAGGCTTGGTGACACCATCAGTCCAGCAGGATAATTATGAAGATTATGGATATCCTGCCTCCGTGGGTTGCCATGGGGATCAAATGCCCAAGGAAGCACCTACAGTTGAGCAGAGAAGCCTGGCAGAGGGGCTTTGCCAGTGGCCAACTAGCCCTCCCCAGCCTGGGGCCACTGCTCCGAGGCTTGACTCACCAGCTAGCCTTGCCCATGGACTTCACCTCCAAAGAGCTGTGCAATTTGCCTGCAACCCAGTCACCTCCATTCTTTGCTGATTGCAGTGACTTCTGACAAGGAAATAGTGTTCTGTGGGCTCTCCCTCTATTCACAGCCCCGGGACACTACTGAGCCCCCTCATTCATGTGGTCCCAGAAGAAGCAGAACAAAACCCTCTCATCTCAAGACAAAGGTTCAAAATTAGCTGTAAAGTGGAAGATAAACCAGGCTTCAAAGATAGGCAGCACCCCACTTCCCTTTGTACAAGCACAAAATATTACAGATATACTTGTAGCCTCACAGGTGAATGGAAAATGAGCTCCAGTGTGTGATTTTTATCATTTAGGAGTAAAAAAAGTAGCAACAATTTAAACTAGGATCTGTCTTCATATGTCTAACAAATCAATTATATCTCATTTGCAAATAAAAACAGTTGGGGATAGGTTACAATATTCAAATAAGCCATTATGGTAAAACAACAAAAAACTAATTATGGAATTGCTCATTAAAATAAAAAAATCACCTCCCCATCCCAAAAAACAGCAATGCACTGAAATCTAGAAAATGTGAGGCCGGGCGCGGTGGCTCACACCTGTAATCCCAGCACTTTGGGAGGTGGAGGCCAGCGGATCACCTGAGGTCAGGAGTTTGAGACCAGCCTGGCCAACATGGTGAAACCCTGTCTCTACTAAAAATACAAAAATTAGCCGGGCCTGGTGGCATGCGCCTCTAATTCCAGCTACTTAGGAGGCTGAGACAGGAGAATCCCTTGAACCCAGGAGGCGGAGTTTGCAGAGAGCCGGGATTGCACCACTGCACTCCAGCCTGGGTAACAGAGACTCTGTCTCAAAAAAAAAAGGAAAAAAAAAAGAAAATGTGTGCTACTTATAATTGTGTTTTTTGCCATCTTTTAAAAAAGTAATGGCAAAAACCACAATTACTTTGCAACAACCTAATATATTTTTAGACTAGTCAAGAGTAGTCGTGAGAACAGAGAAAAGAACATGGAGTTTGATCTGTAACTGACTAAACAATTCATCAAGATAACCCACTACTTTCAGACCAGCCAAGGAAACGTGTGCTACTTCTAAAACACACTGACCAGAACTTGGCTTAGATCTAAGCCTTTCTAAAAATGCCCACATGGGATAAACTTTAGTTCTCAATTGGATTCTTTTCCTTAATTGTTAGAAGTATCAAACCCCAGCAATTTAATGTGCGTTTTAGGCATCACAGAAGAGAAAGGAGGAAGCCAGGTAGAAACATCTGTTACAGTGGAAACATCAGACTTACAGTTTTCTTGACCCTCAAGGCTTGAACCTGCAAGAAACATAAGAAACATGTTGATTCCAGAAGCTTCGATGCTCATGGAGTTAAAGTGATGTGGAAACAGAGTAAACACTCACAGAGCAGAAGGGTCAGCAGGACTCCAAGCCACATCGTGGCCCCTTGGGCCCACCTCGGCTGCATCCTGAGAGTGAAGACTGCAGGCACAGTTAGTTCTGCCTTCGGGCCATGACTCGCTCAGCAGAAGGCACTGCCCACAAGTCACCGTTGAGAAACCCGCCCTGTGAAAAGCAGAAATTGCTCTGGTCACTTCTCCCGGCGCCTGCAGAGAGACCGGCTGTGGCGCTGGTCAGGTAATGGCAGCCATGGCTGGAAACCGGGAACAATGGGGCCTGGGCTGGCCTGATATCTCCTCAGGAAATGACCGGCCTTCCTGAGGGGCCACCGAACGCGGCCGCTTTGTTTAGTTTCTTTAGGGAAAAAACAAGGCACAAGTGACATTTGCCTTGGCGTTCTTGACCCTCCCTCTGTCTCGCCTGGGTTTGGGGGCCCTTCTCATGGCACTGTGAGGGGATTCCTCCCTGCCTCCAGCCTCCACCCACCACCCAAAGGGCTGCTCTCCCAGGACATCCAGAAAGATCTCTCTGCTTTTCCAGTCCTCCCCTTCCCCCATCAAAGAGGGCTTTTGCCACACAGCATAAGTCTGGGCCCCCTGCCTTTCTTGGGCTGACTTTTCCCCAAAATTGCAGGTTTGTCAAAGAGACCTGCTGCTGGGGCAGGCTGAGCTTGGAATGCAGCGGAACTGAGGCGAGAGAATAGCAGAGGAAGTAGGGGGCAAAGAGCACCCTTGGGCGTAGGCTAGCTTAAGCAATAGCAAAAGCAAAAGATGTAAGATAGAAGAAGAACATACAAAATAAGGGAGTAAGCAGTAAGAATAGAATTAACGGCTGGGCGTGGTGGCTCACGCCTGTAATCCCAGCACTTTGGGAGGCCAAGGCGGGCGGATCATGAGGTTAGGGGTTTGAGACCAGCCTGACCAACATGGTGAAACTCCACCTCTACTAAAAAAAAAAATACAAAAATTAGCCAGGCATGGTGGAGAACCCCTGTAATCCCAGCTACTCAGGAGGCTGAGGCAGGAGAATTGCTTGAACCCAGGAGGCAGAGGTTGCAGTGAGCTGAGATCACACCATTGTACTCCAGCCTGGGCAACAGAGTGAGACTCCATCTCAAAAAAAAAAAAAAAAAGAATAGAATTAACTTCTTCCATGGCGATAAGGAGTGACATGTTAACCAAATATCGTACCCTTTAGAAGATGGCTTCAAATCTAAAAATACACTATTCCTACTCCTTTAAGCCTCAAAATACGTTATTCCTACTCCTTTTAAAAGATACCTTGTAGCTTTAAGATTGACCTTTGGGGCCGGGAGTCGTGGCTCATGCCGGTAATCCCAGCACTTTGAGAGGCTGAGGTAGGAGGATTGCCTGAGGTCAGGAGTTTCAGACCAGCCTGGCCAACATGGTGAAACCCTGTCTCCAATAAAAATACAAAAATTAGCCAGGCACGGTGGCACACGCCTATAATCCCAGCTACCCAAGAGGCTGAGGCAGTAGAATCGCTTGAACCCGGGAGGCGGAGGTTGCAGTGAGCCGAGATCGAACCACTGCACTCCAGCCTGGGGTGACAGAGCAAGACTTTGTCTCAAAAAAAAAAAAAAGATTGGCCTTTAGACTTTTCATTGGGTAATAGATATTTTGATGGTAGAAAATACTAGAATCTGGCAGAGCGCGATGGCTCATGCCTGTAATCCCAGCACTTTGGGAGGCCAAGGCGGGAGGATGACTTGAGGTCAGGAGTTGAAGACCAACCTGGCCAACAGGGAGAAACCCGTCTCTACTAAAAATACAAAAATTAGCCTTAGCCGGGCATGAAGGCCGGCACCTGTAATCCCAGCTACTTAGGAGGCTGAGGCAGAAGAACTCAGAAGGCGGAGGTTGCAGTGAGCCGAGATGGCACCACTGCACTCTAGCCTAGGCGACAGAAGTGAAACTCCATCTCAAAAAAAAAAAAAAGAGAAAGAAACTACTAGAATCTGATCCTTTGCATCAGTTTCTAAAAATCTAACTTGTTACAGTCATAGAGTCAAACGTTATGGGATGCTTTGGAAAAGAAGCAAACCATGTGGATATTAATAACACATCAAAATCTCTCAGACTGTCTTAATATTTTATGGTGTTTCTTTATAGTCTGTAATTTAAAACATCAATCAAATATTGCCACAAAAAGTAATATAATAGATAAGGGAGTAAGCAGTAAGTTGGGACATGGTAAGAGAAGTAAGTTGGAAGGACTTCCAGTAGCTATTTGGTCGCAAAAAATAAAAGTAAAGATGGGCAATTTGGTCAGAAGAGGTAAAGTGGGGGTAAACAAGGTTGAACAACTATCTTACAAGAAATAAAGTAGGGTGAAGGCACTATAAGAGAAAGGCAAGTGACATTAAGCAAGTGAGGAAAAACATGTAAAAGGCCGTGAAATGTAACAAACCGGCACTGATAACCACTCACAGGTCAGCCCACTCACCCCTCTCCGAGAGTGTCGCTGTGCTTAATCATTTGCTGCTTCGCTATTTGTACGTGTGTCATGTCCAATTCTTTGTTCATGGCACCAACAGCCTGGAGCTGCGCGGCACCATCTGGTAACAGAACTAGGAAGCTCTCCTCAGCTTTTGGTGTGGGTGACATACGCAGCCCTATGAGAGGCCCCTCCCCAGCATGCACCCCTAAACAAATGCGTACTCTACTGGGCCACTATGCAGGAGCTTCCTAAGATATACATCATTTCTGCTGGGCGTGGTGGCTCATGCCTGTAATCCTAGCACTTTGGGAGGCCGAGGCGGGCGGATCACCTGAGGTCAGGAGTTCGAGACCAGCCTGACCAACATGGAGAAACTCCGTCCTTACTAAAAATACAAAAATTAATCGGGTGTGGTGGCGCATGCCTGTAATCCCAGGTACTCAGGAGACTGAGGTAGGAGAATCGCTTGAACCTGGGAGGTGGAGGTTGCAGTGAGCTGAGATCACGCCATTGCACTCCAACCTGGGGGACAAGAGTGAAACACTGTCTCAAAAAAAAAAAAGATATACATCATTTCCTTTCACTCCTCTGTTTGAGACCAGAAAAAGTCAATTTACAGCCTGCCATAATACAGCCTTTGCTTACCTTTCAAGCCTAGTCTCTCACCACTTCCTTCCTTGCACCTACATTATGGCTGCTAGAATTTCTAGTTCCTAGCACTCTTCATCTGTCTGTGCCTTTGTCGGGGCTGCTCCCCTACTTGGAATGCCTTCCCCACTTCTTTCCAAGCAAATTCCTACCCATCCTTCCTAACTCAGTTCAGGAATCCATTTCTCCAGAATTTTTCCTCGTCTTCCCCAGACTGAGCTGCCCTTCCTCTGCAACCCCCTTACCTCCCTGGTTTTCCCTCTGTCGGATACTTTTTTTTTTTTTGAGACAGAGTCTTGCTCTGTCGCCCAGGCTAGAGTGCGGTGGCGTGATCTTGGCTCACTGCAACCTCCACCTCACGGGTTCAGGCAATTCTCCTACCTCAGCCTCCCAAGTAGCTAGAATTACAGGCATGCGTCACCATGCCCGGATAATTTTTGTATTTTTAGTAGAGACGGGGTTTCACCATGTTAGCCAGGCTGGTCTTGAACTCCTGACCTCAGGTGATCGCCCACCTTGGCCTCCCAAAGTGCTGGGATTACAGGTGTGAGCCACCGGGCCCAGCTGTCGGACCCTTTTATTTTTTTTTGAGATGGAGTCTCGCTCTGTCGCCCAGGCTGCAGTGCAGTGGCGCAATCCTGGCTCACTGCAAGCTCTGCCTCCCGGGTTCACGCCATTCTCCTGCCTCAGCCTCCCAAGTAGCTGGGACTACAGGCGCCCCCCACCACACCCGGCTAATTTTTTGTATTTTTAGTAGAGACGGGTTTCACCGTGTTAGCCAGGATGGTCTCGACCTCCTGACCTTGTGATCCACCCACCTCAGCCTCCCAAAGTGCTGGGATTACAGGCGTGAGCCACCGCGCCCAGCCAGACACTTTTATTATAGGATGTGTCATAATGGCCTGTCCTCCCCCAAATGGACTGCAATCTCCTTGATGACAGGGAGAGTGTCTGGAACCTAGTAGATGATGAAAAAGCATTAGTGCAATGGATGATTGTCTAGATGGATGAAGACAAACTACTGTATTGTCTGAATCAGATGATCACTGCCTTGAGGGTGCCATATTGTTTCTGAAATGCCACCCTCTAGGACTTCCCCATGGTAAAGCTAAGACAGATACAAACTGGCCACAGTCAAAACCAGATTCCTCTACCTCAGGGCAAGAACCAAGAAGTAATGGCTTCCAGCTAGAAAACAATTCCTCTCTCTGACCTATGGTTCAGTGGAAGTTTTGATAAGAGCCTTGAACAGCAATACACACTTTACCCATTTATTTCTAAAGGAATGTTTTCCATTGCGTTATTTGCTGTTGTTTTGTGCTCGCCATTCCCCACTATAAGCTATCTTCTTTGGCAACCTACTGGAAATTACCCTCACCCATCTACCAAATTTTGATGTGGGAACAGAAAAGGAAACACCATGATTAATAAAATAAATTTTGGCTTCAATGGTAATTTTTAGACACTGCAGAGTAAGCACCTTTTGCAGAGCAACAATTCAAATGATAGTGATAAATGCCAAGACCCCAGACCCCGTGCCCTCAAGTTCCAAAGTAAATTTCTAAAATGTGGCAATTGCTTCATAAATGATTCTAATATTTTCAGGATACCATGATAAAATAAAGCTTTATTTCAAAAATAAATGTTTTTTTTAGAAAATTGAAAAATTGTATCCCATAATTCACACTGTGTACCAGAATACATTCCAAATGGACCAGTGATATGAATGTACAAATAAACCCATAAGAGTCCTAGAAGGGGCCAGGCACAGTGGCTCATGCTTGTAATCCCAGCACTTTGGGAGGCCGAGGTGGGCAGATCATCTGAGGTCAGGGGTTCAAGGCCAGCCTGGCCCACATATAGTGAAACCCTGTCTCTACTAAAAAATACAAAAATTAGCTAGGCGTGGTGGCACATGCCTGTAGTCCCAGCTACTTGGGAAGCTGAGGCAGGAGAATCACTTGAACCTGGGAGGCAGAGGTTGCAATGAGCCAAGATCATGCCACTGCACTTCAGCCTGGGCAACAGAGCAAGACTCTGTCTCGCAAAAAAAAAAAAAAAAAAAAGTTCTAGAAGAAAATACAAAAGAAGAAAAGAAGTCCTTACAACCTTGAATGGCAGAGGCTGGTTTAACTAAAACTTAAAATCCAGAAGCCATAAAATTGATTGATAAATTGTACTTTATGAAAAAAAAGTTCTGTTTTGCCAAAAAAAAAAAAAAAAAAATTAGTCAAGAGAAAAACTACTAACTGGAAAAAATGTTTGCAACTCACATCACGGACAAAGAGCTAACTTCCCTAGTGTGTGAAGAACACTCATAAATTAAGAAGAAAAAGTTCGGGAGTCTGTCTAAGCTACTCTGGCTTGGGAGGCTGCCTGATTAAAAGAAAGAAAATAAAAGAGAAGAAGAAAAAGAAAAGACCAACAATCCAATAGAAAAATGGGCAAAGAATATGAACAGATAGTTTCCATAATGTAAGAAAAAGTATCTGAAATTGGAAATAGGCAAAAATGAGTACTGCATGCCTGTCCAGGGTTTACCTCACACTCTAAGGTTATTAACGTTTGTTTGACTTGCTATTTACAGTAGACTAGAATACTTTACAATCAGTAGGGGAGGGTAAACATTAACTTGTAGAAAGTCAGTAAGGATGCAAAGGATTCTTATTATCTGTGGCAGAGGGGTGGGTGGCAGAAACTGAGCAGTTGGGGACTTTTCTTTGTAAAGCTTTCTGTACTTTTGTTATTTAAATCATGTGACTGTATTACCCTTTCACTTTTTTCTTTTTTTTTTGAGATGGAGTCTTGCGCTGTTGCCCAGGCTGTTGTGCAGTGGCACTATCTCAGCTCACTGCAACCTCCACCTCCAGGGTTCAAGTGATTCTCCTGCCTCAGCCTCCTGAGTAGCTGGGACTACAGGCATGTGCCACCATGCCCAGCTAATTTTCGTATTTTTAGTAGAGATGGGGTTTCACCGTGTTGGCCAGACTGGTCTTGAACTCCTGACCTCGGGTGATCCACCCACCCACCTTGGTCTCCCAAACTGCTGGGATTACAGGCGGGAGCCACCGTGCCCGGCAGTATTACCTTTAAAATTTTAATTAAGAAATTGAATTTCTGTTCAGCTTTATGAAGTATTATATAATTGACATAAAATAAGCTGTGTTTAAAGTATACACTCAGAAAAGTGTTGACATGTGTATACTGATGAAACAACCTCCACAATCAAGGAAGCAGACACATCCACCACCCCCAAAAGGTTCCTATGCCCCTCGTCTCCCTTGCCCTCTGCACCCTCCCCACTGCAAAGATTGATCTGCTTTCTGATTAGTTTCCATGTTCTGGAATTTTGTAAAGATTCATACAGTATGTACCTTTTATTATTATTATCATTATCTTTGGTGTGTCTTTTTTCTTTTTCTTTTTTTTTTTTTTTTGAGACAGAGTCTCTCTCTGTTGCCCAGGCTGGAGCACAGTGGCACAATCTCGGCTCACTGCAACCTCCACCTCCCAGGTTCAAGCAATTCTCTGCCTCAGCCTCTGGAGTAGCTGGGATTACAGGCACCTGCCACCACGCCTGGCTAATTTTTTGTATTTTTAGTAGAGACAGGGTTTCACCGTGTTAGCCAGGATGGTCTCGATCTCCTGACCTCGTGATCCGCCCGCCTCGGCCTCCCAAAGTGCTGGGATTACAGGCGTGAGCCACCGCGCCTGGCCTTTTTTTTTTTTTTTTTTTTTTTTGAGACAGGGTCTTGCTCTGTGGCCCAGGCTGGAGTGCAGTGCCGCAATCTTGGCTTGCTGCAACCTCTGCCTCCTGGGTTCAAGCAACTCTCCTGCCTCAGCCTCCCGAGTAGCTGGGATCACAGGTGTGCACCACCATGCCCAGCTAATTTTTGTATTTTTAGTAGAGATGGGATGTCACCATGTTGGCCAGGCTGGTCTCAAACTCCTGACCATAAGCAATCCGCCCACCTCAACCTCCCAAACTGCTGAGATTACAGGCATGAACCACCGCACCCAGCCAACATCTTTTTTTTGAGACAGGGTCTCACTCTGTCTCCTAGGCTGGAGTGCAGTGGCACAATCATGGCTCACGGCAGCCTCAAACTCCTGAGCTCAAGCAATCCTCCCACCTCAGCCTCCCAAGTAGCTGGGACTACAGGTGTGCACCACCACGCACAGCTAATTTTTTACTTTTTGTAGAGACAGGGTCTTGCCCAGGCTGGAATCCAGCTTCTTGTCTCAGAAGATCCTCCAGCCTCAGCCTCCCAAAGTGCTGGGATTATAGGCATGAGCCACTATGCCTGGCCTGGCCTTTTTCAATATAGTAAATTGAATGGGTTTTTATTCGTTTGTGGGCCTCTCCTTTCTCCTCACTTCTTCCCCTTGACCTTGGTGGATTCCTTGATTGGGTTGAGGCAAAGGTTCCCACACGGCTTTGGCTTCTTGGTAACTGATCAAGAGACTGACTCCTACATAACCAAGGGACCCCAGGAGTTCCCACCAGGCTTAACAAACTCACCCAGGACCCTGTTTCTCCCATGGTGTTGTTCGCTTCTTCTCAGCCAAGCAGAATTGAAGGAGGACAGACACACAGTTATTCCTACCTGCAGTGCTCCTGCCTTCAAATACCGGGGAAGTAACGCAGATCCGAAACATAGCGACTCGTTAACTGCACAGAAAAAGCTGTCTGCTGGAATAAACTTCAGGAAGTGGTTTTTCTGAGCAACTGGAGGTGGAGTGGGGGGAGGAAGGCGGAGGCAGGTGGGCAACAGACATGTCGGAGGGCACAGCAGGCCAACCACCTATTTCATGACAATGGTGATTGGAAATGAGATTCACCGGCCGTTCCATTTCCCCCACCTGTAGCCTCAGATCTCATTAGTCTTGGAGAGTTGATGAGCCAGACTCAACAGCCCCCATCCACTGGGTTTGGGACACACCCCAGCCTGGGAGTGAACGTGCACTAATGCGTAAATCAGAAGCCTGGGTTCCCTGTCTGTTCTCTGCAGCTTAATAGCTTAAATGCTCTGAGGCTCATGTTCCTCACCTATATAATGGGAATAATGTGCCCATCTACCCATTGAATAGGCTTGTTAGGAAGATCAAACAAGAGCTAGCCTTTGAAAGCACATTTAACCAGCAGAGCACAGTAAGAACATAGTAACAACAAAAAAATATAAAAAATAGCTGCATACGGTGGTGCATGCCTGTGGTCCCAACTACTCGTGAAGCTGAGGTGGGAGCAACGCTTAAGCCCAGGAGTTTGAGGCTGCAGTGAGCCACGATCACACCACTGTACTCTAACCTGGGCAACAGGGCAAGACCTTGTCTCAAAAAGTAATAATAATTAATTAAAAAGTTTAAAAAAAACAATAGTTATGATTGAACAATAATAACAACAGTTGTTGATCTGGTTTGGCTGGGCCTGCCACATCTGAATCGCTGCTCTGGAGCTCAGCTGACTTAGTGAACCCAAGGGGCAGCGCTCAGTGCCTTTTCTTCCACACCCACCATATGCTGCCCTCACCACCCCAGTCTGGCCCCTCACAAAGTTGGGCAGCTGGGCAAAAGGGAGGCAGGCAGGGACATTGTGGAGGAGTCTGTGCTATTCCATCCCCTGCAGGAGGCCCCCTCCAGTTACAAGGGACATGGTTGTTTTGTTTTTGGGATTTTTTGGGGTTTTTTTTGAGACAGGTTCTTGTTCTGTTGCACATGCTGGAGTGCAGCGGTGTGATCACAGCTCACTGCAACCTCCGCCTCTCAGGTTCAAGCCATCCTCCCACCTCAGCCTCTCGAGTAGCTGGGACTGTAGGCATGCACCACCACATCCGGCTAATTTTGGTAATTTTTGTAGAGATGGGGTCTCGTCACATTGCCCAGGCTGGTCTTGAACTCCTGAGCTCAAGCGATTTGCACGCCTCGGCCTCCCAAAGTGCTGGGATTATAGGCATGAGCCACCGCACCTGGCTGACATGGTTGTATTATGACTCATAACCATAGGCATTTTTGCCTTTGTAGACCTCTTCCTCCACAAAAAAAAAAAAATTACATTTTGAAACTGTACTGGTATAAATAAGAAGATATTCATATTATATATTTAAAAATTTCTTTTACCTAGACAGTGGTTTTATTCTTCTGATGACTGTATCTTCTAAACCTAATGAAGAAGGGCCTGACAACAGATCAGGCACACAACAGCCCAAGGGGTTAAGGGACCTACTGTCTTCCACCCTGAGTGGCCTGGCCGCTGGCCTGGGAAGAGCACCACCATGTCCCAGGCACTGAAGCCAAAACAGGTGTTTGTGCATTCTGTTCTCAAAACCACAAAAGCACAAGCAACAAAATAACAAAAACAGATAAACTAGACTGTATTAAAATTAAAAATGTTTTTATTGCAAAGGATAGCATTAGGAAAGTGAAAGGTAATTCACAGAATGGGAGAAAATATTTGGAAATAATATATCTGATAAGGGTCTAGGATCTTGAATATATAAAGAACTGTTACAACTCAACAACAAAAACACAACCATTTTAAAGAATTGGCAAAGGGGCAGGGCGTGGTGGCTCACGCCTGTAATCCCAGCACTTGGGGAGCCTGAGGCAGGAGGATCACTCAAGGTCAGGAGTTCCAAGACCAGCCTGGCCAATATGGTGAAACCCCATCTCAGCTAAAAATGCAAAAAATTAGCCGGGCGGTGGCACATGCCTATAATCCCAGATACTCAGGAGCTCAGGAGGCTGAGGCAGGAGAATCGCTTGTTCCCAGGAGGCAGAGGTTGCAGTGAGCTGAGATCATGTCACTGCACTCCAGCCTGGGCAATAGAGTGAATGAGACTCCATCTTAAAAAAAAAAAAAAAAAAAAAGGATTTGAGCAGATTATTTCTCCTAAGAAGATAAAAAAAAAAAATGACCCCAAGCACATGAAAAGATGCTCAACATCATTAGTCATTAGGGAATTGCAAATCGAAACTACAATGAGATACCACTTCATACCCACTAGGATAACTATAACCAAAAAGACAGACAACAAATATTGATGAGGATGTAGAGAAACAGGAATGCCCATATGCTACTATGGCATTGTAAAATGATACAGCCACTTTGAAAACAGTTGGTGGTTCCCCAAAATTAAAAATAGAGTTACCATGTGATCCAGCAGCAATTCAACCCTTGGGGATATAGTCAAGAGAGCTGAAAACACGTCCACACAAAAACATGCACACAAATGTTTATAGGGCTGGGCACGGTGGCTCACGCCTGTAATCCTAGCACTTTGGGAGGCCGAGGCGGGTGGATCATGAGGTGAGGAGATCGAGGTCATCCTGGCTAACACGGTGAAATCCTGTCTCTACTAAAAATACAAAAAAATTAGCCAGGCGTGGTGGTGGGCACCTGTAGTCCCAGCTACTCGGGAGGCTGAGGCAGAAGAATGGTGTGAACCCGGGAGGCAGAGCTTGCAGTAAGCCGAGATCGCGCCACTGCACTCCAGCCTGGGGCAACAGAGCAAGACTCCGTCTCAAAAAAAAAAAAAATCACAAATGTTTATAGAAGCAGTATTCACAATAGCCAAAATATAGAAACAACACAAATGTTCATCAACTGATGAATGAGCAAACAAAATGTGTTATAGCCATATAATGGAATATTATTTGGCAATAAAAAGAATAAAGTACTGGGCAGGGCATGGTGGCTCACACCGGTAATCCCAGCACTTTGGGAGCCCGAGGCTGGAGAATCGCTTAAAGCCAGGAGTTTGAGACTAGCCTGGGCAACATAGCCAGACCCTGGCTCTACCAAAAAAAAAAAATTTTTTTTTTCACCTCCCACCAACTTCTCTCAAAAAATTTTTAAAAATTAGCCTGGTGTGGTGGTGTGCCCCGGTAGTCCCAGCTACTCTGGAGGCTGAGATGGGAGGCTTGTTTGAGCTCAGGACTTTGAGGCTACAGTGAGCTAGGATTGCACCGCTGCACTCTGGCCCAGGTCATAGCATGAGACTCTGTCTCTAAACAACAACAACAAAAGGAACGAAATACTGATACATGCTACACTATAGATGAACTTTAAAAACATGCTAAGTGGAAGAAGCTACACATGAAAGGCCACATATTATATAATTCCATTTCTATGCAATGTCCGGAATACGCAAATCCATGGAGATGGAAAGTAGTTTGGTTGGCTAGGGCTGGGGGATTAGGCAAGATAGCTAAAGAATACAGGTTTCTTTTTGGGATAATGAAAATGTTCTAAAATTGATTGGGGTGATGGTTGCACAACTCTGAATATATGAAACACCATTGAATTGCACGCTTTAAATAGGTAAATGGTATGGCATGTGAACTATATCTCAATGAATCTGTTATTTTAAAAATTTTAGAGGGTATGTTTTCATTTCCTGTGGCTACAGTGACAAATACCCACACACTTCCTGGCTTAAAACAACAGAAACTTATTCTTTCCCCATTCTGGATCTAGAATAAGTATGAATGGACCAAAATCAAGCTGCCAGCAGGGCTACACTCCCTGCAGAGGCTCTGCGGGAGGAGAATCTGTTCCTGGCCTCTTACAGGAGCAGATTGGTGGCTGCTGGCATTCCTTGGTCTGTGGGTGCATCACTCCAGTCTTCAAGGCCAGCATCTTCAAATCTCTGCTCAATCTTCACATCACCTCTCTTCTGTGTGTCTAATCTCCCTTATTTATTATTTATTTATTTATTTGAGATGGGGTCTCACCCTGTTTCCAAGGCTGGAGTGCAGTGGTTCAATCACGACTCACTGCAGCCTTGACCACCAGTGATTCTCTCACCTCAGCCTCCTGAGTAGCTGGGACCACAGGCACACACCACCATGCCTAGATAATTTTTTAATTATTTGTAAAGATGAGGTCTCGCTATGTTTCCCAGGTTGGCCTTGAACTTTTGAGCTCAAGGGATTCTCCTGCCTGGGCCTCTCAAAGTGCTGGGATTATAGGCATAAACCAATGTGCCCCGCCTCCCTCTGCCTCTCTGGTAAAGTCACTTGTGATTGCATTTGGAGCCCATCCAGATAATCTCCCCAACTCAAAACTGTTAACTTAATCACATCTGCAAATCCCATTCTCCCACATGTTACAAACTGAATGTTTGCATCCCCGCGACAATTCACATGTTGGAACCAACTCCCCAGTGTGATAGTACTTGCAGGTGGAGCCTTTGGAGGTGGTTATGTCATGAGGGTGGAGGCCTCATGAATGGGACTGGTGCCCTTATGAAAGGGACCATAAGAAAATCCCTAGGCCCGGTGCGGTGGCTCACGCCTGTAATCCCAGCACTTTGGGTGGCCAAGGTGGGCAGATCGACGTGAGGCCACGAGTTTGAGACCAGCCTGGACAACGTAGCAAAATCCTATCTCTACTAAAAATACAAAAATTAGCTGGCATGGTGGCGCGCCTGTAGCCTCAGTTACTTGGGAGGCTGAGGCACGAGAATCACTTGAACCCAGGAGGCAAAGGTTGTGGTCAGCCGAGACCGCGCCACTGCACTCCAGCCCGGGTGACAGGGCAAGACTCCTTCTCAAAACAGAAAAAAAAAAAAAAAAGGCAAGAAAAGAATTCCCTAGTCCTTTCCATCATGTGAGGACACAGCAGAGAGACAGCCATCTATAAATGAGGAAGTAGGCCTCACCAGACACTGGAGCTGCTGGAGCTTTGATGCTGGACTTCCCAAACTCCAGAACTGTGAGAAATACATTTTTGTTGTTTCTTTTTTTTTTTTTTTTTTGAGATGGAGTCTCATTCTTGTTGCCCAGGCTGGAGTGCAATGGCACAATTTCAGCTCATTGAAACCTCCGCCTCCCGGGTTCAAGCGATTCTCCTGCCTCAGCCAGCTGAGTAACTGGGATTACAGGCATGAGCCACCATGCCTGGCTAATTTTGTGTTTTTAGTAGAGATGGGGTTTCTCTGTGTTGGTCAAGCTGATCTTGAACTCCCAACCTCAGGTGATCCACCTGCCTCAGCCTCCCAAAGTGCTGGGATTACAGGCGTGAGCCACCGCGCCCGGCCCATTTTTGTTGTTTCTAAGGCACCCAGTCCAAACAAACTAAGACACCATATAGGGCAACATTCACAGGTTCCAGGGGTCAGGGCCTGATATCCTTGGGGGTCATCAGCAGCCTACCACAGGGGTATCATGACCCATATTACAGATGGGGAGCTGAGGGCCAGGAGGTGAAACATCAACCAAGTTCCCAGCACCACATCTGCCTGCCTGTGTCTGCCTGGCTTGCTACAAGGCTTCTGTGACTGACCTTTTACAGCACCTTTCTGGGCAGAAGGCTCAGACCCAGTCCCTGACCTGACACACATGAGTCATGAGACCAGAGCCAGCTTCATAGATGTGTGACCCGTGCCGTCACAGGGGCCCTGTGCTCAGAAGCTGCCATGCTTGGTTTGATGCCTTGCTGTCGCCACCTTGAAATTCCTGATAATTTTGAATTTTCATTTGCACTAGACCCACAAATTATGTAACTGGTCCTACATGTGACACTGAGCAAGAAAAGGGAGAGTTGAGATGAGGTGGGTAGAAGCTGCCCTGCCCACGGCCTCACCTCAGACCTGAAAAGTACCTGACACCCCGATCCTGCACAGCCTAAATAATTGCATTGTTTTATATGAAAGAAGAACTAGACTTTTTTCCACTTTCGGTGGAAATTATAGGGAGGTATATTTCAGCCAGAACTGTGCAACACAGCAGGTAAGGAAAGTTTTGCAAATGTTTTAAAAGGCCAGATGAGACTGGGCATGGTGGCTCATGTCTGTAATCCCAGCACTTTGGGAGGCCACAGCAGGCGGATCACCTGAGGCCAGGGGTTTGAGACTAGCCTGGGCAACATGGCGAAACCCTGTCTCTATTAAAAAAATACAAAAAGGTCAGGCGCAGTGGCTCATGCCTGTAATCCCAGCACTTTGGGAGGCTGAAGCAGGTGGATCACTTGAGGTCAGGAGTTTGAGACCAACTTGGCCAACATGGTGAAACCCCGTCTATACTAAAAATACAAAAATTAGCCAGGCGTGGTGGCATGCGCCTGTAGTTTCAGCTACTCAGAGGGCTGAGGCAAGAGAATCGAGTAAACCTGGGAGGCGGAAGTTGCAGCGAGCCGAGATTGCACCACCACACTCCAGCCTGGGCCACAGAGCGAGACTCTGTCAAAAAAAGAAAAAAGAAAAAGCCAGCTGAGAGAGAGGGAGGTGATTCCTAAAGCTGCGGAGTCTCCTCTGGGCCCACCTGAGGCAAACCCAGCCTCCACCAAGAGGCAAGTTTTGTGTCAGTTCCCAAGAACTCCAGAAGCCATGTGGGCCACTCCTTCTTCTTTTAGGGGGAGAATGTAGCTGTCAAATATCTCTTCATCTTATTAATAAAGCTAACAAGGAGCCAAGTATTTGTCAAAACCAATGCCAGGGGTCAGAGCAGTGTCCCGCTGATTGCCACAGCTGAAGACAAAGGAAAAGGAAGGAAGACTGTCATCGTCAATGTGGTTGCCATTGCAAAGGTGGCTAGGTGGCCTCTGTCACTGTGGGCTGGGAATCATAGCTCTAGTCTGATGCTAAAAAGGACCATGCAACTGTTCATGGAGCGCACAAATGACTGCCCAGACAACATAAAAAAACAGCATCTGGCCGGGCACGGTGGCTCACACCTGTAATCCCAACACTTTGGGAGGCTGAGGTGGCCGGATCACTTGAGATCAGGAGTTCGAGACCAGCCTGACCAACATGGTGAAACCCCATGTCTACTAAAAATACAAAAATTAGCCGTGCGTGGTGGCACAAGCCTGTAGTCGCAGCTATTCAAGAGGCTGAATCACTTGAACCCAGGAGGCGGAGGTTGCAGTGAGCCAAGATTGCACCACTGCACTCCAGCCTGGGTGACGGAGGGAGACTCCGTCTCAAAAAAAAAAAGGTGTCTGTGTTCCCACTGTGGAAACCTAAGCAGATTGGCTGGACAAACTTTAGAATGACAGGGACCCCAAAAACAGAAAGAAAAGCAAAATGCAGCCTAGTCTATCCCCAGGGGCGGTGGGGTCGTCTGGGGACAACAGAAGGATGAAGGCCCAGGATGAGGCAGAAAGGAGCTGATCTGGGGGTGAGGGAAACAGGGAGAGACTGACTGGTTGACTTTGGGAGGGGTGTCAGGGACGCTGGGGCCACTACCATGACTCTGAGGGAGACACAAGTTTTTCATGGGTTTTTCTCTGTGCAGAGTGGTGTAAGTCTGCTCTCACATCTCCCTTCCAGCAACCTTCAAGCAACCTCTAGTAGAGATTTGAAGTGGGATTTCTTTCTTTTCTTTTTTCTTTTTTTTTTTTTTTTTGAGATAGGGTCTGGATCTGTCACCCAGGTTGGAGTGCAGTGGCACAATCTTGGCTCACTGCAACCTCCACCTCCTGGGTTTAGGCGATTCTCGTGCCTCAGCCTCCCGAGTAGCTGGGATTACAGGCATACACCACCATGCCCAGCTAATTTTTTGTATTTTTAGTAGAGATGGGGTTTTGCCATGTTGGCCAGGCTGGTCTCGAACTCCTGACCTCAAGTGATCCACCCACCTTGGCCTCCCAAAAAAGTGCTGGGATTACAGGCCTGAGCCACTGCCCCCGGCCTTAGAGTGGGGTTTCTGTTCTCATTTGACTGTGTCATGGTTCTGAGACGAATCCTCAGGTGAGAAAGCAACGGGCCTGGCTTCCTTGGGCTCCTCAGCCATGGCCCTCCCAGAGCCCACCATGCCTGGAGGACCCAGCATGGGCCACAGACATGCACCTTCATTCTCACAAGTTCATCCGAGAGGAGGAGGAAGGAAAAGCCAAGGAAACCCAAAAGGCAGGTTAGAGAAAGAAGTCACTCTGTGTCCGCAAAGAGCTCCCCTCCCCTGGCCCTGTGCCCTTCACTCTCTATAGGTCAAGGTTTTGCTGGACTGTTTCCAGTGTTTGAGCCTGAATCCACCACGCCGGGGCTCCCTGATGCACTAATCCGGTGTTCAAAGAAGGGAAGGGCTGTGTGGCCCTGAACCTGTGCCTACACAGCAGAAAGAATTCCAACCTTTCCTTATCAGACATAAAGTGGATCTACAAAGGGTCACATTAGAGAGTTTTCCTTTTTAAATGGCTCTACAAATGTTCTGAGGTAGGCGGCGGAACTCAACTCCAAAGGTAGGGCTTGGACACTGGACCAAATTGAAGACTAGCTAAACAGGGACTGAGAGAAAGCAGCTTTCCATAAGACACGCCCACCAGTGTGCCGTGTCAGTTTACCGTTACCATGACAACACCGGAAGTTACCACCCCTTTCCATGGCAATGACCTGACAACCCAGAAGTTACCACCCTTTTTCTAGAAATTTCTGTATAGTCTGGCCCTTAATTTGCATATAACTAGATGGGCACACATATGATGCAGAACTGCCCTGAGCTGGTGCTCTGGGCACACTGCCTATAGGGTAGCCCTGCTCCACAAGGAGCAGTCTGTCTGCTGCTGCTGTGCACTGCCGCTTCAATAAAAGTTGCTGTCTAACACCACCGGCTCCCCTAGCTTGCCCTTGAATTCTTTCCTGGGCAAAGCCAAGAACCCTGCCAGGCTAAGCCCCAATTCTGGAGTTCACCTGCCCTGCATCAGTTGCACGTAGCACAGTTTCATTAGTTTGGCCTTGAGGGGCCAAGAGCAATCCTGCTTTGCACCACCCACCATGAAAGGGAGCAGGAGCTGGCGGGGTGCGGTGGCTCACGCCTGTAATCCCAGCACTTTGGGAGGACGAGGCGGGAGGATCACCTGAGGTCAGGAGTTCGAGACCAGCTTGGTCCAACATGATGAAACACCATCTCTACTAAAATTACAAAAATTAGCCAGGCATGGTGGCAGGCACCTGTAATCCCAGCTACTAGGGAGGCTGAGGCAGGAGAATCACTTGAACCCAGGAGGCAGAGGTTGCAGTGAGCCAAGATCACACCACTGCACTCCAGCCTGGGTGACAGAGCGAGACTCCATCTCAAAAAAAAAAAAAGAAAAGAAAAGAAAAAAGAAAGGGAGGATGAGCTGCCCTGGGGGAGGTTTGTGGACTTCTGAACTCATGTGAGCCAAGTCTACCAAGCCTCAGCTCACCAGCCTGTAGATTGCTCCTCATAAGGCCACTGCGGGCCTCAATATCATAAAACTCTATAGGGATATGGGTCACGTTAAGTATTGTCCTTTGACCTCATATCAAATGAACAAGCATCAGGAAAAATTGTGAAAGGGTTTGAAATAGGCCTAAAACATTCCTGGGTGTCTTCAACAAAAAGTAGAGGCAATCTAGCACATTCTTCCAGCTTATCTGACTCTTTGAGGTTTCTGTGCCTTTCATTGTCTTTGAGATATCTTATAATTTTCCAGGTTGTCCAGAGAAATGCAAGTTGTGACCAGTGGGGATGATGCAGTTGATAATTCCCCTAATGATATTGAGCAATTTTGCATCTTTTGTTTTGAGGCGGAGTTTCGCTCTTGTCCAGGCTGGAGTGCAATGGCACAATCTCGGCTCACTGCAACCTCCGCCTCCTGGGTTCAAGTGATTCTCATGCCTCAGCCTCCCGAGTAGCTGGGAGTACAGGCATGCACCACCACGCCCAGCTAATTTTGTATGTTTTGGTAGAGACGGGGTTTCTTCATGTTGGTCAGGCTGGTCTCAAACTCCCGACCTCAGGTGATCCACCCGCCTCAGCCTCCCAAAGTGCTGGGATTATAGCCGTGAGCCACCGCACCCAACCAGTTTTACATCTTTTAAGCCAACTCATTTTAGCATCCCTGATGGTAGATATCTGCATATCTAATGATCAATTGGTCAATCAATCTAATCATATATACATATCCTCTTTGATTCTCCTTTGAGTAAGTTATAGCATTTCACTGGTTCACTCATTAATTGATAAGTTAAATAAAATATTTGACACATGTTCATATTATATTTGCATGAGAGTTATGATTTTACTCCTAAAAATTATAAGACTCCGCTATGGAGCTTTTATTTAAATAATAATAACTAATATTTATTGAGTGCTTACATATTTCTCACGTTTCCTTTAATCCTATGAGTCAGTTACTGTTATTACCCTCTTTTTACAAGAGAGAAACAAGACTCTCAGAGAGGTTAGTACTCTTGTCCACGATCCCACAGCTGAAGTGGTGATGCTGGCTGCCTGCCTTCAGCCCTGAGCCCTAATTCCTCACACAGGGCCTCTGGAAGAAAAACATTTCAGGGCCCGGTGCGGTGGCTCACACCTGTAATCCCAGCACTTTGAGAGGCCAAGGCAGGTGGATCGCCTGAGGTCAGGAGTTTGAGACTAGCCTGGCTAACATGATGAAACCCCATCTCTACTAAAAATACAAAAAATTAGCTGAGCATAGTGGTGCACGCCTGTAATCCCAGCTACTCGGGAGGCTGAAGCAGGAGAATTGCTTGAACCCGGGAGGCAGAGGTGAGCCGAGATCACGCCATCGCACACAAGCCTGGGTGACAGAGTGAGACTCTGTCTCAAAAAAAAAAAAAAACACAAAACAGAAAGAAAAACATTTCAGGACTTCTTGAAATACTCCACAATAGAAAAATCTTTGGTCTAGAACAAAGATGGAAGGGATCAAAGTCTGAAACAGTTGAAATACACTGAATGTAACATATGTATTCACCAAGGTTATGCAAGGATGTAATCCTTCACCTTGTTCTATACCACTGTCTCCATGTTTCCTGTTTCTTTAGAGCTTCATTACCTGATTAAACACAATTGAAATAAATAGATACGTAAAAATCAAAAAGGCAGCCAAGTTGGGGTATGAGAATATGCACAGGAAATGGTGCTTCTAGACAGAAATGAGATTCATGTGATTTAGGACCACGTCAGGAGCCTGTGTAAACATTCCTAATACTCAGAATGTGAGAACACATCTGGGCTTGTGGATGAATACCTCCCAAATGTCAAGGACGTGCTTTAATTAGAGCTTTTTAAAAATGGACCAGTTGCAGCCAGCGCTATGGCTGGTGACTGTAATCCCAGCATTTTGGGAAGCTGAGGCGGGAGGATCACTTGAGCCCAGGAGTTCGAGACCCCCCTGGACAACATAGTGAGACACCCCATCTCTACATGAATTTTGTTTTTTAATTAGCCAGGCATGGGGGTACATGCTTGTGGTCCCAGCTACTCGGGAGGCTGAGGTGGGAGGATTGCTTGAGTCGGGAGGTGGAGGCTACTGTGAGCCATGATTGGGCCATGGCACTCCATCCTGAGCAACAGAGCGAGACCCTGTCTCAAAAACAAAACAAACAAATAAACAAAACCCAGAAAACTTGGTTGTGATGGTGTACTGTAGCTTTGCAAAATGTTACCATTAGGGGAAACTGGCACATATCTCTGTATTATTTACTGCAAATGCATGCAAATGTACTATTATCTCAATAAAAATATTTCTATTTAAAAAATAGGGCTGGATGCCATGGCTCACACCTGTAATCCCAGCACTTTTGGAGGCTGAGGCAGGAGGATCACTTGAGGTCAGGAGTTGGAGACCAGCCTTGCCAACATGGTGAAACCCTGTCTCTACTAAAAACACAAAAATTAGCCAGGTGTGGTGGCACGTGCCGTGGGCCCAGCTACTCAGGAGGCTGAGGCAGGAGAATTCGCTTGAACCCGGGAGGTGGAGGTCGCAGTGAGCCGAGATTGCACCACTGCACTCCAGCCTGGGCAATAGACCGAGATTTAGTCTCAAAAAAAACAAAACAAAACAAAACAGAAAACCTTGAATTTTCACATTGCTCTTTAGAATGTGGAAGGAACCTGGAAATTTTCTCTGAGGGTGAGAGGGAGAAAATATGCTCCCAATAAGGGGAAATTCTAAACGGAAAACAAACAGGAACATTTTGCACCTAGAAAAGATCTTGTATATTCAGGGAGGTAAAGGGGATTTCTGCAAATCATTGTGAGATGCATTGACAAGCCTCAGCTCCTAAATGAAATGTTTTTCTCCCAGGTCGTTTGAAGGCCAGTTTCCCCAGAAAGCTACTCTTAGATGAACCTCTCTTAAGAGAGAGATGGGCAAGTAGGAGGTGCTCTTAGCTCCCTCTCTCCCATCCCCCATAGGATGAGGCTACAGAGGAATCCCTTAGGTCAACTTACAGAGAAGGACCCTGAGGCCCTGAGGTTGGCCATGTCTTGTCTGTGTGGCCAGCAAGGGGACTGCTGGGCCTGGCAGTGTCTCAGGACTTCCTGGCCAGGGAGCTTCCTTTGTTGTCTCTGGAATCCCCCCTTGCCCTGTGTCCTTGAGTCTAGGACCTGGCACAGGTACATGTGATGCCATGCCCAGGGTGCTGTAATCCAGGCACTGGCCTCTAAGGAATGGTTACGGAGGGCCAGACCAAGTCCAGCAGAGCCAGCTCTCACCAGGCCTGTGCAGTGGGTGAGCATATGTGATGGGAGGACATATGCAGTGGGTGGGCATATGTAGTGAGTGGGTATACGTAGTGAGTGGGTATATGTAGTGAGTGGGTATATGTAGTGGATGGGCATATGCAGTGAGTGGGTATATGCGGTGGGTGGGCATATGCAGTGGATGGGTATATGCAGTGGATAGGCATGTGTAATGGGCAAGCATATGCAATGGGTGGGCATATGCAGGGGTTGGGTATATGCAGTGGATAGGCACACGCACTAGGTGGGAATGTCATGGGTGGGCATATGTCATGGGTGGGCACATGAAATGGACAGGCATATGTCATGAGTGGGCATATGCAGTGAGTGGGCACATGCAGTGGATGGGCATGTGCAGTGGGTGGGCATATGCAGTGGGTGGGCATGTGCAGTGGGTGGGCATGTGCAGTGGGTGGGCATATGCTGTGGGTGGGCATACGCAGTGGATGGGCATGTGCAGTGGATGGGCATGTGCAGTGGGTGGGCATACGCAGTGGGTGGGCATACACAGTGGGTGGGCATGTGCAGTGGGTGGGCATGTGCAGGGGGTGGGCATACGCAGTGGGTGGGCATACGCAGTGGGTGGGCATATGCAGTGGGTGGGCATATGCAGTGGGTGGGCATATGTGATGGGTAGGCATATGCAGTGAGTGGGCAAATGCAGTGGGTGGGCATATGTCATGGGTGGGCATATGCAGGGCTGGGCACCTGCAGCAAGTGGGTTGTCGCGGGAGACTTTGCCCACACTAAGAGACTCTGAGTTTCAGTTTTCTGCCGCCTAACATGATATACTTGCGACTGCCTGTAAATCCATTTTTAACCCCCAACTAGGGAAGCTGAAGGAAGAGGAACAGCAGGGCCACCAGCTCAGCCCGGTGGCTGCATTGTTCTCCCCTGACATTGTTCTCAGGCCGGCTCTGCTTACCCAGAAGGCCCCCGTAACCCCTGGGGAATCCGATGAGATTGTTTTTCCCAAGACTGGGCTCTTCAGGTGTGAGCTGCAGTTCTTGGGCCACGTAGGTTACTGTGGCATTTCTGCAGCAGGAAAGAGGAAGGAACTTCTGATCTGTGGGGCAACGGCATCAACAATGTGCACCCCCACCAGCCGGCAGCGCGAAGAGGAAAGGAGCTCAGTTTCCATAGTGATAAATCACGAGGAAGGGAGCCTGGAGGGAGCCGGCAGTAAGACTTCTCCCTTCCCCTGGCTCCCTGCAAACGCATTCCCAATGCCAGAGTCAGTTAGCCGCCTGGCGCCTCTCCAGACTGAGCCCCCAGAACCGCAGGTAGAGGAAGACGGAAGGGGCTCTGCCAGATGGAAAACAAATTCCCAGCTCCTCTTCAATGTGTCAGTAAGGCATGGGTGCCCGAGCGGATGCGTCGGGGCCCAGGGCTGTGCCACACCTGGGTGGCCACCACATGCGAAGCTCTCGATGCATGCCACCTACATTATTCCATTCCATTCTCTTCTATTACGCCCTACACACGACTGTGTTCTATTAAATGAGCCCACAGCACAGGTGCTATTAGCCCTTTTATCACAGAAGAACAAACAGGCCTTGTGAGGGAGAGAGATGCACCAGAGACAATTCACCAAGTTAACAATAGCTCCTGAAGGTCTCAAGGCTCTCTTCTGAGATTCTTTCTCTTGCCAAAATCAGACTATTTTCCCCAAAGAAAACATTTGAGTTTTTTTGAAATGTTCTGGGAAGTCGTTTATCCCAAACGTCATCAGCCACTCTTTATGCAGGCCACGGTCTCTTGCCTGTAACCCTTGCATGTGCTGTTCCTTCTGCTTGAAATGCTGTTCCCTGCTTCCTTGGTCAGCTAACTCCTCAGGGTACTTGTCTCATCCCTCCTTCCCAGTAGCTCAGATGCCTTGCTTTCTGGGCTCCCACAGAACTTACACCATATTATGAAGCAACACAGAGTAATAGTAGGAGAAAAGGCTCTTCTAGGCCCAGACTAGCTGTGTGACCTCAGGGGATTTGCTTAACTTCTCTGAGCCTTGATTTCTTCATAGGCAAGATGGAGAGAATGCGAGCATCTGCCTCACAGTGTGTCTGTGAGGATTGGACATTAACATATGTAAAGCTCTTAGAAAATGCTTGCCTGCGGTTAATGCTCTAGAAACATTAGTCACTAAAGAATTAAGTTCTTAAAGCAAGAGCCATTCTTCATGGATATCTCTAGATCTAGAGGCTTAGGCCCAACTGGGTATGGAGCAAATGTCACTCTGGATTCGTGGGAGACTATTTTCCAGCTACACTTTAGGCAACAGGCACGGTGCTAGGCACCTTGATTCATAAGATTTAATTTAGTTAAGTCATTCCAGGACTGGTCTCAGATAGCCCAGGACCAGCATTTTGTCACTGTAGCCTGCAGCATTCTCGAATGGCCCTCTGATCACCTGATATCCCCTCCAGACTTCCTGCCCTGCCCAGGCCTGAAAAGAGTCCCCACACTCAGTGACAGGTGAAGAGGCCCTCAGCCTTGCCACAACAGGGGTTACCCATGTGGTCTGTAAACACCAAGAGATTTAAATAATGGACATACCTGCATCCCAGGGGCCACTCAGACGGCAAAAGACAAACCCCACCTTGGGCAGCCACTCTCCTCCATGGTTCCACTTGAAAAAATGAAATGAAACTCTTCATGCAAATACTCGGGTGCTAAACAGTTATGTAACAGCCAAGTCTCTCCACTTAAAAATACAGTCTTCTCCAAATCTATAGAGACAGGATGCCGACCAGAGGTTGCCTGGGACTTGGAGAGGGATCGGAGGACGACTGCCATTGGGCAAGAGGGAACTTTTGGGGGTGAAGAAAATGTGCTCAACTGGATCGTGGTGATGCTTGTACAACTCTGTCTTCACAAATTGTAGGGTTCCCGAATTTCGTCAATAAAGATACAGGATGCCCATTTAAATTTCAGATAAGCAATAAATACTATTTTTAATATAAGTATGTCTCAGATGGGACATCCTTGCATATTGCATGGGATATACTTACACTAAGAAAGTATTTGCTGGGCTGGGCGCAGTGGCTCACGCCTGTAATCCCAGCACTTCGGGAGGCTGAGGCAGGTGGATCACCTGAGGTTGGGAGTTCGAGACCAGCCTGTCCAACATGGAGAAACCCTGTCTCTACTAAAAATACAAAATTAGCTGGGTATGGTGGCACATGCCTGCAATCCCAGCTACTCGGGAGGCTGAGGCAGGAGAATCGCTTGAACCCGGGAGGCGGAGGTTGCAGTGGGCCAAGATTGCGCCATTGCACTCCAGCCTGGGCAACAAGGGCGAAACTCCATCTCAAAAAAAGAAAAGAAAAGAAAAGAAAACATTTGCTGTTTACCGGCGCGATCTCGGCTCACTGCAGCCTCCGCCTCCCTGGTTCAAGCGATTCTCCTGCCTCCGTCTCCCAAGTAGTTGGAATTACAGGTGCGCGATCTCAGCTCACTGCAGCTTCCGCCTCCCTGGTTCAAGCGATTGTCCTGCCTCAGTCTCCCAAGTAGTTGGAATTACAGGTACGCAACACAAACCCAGCTAATTTTTGTATGTTTAGTAGGGGCGGGGGTTTCACCACTTTGGCCAGGCTGGTCTCGAACTCCTGACCTCAACTGATCTGCCTGCCTAGGCCTCCCAAAGTGCTGGGATTACAGGTGTGAGCCACTGTGCCCAGCCTGGAATTCACATTTAACTGGATATCCTGTATTTTATGTGCAAGCCTAACTAAGAGACCCTGAATTAATTGTACACTTATAATGGGTGAGTTTTATGGTAGGTAAAGCTGTTAAATTTAGCACAATGCCTAGAATAATATTGTTGCTTAAAAAAACACAGCTTTGGCTGGGCAGGGTGGCTCACACCTGTAATCCCAGCACTTTGGGAGGCCAAGGCAGGTGGATCGCCTAAGGTCAGGAGTTCAAGACCAGCCTGGCCAACATGGTAAAACCCCATCTGTACTAAAAATACAAAAAAAATTAGCCGGGCCTGGTGGCAGGTGCCTGTAATCCCAGCTACTAGGGAGGCTGAGGCAGGAGAATTGCTTGAACCCGGGAGGTAGAGGTTGCAGTGAGCTAACATCACACCACTGCACTCCAGCCTGGGTAGCAAGAGCAAAACTCCATCTCAAAGAAAACAAAAACAAACAAACAAAAAAACCCCCAGCTTTACCTTCCATGCACTTCCTCCCCACTGTCACCTCTAGCAAAATACAACTGCAAAAACCATCCCACCTTCCCAGGAACCCATAGAAGCCACCAAGGTAGGAAATACGTTTTTTTTTTTTTGAGATGGAATTTCGCTCTTGTTGCCCAGGCTGGAGTGCAATGGTGCGATCTCCACTCGCTGCAACCTCCGCCTCCCAGGTTCAAGTGATTCTCCTGCCTCAGCCTCCGCGAGTAGCTGGAATTACAGGCATGGGCCACCATGCCCGGCTCATTTTGTATTTTTAGTAGGGACAGTGTTTCTCCATGTTGGACAGGCTGGTCTTGAACTCCCAACCTCAGATGATCCACCCGCCTTGGCCTCCCAAAGTGCTGGGATTACAGGCGTGAGCCACTGCGCCCGGCCAATAGGAAATACATTCTAAACAGTCACGTTAGCTTTGTCTTCCCGGTGCCCACGGCCTGCGGAGGGCAAGACTCAAGGTCAGAAACATCACAGGACAGGCCGGGCGCAGTGGCTCATGCCTATAACCCCAGCCCTTTGGGAGGCTGAGGCAGGCAGATCACTTGACATCAAGAGTTCAAGACCAGCTTGGCCAACATGGTGAAACCCCATCTCTAACTAGAAATACAAAAATTAGCCAGGCATGGTGGCACACGCCTGTAGTCCCTCCCAGGTACTCGGGAGGCTGAGGCAGGAGAATTGCTTGAACCCAGGAGGCAGAGGTTGCAGTGAGCCAAGATCGTACCCTTGCAGTCCAGTCTGGGTGACAGAGCAAGACTCCATCTCAAAACAAACAAACAACAACAACAAAAAGAAAGAAACACCACAGGACAAACCGGAGAGTTGGGAACAGTCCTCTCCTTGTTGGATGCTCCAAATACTAAAATCAACCACCTACCCCGTTTTGCTGCCCAGAAATTAGAGAAATATACAGACTCTCATTGACTGAATGGCCACTAAATGCTCTGTGCAGGCTGGATGAGGGGCTACAAAAATGAGTACCACACTTCCCTGCCCCTAAGGAGGTGAATTACAAACCCACGACACACTCACCTCCAAACACACAATCATTCAAAGCAAAGAGAGAAAGATGTCTCATTTTTCCCTTCTATGGGAGAGAAACTTTTTTGACCTTGTCCAATAAAACTAACATTCACATATATGTGGTGTTTGCTTTTAGAATTGCATTTTGTAATTAGTAAGAGAACATCACCTTTTTAGAATTATCACAGTTCCACTTGTCCATGGTCAACACAAAGCTACTTGCTAGTAGGTCTGGCTCTCAGCTATCCAGATACGAAATTCTGACCAACTACCAAAATCATAATAACGCATTCTTTAAATTCACCTCATCGGAGATGGAGTCTTGGAGACTTAATTACATGTGCTGTTGGTGTAATTAAACTTTTTTCTTTGTGAATACTGTTGTCCCTCGATATCCATGGGGGATTGTACCAGACCCCCACAGATACCAAAATCTCAGGATGCTCAAGTCTTTTCTGTAAAATGGCATAGTATTAGCATATAACCTAGGTACACCCTTCTGTATATTTAAAATAATCTCTAGATTACTTATGGCCAACTCTAGGTGTACTGCCTATGAGTTAGCTCTGCTCCATAAGGAGAAGTAAAAAAAAAAATCATCTATAGATTACTTATAAAACCACATAAGATGCTGCACATCATTTCGTTTGTGGGGGATTCAACATAGTACTCAGCACGTGGAAAATTCAAGTTTCAACTTTTGAAACTGTGGAATTTTTTTCTGAATATTTTCTATCCACGGTTGGTTGAATCCATGAATCTGGAACCCATGGATATGGACAGCTATATCTGCAAAGGGGCTCTTTTTTTTGAATGAGGAAGACTCAATGACATTCCACTCTATTCCTTCCACTTCCATGGTGCCATTCCGGTACTAGAGGATTTCACAAAAACTGCCCCATACAGTGGAGGCTTCAGCCACTGTAAACTTATAAGCCCAAGAATCCCATTACTTAGCTCATCAATGATATGACCACGGCAATCTGGGCATTTCAAGAAGGAAGGAGATGCATTCTCTCTCTCTCTCTCTTTTTTTTTTGAGACAGACAGAGTCTTGCTCTGTCACCCAGGCTGGAGTGCAGTGGTGTGATCTCAGCTCACTGCAACCTCCACCTCCTGGGTTCAAGCAATTTTCTTCCTCAGCCTGCTGAGTAGCTGGGATTACAGGCACCTGCCACCATGCCCAGCTTACTTTTGTATTTTTAGTAGAGATGGGGTTTTACCATGTTGGCCAGGATGGTCTCGAACTCCTGACCTCAAGTGATCCACCCGCCTTGGCCTCCCAAAGTGCTGGGATTACAGGAATTAGTCACTGCGCCCGGCAGGGATGGAGTTTTATCAATTTAGCAAGGTTGTCCCTTATCTACTGGGGACTTTAATTAATCAAATATACATATAAATACAAATAGAAAAATCATTGACTACTTAGTTAATGCTATTTTGGATAAAATATTCCCAATAATGAGATTTATAAAATACAAATAATGAAGGGGCCAGGAGTGTTGGCTCATGCCTATAATCACAACACTTTGGGAGGCAGAGGCAGGAGGATCACATGAGTCCAGGAGTTTGAGACTGGCCTGGGCAGCATAGTGAGACTCCATCACTAAAACAAACAAACAACAAAACAAAACAAAACAAAACAATTAGCTGGGCTTGGTGGTGCATGCCTGTAGTCCCAGCTATTAGGGAGGCTGAGTTGGGAGGATGAGGCCCTGGAGTTCAAGGCTGTAGTGAGCCATGGTTGTGCCACTGCACTCCAGCCTGGGCAACAGAGCGAGACCCTGCCTCAAAACATAAAATAAATAAATACATAATAAAAATAATGGGGGGTTTTTGATGGTGAAAAGGTAGGACTGCCAGCCTGCTCAGAATTATGGAACATTTTAAAGTAGCCAAAAACATTTTTCTCTGTGATAATCAAGGTATCAGGTATGCATTTCTGCAGGACTAAAAGAAACTCTACATACATTTGATGGTATTTTTCATGTAAGGACTAAATTCTTTTAACGAGCACCTCATTTGGTTTACCCTCTATAGGCTTGAAGCAGGAGGGTATTTCTGAAGGGAACTTCAACTTGTTTCTTGTCTGTTTGTTTTGTTTGTTTGTTTGTTTGAGACAGAGTCTTGCTCTGTAGCCCAGGCTGGAGTGCAGTGGTGTGATCTCGGCTCACTGTACTCACTGTAACCTTCATCTCCCAGGCTCAGGTAATCCTCCCACCTCAGCCTCCTGAGTAGATGAGACTACAGGTGTGCGCCACCACACCTGGCTAATTTTTTGTATTTCTTGCAGAGACGAGGTCTCACTATATTGCTCAGGCTAGTCTTGAATTCCTGGGCTCACGCGATCCTTCCTCACTGGCCTCCCAAAGTGCTGGGATTACAGGAGTGAGCCGCTGTGCCTGGCCTCAGCTTTTTTTTCTTTAATTTCAAGTGACTCAAAAGAAAAACAAGCGAAAATAAAAATAAAGTGTTAAGGCATAAACAATTAATGGGCAGTCTTTCCTCCCTAGCGCTTTTGAAATTACAGACACTTGACAATGACGCCATCTAGTGGAAGATTAGCAGGTCAGACGAAAACCCATCTATTTGTAATTTATCAGCCGCAGCTTCTCCTAAACGCTTTTTTTTTTTTTTTTTGAGACAGAGCAACCTCCACCTCGTGGGTTCAAGTGATTCTCGTGCCTCAGCCTCCCAAGTACCTGGGATTACAGGGGTGCACCACCATGCCTAGCTAACTTTTTGTATTTTTAGTAGAGACGGGGTTTTACCATGTTGCCCAAGCTGGTCTCAAACTCCTGGCCTCAAGTCGATCCACCCGCCTCAGCTTCCCAAGGTGCTGGGATTACAGGCGAGAGCCACTGCACCTGGCCACCCCCAACACCTTTAAAATAGCTTTGGACGCTCCCAGTGCTTATTTCACTTTTACATTGTTATTTCTAATACAGACATACTATTGATATTAAAAAGTACATAAAATATGTAATGCAGAAATAGTACATTGAAAATATATAAAGTAGGCCAGGCATGGTGTCTCATGCCTGGAATCCCAGCACTCTGGGAGGCCAAGGAGGGAGGATCGCTTGAGTTCAGGAGACCAGCCTGGGCAACACGGCAAGACCTCGTCTCCACAAATAAAAAAAATTAGCCAGGTGTGATGATGAAGTATGCCTTTAGTCCCAGCTACTGGGGAGGCTGAGGCAGGAGGATCACCTGAGCCATGGAGGTCGAGGCTACAGTGCTCACCGCAAGTTTTTTGCCCCCAAAAAACTTGCGTTTCAGCCCAAACACCATTCCCATTGAGTAGCAAGCAACTTTGAGCAAATATCTCAGCTTCTCCCTCTGTAAATTCCAACAGTAAGGCTCTTCTAGCACTATGTACAAACAAGTATTTTCAGCCTTCCTACAAAGAGACAGACTACCTTTATAGTTACAGTTTCCTTTTTATTTATTTATTTATTTTTGACAGGGTCTTGTTCTGTTGCCCAGGCTGCAGTGCAGTGGTGTGACCACGCCTCACTACAGCCTTGAGCTCCGGGGCTCAAGCACTCCTCCTGCCTCAGCCTCCCCAGTAGCTGGGACCACAGGCATGCCCCACCATATCTGACTAGTTTTTAAATTATTTGTAGAGATGAGGACTTGCCATGTTGACCAGGCTGGGTTTTTTCATGTGTGAAACAGAACACGTCACAGGGTCATTATGAGAATGGAGTCAGCTGGCCCATCTAATGAACTGACCTTTAACCAGGAGGTACTCAGTAAGTGCTAGATTCTTCTCTTTGGAACTTGAAAGACCAGAGGAGAGCCCAGCAAACTCAGAGAAGCAGGAAAGACCATTCATAGGATGTTGTTCCTGGGTGCTGATGCCCCACAATTGGGGCTAGTCCACTCCTGGGATGGCCAGCAAAACTCACTTATTCAGAGCTGTGGACTGACAGAGCAAGAATCAGGAGAAATAGATGGGTTTCGTCTGACCTGCTAACCTTCCACTAGATGGCGTCATTGTCAAGTGTCTGTAATTTCAAAAGCTCTAGGGAGGAAACTGACTGCCCATTAACTGTTTATGCCTTAACACTTTATTTTTATTTTCGCTTGTTTTTCTTTTGAGTCACTTGAAATTAAATTTAAAAAGTTGAGGCCAGGCGCAGTGGCTCACTCCTGTAATCCCAGCACTTTGGGAGGCTAGTGTGGAAGGATCACGTGAGCCCAGGAATTCAAGACCAGCCTGAGCAATACAGTGACACCTTGACTCTACAATAAATACAAAAAATTAGCCAGGTGTGGTGGTGCGCACCTGTAGGCTCATCTACTCAGGAGGCTGAGGTGGGAGGATCACCTCAGCCTGGGAGATGGAGGTTACAGTGAGCCAAGATCACACCACTGCACTCCAGCCTGGGCTACAGAGCAAGACCCTGTCTCAAACAAACAAGCAAACAAGCAAAACAAACAAACAAGAAACAAGTTCACTCAGGTCAGCTGATGTAGTCTTCCCAGAATCCTCAGCACCCCCTTCCCTGAAGGGGGTCTGGAGGTCCACTGGCATCACTTTGGGACCTAGGGAGTGCAGCATTCTCCCAGGCGGCAGCCCAGGCCATTCCGGATACAAGACAGCAAGACAGAGTCACCAGAGCCCTTACTTGTCCCCTGTCCCTACAAGGAAACCCAAAGCCTTCCTTCCTTCCTTGTGCTCAGCCTGTGGTAAACACCCAGATTTTCTGGAATCGTCTTCTCTCCACTAACAAAATCTTGACAAATCATCTCTTAGGATAGGTCACTTCTGCTGGCAGCTAAGGGCCTACCCAGATCCTTATTGGCTTTGGTTTAAAAGGGTAATTTCAGCTGGGCATGGTGGTGTACCCCTGTAATCCCAGCATTTTGGGAGGCTGATGTGGGAGGATCGCTTGAGCTCAGGAGTTCAAGACCAGCCTGGGAAATATAGCAAGACCTCATCTCTACTAAAATTAAAAAAAAAAAAAAAAATCAGCCGGGCATGGTGGCAAGCACCCGTAATCCCAGCTACTCGGGGAGGTGAGGCGGGAGCTTGATCCTTTAACCCTGTGACCATGTCAGGGTACTTTCTCTTGGCTTCTGCCATCTGAAGGGTGGGAATTTTGGAGGTTCATATCATATTTAGCTCTAAAAATTAACTTGAGCAGCTAAAAGCCTTTGCAAGCTCGAAATTGACTGCTTTAGGCTCCTTCTGGGAAGAGTACTAGAAATTGCCCGGCACCCTAGCTAAGTGGCTAAGGCCTTATCTTTTTTTTCACAGTGGTGGCCTCGGTTCAATTCCCGGCTTAGGGAATAAGTGCTTTCTGGTTTGCTGTCTGTGTGACTTTTGCCAGTTATTAATTATCTTCCCTACCATGAACAACTTCTGACTTCCCATCTTGAATTTTCCTTTCTCTGAGCTACATTTGGCGATTCTAGATCTTGTAACAACTGCTTACCACCTCTTTGAAAATACCACACACACCAGGCACAGTGGCTCATGCCTGTAATCCCAGCACTTTAAAAGGAGGCCGAGGCAGGTGGATCCCTAAGGTCAGAAGTTTGAGACCAGCCTGGCCAACATGACGAAAACCCTGTCTCTACTAAAAATACAAAAATTAGCTGGGCATGGTGGCACGTGCCTGTAATCCCAGCTACTGGGGGGCTGACGTAAGAGGATAGCTTGAGCCTGGGAGACAGAGGTTGCAGTGAGCTGAGATCGTGCGTGCCACTGCACTCTTTGAAAATACCACACATGCCGGACACAGTGGCTCACACCTGTAATCCCAGCACTTTAAAAAGAGGCCGAGGCGGGTGGATCCCCTGAGGTCAGAAGTTTGAGACCAGCCTGGCCAACATGAAGAAACCCCATCTCTACTAAAAATACAAAAATTCGCTGGGCGTGGTTGCGCATGCCTGTAATCCCAGCTACTAGGGGGGCTGACGTAAGAGGATAGCTTGAGCCTAGGAGACAGAGGTTGCAGTGAGCTGAGATTGTGCGTGCCACTGCACTCTCGCCTGGGCAACAGACCAAGACTCCATCTCAAAAAAAAACAAAACAAACAAACAAAAAAAAAAAACAAAAAAATGCACATCCATGGTTAAGTCATAATCCTAGTTAAGTCTTATTCGTTTCACCTGGAAGGTTACCTTTGGTCAAGTCCAAAAGCCAGGAATATCAGCTATTTGTCCTGGCTAGAGTGGTAATAAGAGATTTGGTTAAAAGTCAGGCTCTGCTCTGTTTTGCATTGTGTTACCTGATGTTTTTTACATTTAGGGTATGAGAGATTACATTATGAGAGAGCTTTTAGCCTTAATGTGTAATAACTAGGTAGGAAATATACTTCAAGGGATGGCTAATGGCAGTTATAGGGGAGTACTCAGTTCTTTGCATGTTTGGATCAGAGAAGCATGCTCTTGACCACCTAGAAGGTATGGAAACATACCCACCCACCCCCACTGAGAGATAAGACTCCTATAAGGGATAGCCTGATTCCCTTTATTTGGGGATCCAAGCCTGCTTATTAGTCCCTAGAAACTGCATACTTTCCTGGCCCTGTTCCTTAAAAGGCTCCACTCTAAAGCCAGTAATTAACTGAGGTCTTTTTTTTTTTTTTTTTTTTTTTTTTCTGAGACAGAGTCTTGTTCTGTCGCCCAGGCTGGAGTGCAATGGCATGATCTCGGCTCACTGCAAACTCCACCTCCCGGGTTCAAGCTATTCTCCTGCCTCAGCCTCCCGAGTAGCTGGGATTACAGGTGTGCACCACCATGTCTGGCTAATTTTTGTATTTTTACAAAATTAGGGATGGGGTTTTGCCATGTGGGCCAGGCTGGTCTCGAACTCCTGACCTCAGGTGATCTGCCCACCTCAGCCTCCCAAAGTGCTGGGATTACAGGCGTGAGCCACTGCACCTGGCCTTAACTTACGTCTTTAAAGAACTCTCCATGTGTAAGATTTTCCTGGCCGTCTTGAAACTGCCTTTGCAAAACTATGACTGAGACCGTGAAAAAGATCTAACTTAATTGACTCCATTTGCTTCTAACCTCCAATCTGTCCGTGTCCTTTCCTAGGCAGGCTGAACTAACTTTGGGAGAAACTTGGTTTATAGTTTAAAACAAAGATAAGTCGGGTGCAGTGGTGGCTGGGTGAGGTAGCTTACGCCTGTAATCCCAGCACTTTGGGAGGCTGAGGCTGGTGGATCACCTGAGGTTAGGAGTTCGAGACCAGCCTGACCAATATGGTGAAACCCTGTCTCTACTAAAAATACAAAAATTAGCTGGGTGTGGTGGCGGGCACCTGTAGTCCCAGCTACTCGGGAGGCTGACACAGGACAATTGCTTGAACCTGGGAGGTGGAGGTTGCAGTGAGCTGAGATCCCGCCACTGCACTCCAGCCTGGGCAACAGAGCGAAGACTCCATCTCAAAAACAACAAACAAACAAACAAACAAAGACAATAACAGCCCTTTCCCAAAGCAGACCTCCTTCTTGCCTGGGGACTAGATTGCCTTTTTAGGACTAACATTAGCCACAAGATTAGAAATTATGGTTTAAGAGTCATGCAGCTGGAGGCTGCAAGATTCTGACCCTCCCTAAACTGCTCCTAAGATCAGGGCTTGAGGTATTTTGCAGACCCTGCTCCTGATGGATCAGCTGGCACCACCCAGGTCAATAAACTGACTCATCTGATCTTGTGGCCACCACCCAGGAACTCAGTGCAAGAAGACAACTTCTACTCCCTGTGGATTTCATTCCTGACCAATCAGCACTCCTGGCTTCCTGGCTTCCCCCTACCCACCCTTAAAAACTGTGCTCCCTGAATGCTTGGGGAGACTGATTTGAGTAATAATAAAACTCTGGTCTCCCGCAGAGCCGGCCGTGTGTGAATTACCCTTTCTCTATTGCAATTCTCCTGTCTTAATAAATCGGTCTGTCTAGGCAGTGGGCAAGGTGAACCCACTGAGCCGTTACAGTCTTAACTGCAGTTATTCACACCCTTTTCCTTGGTTTGAGTAAAATATAGATTTGTTATTGGAAAGGGGTCTCAATCTAGACCTCAAGAAAGGGTTCTTGGATCTCACACAAGGGGTAATCCAGGGTGAGTCCACAGAGTAAAGAGAAAGCAAGTTTTTATTAGAAAAGTAAAGAAACAAAACAATGGCTACTCCATAGGCAGTGCAGCCCCAAGGGCTGCTGGTTGGCTATTTTTGGAAATTTCTTAATTATATGCTAAACAAGGGATGGATTACTCATGAGCTTTCTGGGAAAGGGGCAAGGAATTCCTGGAACTGAGGATTTCTCTTCCTTATAGACCCTATAGGTTAACTTCCAGACATTGCCATGGCATTTGTAAACTCTCATGGCACTGGTGGGAGTGTCTTTTAGCATGCTAATGCATTATAATGAGCATATAATGAGCAGTGAGGACAGCCAGAGGTAGCTTTCCTCACCATCTTGGTTTTGGTGGGTTTTGGCAGCTTCTTACTACATCCTTTTTTATCAGCTGGGTCTTTGTGACCTGTATCTTGTGCTGATCTTCTGTCCTGTGACTAAGAATGTCTCTCTGGGAGTGCAGCCCAGCAGGTCTCAGCCTCATTTTACCCAGTCCCTATTCAAGAGGGAGTTGCTCTGGTTCGAATGCCTCTGAAACATTTGCTAAATGCTTTAATATCATAAACTGCTTTAACTTTTTCTTTTTTTTTTTTTTTTTGAGACTGGAGTCTCGCTGTGTCACCCAGGCTGGAGTACAGTGGCTCGATCTCGGCTCACTGCAGCCTCCACTTCCTGGGTTCAAGCAATTCTCCTGCCTCAGCCTCCTGAGTAGCTGGAACTACAGGTATGTGCCACTACGCCTGGCTAATTTTTGTATTTTTTTAGTAGACTCAGGGTTTCACCATGTTGGCCAGGACGTTTCTTTAATTTGATAATTGTTCATCTTAACTGCTTTGGAGCCATTAGATTCTAAGTAAGCCCCATTAGATTCTAGATAATGCCTAACCTCCTAGGAATGCAGCCCAGCAGGTCTCAGCCTCACTTTACCCAACTCCTACTCAAGATGGAGTCATTCTTGTTCCAGTGCCTCTGACACACTCCCCCTCCCTTTTACAGGGAGACTTTTCATCCTAAGTGTTGTAGAGCGATGAGGATCCATCATCTGTAATTTCTTTAGGAGAAATAAGGGTGATGACATTCCTGCCTAACTATTAGTTTCTCTAGTATTCAGGGTAGAGAGAAGCTTAATCAGAGAGCATTGGTATGGTCAAGGCCAATCATAACTCTGAGTTCTGACAAAAGGTGATATTTAGAAGATTAACAGGTGTTCAATTTAAGAAATTATCTAAAGTAAACTAAGTAAGGAGGCTTTCCATGAACTAGACAACTGTTGGAACCAAGGTGATATGGAGTCGCTAGCCAATTCCATCTGTCCCAGAATTAGATATTGATCCAGATTTTTTTTTTTTTAATTGAGATGGAGTCTGGCTCTGTCGCCCAGGCTGGAGTGCAGTGGCGGGATCTCGGCTCACTGCAAGCTCCGCCTTCTGGGTTCCGGCCATTCTCCTGCCTCAGCCTCCTGAGTACCTGGGACTACAGGGGCCCGCCACCACGCCCTGGCTAATTTTTCTATTTTTAGTAAAGACGGGGTTTCACTGTGTTAGCCGGGATGGTCTCGATCTCCTGACCTTGTGATCTGCCCGCCTTGGCCTCCCAAAGTGCTGGGATTACAGGTGTGAGCCACCGCGCCCAGCCAATCCAGATTTTTATATTACTCATTCCTCTCTTTTCCTGAGCAGCTGCCAGAAATCACTGGTTGGTTCCCAGGAATAAGCAGGGTCAGTTTAAATTGCAGAAAAAACTAAAAAGATTTTTTGGCTTTTTATTAGTTCAGTCTATGCAGTTAGTTCCTGTTTTGCTCAATGCTTATAGACTCATTTTCCAAGAGAGTCTTGGAAGTTCTTTCCTCTCCTTTTTAATGGCAAACTTTGCAAAGTTATCAGAAACTTGCATTTAAGAGTCCTTGTCAGAGTTCTATAGCTGATTATAAGCCACCTTTTGAAGAGGATCAAAACAAGACAATTGTCTGTAGATGATGTGAAAGGAAAATAAACCTCGGGACTCTGAAATCACTAAGCAAAATGGAAAAGTCACACTGGGAACTGCGTCAGGCAAACCTGCCTCCCATTCTTAATAAGATAGCTACAAAGATTAAAAAAAAAAAAAGCCATATACCTCCCTTACAATTTGCCCACAAGTAAATTCCTTGTGGGTCTCAAGATCTTTACCTTAGAACATTCTGTTGAATTTCACCCTGGCAATGTAAATTGATAGCTTATTTTCACAGGTGCAGGACAAAGAGTAGAACTCAAAGTCATCCCTCTGCTCACCTGAGACAGATGCATATCTGACTGCTTCCTCTGCCCTACTGTTTACATTAGCATATGTAAAAATGCAGATTCACTGAGCCAGACATGGCATAAGTGGCTATTCATCTACTCCCCTGCCTTATGTAAACTGTGTATTCAGTGAAAGGCTGAGCAAAGACTCAGAAAGATGCAACCATTTGTCTCTTATCTACCCAGACATTTAAAAAATTTTTCCTCTTCCCCCAGTATCCATCCTTCCCCTTTTAAATATTGAAGCCCTCAAAATCTTTGGAGAATGGCACAGTTTCCTAGGCGCATGTCCTTAACCTTGGCAAAATAAACTTTCTAAATTGATTGAGACCTGTCTCAGATACTTTTAGTTAACAATGACAAAAAGTCTTAGGGCAGCCACGGTTAAAGACACAATTGACTAGGAGTTTTGGTTATTTCTGTGGCATACAACAATTTTACATAACAGTTATAATTACTGATAGCACACAATAAGTCATGTCAGAATTACATGAGTTTCCCATAATTTTGGAGCATACATCAATAACACATTCATACAAATAAAATCCAAAGAAAGCCAAACACTGTTTTATATTTGACAGCTTTCTGTATGATTTTAATATACCAAATAAGCCAAATATTTCATTTTGAACTTATGGAACTTAACATCTAAAAGGATTAATCAGGTCAGAAAAAGACATAATTTAGAATTTGATTTTGGAAAGTTTGTCAAATATCAAAGATTTAAAGCACTTGATATTATAAAATAAAATCCCAGGACACCACAAGTCATTTATTTAGTCAAATCGATGACTCAAAGATTTTTAAAAGACAAAAACCTTTACTCATTGATAGCGGGAAGACAGCTTTCCAAACAATGTCTTTTTTTTCTCCCTTCTTTTTCCTGTAGCGTATTTAAAAGCGAAGAAAAATCTTTCATTGTCTTTTAATATTATGTGAAAATGTTGTTCAAGAGAGAAAGCTAAATTTTACTTTTGCATTAATGTACTATTAACGTCAAACCCAATTATTAATAAAACCTTATAGACAAATCTATACAATCTTAATGTTTCACCATGAGGTAAGATTCTCATAAACCTTTTACAAGATTTTTTCTTTTTCTTTTTCTTTTTTTAAAGAAGAGAAGTTCCAAGGAAAACTGTTGTGCTTTTATTTCAATGTTCGATTTATTGAAAAAACTGAATAATACCCCCTTTAACTTTAGCCAGTATGTTCACACATATAATTTCTTTTATGAGATTAACCTTTCACAACCATCCACAACTTGCTGAAACCTCAGCTTTATCCTATCTAAATTTTACAGTCCTTTTTTCTTTTTTCTTTTTTCTTTTCTCTTTTTGAGACAGAATTGCTTCGTTGCCCAGGCTGCAGTACAATGGTGTGATCTCGGCTCACTGCAAATTCTGTATCCTGGATTCAAGAGATTCTCGTGCCTCAGCCTCCTGAGTAGCTGGGATTATAGGCCTGCGCCACCATGCTTGGCTAATTTTTGTATTTTTAGTAGAGATATGGTTTTGCCATGTTGCCCAGGCTGGTCTCGAACTCCTGGACTCAAATGATCAAGTAACCTGCCTCAGCCTCTCAAAGTGTTGGGATTTATAGGTGTGAGCCGCTGTGCCCGGCCAAAACAATCCTTTAACCCTCTAAACTAGGCCAAAAAACCCACATTCCCATGCCATCTTGTAATCTTTTGCCAAAAACATTGTACTTTCCTTACACACCTTGTATGCATATGTCCCAGTGTTAACTCTTAGCAACTTTTATTTTTGGTGAAAAACTTCACAAGTACCGAGTGTGGCACCTAGGACAGCAGGCAGTAGTGCAGATAAGGTGTGACTCTTTCTAGCATAGCCAGGGGGCATGGCTACCCTCATATATCCCCAGGCCTTCCCTAGACTCTAATGGTTCCAAAAGCCACAGAAGCAGTTTATGTAGTTTAGTAAACACAGTATCTGACCTTCCTAACTTAGACCAAATGTTTAAATTTTGAAGACATTTTTATTTTACCAATAATCTTTAAAACTATCTTTATCTCCCAAAGATTAAAGTCATGGGAACTAAAAGGCATTAAAATTTCTACTTTCCTGAGAAATATTTAAGTGCTTATTTTTCTTTAAACCAATTAATTAGAGATCTTTTATATAAACATTATATACACAACACATATAAATATGCACACAGATACACAGATAGAAGAGCTTTTTTTTTTTTTTTTTTTTTTTTTTTTTAAAGACAGAGTCTCACTCCGTCACCTAGGCTGGAGTGGAGTGCCATGATCTTGGCTCACTACAGCCTCAACCTCCCAGGTTCAAGCAATTCTCGTGCTTCAGCTTCCCGAGTAGCTGGGACTACAGGCGCCCGCCACCACGTCCAGCTAATTTTTTTATTTTTAGTAGAGATGGGGTTTTGCCACGTTTCCCAGGCTGGTCTCGAACTCCTGTCCTCAAGTGATCCACCCACCTCGGCCCCCCAAAGTGCTGGGATTACAGGCATGAGCCACTTGGCCCAGTTTTTAAGTTTTTTAACTGGATTGCTAGCTTCGGGTTGGAGCCCTTTGAGGAACAGGGCTAGGAAAGCATGCAGCTTCCAAGAAGATGAGTCTCTGATCCAAACATGGAAAGAACTGAGTATTCCCCATAGCTGCCATTAGCCATCCCTAAAAGTATATTTTCCACCAAGTTATTACATACCGAGACCAAAAGCTCTCCCAGGTGAAACCAATGAGCCTTAACTAAAGTTACGACTTAATCATGGGCATAGGAGGTATTTTCAAAGAGGTGGTGAGCAGTTTTTATAAGATCTGGAATCTCCAAAGGTAGCTCTGAGAAAGGAAAATTCAAGACAGGAAATCTGATGGGCCGGCTTGAATAGTGGGCTTATAGGGGTCCCAAGTCCACATTCTATCCTGTGGTACCCCTCTCTTCATGACAGAACAACACAGAAAGACAAATTCATGACACAAGGTACACCAGATTCACTACAGCCTAAGACTAGCCTCACAAATCATTTTTCCTATTAATCAAAACCTTGCAGAGGAGACAGACACTATTTTTTTTAACCATTTATTCAACCAGTTTGCACACAGAGAGAGGCCAGAAGCTTGACTGGTAAGAAATTTTTTATTTTTATTTTTTTTTAGACAGGGTATCTCTCTGCCACCTAGCCTGGAGTGCAGTGGCAAGATCTCTGCTCACTGCAACCTCCACCTCCCAGGTCCAAGTGATCCTCCCATCTCAGCCCTCCGATTAGCTGGGACTGCAGGCATATACCACCACACCCAACTAATTTTTGTGGGTTTTTTTGGTAGAGATAGGGGTTTCACCATGTTGCCCAGGCTGGTCTCGAACTCCCAACCTCAGGTGATCCTCCCACCTCAGCCTCCCAAAGTGCTTGGATTACAGGCATGAGTCACTGCACCTGGTCTCTGACTGGTAAGAAATTCTTACCCTTTTGCCAGCATGCCAAGTTTCTAGGTTCCCTTTCTCTGTATGACTTTGATGGCCCTGCTTGCTGTGTCATAGCTATGGGGGCCAAGCCATGTGACAAAAGAAAATCATCTTTTTCTGTTTCATGGAACCATAAGCAAAAGCCTCTCAATTTTGCAAGATGCTGCCCAAAAGGCTGCATGGAGAAATCGAATTAATGTTTTTTCATTCTGGCTGGAGCAAAATACATGTGACAAAACAGCCACCCCGCTGGGCACCAAATATCAGCCTGGCAAGGCTCAAAATTGCCCCTGTTGGCCCCTGTCATCTTTGATCTACTCAAAGTGGGGTGGAAGGACCTCCAAACCAGGAGTTTCAATATGTGGTCTCTGGGCAAGATGGAAGAGTGGACAGTCACCCTGAGTGACAGAAAAGATAGAAAAGGGAAAGGAAAGGAAGACAGACAGAGGAAACTGGAGGGAGAAAAGCATTGCCTGTAGCAGAGAAAGGGAGATGAGAAGCACCAGGAGGCCATAGAACCATCCACCATCACAGCAACACTGAAACAAAAGTTCAGGCAACTGCTTGTCAGTAACGAAGGGATCTTTTCCAGGAGTCCTGTCAGCTCTCAATTTTCCCCTTTGATGGAGGAAAAAAACCCGCAGTCATCAGCAAAGAACGCAAGGTGGATTAATCCAAAGAGAATAGCTGTTAGCATCCCATAGTGCCAAATCCATTTTTTTTTTTTTTTTTTGAGACAGTCTCACTCTGTCGCCAAGGCTGGAGTGCAGTAGCACTATCTCGGCTCACTGCAACCTCCACCTCCTGGGTTCAAGTGATTCTCCTACCTCAGCTTTCCCAGTAGCTGGGATTACAGGTGCACACCACCACGCCCAGCTAATTTTTGTATTTTTAGTAGAGACGGGGTTTCATGATGTTGGCCAGGCTGGTATCTAACTCCTGACCTCAAGTGATCTACCTGCCTCAGCCTCCCAAAGTACTGGGATTACAGGCGTGAGCCACCGCGCCCGGCCACTAGATCCATTTTTAACTAAGAGGGGCCTTACTGAGGGGGACCTCTAACCCCCTATGTCTTAGGGGGGAATCTAACCCTTCGAAGTTGGGCTTCTAACCCAAATTTTTGCCCCTTAACCGGGATAAAAGCTACCCACTACTTACCCAAAGTCGGCCAATTAGTGCTGCACAGATGATTTTCCTTTGGGCCAAGGGTCTCTCTGGTAATGTCTTTTCGTGGTTTGCCAGGAAGATGTTCCTGGAAAGGGGTCCCAATACAGACCCCAAGAGAGGGTTCTTGGATCTCACACAAGAAAGAATTCTGGGTGTGTCCACAGAGTACAGTGAAGGCAAGCTTATTAGAGAAGTAAAGAAACAGAAGAATGGTTATTCAAGAGGCATAGCAGCCCAGAGTGCTGCGTTGGCTGTTTTTATGGTTATTTCTTGATCGTATGCTAAACAACGGGTGGATTATTCATGAGTTTTCTGGAAAAGGGGAAGAAATTCTTGAAACTGAGGCAGTCTATATAACTTTCAGACGTTGCCATGGTATTGTAAACTGTCACGGCAGTGGTGGGAGTGTCTTTTAGCATGCTAATCCATTATAATTAGCATATAATGAGCAATGAAGAGATTCCAGAGGTCACTTTACTTGCCATCTTGGTTTTGGCAAGTTTTGATTGGTTTCTTTATTGCATCCTATTTTATCACTTGAGTCTTTGTGACCTATATCTTGTGCGGATCTCCTGTTCTGTGACTAAGAATGCCTAACCTGGGAATGCAGTCCGGAAGGTCTCAGCCTCATTTTACCCAGCTCCTATTCAAAAGAATAGTTGCTCTGGTTCCAGCACCTCTGACACATTTGCTAAATGGTTAAATGTCATAAATTGCCTATTTAATGTGATAATTGTTCAACTTACCTGCTTTGGAGCAAAGGGCTGAGGAAGTGGAGTTAGCTATGCCCCCTAGCTATGCTGAGAAGAGTCAGACCTCATCTGCACTTCTCAGCAGGCGTTCTAGGCGCCACACCTGGTACATAAATAGAACCTCTTACTTGCTAGGTTTTTCACCAAGAATAAAAGTAACTAAGAGGTAATATTATAACATATGTAATTGAGAGTACTGGAGAAACAGTTTCACATGCAAGGTATGTAAGGAAAGTAGCATGTGTTTTTGGTAAAGAAGATATGGGAATGTAGGTTTTTTGGCCTAATTTAGAGATTTAAAGGATTGTTTTAAGTTTGATAGGATAAAGCGAAAGTTTTGAGTAAGTTGTGAAAGATTAATCTTATAAAACAAATTCTATGTGTGAATATATTGGCTAAAGTTAAAGGGATATTATTCCATTTTTCCATAAATTGAACATTGAAATAAAACCACAACAGGGTTTTCTTAGGGCATTGATTTGATCCTTCTTTTTTTGACACAGAGTCTCGCTCTGTTGCCCAGGCTGGAATACAGTGGTACAATCTGGGCTCACTACAACCTCCATCGCCCAGGTTCAAGCGATTCTCATGCCTCAGCCTCCCAAGCAGCTGGGATTACAAGTGTGTACCACCATGTCCGGCTAATTTTTGTATTTTTAGTAGAGACGGGGTTTCACCATGTTGGTCAGGCTGGTCTCAAACTCCTGATCTCAAGTGATCCACCCACCTCAGTCTCCCAAAGTGCTGGGATTACAGGCATGAACCATCGTGTCTGGCTGATTTGATTTTAACAGAAAATTGTAAAGGGTTATAAAAGGTTTACGAGAATCTTACCTTATGGTCAAACTAAATGAAATTAAATAAATTTGTCTATAGCTTTTATTAAGAATTGGGTTTGACATTAATAGTACACTAATGCAAAGGTGAAATTTGGCTTTCTCTCTTGAACAAAATTTTCATGTAATATTAAAAGATAATGAAAGATTTTTCCTTGCCTTTTGAATAAACTACAGGAAAAAGAAGGGAAATTAAAAAGACTTTTTTTTTGGAAACCTACCTCTTCCTCTATCAATGAGTAAAGGTGTTTGTCTTTTTAAAATCTTTGAGTTATCATTTTGGCTAAATAAATGACTTATGTTGACCTAGGATTTTATTTTATAATATCAGTATTTTAAATCTTTGATACTTGACAAACTTTCCAAAATCAAATTCTAAATTATGTCTTTTTTTGACCTGATTAATCCTTTTAGTTATTAAGTCCTATAAAATCCAAAATTAACATATTTGGACCAGGTACAGTGGCTCATGCCTATAATCCCAGCACTTTGGGAGGCCAAGGCCAGTGGATTGCTTCAGGCCAGTAGTTTGAGACGAGCCTGGCCAACATGGCAAAACCCCATCTCTACTAAAAATACAAAATAAATAAAATACAAAATACAAAATAAATAAAAATACACAGCCAGTCATGGTGGTGTGTGCTTATAGTCCCAGATACTCAGGAGGCTGAGGCACAAGAATCACTTGAACATGGGAGGTGAAGATTGCAATGAGCTGGGATTATGTACTGCATTCCAGCCTGGGGCACAGAGTGAGACTGCGTCACTGCACTCCAGCCTGGGGGACAGAGTGAGACTGTCTCAAAAAATCAAAACAAAACATATTTGACCTATGTGGTATATTAAAATCATACTGGAAGCATTGTCAAATATGAAATGGTGTTTGGCTTTCTTTGGGATTTATTTGTATAAGTATGTTATTGATACGTAGTGCAAAATTATGGGAAACTCCTATAGTTCTGATATGAGTTAGTGTAAGTTATCAGTAATAATAATTTTTAGGTAAAATTGTTGTATACCACAGAAGTGACCAAATTTCCTTGTCAATTGTGTCTTTGAATATGGCTCCCTTAAGACCTGTTGTCATTCACAGACAATTACTGTCTTGTTTTGATCCTGTTCAAAAGATGTTTTATAATTAGCTATAGGACTCTGACTCTTAAATCCAAGTCTCTGCTAAGTTTTGAAAGTGTGCCATTAAAGTAGAGGGGAGAAATTTCCAAGACTCTCTTGGAAAACTAATGTGTTCATAAATATCAAGCAAAACAGGAATTAATTGCATACACTAAATTAAAAAAAGACCAAAATAATCTTCTTACAACTTTTTGCTTCAAACATTGCTGATCCTTTCTGTTTTGTTTTTCAGAGTCAAGAAAACTCTTCTTTTGAATTATTTACAGCTTTTAACAATTGAGTAAAGTATACTCCTACGAGCAAAATTTGGAGCATATTTCTTTCTCTCTACCTGATTTTTCCAGAATCTGGAAACTATTTGTGAGTATTCATGAGTGTTTTTTGTTTGTTTGTTTGGTGGGTTTTTGTTTGTTTGTTTGTTTGGCCAGGGCCTTTCTCTCTCATCCAGGCTGAAGTTCAGTGGCATGATCACAATCATCACAGGTCACTACAGCCTCAGCCTCACAGGCTCAAGTGATCCACTCACCTCAGCCTCCCAAGTATCTGGGGCTACAATTGTGTGTCACCACGCCCAGCTAATTTTTTTTTTTTTTTTTGTAGAGATGAGGTCTCACTATGTTGGCCAAGGTGGTCTCAAACTCCGGGGCACTAGTGGTCCTCCCACATCAGCCTCCCAAAGTGCTGGGATTGCAGGTGTGAGCCACCACATCTGGCCTAGTATTCTTAACTTATGGCAATATAGCTATTTGCATAAGTGCAATAAGAATCTGTTTTTCTTTTGTATAAGGTTATTTTATCTGGCGTGCTTTCAAATACAAACAGACTGCTTTAAGGAATCAAAGTTGACATTTCAAGCCAATAAAAGCCCCTTAGGAAAACTGCCATCATACCTTGTCTACACAATCCCTGTACAGGGTTTCTGACCTGTGGCAAGTAAAGAATGTCACTTTCTGACAGGCCCAGAAGCCTCAAGTTATCTTGGGACCTCAAGAAGAGAGAAATTTACCAACTCATATAGGTATTTGCAGGCACAGATTAATCAGTGGCTGGGCTCAAGGCCTTAAAAACTCTAATCTAAGAGTCCTTACAGAACAAAGTTACATCAAAGCCAATTTTATTTTTCTATTATGATTATTATTATTATTGAGATGGAGTTTTGCTCTTGTTGCCCAGGCTTGAGTGCAATGGTGTGATATCTGCTCACTGCAACCTCCGCCTCCTGGGTTCAAGTGACTCTCCTGCCTCAGCTTCCTGAGTAGCTGGGATTACAAGCATGCACCACCACGCCCAGCTAATTTTGTATTTTTAGTAGAGACAGGGTTTCTCCATGTTGGTCAGGCTGGTCTTGAACTCCTGACCTAAGGTGATCTGCCTGCCTCAGCCTCCCAAAGTGCTGGGATTACAGGCATGAGCCACCGTGCCTGGCAATCAAAGCCAAATTTAAAAGAAGCCTATATAGCAAATAATTATTCTTGCTGCACATTATGCCGATAATATGCCAAGTATCATAAGATTAAAGCCTGTTTTGCAAACAAATCAGTCCTATCATGATTTGTTTTAATTTAATAAAAATGGAAGATGAGAGAGAGAAAAAATTGTGTATCAAAAACTATGGTATACCTTGATATGGTTTGGCTGTGTCCCCACCCAAATCTCATCTTGAATTCCCACACATTGTGGGAGGGACCTGGTGAGAGGGAATTGAATCATGGGGGCAGGCCTTTCCCATGCTGTTCTCATGATAGTGAATAAGTCTCATGAAAGCTGATAGTTTTATAAGGGGGAGTTTCCCTGCACAAGCTCTCTCTTTGCCTGCTGCCATTCATGTAAGACGTGACTTGCAGCTCCTTGCCTTCCATCATGATTGTGAGGCCTTTCCAGCCATGTGGAACTGT